>NC_000003.12:8760000-10010000 GCF_000001405.40 Homo sapiens
CTCTTTCAATACTCTTGTTCCCAGCATCCTTGGACTTGCCACCATGCGCCAACTGGACCTGCAGCCCCTTTGCTAAAATGCTAGGCCTGTACCCAAAATGACTCCCACTCCATCAGCTACACTGACTTGCACCAGCAGGATATTCCACCCTGTATACAACCTAAGTCCTATTCTGAACTTCAGAAACCTGAGATTCTGAACCCCAGAAACCTGAGTTGTGGGCAGGCTCAGCCCCACACCCGAAGTCAGCACTGCCGCTCCATCTGACACTAACCCAGCAGAAACTGTGGGTGTCCCTCCCAGAGGTCTGTGGGTGTACCCAGAACTCTGTGATCAACCTTGACCACACGGTCCCACATTTATGCATGTCAGCAGCTGGCCGCAGGAGGGCGAGGGCTTGGGAGGGCCCCTTGCCAACTCTCTTCACTTGGGGGTTGACAGATGAAAGCAGAGGTTGTGTGGACAGGAGCCTGCAGAGGCATCAGTAACTGTTTTTTGGAGTGAATGACTTAGCATTCAGAGGAAGAAGCCCCGCAAACTGGGAAAACAGGGATGGTTTCCTGAAAGGGGCACTGGATGAGGCTGCCATGTTCAGCTGTTCAGGCTGTGCACTGCAAAGCTCCTAGGAACACCCTGTTCATAGACCATGAGGTAAAAGGCATCCCCTGGAGTTGTGCCACAAAGCAGCCCACACAATGGACTTGGGCTTCAAAGGATGGGAATCCGTGGAAGAAACTGGGGTGGGCGTTCCCATGGCAGGAACAGTATTAGCAAAGGTGCAAAGACAGCAAGGCCATAGGAACTTGTGGAAAGCGGCAAATCATCGGGCCTGGCTGGGGGTACACAAGGCAGGCTGGCCAGAGACCAGGGCAACAAGAGAGTACTCACTGCCAGGTATTAGTTTAAAAAGCAGAACAAGGGGTCTAAGCCAGCAGTTCTTAACCAGGGATGACTTTGCCCCTTAGTGAACTTTTGGCAATGTCTGGAGACAGTTTTGGTGGCCACAGCTGGCAGGGAGGTTGCTAATGGCACGTAGCACGTGGAGGACGGGAATGCTGTTAAATATCCTACCATGCACAGAACAGCTCCTCCCTGACACACATACACACACGCCAAAGACTGTTCAGCCTAAAATGTCAATAGTGCCAAAGTTGAAAAAATCGTGCTCTAAACCAAGAAGGTGAAAATGGAAAGAGAAACAAAGTGCCAACCTGAGGCATGTGGTACAGCTGAGATTATAGAACTGGTGGACACAGGGAGGATGAGAGGGGCATGGCACTGAACCCAGAATGCTGGGAGGGCAGTGCCATCAGCGGATGTGTACCTCGGTGTGTGTGTGTGTAGGTGTTGCAGGAAGAGCCCAAGATGTCAGGACCTTGGGGCCAGATAGTGGGGGAGGGTTCAGCTTCCATGGATCTGAGGCAGGTCCAGCGATCTAACAAGCGCCCAGGAGATCCCCAAGTCGAAGGTGTAGATCATCGGGAAAACTGCTGGCCTGGGGCGGCAGGGGTTGGGGTCGTCATGCAGTGTGTCAGTCTCTAGTGTAAGATGGCTGGGTTCCAATCCCAGCTCCATCACTTACTCAGCAGTGATCGTGGGCAGGTCACACCTCTCTAAGCCTCAGTTTCATCATCTGTAGAAAAGCCATGATGGGCCCCTTCCTTGCTGCATTAGGGTGAGGAGCAGAAATGGCCTGGGCACAGGCCTTGCTCACAGTGGGCACTCAGCCAGTGGTGGCTGCTGTTACCAACTGATCCCACTCCTCCCTTCACCAAAGCTGAGGTCCAGAGAGGGTGTCAAAGCTCCATTATGAGCCGTTATCCCCATTGCTCAGATGGGAATGGCAGAGGTCCAGAGGCCATCAAGAGACATTGCCCCAAATGACACAGATGGCAACAAGACCAGGTCCCAGAAGGGGACTGGCTACTTCCCACTACTGTCTCCTGGGGCTGGGGGCTCTGGCAGGTGGGCTCAGGTGTACAGGGTCCGGCTTCAGCCCCTGGGAGGGAGCCCTGTGGGGTTGCCTTTGCTTCCAAAAGTTGCCAGGGCAAGGTGGTAAGGTCAGCAGGTGGGCCAGTGCCTCAGGTCACACCCAGACACGCCAGCCCGGGGCCACAGACCTCACCCAGCCTCCACAGACAGTGTGATGCAGCCAGGGCACCTGCTAATCTCCTCCTGATCCGAGGCCCTCCACAACCCCTCTTCCCCTCCTCACCCCTCCCGAAACCCACACAGACAGCCATCAAATGGAAACATGATGTAGCAGGGCCTCACCCAAGAGGCTGGTTTGGGGTTAGCTTTTGAGTTTTTTGATTTTGGATTTTTGTCTTTTTAGCTGTTATTTATCAAACCTTTGGGGGGAAAAGAAGTGAAATCACCACAGGGCAGAAACCCTAAGGGAAAACATTAACATTAGCTAAGAACATAAAAGAACACACAATTACTTAATCATATAAGTGTCTGAAGTTAACTGTCCATCTAATTGTGATTTGTACCCAGAAGGGCCGAGCTTGTGCACTCTTCATGGCCCAGAGTGAATATCCTGTCCAAGCTTCTCCTGCCGGCCCACCATGCTCTCCACATCACTGGGTCACCTCAAGAAAAAGCCCCTCCAAGGGGCCTGGTCCCCCACACCTCGGGCACAGCATTCATGGAAAGGAAAGGTGTACGGGACATGCCCGAGGATCCTCAGTCCCACAGAAACAGGGAGGGGCTGGGAAGCTCATTCTACAGATGGGGAAACAGTTCAAACCAGGCCTCCTGTGCCTGTCAGCCTTCCTCCCAGTCCAACGCTCCTGACAGATGTTTGGTTGCCCCAGTGATGGGGCGCTCCTTTCTTTTCCAGGTTGCCAGTTCTGTTTCAGACAGCTGCTTAGAAAGTCCCTATTCCTCCTGAGTCCAGCTCTTCATGGCCATCCCTGCCCCGTCTCACTCACCTCTCTGCTCCCATTTTCCACGTATTTGGCAAGCACTGGTTGAGCTATCAATGACTGTGCAGCCTTGTGCCAGGCATCCCCTGGGGTAAAAGGCATCCCCTGGAGTTGTGCCACAAAACAGCCCACACATTGGACTTGGGCTTAACAAGTAGGGAACAGGACAAGCAGCGTCCCTGCTGTGATAGGGCTCATAGTCCACCTCTCCGGCCTTAACAAGCTTCTCTCCCACCTCCCAGCCTCCCCGGACACATCACCTGCTGTCCACTCCCATTCCCTCCACCCAGGCTCAAGACAAGAATCCCCATCTTGTCCATCAGGAAGGGGCCATAGGTCACACCATTTAATCCTCACATCAACCCCAGGCAGTGAGCCGTGCTATCCTTATTACATGGAGGAGGAGGTGGAGGCTCAGAGCAGGTAAAGCAACTGGCTTAAGGACACTGGACTGGGCGTTTTACCAGGGAGAGGCTGGAAGGAGAAGACTAGAGACAGAGACCCCAAATCCTGTCCACCGCACCCAATCAACATCAACCAACCCTAGAAATGCAAACAGCCCCACTCTACCAAACTCCCTCCTCATCCTCATCTCCTCCCTCAGAACTGCCCCAGGGTCAGAGCCCCTGCAATCAGCATAGAAAATGCCACTGGGTTCAAGGGAAAAGGCTGGTGCCGAATCTTTGGCTTTGGAATTTAATTCTGAAAGATATATAAAGGGCTTGTCAAACCCTGCATGGGGCATCCAGTCTCACCAGCCTCACCAAGTCAGCACCCGACGGCATCCGGCTGCTTTGAAGAATGGATCTCATCAAATTACCCAGATGCTCCCATTGGCTCTTTCTTCGGAATCATGGAAATATTTAAACTTAAAGTTTTCCTCTTTGGTTCTTATAACAACTAACCAGGTGTAGAGCTTGTCTATACACAGAGAGACTATTATTATTAATAGTATTATTACTATTATTGTAATAGTTTTTTTTCCTTTTCTTCTCCCTACTGCCTGCTTTATCCCAGTTTCCTTATATCTATTTTATCTTGTTGAGGCACCTAAATTTTTGGCCACCACTGCACATTACTTTTGGAACAAGGTGAGCTTTAAACCCACAAAGGCAGCCCTTGGTATTTGTGAAGGCATATGAGGGAATGAAGTTGCTCAAGGGAGAGATGGAAAAGAGAGAGCAAATGCTGAAGCAGAGAGGGACTTCGGGTCCCTGGGCCACCACATCTACAGCCACCAGAAGCGTGACATTCCCCACCCACTCTGGCAGCCTTGATGGGTGGCCATTGGCTAAGCTCCCCTACCTCCCTGGGGTTTTCATGATAAAGCAGGAACAGACCCATGTGTGCCCCACCTCTCCTGCCTCCCTGTGAGCCTGCTCCACCTGCAAGCATCCCTGGATGGCATCACACTGTTAGCCACAGGCTTCAGTACTGGCTCCTCAGGTGATGAGTGGAGTAAGGGGCCCTGGTCTAGATATTTCCGCATCTAAATTCTGTCCTCTTGGAGAGGAAAGTGGGGCTGTGCATTAATTCCACTTTTCCGATAATAACCTCTTGAGTAGCTCAAGTGTGGTTCTCTTTTATTCCTTCCTTAACACTTGCTGGTAGCCTCTGGATTGAGAGGTATCTCCAAAGTGATGCAGACACCATTTCCACCTGCCAGTTGCAATTATCCAAATTAAGGCCAAGTGGACACACGGCTGGTGTTCTAACTGAGCTCACAGCCACTCTGACCCCTGCATCCCCGAGGCCTAGGCATGATGTGGCCAGGCTGGTGGTGGCCAGAGTCCACGTCATCACCTCTGTGTTTGATGAGGTGCTCACATCTGGACTGGGCTCCTGCTCCTGGCTGTGTGCTTGGGGCAGCGGGGAGGTCCCGGCTGCAGCAGCATCATGAATCCCTGCCGGTCTGTGTTTGGATTCTTCTCAGTACCTGAGACAGAATGCTGAGGAGGACCAAGAGAAGCCCTGGGTTTTTCATGCAACACCCACCCTTCCCTGTGAATTCCTAAAGAAGCAAAGGGAAGTAGGACCTGAAATTCTTAAAGTCCTCTTCTTTCCCTGCCCCTTGGGCTTCAGCAGGAGCCCGTCTCTACTGAAGGTCTGGTCCCCAGGAAAATCCTCAGAGGACCACAAACACTCAAGAGGCCTATGACCTCCACTCTGGCCAGGATCTGTGTGTGTCTGTTTTTTCCTCTCTCTTTTGCTTCTAAGACAAAGAAATCAATTGTTGACGTGCTTTTAAAGTGTAGAAAAGATCTAAACTTCGCTTCACGGTACGTGTGACGTGTTGACCACACACTCTCCTTCTTTAGGGAGGACACACAGTGAGAAGAGGAGTGCAAGTGAGGGGGCTGAAAAGCAGGAAGCCATAGAGGAGGGAGCTGGGAGGAAAGGGAAGGAGAAAAATCACCAGAGACTCAAGACATGAATGGGAGAGGCGAGGGGACCCCAAGGAGAGAGGAGTGGAATGTCTGTTGAATGAATTAACTGAATGCTGAAATGTCCTCATTCTAAAAGCAAGACTAAGGCTCAAGGGGAATAAAGAGATCTCTCATCTAACATCCCAAAGCTAGTAAGGGCTGGAGGAGGACTAGACCCCACATCTCTCCAGTATCTACTCCAAAGGGTGCTGGTTTCACTTTCTTGATAGTTGGTGTTCGAGCTCCTCAAGACCTGGATCTGGTTTCTTCAGATCTGCCCAGGAAACAGGTGAGGCCTAAGGCCTTACTTAGAGACTTCCACTACTGGCTTTTGCCCAACCCCACTCCCTCATCATGTGTCCTTCATAAGAACCCTGGCATAGGAAACGTCAGCTGTGCCTCTGACTTGCTGTGTGACCTGGTGCAAGTGCCTTCCCCTCTCGGGGCCCTAGAACCCTCTCTGTAAGTTGTTACCAGGGGCCACAGGTGTTCGGTAAATATTGAATAACCAGTGTCTTGGCCACTAAAGCAAACACTGAGCTAACTGGGAGGGTTCCATAAAGCCTGGAGTCTGTGATTTTCAGAAAGGACCAAAGCAAAGTTACCAAACTGAATGAAAGCAGCTGGCACTGAGATTTCGGCTTCCCAGGATGCATGTATTTGAGACTATTGGGAGCAGTAGTAACTGCACACAGAAATGGGACATTTGCAGTGTCTGGAGTGCAGAAAGGGTGAAAGCAAATCCTTTGGTCTTTCTTTACAAACATTTGAAGTCCCCAGCATCCAGCACGCGTTATGGGATTGCCTTCAAACAAAAACTTATAAATCATTCACCACCAGCAATCACCCCCTCCTGGTCTTTCCAAATGAGCTACTGGAAAGGGGTTGGGGGGCAGGGAGTGACAGGAAGCTGCCTGGTGCTCTGTGCCTTGGGGACAGCCACCCAGCACCAGCCACAAACCCCAGAGCCCTAGGGTGCCTCTGTTCCTCCAAGCTTTCTCCCTAGGTCGCCCTCTTCTATGCCCTCCTCTTAGCTTTCTGGCACAGGCCAAGAATGGACAATTGCCCCACCTTCAGCCTTGTCCTCAGCAGTCCTCCTACCTGGAAGGCACATTCCCCACCTACAGAAATCACCCAGCCTCCCCCTCAAACTTGAATGTCCCCCTCAAGGCTTTCTTCTCTTTCCTCCAAGTGGAAGTGAAGTCTCAGTCCTGGGCGCTCTCCTCCCTAAGCCTGCCCACCACTCCTTGCAGTACTCACCTCTCTGCATGGAGACTCATCACCTCCACTCGATGAGGAGTTCAGGGATTTGTCTTCACCTCTCCCTTGGACTCCTCTGCCCCCCAACACCCCCTTCAACTACTAGGTGCTTGGTTGGACAAATTGCCACTCCTGCAAGGCTGTCCTTGTCCAAACCAGACTTCTTGGCTTCAGCTGGATTTCTTGAACTTAAAGTGGAAGTTCATCTTAACGTGAACTTAAAGTTGAAGGAGCTTGAGCTTGGCCAGGGGTTCCAAACTTACCTCCACCACCTCCTCCTAACCACGTGGGAAAGCAGATGGAGTCCCTTGAACCTGTTTCCACCACCACAGTAAACCATACAGCCCATATGCAGCCCAAGGACTGTGCTAAGGACTTTAACTGCATTTTCTCGTGGCATTCCCCTATGCCTGGTGACAGTTGGTACTTTTATCCTTATTGCCACCTTACAGAAGAGAAAGTGGAGGCTCAGGGAGGTTAATTGCCCTAAGTCACTTGGTCAAGGGATGACAGAGCAGTGACTCTGTGGGATTTCAAACCCGCTTATCCCCCAGGAAGTCCACAGACCCCTGGACATTCTGAGGCAGCAAGATAAGGGCCTCCCCCAGCCACCAGGCTCCCTCCTCCTGGGTCTCCCAGCCCTGGCTACCTTCCTTGGGCGCGTTGGCATCCCAGACGCTCCACATCTGCACGAAGAAGAAAGGCGTCCAGCACACGATGAAGGCCAGCACGATGATGAAAGTCATCTTGACCGTGCGGATCTTGGCCTTGGAGATGAGCTTGACGCTGCTGACACGCGCCAGGGCCACGCGCCCCCCATCGCCAGCCGCCGCGCCCTCTGGCGCCTCGGCCGCCGCCGCTGCAGCGGTCTTGAGCCGCAAGTTCTGCCAGATCTTGAAGCTGATAAGGCCGTAGCAGGCAGCGAGCACGATGACCGGCACGATGTAGACAGCTAGCGTGATCCATGTGATGTAGGCCTTGGGTCCCCAGGGCTGGATGAAGACGGCCCAGCAGTCGAAGACGCCGTCAGCCACCTCGCGCAGAGAGAAGATGTGCACCTGCGGCGCGCTGGCCACCAGGCAGCCGAGCCACGTGGCGAGCACTGCCAGGCGGTCGGTGCGGCGGCGCAGCGAGCGCAGCGGCTGGCAGATGGCCAGGCAGCGGTCCAGGGACATGAGCAGCAGCAGGTAGGTGGAGGCGAACATGCCCACCACCTGCAAGTACTTGACCAGGCGGCACAGCAGGTCGGGCCCGTAGAAGCGGAAGGTGATGTCCCACAGCAACTGCGGCAGCACCTGAAACACTGCCACCACCAGGTCGGCGATGCTTAGGTGCTTCATGAAGAAGAAGAGGCGCGAGTGCTTCTGGCGTGTGGTGCGCAGCGCCAGCAGCACACACGCGTTCCCGCTCAGCGCCAGGAGCAGGATGAGACACAGCACCGCCACCTCCACGCGCGCCAGGGCCTCGTTGCGCCGCGGGGGTCCGGCGGTGCGGTTGCCCTCGGCCCCCGGCGGCGCGGCGCTGGCGTTGGCTGCCTCGGCGCTCCAGTTGGCTGCGAGCGCGCCCTCCATGACCCTGGCGGCAGCGGTGCGCCCCGGCCTTCGAGCCCTTTACGGCTTGGCGCGGCTGGGCCGGATCCGGCGTGTCGGAGGGTGTAGGGGCGCCCGGGGCTCCACTCCTGGAGACTCCACGGACGGATCTGCTGGGTCCACCCTGAAACAAACCGGGAGGGCCGTGAGGAGACCGCCGCGTTTCTCTTCCGACGCGGGTAGGGCGTGCTTGTCCCATTCCCAGGAACCCAACTCATCTGAAACAACAGGGCACAACCGCCGGCCTCGGGTTGCTCAGCCGCCACCCCAGAAATCCCCGTTGGAGGTACCTCCTCTGAGCCACTGCAAATGAGCGGGAATCCTCTACCGGCCACAAGCCCAGAGCCCCCAGCGTGCCAGTTCCTCGGGATGTTCAGCGGCTTCCACTGGGGGAGAAGGGAGGGTCAAAATCAGCAACGTTCCTCCGGGAGTGGGAATCTAAAACCAAATCACCTCCCCGAGGGAATCTCCAAACTACCTACTCGCCCCAGGCTCCGACCCTCAGCATATCCACCTGCCGCGGGACCCCCAAACCAGCCCCTCTCCTAGTAAACATTAATTCAAGTACTTCCTCCGGAAATCCCCAAATAGCCACTTGCCTGGGAAACCCCAGCTCTGGTCCTTCCCCGTCTAACCCCCTTTTCTAAGACGGTCGGCCGTCACTCCCTGAACTTCCACAGCACCTGCTTCGGTGGAAACCCGGTTCTGCAGTCCCTGCTGGGGGAACCCCTGCCTCAAAGCCCAAGATGCCCAAGCGCTGTTCCCAGACCCTGGCATAGACACCTCCCGCGGGGCTCCTCCCCAGCCCGGCAGCCTCGAAAGTTCTGGAACCCCTGACTTGCGCTTTGGACCCAGATAATCAAGGACTCTGAGTCTCAATCCCGAGAAGTCACTTTACAATCTCTCGGAACACCCCGAGCTCCTCCAGGAACAAGGAGTGCGAGGCACCCCACCACCTCCACTCGGGTCCCGATGGCTCCACCGGCCCTAGCCATCCCGTCCACCCCTGCTTAGCACCCAGCTACCTGCACCGAGTCCGCAGGCGAACCTAAAGTTGACTCCCCCCGGGGAAGTTGCACGGCGACTGACGGCCCCAGTGACGCGTGCGCTCCCGGCCCGAGTTGGGATGGCCTGCCGGCTGCACCTAATGTGATGCTAAGCTGAGGTCTCTCACTGGAGCCTCGGTTGGAATCCCCTCGCCGCAGCCTGGCTGGTCGCTGGATGGGTACAGGAGGCGAGCGAGGAGCGCCTCCCAGGCTGCGCGCGCGGACAGCGTCTGGATGCGGCGCTGTGCGCTGGGGCTGAGGCTGCACTATCGCACGGGTCCGCTAGGGGGCGGGCGAGGCCAGCCGCGCAGACCCCTCCGGAGCGGAGCTGGTTCGCCCAGCGTTGGTCCCAGAGCCTTAACAAATGGGTTTATTTTGCAGTGGTTTAAAACTGCGAGAGGGAGGGAACTCGTCAATAACCCGCCCGTTTCTTCCTTTCTTGGTTTAGAAGCTCTTGACTCCGAGACACATAGGAGGCTTGAATAATAATGTTCTTCCCCGGGTAGATAGTGATGAAGTTACAAAAGCATTTAAACTGATTATTTCCCAAAAATGATGTTAATTTTCAGGCTTTTCTCTCCCCCCACACCTCCAGCTTGATGTAGCGGCTTTAGCAGTGAACTCAAATAAGTCTTTGCTTTGGAATACTTTTGTTCCTATTCCCGTTAATGAGGAATTAGAAATGGCCTCTATTCTAAGCAGTGCTGGGAGAGGCGTTATTTTTTCGGTAGTTTTAGAGGAAATTCTGAAGCACAACACTGTCTTCATTTAAAGTGATTCTGCTTGTCTGCGCCCAAGAGCCGTTTCTGCCTCCTTGTCGCGCTTCGGAATTAAAATTCTAAATGATGCCAAAGGAAGATAAAATGTTAAAGACAGCTTCTCAGCCTCCCTGCCCCTTCTCTATTCTAAAATCATTTTTTGAAGTAATTTACAGTGGCCAAGAATTAAGTCAGAAAAAAAGGCCAGGATTCAAAAATAAACAGGGCTCTTTAAAATGCATTAAATGTGTATTTCCTCCTGACATTTCACTTCTCCGTCTTTTTATTATGTGGAGAGACTTGAGTTAGCCAAGGACTGGGTTTCCTTAATCCACAATTACAGCCCCATGCCGAGATATCCCAGGGGCCAACCTTACAGCACCTGGATCCCAGGGTTCTAGCTGAGTAATCATTCCAGAATGGGGCTGGGAATCTTGACAGCATTGCCAAGGGGTGGCAGGCAGTATTAATCAATATTAGTCAATAGTACCTATCGGCCTCGAAAATTACAGATTAAAGTTACAGACGACTCAGGTGAGAATGAAGTGACCTTGGGCAAGCCCCTTCTCTTTGGGCCTCAGTCTCCTCATATGTAAAATGAGAGCACTGGTCAAGATAGCTAATGTCTGAGGTCCTGTCCCTCTGGTTTTCTGAAACTGTATAATCTGTGCAATCTGAGGGTTCAATCCTAGCAGGTAAAACACCCCTGCCTCACTCCACGGCTGGATGAAGGCAGATTTTTCCCTATGAGCCCCTGACCGGTGAATGTGAGAAGGAAAACACTGGCCTGTAGAACCAAGCCTGCCCTTCTTTCTCCTGGAAGACAGCTGCTTTCTAGGGAGCAAGTTTACTGAGCCACTTCACCAAGGACAGACTCTTCTACCCTTTGTAGGGAAGCCTGCCTACCTGTGTGGTCCTCGCGTAGCCCGTGAGACAGCCTAATTCTGGATTCACCTAACAGGGCTATTTAGTCTCATGCAAAAGGTAAATTCTCTAACTTAGTTTTAATCTAAACAACAACAATAACAACAACAGTAATAGTGTGATCCCCATTTCCTGTCTTTTGTTTTATTTCTCATTGTGTGCAGAAACCAGGCAGGAAATAGAGAGGTCCCCTTGAAAACTCCTAACAATGAATAAGACATGCTCCTTCACCTTTGAGCTTCGGCCAGGGAGAAAAACACATATTAGATTGGTGCAAAAGTAATTGTGGTTTTTGCTATTAAAAATAATGGCAAAAACTGCAATTACTTTTGCATCAACCTAATATTTGCAGTGTGACAACAATAAATGATGTTACAGAAGTGAGGACTGCTGGGGGCTGAGGTAATACTTGGGAGATCGTTTTACAAAGAGGTAGCTGGATTTCAGAGCTCCAGAATGAGTTCTCCAGGAAGCAAAGAAAAAAGGCATACTTCTCAGAGAGTGGTGCAGGGGAATCACTTTGGCGTTTTGGAGGAAGGACTAAAGATGAATTGCTTGGTGCCTAGCACATTGCCAGCACTTAATACATACAGTTGGCCCTCTATATCCCTGTATCTGTGAGTTCAGTGGATTCAAACAATCATGGATTGAAAATATTCAGGAAAAAAAATCCTCAAAGTTCCAAAAAGCAAAAATTGAATTTGTCATGTGCCACCTACAACACTGAATGCACACAAATGCAGTGACGAGTGACATTGCATTAGGTGTTACAAGTAATCTTGAGATGACTTAAAGTATGTGAGAGGATATGCACGTGTTATATGCAAATACTGCTTCATTTTATATCAGGGATTTGTGTACCTTGAAGGCTCCCGGAACCAATCCCCCATGGATACCAAGAGATAACTGTACTTATTGATGCTAAAGGAACTTCAAGGCCATGTAAAGGAGAATGGGTTTTATTCTGTAACCCAACATTCCCCAAAATATGGGATGGAATACTTTCTGATAGTGTTAAATGTGAATTTAATATTGAGTGATACTGAATAACAGGGAGGAAATTCAGTTCTCAGTTCTGCTTACTTTTGACGTCAGCAAAGAGAAAGTCTGATATAACAAAAATCATGAAGGTGCTAGTGTAAAGATGACTGAGGTTAGAAGGCATTGGTGGGGAAGGTGGGGTGCCTGGAAGGACTGCAAGCAAAACAACGTACTCAAATCTGTGCTTGGTGAGAGAATGCTGGTAGCCACAGGGAAGATGGGAAAGGAGATACTGGCATTATGAAGGCCTTGGAGATCCAGGCAAGAGATGCTGTAGGCATGGACAAAAGATGTGACATTACAGGGTGTCTTTCGGTCTTCCAAAGAAACAGAACCATTGGGATGTATATATGTAGAGAAAGAGATTCATTTAAGGAATTGGTTCATGTGTTATGGAGGCTGGCAAGTCCAAAATCTTCAGAGTGAGCTGACAGGCTGGAGACCCAGGGAAGAGCTGATTTTGCAGGTCAAGTCCAAAGGTCCTCTGCTGCGGAATTCCTTCTTGCTCAGGGAGGTCAGTCTTTTGTTCCATATAGACCTTCAACTGATTGGATAAGCCCACCAACGTTATGGTGGGTGATCTACTTTGTTCCAGATGTTAATCTCATCCAAAAATACCCTCACAGAAACATCCCGAATAATATTTGACCAAATATCTGGGCACCATGGCCCAGCCAAGCTGACACACAAAATGAACCATCACAGACAGAGATTCAGCAATCCCTGATTTACAAATGTCTTCATCTGTCTGAGTATCCGGGCATCTTTTTTTTTTTTTTATTTTAAGTTCTGGAGTTCATGTGCAGTATGTGCAGGTTTGTTACATAGGTAAATGTGTGCCATGGTGGTTTGCTGCACCTATCAACCCATCACCTAGGTATTAAGCTTAGCACATATTAGCTATTTTTCCTGATGCTCTCCCTCCCTCTGCCCCCGTGACAGGCCCCAGTGTGTATTGTTCCCCTCCCTGTGTCTGTGTTCTCATCATTCAGCTCCCACTTATAAGTCAGAACATGTGGTGTTTGGTTTTCTGTTCCTGTATTAGTTTGCTGAGGTTAATGGCTTCCAGCTCCATCCATCCTGCAAAGGACATGATCTTGTTCCTTTTTATGGCTGCATAGTATTCCATGGCATATATATCTATATATATCTATATATATATATATCTATATATATCTATATATATATAATCTATATATATCTATATATATATAATCTATATATATCTATATATATATAATCTATATATATCTATATCTATATAATCTATATATATCTATATAATCTATATATATATAATCTATATATATCTATATCTATATAATCTATATATATCTATATATAGATTATATAGATATAGATATATATATATATATCTCACATTTTTTTCTTTATCCAGTCTATCATTGATGGGCATTTGGGTTGATTTCATGTCTTTGCTATAGTGAATAGTGCTGCAGTGAACATACATGTGCAGGTATCTTTACAATAGAATGATTTATATTCCTTTGGGTATATACCCAGTAATGAGATTGCTGGGTAAAATGGTCTTTCTGGTTCTAGGTCTTTGAGGAATTGCCACTCCATCTTCCACAATGGTTGAACTAATTTGCATTACCACCAATAGTGTAAAAACATTCCTATTTCTCCAGATCCTTTACAGCATCAGTTGTTTCTTGACTTCTTAATAATCACCATTCTGACTGGCATGAGATGGTATCTTATTGTGGTTTTTATTTGCATTTCTCTAATGATCAGTGATGTTGACCTTTCTTTCATACGTTTGTTGGCCACATAAATGTCTTCTTTTGAGAAGTGTCTGTTCACGTCCTTTGCCCACTTTTTAATGGGGTTGTTTTTTTCTTGTATCCAAGCATCTTAAAGGTGGGGCCAATATTGTCTATACCTGTACTTCGAAAGGCCTAGGTCACTATAGAATAGGCACCTTTCAGGTATTTGTTAAATACAGAAGGATAAAAGGAAGGGGGAAAGGAGGGAAGAAATAAACATCTCCATGGGCAGAACCAGGCCCTCTGGGGAAGGTATCCTGCCCAGAGAATGACCTGTCCTGTACCCACTTCTGCCTCTGGGAACTGGGTCTGAGTTTTAGCATCTTGGGAATTTTCCAGCCCTGGCACATTTATTTCAACATGGATCCAAGCCCAAGCGGCCTTTGCTCTATTGTCAGAGTGGAAATGAGCTATAAACACATCCAACCTACCCCCTCCCTAACATCACCGCCTCCCCAGCCTGCCCCCAAATAACTTCTCAGCCTCTGCTTGGGCTCCTAGCTCCAGGAGGGGGGTCAGTGACATGCTCTCAGGCATAAAGGCTGAGAACACATTGTAGCAATCAGCCTGCTGCTGGCACACTTGATCTTCTTACATTTATAGCTCTGTGCGGATGCAGGCACATCAGGGCACATGGGCTGACCTGGGAAGTTCCTGAGGCCGTGCCAGGATGCTGTGTCAGGAGGCCACTGCTTATAGGTAGAACTTGCACGGATTCCTTCTAGCCTGTGTGATTTTGGACTTCCCAGCCTTTGTTTTCATTCCTGTGTTCCATGCAGGGTGGAGAAAGAGAGAAAAATGTGCTTTCCTATTGGAGAGAGCTCTGAATCTGCAGCAGTAAGTGCTTGCTAGCATCTGGATTTTACCACGTTTTGTCAGCGTGGCTAAGGTACTGAACTTCTCTGAGACTTGGTTTCCCCAGGTGCTGATCACATGAGGCTGTGTGTATAAACCAAACTTAATGCACATGAAGAGTGCTTCACAAACAGCAGAGAACTATACAATCAAATCTTTATTCCCATGCTGACAATCCTGACCCCAGGACCACTCCATGAAAATAGTGTCTGATCCAATCAACCTCCATCTTATTAGTCTTTCTGGATGGAGTTCATAATATTTTCAATTTAATCAGACAAACTGCATCTTGGAAGGTAGGGGGAATGTCACTGTGCCAGGCAAGGAAAGTAACTCCTTTGAACCCTAACTGGTGAGATGGGGATACTGACTCTTTACCTTTCAGGGAGGCCTTTCCTGACCACCCTGGCCCACTGAGAAATCATTATTTTCTGAACCTCTCTAGCATGACCAAAAACTATATTTACAGTATGAATGTGCTCAGTCTTCCCAATCCAGTTATAAGTGCCTAGAATTAGTCCCATATATCACAGTCCTTTCTATATTTGCCCATCATTTTCCTATCATGCATGCCTATGAATGAAAATGTGTTGAGAAAATGGCTGATGGATTACCCAAGAACACCCCTTAGCAAATGAGTCACCAGACTCAGACCCCTGCTTCCTAGAATGGTATTTTTATGAAAATCAAGTTGAAGGAGGGCTCTTTGTGAGAAAGGATGTTGTTGATCCCTGTGTGCCATTCTCCCCGAGAGAAAGCGATGACAGAGATAAACACGAGGCTTCTAATTCCATAGACATGTTGTCAATTAACAACGGATGTGGCTAAACAATCCCTGTTAATGAATTGGCCTCAACCATTGCATTCTCCGTGTGTAGGCACTGTTGGCCCAGGTTAAGGCATAACATGGCATAACTGGAGAGAAACAGCTTCCTATAAGGAATCTCAGAGCTTGGAATAAAAGCAGGCTGTTCTTTTGCAGAAGAAAGGGTTTGTTGAGACGCAGGATCCTTGGAATATGTAACGTCTTTTGGAGAAGTAGAGCCTGAAAGAGTTGAGAGTCATTTAAAAGTGGTTGTTAGCTTCATAACAAACAGAATGATTGGGATTATTACAATGCCTGTTTTACAGATGAGGAAACCGAGGTTCAGAGAGGGGAAGGCATTTGCCCAAGGCCACACAGCTGGTAAAGGAGGTCAGCGTGGCTGGAGCAAAGCACAAGAGGAGCAGGGACAGGCCACACGGATCTGGTGGAAGTGTAAGGGACTTTGCTCTCTCTTCTAAGAGGGCTGGGAGGCATGAGGGGTTTTAAGTGAAGGAGTGATAATGCATTCGCACTAGCAGGGGCACAGATTGGAGGGAGGCAAGCAGTTGCAAAGAGATGGATTAAAAGGCTGTTGAGCCAGCATGGTGGCTCATGCCTGTAATCCCAGCACTTTGGGAGGCTGAGGTTGGTGGATCACGAGGTCAGGAGATCGAGACCATCCTGGCCAACATGGTGAAACCCCATCTCTACTAAAAATACAAAACTTAGCTGGGCGTGGTGGTGCGTGCCTGTAGTCCCAGCTACTTGGGAGGCTGAGGCAGGAGAATCTCTCAAACCCAATAGGTGGAGGTTGCAGTGAGCCGAGACTGTGCCACTGCCCTCCAGCCTGGGCAACAGAGCAAGATCCCATCTCAAAAAAAAAAAAAAGGCTGTTGTGGGCACCCGGGGAGAGGGGCACAAGTGTGAATTGGGTGGTGCCAGGGTCGACATGGCAAAGACAGGAGATTTGCCCAAGGTCCCACTGTGATCAGAAGTGAAGCCAGAACCAAACTCTGGTCTTTCCATTGACTCAGCTACCTCCTGCGTCATAAAAGGCCAGGGCAGCATTGAAAATGTTCTCAAGAGACAAGCTAGAAAGACTTTTTGATGAAGTAGAAGGAAAGAGGGAGCTAGCTGAGCAGAGACAATAACAATGGCATGAGACAGTCCCTGGGAATTACTCAAGAGTTCAGGCTAGGTTCAGATAGGAACGCTCAGAGAAAACAAAGCTCTCTTCTCCCGTTAGCTCCTGCCCCATTTCTATCAGGCCATCTCTGGTAGGAGAAAGGCACCTAAGGGAAATTCCAGTGACCTGACGGCTCCAAACACATTGTCTCAAGCCTTAGGCAGCCCATCTCTCCTCCTCCACCAATTCCAACAGCCCACTCATTTTTCTTTTTCATTTAAAAAAAAAAAAAGGCATTTCATCCCAGAAGGGCACCCCACAGAAGCCTGCCTTTCTTCCTGGAATATTCAGCACAATTTAACAGAATGTACTATTTCTTCTGTTCTGTTATGCACCAACATTCTTTCAATAAATAAGTTCTAAAGCACCTACTCTGTGCCCATTGGAATGTCCCCTGAATTGTAGCACAGGGAGGCTGTGCTATTAGCTCAGAGTTGAATTTGACCAACAAGTGCTCCCATGCTGGGTGAGAAAATCAAAACAAGTAGAAAGCCCCAAATCCCTGCCTTCGGAGTTAGAATTCCACCATGAATGTGCCGCCCTGTGTGACCATGGGCAAATCCCCACATCTCCCTGGGCCTCAGTTTCCCCTCCTTAAAATGAGGTTATTAGACAATCTCTAAGATCATTTACAGCTCTAACCTTCTATAATGCTCTAAGTCTGGAAGGCAAAACACACACTGCAAAGCAATAAGAGCAGAAAGGACCATCTGATGAAGCATCCCCAGTGCTGACCACAGTACAGCACATCGTAGGTACTCAATAAATACAAGGAGAAAGAATGAGTATGCACTGTACAGGAAAGGCAGAAGCACTCTGCCAAGAGTGAGTTTTAAACAACTGAAATGTCATTTTTCACCTAACAGACTGGAGAAAATGGAAAAAGAGAATACCCCGGAGGAATCTGAAGCTCTCAAACACTTCTGGTAAGAATGCATTTTGGAGTAGCCTCCTTCAAAGGAAGAAATTTAACAATATATATAAATTGCCTTTAAAATGTGCATGCCTTTTGACACAGTAATTAACCCTTCTAATGATGTAACTTGAGGAAATGATTGGGCAAAAATGCAAAGAGGTATGTATACAGATGGCTGTTAAACATTGTAGAACAAGCAGAACAGGAGTGTTTATTATGTGCATCCCGCGAAAAACTGGGTAGAGATTAAAAATGAGAAGGTGGATCTTTGCTAATTGACCTAGGAAAGTATGTGTGTCTGTGTGTGTGAGAGAGAGAGAGAGAAGAAGGAGGAAGCGGCTACAGAACAGGGTATATAGAATGATGCCATTTATAAATCCACCCACAGAGAATGGTCTCAAAAGGATGTTACAAACAAATTAACAGCAATTATCTCTAGATAGTAGGAGTATGTTTCCAGAAAGCCTCCACAGACCAGCCTGGGTATCTCCAGCCTCCACCTCTTGCTCTTTCTTAGCTGTGGAGCATGTGCCTCCCAACGCCACCCCAGGGTGCTGGGGAAGTGGGAGCATTCCCTTCAAGTGTTGTCAGAGTTTTCAACCAGCTGGCTGGAGTGTTTACAAATAACAGCTTTGATAATCGAGATGTACAGCCAGCCAGGAGGAGGCTTCCCACCCGTGAAGGATGGACCGGCTCTTTGGGGTCCTGGTGTAAGCAGAGCAGCCACATCCGAAGGCCACCAAGAGAACTGTTGCTTTCATACCCCCAGCTCTTCCTGTGGTTGCCTCGTACACAGCACTTTCTCTCCACATTTAAGGTGTTTGTGACATTTCATAAAGTTTCTTAAAGGTGCCCAGCTCCAACAACAATTCCTTGCAGGAAAGATGCACCAAAGAAGGAAAGAACAGCCAAAGGCTCCAGAGCTGGTGTGCTTGGGATGGTCACAAGTGGAGGAGACCTTCCCTGTGTGCATGACATCCAAGAGCTGGCCCAGGATTCCCAAGGGATCGAGGCACACCTTGTCACCCTACCTGAAGGACAGGGACCCTAGCATGCTAAAACACTAGGACCACGAGGAACACGGACACAAGATTCATCTCACACTTGATGATTCTGGGATGAATGCAGCCTCAGGGTGCTGACTCAGCTCCCAGTGACTGAGCTGCCTCTCCAACACAGCACAAACCCGTACTCCCAGTCCTTAGCAGACTCTTCTCAATTCCACTGCACAGCTGCTTCTGTGGCCCTGGCCCACCCTATCTGCCTCCTTTCCACCCACGCTGATCTTCCTGTACCAGGCTTGGCTCCCCAAGCAGGTACCCCAACACTCCTGTGCACACCATCTCCACACCCACACTCAGCCCATTCCCCCTACTAGGAATGATATCCCCACCCCAGCTTGTCCCCCTAACTATCAAATTTCATACCTTGTCCACTTTACAGATGGAGAAACTGAGGCTCAAGATTTGCTAAGATTGCATGGCTAACTGGGATCAGCCAGATCTCTGACTCCCTCCTATCCTTTCCTCCTAGCCTGTTGCTTTTTTTCTGAGAACCGTGCTTTCTGGAACTCTGGAATAGGGTGCTAGAGAGTGGACATTCTCTCTGCTTCCTTTGAAGTGGTTGATTCCTGAAGCCTTGGCTTTTCTTAGGGACTCCTTATTCCTACCTTGTGGAACCCCTTAAAGTTCAAGGATAGCAGAGGAGGAGTTGATGCATTGACTCATGCAGGCTCACCACAGGTAAATGTACAGGCCCTGGAATCAACGTTGTATGGGGGAGTCATGCAGACTTGGATTTAAATCTGGATGCCACCACATACTAACAGTATTACCTTGAGTGACAGCGCCAATCTCACTGTGCCTCAATTAACCTGACTCACAAATGGGAATGAGTTTCCCATTTGTGTAATACCCATGTTTTCAGTTACTGTGGCTACATAGCAAGTTGCCCTAAAGTGTAGTGTTTTCAAACTTATTTTGCTCATGAAACTGTGAGTTGGGGCAGGGCTTGGCAGGGACAGCTCATCTGTGCTCCAGTAGACATTAGCTGGAACGATGGAAAGGCAAGGGCTCGAATCATCTTATAGATTGTGAGGCCTGATATCCCACATAGATCACAGTCAACTCTGGCTGTCACTGGGAACTTAGCTGGGGCAATGGGTCAGCTGCCAATTCTGGCTGTCACTGGAAGCTTAGCTGGGGCTGTGGGTCAGATGCCTAGGCATGGGTTCCTAGGCTCCCTCAGGAAACAGTGGCTGGTTTTCAAAAGCAAGCATTGAGAGAGAGGGAGAAAGAGATAGAGTCCAAGACAGAGAAAGTCAGAGACAGGGAGACACAGAGAGAAACAGAAATGGGGAGAAAGAAAGAGGCAAGAAAAAGCCATATCACCTTTTGTAACAACCTCAGAAGTCATATTGCATTACTTCTGCCATATTCTATTCAATAAAGCAGTTACAAAGACCCACCAGTTTTCAGGAAGAGGAGAAATAGACCCTGCCTCTTGGAGAGAAAAAAAGCAAGATATTGGAGGCATCTGAGACCAAAAGTATTGTTGTGCCATTTTGGAAAATACATGATTATACCATGTCACTCAGTTGTTCAAGTTGATTCAATGCATGATGCCTGGCACATAGTGGGTACCTATACAAATACTAGCTATTATGTAGCTGCCTATAAGAATGCCTAAGAGTACAGGGGCCATAGGTTAGAATCAAATGACCAGGCCCAGTAGACCAAGCTGGAGTCTGTTCTCTATACCCCAAGCAAAAAAGCTTGAGGTCCACTCATAGCCACCCCAATTTGAGTGAACCAGGGTGCCAATGACAAAAGCACTAGAAATCCATGGTAGTGAGAGTTTTCCCCATGTGCCCCTAAGCCCACACATCCATCACACCCCAGCAGTATTACCCAATGTTCCAGATTAGGAGCCAAGGGTGTTGGTCCTAAGCAAGACAGAAAGTACTGAGCAAATAGCCTAGAAATGAGAACAGAAACTTCTGCAAACTGCAGGGCCAGTGGAAACACAATGCAGCTTCCAGAAAGAGAGGGTCAGATGTCTTGTATCTCACCAAAAACAGTCATGTAGTTACAAGAGACAAGGAAAGTAACTATATAATTACAAAGGGATCAGTTCATCAAGAGAATATAGCAATTGTAAATATATATGCACTCAATCTTGGAGCACCTAAATATATAGAGAAAATATTAACAGAACTGTGAAGGGAAAAATAGCAATATAATAATAGGAGAGAACTTCAATATCCCGGTTTTATTCATGGATATATCACACAGACAGACAATTAATAAGGAAATAGCATAGTTGAATAAAACTATAGATCAAACGGACCTAATAGACACATTGGGACCATCAGAGCATTCCATCCAACAGCAGCAGAATACACATTTTTCTCAAGCACACAAAAAAACATTCTCCATGTACTAGTCCACAAAACAAGTCTTAACAAATTTAAGAAGGTTGAAATTATATCAAGTATCTTTTATGACCATAATGCTACAAAACTAGAAATCGATAACAGGAGGAAAATTGGAAAATTTGCAAATATATGGAAACCAATACCATACTTCTAAACAACCGATGAGTCAAATAATAAATCAAAAAAGATATTTAAAAATCTTGAGACAAATGAACAAATGAACATAGAAACACAATATACCAAAACTTATGAAGTGCAAGAAAAGCAGCTCTCAGAGGGAAGTTAATAGCAAAAAACAAGCAAACTATATATACATATAGTTTGTATACATATGTACTTATACATAATGAGATATACATATATAGTTTGTATACAAATATACTTACACATATATAATGAGATATACATATATAATGAGATATATATACTTTGTGTGTATATATATAAATACACAGATACATATATAATAATATATATATAGTTTGTTTGTATATATATATATGCATACATGAAGAAAAAAGATCTTGCCGGAGCAACCAGGCAAGACGAAATAATAAAAGGCATCCAAGTAAGAAAGGAAGGGGTGAAATCATCTCTTTATATATGACATGATCTTATATATAGAAAATCCCAAATGCACCACCAAAAAAAACCTTTAGAACTAATAAATGAATTCAGTCAGGTTGCCAGATACAAAATCAACATACAAAAAATCAGTTGCATTTCTATATACTAAAAACAAGCCATCAGAAAAAGAAATTAAGAAAACAATAACATTTACAATAGCATTGAAAATAATAAAATACTTAGGAATAAATTTAACCAAGGAGATTAAAGATCCGAATTAATATTGTTAAAATGCCTATATTACCTAAAGTGATCTCAGATTCAAAGCAATCCTTATCAAAATTCTAAAGGCATTTTAACAGAAACAGAAAAAACAATTCTGAAATTCATATGGGGTCAGAAAAGACTCCAAATGGCCAAAACAATCTTGAGTAAAGACGAAGCTAGAGGCTTTGCACTTTATGACTTCAAACTATATCACAAAGCTTTAGTAATTAAAACAGGCATAAAAACATGGTACTTGCATTAAAAAAATACATAGACCAATGGAACAGAATAGATAGCCCAGAAATGAGCTCACACATATATGTTCAATTAATCTTTGATAAAGATACCAAGAATACACAATGTGGAAAAAACAATCTTTCCAATAAATGGTGTTGGGAAAACTGGATATCCACATGCAAAAGTATGAAATTTGACCCTTACACTGTGCAGAAAAATTAACTCAAAATGGATTAAAGATTTAAATGAAAGACTTGAAACTATATATTGCCAGAAGAAATCATAGGAGAAAAGCTCCTTGATATTGACCAGAACAATGATTTTTTTGGATATGACATTAAAAGCACAGGCAACAAAAGCAAAACTAAACAAGTGGGACTACATCAAATTAAAAAAATCTTCCACACAGCAAAGAAAATCAACAAATTGAAAAGGCAACCTACATAATAGGAGAAAATATTTCCAAGCCATATATATAATAAGGGGTTAGCATCCTAAATATATAAGGAACTCCTACAACTCAATAGCAAACACACACACACACACACACACACACACACACACACAATTTAAAAATGGGGAAAGGGCATGAATAGACATTTTTCCAAAAAAAGAGATACATATAACCAACAGGTATATGAAAAGGTTCTCAACATCACTAATCATCAGGAAAATGCAAATTAAAACCACAATGAGATACCACCTCACACCTGCTGGGATGGCTATTATCAAAAAGACAAGCAATAACAAGTATTGGCAAGGATGTAGAGAAAAGAGAACCCCTGTACACTGTTGGTGGAAATGTAAGTTGGTACAACTCTTATGAAAAACATAATGGAGGTTCCCAAAAAAATTAAAAATAGAACTGCTATATGATCCAGCAATCCCACTTCTGGGTAATCAGCATCTTGGTATCTGCACTCCCATGTTTATTACTATATTATTTGCAATAACCAAGATATGGAAGCAACCTAAGTGTCCATCAATGGGTAAATGGATAAAGAAAATGTGGTGTGTATATATACAATAAATATTATTCAGCCATAAAAAATAAGGAAATCCTGCCACCTGCAACAATATGGATGAACCTGGAGACATTATGCTAAGTGAAATAAGCCAGGCACAGAGAGAGAAATACTGTATGAACTCTCTTATATGTGAAATTGAAGAAAGGCAAACTCATAGAAACAGACAGTAGAACGGTGATTACCAGGGCATGGGAGTGAGAGTGGGAGACAATAGAGAGAGGTTGGTCAAAGTGTACATTTTCAGTTGTAAGACAAATGAGTTCTGGAGATCTAATGTATAGCATAGTGACTATAGTTAATAATACTGTATTGCATACTTGATATTTGCTACGAATAGATCTTAAGTATTCTTACCACATGCAAAAAAATGTTAACTGTGAGGTCATTGATTTGTTATTAACTTGATTGTGATAATCATTTCATTATATATGCACATCAAATCATCACATTGTACAACTTAAATATATACAATTTTTTGTCAATTATATCTCAATAAATTATAAATTTTATCTCAATAAAGCTAGAGGGGAGGAAGAGCATTAAACCAAGCATGGGACCTCTGAGTGTGGCCTCCATGCTATGCACAGGTTACATGAAGCCATCCTGCCCAGGAGCTTTCTTCTCACCATCTATCCCACCTCAAGAACTATCCATTTCACATCCTAGATGTTGCTTGAAGTCATCTGCTCCCTCCATCTCCATGTCACTGCTGCAGTCTAAGCTGCCACCCACATACACTCCCTGGACAGCTGCAACCCTTCTGGTCTCCCTCCTTCTCTCCACACAGCAGCCGGTTACCTTTGAAAATGGCACATGTGCTAACATCACCTTCTGTTGGAAGTAGTTTAATGTCCTCTCCCTGCCCCGGGGGTAAAGGTCAAATGCTTTAACATGGTCCATGGGCCAGTCCCATATGATCAGGTGACCTTTATTTACACCACACTTCAAGTTCTCCAAGCTTCAGCCACTGCCCACACAACCATGGGCAAGTTATGGCTTGATCATATCTCATATCCCAGCAAATCTACCACATCCTCCAAGCTCCTTCAGGGTCTCTTGTAATACTATAGACCTCTCCTTAGCACCTTCCAAATGTGTGATTTTACATATGTTTGTGTGGAGTTTTGATTAATGCCTGCCACCAAGGGCGGAAGCTGTGTCTAATTGTATTCACCATATTCTCCATGCTGAGCACATTGTGTGTGCACCATTCATATGGTGAATGAGTTAGCTAATGAACCAATGCCTGCCACGTACTCAAAAATCCGAGGACCGACAATATGTCCAACCATCCCATCAACTGCAACAAGAAGATGAGACTATGTTCCTTGAACAGATGTTGTGAAGATTAACTGAGATTGTGTATAAAAAGCACTTCGCACTAGAGAGATGTTCAATAAATGTCTATGAGATGTTTTTGAAGGGACAGTGGGAAGTATGTGATGGGGGAAATCAAGGGAGCCCTTCTCTCTTCCCATCCCTTGTCCTGGAATCTGGGATTCTGGAAAGAAATTCTTAATTTATTTCTACTGTCTTATTAAAGATTTAATGCATTTCTCTTTCCTGAGGGAAATGATAGAGGGACCTCTGGGACTACCTTGGGCTGCAAAATATTCCTAGGCCAGGCAGGTGGGAGAGGGGGTGGTTCAAAACCAGGTGCAGCTAGTTCCAAACCCAGGACATTCTTCTATGCCAGATTGCCTTTCGGGGAGAATGCTTAACATAAATGAACTAATTTTGGCCTAAATTAGGTTTATCCTGAATCTTGATTTTAATCTAAATTAACTAACTGTTAGCATCAAGAGAAGCGGGTAGACACCCACCTTGCCCATATGCACAGAGCTGCCACAGACATTGCCCTTGCTCCTGAAAAGCAAGTTCAGACTCAATTAAAAGATGATTAAGTGGCCTGGCCAACTGAAACAGAAGCAGCACAGCCTCTCCCTGCCAGGGCTTCCACAGGGACAGAAAGCAGCACAAAGACTGCTGCTGACCTTCCTGTCCAGCCTTACCTTTGACTTGCCCTCTCAGGCTGGGTTTGCAGTGCCAGGGGCCTCTCTGGCCTAAAGGCAGCTGGGCATTGTGTAGTCCCCACAAACAGCTGCCCAGTGTGTCTAGAGAAGGGATGGACACCACTAACATCCAAATGAGGCCCCAGGCAGCAGGGAACTGAGAGTCAGTGCCAAGCTCCTCTGAGCCTGCATAATTCAGAGTCTGCAGGAAGCCAAACATCCTTTAAAAAGAAGGCCAAATCATAACAACCTCCTGCATTTGTCCTGCTGTTGTTCCTCCTCAGAGCACATTCCAGTCTATTAGCTTGTTAGAGCTTCAAAAACAACCCCATGAAGTCCATAGGCGGAATCATTATCCCCATTCTTGAGGAAAGGAAACTGAGACTCAGGGAATAATTACCAACAGTAGCAGCATGGCAATCATTACTGAGTGCTCACTGTGTGCAGAGACCTTTGCACGAACTATCTCAGTTAAATTCTGGGAAATAAATTTTATTATTATCCTCATTCTATAGATAAGAAGTCAGAGGCTGGGGAAAGTTAAATAATTTGTTTCAGTTTACACAGCTAGAAAATACCAGAGTCAGCTGGGCATGGTGACTTACACCTATAATCCCAGCACTTTGGGAGGCTGAGGTGGGTGGATTACCTGAGGTCAGGAGTTCAAGATCAGCCTGGCCAACAAGGTGAAACCCCATCTCTACTAAAAAAAAAAATACAAAAAATTAGCCGGGCGTGGTGGCTAATTTTTTGTATTTTTTTTTTGTAGAGATACAGTTTCACCATGTTGTCCAGGCTGATCTCGAACTCCTGACCTCAGGTAGAGATTTTCCTGGATTATATAGGTGGGACCCATGTAATCACAAGGATCCTTATAATTGAAAGGGGGGTGGGAGTGCAGTCAGTGAAGGAGTCAGAGAGATCTGAAGGTACTACACTGCAGGCTTTGAAGATGGAGGAAGCCAAGTCACAAGCCAAGAAATGCACAGTCCTAGAAGCTGAAAGGAAACAAATTTTCCCCCAGAGCCTCTAAAAGGAAGCAGTTCTGTCAAAACCTTGATTTTAGCCCAGTGAGACGCATTTCCAATTTCAGAACTATAAGACAATAAATTTATGTTATTTCAAGCCATCACATGAGTGAAACTAATACACTAACCATCAACACAATCAACATTGTGTTGATCAACTTTAGAACATTTTTATCACTTCACGGTGAAACCTCATATCCATTAGCAACCACTCCCCATTTCTCTCCAAACCTCTCAGCTCTAGGCAACTACTAATCTACTTTCTGTCTCTTATGGATTTGCCTATTCTGGGCATTTCATATAAATGGGATCAGACAATATGTGGCCTTTTGTGTCTGCCTTTTTCATAAGCATAAGGCTTTCAAAGTTCATCCATGTTGTACCATGTGTCAGGATTCCATTTCTTTTTATTGCCAAACACTATCCAACTGCATGGATATATAATATTTTATTTATCCATTCATCAATTGGTGGATATTTGGGCTATTTCCACTTTTTGGTTATAATGAATACTGCTACTATGAACATTCATGAACAAGCTTTCATAAAATATGTATATGGACATATATTTTATACATTATGTAGATGGACACATACTTTTATTTTTATTGAGTGTATACCTAAGAGCGGTACTATTGGGTCATATGATAATTCTATGTCTTACCTTTTGAAGAACTGGCAAAGTGGCTGCACCATTTTACATTTCTCCTAACAGTGTATAAGGGTTTCAGTTTCTCGACCTCCTTGTGGACGCTTGTCTTTTTTGATTACAGCCATCTTAGTGGATGTGAAGTGATATCTCATTGTGGTTTTGATTTTTATTTTCCTGATGGCTCATGATGTTGAGCATCTTTTATGTGTTTATTGGCCATTTGTATATCTTCTCTGAATAAATGTCTATTCATCCTTTGCCCATTTTTTAATTGGGTTGTCTGTCTTTTTATTATTGGATTGTAAAAGTTCTTTATATATTCTGAATACAAGCCCCTTTCAGATATATGACTTGTTAATATTTTCTTCCATTTTGTGGGTTATCCTTTCACTTTATTGATGGTATTCTTTAAAGCACAAAAGTTTTTAATTTTAATAAAGTTCAATTTATTTATTTTTCCTTTGGTTGCTTGTGCCTTTGGTGTCATACCTAAAAAACTATTGCCAGATCCAAAGTAACAAGGATTTATGACCATATTTCTTTTAAGAGTTTTATAGTTTTTGTTTTTACAGTTAGATTTTTGGTGCATTTTCAGTTAATTTTTTGTATATGGTATGAGGTAGGGATTTAAATTCATTCTTTGGCATGTGGATATCCAGTTTTCCCAGCATCATTTGATGAAAGGATTCTTCTTTTTCCATTGAATGGTCTTGAAACCCTTGCAGAAAATCAACTGACCATAATTATCATGGTTTATTTCTGGGCTCTCAATTCTATTTCATTGATCTATGTGTCTGTTCTTATGCCAGTATCACATTGTCTTGATTACTGTAGCTTTGTAGTTAGTTTTGAAGTTGGAAAGTGTGAGCCCTCCAACTTTGCTTAAGACTGTTTTGGCTATCCTGGGTGCTTTACATTTTTATGTGAAGTTTAGAATCAGCTTGTCAATTTCAGAAAAATAAGCCAGCTGGAATTTTGATAGAGATTGCATTAAATCTGTAGATCAATTTGGGAAGTATTCCCATCGTAGCAATAGTTAGTCTTCTGATCTATCAAAATGGATGTATTTTCATTATTTAGGTCTTTAGTTTATTTCAACAATGTTATACATGTTTCAGAATACAAGTTTTTCACTTCTTTTGGAAAAATTAATCCTATGTATTTCATTCTTTTGATGCTAATGGAAAAGGAATTGTTTTCTTATTTTTATTTTCTGATTATTCATTGCAAGCATATAGAAATATAATTGATTTAATGTATTGATCTTATGTTCTGTAACCTTGACTAACTTTTTTATTCTAATAGATTTTTAGTAAATTTCTTAGGATTTTCTATATCAAAATAATGTCACATTCAAATAGAGATAGTTTTATTTTTTTTCCAGTCTTATGCCCTTTTTTTTTTTTACTGCCTAATTGCCCTGACTAGAATTCCCAGTACAATATTGAATATAAGTGGCAAGAGCAGATATCCTTATCTTGTTCCCAATCTTAGGAAAGAAAGCATTCAATCATTCACCATTAATATGAGGTTAGCTGTGGCTTGTGTGGTGTGTGTGTGTGTGTGCGCGCGTGTGTGTGTGTGTTTTATAGATGCCCTTAATCAGATTAAGAAAGTTCCCTATATTCCTAGTTTGTTGAATATTTATCATAAAAGGATTTTGAATTTGTCAAATGTCTTGATAGGGTTGGTATGTTATAATGTTTAATTTTCTGATGTTAAACAAACCTTGCATTCCTGGAATAAATCCCACTTAACATGGTATGTAATGCTTTTTATGTTTGTGGACTCAGTTTGTTAGTATTTTCTGGAGGAATTTTTGCCTATGAGAGGTATTGGTCTGTAATTTTCTTCTAATATGATACCTTTGTCTGGTTTGAGTATCAGAGTAATGTTGGCCTCATAGAATTTGTTGGGAAGTATTCTTTCCTCTTCTATTTTTGGAAAAGTTTGTGGAAAATCAATATTAATTATTCTTTAAATGTTCACCAGTTAAGCCCTCTGGGACTGAGCTCCTTGTGAGTAGTTTTGACTAAAATTTTTTTTACTAATTTAATATCTTTATTTGTTATAGGTCTATTCAGATGTTCTATTTCTTCTAAGTCAGTTTTGGTAGTTTTTGTCCTTCTAGAAATTTTTTCATTTCATCTAACTTTTTGAACTTAATTGTCATACAGTTGTTCATCATATTCCCTTATGATCCTTTTAATTTCTGTCAGTAGGTCTGTGAAGTCTTTTATTCCTGATTTTAATAATTTGAGACTTCTCTTTCTTTTCAACTTGGTCAATCGAATTAAAGTTTTGTCAATTTTGTTGATCTTTTCAAGTAACCTAACTTTTGGTTCTGTTTATTTTTCTCTATGAATTTTATTCCCTATTTTATAAATTTCTACTCTAATCTTTATTATTTCCTTTATTTAGCTTGCTTGGTTTTAGTTTACTCTTCTTTTTCTAGTATCTTAAGGTGGAAGGACATGTTATTGATTTGAGGTCTTTCTTTATAATATACATATTTACAACTATAAATTTTCCTCTAAGTACTGCTTTGTCTGCATCCCATAAATTATGACATGTTTTTGTCTTCATTTTCGTTCATTTCAAAGTATTTTTGATTCATCTTTAGGATTTCTTTATTTGGTCCATTGGCTATTTAGGAGTATATTCTTAAGTTTCCACATATTTGTGAATTTTCCAAATGTTCTTCTCTATTGATTTCTAATTTTACTCTCTTATGTCCACAGAACACACTTTGTGTCATTTCCATCCTTTTAAAGTTATTGAGACTTGTTTTATGACCTAACATACGATCTATCTTGGAGAATGCTCCATGTGCATTTGAGAAGAATGTGTATTCTTCTGCTGGTGGGTAGAGTGTTCTATAGATACCTATTAGGTCTAGTTTGTTTATAATGTTGTTCAAGTCTTCTGTCTCTTTATTGATCTTCTGCCTAGTTGTTCAAACTGGGATATTAAAGTCATCAACTATAATTGTTGAATTGTCTATTTGTCTCTTCAATTTGTTTCATTTATTTTGGGGCTTTGTTATTAGATGCATATATGTTTATAATCGTTATATTTTCCTGATGAATTTACGCTTTCATCATTATAAATGTCTCTCACTATCTCTAATAATTTTTTGTTTTAAAATCTATTTGTGTTAGCCAGGAGCAGTGGCTTACACTTATAATCCTAGCAACTCAGGAGGCTGAAGCAAAAAGATCTCTTGAGGCCAGGCATTCAAGACCATCCAGGGCAACACAGCAAGGCCCCATTTCTTTAAAAATGAAAAAATTAACCAGGCATGGTGTCAAATACCTATAGTCCCAGCTACGGGAGACTGAAGTGGAGGAATGCTTGAGCCCAGGAGTTAGAGGCTGCAGTAAGCTATGATCATGCCACTGTACTCCAGCCTGGATGACAGAGGTAAACCTTATCTCTGAAAAATATATATATTTGTCTGATATTAATATAGCCACTCTGGCTTTCTCATGGTTGCTATTTGCATGATATATTTTTTACATCATTTTCCCTTCAACCTTTTATCTTTGAATCTAAAGTGTGTCTCTTGAAAACAACATGTAGTTGGATCTTTTTTATCCAGTTCACAATTGCTTTTTAAATATCAGTGTATTTGTCAACATTATGAAAAAGACCTATATGTATTTATATTGTTTAAAAATAGTTTTGACCTCACAGACCCCTTGAAAGGTGTCTGTAGTCCATTCTTGGAGAACCACTGCAATAATAAGCATTTATTTAGCTTATGCATGTGTGAATTAGCTGAGGGTGGACTGCTCTAAGCTGAGCCTGGCTGGATCCTTTTCCTTGGACCAGCAGGCTAGTGTGTAGACATGTCCTTCTTCTGGTGACAGCAGAAGCTTCAGAGGTTAAGGAAAAACAAATATTTTAAGGATATGCCTTGTTACATTGGTCAAAGTGAGCCACAAATTCTTGCACAAGTCACATGATCAAACACAAAATTGAGGGGTAGGGATATACATTCCATCCTTTTCGTGACAGCTGAAAAATGCTTGCAAAGGATGAGAAGACAGGCAATAGTGAAAAAAAAAATTAGGATGATTTGCAATCTACACACAGGTCAAGAGTGTAAGCAGAGTAACCAGCTAAGAGCTACCACAGCTAGAGAGAGAATGACGCTTTGGACTAATGGTGAAGAGGAAGGGAATTGGGTGTGACAACTGGGGAAGAAGAACCCCAAGGTGAGACCACAGGGTGACTCTCCACCAGCACTTGCCTGGCAGGGATACTGCCAAATGCAAGGATGTCCTGGCACCTTCCTGGGTGGATAGAAACTAGTCCTGGTGCCCCTCAACCTTGCTTCCTTGATACTTTCTCCACATTTTCCCAGGACTCTCAGACAATCCAGCTGTGCCTTGCCCCTTAGGAGTTTACCCCTTAGGGATTCTTATGGCTGAATGGGAAATGCTCCATAGTGATGGGGAAAAGCACATTGAAAAATGGCATAGAGAGTACGGTATGGCTTTTTTTTTTTTTTTTTCAAAAACAAAAAATCAGCTGGGCATGGTGGCTCACACCGGTAATCCCAACACTATGGAAGGCCAAAGCAGGTGGATCACCTGAGTCAGGAGTTCAAGACCAGCCTGGCCAACATGGTGAAACTCCATCTCTACTAAAAATACAAAAGTTAGCCAGGCGTGGTGGCGTGCGCCTCTAGTCCTGGCTTCTCGGGAGGCTGAGGCAGGAGAATCGCTTGAACCTGGGAGGCAGAGGTTGCAGTGAGCCGAGATTGTGCCATTGCACTCCAGCCTGGGCGACAGAGCAAGACTCCATCTCTAAAAATTTAATTTAATTTAATTTAAAAAAAAACAAAAAATGTTTTCGAATGGTATTTACTTATATGATCATAGAGAAGATATCACATTGTTAACAGTGGTGAGTTACCTCCAACAGCTAGACTGGTGTTAGGTGAGGGAACTACAGCATTTTGCTTTATACATTTCAGCACTGTCTGGACTGGTAAACATGTAGGCAATATGTTAGTTGAATGAATGAAGGAATGGAAGGGAGGAAGGAAGGAAGAAAGAAAGAGTCTGTCTTCCATTCAGCAAAGCATGAGGGCCAGGCACTAACAAAGGTTGAGATCTATACCCAAAGCTCCAGAACTGGCTCCTCAGGCCCTATTCTCATCACTGGGCCTCCCTCACTCTGCCCCTTGGCTTCCTTCCCATGAAGGCAGTGGGGCTTTGAGTAGATGGAACCACAGCTCTGAGACTTACTGGCTGTGAGACCAAGTCTCCCAGCTTCTCTGAGCCTCTGCACTGTATCATTTTGAGAAATTGATGAAATAATAAATTCTAGGTGCTCAGCATGGTGCCGGGCAAGTGGTAAGAACTCTATAAATAAATGTTCACTTTACTTTGCTCCTCATTCTGTTTGAGGCATGGGTTGGGCCCTTGCCCAGCTGCCAACCTCCTGATTTTCTCTGAACATTGCCCCTTTTCTTCTGCCTTCATCAGCCTTGCCCTTAGGGGAATGACAACTCAGGAACAACATCCCTCCTTCTTCACCTTCCACCTTCCACAGTGACCAAGGCAGCCTCTCTCAGAAATGGTCTGATCAAGGCATTCGTGTAGAGATGCTATAAATTTAACATCTACATATAATTTCAAGTGAGCAAGACCTACAGATGCAGAAACTGCTTACCCAACAGAAAGGAGCATTGAGGTGAATTTGGAGAGAGACTGGGGAAAAGGTGGGATTTCCTAGTGTGCGAATCAGAACCTCTGTATAAGGCCATGCCATGGGAGAATGTCTAGGGAGGCTGGCCACAGAGCACTCCAAGAAAAATGCTGACCTGGGCAGGAGCAACTCTCACAACAGAATGCATCCTGTGCTTCCCCCAGAAAGAAGCCTCCTCCCTGATCCTGCTGGCCTTTCCCTCTCCATCTCCCCCAACCCCTGAGTAAGCCCAGGATCGGCAGAAGAGCCTCAGTTCCTTCTTCCCTAAGGGACCCTCTGTGATGGTATCTGCCATAAAGCAGCCACAGCAGCTTTGGACTGCAGTGTGGGTCAGACAATGCCCTGCAGTCTTGGCTCAGCCACTCAGCAGCTGCAGGGCCCTCAGCAAGCCACCCACCTCTCTTGGCTACATCTTCCTGTGTCAGGAAGGCCATCTTGCCATCACTGTTGGAAGGATGTGGGGAGACAATTGATGAGAAATTTTCCAGCTCAAGACCTGAGCTGGTTGAGGGAGTGTCAGAGTTGCATTTGGGGATAACAAGCCCTAGAACATGCCCCTAGCAAAGACAGCCTTCTCAGCGTCTCTATGACCCTGAGCTCCTGTTTCTGAGGCCTCATTTGGGGAGCCAGCCATCCCCTCCAGTTCTAGTGAGCATGCATGAACGCTAAGGCTAGAGGCAGAGAGACGGCCGAAGTCACGGTGTCCAACCCAGGAGGCGAAGGAAGGCACGATGCCTGGGATGCACTGGGCATCACTCTGCTTGCCTATAGGGAAGAGACAGGCTAATTCTGGCACCAAGGGACAGAGAAATTATCCCCAGACAGAGGCCAGATGGCAACGCTGCTTGAGGAAACCCGATGGACACAATGGACTCTGAATCACCGTGAGTGGTGACTCAAAGTCTTACAGACATTAGCTAATCATGAACATGACTGCAGGCCATCAGTGACTGGGATCCCCCACGCCAGGCTAACATCAACCCTGGACATCAGTCAGATCCTCAGGCAGGCATGGTCCCTTCCCTGTGTCACGGCAAGCTCCAGGCCACTCAGTGGGCAGCTGCAGCCATCCCTGAAGGCACAGAAAGCAGTCAGAGATTGAATTCGGATAAGCAGCCTTAGCTTTTAAAGACAGATGCAACACACTTAAAAAACAGGTGGCCCCGGCCGAGCGCGGTGGCTGACGCCTGTAATCCCAGCACTATGGGAGACTGAGGCGGGCAAATCATGAAGTCAGGAGATCGAGACCATCCTGGCTAACACGGTAAAATCCCGTCTCTACTACAAAAAAATTAGCCGGGCGTGGTGGCAGGCGCCCATAGTCCCAACTACTCCGGAGGCTGAGGCAGGAGAATGGCGTGAACCTGGGAGGTGGAGCTTGCAGTGAGCCGAGATCACGCCACTGCACTCCAGCCTGGGCGACAGAGCGAGACTCCATCTCAAATAAATAAATAAATAAAAATTAAAAATTAAAAAAAAAACAGGTGGCCCCCAAAGACATCCCTGGATGTCATAAAGGTACCAATTGCAAATACCTGGAAATGATACTTGAACAGAGGATAAGGATTCTGTCGTTATTTTCCCTTCCTGCTGAAACAAATACGTTTGTGCAACTGTTAAATAGCACCGTGGGTATACAAAGGTCGAACAGCCTTGCCTTGCTTGCTCAAAGTGTACTCCATGGGCCAGCTGCACTGGCATCACTTGGGTGCTTGTGAGCAATGCAGAGTCTCAGGCCCACCCTAGAGCTCCCAGAATTACAGAATCAGAATCTGTATTTTAATGAGGTTGTCAGGTAATCTACATTCTTACTGAAGTTTAAGCGCTGCCCTAATACACATAATCATTTGCCTATTAAGTTGTTTCCCAATAACACGTTTATTGCAGTTTGTTAGAGGTCTACATTATGTCAAGCTGTTGACCCCCAAAGATGCAGGTGCAAGACAGACCAAATCCTGCTCTCAAAGAGAGCAGGGGAGAGACAGATAACACATGCATTCTACAGATAAGATTGCTCCAGACTGTAGGAAGTGTTATGAAGAAAATAGACAGGGTGATGTTTCTGAGTGTTTAGGGTGATCAGAGAAAGCCTCTCGAAGAAATGGCCTCTGAGTGGGGTCTTGAAAAATAAAAAGAATCCAGACATGCCAAGAGCTGCAAGAAAGGCTGAGAGAAGGGGAGGTTCAAAGGCCCTGAGATAGGCACGCAGGCGGCAAGACCGAGGAACAGAAAGCAGCTGTATGACCACAGCATGGAGCAAAAGAGGAAAGCAGCAGGCAGGAACTATCAAAGGCCTACAAGGCATGGCATGGAATTAGGATTTTAACACAAGTGCATCAGGAAATCACTCATGAGGGATAACGAGCAAAGGGTCAGGATCTATTGTACACTTTTCTCTGTGGCCTGAAGCAGCAGCCATTTGGTTGTTCATGACTCCCTGGGTCAGGGATCCAAGCAGATCCCAGTGGGACGGTTCATCTCAGCTCCACCAGTTGTCAGCTGGGGAGGGTCGACAGGAGTGCAGGATCCACAATGGACTCACTCACAGGTCTGGGGTGTCAGTGTCAGCTTTTCATTGGGGGAATGCACTTCGGTGCCCCTGCTTGTGGCCTCTCATCATTCAGTGCTCTCACCCAAGCTGCCTTCCACAGCAGCCAGCTTCCAGGAGCCGGCTTATATTTTTAACAGATGTCTCTGGCTGCTGGGTGGGAAAACGATGGTAAAAAGGGCAAGGCTGGGAGCAGGACACCGGCGAGAGATGGTGGTGACTTGGATGGTGATGGGTGAAGGGGGCATGGCAGGAATGGACTGACTGCAGATGTCTTTGAAGTTGAACCAATACAACTTGCCAATCAATGGGATGTGGTGGAGGAACACATGGGAGGAATCAGAGATTATTTCCAAGACTCTGGCCTGAGCAACCCTATGAATAGTGATTGCCCAATGTCACTCACTGAGATGAGGAAGCACAGGTTTGACTGGCGGCAGGAAGGCAGAAAAACAGAGGGTCATATTTTTGACATGTGTATTTTCAGAGGCCTATTAAACATCTGAGCGGAGATTTCATAGAGTTCACCAGGTGAATGGTCTGAAACTCCAGGGAAGGTGTGCACTCAAGATGTTATGAGCAGAAAGAAAACACTTACATCCATGAAGAGAAGGTTGGTAGAGAGGGAGGTTCAGGCCAGGGCCCTGGCACCTCATCATTTAGGGGGCAGGTAGCAGAGAGGGAGCCGAGGAGAGTGCATAGACGCACGCAGCCAGGTGGGAAGAAAACCAGCAGAATGAGATAGTGTGAGAGCATGGGAGGAGAATGCTTTCCATGGGGACAGAGAGAGTGGTCGGTTGAGTCTCCTTTGTGGCTCTTTCTCAAGATGGAAGGTTCTAGAGCATGTTTGAATATTCTTAGGATGCTCCAGCAGAGTGGGGTGACTGCAGGAGAGAAGGCCTTGAGGAGGAAGGGAACAGGACCCAGAACTCAGGTGAGGGGTGGCCTCTGATAGGAGCAAGACTAGGCGGGCAGGCACAGAGCACAGGCACAGATGCAGGTGGATTGGATAGGGGAGGGGACAGTTTCTGTCTGGATCAGCTCTATTTTCTCAGTGAAGAACAAGGTGAGTTCATCTGCTGGCCAGTAGCCAGCGTGGAGGGGGATGTGTTAGGGAGGCTTGAGGTGAGAGTAGGAGACATAAAGTGATATGAAAAAGCTCTCTGTGGGTGAGAAACCAAACTGATCAGCACATAGCTTCTCCCCTTCTCTTATCTTCATGTAATAATTTCCAACAGGTAAAATGATTGAGTCGTGGGTCCTGGCCACATCAATTCCTCATTTGTCCCTCATAACAACTTCAGGGAAGGTAAAGCAGGGATAAAGATACAAGCTCGGTGTGGAGATTCCTTAAAGAACAAAAAGTGGAACTACCAATTGATCCAGCAATGCCACCACTGGGTATCTACCTGAGGAAAACAAGGCATATGAAAAAGGTACTTTCACACACATTTATAGCAGCACAATTCACAACTGCAAAAATGTGGAACCAGCCCAAATGCCCATCAATCAATGAGTGGATAAAGAAACTGTGATATATATATATATATATATATATATATATATATATATATATATATATATATACACACACACATACACACACACACACACACACACACACACACACACACACAAAGGAATACTACTCAGCCATAAAAAGGAATGAATTAATGGCATTTGCAGCAATCCAGATGAGATCAGAGACATTATTCTAAGTGAAGTGACTCAGGAATGGAAAATCAAACATCGTAGTTCTCACTCATAAGTGGAAGCTAAGCTATGAGGATGTAAAGGCATAAGAAAGATACAATTCCTTTGAGACTTGGGGGGAAAGGGTGGGAAAGGGATGAGGGATAAAAGACTACAAATTGGGTTCAGTGTATACTGCTTGAGTGCTGCGTGCACCAAAATCTCACAAATCACCGCTAAAGAACTTATTCATGTAACTAAATACCACCTCTTCCCCAAAACCCTACGGAAATAAAAAAAAAATTTTTTAAGATACAAGCTCAAAGATGCAGGAGATTTGCCAAGGTCCATGCAGCAGGTACATGACAGACAGAGAGGACTGGAGCCGGGACTGCCAGGTCTCATTGGAACGGCCCCATCGAGCTCTCTCCTCAGAGCCATGAGCTCACTCCCAGCCTCAAGCCTTCTTCACCTCCTGGAACTGGCACCAGGTCTGTCCTCCTCATCCTCATTTCTGCCTAACCCTGCTGAGCCCCCACCCCTTTCCATCTTGGCTCCCAGGTATCCTTCTCACCATGGTCAGCTTAATATAGCAATTGGTACATTTCTCATCCAAACTCCATCATTCCCTAATTCGCCATCAACCAAGTGACTTGGAAACTTAAATTGTGATTAAGACATCTGGTTTTAGAGTTAAAAATTCCAGTTCAACTTCAATTTGCTTGTGATCTTGGGCAGGTGATTTATCCTCTTCAACCTTCATTTCTTCCTCTTTAAAACAAGTTGTAGTAATAGTAGTAATATTTGTAGCTCATAGGATTTTTAGAAAGATGAAATAACATGATGCATAAAAAGATCTTCATATAGGTCTTGACCCACAGAAAATATTCAGTAAACAGTAGCTATTATTAGTGTTAGATAGTAGAGAAAAATCAATTTGCATTGAGAGTTTTTACTTGACAATTAGTATTTGAGATCTAAGAACCCATAGAAATATCAAGTACATCCTTTTTTTTTTTTTTTTTTTTGAGACACAGTCTCGCTCTGTCACCCAGGCTGGAGTGCAGTGGCATGATCTTGGCTCACTACAACTTCTGCCTCCCGGGTTCAAGCAATTCTCCTGTCTCAGCCTCCTGAGTAGCTGGGACTACAGGCGCCCACCACCATGCCTGGCTAATTTTTGTATTTCTACTGGAGATGGGTTTCACCATATTGGCCAGGCTGGTCTAGAACTCCTGACCTTGCAATCCGCCCACCTCAGCCTCCCAAAGTGCTGGGATTAAAGGTCTGAGCCACTGCACCCGGCTACAAGCCACTGCACCCGGCTACATCCATATTTTTATATCCACATATAAAAATTGAATGCGTTAAAATTCAGAAGTTCACAATGAAGCTTTAAAAAAAAGTAACAACTGTAGGAAGATGCTAGAGATGCAATCAACTTGTTACTTTGAAAACTGGCAAATAGAAAGAATCAAGCATTTTAAATAGAAGGAAAGAATTCAGCATTTTTATCCTGTCTTTTCCGTAACAGCTCTAGCTCTGACCAGATAGCAGGTGAGAGAAAGCTTCTCTTTACAGGAGCATTCCAGCTAATAAGTGAAGATTTACAAGAATTTGACTCTATTTTCTTTGTCTCATAGAGAAGTATATATGCAAAACCTTTGCTGCTGCTTGAATGGTGATGGGGAGAATAGGGGTTAACAGAGTGGAATAAAATGAAGCTTAGCAATGTCATCTTATTACAGTGTTCTCCATTATTTGATGCAAGTGCCAGGAAGGACCTAGAGATATGTAGCATAAGGGGTCTTGCTGCTCCCATTCCCACCCACTAACTGTGCAGATAAGAATACTACAACCTGAAAGGCCAAGATTAGGCTCATATTCTCCAGCTCTCAACGTGCATTTCATGATACCAGCACAAACTCCTCTCAGATCATTTCACCCTAGTGTCTACAAATTCATTTTCATTTTGTTTTGAACTCCATATCCACTGATCCTCTTTGAAATGTCTAGTTGTGAAAGTAACCTACAACCTATGGATGCCCCACATTACAAACCTTTTCTTGGAGCACACCCAAGTACTCAACTTGGGGGAAAACCATCTCTGAGTTGAAACCAGGGTGACAAATACATCTACTCCTATGGACCAAATCAAATTTATTGCCTGGTACATTGTGTTGAGGATAGGGAGGACTCATCCAGTCTCAACAAGAAAGAATGCTTACAGATGGATTAGCAATTTCTGCCCTGGCTGCCGTGTGTGTGTGTGTGTGTGTGTGTGTGTGTGTGTGTGTGTGTGTGGATAGCGGTAGTCTACAGTGCCAGAATGCAAATTGCATGCCTGATGTTTGCTATTGCTGAGACAAAATGAATGGTGTGTATAGAGATCCAAAGAAGGGAGCCATTAAAGGGGTCTCTAAAGAGTTAAGAGCTACTCAAAAGAGGCCTTATCATGTATTGAATAAAATAAAGTTAAAATAAATGCAATTTCCACTTAAAAAATTTTTGGCCGGGCGCGGTGGCTTATGCCTGTAATTCCCAGCACTTTGGGAGGCCAAAGATGGGAGGATCATGAGATCAGGAGATCGAGACCATCCTGGCTAACATGGTGAAACCCAGTCTCTACTAAAAATACAAAAAATTAGCCAGGTGCGGTGGGCGCCTGTAGTCCCAGCTACTCGGGAGGCTGAGGCAGGAGAATGGCGTGAACCTGGGAGGCCGGGCTTGCAGTGAGCCGAGATTGCGCCACTGCACTCCAGCCTGGGTGACAGAGCAAGACTCTGCCTAAAAAAAAAAAAAAAAAATTAACTACTCCTAGTTTATTCCTTGTAAAAGTGAACAGGCTGTGTTCAGATGTGGAAAGTTATCAAAAGACCATTACTAACAAACTTCCCCGAGCCTCTGTGTGTGTGTGTGTGTGTGTGTGTGTGTGGCACATATATACAGCACGTGTGTGTATATATAATAAAAGCTAAAATATCTTAGTTTTAAAAAACTCAACAGAGAGCATGAACACAAAGAAATGTAAATGAACTAAACTCTGGAAAGTGATGAGCCCTTCACAGGAGAGAAAAAACACAGAGTTCCTCCATAGTTGGTGGAACTGTGAAGGAAAAAGTAATCTTCCATAGAAATAAGTAAGGAGAAATCAGCTGAACTTTTAACAAACTTATAACACCGGTGTTTGGACTGGCATGACTGATTAGAAACCTGAAGAGCACTACTTACAGAGTGAATGTATACTCACTCACTATCTCCTACCCTGTGAGTCTTCAGCAAGTGTTGGGGGTAACACACCCAAAACAGTGAATGAGGCCAGAGAAGAGCAAAGAGGGGTCTATAATAAGGTACATGAGGCCGGGATCGCTCCCCTAGTGCAAGTCCCCCTCAGAAGGGCAGGTATGAGCAGGAAAGCTGAGAGAAAATTTGTAGTGCAATGGAGAATATATCAGGTCTTTGGCCTGGCTTCTTGGCAGAGTTTCAAAAACCCTAGGTATTTCTCAGTGATAGAGCTGTCTTTGGAATGCTACTGAATTGACTCCCGGTAGGCTCCTAGATAGCTTCAAGTTAGTGGCTGGTCACCACAAAGAGGGTCAGAACTTTGGGCCAGCCTGACCTCTGGAGAAGGATGAGGGCTGGAGATTGAATTCAAGCACATGGCCAATGATTTAACCTATGCTGAAAGGAAATTAATGATCTTGCCCTCAAATAATTTGAAGCCAATAGTGAACTAAATCAAGGGAAGGCTATAACACAGCCCAAACCCTGCTTAATTTCAAATCCAATTAAGTCAGCCCCCACACTAGCAGCCTAACAGAAATAGTATTTTTTTAATCTCTAAGTTCTTTAATACAAAATGCTTTTTCTATAACTGAAGATAACAAGACATATGAAAAAGCAATAAATGTGATTTATGGTCAAGAGGGGAAATGGTCAATAGAAGCAGAACTAAAGATGACCCAGACGATTAAATGATCAAATAGGGACATTAAAATAGCTGTGAAAACGATGCTAAAAGATGTAGTGGAAAAGATGGGTAGCATATGAGAATAAATGGGAAATTTTAGCAGACTCTTGAAAAAAAAACAAAGAAGAATCAAATGCATGTGCTAGAAATGAAACCTGTAAAATTAGAAATAAGTAATTCATTAGATGAACCTAACAATGGATTGAACACAGCACAAGAAATTATCATGAACTTGAAGATGGAGCAGTAGAAAGTATAAAAGCTGAAACACAAAGAGAAAAAGAGTGAAATTAAAAGACAGAATAAAGCAAATGGAATCCAAAGGAGAATATGAAATGTCCAAAATACATATCACTGGAGTCCAGGAGGAGAGGAGAAAAAAAAGCAGAATAAATATTTGAAGCGATAATGGCCATGAACTTTCCAAAACTGATGAAGCCATCAATCCCACAAAGCCAAAAATTCTTACTAAAACCCAAGCAGTACAAATACAAATAAAATCACCTCTAGGTACATCATATGCAAATTGCTGAAAACCAAAGATAAAAGGCAAATCTTTAAAACATGCAGAGCAGAAAGACACATTACATACAGAGGAGCAACAATCCAATGACGGCTGACCTAGCAGGAAATGGGGGCCAGAAGACGACAGAATGAGATCTTTAAACAAAAGAACAACAGGTTGAAAAGCCATTGACCTACAATTTCATATCCAGTGAAAATATACATCAAATAGCAAGGGAAAATAAAGACTTCTTAGTAGTCATAAGTTGAGAGACTTCATCCCCAGCAGATACATTTAAAGCTGCAAATGCCAAAAGAAGGTTTTTACACTGAAAGGATATGATACAAGATTGAACTAGATTGGCAGGAATAAAAGAACACTAGAAGTGGTCAGTATCTGGATAGGTATAAAAGACTTGTTTATATTATATTTTTTCTTTAAAAGGATATCATTTTTAAAGCAAAAATAATAACAATATGTTATAGGATTTGAGCCATGTATGAAAGTAAAATATAAGATAATATGAGCACGAATAGCAGGAGGGGCATAAATAAAATTATACTGTTGTAATTTTCTACATCACTGTTTGCAAGTAACCTGTGCTAACTTAAAGATAAGTATTATAATCTCTAGAACAGCCATTAAAAAGAACATAAACAGGTACAACTAAAATGTCAATATAGGAGATAAAATCAGGTACAGCTAAAATGTCAATATAGGAGATAAAATCAAATACAAGACACACACACACACACACACACACACACACACACACACACACACACACAATTTGCCCAAAGGAAGGAAGGGAAAAAATAGAGGAAAGCAGAATAAATAAGGCAAAAAGAAAATAAATACCAATATAGGAGACTTAAAATCAACTATATATCATAATATACATATACATATACATATACATACACATATATTTAATCCTTTTTGTACAAAAGGATTAAAACTCCCACCATGACTGAGTGGGGTTTGTCCCAGTAATGCAAAGTTGGTTTAATATTTGACAATCAGTCAGTGTAAGTGTATTAGTTATCTACTGCTGCACAACATATTACTCCAAACCTTTCGTGGCTTACAACAATGAATATTTATCATCTCACACAGTTTCTATGGGTCAGGATTTAGGAGTAGCTTAACTGGATGATTCTGGCTCAGCATCTCTCACGACATTGCAGTCAAGATAATGTTAGAGGCTGTAGTTATCTTAATGCTTGACTGTGCTTGGAAGATCTGCTTACAGGATGGCTCACTCACACACCTGGCAGGTCAGTGCTAGTTACTGGCAGCAGGCCTTCATTCCTCACCATGTGGATCTGTCCTTAGGACAACTTGAGTGTACTTACAAGATGGCACCTGGCTTCCCCCGGAGTGATAGCTAGGAGAAAACCATAATGCCCTTTATAATTTAGTCTTGGAAGTGTCACACAGTTACTTCCACCACACTCTACCAACTAGAGGTAGTTACTAAGCCAGTCCACACTCAAGACAGAGCAATTAAGCTCCAACTAATGAAGGAGGAGTATAAAATAGATTGAAACATACTTTTTAAACTTCATAGTGATGTATTAAAGCAATGATTCTCAACCACGGGTGATTTTGCCCTGCAGGGGAATTTAGCAATGTCAGAATATTTTTGGTTGTCACAATTGGATTACTACTGGCATCTAGTGATAGAGGTCAAGCATGAAACTAAGCATTCTATAATGCACAGGACAACCCCCTTTCATCAGAGAGTTATATAGCCCAAAATATCAATATCATCTTAATAGATGCAAAATAACATTTGACGCAACTCAACACCATTCTGGTTTAAAAAGAAAACTCAACTTTTTGATGGGGTTGTTTTTTTCTTGTAAATTTGTCTGAGTTCATTGTAGATTCTGGATATTAGCCCTTTGTCAGATGAGTAGGTTGCAAAAATTTTCTCCCATTTCTTTTCTGCTTTACCTCTAGTAAGGAATAGTCCTCATGCCAAAAATAGAATCTGATATTTCAGTAACTTCATAGACTGCTGGTTTTTCTTTTTCTTTTGAAATTTGGGTTTACAGAAAAAAATACATCTCCTATACCCTAAAAACCTAGAGCTTTTAATATATTTGTTTGAGTAGAATTTCAGTCTCTATATAATCAGTGTAAATAAGGTCAATAAACAAAAATCTGGTTATACTACACTGAAAAAAAGAAAACTCAAAAGAATACATTTATAGGACTGATATTACCCAATTTCAAGACTTATTATAAAGCTACAGTCATCAAGACAGCATGGTATTATGAAAAAATAGACAAATAGATCAATAGAACAGAACAGAATGCCCAGAAATAGGCCCACATAAATATAGCCAACTAATCTTTGACAAAAGAGAAAAGGCAAGAGAATGGAGAAAAGATAGTTGTTCAACAAATGGTGCTGGAACAACTGGACATCCACAAGCAAAAAAAAAAAAAAAAAAAAAAGAATCTAAATGCAGACCTTATATCCTTCACAAAAATTAACTCCAAATATGTAAATGCAAAACTATAAAACCCCAGAAGATAACATAGGAGATAATCTAGTTGATCCTGGGTTTGGCAATGACTTTTTATATATGACACCAAAAGTATAATCCATGAAAGAAATAATTGATAACCTAGACTTTATTAAAATTTAATATTTCTGCTCTGCAAAAGACACTATCAAGAGAACAAAAAGGCAATCCACAGACTGAGAGAAAATATTTGCAAAAGACATAACTGATAAAGGACTGTTGTCCAGAATACACAAAGAACTCTTAAAAGTGAACAATAAAAAAACAAACAACTCAATTAAAAAATGGGCCAAAGATCTTAGCAGACACTTCACCAAAGAAGATATACAGATGGCAAATAAGCATTTGAAAAGATGCTCAACATCATATATCATCGATGCAAATTAAATGCAAATCAAAATAATGCAAATTAAAATAATGACATGTCATTACACACCTATTAGAATGGCCAAAATCCAAAACACTGAAAACACCAAATGCTGGTGAGGATGTGGAGCAAAAGAAAGTCTCATCCATTGCTGGTGGGAAAGCAAAATGGTACAACTACTTTGTAAGACAGTTTGGCAGTTTCTTACAAAACTAAACATACTCTAACCATATGATCCAGCAATCATGCTCCATAGTATTTACTTTAAGAAGTTGAAAAGATGTCCTCACAAAAACCTGCACATAGGTGTTTATAGCACCTTATTCATTACTGCAAAAACTTGAAAGCAACCAAGATATTCTTCAGTAAGTGAATAGGTAAATAAAATGTGATATATCCAGATAGTGAAATATTATTTAGCACTAAAAAGGAATAAAAAAAACATATAGGAAACGTAGATGCATATTACCACATGAATGAAGCTCCAAGCTACATTCTGTAAGATTCGAATATGACATTCTGGAAACGTCAAGACTATGGAGACAGTAAAAAGATCAGTAGTTGCCAGAGGTTAGAGGGAGGAAGGGACAAACAGGTAGATCATAGACGATTTAGGGCAGAAAAACTACCCTCAATGATACTGTAATAGTGGACACATGTTATTATTCATTTATACAAATCCATAAAATGTACAACTCCAAGAGTGATTCCTAATGCCAACTATAGTCTTTGGATATGATCATGATGTGTCAATATAGAGTCATCAGTTGTAGCAAATGCACCACTCTGGTGGGGGATGTTGAAAATGCGGGCGACTATGAATGTGTCAAGGCAAGAACATATGGGAAATTGTGTAAATTTCTCTTAATTTTGCTGTGAAACTAAAACTGATCTTTAAAAAGATAAAGTCTATTTAAAAAGAAAAGAAAAGAAAATTCAGCAAGCCAGACTAGAAGGGAACTTCCTCAATATGATAGAGGACACACAGCTAGCATCAGACTTAATAATAAAATATTGAAGTATTTTCCCCTAAGATTGGTAATAAGGCAAGAATATGCTCTGATTGATTTTATTCTACATTGTAGTAGAGGTCCTAGCCAGTGAAAGTGAGCAAGAAAAATAAATAAGAGGTATAAGTATTGGGAAAATAAGTAAAACTGCCTTATTCATAGACAACAAGATTGTATATGTATAAAACTCTGGTTCTGAGGCATGACACCAAAAGCACAAACAAGAAAAATAGATAAATTGAACTTCATCAAAATTTAAAAGTTTTGTGCTTCAAAGAGCGTCATCAAGAAAGTAAAAAGGCAACCCACAGACTATATTTGCAAGTCATATATCTGATAAGAAACTTTCAGAATACTTCTTAAAAAATAAAATTTTTACAACTCAATAATAAGTAGGCAAATAACCTAGTTTAAAAATGAGCAAAACATATGAGTAGACATTTCTACAAAAAATATACAAATGACCAAAAAGTACATGAGAGGATTCTCAATGTCATTACCTACCAAGGAAATGTAATTCAAAAGCACAGTGAAAGCCTCTTCACACCCACCAGTAGAACTGGTGGTTCTACTGGTAAAAAAGTAGTAAAAAAAAGACAGATAATATAGTAAAAAAAGTAAAAAAAGACAGATAATATAGTAAAAAAAGACAGATAATAACAAGTGTTGGCAAGAATGTGGAGAAATTTGGAACCTCATACACTGCTAATGAGAATGCAAAACAGTATGGCTGCTTTGAAAAATAGTCTGGCAGTTCCTCAAAGGATAAAAATGAGGCAAGCAAAAACATGTCCACAGAAAAACTTGCACACGCATGTTCATTCAACAGTATTCATAATACCCAAAATGTGGAAACAACCCAAATCCTCATCAACTGATGTATACATAAATAAAATCTGTTCCATCTATACAACGGAATGTTATTCTGCCATAAAAATGAATGATACATGCTACAACATGTAGGAACCTTGAAAACATTATGCCCCAAAAGACTACATGTTGTATCATTGCTCTTATATGAAATGTTCAGAAGAGAGAAATCCATAGAGACAAAGAGTAGATTGGTGATTGTCTAGGGCTGTGAGGTGGAGATGAGAGGAGGATGAGACCTAACTGCTCCTCATCACACAGGGTTTCTTGTGGGGGTGATGAGAATGTTCTAAAACTGGATTGTGGAGATAGTCACACAGCTCTGGGAATATAATAAGAACACACTTTAAATGGGTGAATTAAATGGTATGTCAATTATGTCTCAATCAAGCTGTTTTAGAAATCATATAGAGTCTATTAAACAATTACTAGAATAAGTGAATTTAGCAAGGTTTCAGGATGTAACATCAATGTACAAAAATAAATTACATTTCAATATTCTAGTAAGAATTGGAAAATTATATTACAAAACAAATACCACTGACAATAGCATCAAAACACTAGCCAAAATAAAATACCCAGGAATAAATCTAATGAAAGGTATGTGAGATCTATAAACTGAAAATTATAAAATATTGCTTTGCAAAATTAAAATATTCCTAAGTGGAGAGATATAGCACGTCCGTAAATTGGAAACTCAATATTGTTTAAGATTTCCATCCTCCCTAAATTAATGTATAGATTTAACATAATCCATATCACATATAAGCAATCTCTTTTGAAGAAATAGATAAACTAGTTCTAAAATGTATGTGGACATGCAAGTCATCTAAAATAGCCAAAACAATTTTGAAAATGAAGAACAAATTTGGAAGCCTTTTGACTACCTGATTTTAAGACTCATTATAAAACTTCAATAATCAAGATAGGGTGATGTTGGTGTAAGGATAGGTAAATAAATCAATAGAAAAGACTAGCAAGTCCGGAAATAGGCACTATACATTACATCCTTGAAATGTGTATTTTACCACAATTAAAAATGCAAAAAAATGCTAATGTAGAAACTGAAATACTCAGAAAATAAAAAGAAGAAGAGCAATCATCCATAATCTCTCACTGTCTAGAGTTTACCAGGAGCACTTTTTAGTACACAGTATTTATCTTTTCCTGTCTCAGTGGTATAAGTGTATATTTGAGCTTTTTTTAAACAATTGGGGTCAAATTATATGTATTTGACATTTTTGTTATTGTGGTGTTAGCTTCTGAATCTAAGAAATGGAGCCAAAAAAACTTTCCTTAGTGGGAAAAAAGAATTAACTACTGATACATGCAACACTGTAGGTGAAGCTAAAAATACGTATATGTCTATATGTCAAGTGAATGAAGCCAGACCCTAAAGAGCACATGCTGGATGATTCTATTTATGTGAAATCGGAGAACAAGCCCAACTACTATACAGTGTTTGAAATCAGGAAGTAGTTGCTAAGGAAAGGAAGAGCTCACGCCTGTAATCCCAGCACTTTGGGAGGCCCGAGGTGGGTGGATCATTTGAGGTCAGGAGTTCGAGACCAGCCTGGCCAACATAGTGAAACCCCATCTCTACGAAGAAAACAAAAAATACAAAAAAAAAAAAAAAAAAAGACCCAGGTGTGGTGGTGGGTGCCTATAATCCCAGCTACTCAGGAGGCTAAGGCACAAGAATCACTTGAACCCAGGAAGTGGAGGTTGCAGTGAGCCAAGATCATGCCACTGCACTCCAGCCTGGGTGACAGAGTGAGACCCTGTCAAAACAAAAAGGGATGAGGATTTATTGGAAGGAGCATTGGGAATTGCCAATGGTGATGGAGATGTTCTACATTTTGTTCTGGGCACTGGTTACACAGGTATATGTTGTCACAACTCATTAAAGTTAACAGTTAAGATCTGTACAATTTACTGTTTCTCAATTATACCTCAACCTAAGAAAGTTTTCTAAGTAAGTGGACCAAAAACTAATCTATGTTAAAAGAAGTCAGAATAGCGGGCTACCACTGGGGCGGAGGGTATTGACTGGCACGGGATTGAGGAGGAAACCTGCTGCCATGCTGTGTTATTCTACATTTTGATGTAGATTGTGTTACATAGCTGTATAAATTTGCAAAATTTCATTGAGCTGTACATTTCAGTTGTATATGATTTGCTGTATGTAAGTTATATTTCCATTTAAAAACAGTGAATGGGCCTGGCCTCTGCCTCCAGTCACAGCTCCTTCTCAGTGAAGACACAAGAACTGGCCGAGAAGACCAGCAAAGATGGGCAGGTGGCTTCTCCCTGTTGGTGTTCAGAGAAAGAAGGGAAAAGGAATAGCTGCCACTGCATTGGTACAAGAGCTCCAACACTCCAGATTTTATTTCTTAATTTCCACATCGAGAAACTGAGATGACAATTTTATTTTTCTACACACAACAGCAGATAAGCTATATTCCAAAGAATCATTTGTAAATTGGCTGGTTGAATGCAGAACCCAGTGTCCACAGGAAGTAATGTCCTAAATGTCCATCAGATGCCCAGGCTAGCCCACAAAAGCTAGAAGGAAGAAGGTCATCAAAATACTATAGGATTTTGTTCAAATATGTTTGCAAAGTAATGCTCTTACCACAGTAGAAACTAAATCCATTGGAAACATAATAATGTTGAAAAAGACTTCATTTTCTACTTATGAATATTGACACTTGATGAAGAACTGTGTTGTGTGTAATTAAAGCAGGATGAGTAGGAAGTTTTTTTGGCAATATTTCTAAGAGGAAAGTCTGGGAACTTTCAGGAATTACCTGATTTCACTTTGATTTCAAAGTGAAATGGCCACGTCCCTTGTCTTGATAAGTGTCTGTACCCTGATGATTATAGTATGTGCTGACCATGATTACAATTGCTTCTTGATTCACAGTGAAGGAAAATGGGAAGACTTTCCTGGGGAAGTCAGGCAGAAAGAAGTTGGAAAGTAAAAGAAAGAATGAAAGGGGTCAGCCGTAATAATAATGCCTGGCCTTTCCATTCTTTTCTGTGTGATGCTATGTTACCAGCATCCTCACTTCCTGAGCTCAGGGTCCTCCCTCTGGGCCTCTAGCTACAAACAGAAAACAAAGCCACCTTAAACTACTAGCTAGAATTGGTTACCACGTAGTCATTTGATAGATTCTCCAACTCTGTTTTTTCAGTTACTGAATGTTTGATAAATCAACTCTTATTTTGTTCCCCTGCATGGTTTTAGTCATGGCAGAGATATTATCCAGAAGCTCTTTAGCTGTGGAAATGAAGAAACTTGCTTCAACCTCATTTCTTTACAAGGACAGTGATGTAGCCCAGGATGAGGCATAATGACCACCTGTCAGGAGCGAGAGGCTGTCACACTTCAGGAAATACAAGTGACATCATTCAAGTAGTGGGGACATTTGTTTCCTGAAGGCTGCATTCATTTCTTAGCCCGAGACAGGTGGGCTTCAGGGAGACTGAGTATCCTTGTGTCATGCAGCAGGAATCTCAGAGGTTCTAAAAGATCACCTGGACAGCTCCATTTCTTGCTAGTCTGTCTTACCATATGACAAGGGCTGACTCACAGACAAGGTCGCAAGGAGAATAAAAAAGATCTAGTGTGACAAATGTCAGATGGTCTGTGGGGAGGCAGGTGACCTGTGACCCCACCAAACGTCTCTGAATGGTGCTTCTAGAAGCTTGGGTGAATGAGCTTGATGCATTCTCAGGCTAAGCCAGCTTCTCCAGGGGCCTGAGCTACTCCCACAGTGCATGCTAGGTTGCAGCAGCTGTTGTGTTGATTCTTCTAACGTCAAGACCCAGCTTTGTCTTGTATTAGTTCTATGACATTGTGCAAGTGGCTATAATCACCAAGTCTCCATTTTCTCATTTTTAAGATGATAATAACACAGCTCGAGTTTTTGGTGTTAGGGATTAAATCAGGTAGCTGTATAAAAATAGTACATAGAGGAGATAAATAACTTCTCACAGGTGCTGAATTCAGGGAATCTCTCTGAAGTGTGGGAGAGATCACCTTTGACATTGTGAAAACCGAGATGCACATCTGAGAGATTTGGGCACGACTCTGTTGCAAATCTAAACTGTCAACATCACAGACTCATACTATATGAGCTCTAGAAAGAACCTTTGAGAAAAACTTGCCCAACTCACTTGTTTATGGATGGATTCTCATCCATGAGATGAAGGAATTTACTTGTTTGTCAGTCATTGCAACTGAGTTGCTTGCTCATCAGTTGTTTAAAAATGTATTCTCAGCCAGACATGGTGGCTCACACCTGTAGTCCCAGTACTTTGGGAGGCCGAGGTGGACTCATTTGAGGTCAGGAGTTCAAGACCAGCCTGGCCAACATAGTGAAACCTGTCTCTACCAAAAAATACAAAAATTAGCCAGGAATGGTGGCTTGCACCTCTAGTCCCAGCCCTCAGGAGGCTGAGACATGAGATCGCTTGAACCCAGGAGGTGGAGACTGCTGTGAACTGAGATCACGCCATTGCACTCCAAGCTGAGCAACAGAGTAAGACCCTGTTTCAAAACAAAAAACAAAAATAAAACAAAACAAAAAAAAAAACAACATATACTCAATAAATATTCAATGAATTTGTTAACTCATCTGAGGACACAGAACTAAAAAGAAAAAGCTCAAACTAGAATTCCATTTTCTTCTGACCTACAGAGAATAGGTTTACTGTAGTGGGTAAGAGTAATCCAGATCTTGGTTCAAATCTTGACTCTGCCCCGAAGTTGTGCAATCTCAGGCAAGTTATTTAACTTCTTATTAGTAAAATGAGGATAATTGTATCTATCTCTCAAAGTGTTATTGCAAGAATTAAACAAGATCATGGAGATCGAGCATGGGGCTCTTTCTGTTACAAAAGATCACATATTAACAATGACCCAGACAAAAAACAAGTGGGTCAAAAATCTGGATATTCAGTTGGCATCACATGAAGCCTCTAGATATTTGGTAATAGCAAAGTGAACTGAATTTCTAAGTTTGTCATCATGTCCTGGCTGATATCTACACTGCCTCTTCCAGGGCAGTCATACCTGACATGTCACCCAGGCCTTCGTGGGCTTTAGCTGCCCTCCCCAGGGCAGTCAGCACCATGCTGGCAAGAGTGCAGGTCCGTGCTCAGGAGATGGGGCACCAGAAACCCTCCCCTATCTGGACAAGTCACTGAAGCCCCTGAGCCTCCATTCCCTCATCTGTGAAAAGCAGGTAACAGTGCCTTCCATACAGGGATATTGTGAGGGATGGATAGCATCATTATTCTGGAAAGTGTACAGCACTTTAAAAGCAGGAGTGAGTTTTAATGTGCCAACCTAAATCAAGCTTTGGTCTAACTACAACACTGACTGAAATTTCTTGGGAGTTTCTGCAAATTAAAATTCTAACTTGGGGCTGATACAAAAAAAGAAAAATTCATTTAAAAAAATATAATGACTGGTGATTTTTTTCCCTCCAATTCATTGTGGGAGCCATTGCTAATCATGCTGACATTTTTCCAAAGAAAGATGGCTAGAGTTAATGCAGACACGTTGAGATGAGAGTCGCCTGGCCTACCCAATGGTGCTGCCAGAGGTAATTATAACACACCTGATATTTCCAGACCCCTTTCATTTTTCAGGGAGCCAAAGCACTTTGGAAAGTCAATCATTTAGAAAGGCATAGGGAAGACAATCCAATGAGCAATTGGAAGGATAGAAAATACCAAGTTCCTAAGGAACAGTAGCAGATCTGAAAAATGAACCTTTCTCATTTGCTTGAAAAGATGGATGGTTTGTGCCTGCATTTTCCTTCTCAGCGGTGGCTCCAACACCATGTCATTACACAAAATAATGACTGCACTTGTCTCAGGCTCCATTCGTAGTACTCACATGGTGACTGAATTTACTGAACGCAAAACAACTCTCTCCTTCTGATCTGAGAACAACAGGACTGCAGAGGGAGATTGCACAGTGTCTTCTCACACCTTGGCCTCAGTTTTGGGCAGTGTTGTTTTAATGCAGCCACTTTGACTCTTGGACAAAGTGATAGCCACACTTATTTTGAGAGCCTCAAAAAGAAATGATTAACCTTTGGGCATTTCTGAAATTTCCTGGTGATGTGTGCAATAACCCCCTTCACCCCTAGCACCGAGGCTCAAGAATGAAATTAAGGTGTAATGGGGGTACAGTTAGGTCTTGGGGTTTGGGTAAGGGACGGATTGTTGGTGTGAGGCATGGTGGTAGATTTGGGTATGGGGTGAGGGATGAGATGGGGTCTGATATGGACTGAAGGTGAGTATTTGGGTAAGGGATGCAGTTAGTGTCAAGGCTGGGATGAGGCTCAAGATTTGGTAGGGACAGATCAGGTCTGTGGTGAAGAATGGGCAAGGTACAAGAAGAGTGAGCCTTCATCTTTGGGTAGGGGTAAGGGAAGGGTTTATGTATGTGCCAGGCTGAGGCTCCGGATTTGGGCAAGCAATGGTCAGGCTCCACGGAGGCTCAAAGATGGATGGTTTGAGACTTAGGGACGGATGACAGGGAAGACCTCAGTGATGGGGTGATGTCTGTTGAATGCATTACTTGCTTTACATTTTTAAAAGCTGAAAGCTTAAGAGCTTATTTCTTAAGGCCGAGAAACATGTTCTCAGCTGCAGCAAAGCATTCTGCTCTGTCAGATAGCCCAGAGTTGGTCCAAAACAAAGGTGGGAAGTCGTCTGTGTTTGTGGCCCCTCCCTGCCTTTCTGTGGGGCTTCCCCACTTTCTGATAGAGCCACCTGGCAGGTGCCCAGCAGTTCTCAACAGCCTGTAGCATGGTCCTGGAGTCTCCAGCAAGCCATCCAGGTGTCATCAGCACTGGGCCTTGCAACCCGGAGCCCTGCAACCCTGTGGTAGAGCTGCACAGGGATGGGGAGGATCGCGGGATTTAGAGTCAAGAGGACCTGTGTTCTGGGCCTGGGTCTTAGACAAATCCCTGATCCTGAGCCTGATTCTTCAGCTATAAACAGCATTTTTCATACTTATCAGATGGGTTTGGAGATTGAGCAAATATGAAGGTATAAAGACCCTCCTAAGATGGTAAGAAAGTATGTTATTGTTGGCCTGGTGAGGTGGCTCACGCCTGTGATCCCAGCACTTTGGGAGGCCGAGGCGGGCAGATCACGAAGTCAGGAGATCGCGACCATCCTGGCTAACATGGTGAAACCCTGTCTCTACTAAAAAATACAAAAAATTAGCCAGGCGTGGTGGCGGGCTCCTGTAGTCCCAGCTACTCAGGAGGTTGAGGCAGGAGAATGGCGTGAACCTGGGAGGCGGAGCTTGCAGTGAGCTGAGTTCGGGCCACTGCACTCCAGCCTGGGCGACAGAGCGAGACTCCATCAAAAAAAAAAAAAAAAAAAAAAAAAACTGAAAGCAAGTATGTCATTGTTAATAATTGTGATCATCATCTCAGTACCAGAGACCAGACCCTGAAGAAGACACCAGTGGGCTCTGATGGGGGGACTCAAGGCTGTCACATAATCAGTACCAGCTCCTCTGAAAGAAAGAACTTCCACCCTCTGGATCTCAGATTGCTCACCTAAGTACCTGCTTTAGCAATCTGAAACTCTGAATTCCTCAACATTCCTGTGAGATAAGGAGGAGCAGAAACAGAAAAGGACTCTGGGAAGAGGCTTACTTCACAGGTCCAATAGCCACAAGACATTTGAGAAGCATAGATGGCTCTCTCTTTGCCCATCCTGCAACCCTGGATTCTACTTCAGCCATGCTGTTGGTGTATAATGCGTGCTAAGAGTCAACAACAAGTGCAGCTGGCTTCCTGATGCTACTGGGGCCTCCCTGAGTCCCAAACAGGCACTCAGGTATCACAGAGGCTGCCAACAAGCTGACAACTGGCTGGGCCAGCAAACAGACAGGGTAACTGCCTGTATACACAATTTAAGTCATGTGTATAGGCAGTTACCCTATATTCCTCCCACAGAGCCCCCAGATTTCACCATTACAAACCTAGCGCTATTGGTGTTAGCACTATCCTTTCCCCAATCTCTCTTTAAAATGCAAAGATCCCAGCCATGCACGCTGTATTAAGCCCTAAGTTCTGAGACTTCTCCTGCCTCCACAGCTGTATCTTTCCAGTCTCCCTTGTGAAGGCCTTTTTTGTCAATCCATCCCCTTACTCCTTGTCTTCTGAGATGACAACATTCACAGCCACAGCTTTACCTACCACCTACATGTGTGGGCATCCGAATCCAAGTCTCCAGCCCAGATTCCTCTCCTTGTTTCCAGGCCCATACATTCCTCTGCTTCCCAGACACCTGGCGACCCATAATGAACACCTCAAATCAACATGTCCATTGGGCAAGGCTTCATCCGTCCCCTCCTCTCCCAGATGCTCCCTCAGGGGCCCCTTTTTATCCATGGATGTCAGACACCTGGGAGTCTTGTGTTGATTCTCCCCACCAATCAGATCCTTCCACTTGTCTCGATTCACCTGCTTTGTTCAGGTCTAACTATATTCCACCTAGCACCACTGCAATATCCTACTGAATGGTCCCCCTGGAATCCATTCTCCACAGCACAGGCAGAATGCAAGTCTGCTGCTGTCACTCATGTGCTCACACACCTTTGATGACTCCCCATGAGCTGTGGACCATAGCCCACGCCCCAGGAGCTCCATCCTTTGACCCTAGCCCACCTCCTCCACCTCTTCTCGCACCTCAGCACCCTTCCTCTGTGCTGTGAGCCTCCATTCATAAAACCTATTCGCAGTTCCCAGATCTGGGCGCTTATGTGCATGCTCTAGCTCTTTCTAGAATGTTCTTTCTTATCTACTGCATGGGGCTACCTCTTACTTCTCCTTATTGACTCATGTCAAGAGCCTCCTTTCCCCTTGCCCCCAGTGGTAGACTAAATAACATCCCCCAAAGATATCTAGTTCCTGATCCATGAACCTGTAAATGTCACCTTAAAGGGCAAAAATAGCTTTACAGATGTGATTAAGGATCTTGTGACGGGGAGATTATCCTGGGTTACCCACTTGGGACCTAAATGCAATTACATGTATTCACGTAAGAGGAAGGTGGAAAAGAGTAGACACAGAAGAGGCGGGGGCAATGTGACCATAGAGGCAGAGACTGGAGTGATGCAGCCATAAGCCAAGGAGTGCTGGCTGCCACCAGAAGCTGGAAGACCAAGGAATAAATCCTCCCCTGGAGCCTCTGGAGGGAGGCCTGACACCTTGATTTTGACCCAGTGAAACTGATTTCAGATTCTGGGCTCCAAAAGTGTAAGAATAAATTTCTGTGATTTTATGCCACCAGGTCTGTAATAGCTTGTTAATTTGCAGGCCCAGGAAGTTAATCCACCCCACTAGACTGGACTAGGCCTCTCCTGAGTGCTTCCAGAGCCCCTGTGTGTCACCATGACCCTTGTCATGTAATGTGAATACCTGTCCACTTGTCTGCATCTCCCCAACACACTGCACTGGGACTCTTTGAAACAGGGACTTTTTGATCTGTATCTTCAGGGATTATCATGTAAGGGGCTTGAATAAATGTTGGTTGAAAAATGCAATGAATAAATATCATCGCTCACTGCCTGGCCTGACCCAGGACAATTCAACCCAGCTTAAATTCTTTGTCACTATATTGGGACCAATTCCCTCACCTTGGACCCCAAATACCAACTATTTGATGAATTGTGATGAAGACTCCTGCCCTGGACTTACCCTCTTAGTTATATTTCCAGAGTCAGTCTCTACAGCTCAGCATAAGCTCTGCTCCAGGGTGCTTAAGAATCACCCAGAGAGCCTGTCAATCATGCAACTTCCTGGACCCTCGCCCCAGAGAGTCTGAACAAAAGGTCTATGAATCTATGTTGTAAGGTCTGTCCCACCCCATCTCACTCCCCCCCACAGTCATGTGATTCTAATTCAGAGGAACTAAGACCTAAGCTTTGAGAAAAATGTGTCCAAGTGCCTGTCCTGCCCTTCTGGATATTGTCCCAAGCCCCAGCTCACCACGTCATTTCCTCTCTATCTGCCTGGGCTATGGTGAACTGACCCTCACACCCTGTACCCAAATTTCAGAACAAGCTACTGCACACCACAGAATCACAGGTTAATTAATAAGCTCATGTGCGGGTCCAAAGAATCTAAGTTCAGGAATTTGGAGTTTCTATAACTAGACCAGCAGGGAATTGAACTGTGGACGCTGTTGGCTGCCTCTTGGCAGCCATCTTACTCCATCCTTACCGAAGCCTGAATGTGTTCAGGTCTTAACCTCTCAATATCACTCATGAGTGACTCAGGGAAGATGTGTGGGCTTTGACTGCTGTAAACCACAATGGAGAGTCTATTAATCTTCTGGTCAATGAAGTCCAAGGAAAAGCTTCCTGGGGGATTTCTAAGTCTCTTAATATAAAACCTTGAAAAACAGTCTTTCGTCTAAGAGTACAGCCCCTGCTGCCATTGGCCGCTGTCCTCTGACCGAGAGCAAAACCAGCCTTGGATGCAGCTGACATTGGGTTAAGAGAATGGAGACGTGGAATGATTCCGGAGCTGGAAGACATGATTCTGCTGTTAGAAGAGCAAATCCCAAGCCCTGTCGTGCCCCTCAACTTCCTCTAGTGCAGTTCTGTGTCACTGAAATATCCCAACATCCAATTCTTATCAGCTGAAAGGGCTATATCTTGGGAAGCCCTGTCCCCATGACGTATACAGATGATTGATCGAAGGTCTAGAGGCAGAGATAAATGTAACAGTGTTGCTTGAATTATATATCATTGAGATGGCTGATGGCTGATGGTTGAACATCCCTGCTCTTGGGAGGTTTATTCCTAAAGGGACCCGGCACAATCACACCTGTCATGTTGGTTCTCACTTCTTGCATCCCATGGCCATGGTGCCATCTAAGGGTCTGTATTTGAAGTTCAAATGAATTATGTCACCAACTTATAGGAAGTTATGTGAAGAGCAGGGTCTCTACTTTACTCGATGGTTTTAGGAAAGTGGAAAGGAGATATCAGCTTCGAGGTTGTGACCACAGATACGGTTGAGTAATACTTTCCCAGGAGTGCTTGCTAGGTGAGCTTGAGAAAGTCACCTCAAAATAGCAACACTCCTTTGCTGGTGGAGCCCAGCAAAAAGGGAAGATTCAGACAAGGAGAGTCAGGCAGAGGCAGATCCCACCCTTACCTGGCCTTCCTGCTGTTCTTCCATGCAGCTGGTGAAAAGAATTGTAAAACAGCATGATGGTAGAGACTGGACTTCCAGAGTTGGATGTTCATGGATCAGGATCATGCCTCCACCCCTGGCTGGTTTAAAGTCTCTGAGCTTAAGTTTCTAATCTATGAAATTGTGGCAATTTCCTGTGACTGATGCAAGAATGAAATGCACTGATCTTAGCTCATTGACACATAGTAGGCACTAAATAAATGGTGGCTTTTGTTTTGATGTGTATTTTGATTGCTTGTTCTTATTCTTGGAGAAGAATGTTTTAAATGCACAGAACATGGTACTCCTCAAGCATTCTGATTGAACTAAGAGTTATCAATGACTTTCTGGAACAGCATCCAGGCCAAATCATCATTGCACCAGGGGCACTGTGAATTGCCAACTGTCTGGGCTCTGACTAAACACTTAAAAGAAAAGATGGCCTAGAGCTGGAACCCAATGAAGTGAGGCAGAGAATTGCACAACCGGGCAGAGAAGGAGGAATTCTAACAGCTATGGGCAGCAATGACAGAGCCATAAGCCTTCTGGAGCTATGCTAAAACTCCCATGGAAGGTGCTGGTCATTTCATCAAGCCGTAGGTGGTCAGACAGCACTGAGTCCCACCCACTCAGTATAGACTCCAGGATCCAGGAGTCCAGAGAAGGGAGGGGACTCTCTCAAAGACACACAGGGAATAGGGGGCTATGCTAGCATTAAAACTGAGGGCTCCTGACACCCAAGTCTATTGCTCCAATCCTTGAGGGAATCCTGACTAAATGTGTTGCATTTGCTATGACAGATCATATTTCTCCAGATTTATGTGTTTACTTGAACTAAAGTGTCCTTTCCACAGTCATGGGGCAAAATCGTGGAGGAGGCACAGGAAGCCTGTTTGTCCTCAGCCTCCTTTTCTCATTCCTCTCCAGCCTTCCCTTCCCTCCTCCTCATTCGCAGCTATCATCAGTCATACAGGGTTCCCCAGCTGCCCAGTCTCAGCCCCCCACCTTGTTTCCATCCTAGTGTTATCACAGTCTGTGATTATTTTATGGGTTGTTGACTTATTTTCTGTCTCTCTGTCCCCTACGTTGTTGTAAGCTCCATAAAGGCAGGGACTTCATTCAGGAACATAGTCCCAGTGCCTGGCACAGGGTAGTCACTCCATAAATATTTGTTCAAGGAACCAACCAACAAACTCACTTACATGGAGGTGATAGACCCTTACTCTATTCCCTCCTGTGGTGTAACGTAAATTGCAAGACGGAAGCCTCAGGAAAAGTAGGAATGAACTGGGAGGAGGGAACTAAGATATCCTGAGCACTTTCTAAGGGCAAGGCACTGAGCAAAGTAATTAAGGTACTTTATCCATGACAATGGCCATGCATGATAGACCCTCTGTGACAGATTAATGCAATTGATGCAATTGACCAAAAGCAATCCATCTACATTGAAGGAACTTAAGGAATGGGAGAAATAAAAAAGATTTTTGAGTCTGAGGTGGAATCTTCCTGGTTCCTCTCTTAGCACACTTCATAGGCAATACTTATACTGCCTGTCCGTAGGAAGAGCCTGCTTTGAACACCATGGCTCCTTAGTAATGGCCAAAGGAACTGTCATGATCCAGGCAGGTAGTTTTCAAGCCCGGGGAAGCTTTGTGCAATTTTCCCTACAGACATCCTTTGTTAAAATCAACAGAATTAAGTTACTGCATCTTAAGTAGACCCTTTATTCTAGACAAAAAAAAATTCTAGGAACTTTAAGGACATCATCTTATAGCTGTCTGGACAAACCCAAAGTAGCTGTGAATAAGTCTAAAGAGAGGGTCATATCTCAAAGAAAATTGGCATGACTTTTGTCAAATAGGTTGGACTTGAATCAGATTTATAGGAAACCCACATGGTTTTTAATGGAGCTGAATATGTAAAAGTGCTACCAGCCTACATTAAGATGTGGACTGAAATCTAAGGTGGCTCAAATATAAGAGGGCTTCTGGTCCCCAACTTTCTACAGAAAGGAATCAAATTGAGAAAGCTACCCAGCTGCAAATGAGGCCAGTCTTGGTAATCCCAAAAAGTGGCCTCAAAAGACAGAGGTAAAAAACAGACTGAGAAGTCACTCCCACGGAGCAGAGTTTAGGTCTAATCAAGGAATATTTCCTCCTCTTCAGTAGGAAAACCTGTTAATATTAGCCCAGCTGGATTTCAGTAGTGCTATAGACCAGTGAGTGTTATTTGCTTCTTATTTCCCCCTTCTGAATAAAAGTTTTCATTACATCTACACTTTACCTGTCTCACCAATGTGTTTTAGTGAGGTGTGGGTCAAGTCACTTATCTTCTTCATTCAGGGGTCTTCAAGTGAAGAGGAGCCACATTTGAAAAGTCTCATTGGAAACTGAGAGAGATCATGAGATCCAAGCTTGACTCCAAGTTTGATGTCATAGTTCAGTGAGAATTTTGTGGGGTACTGGAATGGGAGTAGGTATATTTGCATTTGGGAAGAATGTGAATAACTCCGGCCAGAGAATTCAATTTAATAAATTGGGGAAAAAATTTCCACAATCCCTCATTCCTTCCTCTGTCTATGCCATTTTGTAGTGCTACTCTGCATCATCAATGGAATCTATTTCCCCATCCTTGACTCTTGGCTGGCCTTGTGACATATTCTGACCATTTGTACACTTCCAGTCTCTCTCTTAGAATCCTGATACCACCATATGTCTTAGTTGTTCAAGCTGCTATGATAAAATACCACAGACTCAGTAGTTTAGAAACAATAGAAATTTATGTCTCACAGTTCTGGAAGCTGGAAGTCCAAGACCAAGGTGCTCCCATTGGTGTCTGGTGAGAGCTGCTCTCTGCTTTCAAGATGGTACCTTTTTGTTTGTCCTCATCTGGTGGAAGGCAAACTCTCTAAAACCTTCTTTCCTAAGGTCATTAACCCATTCATGAGAGTGGGGCCTTAATGGTCTAATCAACTTCCAAAGGCCCCACCTCATAAGACCACCACAACGGGGATCAAATTTCAACATGAATTTTGGAGGGGACACATTCAAACATAGCACCATGTAGACAAGCCCTGGTGTGCATACTGAATAATCTTAAAAGACATGTGACCCAGTCAGCTCCTTTGTCCCAGCTGACATCCAGACAATTGTCAGACACGTGAATGAGATGATCCCAAACCAGCTAGCCCCCAGCAGACCTTCCAGCCAGCCACAAATGCATGAGCAAGGCTGAGATCAACTGTGTCTGACCAGCTCAACAGCAGTGCTTATGTGACATGTGAACAATGAGCAGTAATAAATGGCCAGTAAGTTTAGCAGTGGTTTGTTACACAGCAAAAGCTAACAGATATACTATTCTTCAGCTTTTCCTTTCTGTTGTGCAACCTATATATTGAGTCTGTTATTCCAATAATTAGGTTTTCCTAATTATCTTCATCACTGGTTCTCCCTGCCTCATGCTTTAACAGCCTTCCTTCCTTCTTTGAGGGTTTATATTATGCGTATTTTTGTCTTGTTTTGTCTCATCCACTAATTCTGCTTCCTCTGGCTGAGATGCAGCTTGGCAGGCTGCAGTGAGGCAGTGAGCACGGTCTGAGATGGCCTGGGGCAAATGCAAACACACTTGGGAATGGAAGGATAGAGGCTAGTGCTTGGCATCCTAAATCACCAGTGCTAGAAGAGATCTAGGCCAGCACTTTCATTTTATAAGTGAGAAAACCGAGACCTAGAGAGGAGAAATAATTTGCTCAAACTCATGTAGCAAGTTAGTGACAGAGCTGAGTCTAGAATCTAGGTTTTTTCATCTCCAGCTAATCTCTTCCCACTACCCACTGCTTTATCTCCAATTTCTAAGATTTTGGAATCTTTGCTGGACCCCTTTTCACTTGGTTCTACAGGCTTCTGAGCCCCCAGATGTCCCCCTAATGCGTGCCACCCACTTCCAAACTTTATGACCTTCCTTGGATTCTAATCAGCCTGATCTCTTCACTGGTACCTTGACCTCCCACTGCTTCCCAATTTCTATACTGGAAGTTTTGCCATCCCTTTTGCCTGGGATGCCACACCCTCTCATCCTTACTCAGTCAATCCTGTGCATCCTTCAAGTCCCAGCTCAAACACTCTTCTTCATTTGCCTTCCTCATTCCAGTTTCCGCTCTCCCTATCCATTCTCTCTGCTCTGACCTTTTGGAACCTAAAACACGAATCAGATCACATTACTCCCTGCTGAAATGTTTAAATGACTTCTGATGCCCTGAGGTGAAGGCTCCCACAACTTCTCACTGTGAGTTAAGGGCCTGGTCCCTGCCTGCCTTCCTGGCCTTCTTCCTTCTCATCCTCCATCCTGTCCCTGAACTCTAGTCATGCCAGTCATCATCTTCCAAACTTCCTGTGCTCTCCATGTCGCCCCAACTTTTCATATATCCTTCTCTCTTATCCTGATAATAAACTTCTACACCAAATTCATGTCCTCTGATAATCCATTCATTACTCCCTCTGAGAGTCCCTGTATCCTGTTGTTCCCCAATTCAGTGCTTGAAAACATACCTTGACCACCACATATATCACACGGTACTGGAGCTGTTTAATTAACCAACTCCCTTATTCAGCCTAAGGCCAGGGGAGGCATCTCTTCAACCCTGAATTCCCCAGTGCTTAGCACAATACCTACCACATGGCAGAGGCTTTGAAATACTACATGAATAAATGAATGGAAGAATAAATGGATGAACGAGTAAACAGATGGCCTTGTCGTATTGTTTAACACTATATGAATAAATGAACGGAAGAATAAATGGATGAATGAGTAAACAGACGGCCTTGTCGTATTGTTTAACTTGTCAAATGTGAAATTTCTGTTTCCAAGGTGAAAAATAAATTCCAAGCATTCAGGAAAGAGGCCAGCATGTCTCTCCCACTTCTACAATGCCTAGCAATAGGGCCGGGAACAAAGTAAGGGCTGAGTAAAGACCCATCAATGGCTGACTCCCTGGCTTATTGTCCTGTCCTTGGTTCAGTTTCATTAGAGGGAAGAAATGCTCTTTATGGCTTCTTTCTCCTTCCTTCACCCCTGGCCAGTCAAGCCCAGGCTATTGCAAAATCATTTTTTAGAAATTAATCTCAGCAAAGGAGCAAATTATTTTGCCCTTAGTCATCAGAACTGGCCTGGTTCCCTGAGGGTGAGAGTGAAATAAACCTCTCTCTCTGCAGAGCGGACTATGAAGAGAGATTGGCTACTCCTGGAAGACTGGTTGGATGGTTTTGATGATGGAGTTTACCAAGGAAAGCAAGGAATCATCTATTGGTGAACAAGGTTCTGAATCAGTCCCTGGATTGTGTCCTAGAGGAATAACGAGAATCATCAGATGTGGACTCTGTCCTCTAAAGCTTCCAGTCCAGAGGCGAGAAAAGAAACGTGGATATGAAAGTATAAAATCAAAGCTATAAAGTGCCACAAGAATGACTCGCTCCATAATTCAACCGACATTTTGTTAGCATTTACTATGTGCTTGTGTGCTGGGCATTGGGGGATGCATAAGTGAATATATGATTTCCTTCTACAAAGGGACTATGAAATAAAGGGAGAGGAAAAGGGATGCCTTATGATGGGGAGTGGGGAATGATCCTACCCTTGAAAACTGGGTAGGAATTTAGCAATTAGAAATTGGACTATTCCAAATGCGGTTGGAAGAAAACTCCTATGATAACCCCAATTAATGCAGTAAGAGCATTTAATAAAATTCGACTTACTTTCATGTTAAAAACAAAAACACTTAACCTAGAAATAGTAGGGGGCATTTGATTAACGTGATAAAGTGCTTCTACAAGAAGTTACAGAGGGCATTATAATTAATGTTGAAATATTGAAAGCATTCCCCTGAAAATCAGGAGCCTGAAAGTTAAGGATGTATGCTAATATCAACTTCTATTCTACACTTAACTAGAAGTCCTAAATGGTACAGAAGATTAAAAAGTAAAGATATATGGATTGTAAAGGAAGAAACAACACTATCATTATTTGCAGATAATACGTCTGTCTGCAAAGAAAACTCCAAAGAACTCTCAGGTAAATCATTAGAATTACTAAGATAATTTAGTAAGGTTGCTCAGTCCAAAATAGACAAAAATAATTTCATTTTTATATACAAGCATCAGGCAAAAAGTGACTTTTTTATTTAAAAAAAAAAGATATTTACCATAGCAACAAAAATAGGTACCTAGAAAAAAAATAACAAAAAAAGGAAGCTCTTTATAGAGAGTATGATAAAACCTTATTAAGAAATATATTAAATAAGACCTAAGTATGTGGAGACATAAACCCTATCCGTGGAAGGAATTGTAAATATGTCAGCTCTCTTCCAATTGATCTAGAGACTCATTGCAACTCCCGTCACAATTCCAACAGAGTTCTTCATGAATACTGGCAAGCTGATTCTGAAATATAAATGGAAGAACAAAAGGCAGGGAATGGCCAAGACATTCCTGAAGAGGAAAAACAAGGTGATGATTCTTGCCCTCTCAAATATGAAAATATATTTAAAGCTTTAATACTTAAAGCAGCGTGGAGTGCTGCAAATAGATCAGTGGCACAGTATGGAGAGAGATCTTGTACCTACCCATGCATTTATGGAAAATAGATTTATAACCATGCAGGTGTGCTTGATGGTTTATTTGTTCACCCAGATGCAGTCTCCAACCTGCTCCACTCAGTTCTGTACTCCAGAGCAGACCTCTGTGGCCTGCATTGGTGGGTTCCCTGCCCTCTGGCTTCCAGCTGGGTTATGGTGGATTTACCACCAAATCTACAGGAGGGACAGCATGAGGTTGAGCAGACAGGTGTTTAGTCCTCTGGCCAACTCTGTCTCTCCTGGGTCAAGGTGATTGGTATGTTTCTCTGTGGAAGTCTCCCCTTCTATTTGGAGGTCTTCCTCCACTCCTCCCTCTGGGTCCAGTAACTCCTGCCTTTCCTTGACTCTCAAGGTTAGAAGTGGTAAGGGTTTCAGCTCTTGCCAGTTGAAACTGCTTCATCACCTATTAGTGATGCTTCACTAATAGGTGCTTCATCACCTATTAGTTTCCCTTACCTCAGCCTCTCCTTTGTAAATACTGCCTTTTTTAAACTCTCTTTAATGTTAATGTTTGAGTGTGCCTTCTGTTTCTCGCCAGTACCCTGATTGATACAGGCAGTCCTGCAGATTGGTGAGGAAAAGAAGGCTCATTCAGTAAACTGTGCTAGGAAAACTGATGACTCATGAGGGAAGAAAATTATAAACACAAAAATCAGTTCCTCAGACCTCAGTATAAGAAAATATACTAAGATAAGAAAGTATGAGAAAGGATTTTATAAACAAGATATATAAATACACCAACTGTAAAGGAACAGGTTAATAATATTCAATACATTAAAATTAAGGACTTCTGTTCATCAAAAGCAACTTGAAAGGAGTGAAAAGACAGTTCACAAACTTGGAGAAGACATTTGCAAAACTTAAAGCCAACAAATAATTGTTACTTAGACCTCTGCTGTCCAAGATGGCAGCTATTAGATATATGGCTATTAAAACTAAAAATAGACTGGGCACAGTGGCTCACGCCTGTAATACCAGCACTTTGGGAGGCCAAGGTGGGTGGATCACCTGAGGTCAGGATTTTGAGACCAGCCTCACCAACATGGTGAAACCCCATATCTACCAAAAATAAAAAAATTAGCTGGGTGTCGTGGTACATGCCTCTGTAATCCAGCTTCTTGGGAGGCTGAGGCAGGTGAATCACTTGAACCTGAGAGACAGAAGTTGCAGTGAGCCAAGATCGCGCCACTACACTCCAGCCTGGGCAACAAGAGCAAAACTCCATCTCAAAATAAATACATAAATAAATAAACACACTAAAAATAATATTGAAAATTTAGTTCCTCTGCTGCACTAGTTTCAAATGCTCAGTAGCATGTGGCTAGTGGCTACCATATTGGACAGTGCAGACAGAGAACATTTCTATCATCACAGAAAGTTCTGTTGAGAAGCCCTTATCTAGAATATAGAACAGCTCCTAGAAATCACTAAGAAAAAAAGCAAATAGCCCACAATGGTTAATTTTATGTATCAACTTGACTGCACCATGGGGTGCCCAGACCAAACACTGCTTCTGAGTGTGTCTGTGAGGGTTTTCCAAGATAAGATTAGTATTTGAATCAGTGGACCCAGTAAAGTAGATTGCCTCCTCAATGTTGGTGGGCATCATTCAACCCATTGAGAGCCTAGATAAACAAAAAAGGCAGAGGAAGGAGGAATTTTTGCTTAATGTCTTTGACTGAGCTGAGACAACTGCCTTCTCCTGCCCATAGACTAGTATAAAACTATCAGCTCTCCTAGTACTCAGGCCTTTGGACTCAGAATGGAATTACACCACCAGCTTTCCTGGGTCTTCAGCTTGTGGACAGCAGATCATGGGACATTTCAGTCTCTGTAAACATGTGAGCCAATTCCTCACAATAAATCTCTCCCTATGTATCTCCTATTTGTTCTGTTTCTCTGGAGAACCCTGACTAATACATAGCCCGGTCAAAAAAAAATGAGCAAGATAAAAGAACAAGTATTTCAGAGAAAAGTAAAGGCTTTTGGTCCCATACGAAGAAATATGCAACCTCAACCCTCAACAGACATCAGAGATATACACAACGTAAATTATTTCATGCTCACCATTTTGGCAAAGTCAATACCAAGTGATAGCAATATTATAGCACAATAGAAAGTCACACACTGCTTTGAGATTGTAAATTGGTACAATCACTTTGGAAAAGAGTTTGTATGACTAAGTAAAATTGAAGATATGTATATCCTATAACCCTTCTTGCACACCAAGAAATGTGTAGAAGAACATTCACTACTATATTGTTTATATTATATGTATCTATAGTTTATAATACATGAAAACCAGAAAAAATACAAATGTCCATCTACAGTAAAATGGAAAAATACACTGAATATCAGTGGAAAACTATGGAGCAGGGAAAATAAACATCATCTTGGATAAACTTAAAAAACATAACCTTGAGCAAAAAAAATGGAGACACAAAAGCATACACTTAGAAGATGTCATTTATGTACTGCTCCAAAACAGACAAAACTAAACAATATAATTGGGAATAAAGTACAGGTTCTAAAACTGTAAAGAAGAGCAAGGAAAGCTGAACACAAAAATGAAGCTAAAAGTTAGTGATGGCAGAGAGAGAAAAATGTAATCAGAGCGGGACACATAGAGGTTTCTTCTTAGAAGAAGTGATAATTTTCTTTCTTAAATAAAAACAATTTTGAAATGATAATAACAAAATTTTAAATGTTTTATTTTTTTTTTAAATTTTTTTTATTTTTATTTTTTTTTGAGACGGAGTCTCACTCTGTCGCCCAGGCTGGAGTGCAGTGGTGCAATCTTGGCTCACTGGAAGCTCCGCCTCCCGGGTTCATGCCATTAAATGTTTTATTCTTAACCTACGTGGTGATGCATAGGTTGTTTGATTATAATATATAATAACACATTATAGTACAGATGGATATATATATATATGTTTTCTTTTTCTTTGTGTACTTTGTATACTTGATATTTATTTCTCTAAGAAAAGAAACTTCTATTTCTAGTAATGACTGATCAGATCATTGAGACCAACCTCTCCACTGAGAACAGCTACAAAAGCTAAACACAATAATAATGACAACAATAATAATTATTTTTAAATAAATATTTTAATAAAGAAAATGTTTGAAGCCTTCAGAGGATGAATAAAGCAGAAAGGATAACCAGGTCATGCTTTAAAAGAAGATATAATCCAAGAATTTGAGGCTACTTTCCCCCCAGGTAATTTGTTAATTCTAGAAGAGGAGGCTGACAGTCTGAGAGTCCAAACAGTGCTCTTGACACTTTTGTGAGTCAGGTGGACTTCCCCGGAGGAAGAAGATAATATAATCCAAGACCTTAGTTATTGGGTTTATGTTGGAAAATCAATTAATATAACATATTTTTTCAATACAACATTAACTTAATTAAGGGGAATTCATGTGATTATCTGCATAGATACAGAAAAAGCATTTTTTAAAAAATCAACAATTAGTTAGTTAAAAAAAAAAACTCCTAACAAATGAGGAATAGAAGATAACTTTCTGAATGAGATAATGGATATTTTCAGCAAGCCCACTGTAAAAAAAATTAAATTTATGATGAAAGATGGAGTTTTCCCCTGATCATCATTTCTATTCAACATTGTACTTGAGGTTCAAGCCAGTGCAATAAAGAAAAATAAATAAAAGGTATAAAGATGATAAAGGAAGAAATAAAATCAGTTGAGCAGGCCAGGCGTGGTGGCTCATGCCTGTAATTCCAGAACTTTGGGAGGCCCAGGTGGGTGGATCAGCTGAGGTCAGGATTTAGAGACCAGGCTGGCCAATATGGCAGAACCCCATCTCAAAAAAAAAAAAAAAAAAATTTCAGTTGAGCAACATATGAGAAAATAAATGAAACTTGACCTCTACACTATATGTTAAATTACTGATTCTCAACTGAAAGGAATTTTGCAACCCCTCCCCAACCCCCATAAGGGAACATTTGGCAATTCTAGGGACAATTTTATTGACATAACTGGCATCTAGCGGGCAGAAGCTAGGGATGCCACTAAATATCCAACAATGCACAGGACAGCCCCCACAACAAAGAATTACTCACTCAGAAATGTCCATGGTGCAGAGACTGAGAAACCCTATGCTAATCAGCTCCATCAGTGGAACATCCATAGTGCAGATGGTCCCTGATGTGGGTCTGGTTTGAGTTAGGATTTTCTGACTTTACAATGGTGTGAGAGTGGCACGTATTCAGTAGAAATTGTATACTTTGAGTACCCATGCAACCATTCTGTTTTTCACTTTCAGTACAGTGTTTAATAAATGACATGAGATATTCAACAAAACAAATAGATATTCAACACAAAGTAGGCTTTGTGTTAAATGATTTTTTCCCAACTGTGGGCTAATGTAAGTGTTCTGAGCACATTTAAGGTAGGCTAGGCTAGGCTATGATGTCCAGTAAGTTAGATGTATTAAATGCATTTTTTACTTATATTTTCAACTTAGGATGGGTTTATCAAGATGTAGCCCCATCCTAAGTTGAAGGTCATCTGTAGATCAAAATGGGAAAGGTAAAGCAAAAAGGCTTTTAGACGATAACACAGGAAATATATGTTTGACCTCAGGATAGGTAAAGATTGATGAAAAAGGACACCAAAAGCATCAACAATGAAGAAAAAGATTCATCGAGTAAACTATATTAAAATTAAAATTTTCTGTTCAAAAATCACCAAAAAGGGAAGAAAAGGGCAAGAGCAGAAGATATTTCCAACTCATATAAAAATTAGAAGACTCTTATCTAAAGTGTATAAAGAACCTATACAAATCACGAGAAACAGACAACCCATCGGGGGAAAAATAGGCAATGGACTTGAACTTCACAAAAGAAGATATCCAAATGTCCGATAAACATATGAAAAGATGCTCTATCTCATTAGTCATTAAAATAAAGCTAACTAAAACTATAATGAGGTACCATTATTCTCCCACCAGAATGGTTAAAATTAAAGATTGACAATACCAAGTATTGGCCAAGGACATGGAGAAATGAACACTCATATACTGCTACTAAGGAAAGGTTTTTACACCCATTCTGGAAAACCATTTGGCAGTGAACACACGTATACCCTAGGATCCAGCAATTCTACTCCTAGCTATGTACCCAATAGTACTGTGTACATTTGTGCACTCAAAAAGTGTGTACAACAATGTTCATAGCAGCATTATGCATAATATCCTCAAACTGGAATCAACCTAAATGTCCATCAATAATAGAAGACACAAACCAATTATGTTATATTTACACAATGGCATTCTTTGCAGAATTAAAATAAATATTAGCTATGTACAACATAATGGGCTAATCTCATAAAAATAATGTTCAGGGAAAGAAGCAAGACACAAATGAATACCTACATGATTGCGTTTGTATAAGTTTCAAAAATAGGTAAAACTAATCTATAGTATTAGAAGGCAGGATAGTGGTTATCTTCCAGACAGAAAGGGGTCAATGGCTGCAGAGAATAATGAGGGGCTTGTATTGTTAAGTTCTATTTCTTAAGTAGATATGTTCATTTTCTGAAAATGCATTAATTGTATACTTACTATTTGTGCCTTTTTATCTTTATGGTATACTACACTTCAATAAATACGTAAAAAATTAAATGCAAAGTAGAAGGAAGAAAATAAGATAAGAGAAGAACTTAATAAATTAGAAAACAAATGCACAATATAGAAAATCAACAGGCCAAAGTTGGTTCTTTGAAGAAAAACCCAGAGAAACTAATTAAGGAAAAGAGAGAATACATAAGTAGATAATTTAGAGAACATGAAAGTGATCATCACTACAGATTCATCAGACACTTGAGAATCATAAAGATAGTATTAATAACTTTATCACAATAAATTTCAAAACTTAGATAAAATGGACACAGTACAGAAAAATATAACTTATAAAAGCTGACTCAAGATGAAGTAGAAATTCTGAAGAATCCTAAAATTATGAGTAAATTATGCCAAATACTAAAGAAAGAAATAATGCCAGATATTACAAGAACTCTACCAGAAAACAGGAAAAGAAGAAATTCTTCCTAGCTAGTTTTATGGGACCTGCATCACTTTGAGTCCAAAATCAACAAAGATATGAGAAAGGAAAATTACAGGCCAATCTTGTTTATTAATATAGATGCAAAATCACAGTCAAAGTATTAGCAAAATTAATCCAGTGAGAATAGTAAGAATCAGGAAAAATGCTACACAATCAAGTTGGGTGCTACAGCAATGCAAGTTTGGTTAATGCTAGAAAAGCAATAAGTTAAAATGTACTGATAGAGGGTAACCTGGAACAAACATGATGAAAGTTTCCCCTCTGAGACTGAACGTGAAATAAGAGTGTTGGCTCTGCTATCTATCACCACTTCTGTTCAACATTCGCTGGGGGTTCTTGCCAATGCAACAAAAGGAAATACAGAGAAGGAAAAAAACAGGATAAAAGAAATATCAATGGGCCAGGTGCAGTAGCTCATGACTATAATCCTAGCACTTTGGGAGGCCAAGGCAGGTGGATTGCCTGAGCTCAGGAGATTGAGACCAGCCTGGGCAACACGGCGAGACCCCATCTCTACTAAAAATACAAAAAAAAAAAAAAATTAGCCAGGCATGGTGGCACATGCCTGTAGTCCCAGCTACTCAGGAGGCTGAGGCACAAGAATCGCTGGAACCTGGGAGGCAGAGGTTCCAGCCTAGACAACTGCACTCCAGCCTAGACAACATAATGAGACCCTGTTTCCAAAAAAAAAAGAAAGAAAAGAAAAAACATATAAAAATTATATATTTTTATGCATAAACTATTACGATTACCATTAATAGTCAATTGAGCAAGGTTTGGACATGGGTCAACAGTCAAAATCAAGTGTGTATTTATATAGCAGCCACAAACAATTAGAAAATATTTTTAAAGCTATCACTTACAATAGCATCAAAAAGTATTTAATACCTAAGAATAAATCTACAGAAAGATACAGAAGATGTCTGCACTAAAAACTATAAAATGTTATTGACAGAAATTAAAGAAGACTGACCAGATGCAGTGGCTTACACCCATAATCCCAGCAGTTTAGGAGGCAAAGGCAGGAGAATCTTTGAGCCCAGGAGTTTGAGACCAGCCTGGGCAACATAGTGAGACATTATCTCTACAAAAAAAAAATAAAAATAAAAATTGACAGAGCATGGTGGCACATGCCTGTAGTCCCAACTACTCTGGAGGCTGAGGTGGGAGGATCGCTTGGGCCCAGGTCAAGGCTGCAAGCGAGCCGTGATCATGACTCTGCACCACAACAGAGCAAGACCCTGTCTCAAAAAGCAATTAACTAATTAATTAATTAATTAAAGGAGATTTGTTATATCAAGTACATGGATTAGAAAATTAACTGCTATAGATATATCCAATATCTATGGCATTTTTCTATGGCATTTAATTTCTTCAATTTGATCTATAAGTTCAATGTAATTCCAATAAAAATTCAAGCAGGGGTGCATGTGTGTGTGTGTGTGTGTGTGTGTGTGTGTGTGTGTGTGTGTGTGTGGAAACTGACAAGCTAATTATAAAATTTATATGTAAATGAAAACAATTTTAAAATGCTAAGATATTCTTGAAGAAGAAAAAAAAATGGAGGATTAAATCTACCAGACATCCAGTCTTCCTCATGATTGAGCTTCAGTATTTAAGACACTATGATATTGGTGCAAGGATAGATAAATACACATAGATAATGAGTCATGTAAGATACTTAATATGGGACAAAGGTGGCACCGATGAGCTATGGGGAAAAGACAGTGTTTAAATTAAATGGTTTTGGGTAAACTGGATAGCCACCTATTCCCTACTTCCCACCATCCATGAAAATCAATTCCAAGTGGATGATAGCTCTAAAGAAAAGATAAAGCAATAAGCTTCTAGAACTGCACTATCCTATATAGTAGCCACTAGTCATATGTAGCTATTTAAGTTTTTAGATTAATCAAAACTAAATACAATTAAAATTTTCTCAGTTAAAAGTTGCGCAGTTTCTCAGTTGCACTAGTGACATTTCAAGTACACAATAGCCACATGTGGCTCTTAGCTACCACACACACAGAACCTTTCCATCATCACAGAAAGTTATATTGGAGAGCAGCAATCTAAAACAGGGTTCAGCAAACTATGGCCCACCGGATGTTTTGATAAATAAAGTTTTATTGGAATACACGCATACCCATTCATTCACTTGTTGTTTATGGCTACTTTTACACTACAATGGCAGAGTTGAGAAGTTGTGAGAGAGATCATATGACCCACAAAGCCTAAAATATTTACTATCTTACCCTTTTCAGTGAAAGTTTGCAGACCTCGACTCTAGAAGATAACAGGGAGAATTTATTTGTAATCTTGGGATCTTGACCAGGTCATGAAATATAATCGGGAAGATGAATTGAACAAAGCTTAAATTAAGAACTTCTATTTTTCAAAAGACATTATTCAGAAGACTGAAAAGGCAAACCACAGAATGAAAGAAGATATTTGTAACATATATAAGAACAAACGACTCTTTTGCAGAATATACAAAGAATGTATACAAATCAATAAGAAAAATTAAAATGGTCAAGAGGTTGGAATAGGTATGTCACAGCACCCCAAAAAAAGAACACCCAAATGGCAAATAAATCAAAAAGTGCTCAGCAATGCCAATTCTTCCAAATTAATCTATAGATTCAATGCATTCCCAATCAAAATCCTGGCAAGGTATATTGTGGGCACTGACAAACTGGATTCTAAAGTTTATATGGAAAAGCTCAAGACCCAAAATAGCCAACACAACGTTGAAGGAGAAGGAGAGGACTGACATGGCCTGGCTTCAAGATTTAGTATAGAGATACAGTAATCAAGACAGCGCGGGCTGGGTGCAGTGACTCACGCCTATAATCCCAGAACTTTGGGAGGCAGAGGCTGGCAGATTGCTTGAGTTTGAGAACAGCCTGGGCAATATGGTGAAACTCCGTCTCTACAAAAATTAGCCAGGTGTGGTGGTGCATGCCTGTAGTCCCAGCTACTTGGGAGGCTGAGGTGGGAGGATGGTTTACGTCTGGGAGGTAGAGATTGCAGTGAGCTGAGATTATGCCACTGCATTCAGCCTGGGTGACAGAGACAGACCTTGTCTCAAGAAAAAAAAAAAGAAAAGAAAAGAAAAAGTGTAGTATTTGGTGGAAAAAAAAAATAGAAAAATAGATCAATGCGACAGAATAGAGAGCCAAGGAATAGACCCACACAAACAGAGTCAACTGATCTTTGACAAAGGAGCAAAGGCAATTCTAATGAAGAAAGGATAACGTTTCAATAAACAGTGCTGGAACAGCTGGACATCCCTATGCAAATATAAAAAAAAAGTAAATCTAAATGCAGACCTATGCCCTGCACAAAACTTAACCCAAAATGAATCATAAACCTAAACATAAAATGCAAAACTATAAAATTTCTAAAAGATAACATAGGAGAAAATCTAAGCTTGATGATGGGGTTTTAGATACAACATCAAAAGTAAGATCTATGGAGAAAAATCTGTAAGTAGGAATTCATTAAAATTAAAAACTTCTGCTTTATAAAAGCTGCTGTTAAGTGAATGAAAAGACAAGCCACAGACTGGGGAAATAAAAGAATTGCAAAAGATATATCAGATAAAAGACTTCTATTCAAAATATAGAAAGAACTCTTGAACTCAACAATAAGAAAACAACCCAATTTTAAAGTAGAGAAAGATCTAAACAAACAATTCATCAGTGAAGATATACAGATGGCAAATAAGCATATAAAAAGATGCTCAAATTTTTATGCTCTTGGAGAACTTCAAATGAAAGCAATCAGATACACTACCACATGTTATAATGGCTAAAATCCCCAAACTGACAGTACCAGGAAGTCTCATTCATTGCTGATAGGAATGAAAAAATAGTACAGCCACTTTGGAAGACAGTTTGGCAGTTTCTCAAAAAAGTGTTCATGTTCTTACCATACGACCCCACAATGACCCTTCCTGGTATTTACCCAAATGAGATGAGAACTTACATCCACACAAAAACCTGCACATGAATGTTTATAGCAGCTTTACCCATAATTGCCAAAAAGTGGAAGCAAACAAGATGTTCTTCAATATGTGAATGGAAAAACAAACTGTGGAATATTAACCCAAATGATAGACTATTAAAAAATGATAAAAAAGTGATAAAAACAAATTAACTATCGAGTCACACAAAAAAAAACATGGAGGAAACTTAAGTGCATATTACTAAGTGAAAGAAGCCAATCTGAAAAGTCTACTTACTGTATGAGTCCAACTATATGACATTCCCAAGAAGGCAAAACTATAGACTGAAAAAAAGATCACTGGTTCCCAAAGATTTGGGGGATGTGAAAAGGTATGGATAGGTTATGCACAGATTTTTAGAATGGTAAAACTACTCCGCATGATGTTATAATGGTGAATACATGACATTATGCATTGGTAAAACCCATAGAATTATACAAATTAAGGTTCACGAAGAGTGAACCTTAATATACATAGTGAACTTTAGTTAATAGTAATGTATCAGTATTGGTTCATTAGTTATAACAAATGTACCACACCAATGCAAGATGTTAGTTATAGGAAAAACTGTGTTGTGTGAGGGAGAGGGTATATGGGAATTCTCTGTACTATGTGTTAAATATTTTTTTTAATAATTTTTTTTTTTTTTTTGAGACAGAGTCTCGCTCTGTTACCCAGGCTGGAGTGCAATGGTGTGATCTCGGCTCACTACAACATCTGCCTCCTGGGTTCCTGCCTCAGCTTCCCGAGTAACTGGGATTCCAGGTGCAGGCCACCATGCCGAGATAATTTTTGTATTTTTAGTAGAGACGGGGTTTCGTCATGTTGGCCAGGCTGGTCTCGAACTCTTGATCTCAGGTGATCCACCCGTCTCAGCCTCCCAAAGTGCTGGGATTACAGGCGTGAGCCACTGTGCCCAGCGTAAATAAATTTTTAAAGATGTTCAACCTCATTGGGCATGATGGAAATACAAATTAAGCTATAACGAAATACCACTAAATGCCTGCCATGGGGACTAATAGTAAAAAGAAAATATCGAATTGGCCAAGATCCATTCATCTACTGAAACCAGAATCTCACGCAAGTGCTGGTGGGAATAAAAACTTTAGAAAACAGTTGAACATTAGCTAATGAAGATAAACATATCAGTACTTTATGACTCGGGAGTTCCATTCCTAAATATACGCCCAACAGAAATGCATTCACATGAATGCCAGGGAGACATATGCAAGAATACTCACAGCAACATTATTCATAAAAGCCTCTCTGAGTCTAATTTGCAAACTGAGAAGAGTAATAATTCCCACCCAGGACTGTGGTGAGGATTAAATATCATCAATACGAAGTACTCAGTGCTCCATGTGGCATGTGATATGTCCATGGTGAGTGGAAGCAAGCGTTTATTATTATTTGTGGCCTGCATCAATCAGGTTCTCGGTTGCAAAAAACAAAAACAAAGACAAAAAACAGAAATTTACTCTGACTTGCTGCACCGAAAGATGGCATTTATTAATAGGATATTGCACTGGTCTCTGAATCTATCAGAATAATGGAGAACCACGCTCAAAAAGTAGTCAGGAAACTAGGAGGCCAGGTGGCAAAACACTCCCCAGGTGGGGCCACTGAAATAGCTGGGTTAGATCACTTATGCTGGCACAGCTGCTGCTAGAGACCTGTGCTGAGCCTTCTGCTTACCCGCTGCTCCTGCATGAATCACATATAACCACTGAATTTCTCACGTGGCCCTTGTCCCTGTGAGACTCCCTTAAGATTCAAAGTTCAAGTTGGGAGCATCTGGTTGGCCAAGCATAGGTCCCATATGGCCAAGAGGCCAGGGGCTGAGAAAAGGGAATGTCTGGCCCCCTTAGCCCTCTGAAGAGGGAGACAGGACTGTGCCTGTCGCCAACAAAGGATTCCTGAAAAACGGGAGTTTGGAAAGCTGGGAGCCACAAAACAACACACATCTATTAGCAATTCCAGCACAAATCTAGAATATCTTGGTTCTATGTTTCACTTGATTCCCTTAGTTCTGTATGAAGGAACAAAGTGACAAGTAATATCTGGTTATTTAGAGAGATGGTTCCTGCTCTCAAGGGGATTTTAGTCTAATCAGAGAAACAGACACATAGGTAGTCTAACTCCCTGCATCTCGTAGTGGAGTGGGAGGACAAAGGCTGCAGGTGAAGTCCCAAGCAGCCTTTCCGAATCTCAAGCAAATCCAAAAGAGCTAGAAGGTGTCTGTAAGCAAAAAGCCTTCTGGAAATTCCAGAGGAAAAACACCAAGTGGGAGGGTACAAGGGCAAGGTAACAAATGCAAGAGAGCCAGGGGTCAGGAATTAGACAGGACCTGGAGGGAAGTCAGAGCAAGTCAGAACGCAGCAAGAAAGGTCTGGGGCAAGAAGACAGTGAGTGGGTATTGACCACTTGCTTTTATGGTCTGTTGGTTGCATGATTATGAGCGTGTCCAGCTGGCTTAAAGGAGTAGAGTCAATACAGACTTAAAACAATATTTGGTACCCATGGCATGCCCCTTTGATTGGCATGGTTTGACCAGGTTTATCCACTTGCTTCAAACTTGGCCATCCAGATTTTCTTTCCCAGGATCTAGAAGTGGGACACTGATAGGATCAAGAACCTCAACTAATACCATAAGTATATGTGTTCTTATCTAGAACACATTCTTATAAAGATGGGTGACATCTTGTCAAGCACTTGTGAGGATCTCTCCAACCTAAATTTTAAGAAACTAAGCTATATGATTTTGATAACAAAAATATTTTTCTTTTTCTTTTCTTTTTTTTTTAAACAGGGTCTCTTTCTGTCTCCCAGGCTGGAGTACCATGGCACGATCACAGCTCACTGCAGCCTTGACCTCCCCGGCTCAATCAATCCACTTGCCTCAGCCTCCTGAGTAGCTGGCACGTGCCACTATGCCCTGCTCATTTTTGTATTTTTTGTAGAGACAAGGTTTTGCCATGTTGCCCAGGCTGGAAAAAATCATTTTTTAAGATCCAAACGCCTGGATCTTTCTTAACTCAAAATGTGACATCTATGGTATGAATGTCAGATAACAGCAAACCTTTACATTACCATGGCACTCTCTGGACTGTGGTGTTTTGGTGTTTTGACCCTCTCAGCAGCCCTGTGAGGATCAGGGATTATCTTTCCATTATGAAGCTGCTGAAAATGAGGTTAAGGAATAGGAAGCCACTTGCCCAAAGGCACAGTGAGCACAGCATATGGTAGACTTTATGAAATGACAACAAATTCTTCCCATCTATATGCACATCCCTTTGATGGGACTTTGCCGTTCCTCTCATTAAGATGAGGAGTCTATAGCTTTCCATTCTTTGAATCTGGGCTCAGCCATGTGATATACTCTGCCCCATAGGACATTAGCAAGTGTGACTCAGGCAGAAGTTTTGAAAGTGCTGACACATTGAGGTTTGCCCTCTCTTGAGCTGGGAACGTGGAGATCACATAGGGAGAAGCCCAGGTTAGCTCCCTGGAGCATGAGAGGCCACGTGGAGAGAAAGATGCAGCCATCCCAGCTGCTGTCTGTTTTAAATGTTGGCTGTATTATTACTCAGGGATGATGAGGGTATCAGATCAGGAGATGACTGCCATTGGAAAAAAATGGCTTGTTACCCACAGATCCTAAAAGATGGAGCATCCCACATTGCAGGGGACCAAATGGGGAAGCACCAGGGTCCATCCAGGGGCAGAGGGAGTGAGAGGAAAATGGGGCAAGAACCTCTATTTTGGTTTCCTGGGAAGGAACAGGTGAGGAAGGGTAAGCAGGTTTAAGATGGGCTAGTTTGGATAATTTCATTTGGCTCTGAGGTATAAGGGCTGTCTCTAGTTGTCTGGTACTTGGCTGTAAGGTGATTGGGGTAGGAAAATAATGGCACAGGGTATCAGAGCTCTGTAACAGAGTGGCTGGGGCTATGGGCTCTGTCTTGTTCAGTTTGCATATGGAAGGGAGAGTCATTTACCATCTGTAGGAATTGGCTCACCCTAGACGGACCAGTCTCTCCAGGGTCAGGAAGACCCCAAGATGTCAAATAATCAAAAATACAGAAAATAAAAAGGCATGATGAATACACTGTCCCAGCTGAGGACTCAGACATGTGAGTGAGGGACTCCAGACCATCCAGTCCCAGCCAAACCAGTGAGGACCAGAAACACCATCCAACCAACCTGCAGAATGGTGAGAAATAAATCATTGATGTTTCAAGCCACTGAGTTTGGGAGTGGTCTGTTACACAGCAAAGATGGATGCAGAAGATGACCCAAAACTGGCCTCTGACTGGTCCCAGGCATGTTCCATCTCCCTCCTGGTGGAGTGAGGGGTGAAAGTAGGACAATTTTGGGGTGGCGAGAAGGTATTACCAAGTCACAGCCTATTCTGTCAGGTGACAGACAGATGGGGAGGGAAGTCTCTGCACGCAGAATCCCAGCCCTCTGAAAGCTTAGGGGAAACAGCTGTCCCCCAGCCTCAAAATAGCTGCTCATTACTACTGGCTGATGCTATGCATGGTGATGACAGTGGCAATGGGGTTACACAGGGACAAATGTGTCTCACTCCTCAGGATGCTGGCTGCCGAGTCGCTGAAAACAAAACCAATTTTTCCAGGAGGGCCAAGGGTCACAAAAACAGGTAGGCAAGTATGTATGGGCTCAGGAGACACACCCAAGCCAAGAAGGCATTCCCATTTGTTTTTCTTTTTCAGACAGGTTCTTGCTTTGTCGCCTAGACTGGAGTGCAGTGATGTGGTCATGGCTCACTGTAGCCTTGACCTCCTGACCTCAAGCGATCCTCCCACCTCAGCCTTCCAAGTAGCTGGGACTAGAGGCATGTGGCTAATTTTCTATTTTTTGTAGAGACAGGGTCTCACTATGTTGCCCCAGGCTGGTCTTGAACTCCTGGGCTTAGGCAATCCTCTGCCTTGGCATCTCAGAGTGCTGGGATTATAGGCGTGAGCCACTGCATCCAGCCAACATCCCCTTTCCTGCTTGGAGCTGTCCCAGCCTACACTTGGCTGTCTGCTGTGCAGGATCCAGGAAGCGAGAGCAGCAGGACATACACATAAACTTAGTAAGGGTTACCTATGACCTCCACAGTCGGAGTGGGCCAGGAGATGGGAAGGAGAGGCCCATGAAGTGGGGGTCAACAGGATGCAATCAAGGAGGTGCCAGGTTAATGAACACCCAGGTTTGAAGTTCCAGCTGTACTTGTGTATGTAACCCAAAGCAAGTCAGATTTAACCTCTCTGAGCCTCAGTTTCCACATCTGCAGAATGGGGATTAGGATGAACCTCTCTTCATCCTACTTCACATGTTGGTTGTTTCCATTAAGATGGTGATGATGATGATGATCAATTGCTACCATATAAAGAAGGCTTAGTTTAGACACCACACCAAGTACTTCCAATGAATTGTCACAGGTGGCTTATTATTATTTCCATTTTCCAAGTGAGGAAAACAAATATTAGATAGGTTAAATGACTTTCCCAAAGTCACACAGCTAGTACAAGGTAGAGGCAGGATTTGAACCAGGAATATCTGATTCTAAATCTCAATGTCACTGCAAGTGGTTGGTTCTAGTCCCACCCAGCATTTGCAGGGAGTAACTGGGTAATCACGAGTCCCCCAGTGGTGGCTAGGGCACCAGGATCAGCCAACACTCACAGCCTGGCAACCAATGCCAAGGAATCGCCCTGGGGTTGCTTCCTTAGGTGGAAATGTGGAAATGGCAGACACTTAAGACTTCCCTGAATGCTTTTTACCTCATACCTATCTTTAACATTGGTCAGCACCCGTGATCCCCATCATCTCAGCATGGCAACCAGTAAGGAGGGACGCCAGAGCATCTCTGGAGTCGGGCAGCACCAGGAAACGGGAAGGAGCTAAGTTTGCGTCATTGAGGAGCTCAGCCAACATTTGACACAGATTCCAGGTCCCACCCACTATTCCAGGCTGCCCATATTTTTTCTTGGAGGCAAGGTGTGTAGAGGGACACTGAAGAAATATTTTTGAGTAAAAGGACTGAACAGAGGTTGGTGCTTTGTCTTCTCTGTCGGAGACAGATGGACTACATGGCTTTTCATTTTGTCCCCTGGATGCCTGGAGATAACGGACACCCGATTCACTCACTATCCACTCTTGGGTGACTCATGGTCCTATTGTTTCAGGCCAACCTGTGTACATTCAGGGACAAATCCAGTCATGGACAACCAACTGTGGCTCAGAAGAGCTAGGAAAACCCCCACCTGAAAGTGTCTCTCCAGCTGAAAGTGTCTGGTCACAGCAGCAAAATCCCTCTGGCAGTTGTTCAGTCTTGGAGTTTAAAAGGCTTTCAAATGTAAAGTCCTCTGAAGAAAAAAAAAAAAAAAAGCAAGAAAAGCAACACCTTTAGGGATTTTCATTACACCAGAAGCTAGGTTCATGGTGCCCTTGGTATCTCAGGATACCCTTAGGCCAAAAGAAATACCTAACAATTCCATTTATCAAGTAGTTATGTATAAGCAACTTAATAAATGTGTCCTTATTAACAGAAAATAATATACATAAGTTAAAAGAAAAATATTATTTTATTTCACTCCTAAAGAGACACAATTACTTCCTAACAAAACATGTGTCTCTGTTGGGCACTGCAGAATTCTCAAGCCCTGCAATCAGATTGGACACTGCCACCCTCAACTCCTGTCCCACGCTGATTTTCAGTAGTACTTTTTTTCATCCTTGTAATCACTGAAAACCTAGCTTTGCAAAGATATGACATAATCTGAAGGAATGTAGAGTGATCTGTTTACCCCTGTCACGTGGGGTTGGATAGACGTCAGGCATTGCTTTGCTTCCCTCAAAAATTTAAAATACCTCGCCGGACTCCTGTGAGTTCACAACAGCACCCTGGGCACCTCAGCATAGCTAGGAACTGCAAAGTTATGCATTGGTAGGTGCCAGCCAGCAGCAGGCAAAATGCAAGGGCCTTTAAAAATACAATATGGGGTAGGGACCTGTGGAACAGGGCAGGAGAAGGGCTGCTTGTGGGAGTAAGCAGGGGGCAAGGGAGTGAGGGGATTATTGTGTAGACGAGGCTAGAAAAGACTAAATGTCATTTAACCTGAGGTTCTTTTCTCCATTGGGAAAAGGTATCTAATCATAGCTATTCTGTCCACCTTAAGGATTATCATGCATTCAAATGGACTACAGGTTTGGAAACACCTTGCGAATGGTATCAAGCTTGAGCTTGAGCTTGATATAAATGCTGGATATTGCGGCTAATGTGTTTCCTTCTCATCAGAGGTTATTGCAGAGACCCTTTCCCACAAATACTCTGTACTCCCAGCACCTTGCCACTGCAGAGGAAATGTGGCCAATTCCAAATGATGCTCAAAGCTTATTTTGTTTCCTTTAGATAACATCCTGCTGGTTACTGATCATACCTGTTGATGAATTCCAAAAGAGCAGTTGCTATCTCAAAGGCAAGCAAGGTCATGGAGGGCAGGAAAAGCACAACCCTGAATGCAGAACGAGCACCACCAGGGTCTTGAAACCTTACAAACAACTTCATAAATCCTGCACTGGGCTTCCTTATTGACCACACAGGCTTCCTATCAAACATGAATGAAGAGGAGGTGGACTGTATTACAAAATTAATAATGTAAGATGGTGGCTGCCAAAGCCATTCATAATCGTAATTGCTTTTGCATGTGTTTTCTTGAAAGCAACTTCATATTTGTCAGCAACTAGGAATGAAGGCGCTTCCTTTGATACTTATATGTACAGGCACAAAATAGAGTTGAACTTTGCTGCACACAATAAATGTGTTGTGAAAATACGTGTTTGAAGTCTAATAAACAGACTTTTATTTTGCCCATGTTAAACACAGAAGAGAATGTCTTCTTTAATGGGAATGGGAACAATCTTGCACTCTTTTGCCCTTTTTGCTCTTTTCTTAGTTTAGATGTTCATAGATAATTGCCTAAAGTACTCAGGTCACACAGAATCTCAAACCAAAGGAAACATGACATGATCTCTATTGTCAACATAAGATTTTTGTAGTTGCAGAGGTACTGGAAAGGGAAAATAGATGCAGCCCATAAGAGGTATATAGTTCCAAACTGCATTATGTCACTGAAAAATCTGCTTATTCGATTTACAGTTAGGCTAATTAGAGGGTTCCAGGAGAAAAGAGGGAGCTGAGATCCCTGACTCGGGAGAACAAAAGGGGCATGAATGAAAGAGCAGTTTCCTGTGAACACAAAATAGTCTCCGAGCATGAACTTCTGGCGGCACTTCTAAAGAACAATGAGAGCATCACCTGAGCTAAGAGATAACAGAATTCTCTAGTGCTCCTTGTAACAGATTCCAGGTCACAGAAGAGAAATCAGAACTCAGTCTCCCCAGGATCTGAAGTCAGACACATCAGAGTTTGAATCCCATGTGGCCTTAGGCAAGTTGCTTTCTATCTTTGTGCCTCAGTTTTCTCATCTGTAAAATGGGGACAATAATACCTTACAAGGCGTTATGTTCCAATGCAGTAATGTAGGATGTAGAGTTTCACAACAGTGAAACCTATATATGAATACCTGTTTTCCTTCCTGGCTCTAGGCCCAAAAGGTCACAGATTAGTGAGCTGCCTCTGGCCAGTGATCCTTATACTCCCTGCTGTCAGACATTCTCTTACCCAGTGGTTCTCCAACTTTCATGTGTACCTGAATCCCCTGGAGAGCAGATAAAGAACTCAGAGGCCTCGGCTCATTGATGTAGGAGAGAGAGGCTTGGCCTGCCTGTTTTCACCAAATTCCCCCAGATGAGTCCAATACAGCCCAAAGATAGAGAACACTGTCTGATATGGTTTAGCTCTGTGTCCCCACCCAAATCTCACCTTGAATTGTAATAATCCCCGCGTGTCGAGTGTGGGACCAGGGGGAGATAATTGAACCATGGGGGTGGTTTCCCCCATGCTGTTCTCGTGATAGTGAGTGAGTTCTCATGAGATCTGATGGTTTTATAAGGGGCCTCCCCCTTCGTTTGGCTCTCATTCTCTCTCCTGCCACCCTGTGAAGAGGTACCTTCTGCCATGATTGTAAGTTCCCTGAGGCCTCCCCAGTCATGCAGAACTGTGAATCAATTAAAGCTCTTTTCTTTATAAATTACTCACACTTGGGCAGTTCTTTATAGCAGCATGAGAATGGACTAATCACTGTCCAAATGTGTTTATAGCCCAGGAGAATATTCAGCGAGAGAAGAATTTTACATAGACCTATTATACAAGTTAGTTCAGGGGTTCTTAATCTTGGCTGTGCACTGTACTCACCCGAGGAGTTTTTGGCCCTACTGAGGCCCAGGGCCCACCACCACAGGACCTATTACATCAGGTTCTGTGGTAGTGGGTCCTGGGCCTCAGTAGCGCCAAAAACTCCTGGGGTCAGCTGAGCATCTGGATTTCTGAGAACTCCCAAGATGCTGTAACGTGCAGCGAAGTGTGAGAAGCCCTTAGCTAGATCCAAGTGAGGTCCCCGGTGGCCTCTCCTTACCCCTCCCACCTCTTCTCTTCTGTGCCCCAGGTGGCCCCTGAGTCATTACAACCAAACCCAAAGGACTTCAAGACAGTGTACAAACGAACTGACCCCAGTGTTTGTCCAAAATGTCCTGCCAAGCTGGTTCAACTCAGAACGCTGTTTAGCTCCAGCTGAGTAGGGCCAGCAGCACGGAGGTGAGCACAGCATGTCTGCAACATATTCTGGGCACAGTCTACCTCCAGCATTGTACTCCAGTCCCCTAGGGCCCAGCCGTCAGTGACTGTCCTTCTACTGGAATGCAGACTTCAAGAGGGTAGGTCTTTTGTCTGTTTTGCTCAGAACCATATCTCCAATATGTAGAATAATACCTGGCACTTAGTAGATGCTCAGTAAATATTCATTGAATATAATGAATGGATGAGTGAATGTGAGTAGAAATTGGTCATGGGCTTGTTGTAGTTTTTCCAGAAATGCTTACATCTCTATGAGGGCATTTTTGTGAAGAGCAAAAAACTCTAAAGCCCCCAAGAGATAGAATTTCAGGCACCTGATAGGTGGCTGGCAAGGGAGATTCCTTAGGGCTAGGAAACCTCAACAGTTCTCAATTCATACTAGGTGTGATATACACAGGGACCGTACCTACACCATCTTGCTGAAGTTAGTCAAGCTGTGTTCTTCAGAGCCCTGTGGCTTCCACCAAGATGCCTGAAGGATCTCCATGGAGAGAAGGGTCTTCGTGGAGAGGGTGGGTTAAATGGGCAGGATACCCTGCCCCCAAAACTAGCATCAACCAAGAGCACTCCATGGTTATCCATTTTACATATTCCATGTCCAGGTCTTTCCATTGAAAAAATGGACTTTGCTTTTTTCAAAAAAATACTTTGAAACAACCTAACTAGATCATTTTGCTAAACAAATAAATCTTGATACTTCCTTTATCAAGGGGGAGGGCTTGTCTCCAGCTGCTGGGAAGAAGAGGAGCTGACACCTAGGGTGTCATCCAGAAGGATGCTTCCCTTTGGTGCCACATATCCCTTCAGAATCTATGCAGCCCATGAAGGGACGGACCTGAGACCTCTCTCCATCCACCCCAGACTCCTGCAACCTCATCAGTTCCTGCTCTTGTCAATCCAGATATGAAGCTTTGGGAATAAGAAATAGGATGTCATCACTCCTCAGCTCAGAAGTAAAACTGCCCAAAGCTTAGCCATTAAAAAAGAAAGTCATGAAAGAAATGCCCACGCAACCCTGCAGATAAGGTCCTAGCCCACGGAGGTCTTGCAATCTGCATTCTTGCAGTTATGAATTCTTGTTTGTCCTGACAGGACAGCAATAGGTAACTTATGCTTTGAATGTTTGTATCCCCTCCAAAATTCATGTTAAAACTTAATCTCCAATGCAACAGTATTAAGAGGTGGGGCCATTAGGAGATGATTAGGTCATGAGGACTCTTCCCTTGTGAACGGGATTAAGGCCCTTATAAGAGGCTTCACACAGCCCTCATCCCCTTTTATCCCTTCTACCTTTCACCATGTGAGAACACAGTCTTCGTCCTCTCCAGAGGATGCAACAAAAAGACGTCGTGTTGGAAGCAGAGAGCTTCCTTCACCAGATAACAAACCTGACAGCACCTTGACCTAGGGCTTCCACAACTGAGAGGAATAAATGTCTATTGCGCATAGAAATTTTGTGTTTTCTATGGTATTTTGTTACAGCAGCACAAACTGACTAAGACAATCATATGCCAAGAAAATCCTTACTTGACCTTCAAATATGTGGATCCTGGGTAGTAGTGATAATAGCCAATACTTTATAAACTGCTTTCTCCATTGGACTGTAAGCTTGTTAAGAACAAGAAAGAATTCTGATTTATCTTTTTATTCACAGAGGCTAACACATAGTAAGTGGCCCAAAAATTGCTGTTGCTACACTCAATTTCATACATATTCTGTCACTTAACATTCTCAACAATTCTATGATAGAGGTATTTCCACCAACGTCATTTTATAGTTATACAAATTGAAAATCAGAAAAGGTAGCCCAAAATTACAATTATCCTGAGATGGCTCCAATAATAGAATTAGAATCTTAATCCAGGTCCTCTTAGCCTAAATCTTATAGTCTTACAAGAGCCTAAGGGCTGTGAACTGAGTCTGAATGGAGCCTATCCAAAAGTTGGGTCCACTAAAGAAAAACAGGAGGGCAAGTCTGCAGCCTAGGTCTGGAGTAAGTGTTCCTCATCTCAGAAGACTAAGGAGGATTATCTCCTATGGCTTTTGGCCCTTCAGGATGAAGCGCTTTCCTAGGGCATCTTAGGGACCCAGCATCCTGTGTCTTTCCATGTCTCTGGCTCTGAGTCACACTTGTCAGCTCATTCCCAATGATCAGACTGTTTGTGCCCTGACTCACTTGGGACAACAGAAAAAAATAGCAACTTGGCTGACCTGCTTTGTTCCCCATCCTTTCATATCAATGACAAATGGGACATTTATGGTAAAACCCTGGGGAAGTGTCTCAGAGTTTGGTGTCTCACTTTTGCTAAGGTGAGAAATCCTACTGTCCAGGAAGAAGTTCCAGGTCTCAGCACCCCAAATGCCAAGAAAGTGAGGTTTTTCTAATAATAGGCTTTATAGCTACAGCCTACAATAGGCTTTAATGTTTATCAACAGGAGAGAAAGTTGATTCGGTTGGGTAACATTTGCCTGCCACATTTACAGGCACTGCATGCCGACGCAATGGTGTCCAGTGGAAGGAGGGAACATCTCTTCCAACATGTTTCTTTTTACAAGGATAAAAGCTTTTCCCAGAAGTCCCCCTCATGTCCCTTGGCAGACTAGCAACACATGCAGATGCCTAAACCAATCTCCAGCAAGGGGAATGGAACCACCATGATGGGCTCAGACCAGTCAGGACTTGCCCCTGGAGCTGGGGATGGGCTCACTCATTCCTGAATTCTTGCTCCCAGTGGAGAGATGGGCAACAAAACAAAAGAGAAGGGGGAGGAGAGAAACAACAGTTCCCTAAACTACTACCAGTGTTTTTACAAAGTTAGATTATTCCATTCCATCTATTTGCTGATCCTATTATGCAAGTATTAAAATTATTATAAAAACATTGTGGCAACATGGATAGTCTTTTAATTTAATAAGATAAAAAAATTAAGAGACAAAAATGTATGCGTGCTAGAATTGCAGCATACAAATATACTTGTATGTGGATAACAGTGGAAGATCAGGATGAAATTAATTCATTGATGCATCAGATGAAGTGATTAAGACTGACTTTATTTTTCAATTTCCCAAAATTCTGTAATGTTAAATAATTAATGATTGTAATAATGTGAGTAATTAAAAATAAACAAGATCTCCATTGGCTGCATTTAAGCGTGGTCGAGATATTGACATGCAAACAGAGTACACAAATATTCAAGGCTCCTCTGAGAGCCAGGTCCTGCGTGGGAGGAAATGATTTCTCAAGGTGAAATTCTGAGCATCCAGATACCTCTAAATAAAAGTAAGTTTGTCTTTTAACCACAGTGTATTTTTTTTAAGTGCTTGATGAATTTAAAGTAAATGTGAAGGGTATGTTAGCTGGCCCAACATTAAATATAGGCTCCTTGATTTACCCAGAATTCACTCTTGGAGGTCCCAGAGGGAACTGGAAAATATAGGTGGTTATCTTCCAGAAAAGATAGATGGTTATCTTCCAACTAAAACTAAGCTACAATGACAGGCTTGTGTGCTGTTCACTGGAAGAGACAGAGGGCTTTCAAAAGTCAACATGAAACCTAAAGTCTCAAAGGCAGACACTTTGCCTGTAGGTGTTGGTTGCTAACAGAGCAGCTCCTCACTTGGCCAGCTCTGTGTAGCAAGACCTCGGGCTGAGTAGCGGCAGATTTTAATACATTAAGTGGTAGTTAATAATTCTCCTGTGCAATTCCAGCTGGTCTTAGAAAAAAAGGAATTTGTCTAAAATAGAGAGGTTCCCAGTTGATTGCCCCGATCTGGACATAGGCTAGAAAACATTTGAGGGCAGAAGAAGATGGCCGACTGTCCCACTAGCAGGGATCCATTTTGAGGAGGGACGTTCACACTCAGTAAAAGTCCCGGGTGTGTGATACTCCTCTGAATGTCCTCTCTCGGTTTCCTTTGTTTAGGGTATGATGCTCTCAGCTGCATGTAATAGACAACCCCATCTCAAAATAACATTAAAGACATATATTATTTAACATATGAATTCCAGAGCCAGATGGGCAAATTCAGCTGCTCAATGCCATCTTCAAGGACGTGAATTCTCTCCATCTTTGTGCTCTGCCATCTTTAGTCTGAGGCTCTGCCCTTGGACTCACTCCCTTCAAGGTGGTAAGATGGTTGCCCCCTTGGCAGCATCACATCCAGACACAATGATGTCCAGAAAAAGAACAGACTTTCCATCCTTGAGTTTGTCTCCTTTTGACAATAAGGAAGCCTTTCCCAGAAGCCCACTAGAACACTTCTCACATCTCCATGACCATAGTTCTACTGAATGGTCATGCCTAAACCAGTTACTGCCAAAGGGAATGAAATTGCCATGCTGTCATGAAGGGCATGACCGTGTGAAGGGTAGATTAACCAAATGGAAGCAGAGTTCTATCAGAAAGGCAGAGGGGAATATATGGTATTAATGAAAGCATTGCTACACCTAGGTACCCCATACCTTGACATTACTCCCTTCCCCTACAACAAAAACCACATCCCTTACCTCTACCACTTCTAGATCTTTAGCACTTACCCCAACTGAATGACAGTCTCTTTTTAATGAGCCTGTTTTCCAGTCTATGCAGGCAGAAGAAATTCTCGTTAGGTGGGTCTTACTTGGGGAACATCACCACGTCTGTGAAGCTCACTGGGAACTCCTTCCTCAGTCAGGACCCCATCCTGTCCTGTGTCCCATATCACTGTCACACTTGCCATTGTCAGTCTCCTCTTTTAGTCAATTGTGTGTTTTTCATCTTCCCAAAACAAGACTGTGAGCTTCTATGGGACAGCCAATATGCCCAGTTCCTGTTCCAGTTCCCAGCATCTGGCTCTCTAGCTAGCACCCGATAGGTGCTCTGTATTTGTTTACTTGAAACCACCAGAGTTTTTTACACCAAGTGAGATCCAAGTACCCATCTAGCACACCCAACAAACAGTTTAAGGAAACATGAAATGTGTGCCTAGCTAGGTGGGAGGCTGTGCACTCCATTTGCCTTCTAGTTTCAAGCATGCGCAGAAAGAATCTGCATCCTTGACATGTTACTGAGCAGCACCATGGGTCACGTGGGCCACAGTGAGCATCCCCTGCAGCGTTTCCCCCAGTCCTCCCACTGGAAGAGGGCCAGAGTCATCCGACAGCAAATGTCCCAGAAACATATAGAGCATGCAGGAAAGGGGCCCATTCCTTAGCACTGACTTCATCTTTAAAACTAAGTATAAACCAGTTCCTGTTCACTCCTACTTAGTAAGAGCTGTCCTAACAGTATTCAGGATGCCCAGATCCTTTGCTTTAGAACTCCTCTCTCTTCTTGCACAGCCAGATGCATGTGAAGACAGCTCTCTTGCCTCCCTGTCTCTGCTTCTGCACTAAAGCCTGTAACACCTCCATGGTTCTCCACGTGACAGCAGGATCCTCTCAGTCTCCTGGCTGACCTCACTCATTCAAAAACGTTCTAGCTTGTCAACATTCTACAAATATAAGTGTTAAAGAAAACCAGAGCCAGACAGTAATTAGAGCCATAAAAGCAGATTTTACTCAGGAACTATTTCAATAGGAGAAATGAGCCCTCAGGACTCTTAGAACTCTTGAACCTTAGAACTGGACTCCATTCCAAATACAGCAAGGACAAGTGAGGATTTACAGCCCAGGAGTGGTCGTGGCGGGACGGTCAGTGAAAGGAAACATCAGGGGTAGGAGTGGATTCTGGCTAAACCTACTCAACATCTCACTGAAGGTAGGCCAGGATGATCAGATTCTGAGGGTGAAGGATAAAGAATTTGATCAGATACCAAGTATGAGGAATTCTCACTAAACTGACTTAGTAAGATTTCTGAAATTTTGTTTTTAATTGACAAACAATAATTGTATATATTTATAGGGTACAGTGTGGTGTTTTTATCTTTATTTATTTATTTTTTTTGAGACAGGATCTCGCTCTGTCACCCAGCTGCAGTGCAGCAGCACAATCTCAGCTCACTGCTGCCTCGATCTCTTGGGCCCCAGTGATCCTCCCACCTCAGTCACTCATGTAGCTGGGACCACAGGCGTGTGCCACCACAACCAGCATTTTTTTTTTTCCTTTGGAGAGATGGGGTCTTCCTATGTGGGTCAAGCTTGATGTTTTGATATATGTTTACATTGCAGAATGATTCCATCAAGCTAATTAACATATCCATCACCTCACATACTTAACATTTTTTGGGTTATGAAATTACTTAAAATCTACTCATTTAGCTTTTTTTTTTTTTTTTTGAGACAGTCTCACTATGTCACCCATGCTGGAGTGCAGTGGCATGATCATAGCTCACTCTAACTTCAGACTCCTGGGCTCAAGTGATCCTCTCACCTCAGCACCCTGAGTAGCTAGGACTACAGGCATGAGCCACCATACCTGGCTAACTTTTTTTTTTTTTTTTGGTAGAGCTGGGGGTCTTGCTATGTTGCCCAGGCTGGTCTCAAACTCCTGGCCTCAAGCAATCCTCCTGCCTTGGCCTTCTTGTAGCAATTTTGAAATACACAATACATTATTATTAACTATAGTCACTACTCTGTGTAATAGATCAGCAAAACTCATTTCTCTTATCTCACTGAAACTGCACACCCCTTGATCAATATCTCCCCATTCCTCAACCACCCACTCTTCCATCCTCTGGTGACCAATATTCTACTCTCTGCTTTTATGAGTTCAACTTTTCTAGGTTCCACATATAAACAGGGTCTTGCAGTATTTGTGTTTCTGTGACTGGCTTATTTCACTTAGCATAGTGTCTTCCAGGTTCATCCATGCTGTTGAAAACAACAGGATTGATTTCCTTCTCTCTTAAGCCTGAATAGTATATTCCATTGTGCATATATGCCACACTTTCCCTCCCTCCCTCCCTCCCTTCCTTCCTTCCTTTCTTCCTTCCTTCTCTTTCTTTCTTTCTCTTTCTTTCTTTTTGAGACAGAGTCTTGCTCTGTCGCCCAGGCTGGAGTGCTGTGGCCTCGGCTCACTGCAACCTCTGCCTCCTGGGTTCAAGCGATTCTCCTGCCTCAGCCTCCTGAGTATCTGATATTACAGGCACATGCCACCACACCTGGCTAATTTGTTATTTTTAGTAGAGATGGGGTTTCACCATGTGGCTCAAGCTGGTCTCAAACTCCTGACCTCGTGATCTGCCCACCTCAGCCTCCCAAAGTGCTGGGATTACAGGCATGAGCCACCACGCCCAGCCGCGCTTTTTTTTAACCATTCAAGGCAATATAGAGACAAACGCAAAAGCACAAATGTCCAGGCCTAGTTGAGAAGCAGGTTCAGAGGAGCCGGACTAAAGTTTGGTTCAAGAAGAGAGCATCTTTGTCAAAGGCAGCAGAACCAGATGCTTTAGGGATAATGTATAACCAAAACAGAAAAGAGGGAGACTTCCCTTTCCCTGGTTAGGTACTAAAGTAGCTCCAAATTGCATATTTCCAAAAAACTACCTAAATGGCTACTTATCTTGAGCTTTCCAGTTTGAAAAGAGCATGGAGTTTGAAGTCAGACAGATATGGGGTCAAATCCCAGCTCAGCCACTGATTAGCTCGTTGTGTGACCTTGTGCAGATCAAGTCCCCTCTCTGAGCTCCCGAGTCCTCATCTCTAAAATGGCAATCATGAAATTGATCTCACAGAGTTGCTATGAAGACTCAATTAAAAGAGAATGTCTACAAAGAACCAAGCATAAAATATGAGCTTCATCAAGAAGATTCACAACTCCTATTACCAGTAAAAAATGTAAAGCCCTAAGTAGTTTTCACACATAGGGCTCCTCTGCCCTGTACCAACAGCACGTATGGGGAGTGCAGGAGTCACAGAATGGCAGAGGTGGAACTGCTCTCAGGTATTAACTGAGCCCAGGGCTTCTCACCCCAGCTCAATCATCTAGGGTAGCTTCCGGATAACATCACCTCCCAGGTCCAACCATAGGCCAATTAAATCAGGATCTCTGGGGACAAAGTGCAGATGTCTGTGTTTTCCAAAATACAGGAATGAGTTCTGTTTGTTATGTAGATGGAGAGAGTATAGAAAGTTTTCATCCCCAGTGTTCCCTGGGTCCTTTCTCAGTCTCCTCTGGGTTCTGAGGTGCGGCACACTCCAAACCCTAACCTCAGGAAGCTCACAGTCTGGTTAGAAATTCCAGCACGCTCCTAAAAATAGAACCAGTAGTCCCAGGCATGATGTTCATTCAGCAAACATCTGTGGTATGAAATTCAGCCCACATGGAAGCACTGAGGCCATGCACAGCCCTAGCTCGAGGCCATGCACAGCCCTAGCTCAAGGCCAGCAGGAGAAGGGACAAAAGCAAGATACCAGAATAAGATAAGATAGGTCTTTGGAATTGAAGCGTTTCCAAATGTGAAACTGACAGACACCCTAGAGGTCCTGGGCTCCAGATCCTTCATTTAAAGGGTACAAAAATTTGATTCCTAGAGGAAGTAACTGACATGCCCCATCTGCATAGCATGTTACTAGACAAAGTAGGACCTAGGGGGTCCTGAACTCTGCTCCAGAGACCTTCACTGAAACCCACTGCCCATGAACAACAAGAGCCAGCTGCTTTCATTCAGGGGTGTTGGAGGAAAGCACCATGAAGGAGGTGGGCAAGGACTGGGCTCTGGGGGAAGGACATAAGCAAAGGCATGGGTGCAGAACTCCCTTTGCACCTGGTTATCCAAGCGCCCTAATTCCTCACACCAGCCCTGTCAATTCTTCCACCCCGCCCTCCGCCACCTTCCCTGGCACAAGGCTCCTTCTTGCTGAAGTATTCACAGCTGGAGCCCTGGATTCTGGAGGGCACCTCAGCTGGGATTTCTACATTGCATTTTCAGGACTGTCCCACTGGGCCCCTCTGGGGGAAAGAGCAGGATGAGAGAAGACAGCCTCTGCACCAGAGAGGTCACCAAGCTAATTGGGCAGGTGCCCGGTGCCTCCCTTCCTTTCTGGAGCAGCTCTTCCAGGATCCTCTACAGAGACTCTTGTGGGGGTGGCATGAACAGCTCATTTGTTAGTAGCAGCAGCAACCAAGGCTGAGGGTGACATAGCATGGGATCTGAGACAGCGGAGGGAGGCAAAACGTGCCTTCCGTCACCACAGATACCCTCTGCCTGCTTATATCTGAGCCTGCCCTCCAGCCCCCACCCTGCTCCTTGGCTCCTCCTGAAGCCCCTTACCTGTCTCCATTTGTATCTATCCTTCCACTCGCAGGGGACCATGGGTCCTGGGCGTGCCATATGCCAGGTGCTGGAGATACAGAGAAAACAACAAGGTGGGATCCTTTGCCCTCCAGTAATCATGAATAAGTCAGAGAAAGAGATTTAATGAATATATATAAAAGACAAACAGCAGGCCAGGCCCTATGCTAAGCCCTTTTGTTTTTTTTTCAACTCACAGTGCTGAGAGGTAACGGGGTTTGTGCTGGACAGAATTCTAAGGTAGCCCCAAGATTCCCAGCTCCCGATGCACATGCTCTGTAAAATCTCCTCCCATTGGGTCCTCCCCAGCGGTCAGGCCCTGGGAACATGATGGGGAGTCACTTCCCTGACTGGGTTGTGTTATGTAAGACTCTGTCCTAGCAGGCTGGAGAGAGATTCTCCTGCTGGCTTTGCAGATGTGAGTAGCCGTGCTGGAAGAGGCCCACATGGCTAGGACTTGAGCATGGCCTCTAGGGGCTGAGATCAACCTCCAGCTGAGAGCCAGCAAGAATACAGGGACTCTGCCCCATAGACAAAAGGAACTGAATTCTGCCCACATCCCGAATGAGCTCAGAGGAGGACCCTATCCTCTAGATCACCATGGGGCCCCAGCCAACGCCTTGATGTTGCTTTGTGAGACCCTGAACGGGCAATCCAGCTCTGCTGTGCCCAGACTCTGAACTATAGAAACTGCGAAATAATAAAGGATTGTGAAACCACTGTGTTTGTGGCAATTTGTTATGCAGCAACAGAAAAATAATTCGGGGTGCTATTCAAAATATCCAAGAACTGGCAAGAAATGGGAACCAACCCATCAAAGAACACACAGGCAGTAAACAACTGTGGTGTGGGCAGAACATCAGTCTTGCAGGATGGTTTTGCCATTTTATAGATGTGAAAACTGACGTTCAGTGGAAATTGACTAGCCCGAGGCTTCATAGCTAATAGGAGGCAGAGGCAGATTCATTCCCAGGCCTTCTGGAAAGCAGTTCAGTGTAGCAGCTAAGAGGATAGGCTTTGGTAAAGCTGATGGAGGGCTTTGAATGCCACCCTTAGGGATGTGGACTTGATTTTCTAGGTAATGGCAAGGCACTAATAAAAGTCAGTAACATGCCAGGGTAGAATAGAATGATAAGATTGGCAGTGTGTGGAGGAAGACAGCTACGTGTGAGTTAGGAAAGAGTTCAGTCAGAGAAGCGGAACTGTTATGAGTGATACAGAATAAGGCATTTGACAAAAGGATTAGGCCTTATGCAATTGTAAGACCCGGTTAAGAAGACTATGTAGGGGAGGCTTCAGTGGGAGAATCACTTGAGGCCAGGAGTTCAAAACTACCCTGGGCAACATGGCAAGACCTCATCTCTAAAAACAAATGTAAAGAAGAGAAGTCTGGGCAAAACTGTGGTCCTTACTTCTGGTGTTGGGCCTGTAGGCATTACAGGTTGGCCAGGCTGGCAATCAGGAGGGAAATCAAGGTGTGAGGTGGAGGAGAGTAAGACAAACAGGGACCCAATAGGTGCCCTGCAACCCGAGAGGACAATTGTGGCTGAGCCCACAAGCTGCCCACTGGCTGGAGCCACAGCTGTCTTGAACTACATCCAACCTGGACGATACAAGAGACACTGGAGCACTTCACCACGGAGCTGCGCTCGCATCTGGCCCAGGACTAGGTGAAGTCTGAGTAGCAGGGCTGGAGGGAGCTGCAGGAGATATGGGCTTGGGTGCTGCCCATGTCAATGAGGCCAGGCAGCAGGACCGCAACAGCCATGACCAGTCACAGTGTTTGGCATCTTACGCTGGGCTTCAGAGCTTGAAAATTGCTGTTTCTTCATTTCACCTTCCGAATCTCATGTATATTCCTCTTTATAGCCAACCCTAAATGGAAGCATATTGGGAAGGCAACTGTGGGAAATGTAGCTCCCACTTAGCTAAGTTGACTCAGCCCCAATCAACTTCCATCTCAACAAAGAAAAAAGTCTGAAGCCAAGGGAATGACCTACCAGGGCTGGAATTTTGAAGTACAAAGTTTCTGTGGAAGGCCTTTTGTGGAGGATTTACAAAGACGTTGTGCCCCTTGGGATCTTGATCCCAAAACTGCCCACTCTTCACCCTGTCACATGCTGCCTCCTTACAGCCCCCCATCTCTGGCAGTGCCTAGAGTCCTTGGCTGTGGCCATAACGTTTCAGCAATCACAGTTTGCCATTCTGCTCGCAGATTTTAGAGTCTCCCTTGGCTGGTACCTTCCTCCCTTCTTCCACTCACACATTTTCTAAATGACCCCAAAAAGGTCACTCTGCAATCCTGATTGTCTAATCAGTGCTGGATCCCTCTGTAGTGTCCCCGATACATGCTCAGTTTGTTTGCCACCATTGATGGTGAACTCACTACCTGTTAAAGCTGCCTGCCTACTCCATTTTTGAATGGTGGAAATAGAAAGATATTGTTTATACTGAGGTGAAATACATCTCCCTGTAGCTGCCACCTATGGATCCAAATTTTACCATGAGGTGTAGTAAAAAAAGAAAAAAAAATCTAATTCCCCACATGTGGCAGTTAAAAAATTGGAATCAGAAAAACCTGAGCTCAGATGTTAGCCCTGCCACCCCTAGCTCTCTGAGTTAGCTCTGCCCATTCACTTCAGCATCCATTGGGGGATCCTGCCCATGGGAATTCATACTGTGGTAGAGTAACCGTGATTTTCCACTTCCCTGTGCTTCGATTTCCACATCTGTAAAATGGGGCCTTTGAGAATTTTTTTAAGCACATAATACACTTAGCACTATGCCTGGCACAAACTTAGAGCCCAGTAAGTACTAGCTTTTATTACTCAAACATAACAATGTCTCTAAGAACAGTCTTTCTAGGTTAAATATTTCCAGTTTATGTCATGGTCCTTAGCCCCCTCATCATTCCGGATTCCAAGTGCAGAGCATACACTCGGTGGGCCACAGTCTATCGAATGGGACTTGCCTTGCCTGCCCCATCCTAGCTGTACCAATTCCTGCCTCCCATCCGAGCAGTACCAATTTCCTGCAGGGCCTGACCCCAGTGACTGGAAGCCAGGAGTTCAAGACTAGCCTGGGCAACATGGCAAGACCTCATCTCTAAAAACAAATCTTTAAAGACTCAGAAGCTGGGAGCACCATGCAGCAGGAACTAGCTGTGCTGTTGCATCTAGTGGGAACAGGGAGGTGTCCGGGAAAGCTGAGAATAACTGTCCTGGGACTGAGCATGAGAGATGGCAGCAGCTGGTGCGGGTCTGGGTGGGGGCTCCAACCTGCACCTGCAGTAATGTGGACACATGCAGTAACGTGGACGTCTGCAGTAACGCAGATGCACGCCTTGGCCCCTCCCTCCCCAGCCCCATGCCCACTGCTCACCTCAGACTGGCAGAAACAGCTGAGGGAGATGTTCCTTCAGAATTAAAAATTCCTGGCCTGGTGCCGGGGATGTGTGTGTGCGTGTGTGTGGGGGGGTGCACGCGCATGTATATGGTGTTGGCTAGCTGACCATGGTGTTCCTAGAAGTGAAATAGATAGGAAGCCAACCAAATTCTTACTTGATGTGTACAAGTGGAAAATTCTAGGTTAAGTGAACAAAAATCTAACGTGAATTGTAGAAGCAGAGAGTCATAGCCCCTCAATCAATTCCCAGACTTGAGCCAGCCTACAGCCTCGAAACCCCTTGGATAAAGGGGAAGATGGGCCCCGTTGAGGAACCACTCTGGTGTACTACCCGAAATTTATCCTGTTAATGTTCCCCTAGCCTTCCCCAAAGGGACCTACATATAGCCTTTTACAGCATTAACTATGCATTGAGAAAAAAGAAATAATCAGAACTTTCAGGCACTAGTAGACACTGGCTCTGAACTCTCACTGATTCCAGGAGACCCAAAATGTCACTGTGGTCCAGGAGTTAGAGGAGAGGCTTGTGGAGGTCAGCTGATCCATGGAGTTTTAGTTCAATTCCATCTCACAGTGAGTCCAGTGGGTCCCTGAACTCATCCTGTGGTTGCTTCTCCTTTTCTGGAATGCAAAATTCGAATAGACATACTTGGTAACTGGCAGAATCCCCACATTAGTTCCCTGACCTGTGGAATGAGAACTATTATGTTGAGAAAAGTCAAGTAGAAGCCAGCAGGACTGCCTCTACTTAGGAAAATAGTAAACCAAGAGCCATACCTTGACAGAGTGTAGAGACTGATGCCACCATCAAGGACATAAAGGACACGGGGTGGTGATTCCTACCACATCTGCATTCAATTCACTTATTATTTGGCCTGTGCAGAAGGCAGATAGATCTTGGAGAATGACAGTGGATTATTGTAAGCAGGTAATAACTCTAATTGCAGCTGCTGTATCAGGTGTGGTTTCATTTCTTGAGCAAATTACCACAGCCCCTGGTACCTGGTATGTAGCTATTGATCTGGCAAATGCCTTCTCTCCACCCCTGTTAATAAGACCCACCAGAAGCAGTTTGCTTTCAGCTGGCAAGGCCAGAAATGTACCTTCGGTTATTTTGCAGCAGGGATACAGTAACTCTCCAGCCCTATGTCCATTAGTTAGCTTGCAGGGATCTCGTTTGCCTTTCCCTTCCACAAGGTACCACACTGATCCATTACACCAATGACATTATGCTAGTGAGCAAGAAGTAGCAACTACTCTAGACTTATTAGTAAAACATTTGTGTGTCAGAGGGTGGAAAACAAATCTGATTAAAATTCATAGGCCTCTACCTCAGTGAAATTTCTAGCATCCAGTGGTATGGGGTATGTCAAAATAGCCCTTCTAGGTGAAGGATATGATTTTGCATCTGGCCATTTCTACAACCAAAATAAGCCCAATGGGCTTCTTTGGATTTTGGAGGCAACATATTCTTCATTTGGGTGTGTTTCTCCCCTTTACTGAGTAACTCCCAAAGCTGCTAGTTTTGAGTGAAGCCCAGAATAAGATAAGGTTCTGCAATAGGTCCAGGCTGCTGTGCAAGCTGCTCTGCCCCTTGCGCCACATGACCCAGCAGATCCAGTGGCGCTTAAAGTGTCAGTGGCAGGTAGCGATGCTGCTTGGAGGCTTTGGCAGGCCCCTATAGGTGAATCACAGTGGAGAGTATAAGATTTCATGGCAAGAGCCTGCTGTCATTTGCAGATAACTACTCCCCTTCTGAGAAACAGCTCTTGGCCTACTAGCGGGCCTCAGCAGAGACTGAACGCTTGACATGGGCCATGACATTATCATGCAACTTGAGCTGCCTGTCATAAGCTGGGTGTTATCTGACCCACCACACCATAAAGTTGGGTGGACAAAGCAAGACTCCATCATCAAATGGAAGTGGTGTATCTGTGATCAGGCCCGAGCAGGTTCCGAAGGCACAAGTAAGTTACATGAAGAAGTGACCCAAATGCCCACGGTTCCTAACCCTGCTATGTTGCCTTCTCTCTCCCAGCCTGCACCTGTGGCTTCATGGGGAGTTCCCCAGATCAGCTGACAGAGGATGAGAAGACTCAGGCCTGGTTTACAGAGGGTTCTGCAGGATATGCAGGCACGACCCAAAAGTGGATGCTGTAGCACTGTAGCCCCTTTCTAGGACATCCCTGAAGGACTGTGGTGAAGGAAATCTTCCCAGTGGGCAGAACTTCAGCCAGTGCACCTGGTCGTGCACTTTGCTTGGCAGGACCGATGGCCAGACATGTGATAATATACTGATTCATGGGCTGTAGCCGATGATTTGGCTGGATGATCAGGGACTTGGAAAGAACATGATGGGAAAACTGGTGACAAGGAAATCTGGGGAAGAGGTATATGGATAAACCTCTCTGAATGTGCAAAAGATTAAGAGATTTGTGTCCCATGTGAATGCTCACCAAAGGGTGATATCAGCAGAGGCAAATTTTAATAATCAAGTGAATAGGGTGACTCATTCTATAGATATTAGTCAACTTTTTTTTTTTTTTTTTTTTTTGATACAGGGTCTCACTCTGTCACCCAGGCTGGAGTGCAATGGTGTGATCTCGGCTCACTGCAACCTCCACTTCCTGGGTTCAAGCAATTCTCTCGCCTCAGTCTCCCAAGTAGCTGGGATTACAGGTGCATGCCACCACACCCAGCTAATTTTTTTGCACTTTTTGGTAGTGACAGAGTCTCACCATGTTGGCCAAGCTGGTCTCGAACTCCTGACCTCAAGTGATCCGCCTGCCTCAGCCTCCCACAGTGCTAGGATTACAGGCATGAGCCACTGCGCCCGGCTTAGTCAACCTCTTTTTTCAGATAACTCTGTCACTGCCCAATGGGCTCATTAAATAAACAGCCCTCATGGAAGGGATGAAGGCTATACATGGACCCAGCAACATGGACTTCCACTCTCCAAGGCTGATCTGGCTATGGACACCACTGAGTGTCCAATCTGACAGGAGCAGAAACCAACACTGAATTCCCAGTATGGCACAGTTCCCTGGAGGTGATCAGCCAGCTACCTAGAGGCAGGTTGATTACATTGGACCACTTCTATCATGGAAGGGGCAGCGTTTTGTTCTTGGTGGAATAGACATTTACTCTGGTTATGGGTTTGCCTTCCTTGCACACAACACTTTTGCTGAAACTACCACCCATGGAATTACAGAATGCTTATCCACTGTCATGGTATTCTACATAGCATTTGCTTCTGTCCAAGGAACTCACTTCACAGCAAAAGAAGTACAGCACTGGGCCTGCGTTCATGGAATTTACTGAAGTTACCATATTCCCCACCATCCTAAAGCAGGTGGCATATGTAGAACAGTGTGATGGCCTTTTGCAGACTAATTTACAGCATCAGCTACGTTGCAATACCTTATAGGGTGGGGGCAAGGTTCTCCAGAAGCCTGTATAGCTCTGAGTCTGCATCCAGCATATGGTGCTCTTTCTCCCATAGCTAGGATTCAAGGATCCAGAAACCAAGAGGTGGAAATGGGGGTGGCACCACTCACTATTACCCTTAGCAATCCACTAGCAAAGGTTTTACTTCCTGTACCTGTGACTTTATACTCTACTCTCCTAGAAGTTTTAGTTTCAGAGGGAGAATGCTTCCACCAGGAATCACAACAATGATTCCACTGAATTGGAAGTTAAGACTGCCACCTTGCCACTTTGGGCCCGTCATGCCCATGAATGAACAGGTGAGGAGGGAGGTATAGTGATAGTTGGGATGGTTGTTCCAGACTATCAAGGACAAATTGGACTACTACTCCACAATGGAGGTAAAGAAGACTGTCTGGAATACAGGAGATCCCTTACGGCGTGTTTTAGTATTACCATGCCCTGTGATTAAGGTCAATGAATAACTACAACAACCCAATCCAGGCAGGGCTATGAACAGCCTAGATTCTTCAGGAATGAAGAGTTGGGTCACTCTCCCAGGTAAATACATATGACCAACTGGGATGCTTGCTGAAGGCAAAGAGAATTCAGAGAGAGTAGTGGAAGAAGGTAGTTATAAATACCTGCTACGGCCCTGTGACCAGTTACAGACACAAGAATTGTAATTATCATGAGTACTTCCTCCTTCCTTTGTTATGAATATGTGTGCATTATATTTATTATTTATATTAATTAATTATATATAAATAGCTTTGTTTTATTTCTTCTCTTATTCCCTTAGCATGCAACGTAAGAAATTTTGACTAAATATCATAGTATTTAAGCATTGTTAATTTTACATCATAGTATTTTTAGTTAGGTAATATCAAGGAAAAAGATATCAAGGATTTTACCTTATTTCTAGGAAAGGGGCTAGTGTATTTTTTATTGAATGCAGGAGAGTTGCATCACGTTAGGTGGAATTATGAACTTGTTCTTGTCTTTATCTGGAGATTAAGTATGGTTTAAGGAGGTGCTTATGGGTGCCAAGTTGACAAAGGATAGATTCATGCAGGTTCATTTTATGTGTCAACTCTACTGGGCCAGATACCTGGTTACATATTATTTCTAGGTGTATCTGTTAAGGTGTCTCTGGAAGAGATTAACATTTGACTTGGTAAACTGAGTAAAGCAGATTGCTCTCCCCAGTATGGGTGGACATCATCCAATCTGTTCAGACCTCAAATACAACAAAAGGGTGGAGGAGAGTTGAATTCTATCTCTACCCAGTGGTGAGAGCTGAGACATTGGTCTTTTCCTGCCCTTGGCCTGGGACTTACATCATCAGCTCCCCTGGTTCTCAGATCTTCAGGCTCAGCCTGGAATTTATAACACCAGCTTTCCTGAGTCTCCAGCTTGCAAATGGTAGATTACGGGACTTCTCAGCCCCCATAATCAAGCAAGCCAATTCCTTATAATGAATCTCAGCATCTAACTATCTATCTGTCTGTCTGTCTATCTATCTATCTCTCTATCTATCTGTCTATCATCTACCTATCTATCTATCTATGCATCCATCCATCCATCTATCCTATTTGTTCCATTTCTCTGGAGAACCCTGACTAATAAACTCTCCCACCTGGAAAAAAAGTTTTTAAACTATTCAAAATTTGTGCAACAGAAATTTTCAAGAAACTGGTCATCAGGAAAGGAAGGACAGATCCCTAAGAGAAAAGAAACCAGTAAGGTGAGCCAGCCCTACAACTGCCCAGCCCACTGTCTTGAGACAGTCTCCAGGTCACGACTTAGGGATGGGAACCCAGGCAGAGCTTGGCAAACTCTGTTGAGGAAATGCAGCTTAGAGTTCAGAGAGACCGTGGCAGCTAGAGAGATAGGAGAGAGACCAGAGGGGAGATTTCCCCAGAGAAAGCAAAACCTGGAGACCAGCAGAAGGTATCTCTTGGGTCTTCAGGAGAATACTTATTAGGATGTGTAGGAATACTACTGGAGGCAGGGAAAAGAACCATTTGAAAGGATTAGAGGTAACAGTGTCTAGTATTTACACACAGCTGGAAACTGGTCATTCCCACAGCTGGACACAGCCTGTTCCCACCAGCCAGACCGCAAAAACTCACCATTCACTGGGCACTCAGTAGAGTATTTGGGAAGGTCATGCCTCCATGGTGGGGTATAATTAGCCCTAAACTGATCCTTGTTGTAGACTCCAAAAAATCTTAAAAACAAGACTCTAAAGATTCAAATTGTTTCTGAATAACTCAACTATGCCCTAGAACAAAGATCAAGATTATTTATAAGAATACAAAACATTCAGCTACTGACAAGGTAAAATTCACAACGGCTGGCACCCAATAAAAAATTATTGGGCCAGGCGTGGTGGCTCACGCCTGTAATCCCAGCACTTTGGGAGACCGAGGCAGGTGGATCATGAGGTCAGGAGTTCGAGACAAGTCTGGCCAATATAGTGAAACCCTGTTTCTACTAAAAATAAAAAAATTAGCCGGGAGTGGTGGTGTGCGCCTGTTATCTCAGATACTCGGGAGGCTGAGGCAGGAGAATTGTGTGAACCTGGGAGGCAGAGGTTGCAGTGAGCTGAGATCGCGCCATTGCACTCCAGCCCGGGCAACAGTGCGAGACTTTAATTTAAATTTATTGACCCAGCCCCACTACTATTTATCTCTCTTAAGGTTCAGGAGGCTCTTCCCCACCTTTGAGCTGCCCAGCCTCAGAGACCGTGTTTCCAGTCTAGCCTCTGAAACACCTGGAGCCTGTTCCCTTCCCGGCTGACAGCCGAGTGGGAGGGAGCTCCTCTTCTTCCATGTGTGATGGTGTACTCAGAGACTCCCAGGAGCCCTCGCAGCTGGAAACTGGGCTGGACCCCAGCTCTCATTTCACAAGGGAGGCACATACAGGAAGCCAGTGATGCTAGCAACAGAGAAGCCTGTAGCAGGTTCCAGCTCAGAGAGCCCTTCTGGAGGCCCTGACCACCACCTTTACCCAGCCTCCAGCCTAGAGCAGTGCTAGACCAGATGAGGACATTAGATGGCTGACCTCAAAGGAACCCAGGAAGCCCTCAACTCACCCTTCTTTTATGACTGGGGAAGCTCAGGCCTTGAATGACTGAGTGACAGTCGCTTAAGTTCTCCCTCAGCAAATCTACTTCCGCAAGGCACTGCGACTCCTGCCTCCAAAGTGGGCATGTTCCCTCCAGCCTGAGATGAGTTAACCAACCCCTTGCGGAGGAAGTAGAGCAAAGATCTCATTTCTGGGCTTAGGACAGCCGCGCTACCAACATGGACAGAATGGACGCGGGGGCTGCCTTCCACCTCCCTCAGACGCCCACACAGTCCAGTGGTCCACCTCCCTCAGACGCCCACATGGGCCAGGGTCCTCCTCTATCAGAGGAAGGGCCCCTTCCTTGTTCTTTCCCTTCCTGCCCCAGATCAGAACAAGAAAAGCAGAGACTCCCCAGGCCAGGAGAGCAGGGCCAAGATGTGAGGAGCAGTCATTCTCCTCTCGAGACCTCTGATTGTGCACAGGGGCCAGTGGAGGCTCCCAAGAGGCTGTCCACGGGGACCATGTTAGGTCTCTTCAGGCTTCAAGGGCAAGTCTAAGGGGGGAAGACCCCCATGATGGTGTGCCCTTTTGTTCTGAAGCAGCTGCCTCCCTCTGCTTTGGTGCCAGGCACTGAAAACATTTTTCTTGATTTAGGGGCCCCACTTATACTTAACATAGACAAGAGATACCAGGATGTGCTCACATCATAGTGAGCATACACAGCAAGAACACGTAGTGTGTCCATCAGTGTCCTCATCACATTGCTCTCCTTGTGTTTGTTGCAAGGCTGCTGGTCTCCCTTCCAGACTGAGCTCCTCATGGGCCAGGGCTGTGCTTGAGCTGTCCTTGAATTCCTAGTGTTAGAAAAGGGCACAGCCTGTGGGAGCCCCGGATGAATGTGCTGGACCAAATGGCAGAGCTAGAGTCCAAACCCTGCTCTCACTCTGTCCACACCCAGGGCTCTTTCTATTCTACTGTCAGTTCCCTGGCTGAGCAGAGCTACAGGCCCATGGGAGAGGACTGGGGAATGACTGCACCATGCCTGGCCTGAAATATTTAGAAGAATGGCCATATCTGGGGTTGCACCATAGTACCCCCAAACCCACCCCTGGGGCAGGAGAGGGTGTTGAAAGGAGAGTCCAGCAAAACACATATAGAACAGGCTTGCTGTTAGGATGTAGCATCTGTTCCCACATGGTTTTGGCCTCCCCTTCTGTGGGGGTTTGGTTGGTGATAACAGAGAAGCAATAAGGTGTGAAGTGACAGTGCCAGCCCATCTGAAGATAAAGCTGCTGGACAGGCAATTTGCACCTAGGAAAGGAAGGGCCCCTGTAACTGCCAGACTCCCCATCCGTCTGGCCAAGGCTGTCTCGGTGCTGCACCACCGCCCGAGGGTCCTCCTATGTATGACTCTCCCTTCCCCCTCTCTCTCCACAGGGGTGCAAAAGTGGTTGGAAGTCTCTCCCCACCTTTTCCTGCTCCCTCTCCTTTTTGTCCGACACAGATGTTCTCTCAATAAATCTCTGGCCAGTCTAATTCCATCTTGGCATCTACCTCTGGAAGAACTGGGACTGATATAGAGGGTGGCAGAGGGGCTGGGGGTGATGGCTGGGGGTATTCACGAAGGAGGGCAGGGGGAGGCGGCTCTGCCCAAAAAGTCCTGACTTTCCCATTCCTGGCTGTGACACTTGGCTTCCTCATCAGTTTGAAATGGTTAGAAAGTGGGACATCTGGGCTGGATTTTAAAACACACTACATTATCTAAGGTGTAAAAGAAGTGAGTTTGGCTGGCAGATGGGAGAAAACGCTAACGATAAGAAGTGCTAGCTGGTAATTAGTTCCCTTAAGGAACTCACAGGAGCTCCCTGAACCACAGAGTGGATGGCACATACACGGAGGCAATTCCACGCCATGTTGCCCAATCAATTCTAAAAGCCCCGGCCCACAACCAAGCAGCAATTAGGAGATTGGAGAAGTGAAACTGGAAACTGAATCCAAATGACTGCCATGTCACTCCAACTCAAGTTCATCCTTTCCGAAAAGAGGGGCATAAAAGGGACCTCAGGGATGAAACCCTTGCCTTGGGAGGGTGAGCAGCTGACAGGAGGGTCAGGAGGGGCTACCACCAGCGAGGCCAGAGTCAGGACCTGCAGCGTGTGACCGGAGGGTGGAGGTAAGAATGTGGGCACACCTATTCCTCCCGCAGGGGGCACTTTCCAATATTAGCTGTTCTGTGACAGGGGACAGGCTTGAAAGACAGAGCCCAGGGACAGAACCACTCATTTGTGACCATCAAATCCCATGGCTTTAACTAGAATGAGATACTACATACGTAATGTCTACAGAAAACTGGAAACTTAAAACCGAAACCTCAGCGGAGAGTTAGCCAGTGAGAACGAGGTATTCCTACCCAGCTCCCAGTTTGCCTTAGCTACAGGGAAACCTAAAACTTCAGTCACAGTTTAAGTGCCTAGTTACTGATTTTCCTTTGTCTCTTTTCTTTTGTTTTGGCCTTAATTTTCAATGTCCACATTTTAGACTTTATTTTGTCAGAGTAGAAATGTTTATTTTTTTAATTTATTTTTATTTTTCGAGACACAGTCTGGCTGTCACCCAGGCTGGAGTGCAGTGGAGCAATCTTGGCTCACTGCAACCTCTGCCTCCCGGGTTCAAGCAGTTCTCCTGCCTCAGCCTCCCCAGTAGCTGAGATTACAGGCTCACACCACCACGACTGGCTAATTTTTGCATTTTTAGTACAGACGGGGTTTCACCATGTTAGCCAGGCTGGTCTTGAATTCCTGGCCTCAAGTGATCTGCCCACCTCAGCCTCCCAAAGTGCTGAGATTACAGACATGAGCCACCGCACCCAGCCTGAAATATTTAGAAGAATGGCCATGTCTGGGGTTGCACCACAGTACCCCAAAACCCACACCTGGGGCAGGAGGGGGTGTTGAAAGGAGAGTCCAGCAAAACACATAAACAATTTTTTTGGTAGCTGTGATTTTATGGTCTGTATGTGTAATGATCATACAGAAATGCCTGTGTGTGTATATGTGTGTGTACATGTGTATGTGTGTGCGTGCACGTGTGTGTGTGTGTGTGCGCATGTGTGTGTGTGCGTGTGTGCATGTGTGTGCATGTGTGTGTGTGTGTGTGTGTGTGTGTAGTTCTGTTTCATTTTTTCTGTGTTGATTAATGGGAGCTCACACAGCACAGCCCACTTGTGCCACCCTCTTACTGGTAGCACATGCCCTCAGGACTGGTGAGGGCAGGGTCCAGTGAAGTTCTGTGCTAACCCAAATATTCAAAGAAGTGGGTGCTAAAACGGAGCACATACATTCATAAGGCAAACCTAGAAGCAACAGAGGACCAAGGTTAAGAAAAACCCAACATGACCCTAGAAATTCTGTCAAAAAGGCAGGTCCAGTTTCCTAAATGATCACAGCCAAGGGCGAGCCACTAAGAGGTGCAATCCAAGTGCAGATGATGCTCCCATATCCCTGTGTCTGGGCAGGGAAATAACAGACCAAATGCATAACTAAGGTGGGCAGAATGATGACCCCCAAAGGGGGGCCACACCCTAATTCCCAGAACCTATGATTACATTAGGTTGCACGGCAAAGAAGAATTAAGGCTGCAGATGGAATAGGAAGGTTATCCTAGATTATCTGGGTGGCCCCATTTTCATCACAAGATCCTTAAAGTGGAAGAGAGAGGCAGAAGAGGAGGTCAGAGAGAGGTGATATGAGGACTCAGCCAGTTGTTGCTGGCTGTGCAGATGAAGGAAGAGCTACAGCTTAGGGATATGAGCAGCCCCTAGCAGCTAGAAAAAGCAAGGAAATGAGATTCTCCCCTAGAGCCTCCAGAGGGAATGCAGCCCTGCCCACACCTCGATTTTAGCACAGTGAGACTCATGTTGGACTCATAACTCATGGAGCTCTACGTAATAAATAGGTGTTGCTTTAAGCCGCTAAGCTTGCGGTAATTTGTTAGAGCAGTTACAGAAAACGAAGACAATAATGTCCCTGTACCTGATTACCTTCTGCCAAAATGGCACTGCTCAGGGTTCTGAGCACATTCAACGCAGGCTAGGCTAAGCTAAAACATTTGAGGGGTTAGGTGTATTAGACGCAGTTTCAACTTACCATGGGTTTATTGGGTCATAGCCCCATCATAAGTCAAGGAGCATGTGTAATAAGAACACGAAGAAATATATTTGATAAAGTATAATAAAGGAGGTGTACACTAAAGCAAAGCTCCATTTGGATGTTAATCCAAGCACAGAATATGAATTGGTGGTGATCTGATGATAGGTGGTCTGATCTCCCCCAGCGTGGCCTTCCCCTGAACTTCATCTCTCCACGGTGGCCATGAGGCCTCTGCCTAAACACTGCTACCACTGGGATGTGGCCACGTCACCAGGAGTTCACGTGGTTTTGATTACTAGAAAGATTTTCCATACTAAGCTGAATCCGTACCCCTATAGCTTCCATCCACTGGCTCTAGTTATAGTTCTTGAAGTGCTTAGAATATTTTCTTCACTGTGAGGCTATGAAGACAAGTGCCACGTATATATCCTTTCTAAAGTTCCCTCTCCCCTCCCAAGCCTAACACATATGGGTCTTTCATTTATTCCCCACATGCTGGACAGGATCCTTTTCAACTACATTCCCCCCTAAAATGTGGCACTCACAACCAAATACACAATTCCACATAAATAGAGTGGTAGGGGCAAAGTTCAATAGTTCCAATACTAGATGTAAGAGCTGCACCACTCCCACCCTCTCAAATGGTAGACTAGAGGGTCTCCACGGACTCTTCTAGCCCTGATGTTCCAAGATTCTAAGAGGAAGGTACCTAAGAATAGACTCGTTCATGCAACAAATATTTACTGCTTTTGTACTAATTTTATTATACCCTCCCTTGGCATTTATAGACAACCCAGATCAAGGGTTTTACAGTCCAGCTTGGGTCTGCAGGGCATCCTCTGCAGTTGCCAGTCCTCTAGAGGCTCAGGAAGTGGGCGTTCCAGAAGCAACGACTGCCTTCAGTGACAGCATGAGCTGCCCAAAGGCTTCCAAGCACCTTAAAACCTATTCTCTTCTGAAGAGCCTTCCAAGTTGTGGATCTTGGAACTCTCTGTCCCTTGTTTTTATTCTGCAGATACATATTCAGACCTGTTTTTGTTATCTCAGATCCTAAGCCTCTGATTCAAAAGGACAGAGCCTATGGAATAATCATTCAAAAAGGGAAAGTTGAAAGCAGTATCTAAATCCAAGGCATTAAAGTGGCCACGCTATCAAAATCTTTGGCCCACTAAGTTCACTTTTAAGAATTTGTCTTACAGATTCACACACACAGAAAGACACACACACACACACACACACACACACACACAATGTGCATACATATATATACATATGTATATTTTAGCTATATTTATAATAGAAAAAGATTGGAAATCTAAAAATATCTCAGTAGGAAACTGGTTCAAACAATGTGCAACCATACAGAACAATCCTATTCAGCCTTAAAAACAAAAAGGAAACAATAATATATAAAAAGATATAATGTTAAAAGAGAAAAGCAAAGTACAGAACAATGTATCTAGTATGCTACCATTTCTGTAAAAAAAAAAAAAAAAAGAGGACTGCATATTTTCTTGCATGTGCATAAGACATCTCTAGAAAGCTTCACTAAGAATTGGTAGAAACTGGTTGCCTCCAAGAACTCAATGGCTGGAAAGTTGTGGCGGCAGGAAGACTTTTTGCTGTATATTCTTTTGTGCCTTATGAATAATAAACCATGATAATATACTGCTTAAAAATAAAATATTTTATAATGTAAATAAACAAAGTAAAGGTATTATGATGATATTATTGCAGTTGCTGTAAAACAGCCAAAATGCAATTGAACACCTAATAAAAATAATCTGGTGATAACTATAATACGCATCTGGACTTTTCTCCAGATAGGCCCATTTTACAGATTTAAAAACATAAATGGAAAGGTGAGAGGACTCACTCAAGATCCCACGGTGAGCCATTAACAGTTTTAACTGTACTTTGGTAATCAGCCCTTCACAAATCCAGATGGAATTCAGTTTGACTCTGACTTTTGTGTTTCAATTGTGTGGCCTTGGGAGAACCCCTTTTCCTCCCTGAACTAAGTGTCCTCATCTATATAATAATAACATTGGACTAGGTAAGCTTTAAGGTTGATTTTATGACATCTTGAACTTTAGGTCAAGAAAGGTAAAACAATATTTCAGGCTTCTTTTTTTTTTCGTGATAACAATTTGCCCCAATCCTTCACACAACCCCTCATCTGTTCCCTGATGAGAATGAATCAACATGCTCACAAAAGCAGAGCTTTGTATCCGTAACAAAAACCTCTGCTCTTCTTGTTGTAAAAACTCCCGAGAAAAGGGATGTGAGTGCTGAGCATTTCAATAAGACACAGAGATGCAGGATAATCTGTTCAACAGAAAGGAAAGCTATTAATAAAACCCTTGAAGGTACACAGGAAGATGGAGTGATAGCTTTTAATTACTGAGTCTCTTAGTCATCTTCAAATGAAGATTTAAAGATGTTGTGCATCTGACACAGAGGTTCAAAGCAAAGGTCCAAAGCAAAATTAAGTTTAGGCCCTAAGAAATAAGACAAAAGATAAGTATTAAATGAAAACAGAAAATTATTCCCATAGTTTAGGTCCTTATTGATGGTCCCTGTAACAATTTGTTAGTTGGGAGAGCATGTCCACACTAGAAAAGTAACAAATTTCATCCAGACAAAGCATTTAGTGTTGTGTCCAATAAGCCTAAAATAAAGATTATTGTACACTTCAGTGAAGACACATGCATACATTGAGTCATAGGAATTGGAGAAAAAAGTGAGTAGTTCACATAAATAAAACAGTTGGTGTTAGTTTCATCCGGTTGAGCCAAGCATTTCAGGGACAGCTGAGAAGAGCAGAAACTGAAGAAAGGAAGAGATTGCTTCAATGGGTCCCTGACTCACTTGATCAGATCTCTTTGCTCAGAGATGATTCATTCCACACTGATTTGCTGCTCACCTAATACGCTCAGATGTTGTTCAGAGCACTGGAATGCAGAGGTGAACACCACCCAAGCAAGGTCCCTGATCTCACAGACATCACATTCCAGGGAGAGAAGACATTCAGTCAACCATTAGTCTTTTGGTTTTTTCTTTTCACAAATAGTTTTTGAATGCCTACTGTGTACCAGACACTATTCTAGGCCTGGCAGACAGTAGCAAACATGGCAGAGTCCCTCCTGCCACAGGGCTTACATTCCAGTAGGGAAAGAAAAGCAACAAACAAGCAGGCAAATAAATAACTCTGGACAGTGCATATTATGAAGAAAAGAAAACAGAGTCTGGAACAGATACTGATGTGGAGGAGCGAGGAGGTCTTTTAGAAAGAGAGGTCCAGGAAGGCTTTAATGAGAAGGTGACATTTGTGCAGCTCTCAAATGATGAGAAGCAGCCAGCCGTGGGAGGATCCCAGAGAAGACGATTCCACACCGAGGAAGCATGAGAGTGAAGCCCTGAAACAGGAGCAAGCCTAGCATGTTTAGCAACCGTAAGAAGGGCTGTGTGGCTGTAGCCCAGAAAACAGCAAAAGAGTGGAAGGGCACAGGCCAGCGAGGTGGATGAAGCCCGGGCCATCCAGGACATTTACATCATAGTAAGAAATTTGGTTGAGTTGAAATACATTGGGTGGTCATTGGAGGACTTGAAGGAGGAGAATAATATTTGATCTACATTTCTTTTCTTTTCTTTTCTTTTCTTTTTTGAGACGGAGTCTCGCTCTGTCGCCCAGGCTGGAGTGCAGTGGCGCGATCTTGGCTCACTGCAAGCTCCGCCTCCCGGGTTCACGCCATTCTCCCGCCTCAGCCTCCCGAGTAGCTGGGACTAAGGGGGCCCGCCACCACGCCTGGCTAATTTTTTGTATTTTTTAGTATAGACGGGGTTTCACCGTGTTAGCCAGGATGGTCTCGATCTTCTGACCTTGTGAGCCACCCGCCTCGGCCTCCCAAAGTGCTGGGACTACAGGCGTGAGCCACCGCGCTCGGCCTGATCTACATTTCTAAAAGATGGCTGTTGGGGAAGAATCAGCTATGGCGGGATAAATGTGGATTATGAGAGAAACCAATTAGCAAGCTAGAACAGCAGCATCACTGAAAGATGATGGTGGCTGAAATAAACATGGTAGCGGTGGAGGGCCTAAGGAGTGGAGAGATAGACGATACATTCTGAAGGGTGCACCAAGAAGAATCCTGGTGATGGTAGGATGTATTGGGTAAAGACAAGAGATCAAAGATGAGTTCTAAAACAACATGAAAAGAAAACCCGATTAAAAAATGGGCAAAGGACTTGAGGAGATATTTCTCCAAAGAAGATATACAAATGGCCAACAAGCATATTAAAAGATGCTTAATATTGCTAATCATTAGAGAAATGCAAATCAAAACCACAATGAGGTATCACCTCACACTATTAGAATGGCCACTATTAAATAAATAAATAAATAAATACATAAATAAATAAAACCCAGAAAATAACAAGTGTTGGTGAGGATGTGAAGAAATTGGAACCCTTGTGCACTGTTGATGGGAATGTAAATAGTACAGCTTCTGTGGAAAACAGTAAGGTCATTGTAAATCATCAGGAAGACTGGCCGGAGAAGCAGTGGGATCCTCAGAGTCTGTGTAGAATTGACCAGAGAAAACCACAGATTGAAGAAAAGAGCTGCCACTTGGAGGAAAATTCCCGCGTGAGTTATAAGCTCTGTGGCAGACCTTGCTCAGTGGGGCTGGAACCATGAGAGCCAACTTTAACTACCTGCTGGGCCCAGTGGGTGAGCCATCTTATGATAGTACCTTTCAGAAAAGAGCTTCCCTGCTCCCCTGCTTCTCCTCTCTCTCTCCACTCCCTGAACCAACTGCCAGATGCTGGAGGGTAGGTGAAAGCATGACGTAGGGTAGGGTAGGGAGAGAAGTGCACAAGCCCCTGACCACTGGCCAGCCACATCCACTGCAAGAAGCCAGATTACAGCAAGCTCCGGCTAGGGTAGGGAGAAGACGTAACTATAAATCAAGGTCAGACTTTTATCACTACATGAGACCAGGTATTTTAACTTTGGACTATAGGTTTTTGTTGTTGTTGTTGTTGTTTATTATTACCTAAGAGTGATCACAAAAGTCATGGGACCACAGGAATTTCCATCCTGGGGTAGACAACCCTCTGAATACATTTTGAAGGGCTATGAGGAGATAAAAATAGTTACTTCCTAATTAAACCCCAAATGTTTGTTCAACAACTCATTACTTAGTTTTTGGCCTGAGCAACTATGTGAATGAGGGTGTGATGGACTGAAATAGGAAGATTTGGGAAAAGCAGGCTTGGGGTAGGGAAGGAGCTCAGGAGTTCTCCTTTGGACATGTTAGGTTGGGGTGCCTCTAAGCCAAGTGGACATGTCAGGTAAATCAGTCTGAAACTCAGGGGAGAGGAATACTTTTTTAAAAAAATACTCATTTTCATAGAAGAGTGGAGGGGAAGATGAGGAATGTAGACAATTATTTTGCAGAGCAGTAAAGCATTAGGGAGAATGAATGACTAGGAAGTGGGAAGCAGGCTTTACAGGAAAGTGAGAGGTCAAAGACAGAGAGGAATGCTTTTGAGAATCATTAGCCTAGAGATAGAATTTAAAGCCACGTGACCAGATGATACCAACTAGGGAGAAGACATAGCTAGAGAAGACAGCCAGAGACTAGTCTCTGGGGCACTTCTCATTCATGGCTAGAAGTCAAACAGAGAATGAGGTTTGAGCAGAGGAGACTGAGCAAGGGTAACTAGACAGGTGGCAGGAAAACCAAGAGCACCAGGCAAAAGTGGTGGAGGGGAGAGGCAAGGGAATGGTTGTGAGGGACCATGGAATCTGAACTGGATAATATGGATGTAAGGACATGTATGTGGAGCCCGGGATGATGAACAGTGAAAAGTAGCAAGGTTACAGGAATGAAGGTCACTAGGGGGGTCAAAGAATTGTTGGTGTGGGGACAGCTATGAATAGGAGGTCAGAGCGGGAAACCTGAGGCAGGGATTCAGTGGTGGTACAAGAGGGCAAGAGCATGACTGGGGGCCAGTGCAGAGGTGTGATGGGGAAAGAATCTGTTAGAGGTGATCAAAGAGCTGCACATGGTGGCCCCTGCCTGCAGTCCTAGCTACTTAGGAGGCTGAGGCAGGAGGATCACTAGAGCCCAGGAGTTCGAGACTGCAGTACACTGTGATGGCACCTGTCAATCGCCACTGCTCTGCAGCCTGGGCAACATAGTGAGATACCGCCTCTTAAAAAAAAAGTGATGGACAATCAGGTGGCCTGGGTTTGGAAGGGGTCGGTGGTGAATGGTTAAAGAATCCATTGGATAGAGAGGCCTGGAGATACAAACCCCTCTTTCTCACCCCTTACAAGGATTATCCTTTTTCACCTAAGAGGGCTTGAGGAGTTTGAAGCTGGTCAGTTGCCCTCAACACTTCCTGTCTGAAACCCAAGGCCTGGATGGACTCTCCTTAGAAGCAAGAGAGGGCACAGTCCTGTCTTCCGTGAGGCTGCCGCTAGGTTCCTGGACCCTCAACCCAGGGAGTGAGCAGAGTCACCAGAGCTAGCAGACGGCTGGGCCTTGATTTCCCTGGATCTCTAGTCTCAGGAGTATTCAAAGACACCACATAGAAACATCCAAGTGCTGCTTTCCTGTCCGCTCAGCTGGAGCAGTGGGTTTCCCCTGCTGCCTTCTGTGCCACCCTCTAAGTGCAGGTCTTATTTGTGGGCAGAGCACACGGAGAGGGCCACTACTCCCTCCACCCGACGCAGGAGAGTCTTGGCCAGAACTTCCACCTGAGCCTTAGATTGAAACATTATAGCCAGAAGACACCCTATGTCTTAGGCGCCCACTGAATCTGTTTTCCAACTTGTTAAATGAGGGGATTGAGCTAGATGATAGATGAGGTTCCCTCCAGCTCTTGGTAGTCTAGAGTCTAGTTCAAATGCCCTATTTTATATCAACATGAGGAAGCAAGGGCCAGGGGGAGGGAAAGTGACCCACTCCTAGAACTGGATTAGTCAGAGAGGCAGCTCTCTGGACAGGGAATGCTTCCTTCTTGTAGATTCTTTATTATTACATTCTAACACAGTATTCATTAAATGAATATCCACGTAATTACATTGTTACGGAGTGGAGATTTTGGTGAAAATGGGGCGAGAGAAAGGCATATTAGAGGAGCTTTGGCTCCTTCAGTTGAAGGACGGCATTTGGTGAAAGGAGCACACCAAGAGGAAAATAGGAAAGAGAAGGGGAAGGTGGCAGCACACCACATTCCTATATGGGCAGCCCTTAGTGCCCTCCAGCAATGACTGTTCCTCACCTCACCCTGACCGTCATTTTATATCTCCGGCATTCTCTGTACTCCCTTCTGCTAAAATGCAAACTGCATCTCTTCTTAAAAGCTAATCCAAGTCCCAATTTCTCATAACAAGTTTCCACGAATCCAGAGCAAAATGAAAAAAATATACACATGGTGAATTTCTTACAACCATTGCTACACTTAATTAGCTTTGTCTGGTATCTTTTCCTACCTTTTTGCTTTCTGTATGATTGTTTCTTGTAAACTGCATAAAGCTAGATTGTTTCCTAAAAATCCAACCTAAGAAACTGTCACATATTATTGTGGGAACATGTCTTAACCTTTGTCCTGGTTTCCTTATCTGTAAAACAGGGTTGTTGCAATGACTGAGTTAACACTGGCTAAGCCCTTAGCCCTGGCATGTACTACACACTTAATTAATACTAGCTACTCTTAAGAGTTCAGTGTAATCATTTATAGGGATAGTGATTATTGATATAGTTGGGGTTATTGGACCATCTTATTTCATATTTTCTATTCACTGTGCTTTTCCTTGTTTTTCTAATCTTTTCTGCCTCCGTGGCTTTACCAAGTTTTCCTGAAACCCATTTTCTGGAAACAGGTGTTCACTAAGAGTTGCCTTTAAAACCTTAAAATGGATTCTTAAGAGTTCAAAGTAGGTCGATGCCTCCCAAACAATACTAATACCAAGAGCTTCAGAATGCCTTGATATTCTGATCTCCCATGTCCCACATGATTATCTACTATTTTATTTCCACCTTGTTTTAACCACTCTCCACTCTCCACCCCTAAATCTATATTTACTTAAAACTTGCCAGTGTGTTTACCAACATATTTGCTCACCACTGCTTTTTGTATACCACCCCTTTCTTCTGGGTTCCATTCCATTCTTACTAAAGAGCACCCTTTAGTAAGTACTTTTGCCCATCACAACTTAACAAACAGAAGTCTGGATCTCTGACTATATCTTGCATGAAGGACGAGCTTAGCTGGTTTAAAACAGAACTATCCCACAGTTCATCACTACGATATTCTTTTACTTTGCTAGAAAAAAAACAAAAACCAGCCCCTGACCAGGTTATGACTTTTAGCATTTGTTCAACTATTTTCCCTTTCTGGATAGAAATCAGCAATGGTCCCCAAATACATTTAGACAAATATGCTTCCATGAAGCCTGTATTTCTACAAAACTGTGACAAAGTGGGTAAGGTCAGTCTCTTGACAATCAGATTTGGGCCTTACATTGTGCCACCATAGGTTCTCTTAGCCCCACCCCCTTCTTTAGGTTTTTAACCTAAGTAACACAATACCACGTATTGCAAATAGAAAACAAATGATTCTATGTAGATGTCATGCTTTCAGAAATTCAATATTTATGTTGCCAAAATGTTTTCAGTAGATACTCTTTAAAATTCAAATAGTTATATTAAAATAGCTCATTCAATAATGTTCCCTAGAAAGTGCATTTTGCAGTGAAGACTTATTAGGCATGAGAGTCAGGGCTGCTCAAAATCAGCTATTACATAAAAGATATGATACAATTCTTTTAAGACTGTGATGCAGTTCTTATGTGACCCAAATGGAAATAAACATCATGTGGAATCCTGGGGTTTCAATTGTGTGCTTGTAATTCCAAAGTTATATTATGGGGACCAAAAAAAACTCCCTGCTTGCTGCCTACCTGAACCCCATTCAAGAAAAGACATTTACAATAGCATGTCAGCCTTGCTGTCTATTCATTTGACACCAAGCCAGCTGGCTTCTTTGGAAAGCACTAGAGTAAGAGCAGCTCTAGAATCTTGCCAGAAAATGTATCCAGCTGCTATCCAAAGACTGGGTGTGAAACACTATAAAAGTATTTCTTAGCCATTCTCCTCAGAGATCTTAAATACAAGTTGAGTATCCCTTATCTAAAATGCTTGGGACCAGAAGTGTTTCAGATTTTGCATTTTGGAATATTTGCATCATACTTACCAGTTAAGCATCCCTAATCCAAAAAATCTGAAATCCAAAATGCTCCAGTGAGGGTTTGAGTGTCATATCAGCACTCAAAAAGTTTCCAATTTCAGAGTATTTCCAATTTCAGATTTTCAAATTAAGGATACGCAACCTATTGTATATCTCTAATTTGAAACTAGGGATAATTAGAACCTATCTAACTTTCTATTACATTAGAACATGAAAAGTATTGTTGGTCTTTGTTTGCTTGTAACTCCATAGAATTGTTTTGTTTTAGTCCCTTTCAATTTTGGACTCTCAGCTTTGATAGTTAACAGAAATGAAAGCCTTGCATTTGCTGTGACATTGACACTGATGAACTCCAATGTGATTCTTAAAACCCATTAAGACCCAGAGAAAAAAATTCCTTTAGAATACTTTGGTGTCCCGTTTTGAAAACCTGGCCATATATTTTATTAAAAGCTAAGGTCCCAATAATTCCATTTCCGAGAATGTAATCTAAGGAAGTAATCATATATATGGAAAAAACTATATGCACCATGATGCCTTCTAAATTATTTGTAATTGGAAAAAGCTGGAAGTAACGTAAGTGTCCAAGCGTAGAATGTCTGTGCAAAATGGCACACGATCCAGATGGATTGTTATACAATCATTAAATAGTATTGTTAATGCACTGTGGAATCTTTCTGTGACAAATGAAAGCACTGTGTGTGTGTATGTGTATGTGTGTGTGTGTGAGTGTGTGTGTGTGTGTTTGTGTGTTTATGGAGGTGATCCTGGATAGGTGATATGAAATTCTGACTTGTCCAGCTTCTCTTGATACTATTGGGAAGTTGGCAGACACACAGGCACTTACTAGCATAAGCTGACTTCCATAACTTTATTCTAATATTTTGTATTTTGGAATCAAAGGAGTCAGAAGATGCATGCATCAGTTTCTGGGTGTCCATTTGTGCTGCCAGAAGAAAATACCACAGTCTGGGTAACTTATAGACAATAGAAATTTATTTCTCACAGGTATGGAGGCTGGTAAGTCCAAGATCAAGGCACTGGCAGATTCCGTGTCTGGTGAGGACTGCTCTCTGCTTCCAAGATGGTGTGTTGTTGCTGAGTCCTCCAGAGGGAACGAAGACTGTGTCCTCATGTGGCGGAAGGGATGGAAGGAAACAAAACCACTCCCTCAAGCCCTTTTAGAAGGACCGTGACCCCATCTATAAGAGCTGTGCCCTCACGACTTAATCACATCCTAAAGTTCCCACCTCTTGTTAAGTTTCAACACATGAATTTTGGGGAAGACAGGGATAAGGAAAGAACATGGTGATTAATGCTGTCCCCCTGGACTGATTTTCAAGCTTTCTATGGCAAGAGTTTATAGGCAAAAACAAAATCCGTCCATTGCATGTTTGATAGTGCCATGAACCTCTCTTTTGTTGCACTCATCACAGTTGTACATTAATCTATATAATTACTTAATGCTCATCTTCCCTTCTGATCTACAAGCTCCATCAGGGCAGGAACTGTCTTTGTTTTGCACATTACTTGACATATAGTCCTAATAGTTGAAGGAAGGAAGGACAGGAAGAGTGGAAAGGAAAGAAAGGTAAGGGGAAAGAGAAAAAAAAGGGGGTGGGGAAGAGAAAAGAGAAAGAGTGAAAGGGGAAGAGAGAGGAAGCAAATTTTTGCACAGGACGCTGTGGTCCGGGTGATAGTACACTAGCAAACCAGGAAAGCACACTCCCATTTCCACTTGGAACACAGCAAGGCCAAGAGACTGAAATGGACAGGAAGGCAGGGCTGCCCTAGCACTTGGCAGGTTTGCATCTTGGGGCTATATCGGGGATGGCGTCCTAGGCAAGGTAGGACTTTCCAGCAGGGCCAGCCGCAGTGCACGTGACAGAGCAGCGGTGAGGAGGGCAGATGCTGGTAGAAGTCTGTCGGGGGGAGCAGCAACATATGCAAGCATGGACTTGTATCTGTATTCTGAATATCTGAACCTGGGGATACCCAGAAATACACAGAAGGAATGGAGAAATGCCCCCTTTAAGGTCTCAATGCAGGTAGGGAGTATAAAGTCAGTATCATGGGTGTTAATGTAAATACTTGTTTACAGCCTCAGATAGTTGTTCTTAAGGATGTCTAAAAACAGACTAAAAACCAAAAAAAAATTACTGAAATGGTAAAAAATGTAATGGTTGTGGTTTTCCCTCTTATGTTCATACTTTCATAATATGTACATAACAGACAGAAGTGTTTCTCATTTGAATAATTGCTACTTTCTTTTATCGGATGCTAAGAAGTTTGAAATCCATTGTTTTTGGGTTTTTTTCCAGAAACAGTTCTAGCCTTCTCTATGTTGTCTATCCCTGTTGACACATCAGTCTTTACCATGTAATTTTGTTTTTAAAGGCATACCTCCCTCTATTATATACATGGTCTTATGTGTATGAATTCTTTTTTCAACTAGACCAGTAATCCTCAACATGAGGTCGAAAAAGAAAGACGAGAGTAGAGGATGAAAGGACGGCCTGGCATACTAGGCCATCTAAAGTGCATCCAGCAGCTCACCTGCACCCCCACAAACCATAAGCATCACTGCCATTCTGAGCTGATGTTGATGGGAGATGTTATAACTTTGAGGGGAGTGAGGAGGTAGAAAGAGTTAATAACTCTGAATTACTGTAAGTTTGGTGAGAAACTGTATTTTCACTAAAAGGTGAATTTTAGAACCAGAAGTTTATCAGTTTCAATTTTGGATCTATTACTTACTCTAAGTTCCTTAATCTTTGTCAGATGGATATGAACATACATTTCTTTCAATGTATGAATATTAAACATATGCTAAGTGCTAACAGATAGTGCTCAATAAATGCTCTTTAGACCTTACTTTTCAGGTAGACTTGGGAGTTCCTTTACATTACAGGTTTCTCAGTCTTGGCACAACTGACATGTTAGACTGGATAATTCTTTACTGTGGAGTGTTGTAGTCTAAAGCGTGCCCCTTAACCCCTACCACTAAATATGTTGGAAGTCTTAACTGCCGGTATCTCAGAATGTGACAGTATTTAGAGATAGGGCCCTCTATCTAAAAAAGAGGTAACTGAAGTAAAATGAGGCCATACGCATGGGCCCTGATCCAATGACTGCTGTCCCTACAAGAAATCGGGACACCAGTCCTGCACAGTCATGTGCACACAGAGAAAAGACCATGCAAGGACACCATGAGTGGAAGCCAAGGAGAGAGGCCGAAGAAGAAACCCTACTGATCTTGGACTTCCAGCCTCCAGAATTCTGAGAATACACATTTCTGTTGTGTAAGCTTCCCCGTCTGCAGTATCTTGTGACGGCAGCCCTGGCAAACTAATCCATGAGGGTTGGGTGTTTAGCCTCATCCCTGGCCTCCACCCATTGATACTGGTAGTACCCCTCACCACCCTCCACCTCCAAAAGTGTCTCCACACATTGCCAGCTGTCTCCTGGGGGGCAAAATCTTTCTGCCCACCCCACTGGGAACCATTGTTCTAGATGATCTTTGGCCACCTTTGTATTCCCAGTGTCAGCACAGTGACAGACATAGATAACCAAATATTTGCTGAATGAACTCATGTGCCTACTTTCCCAATCTTGGGTCTCACCGCTCCCTCACAAACTCCTTTTGCTGCAATTAAAGTAATAATTACTTCCAGTTTAATTTATAGACTATATAATTTGTCATGAAACAAACAGTTTTCATTTTGACATAATTTCTGACAACTCAGTGACATAAATATATCCATGTGAGCTCCTATTTTGTTTGACATGCTCACTTACCTCACATCAGTTCTGCCGATAGATTTGGTAAGTGGTGCTTTTAGTTTCCTTAATGCACCCCTCAGGATTTCATGCAAATGAAATTATTATGACAAATTTTTCTATAGCCATTTCTAACACAGGGAACTCATAAAGAAATCAAATGTCTGCACTTCACTGTGAAAACACTAAACTCTCAGCCATAATGAGACTCCACACATTATCAGAAACCCCAAGGCATACCAAAAAGACAAGGTCAACGGAGACAGTCTTTGGAAGGGGAGGTCATAAATGTTGAATCTGGCAAATCATAAATTTCTTGTCTTAACATTGCCGCATTTACTATCATCTCATTTGAAAGCTGATGTGTTTGGGTTGGGTGATGGCAGAGGGGTGGGAGTTGGGGGATGCTGGCTCTGAAATGCCAGAGAGGCATTAAGAACTCTGGAAGCATCTGGCTACTGGTAGACATTTTACACAGATAGCAATTTCTGACCAATCCATTTCAATGATTTCTAACCCATACTCAACTATCCAGAGGATACTGTTTTAAGAACATTATTGTAAACTGATACTCTCTATTCATTTACAAAATTCATTCATTGCATACTTTTTGTTTAATAGCTTGGATTCAGTGTTACAGATTTGATTGACCCAAGTGAAAAAATACTGACACTAATCATTTTTAAGTGCTATTTCAGAAGAATATGCGCAATGTTTCTAAGTTATTGTGACTTTGTGACTGTCGTAGCTTTAAATTATAATACTAATATCCTACTCTGAGAAATGTGTAAGACACAGGTCTAACAAACAACTACATTAACCTCGGGCAACAACCATCATGGAGCTGCTGTAACACAGGCATGGTGGTGGCGTGCATCGGTACTTACACACACCAAGGATGTGAACTGACATCCCGCCTTTCCAAAAACAAACATTTAACTCAACTGTTTCTTGCAATAAAGAAGTTGAAAGAATCCTTTTGTGAGGCTGGATTCTCCATGGAAGAGAAGGAGAATGGCCTAAGGACATTCTGAAATTTAATTATCAAACCAAACCAAACCAAACCAAATCCCTGTGCCAAAGTGCCAAAGAGTCTACCTCCTCTGCAAAGCTGGTACCTGTGTGAAATGTCAGTATTTTTAGAGAGAGATGTTTTAGAGGCAGGAGGCAACTGACCAAGTAAGGATATTTTGTAACATTTTTCCCCTCTGGAAAAGCAGAAAAGAATGAATATCAGCTAACCGTAATATTTAGAATTTAGCATCTTTCCTTGGGCATTTATAAATAGAAAATCTATCTGTGGCAACCAAAAGTACGGTATTCTAATCAATGCATTTGAAAAGTCAGCAAAAGCCCACATTAATTCCTATTACGCTTGTTTCTTGGTTCAATCTCAGCACTTTCAGCGGCTCTTGTGCGGCGATTCTGTCTTGGACTTATTTCTGTGTCTTGAAGATCGTTTCTGAAGACAGAAAAAGGAAATGACATCTTGGAAAGTAATGATTATTGTACAGCAGTTTCTAGTTTACAAGTGTTTTCACACATATTATTTCATTAAAACCTCGAAATAATCCTCTATTCTGTTGATGAATTCATAATTGTTATTATTAGTATTTCCACTTTATGAATTAGTGAGTTAGCAAAGATCACAGATAGTAAATGAGCTCTGAACCCCTTTTTCTGAATTAAAATTTAGGAGTTTTATGCTTCTGTTTAGCATGTAGAGGGCTGGGAAAAAACGGCAAACAAAAAGCTGCTCCCATCCTAACAAGAAAAAGCCAGACAGTCTAACAAAATCTTAACTCTGTTTGATCCTTCAGAGACCTGAGGTTTTAAAGGAACTAAGAAAGTAAAATTCCAAAGAAAAATATGCCCCTCCAAAGATGGGCCACACTTCTCTCACTTTTGGCAGAGTGTTGGAGAACGAGGTGGCTGCCATACAAACAGGTAAGAAGAATCAGCTAAGATTTTCCTAATTTCTTAAATACAGGCTAGTATTGCAGGCCCCTGACACAAGGAGAGTCTGCACACACTTGCCAGCTCTTTTCCACGAGCCTCCGTCAGGTGCTCACAAGAAAGACTGGGAGCAGGACAGGTGAATGGAGAGGGGCCACTTCAGTGGCTACGGGGGACAGGAAGAAGTCAAGTCCTGCCTGCTCTCCTGAATGCTTCTCTCCCATGAAGCATAAGCTTTTCAGTTGCTGAGGGAAACACAGGAAACTCCCCCTGGGGCTCTAGCAAAGACCTATGGCCTCTGGGGAAGGAACAGAGGTGAAATCAGTCTGCCTCAAGGGGAGGCATATGACCTCATTTGCAGGAACGCAGGCAAAGATTCACTGCTGCAGGGGGAATGGTAGAAACTAAAACCTCTACCTTACAGGAGGGGCAGTAAATCATCTCCAGCTGATGACCTTACACTGACACCACGCAGAGGTTTGGTCAAGTAGCCAGATACCATGGGAGGAGGTGGAAGTGCTGAGAAAGGCCCACCCCTGAGACTCAGGCACACAGGGCCTACCTAAGACTCAGGCTAGACTGAGATAACAGTGAACCCCGGCTGTTTCCCACCATCAGCCTAGCAACAAGCAATAAGCAGGAGCAGGAAATGGCTGAGGGAGAGACACAGACATGGTGAAGATATGCCCCTATTTGGTGCAGGAAAGCAAGCATGGCTGAAAGGAAAATGGGAGCAAAATCAATGAGAAAAACCCTCTGGCAATCCAGCCCCAACACTAAGCAGAAGTCAAAGCAGCCACCTGCTAGAGTAACTTGAAGTGGATGCACTGAAGGTCACATTAGTCACTAGGAAACTCCAATCCAGGTCAACTCTGAATTACCCAGCTCAACTCCCCACACTAATGACCCAGTAGAAGGATGTGCATTTCTAGGCACAAACACTATCGACCTCAGTCCCTATGGTCCTTCACTGCATGGCCCGCATTCAAAAAGTATGATACACAATGAAGCAAGGGAAAAACCCATTTCGAGATGGAAATTCCTTCAATAGGCTTTAAGTGCAATACACAAAGTTGATAAAAAGACTTAGTGAACTTGAAGGTATGTCAATAAAAACCAGATTAAGATACAAAGAGAAAAAGGAGTATGTGAGGGGGTGCACATAGAATAGAGCAGCCAAGAGCTGTGGGACAATAAAAATGGCATAACATGTGTATAACTGTAATACCTGGAAGAAAGGAGAGAAAGAACTATGGATAATAAATATGTAAATATATATGGCTGTGGATTTTCTAAAAACGTTGAAACACTTCAAATCAAGATCAAAGTTGGTCAAAGAACCCCAGTCATGAGAAATACCAAAAATAAACAACCAACAAACAAGATCTCTCCAGGATTTGTTGTTGTTGCTGTTTGCTATTATTGTTTAGTGACTTTTCTAAACCAATCCTATAAATATGTATTCTTTGTTGTATATGGCAACTAAAAGTGTCTGCTTGATTAGCTTTGTAGTCCACTAATGATTGAACAGTTCCTTAGACATCTGGAACCAATATCATACAGAAACTCAGCAAAACCAGTCTTTGCTGGTGGGTTCTGTGTCTGTGCTGGGGCATGCAATCAACATTCACTCAACACTCAGTGGACAACTCTGCCTTAGCCTTTACTTCCTGCTTGCACACAGCCTCATGGTTAACCAGAGGTGAAAGTTTAGCGCTTCCTTAGGTCTTTCCTAAGCATGCACGGAAGCTCTATGAATGAGAGTGACCCTCTAGATTCCCAGGAATATTTTATAGCTGTTCAAAACCCCCATGGAAATCTTATTCTTCAGCTTTTACCATTAGGCTTTTTGGTTAGCATATCATTTACCCCAACTGTTATCTACCACCTCAGACAGCTGCAAAGCTAGTCAAATGCCTCTAATTGCTTTCAACAAACACCCTTAGATAAAAGGCTTTTTGAATTCAGCAAGCTCCAAGTCAGGTAAAGTAAAGATAGTCTTGCAAGTAGAGTCTTCCAGGGAACCATTAGACAGGCTAAGTAAAAATAAAGTAAAGATAGTCTTGCAAGTAGAGTCTTCCAGGGAACCATTAGACAGGCTAAGTAAAAATTCTCTGGGAATGTGGCTTTAAAGGGGCTCCAACCCCGCTCTGCCTTCTCTGGGGACTGTCAGCCTGCTGGTCCTCACCATGACTGCAGACTGTTGGCTCCCAAGGCCATAGAGGAACTGGAGAGAGAAGGATGAGAACAAAGCCAGTCGAATCACCACAAAGCTCACTGTTCTCACTGAGATTCAGACATTTTTCTTGAATAAATGACCCCTACCTAAATTGCTGCTGCTTTTGGTTAATTTTCAGAGTTTTCCTAAAAGTTGATTCTGACAATTTTTGCAGTTTTGTTATTGCTTTTATGGAGCAGAGAATTTCCACCATTTTTGCTATCACTCTTATCATTTTTACTTTTTTTTCATGTTTTAGTTTATGTTCTTAAAATCTCTCAACTTTCACCATGTCAAATTTTTTATCTTAATGTTTTATCATCTTTACTTATTTGACTTCTGACTCTTTTTAAGGCTTAAGTTTTAGTGGGATGTTCCTCCTTACTTTTAACTTCTATTTTATCACTCTCTATTCTCATACCTTGTTTTTAATAATCCTTTAACAATTTTCAGTAATTTTTCTTTCCATGTTTCCCCTCTTTGATTTGCCTTTATGATAGCTGGCAACAGACACAGCTATTGAGGTAGTGCAAGAAGTCATCTATACTTCTTCCACTTCCTTAGCAGGGGAGTTCCTGGCAAGGATCTCAGCGGTTCTCCCAGAACAATTCTCTAAAACACCTCATCCCCTAAGATGCAAGAATCCTAATAGAATAACCCAGCCCACATTTTTTTCCATGCATGTAACACATTGACTTACTGGAATAACACTTCATAAGATCTCACAGGTACAGCAGGTTTTTAAATTCTTGGTCTCCAGCAGGTATTACTAATGAATTTCTTTTAGTAAAATTTGACAATAGCATGTTAGCCAGATGGGAGGATATTCCTGGGGAGGGCCACAGTGAGGCATCTATCTACTGTTAAAGTGTTGAATCTACTGAATGCAAAAACATGCCTTAGGAGATCTGGCCATTCATCATCAGCCTGCTTCCAATACACATTATTTCCAGGATGACCTACTTTCCTTCTTGGTAGGCCCATAGAAAGAATCTCTTGGTGTGTGGCTCTCCTTGCCTCATGTTGATTAAAGAGACAGTGGTCAGATCAAGGACCACTGTAAACAGGCCTGAGTTTCCTTTTATTCATTTTTTTAAAGATGGGATTCACTGTTTTCTTGCTGCAAGTACTTTCAATTACAGTAATTGTATCATTTAACAAACATGACAGGCTCATAAGTGCATGCAAACAACTTCTTATGGGTTTAAGATGAAATGTAGACTATTAATAGAGAAAATGATTCTTCCTTTTCCGATTTTATAAGATTAGAGAAAGTTATTTTCTAAAATTTTCTTTTAAAGGCACTATGAGATAGAGACAAAGAGTTAGCAAGATTTTTAAGTGGTGTTAGCTTAAAAATCAAATTTACAACTTTGGAAAGGAGCCTTTATTTCTTATAAATGATTACAGCCAGAAAGGTGACCACTCTGACAAGGCTGAGAAGTGTTAACTCTGGCAGAGCCCAAAAGACAGGCACTGTAAGGGAGGGAAGAGGGAAAAGGGATTTAGGGTGAATGTGTGGACCAAACATACATATTCAACAGGTTACAGGAGGAGCTATGATTATTCATAAAGGGGGATCCTAATGCATGTCCTAATGCATGCATGCATGTTTCACACAACCCATGTTCATTCTGGGGTGGAGACTTAACATTTAAATATATTACAGTTAGGCCTTACATGTCAAAAGGTCTTTCTAGGACATAAAGGCACCCAACTGCTCAGCCACTATAAAACTAGCCAGAACCAGTCCATGGTCAGTGGTCTCTTATCAGGAGAAAGTTATTGAAATCAGTCTCTTGTCAAACCAATGCTGTAGTTATAGCTTGTGGAAAAGGGTGGGTCAGTTAGTCAGCATCTGGCAGTTGTATAGATGTGCTACAATTGTTTTAACATTGTTTATCTCAAGGCCAGTGCTTGTTTAGCTGCTAGAGAAAAAGAAAAACCTTGTGGCAATTAGAACATAATTACTCTTTAAGTGTGGGGTGATTTACTTAACCCTTGCCTGGCAAGGCCTTAGGTCTTGTCTATAATTTGGTATTTTATTGCCACAAAAAAATCTGTTCTGTCAGTCCTATGATCTCTATTCTAACATTAATGTTGGCCAGTTGTTATGTCTACACTGCAAAAGGGAGGAGGTATAATGAGGCATGTCTGACCTCCTGTGCTGTCATGGCCAGGGACTGTTTTTAAGGTTTCTATGGGTCCCCTTGGCCAATAGGGGAGTCTCTTCAGTCAGCTGATGGCTTAAAATTTTGTTTTTAGTTTACAGTGGTGATCCTTATTCATTCACAGGTTCTTGAAGCCAAGTAAGAACATAGAATCTACTAGTGAATACACTCAGATCCCATAAACACTGACTGACTGACTGACAGACAGACACATTCATTCATTCACATATTTATTGAGTGCCTATGCTGGGCTGCCCAGGCACAGTGCTAGGTGCTAGGGATTTAAAATCCAGTGTACTTACTCACTAGAAAGGGTGAGAGTGCTGCTGGAGCAAAATCAGGGGCTTCTGAACAGAGTATGAAGAAAGGAATGTCAACTGCTATCTAGATGAATAAAGGGGAAAGGGCAATTTGGACAGAAGCAGCGGCGTGTGCAAAGGCCAGAGGCAAGGCGGTGTAACTCATGAGGCAACTGTGAGTGGTGCAGCTTGGCAGCTTGGCCAAAGCCACAGTTGTGGGGTAGGGAAGTGAGGGAATAAAATTCCATGAGCCAGCCAGGTAGGCTGGGGCCAGAACACGAAAAGCCTTGGATGGTGGAGAGCTACTTTAAAGTCTAAGGGGGAAAATACCTGTATGTTACGTTTCACTGGCAAAATGAACTGGTAACAGACCAAGGCAGAGAGACAGCTAGACAGTGGTTGCTGCAAGCTGGAAAGTAAAGGGCCTGCAGGAGTAAGCAGTGGCACAAAGGGATTGAGACAGTACAGAAGCTGCCCCAGCTATACCTAGGAGCTTGTTAAAATGCCAATCATTAAGCCCCTTCCTAAATCTACTGAATCAGAATCTCTAGGGGTGGAGTTCACTAATCTGTAGTCTAACAAGTCCTCCAGGTGATTTTAAGTCTGTGAACCACTTATTTATAGGACTTTGCAAGTGACTGCAGGTGAGTGGTAAGGGAGAGTGAGAAGTTTAAAATAATTGCTAGGTTCTGGCTTGAACAGTGGGGAGGACTATGATCCTACCATTCACTGAGAAGAGGGGACACTGGAGGAGACGCAGATCTGGAGCAAAGGGCTTAGACTCACTGAAGCATATATATTTTACTCACATTTATGTGTAAAGAAACTGAGACCCCAAAATGTGAAGTAACACCAGGACCATTTTCTATTTTCATTCTGTTCAATGTAAATATATCTTGTAGCTTGTTGTTGTTGCTTTTTGGTTGGCGTATCATTTGCCCCAACTGTTATCCGCCACCTCAGACAGCTGCAAAGCTAGTCAAATGCCTCTCATTACTTTCAACAAACACCCTTAGAGAAAAGGCTTTTTGAATTGAGCAAGCTCCAAGTCAAGTAAAGTAAAAGTCTTGCAAGTAGAGTCTTCAGGGAACCATCAGACAGGCTAAGTAAAAATTGTGTGGGTGTGTTTCCTATATATTATGATGCTTTGACATCATAATATATAGCCTTTCTAGCTGGGGAGAGATTGCCCCTGCTGGCATAAGGAGAGGCTGGTCAATTCTCAGAGACAGCAACGGGCCCAGCCAGGAGTATGCCTGTGACATGCAAACTAACCAATCCAGAGTCACAACTCCTCTATCTGGCCCCAACACCCTAAAAGGCAATAGCCCTCTGCCTTAATCATGCCAGGGCCAGGTTCTAGGTAACTAGGGACCACTCCTATAGCTTGGAGCCACTGAAATTATTCAAACTAGCCAGTCCTGCACTGTTCACCCCACCCTGCCTTGCCTTTCCTGAGAAAACCCCAATCAGGGTTCTAGCCTAAAGCACTTCCCTTGTTCCTGTCTTCTGCCTCCTGACCACGCTAGCGTCTTTCCCTTGTGGACCTGCACGGTGTGCCATGCCCTGTCTCTAGGACCTGTGAGTATAATGAAACAAGTTTTCCTGAGCCTCTCCTGTGTCTCGTGGCCACACTGACTAATCATCTCATAAAAGAATACAAAATGTAGATAGAAGACCCCAAGACCAGTCTGCAGAAAATAAGTTTCCTGCTGCTTACAAAAACCCTGCTTTATATGGAGCCATGTGTTGCTAACGAAACCTCTAAATCATTTGTGGAATTAAGAGAATGTGTCGGAACTGATATGGTATGTTCTAAGACTAACATCTCAAATATGCCACTTGTGGTACTACAAAAAAATGCCTATAAGCTTAAGATGGGTATTTGTAGAACTGCAACATTTTGTTGAAAAGTAAAGCTCTGGAGGCTTTTCCTGATTCTGCTTTTAAAACTACATCACAGCAGAAGTTCTTCCTTAGAAGGAACTGCGGCTGTTTAAACTATTCTATATTCTGCTGAAATCAGGAGGCCTGGATTCTGATCCTGGAGGTATCACTAACTAGTCCTCGGACCTTGACCAAGGGTCAGTTTACCTCTCTGGAGCCGAGCTTCCTTCTCTATAAAACAAATGGGTTGGGCTAGATGAGCTCTTGTATCTTTCTCGCTTTAAAAACTGAAATGATAGGATTTGTTTTCTAAGTGCTTTCTGGTAGTAATCACTTTAAGAAGTTATCATTATCAAGAGCAGGCTTGGGCTCAGGAACTCTGGGCTCATAGTCACTGGTGTCAGGGTTAGTTCAGTATGAAGAGGTACAAGAGGAAAGTAGTTAGCTAAGGAGTCTCCTCCTCTTCCAGAACTCAAAGTTAAATAATGCTTAGGTGAGAGACAGTAATGCAGCCAAAATCTCAAACTTACATAAAATGCTACTGCTTGAACCACCAAATATCTCATAATAAAACCATGTGTGCCCTGGATACACCATACTTTTCCACTCTCCCAGTGATTCAGCTATGAAACTACAAAATGTCAACTGCACAGCAAGCCTCTCCACCTTTGGAAAGATAGTAGAGTTTAATGGTTGAGGGTGCTGACTTTTGACAATTAGGTTAGAATCTCATCTCCATCACTTATTACTTATTGCTATATGACCTTGGGCTGGAGACTTACCCCTTTGAGCCTCAGTTTCCTCACTGTAAAACAGGGATAATAGAACATCATAATGTTATATTTAAATGAGATCACACATGTATTTACTATGAGTTAGGCTCATGTTGACAGTGGGGTTAAAATGCCTAACTTATAAGCCAGTGGGAGTGATGGACAAACAAATAATCATATAAATGTGCTGGAAAGAGATGGACACAGTGCTGTAAGCGCCTACTGTAGGAGGACTGGATCCAGGAAGAACTTGAGCTGCTGAGTAGGGGTGTAAACTAGATGAAAAAATAAAGAACATTCTGGGTAGAGGGACAAGTTCAAAGGCTCTGTGGTGGGAGAGAGCTTTTCATGCAGGAGGACCTAAGACATCTATATGATGAAGCAGAGAGAATATGAAGTAAATAATAAGAGATGAGTCTGGAGAAAGAGATCCAATCATTTAGGACCTTTTACGCATATTAAAGAGTCCCTTCTTGAACCTAAAAGGAACAAGAAGCCATTCAAGATTTTTAGAGCAGAGGGATGAGTAACAGTGATCAGATTTGCATTTTGAAAAGATCGCTCTAGCTGCATTATGGCAATTACGTAAGATTATAATACCATGTTTTTACTGTACCTTTTCCAGGTTTAGATACACTAACAGGTACCATTGTGTTACAAATGCCTAACTGTAAAATGCTGTACAGGTTTGTAGCCTAGCAGCAATATGCTATACCCTAGAGCCCAGCTGTGTGGTGGGCTATACCATCTAGGTAAGTATACTCTGATGTTCCCACAACAATGAAATCACATTTCTCAGGACGTATCCCCATTGTTAAGTGATGCATGACTGTATTAATTGCCCATAAGAACAATTTATCCATACAGAAATAACATCTGATACATAACTACAGTTATTACATAGGATTCCATTTCTTAGCAGAAATATATAGAAACAAGTAGTAAACTGAAAATCTTTACCTTGCATGAGGATTACTACTTCTTTAAACCAGAAAGCAAAAATATAATTTTGTTTGAAAATCAGCTGCATAGAAGTATAATTTCTCAGGTCAAAGTGCATGCTTATTTCATGATTATGAGAACTCACTTATGTGATGCTTCCCAGGCTTCCTCTTCTTCTAAAAGATCTCTTATGATGTCTGAACTGGAACTAAAAGGATATGTACATCAGTATTGACAGACAACAAGAAGACTGTATCGTCCCATTTATATAAAATTCTAGAAAAAAACAAATGAGTCTATAGTGACAGAAAGCAAACCAGTGGTTACCAGTAAGAGGAAGGAGGGAGAGTGGGGGTGGGCAAGGAAAGAGAGAGCCAAATGTAGTTTCCATTAGGAGAGGAGGAGCAAAGGCCAAAGGCGCTGAAAAACACTGAGGCAGATTTTACCATCTTTAGTATTTTCCACTAGCCAGGGAGGCTGAGATTCCCTGCCACCCCTACTTCAACAGAAGTTGTTCTAAACCCTTCTATTCACAAGACCCCAGCTCCTGCTACTCCTTACCTTGGAGAGAACTACTCCAATTTAAACAAAGCTGAAGCTGTTTTAACCCAACCTTTTCATTCCCTTCTCTCTACTCCAGTGTCATCCATTCTTCTTTACCTGATGTGCTTAAGGTACTGTTTCTCAAGCTTTTAAAACTATCATCTTCCTAAGCAGCCTTTTTACACTTTTCCCCCAATCCCATGAAATTTTAATACCACAAATATGATGTCTGTTTGTTCATGTGTTGAGATACACATACACGCACATGTATAAAGCATATATATATAAAATATATATATATATATATATATCTGTGTTTTATGCATACACACAGTAACCTTTTTACCCACTTCCCACCCCCACGAAAAACAAAATTCCACCCTTTGGGGGTGATACTGCTCCTACTGAAAACCCACGAGCTAGGGAAATGGGAGCTGCGGAGGATCACGTAGTTCTGGGGCCTGGCAGGGGTCACAGAGTTGGAGAAAGAGTAAAGTAAGCTTCTTGCCAACACCCCCCTGTGCTCCACAACACACACAATTTTTTTTTTAAACAGGAAGGTTACAAAGCATCTCTACTATTCTAGCTAAGAAAGGAGGATGGCCAAGCCTGTCAACTAACCTAGTAGAGTCTGTGATCAATTTACCTAGGGGCTTTCAAATCACCAGCACAAATCACTGATTTGTTAAAGGAAAACATTTGCAGTACACTAATGACATAAATCTAAGAGGTTTTTGCTATGCTACCTCAGTGAAAACAGATGTTAGAGGTGGTTAACAAAAAACACATCTCAGAAGTTGCCTGCAATCTCCTCTTCCTCTGTGACTTCAATGTCACTGCCCAGCCAGGCTGCACAGCTCCCTGGTGTCTTCAATTCCCATTATCTTTCCTTCTGCCCCACCTCAGGCACTCACCTGAATGATAACCAAATCACTAAATGGACTGATACAAAATTTGGGAGGTTCAGAATTTTATCTAAAATGAAGTTTCAGGATTATCTGCTATATCTGCTGTTCCAATTCTAGTCACCACTGAAAAACACAGTTGATGCTAATACAATTAAAATACCAGACAGAACTGCTCATTCCTTTTTCAAGTAATGTGCTTATTACCATATCTGCTCAAAAACCACATTCCTAAAATTAAACATAGTTTCACAAATAGGATTTTACAAAAAGACACTTAGGTATAGCAGTCAGTGTTACTAAAATTATCACTCAGATCGCTTCCCTGGGGATAAAAGCAATTAATATTTTTGAAGTCTTAGTCATTTTAATATGCCTTGAGGATCAAAAATTCCTTTAACATTCTTTCAAGACATTTAAAAAATCTTCCAAAGGAGAAAATTAATTACTCATTCTGATATTTCTGGGGTCAGAGCATATACAAGCCTACACAACTGCAGCTTTAAAGTCTAGAACGAGGAACTTTTTCAGCTTGTCTACTATTTGGTCTTGAAACATTCTGGAAGACCACGCTTCAAGAAGCTGGATGAATGTAAGGTTTGGTACATGAACGTTACAGCTCCCCTATGGAAGGGCATTCAAATGGCCCTCTCTGATGTCCCTACTGGTCCAGGCTACAGTGGATATTAATATATAGATTACACGTGAGAAAGACTCACTGGCAAAGATTCAAAATCGAATCTTGAATTCGATGGAATTCCCAACCTTGGTCCAGGAAGATATTAATAGGCTTATTTAGAACACCTGCAATTTATTTTTCACACCTTTTAGTCAGCTTTTAGCCTTATTTTCAGGTCAAAGTTGCAGAAATGTAAGCTAATTCTGTGTGTGTGCATGCACACACACATGCACACCTTGGCCAAGCTGGTTTTTCTGTAATATCTCACTCTTGTCATTCTCTGACGGAAAGTAGCACAGCTTCTTCAGCAAAGTAAAACACTATCTTCGCATATTCCTTTTGTAGCATCTTATTTCATTCTACTAGTAAAGAATTTACTACTGAAGCTGAAAAGTAAGATGTCAAATACCTACGGCAAATGTATGACTGGTAATGTTAGTTAGAGAAAAAACCCTCAGATTTCGGTGTCAGACAAAGTTAAGTTGAGGTCCCATTTCTGTTACTTACTGTGTAATTTTGGGCCAGTTACTTAACTTTCCTCTGTGTCAATATCCTCACATATAAAATCAGGATAATGATACATGTATTCCTTAGGGCTTTTTAAAAGCTTATTCAATATAACACATTAAATATTTAGCATAGAGCTTGGTACGCAGTAAATGTTCAACAAATGTCAGTTCCATTTTCATAAAACAGATTTGGGTCTGAATTATCTGAATAATTGCCTCAGCACCATGCTCCAATTTGCCCGAGAAAACCTGATTACTATGTGCTCTATTTTAATCTTTGATTTCCACTGTTTCTATGACACCAGGGTGTAAATTCATCAGAACCAGCATGGCAGGTACACAGGGTACTGCGGGGTAGGAAAAAACGCAAACATCTGCTATAAAAATCCTGAGGATTAAGGATTACCTACAAGTGGAATTTTTCTAGCATCTAGTAGTTACCTGCCCATATTTCTTCCCTTAATTGTGGCACTAATTTGAACGTGGTTGAGTATATCCAATTTAAAACAATAACTCTTCAAGGGTAGATCACTGGAGGATCAATGCAGGACAACATGCCTACCAGACAATGGTACTTAAATAAATTCTGTCAGCTACCATGAATCTTCCCTCAAACCCCTATTTTTAGTAATCTGTAAGACAAACAATAGCTTATATGCCAAATATTTTAGCAGTTGGCTAACGTATTAGAATAGTAAAGTTCCAGGTTCCAAAAAACTCATTCAATTATGACAATGACGAAAATTATCATGTTCTGAGCAACTACCTCTACAGGCCACAGTGATAATTACTTTGTACACATTAGCTTTTTTAATTTTTTTTTTTTTTTTTTTTTTGAGACAGGGTGTTGCTCTGTCACTCAGGCTGGAGTGCAGTGGTACAATCACAGCTACTGCAGCCTCAACCTCCTGTGCTCAAGGAATCCTCCCACCACATCTCCTGAGTAGTTATAGGTGCATACCACCATGTCTGGCTAATTTTTAAATATTTTGTAGAGATGGCATCTCCCTATGTTGCCCAGGCTGGTTTCAAACTCCCAGGCTCAAGTGATCCTCCCGCCTTGCTTGGCTTCTCAAAGTGCTGGGATTACAGGTGTGAGCCACCACATCCAGCCTTCACATTAGCTTTAATTCACAGAAGCACCCTAAGTTTTCTCCCCACTTGACAAAGGCTGAGAGAAATTAAAGTAAGTAGAAAAACAGGAATGGGAATGCAAAACTCATCTTGTTTTGCCACATTGTGCTGCTTCAATAGTGGTAGCAGAAAAATCAAATGCTATTGATTTTACCAGAGTTAAGAATACGCTCTCCTGCCTACTTATCAATAAGGTTTTTGTCGCACAAACATCAACACAGTTCTGGAAAAAACAAGGCTAAGAGTTTCACTGCTCTCCACTAGAACTAAAGAAAGATAAAATGAAGAGAGCTTAAGAGAAAATAATAAAAATAACTTACTAATATATGCAAAATCCTTAACAAGAGATGAAACCAAGCAACAATAAGTTTACGTTCTATTTACAAAGCATTCACAATATATGATCATCTAATTTGCTTTGTAGACTCATCCAGGGAAGTTAGAGGGACAAACAAACAAAAAAAGCTATTATTCCATTTTTTTCAATGAGGAAACTGAAACTCTGGGAGATTAATTTAAAATTCCATGTGCCAGGCACCTTTCCAGAGTCATAAAGCCAATGGCTGAGCTGACCTCCCACAATGAAACAAGGAAGACTGACTGCTAGGTACATGGATCTCAAGGAGTCATACACATTTCAAGGACTTGATGTCACAGTATCTTGGACAAAGATACATTCCCCTAAAACAAATGTTCCATTCATCCAAAAGATGGTCTGCCTCATGCACCACACCCAGTTTAAGCGCTTTTTTTTTTTTTTTTTTTGAGATGGAGTCTCGCTTTGTCACCCAGGCTGGAGTGCAGTGGCGCGATATCGGCTCACAGCAACCTCCGCCTCCCACGTTCAAGCAATTCTGCTGCCTCAGCCTCCCGAGTAGCTGGGATTACAGGCACATGCTACTGCGCCTGGCTAATTTTTATATTTTTAGTAAAGGCCAGGTTTCACCATGTGGCCAGGCTGGTCTTCCTGACTTCAGGTGATCCACCTGCCTTGGCCTCCCAAAGTGCTGGGATTACAGGTGTGAGCCACTGTGTCCGGCCGAAGCTCTTTCAAAAATGGAAAAGATACTGAAGAACTGTTTCATGTTCTCACATTTTCTCTAGAAAGTTCCAAAAAAAAAAACTCACCACCTGAAACAGAATGAACCATTTAGCTTTCAGGGTATTCTAAAGTTCATAAATATTCCCACAAAAAAGGCTATAATAAAATACACACAGTAATGAGGTTTAGTAGAAAAAGATTTTGTGGCAACATTACATTCATCGAATGTCACATTTAAGTTATAAAATGAAATATAATGTCAACTTTCCAACAGCAATTATGAAGATTTTAAAAAATACAAAGCCATCATTGACTTACAGTAAGATACTTCACTTCCAACTTAGGATATTGTTCCACTAGTTTGATGTTTTTTCTCTCAATTTGACCAGAAACATAAACACTTACTTAGTAGTTTTTCTAATAATTCCAATACCCTCTAAATTACAAAGTTTCATTAATATATTTGTCTTCCTTACTGTCTACACCACCAAACTTTATTAACCAATTTATGATGACGATTAACACTGATGAGATGATTTCCAAAACTTTATAAAGAGTAAGGTTTAAACAGTACTTGCTCTCTTTTTTTTTTGTTTGTTTGTTTAAAGTAGATTGATATATTTACATGGTTCAAAATCAAATGACATAAAAGATGTATACTGAGTTGGCCCACTTCCTCCTTTGTTCCCATCCAACCTGTTTTCTCATCTCCAACATGCAATCACTTTCATTAGTTTGTTGTGTAGTCTTCTAGTGTTTCTTTATGCAAAACCAAACAAATATAAGTATTCCTCCCCCTTTTAGAAAAGAGGTCACATGCTATACATGCTGTTCCGAACACTGGACTTTCCCATTATCCAGGAATCCTAGTTGAAATGCTGATTTTAAAATGTTTAGATCTAGTCCTAAAAAACAACCTGCAAAAATTCTCTCTTGCTATAGCCATATCTGTTCCCTCTTTTCTGACCACCCCAACCCACACAGTTCCTGTACCCTCACATCTTTCACGTGCAAATCAAGTGAACTAACCCAAGCCCATCTGGGCATGCTGTCTTCTGGATCCTAAAACCCCCAGAACCAGGGTTTTCTGTCCAGGAGACATTCAGGACTCTTATTTTCAGAAGAACAAATTCTAAATCTGAAAAACTTGTATTTAATATGTACACTGATAATTTTTAACTTTAAAAACATGATAGATTCTACTCTGAAAAACAGCATTGGACTGAATCTGTCTTCCATTATCCTCTAAGGTTCTGGAGCTACATGAAAACAGTGGAGTGGGGAAACTCATAAACCTGTAACTTTAATATGTCACCTGTTCATTTAACTTTTAATCTGGCTTCAGTGCCTTCTGAGATTTGGAGAACAGCAAAAAAAAGCAGAAGAAAGCATTATATCTGAATTCAGAAAACTGGCTTTACCATTCATTAGGATCATGAGATTAAGTCACTTAATTTCTTTTTCGACTGACTCAATCATTGCCTTACCTGCCCCAAAACAGGGGCGCTTCAAATGCTCTTGCTGTCCTTTCTACCACAGAAGCACCATGAGCCTATTTGTCCATGTATGTCCCACCTATTCAACTGTTCAACGGTGTATTCATATAATAAAAGCTAAGCTTCCTATTTGGTGTGTTCTCTCCCTCACCCACGGGGTAGTTGTACACTAGGCATTAATCCCTAGCCCACAGTGAGACGCAGGGTGGCTGAAACCCATGGCGGCATCATCTCTTTATCCTGGCATGCCACAGAAATACTATCATTTGCTATGTGTGCTGAAGAAAAGGGTTAGGAAACATTGTATTAAAGATAGAAGAAAAAGAGAGAGAAAGAATACATTCCTTTTAGTCAATCACTTTAAATTCTTATAAAAAGTAAACTGCTGTATTTTTTTAAGGAAAAAAAAAATAAGAACATTAGGTTAGTTCCAAATATTGGAGTTCTCATGGATGTCTACAAAAATTCAAGTTCAAAAAAGAATTAAACATTTGTGCTTACATTTAACTTACAAGCTTAAGAAACAAAAGATTATCCTCTCTGAGAGTCTAATGCAAAGGAAATTCTTTTTTTTAATTAGCAAAATATCCACTGCTACAACTAGACACTAAACCAAACTCTGAAGTTAAATGGGCAGGGAAACAAAATAAGGATGCTTCATTCTGTTTTTATTCTTTCAACTGTCAGCAGTATAAATGACTGACACAAATAAAAATCAAATAATAAAATGTAGGGGGATAATAGAAATCGCTTACAACACTGAACCCCACAAGGAAAAATGAAGTGAAAGACAAGGAACATCCCCAAAATGAAAATTTCCTCTACCACTTAAGCTTCAATTTGATTACAAGCGTCCTTGATAACAGAATCTGAGGGGTTGAGTATGAAGCTGGTGACAAGACTGGCATGTCTTCAGCACAGCAAGGCCAAATCTATGTAATATACTCATTAACCCCACCCTGAGAACGCCCAGTTGGACCAGATAAATAAATACCACATAGTATGATGCTACTAAAGGAATTTGGTCTTGACTGGTAGTCCCTTCTAAGTTTGAATCTTTTCCTGATTTCTATGGTATCAGTTACCAGAATCAAATGGGTGTCTCTCTTGACTAAGTTTCAGCGTCATTAAATAACACTGGCAATAAGCAATGATTCTGATAGGTAGGCATTTTAAATCAGTACAATTCATTCAGAGGGCAATGCCTACATATCAGAATAATAAAGATAAGTGGCCAGGTACGGTGGCTCATGCCTGTAATTCCAGCACTTTGGGAGGCCGAGGTGGGTGGATCACTTGAGGTCAGGAGTTTGAGACCAGCCTGGCCAACACGGTGAAACCCTGTCTCTACTAAATGTACAAAAAAAAAAATTAGCCAGGCGTGGTGGCACAGGCCTGTAATCCCAGCCACTTGGGAAGCTGAGGTAGGAGAAATGCTTGAACCTGGGAGGTGGAGGTTGCAGTGAGCCGAAATCGCACCACCGCACTCCAGGCTGGGCAACAGAGTGAGACTCCGTCTCAAAAAAATGAAAAAAAAAGTATTCAATAGAAACAAAGGAAGAGCTTTACCATAGCATCAGGTACATAAGTAGAACACTGGGAAAAATGTAGAGCTCTAACAGAAACTGAAGGGTCTGGTAAATTATAGCGCAGAGACATAACAGAATACTGTACTCATTAAAAAATAACAATTATAAACATAAGCTATTATGTTGGTGCAAAAGTAACTGTGGTTTCAATTACTTTTGTGCCAACCTATAGAAACGTAACATTTATGACATAACATTAAGTGAAAGACCGGAACAAAAACTGGTATGTGTGTGTGCATGCGTGTGTGTGTGTGTGTGTGTGTGTGTGTGTGTAAAATAAACCCTATATATTTTTTAAAATATCTTTTCAAAATGACTCATTACCAAACTTCTCATTTTTAAAGTTTCCCCATCTATTCTATTTACTCAGTTAAATTTTTCATTTCTTAACCCTCCTATGCGCCATGTCTTTCTGATCATTTCTGTTTTCCAATATAGTTGTTTTTATCTCCTTTACTCATCGTCTTGACAAAAATTTCACTGTCTATCATGCTTTCTTTTCCAACGGTAGGAAAAGTATCTACATAAAGGCTATAGAGTAGAGACCAAACTCACCCTGTGATCCCTGCACTACCTTCCCAAATCCTGCCTTGTTATCACTGTGAAGAAGACCCAGCAGTAAAAGGGGACTGAAATGTAAGAGTGACACACCATGCCATGCCTCAAAGCTACATTCTAATTATTTCTGCCTATCTATCTACATGTGCATATGAAGTAGATATTTAAAATAATCAACTACTGCATGTTTCTTACCTATTGCATGAATCTGATTCTGATGAAGAAAGAACTTCTTGAATATCAATACAGCTAGAAGAATCCTCTTCTCTGTCAGGTTCCAATTCCTCTGGGGAGTCCAGCTTTGATTGAGAAAAGTGGTTTGTTACTGAGGTCATATTATCTTCCTGTCCTAGGAAAAAATAAATTTAAGAGTACCTTAAAATCTACAACTTCTGTATGCCTATTACTTCTGCAACACTTAATACTGCCATGTGCACTTAGTAAAGTTGAAGTATATGTCACATAGATTCCAGAACTCTAGTGACAGCCAGAGAGCAAGAATTAACACTACAATGGTGCTATCTAATTATACTGTCCAGCCCATGTTTTTCCAAGATTAATTAGTTTAAAAATAAAATTTATTTTAAAACCAGAAGCAGGAAGAATCTTGTAATTCTAATGAGGCCTCTATTAACATATCACTAAGGAATTCTTGCATATTTCATAGATCAGAGAACACTGACAAACCAACATAAGAAGTATAACCAAAAAAAGACTACAGATTCAACTAATAAGACAACCACAATATTTGCTACTATTATATGATAGTGAATCTATCTGGACATTTTTCTAAACATTTTTCTAGGTTAACTAGAATCTAATTATTCTCTATGGAAAAGGACAACTAAACAGACATAAGGAATATTTCCATTTGATCCAATACACATCACATTTCCGTGCATTCTTTGTCATATTCTCAGATTTCAAGGTCTCTTATTGCAGATAAAAATAAAGACCCCAAAAAGCTGGAAGGATGCAGTGTTTACAAAAATGTGGCATATGGGTATGGCCAATTTTCTACAAATATGAGTGGAAGAATATCTGTGAAAGATTCTTTAGTGCCCAGGATTCTCCCACTCATCATGAACGCTGCTGGGATTTTCATCTGTGCTGTCCTTAACTTTCAGGAACTGAGGAGGTACCTCACATGCAAGCTACATGTGCTAATAATACTACAGAGCTCCTTTCATGTGTTTCCTCACAGAGAAACAGAGCTTTCACACATCACTCATCAAGCACTTGTAGAGGCAAGTGGTCTTCAACAAAGCACACTAAAAATACAATTGTCAAGGTTTGATTATACAGAGAGAATTTATGGGGAAAGAACATAACAAATTCTTCAAAAAACCTTGCCAAGTTCATACAGTTAAATTTTTTTCAGAAATAGTTCTAAGTTTTTGTTACACTGAGAGAACAGCATACTTCACAAGAGTGTAATTCCTAAAAATATGCTCCTAATGTCATCTGGCTGTCAATAAACTATCATTAGCAAAACAAAACAGCACCCTCTAATGTATATCTGGAAAAGGGAAAAAGAATTTAGCCAGGATGACCATCCTGAACCTCTAGGAACTCCTCTTGTAAACAGATACCAGAATCACATTAAGAGGAGCCAATCCCCCAGTCAACTCGGTTCACCCAGGGACTATATTACTCAACTAGTGAGGTGCATGCAAGCAAGCTAGCAAACCAGGGAACAGGAATTCAACTTAAAACAATCTTTTATTTTTGCACATTGTCTGTATTCTTTTCTTACTTCTTCCACTCTTACATACACTTCTAGAAGATATATTCCCTCTTGGGAACAAACAGCATTCAATAATCTGTGGGCATAAAAAATAAGTTATCCTTCCTACTTGCCCTTAGATCTCAGAATGCAGGACTCCAAAATAGAGCCCCGAAGAGTGAGGCTCAGACATCAGAGCTCCCCAGAGACACACAACAAAAACAGGCTAAGTTTTCACTTGAGAGAATATGCAACTTGTTCACTTACATGAGCACTTCAATGTTCTAAAGAGCAACAATTATATTGGTTGTATGATGCTATACAAAATCCATCTTTTCAGTCAGTCTGTGTCTGTCTTCATCTCTCTCACATACCTTACCCTCTCAGACATCTCATTCATGCACAGCAATCTAAAAGCAGCAATCACCTCTGAACCCCGGAAAGAGTAATATTGATGTTCATAAATACATACAAGCCATCAATGATATTCAAGAGAGGTTCAACTAATTAAAAAAACTTTTCTTAATGGGAAATATTCAGTCAGATTTTCTCAAGTGCTAAACTAGTTTCTAGAAATATCCTTTAACAACTGCATGAACAAGTTCGAGTTGTTCAATGACCATGAGTTACATACTGAGGCAGCACTTTATGCACAAATTGTTTATTAGTCACTAGGGAAATGCAAATCAAAACCACAATGACATACCACTTCACATCTACAATTTTTAAAAAATTTAAAAATCAGAAAATAACAAGCATTGATGAGGATGTGAAGAAATTGGAACCCTCATGCTTCGCTGGTGGGAATGTAAGATAATGCAGCCACTATGGAAAAGTTTAACGATTCCTCAAAAGGTTCTAAACATAGAACCAGCATATGAATCAGAAATCGCACTCTAAGCTGAAACTTAAATATCTGACCACCAATGCTCATAGCAGCATTATTTATAAGAACCAAAAGGTGGAAATAACCATAGCAGATAAATGGATAAACAAAATATGACATATACATACTATGGAATACTGTTTAATCAAAAATTTTAAAATATTTTAAAATTTTAAAATGTGCTACAACATTGAAGGACTCTGAAAACATTATGCTTAGAGAAAGAAGCCAACACACAAAGACAAATATTATACAATTCCATTTATATGAGGTACCTGGAATGGGCAAACTCATAGACACAGAAAGTGGAATTGTTATTACCAGGGCTATGAGGCAGAGGGGACGGAAGAGTTGCTATTTCATGAGTGCAAAGTTTGTGCTGGGAATGATGAAAATGTTTTGGATATAGACAGTGGTGATAGTTACACAATATTGTGAATGTACTTAATGCCAATGACTTGTACATTTATGAAGGGTTAAAAAGATAAACATTGTGTTATGTATATTTTACCACAATATAGAAAAACATAATAAGCAATTTTCTTGCGCACTTTCCCCCATTATGATTCTTTTTTGTTCACTGGTCCAAAGCCCAGGCAATAGAATTAAAATATCAATTTCAAATTTTAAAATGGATCAAAGTTAAGGAACGTGCTCTGTATTAGCCTACCAGGTATGTTAACTTTAGACTGTTTGGCAGAACATTTCATCCAAAGTAAACACCAGTGTTCTATCACAAAAATAATTCACTCTCTTTACAGGATCTCCACCAATAAATTCTATATCTAGAAAACATCCTGAAGCTTAAATAACAAAGAAATTTATGATTTATCATTAACTGAAAGGACGATAGACAAAAAGAGATTGTTTCTTCAGGACATTCTTCCAACCACTTTCCCCATAGTAATAAATCTAGTTTACAAACTGCTACATGAAGTTTGTCTAAAAATACTTTTTCTCATTTCAAAGAACTAAGAACTCCAAAGTAAATTTCTTTGGTTTAATTTTTTCATATTAAAAGTAAATAATGAAATTCGACATATGTCTGTTTTTAATTATAGTCTCTTACCCATGCATACAGAAGATAGCTTTTCTGTAGATTCATCTTCTTTTGTTATTGTTACTGTTTTTTGTGACATTCCAGCAATTTTCTTGTATCCTTTTCTAGCCTGATCCACCAGAAGCTGAAATTCACTCTTATGTTTTTTACCTGAAATTCAAAAGATCTTCTCAGTAAAGCTAGGACTATGAAAGTTAACCATCTACAACTGACAAACTGAATATCAAGAGGTGTACAAGGGATGGGCATGGTGGCTTACGCCTGTAATCCCAGCACTTCAGGAGCCTGAAGTGAATGGATCACTTGTCAGGAGTTCGAAACCAGCGTGGCCAGCATGGTGAAACCCCATCTCTACTAAAAATACAAAAAAAATTAGCCAGGTGTGGTATCACATGCCTGTAATCCCAGCACTTTGGGAGGCCGAAGTAGGTGGACCATTTGTCAGGAGTTCGAGACCAGCCTGGCCAACATGGTGAAACCCTATCTCTACTAAAAGTACAAAAAAATTAGCCAGGTGTGGTATTGTGTGCCTATAATCCCAGCTACTTAGGAGGCTGAGGCACAAGAGTCACTTGAACCTGGGAGGCAGAGGTTTCAGTGACCCGAGATTGCACCACTGCACTCCAGCCTGGGCAACAGGGCAAGACTCTGTCTCAAAAAAAAAAAACAAAAAACAAAAAACAGAGGTGTACAAGCTTGCTCAAGAACAGCATCCTTAGGAATCACTTGCAATAAATTTAAAAGCTGCCAAGCATAAGAATACAAAGGGCTGGAGTGTCATGGAACCTTCTTTTTATCTTCTCCCTTCCTCAAATACAAATATGGAAACATGATATTCCTAGTTAGCTACTCTAGGTTTCTTCCCAAACTCCATTCTCTAGAAAGGCTTTTACATAATCATAAGAGCATGAAAGATGCCCGCTTTCTTAAATATATACAAATGATACCATTCTAACTTCCAAGATACAAGAGAACTAAGAGTATTTGCTGAATCTAAAATAGAAGCTTCTAGGAAAGTTGAATCATCATAACAAAGGAATGTCCGTCTACTCCAGCTCTCCTTTTTTTCTTCACATTTCCGGCCGGTTTCCCAGTAGAGCCCCTTTAAGATTCTAAGATCTCTCCCAACCAATTCTACCTTATCTTACGATACTATACTAACTCTAATCTTTATTTACTACCATTTTAACACCTTTGAATATAATTAACCCTGACCTCAAGATCATCATTATTAATGTACCAATCTGTTCAATAAAGAGCAGCCAGTCATCATTACTGTATGGACTTTAGGGCATGTATTTGTGATTCTGAACCATGCAGCTGAGGTCACAGTTTACTTATCTAGCAACGTTAAATACTTAGGCCACAGTCCAAAGTAATGTCATAAATCCTATAAAATTTTTAGGGAGAACCATACTACAAATGGTTAAAACAAAATTTTGACACTGTTTTCATACAAAAATCAACAATGTACTTGTTATCACTTGGTTTCTTCCATTTTCCTTAGCATAATACTAAGGCATAGGGAATTTACTGGGTGTAGGGAAAAAATTGTGCTTCAGTTGAACTATGGCATTGTCTAAATCTACTCTCCCAAGATTCCAGCCATTCACTGCCTTTGAGCTATGGTATAACTCTGTATGTTGTAGATAACTGAGAGCAATGGAAAATAATTCTTGTCTATAGATATGCAAAATCCTGTTGGGTGGAGGTTCAATTGACTTTCCTCCTCCAATGTGGAAGAAGCCAGTTTTTTGCTCATTATACATTCATTTCAATGTTCCTCATCTGTAAATGTGATGATTCTTTGGCTCCTTCTTTGATCACCTCATAATATCAGTCTTCTCTCTACTAATGAGTTTAAATCTTTAATAAAAACACATGTTCATTTTACATCCATATGAGAATGATGTTAGTTGTTTTTGAAAATTATCTTTTAACGCAAAAAGAGAAAACACTAAATTGTGACGCACAAGGAAGAAAATAGTTGGATTCCTATACATGAATATTGACAGGCACAGCAAAGACATTCAGGAAAGAATGCTCCTAATTACAATATTTTTATGTGTATGGTACATGTATGAAAACTTCTAGTGAAACTAATGTTGGGCTATAAAATGTATGGCATATTTTAAATAAAAGACCAATTAAAGTGTCAGCAAAAGAAATATATGCTGGCCGTAAAGATCACTGGAAAAAACTAACTCTTTACAAACAAGTGAGATCCTATCTAGGACACAAGCTAGGTGATTTCTTTGAGGTCCTATTTCACTCTACGCACTTGAGGATAATTATCTTGTATTTCTCTGGCTGCTTAGAATCAATGGGCTAACACTACCATCATCATTATGTAGTTTCTATTAGGCGAGGGTGACACAGTACTATGGGATCTACATAATTTAGTTAGACCAGGTCTAAGCTATTTTCCTACTAAGGCCATTCCACTGTACACATAAAGACTGGAGATTTAAGAATTAGTCAAGAAATTTGCTAAAGTAATCACATTAACAGTTAAGGAGACTTAATGACTTATTATCTTCTGAAGTAATAAAATCCCAGATTTAAATCTAATTACCCCACAGCTAGGCTGGAAACCAAAAGTAAATGGCAGCCACTACTCTGGCTTTAGCCAGAGAATTCCAATAACCCCTACTCAGAAAATGAAAAATGTCAACAGATCAAGACTAGTAACATTGTTCCCACTTACTTCTTTACTTCATTTTAGAAGATCTGCCATTTGGCAAGGAATACTGCAGAGTTTAAAATCTCAGTTCTGGTGGGCATGTGTCCTGGATTTTCCTCTTAAAAGTTTTAAGTGGCTCAGCTAGTCGTGGGAGTGTCCATGACTAAGTACACGTTCAATCAACTCATTTTCTTCCAGATTTTGAATACCTGAATCATACCATCCTTTGTGCCTCTCTAAGTTTAAATGTAATCTTTTTTAGAACGAAATCAAGCCCTTTACTCCCTGATCACTTTAACTACTCTTCTTTAGACCAGCCCTTACAGTCAGAGTGTCTCTGGGTCTGCCCAAGAACCCAGAACCCAGTGGTACAAAAGACTAAAAACAGGCTCTCTCAAGAGTAGAAAAGACTCACACCCTTCTACAGTGATGCCACTGAGATACTTCTTCTACTTTAAATCAAGAAATGAGTTTGGAGTCAGTGTTTTCCAAAGTAAAATCCCATATATTTCTTTCACCATCATATCACCTATGATAGCCAACCAGCTAAATGTGGATGAAGAACAGAGTTTAACAGTTATGGCTAATGTTCACTACAGGCTTATTCATCTAGCCCTGAACTGACTAGTGACACTTTAATTTCATGATCATAATTCTCAAATGGGCATTCAATACTGCTATAAAACTCTTGCACCTTTCTCTAGTAAAGTTTGCTCTACTATTCTCCAAAATATCTATCTCACACTTTCTTCTCTTCATTCAAATATTCGACACTCCCCATGTGGCCCCTCTTAGTTGGCCTCACACTACTTTGAAAAATATAGAATCATTCTAACAGAAACTCTGTCATCTTCCAAGCACCAATATACCTTGTCTGTGCACTTATGATCTATTTCCCTTGTTCTTACCATGAAACAACTGTCCTTGCTATAATTAAAGGCTAACCTCTAACTTATGCTCAGGATTCCATCATGAAGCTGTGAACAGAGAGACTGTGCCTTTGAACCTAGAGTGTGAATTATGAAAATAACTCAGTAAATCCAGACCAGCATTTTTTTCTTAATGAAATAATAAAGAGAATAGAAAGTATCAGAATGCGTTAAAAATGGAAAAGGTAAATACCATTTTGTGAAGCTTTTGTTTCAGTCATGTGTATGTATACAGTTAGTAGTAATATAAAATTTATCTCTCACTGTGGGTTGTAGTCAAAAAGGTCAGAAAGCCACTGAGTTAAATATCTCCCAATTTAAATAACAAACTTTAAAAAACAAGCAAACAAAACCCTCCCTTGACCCAACACCCCCCTCCAGCTATGACCCTATTTTTTTGCTCTCCTTAACACAGTAAAACCTCCCCCGAAAAGTTGTCTACCTTAATGGTCTCATTTCCTCACCTCCAATTTGGTCTCAATCAACTCTAAACACTTCTGACCTCTCTAATAAGGCTGGTCTTGTCAAGGTTTGCTGCTTCCAAGCTGTGAAACTCCTGTTCCCTTCTATCTCTGTGAAATGTAATGTTGTCTGTTCACAGCAACGTTTGGCCTAAGTCATGATTTGTTTTCTCTCTATCTCAGAGATCACAGTCCTGTGCTACCTGTTTCCCATTATCTGAAAAACCATTCAACATTCACCTCGTTTTCTAGATTTTTTTTTTTTTCATGGAGGAGAGTAAATATAGTCTCTGTTATTCCATCTGGGCTAATAGAAATCTCTATTTCTATTTTTTGGAGAGGGGGAAACAGTTTTTTTTTTTTTAATCAAAATATGTTATTTATGCTAACATGTAATGGGTTTATTGTTAATATTTTTGAAATTTCTTGGTTTTAATTTCTTCTTTGACCTATGGGTTATTTCGAAATGGATTATTTAATTTCCAAATATTTGGTGACTTTCCCAAGGGCTTTGTTACTGATTTCTAATTTAATTTCACTGTGGTCAGAGAACGTATTTTGCATGCCAAATGAATACTCAAGGTGAACTCTCTGCAGATCACTGGGTTTCTCCTTCCAGTACTATGTCCTGCAAACTCTAACTCCTTTGGTTCCTCTGATCTCTCAGCTCTTTCTCCTTAACTTAGAGTCTCCAGGCTTTGCCTGGAATACCCACTTGCCCATACTACAGCCAGGAAACTGTATTATAAGGCTCATCGCATTTTTTGCTTACCTCTCAAGGATCCCTGTCCTTTGTGGCCAGTATCTTGAAAATTGCTATTTCATATGTTTTGTACATTCATTTTGCTTGTTTTAGGTAGGAGAATAAATGAAGTTATTCCATGGCTGGAAACAGACACCCTCTAAGTTTTAATTGATAATGTGATACATATCAACAGATATGACCCACATAAACAAAGGCTCTTTGGTGTCCTTGAGATACAGAATGGCTGGGCTCCTGGCTAAACTCCACCCTTAACCTGGGACCTTGGCCCTAAGTGAAAACAGCTGACCCCATCTCACCGCCCAAATATTGCCTTTTTGGTCTGCCATGCCCCTATCCTTTGCCCATAAAAACACTTCAGCTGGCAGAGCAACACAAGCGGCTGATGCAAGCGGTCAGGGATGCAAGCTGCTGAGCGTCAGGGATACAAGCAGCTGAGCATCAGAGACTACAGACAGATGCAGCTAACTTCAGATGGTGCAGCTTCAGGGAAAGATCACCTTCTTCCCGCATCATCCCCTTTCCAACTCCCATCCGCTGCCAGCCATCACCCAATAAAATCCTCCACATACACTACCCACTATCGGTTTGTGCAACCTCAATTTTCTAAGACGCTGGACAAGAACCCACATGCTGAAAGGGCAGGGGCTAGGACACTGCTACGGGGCCTGCACAGAGCCTGCTCCCACCAGAGAGGAGCATCTGGCTGGTTCCAGCATTCGTTCCCTCTTGCAAGGAGTGGCCAGCAGTGCGCTGAGTGAAAGGATCTACTCCAGTTCCCACCCACAAAGGGGGTCAAGGTCCAGGGAACTATCCCATAATACGGGGGCTCATCCAGGATATGACAAAGGGTGAGTTAAAATGTGGAATTGTTGGATCCGTCTCTTTTCCAAGACCCTGCCACCTCTCTCTTTCCTTTGGGTTAAAGGAATGTTGGTTCTGTTTCCCTTCATGGAGGTCTAGCTGATCTGAATTGAGGTAGACATAGAGTGATTAAAGGAACCCATTTCCAGAGAGCAAGAGGCTCTTCCCCCAGGCCCCCAACCCCCAACTATTCACTTTAAGCATTTTTTTTTTTCTTTTCTAAGTGAGAGAGTTTTTTTCCTACCTCAGGACTCTGCTTATAATAGGGAAATGACAGAGGAGCCACCCCTGAGGTCATTAGGATGAGCCCTAATCCAATATGACTGATATGTTTATAAAAGGGGGAAATTTGGACACAGAGACAACATAGAGGGAAGACGATGTCAAGAGACATAGGGAGAAGATGGCCATCTATAGCCAAGAAGAGAGACCTAGAACAGATCCTTCCTGCATGGCCCTGAGAAGCTCGGGACACCTTGATCTTAGACTTCTAGCCTCCAGAACCCTGCTGACATCTTGATCTTGGACTTCTAGCTTCCAGAACCACAAGACAATAAATTTGTTATTTAAGCCATGCGGTCTGCATGCAGTATTTTGTTTTGGCAACCCTAGCACACTAATAAAAACACATAATTAGAAATTAATTAGAAATAAGTAATTAATTGCACAATAAATAATGATTATGACCATTATACTCTTCCTTGCTTTATTTTTTCACTTATCACTTCCTAAAATACTAGAAAGATATAAACTCCAACAGAGTAGGCTTCTTGTCTGTCTTGTTCATTCCTATATCCCCAGCTCCGAGCACAGTGTCTGGCACGTGCTAAGTACTTGACAAACTTGTGATGGCTGAATGAATGGAATAGTACTACGAAAAAACACAAGATAATGTAAGTGCACATAGAAAGAAAATCTTACCTTGTCCTAGAGATCACAATGGGTTTCCCAGGGAAACTACAGTTGAGCTGGTTGAGAGTGGGGAGTATAGATAGGGGGGTCAGAGGCAATTAGAGAAAGAGATAGTTCCAGACAAAGAGAGAAGAGGGTAACAAATGCCCTAAAACAGTGAAGGACTTGGTAAAGTAGGTAAAAGATAACCAGAGTGATTGGAATACAAGGAGTAAGGGGAGGAGAAGAGGCAAGGCTAGAGAGGTAGGCAGGTCCAGATACAGGAAATAACAGACTTTACAAACTGTAGCTTAAGAGAAATCGAAAGCCCACTGAAGAGTTCTTTACAATGGCAGGAGGGCAGCAAGGCAGAAATGGCATGATGTGAAGACTCAGCAGTTTTGGAAGACAGTTTTGGCTTCTGAGTATTAGGAAGGGGCAAGAGTAGATGGGGGATGACTAGAGAGCAAAGTGATACATAAGAAGTGTACGGACTCGGGGGATATTTAGAAGATAGAGACTGACAGAACTTGGTGGTGAACTGAACATGGGCAGATAAAAAAAAAAAGTAACAAATGAAAGATAAAGAATCAGAATGGCAAGCTAGTTATTAGCAACAGTGATGGAAAGTAGAAAACAGCGGAAGAATACCTTTGAAAATTTGGAGAAAAGTATCTTTTTAACCTAAAGTTCTACAAACAGCCAAATTATCAATCAATAATAAACGGGTTATTTCCTGTTATGTATGGAATGTTATATATCTCAAGAAATTCCTCTATACCAGGGGTGTCCAATCTTTTGGCTTCCCTGGGCCACACTGGAAGAAGAATTGTCTTGGGCCACACATAAAATACACTAACACTAACAATAGCTGATGAGAGAAAAAAAATTATCATAATGTTTAATAAAGTTTACAAATTCGTTTTGGGCTGCATTCAAAGGCCATCCTAGGCCGCAGTTTAGACAAGCTTGCATACACCGTTTCTCAGGAAGTTTCCTGGCAAATGTATTCTACCAAAACAAGGCAAGAGAAGAGGGAGACTTGGAACTTGGAAGAAGTGAACCAACACAGGAAGGAGGAGAGCAGAATTCCCAGAAAGTTGGTGACAAGAAATTCCAGAAGAGCAGCCATGTATTAACAGAAGGCAAAAAGGACAAGCATAGTAGACTGGAACAGGACAACAGAGGCTAGGGGTGGCCCTAGGAGAGACGTTCTTGAGAAAATAATGAGTTATAATCAATGTGTGTAAATGTATTGGAAAGTGATTTACACTTCTGTTGGAAGGTTTAGAGATATATTAGTACTAGGTAAATAGTTAAACAAACAAAAGAGAATTATTAGTTATAAGAAAAACAAGGCCAGGTGCAGTGGCTCACGCCTGTAATCCCAGCACTTTGGGAGGCTGAGGCGGGCGGATCACGAGGTCAGGAGATCGAGACCATCCTGGCTAACACGGTGAAACCCCGTCTCTACTAAAAATACAAAAAACTAGCCAGGCGTGGTGGCAGGCGCCTGTACTCAGGAGGCGCCAGCTACTCAGGAGGCTGAGGCAGGAGAATGGCGTGAACCCAGGAGGCAGAGCTTGCAGTGAGCCAAGATAGCGCCACTGCACTCCTGGACAGAGCGAGCCTCCATCTCAAAAAAAAAAAAAAGAACAACAGAATGTTTTGATGAAAGGAATTATAACCATCTTATGCAAATTGTCTGGCTTGAGCCATAAACAATGTATCTAACTAAATACTGAGCTTACAAAAACTTATGACATAATATTTAAAGGATGGAAGGGAAGCAAAGGTAGGGCTCAGGATATATAAATGAGCTAAATCTCCATCTTTCATATTAGCACATCAATAGTTAATGTGAAATTGAAAAACTTCAAGAAGTAGCAGAAAAAATACTTTTTTATAAATTGTAAGGTAATTACCAAAAGTAGCACCAAATGGCTTGATAGTTGTTACCTCTAGGGAATGGGAATAGAGGCAGGTTGTTGGAGGATGCAAGAGACTGCTCTTTTATATGATAAGGCTCATAAAAAGTAAATGATTTTTTAAAAACTACATGTAAAACATTAATAAAATGTTTAAAGATGAAGATATATCAATAGTATAGTTAGAACCTGACACTAAATCAAAATGTATGAATAAACTAAAAGGCTAAGCATCTAAGCTTTGTGAAGCACTTGACTTTTGAGGTTTATTTTAAGGCTAAATAAATTAATACCACCTATTTAGTAAAGTTACACTTTTTAGATATCTAAATGGTGGGCAATGAATATTTACTTGACTGAATATAGTCCAAATTTTTCTTAATATGGGAGGATTATTAGATACCACCCTTTCAGTTATTTAAATTACTTTCTCCCAATGCAAGTTTTCTGGTTTCCTTATTTTCACAGGCCTTAGTGATCCTTATTTTTCCAGGCCAATTCACTGATCATTTGATATTCTCTTTTGTTCTCCTTTCTAAAGAAAAATCACTCTGACATCCTACAAGTTGATCAAAGAGGTTCACATCATACTTATCTGTCCAGCAACAGAACAATGGTGACTTTTGTTGTTCAGTCCATAATCCAAGACTCCTCTAGGGTCCTTTTCCTACTCTAGCAAGGCACAGGCAATCACACCTACATCCAGCGCAGGTGTGCTTCATCCTCCCTCCCACAATACATCACTACAGAACCTGGCCCTTCAGAGTTTAAGAAATGAAGAGAGAAAAAAATTATCTTACCTCAATTAAAACATACCATGCCTGGGAATACTGATTCAATGAACATCTATTAACTATCTACTGTTCGTCAGGCACTTAAATTTAAACTAAAATCCAACCACCACACAAAGAGTAACAGCTATCTGACAAAACAGTAATGTGTTAGCCCTGGGAAAGATATACACGAAGACCATTTAAGGAAAAGGAAGTGATAAAGTTGGGAGGTTGCTAACAAGCAATAAAATGAAAACTATTTTTGGCACAAATTTGCAAGCTATAGAAGCATTGAAATCCTATACAGAAGTATTGTTACTGAGTGGCCTGAGGACAGGATAGAGTCCCGAATGTTTCCATTTTAATCCCAGCTTCTTTTCACAGAAATGCTTTGAGAGCAGCTAATTAATATTTGCAAAGTGCTTAGTGATAAGCTCAAAGTAGAATGCTAGTCATAAAAATCAAAAAGCAGGCATATAAAATACAAAAAAAGTCACTAAGTAAACACCCAATTAAAATTCAATCTCTTAAGTAATGTTAACAAAAGTTTGAATTGAACCTTAATATAAAACATTATTCTGAAAAATTACTTAAGATGAAAAACAGCAACTGAAGCTCTTTACAAATTAAATAAAGTCGTGCAACTTACGATATTTACTGTGGATTTCATCTATTTCCTTTTCTGTTTGGTCCTTTGTAAAAACCATTACCTAAAATAATCAAAAAAAGACCTTAATAAAAATCTCCCCAAAATGACAAAAAGGGAAATATTACAAACCTTCAAATCTCAAATGTGAGTGTTTAAAATAGAGGAAAATGATCTCTCATCTGTTTTATATAGACCTAGGAAGAATCATTCCTATGTACTTCCCTTAAATACCAGAAATGGTATACATTTTACTCATTATTTTTTCTCATCAGTAGAAAATGCAACATGATTCAATTATATATTAACAAAATAATAAATTTTCTATTTTCAATATTTAATATCCCACATTCATTAATACAACAGGCAATATTTGAAACCAGAAGACTAACGACACTTAGCTGACTATTAGTAAGGCTGATCTTCTTGTCTGCCTTCTCTCCTTTCCAATCTAACTTCTCCAGGTCATTATAGAAAAGCAGTATGTATAGAAAATGCAATAATACAAAACACAGTAAGTTAAGCCTCTAGGTCCACTTTTTAAACCTCAGACTTAAAAGATCAGAAATCTGCTTCCATGATTCACTGCAGTTCCCATCTTACAGTTAGCACACAGGTAATAATAGGGTCAATGTAAATCCCATTTTTTTCCTACTTATTTGGTTACAAACTTACTTTCTTAAGGTAACCATTGCTTTCTCCTTACAAACACACTACAAATGGCCTAGAAAAAAAAAAAGTCTACTTGGAAGAGACCAAAACACTTTCTCCAGTGTCACAGGACACAATGACTATTTTCTTCACTGGTATCCTGTCTTCAAGTTTGGGGCATCAAGCTAGTGGAAGGCAACAGTGAAGAATTTTAGGTCTCTGATTCCCTCCAAAGCTCAAGAGAATATTCCATCCTCAAATTACTTAATTTATCCTCTTATAATTACTTAACATTTCCATAAGTATAATCATAGAATTGCAGAATGCCAGAGCTAAAAAGGGATCATAGAGGTCCCTAGCAGTAGCTTAGAGGTCCTTAGAGGTAGCTTATCAAACACAACCAGCAGAGAAAGGACCAATATCAAAGCTGCCTGATGCACAGGCACAGGCATTTTCTATAGAACTCTAGCTCATGAACAAACTCTACTTTGGATTGCATTTTGTGCTAGAAGACTGCTAAGTACAATCAAATATTGTCCTAAAATGAGTTGCAAGTAAATCATAATACACTAAGTGGAAATGTGTTAGTAAATGAATAAATTTAATAATGGCTTGCTTTAATTTTTGTAGGGTATTAAACTTTCTTCATTTCTATCCATATACTGAAATAGCCCATTAACATACACTTTCATTGAGTTTACTAGCTTCAAGACGCATCCTAGTCTTCTCTATATTTTCGATTTCTCGAACTATTTCAGCAGCTGTTAAAATAAGAAAATAACCACTAGGTTAATCACATGTCTTTTTTAATCACTGTACAATAATTATTTAAGTTGTTAACATTAGAAGAAGATGGGTGATGGGTATATGTGAACTCCCTGATCTATTTTTACAATTTTTCTGTGAATCAATTACCATTTCAAAACAAAAGGTTAAAAAAATAACATGGAGTTAAAACACTGAACTCTTACACATGCACATGCTGTTCAACGTATAACCACAAGAGTCAAGTCATTTTGCTTTCTCCTTTGAATATACAGGTCTAAACAGAAGTCTCAGTGAAATATGAAAATTAATTTTTTAGTGTGAGTTCAATTATTAGGGGATGTCTGCTCAAATTCCAATGTACTAAATGCAGTACAACAGGCTACTGTTCAAGGAGAGAAAAAGGTCTACAAATACCAGGAAAAATGTCCTTGCCTCCAGAACCTTTGTCTGTAGGTATGTTACCAATCCAATTACATACATAAAAGAGATCTGGAATACACCCTGTCAAACATTAAATGCCTTTGAATGCAAACAGCACAGAATTTGCAAATGCTATCTTTCTGCATCCAAAGTCAATACATTAAAACTGAAATGCATATGGTAGGAAATAAAAATCTACAATCCCTAACCCTCATTTATACTTAAAAATTATATCTGGAATTTGCTTCAAAATAATCCATGGAAGAAAAAGGGGTGTAAATGGTAGATAAAACAACATTCAGACAGTGTGATAATTGTTTAAGCTGGGTAGTAGGCATATGGGGAAATCAGTAAACTCTTTTCTCTATTTCTGTATATGTTTGAAATAATCCCCATTAAAGTTTTATTTTTTTTAAACCACAGACCTTATGACGATCATTTAAGAATGCAACTGTCTCAATACAAAGTTTACGTTTTCTGAGCACTGAGAGGTACCTTTTGCCTCCTTGATATTGTAAAATCAGTAGAAACAATGTAAACAATCTCTCTGTGAAGATGACCAGCTAGTGGTTCTCTCCTTTCCAAAATGAGTCATGGAATAACATGAAAAACACAGGGACCATTTGCATTCTATCCAATCCATTAATACAAGTATCACTAAAGACAGAGAACATCTGGCATGTCCTCTTGTAAGATATTAAGAAAACTAGGCCAGGCGCAGTGGCTCACGCCTCTAATCCCAGCACTTTGAGAGGCCGAAGCGGGTGGATCACGAGGTCAGGAGATCGAGACCATCCTGGCTAACACGATGAAACCCCGTCTCCACTAAAAATAAAAAAAAATTTTTTAAAATTAGCCGGGTGTGGTGGGGGGCGCCTATAGTCCCAGCTACCTGGGAGGCTGAGGCAGGAGAATGGCGTGAACCCGGGAGGCGGAGCTTGCAGTGAACTGAGATGGCACCACTGCACTCCAGCCCAGCGACAAAGCGAGACTCCGTCTCAAAAAAAAAAAAAAAAAGAAAACTATATTAGGATTGGGTAGAATTTAGTGGCTTAAATCTTCTTCAGGGAGATTTCTGATTCTGTTTAGGTTGTAGAGAGCTATAAATAATGTCACTCTCACCCTAATGACGAGAAAAAGCGGGATAACTTATAAAACTATAATTTTTCTTGAATCCATCAGAGCTAAAGTAAGAGGGCAATCAACTAGCCTGAAACCTAAACAAAGATGAGTGCCTTAGAAGAGAGAGGGATCATGAGCACTGGTTGACATAGGACAGTACACCAGAGAAAAATTGGTACCACCCTATCTCTGGGTAAGATCTCAGCTAAACTTTTTGATGAACTGCAAAAGACCAAGGGTGAGCTACCATGAAAATATAAAAATTTTGGGTGGCTTGGACACAGCGGGCATCACATCCATTTGCAGGCTATTTTCCTTTTTTTTTTTTTTTTGAGACTGAGTCTCGCTCTGTCACCCAGGACGGAGTGCAGTGGCGCGATCTCGGCTCACTGCAAGCTCTGCCTTCCGGGTTCACGCCATTCTCCTGCCTCAGCCTCCCGAGTAGCTGGGACTACAGGTGCCTGCCACCACGCTCAGCTAATTTTCTGTATTTTTAGTAGAGACAGGGTTTCACCATGTTAGCCAGGATGGTCTCGATCTCCTGACCTCGTGATCCACCCGCCTCGGCCTCCCAAAGTGCTGGGATTACAGGCGTGAGCCACCGCACCTGGCCTTGCAGGCTATTTTCTACAGACCTCAGTGGGCACCCACAAGAGTCCTCAGTCTCTCTGTAGCTCACTGGGGAAGGGCAGCAAATTAGAAAAGATCTTCCTCCAGATCCATTCCTGGCAAAAGAGAACCACCCCCACTGCAGGATGGACATGAAGCCCCAATCACATCTTTATCCCTGAAGAAAAAAAGCATTAAGCCACTGACGAAAGGTCAGCAAAAATGTTATCCCCAGAGCATCGGTTGCTGAGGGAAGTAAACAAAAACAAACAAAAAACCCCCTCTACCCTTCAGGAGGATCAGGAAACCATTCTGGGCCCTGACCCATAGAGGACCCCTGCCCCTGGCAGTGAGAGAGGGGCAGGATCGCTGAAAAAGCCCCAGCTCTGAGATGCAGGATTGAAAGACCTGCCTAAGACTGAAGCTAAATCAGAGTAACAGAGAACCCTCCTTTTCTGCCTGCCACAAACCTAGCATGATCCAAGTGATACGTAACAGCAATCTACTTCTAGGAGAGAAATGAACATGGAGAGAGACCCTCTCTGAGGCACAGGCTCATAGGGAAAACCTAAGTTGTGAGTGATATATAGCTACATTTTAAAAAAAAGTCTGGCACCTCAGACTCTTACCTACACTGTCTGGCTTTCAATCAAAACTTAAACATGAAAAAGCAGCAAATTATGATTAAGATGATACAGGATCTAGTAGAAAAGATGAACAACATACATGAACAGATGGGGCATTTCTGTAGAAATTACTTCAATGGAAATACTTTTTTTTAGAAAGAATAAAATAGAAATGTTAGATATATAGATATAGACACATAAAACCAACACAGTAACAGATAACTTGACTCAGCTAAGGAAAGAATCAGTGAACCTAAAATTGGATTGGTATTATCCAATCTGAAACACAGAGAGAGAAAAAAAGGAAAAAGAAAAAAAATTGTAACAGAACAGAGCCTCTAAGAGCTATGGGACAATATCAAGAAATATACACATAATAGAAATCACAGAAGAAGAAAAAAGGGAGGAGAAGAAATCGTTGAAGAACTGTCTAGAATTTGCCAAATATAAGAAAGACACCAAACCACAAATGCAAGAATTTCAAAGATCAAGCAACACAGATATAAAAACAAACCCAAAATGACAACAACATGCATATAGACACAAAGACAAAATCATGTGGCCATCAGAGGAAAAAGACACATTATATAAAGAAAAATCAAGAATTACATTACACTTCTCATCAGAAATTATTCAAGCCAGATAACAATAGAGTGACATCTTTAAAGCATTAGAAAAAAGCCCGCCAATCCAGAATTCTAATAAAAATATCTTTCAAAAGTGAAACACAAAAACTTTCTGAGGAAATCATAAGCTGAGAGAAAGTATTATTAGCAGCCCTCCATTACAAAAAGTATTAAAACAAGTTCTTCAATTAGAAGAACCAGAGAGAAACTTACCTAAGAAGAAATGAAAACTGGTGAAAATGGTAAACATGAAGATAAGTATAAAATATACTTTTTTCTCGTTTTTAACTACTCTAAAAGATAACTGTTTAATGGACAAACAATAGCAATGTAATGGTTTAACAGTATATGTAAAAGGAATTCATGACAATAACAATACAAAGAATTAGGAGTTGGGAGTATGCTGTTAAAAGTTTCTTACAAGTGAGGCTGTATAATTACTTGACTGTAACTAATGAAAGATGTACACTGCAAACCCTAGAGAGAACACTAAAATTTTTTGAAAAAGAGGTAAAGTAATAAGACAATAATAGAAATAAAATATAATAATAAAAATGCTCAATCCAAAAAACAGCAAAAAAAGATAACAAAAAGGAGACGGAACAAAGGAAAAAACAGCAAGATATTAAATTCAAAGCCAACTGCACCAGTATTTACATTAAAGAAAGGGTTTTAAAACACCAATTAAGAGACAGAGGATGTCAGATTGGATAAAAAAGCAAGACCAAACTATATACTATCAAAAATAACCCATTTTAAATAAAAAGATAGGTTAAAAATAAAAGTATGGAAAGAGATGTCTCATGTAAACAGTCATGAAAAGAAACCTGGAGGAGCTTTATTAATATGAGGCGCAATAGGCTCCAGAACAATGAATGTTATCAGGGATAAAGAGTGAAATTAGGGGCCGGGCGCAGTGGGTCATGCCTGTAATCCCAGCACTTTGGGAGGCCGAGGCGAGTGGATCACCTGAGGTCAGGAGTTCGAGACCAGCCTGACCAACATGGTGAAATCCCGTCCCTACTGAAAATACAAAAATTAGCACGGCATGGTGGCTCATGCCTGTAGTCCCAGCTACTTGGGAGGCTGAGGCAGGAGAATCGCTTGAATCCAGGAGGAGGAGGTTGTAGTGAGCTGAGATGGTGCCATTGCACTCCAGCCTGGGCAACTAGAGTGAAACTCCATCTCAAAAAAAAAAAAAAAAAAAAAAGGGAAATTATATCGTGATAAAAGGGTCAATTTACCAAGAAGACATAATCTTAAATGTGTTTGCCCCTAAAACAGAAATTTAAAATACATTAAAAAGTATTTCTTCTTCCAAACAAGATGGATTAGACTCATTTCTCCGCTAAGTACAACTAAAAACCCTGATATATAACAGACAACTATAAGAGAACTCTGGAAAGTAGAAAGAGGAAGATGGACTGGCTAAGATCTCAGCATGTGAGGAATGACACTGTGTGTCACCCTGGGGTGTCTTTGTATTCTGTATCTTATAGACTATGCTCTGGAGAAGTCCAGAGCCATCAAGAGAAACAGACAAAAAAGCCTCAAGAAAAATCTACTCTTTATAAGCAAAGGACTGAAAAAGAGGGTACCCAGAAACCTTGATAATACTTGACCTACCCAAGCAAAACACTGCTGATGCTCCCTGCCCTGTGCAGTATTATCAGAGAGCAAGTGGGGAGCATGGACTTCTACCCATCAACCAGAGGTGGAAGGGGTCCTAGTGCAGGATGTCCTCCCATAGCAACAATGTCAGTGGAAGCCTAGTGAGGAGCTCAGACTTCTACACCCCATCCAATGATGGCAGCTGACAACTGCACCCTCTCAACTAATAACTGAGAAGAGAATATCAAAGAGAAGGAAACTGGAGAAAAGAATTCCTTCAGCCTGTGCAGGGCATCCCCGACCAACATGTGAAATTGTTTACAATTAATATGCCAAAAGGTTTGAAAACTGAACCACAGTGTGGAATATCAGGTATTCACAACAGTCTCTAGGTAGCAATTAAATAAAGTAGACCAAAATAACATTTCAAGGGATCTGGGAACTAAATCATCATTAGAACCACAGCCTACAAAAATAGGCCAGGATCTGCATGCTAAACTTAAACAAGATGACTTCCTGCTAAATTAGAATATTTAAATAGAACCTAGAATGTCATTAGAATATAAAAAATACTCAGAATACAATTTAAAAAAAAACTTGACATATTAAGAACCAGGAAAATCACGACTCGAATGAAAAAAGACAAGATGCCAATACCTGAGACAACCCAGTTGCTGGAATTATCTGACAAGAATTTTAAAGCTACCATCATAAAAATGATCCAACAGGCAATTAATGCTCTGGAGACAAAACAAAACTGCTACAGTATGAAATACTTTTGAGAGCCTTGAAACATGTAAGTGTACATGGATTTACATGTATATATATGCATACATGCATGTGTATGTATATATGTATCCACGTGTGCGTATGTATATATATGCACATATATGCATATATTTCCCAGCTTCATCTGCTCAAATAGCCTAGAAGCAAAGACACCAAGTAGCAATGAGCATAGCTGGTAGCCATATCTTGGTTTCACCAATAAAAAGGACCAGCGCTCCTCAAAGAAATGGCTGATTTCAGGGCTGGGGCATGGAAGAGCAAGAAAAGTCTGCAATATCTTGTTATGTTAGAAATAAGAAGACGGTAATGAAAATAATGGGGGTGTATGTCATGAGGACAGGAATTAGAATGAAGACACTCCTGCTGGCCAAATGTGGAAAAATACAAACACGAAAATAATTAAGAGAAGTAATGAGTTAAAAATCTGTGAATCCATATTCATAAGAGACAAATAAGAAAATAACAAGGCAGGCCGGGCGCAGTGGCTCACGCCTGTAATCCCAGCACTTTGGGAGGCCAAGGCAGACAGATCACGAGGTCAGGAGATTGAGACCTTCCTGGCTAACACGGTGAAATGCCATCTTTACTAAAAATACAAAACATTAGCCAGGCATGGCATGCGCCTGTAGTCCCAGCTACTCGGGAGGCTGAGGCAGGAGAATGGCGTGAACCTGGGAGGCGGAGCTTGCAGTGAGCCGAGATCGTGCCACTGCACTCCAGCCTGGACGACAGAGCGAGACTCCGTCTCAAAAAAAAAAAAAAAAAAAAGAAAAAGAAAATAATAATAAGGCAGAGGGAAGGGCTCTTGTTTTCAGAATCATGCCAAGTATCAATTAGCAACTGTGAAACCAATGCTAAAGTTGAAAAATCATCATTTTGCAACTATCACAGAAAAGAATAGTTTAGAGAAAAATTACCAAAGGATGCTAAATATAGGGGTGAAATCTTAATGAGGTATAGAATAGCTACATAGTGTTGAAGTGTCTCTGCAGACTTCTTATTAGTAGCAAGGCAGCGGATGTAAAGTATAAACCAGAGAGAAACTGGCCAGGTGATCAGGCCTGATATCACAAATGAGGGGTACACAGATGTCAAATGGCTCTAGATGTAATATTCCGAAGACAAAACATCACTTATATAGTATTCTGGCCAGGAAGGCATAATCTGAATTTTCTGCCAGAATGAGAAGATTTTACTTGAAAAACACACACACACAACAAAGACTGTATTCTTTTAAAAGGCCAGTGTCATAAAAGACAAAGAAAGGCTGAGGAATTATTCTAGATTGAAAGAGATTGAAAAGATATTACCACGAAATGCAATATGTGATCCAAAACTGGATCATGTACTGCAGGAAAAAAAATCTACAAAGGTTATTATTGGGTCCACTAACAAAACTGGATAGATGAATAAAAGTATTATAACAAAGTTAAATCTACTACAAGTACTAACTACAGTGGCAATAAAAGAGAATCTTTTTTTCTTAAGAAATAATACAAGGACATATTTAGGGGTAAAGGGTAAACACTATATAACTTATTTTCAGGCAGTTAAAGAAGAAAATATGTGTGTAATTATATGGACACATACACACATTCACAGAAAAAGAGAGAAAGAGGAACAGAGTAATTCATAAAGCAAATGAGGCAAAATGCTAACAATAGGTGGATCTGTACAAAGGGTACAGTCTATGCATTCACTATGATAGTCTTTCAACTTTCCTATAAACTTCCAAATAAAAAGTTTTTTAAAAGAATGCAAAATTAAGACTTTTTCAGACAAACAGAAGCTGAGAGAATCTGTCTCAACAGCACATCTGCACTACAAGAAATATTGAATAATCCAGGCACAATGTTCATGCCTGTAATCCCTGCACTTTGGGGGGCTAAAGCAGGGGAATCTCTTGAGGCTAGGAGTTCAACATCAGCCTGGGCAACACAGTGAGACCCTGTCTCTACAAAACAAACAAACAAAAATTAGCTGGGCATGCGCTTGTAGTCCTAGCTACCTGGCAGGCTGAAACAGGAGGATTCCTGGAGTCCGAGGCTGCGGTGAACTATCATTGCGCCACTGCACTCCAACCTGGGTGACAGAGCAAGACCCTATCTTTAAAAAAAAACAAGACAGAATGAACAAATAAAGTTTTTCAGGAAATGTCCAAACACTGTGGAAATCCAGGAAAAAATGAAGTTTTTTCAGGCAAAAGAAAATGACACCAGATGAACACCCAGATCTACACAAAGAAACAAAGAATGCTGAAAATGGTAAATGTGTAGGTAAACACAGACCTTCTTTTCCATTTTTTATTTATCTTTTCCATTTTTATTTAGTTTAAAGCAAAAATAGTAACAAGGTATTATAGAGTGTTTAAAATACATAGAAGAAAAATCTATGACAAAAATAGTACAAAGAATGAAAGTCAGGGGCAGTTCCAAGATGGCCGAATAGGAACAGCTCCAGTCTACAGCTCTCAGCATGAGCGACGCAGAAGACGGATGATTTCTGCATTTCCAACTGAGGTACCAGGTTCATCTCACTGGGGATTTTCGGACAGTGGGTGCAGGACAGTGGGAGCGGTGCACCGGGAGTGAGCTGAAGCAGGGCGAGGCATCGCCTCACCGGGGAAGCACAAGGGGTCAGGGAATTCCCTTTCCTAGCCAAGGAAAGGGATGACAGATGGCACCTGGAAAATTGGGTCACTCCCACCCTACTACTGCACTTCTCCAACGGTCTTAGCAAACAGCGCACCAGGAGATTATATCCCGTGCCTGGCTCGGAGGGTCCTACGCCCACAGAGCCTCGCTCATTGCTAGCACAGCAGTCTGAGATCAAACTGCAAGGTGGCAGTGAGGCTGGGGGAGGGGTGCCTGCCATTGCTGGAGGCTGGGAAGCTCAAACTGGGTGGAGCCCACCACAGCTCAAGGAGGCCTGCCTGCCTCTGTAGACTCCACCTCTGGGGGCAGGGCATAGCCAAACAAAAGGCAGCAGAAACCTCTGCAGGCTTAAATGTCCCTGTCTGACAGCTTGGAAGACAGCAGTGGTTCTTCCAGCATGCAGCTTTAGATCTGAGAATGGACAGACTGCCTCTTCAAGTGGGTCCCTGAACCCCAAGTAGCCTAACTGGGAGGCACCTCCCAGTAGGGGCAGACTGACACCTCACACGGCCAGGTACCCCTCTGAAACAAAACTTCCAGAGGAACAATCAGGCAGCAACATTTGCTGTTCACCAATATTTGCTGTTCTGCAGCCTCCGCTGGTGATACCCAGGCAAACAGGGTCTGGAGTGGACCTCTGGCAAACTCCAACAGACCTGCAGCTGAGGGTCCTGACTGTTAGAAGGAAAACTAACAAACAGAAAGGTCATCCACACCAAAACCCCATCTGTACGTCACCATCATCAAAGACAAAAGGTAGATAAAACCACAAAGATGGGGAAAAAACAGCAGAAAAGCTGAAAATTCTAAAAATCAGAGCGCCTCTCTTCCTCCAAAGGAATGCAGCTCCTCACCAGCAACAGAACACAGCTGGACAGAGAATGACTTCGACGAGTTGAGAGAAGAACGCTTCAGATGATCAAACTTCCCCGAGCTAAAGGAGGAAGTTCAAACCCATGGCAAAGAAGTTAAGAACCTTGAAAAAAGATTAGACGAATGGCTAACTAGAATAACCAATGCAGAGAAGTCCTTAAATGACCTGATGGAGCTGAAAACCATGGCACAAAAACTACGTGACGAATGCACAAGCCTCAGTAGCCGATTCGATCAATTGGAAGAAAGGGTATCAGTGATGGAAGATCAAATGAATGAAATGAAGCAAGAAGAGAAGTTTAGAGAACAAAGAATAAAAAGAAATGAACAAAGCCTCCAAGAAATATGGCACTATATGAAAAGACCAAATCTACGTCTCACTGGTGTACCTGAAAGTGACGGGGAGAATGGAACCAAGTTGGAAAACACTCTGCAGGATATTATCCAGGAGAACTTCCCCAGTCTAGCAAGGCAGCCCAACATTCACATTCAGGAAATACAGAGAACGCCACAGAGATACTCCTCGAGAAGAGCAACTCCAAGACACATAATTGACAGATTCACCAAAGTTGAAATGAAGGAAAAAACGTTAAGGGCAGCCAGAGAGAAAGGTCGGGTTACCCACAAAGGGAAGCCCATCAGACTAACAGCTGATCTCCTGGCAGAAACTTTACAAGCCAGAAGAAAGTGGGGGCCAATATTCAGCATTCTTAAAGAAAAGAATTTTCAACCCAGAATTTCATATCCAGCCAAACTAAGCTTCGTAAGTGAAGGAGAAATAAAATACTTTACAGACAAGCAAATGCTGGGAGATTCTGTTACCACCAGGCCTGCCCTAAAAGAGCTCCTGAAGGAAGCACTAAACGTGGAAAGGAACAACCAGTACCAGCCACTGCAAAAACATGCCAAATTGTAAAGACCATCAAGGCTAGGAAGAAACTGCATCAACTAACAAGCAAAATAACCAGCTAACATCATAATGACAGAATCAAATTCACACATAATATTAACTTTAAATGTAAATGGGCTAAATGCTCCAATTAAAAGACACAGACTGGCAAATTGGATAAAGAGTCAAGACCCATCAGTGTGCTGTATTCAGGAAACTCATCTCACATGCAGAGACACACATAGGCTCAAAATAAAGGGATGGAGGAAGATCTACCAAGCAAATGGAAAACAAAAAAAGGCAGGGGTTGCAATCCTAGTCTCTGATAAAACAGACTTTAAACCCACAAAGATCAAAAGAGACAAAGTAGGCCATTACATAATGGTAAAGGGATCAATTCAACAAGAAGAGCTAACTATCCTAAATATATATGCACCCAATACAGGAGCACCCAGATTCATAAAGCAAGTCCTTAGAGACCTACAAAGAGACTTAGACTCCCACACAATAATAATGGGAGACTTTAACACCCCACTGTCAACATTAGACAGATCAACGAGACAGAAAGTTAACAAGGATATCCAGGAATTGAACTCAGCTCTGCACCAAGCAGACCTAATAGACATCTACAGAACTCTCCACCCCAAATCAACAGAATATACACTCTTCTCAGCACCACATCACACTTATTCCAAAATTGACCATAGTTGGAAGTAAAGCACTCTTCAGCAAATGTAAAAGAACAGAAATTATAACAAACTATCTCTCAGACCACAGTGCAATCAAACTAGAACTCAGGATTAAGAAACTCACTCAAAACCGCTCAACTACATGGAAACTGAACAACCTGCTCCTGAATGACTACTGGGTACATAACGAAATGAAGGCAGAAATAAAGATGTTCTTTGAAACCAATGAGAACAAAGACACAACATACCAGAATCTCTGGGACACATTTAAAGCAGTGTGTAGGGGGAAATTTATAGCACTAAATGCCCACAAGAGAAAGCAGGAAAGATCTAAAATTGACATCCTAACATCACAATTAAAAGAACTAGAGAAGCAAGAGCAAACACATTCAAAAGCTAGCAGAAGGCAAGAAATAACTAAGATCAGAGCAGAACTGAAGGAAATAGAGACACAAAAAACCCTTCAAAAAATCAATGAATCCAGGAGCTGGTTTTTTGAAAAAATCAAGAAAATTAATAGACTGCTAGCAAGACTAATAAAGAAGAAAAGAGAGAAGAATCAAATAGACGCAATAAAAAATGATAAAGGGGATATCACCACCGATCCCACAGAAATACAAATTACCATCAGAGAATACTATAAACACCTCTACACAAATAAACTAGAAAATCTAGAAGAAATGGATAAATTCCTCGACACATACACACTCCCAAGACTAAACCAGGAAGAAGTTGAATCTCTGAATAAACCAATAACAGGCTCTGAAATTGAGGCAATAATTAATAGCCTACCAACCAAAAAAAGTCCAGGACCAGACAGATTCACAGCCGAATTCCACCAGAGGTACAAGGAGGAGCTGGTACCATTCCTTCTGAAACTATTCCAATCAATAGAAAAAAAGAGAATCCTCCCTAACTCATTTTATGAGACCAGCATCATCCTGATACCAAAGCCTGGCAAAGACACAACAAAAAAAGAGAATTTTAGACCAATACCCCTGATGAACATCGATGCAAAAATCCTCAATAAAATATTGGCAAACCGAATCCAGCAGCACATCAAAAAGCTTATCCACCATGATCAAGTGGGCTTCATCCCTGGGATGCAAGGCTGGTTCAACATATGCAAATCAATAAATGTAATCCAGCATATAAACAGAACCAATGACAAAAACCACATGATTATCTCAATAGATGCAGAAAAGGCATTTGACAAAATTCAACAGCCCTTCATGCTAAAAACTCTCAATAAATTAGGTATTCATGGGACGTACCTCAAAATAAGAAGAGCTATTTATGACAAACCCACAGCCAATATCATACTGAATGGGCAAAAACTGGAAGCATTCCCTTTGAAAACTGGCACAAGACAGGGATGCCCTCTCTCACCACTCCTATTCAACATAGTGTTGGAAGTTCTGGCCAGGGCAATTAGGCAGGAGAAGGAAATAAAGGGTATTCAATTAGGAAAAGAGGAAGTCAAATTGTCCCTGTTTGCAGATGACATGACTGTATATCTAGAAAACCCCATCGTCTCAGCCCAAAATCTCCTTAAGCTGATAAGCAACTTCAGCAAAGACTCAGGATACAAAATCAATGTGCAAAAATCACAAGCATTCTTATACACCAATAACAGACAGAGAGCCAAATCATGAGTGAACTCCCATTCACAATTGCTTCAAAGAGAATAAAATACCTAGGAACCCAACTTACAAAGGATGTGAAGGACCTCTTCAAGGAGAACTACAAACCATTGCTCAATGAAATAAAACAGGATACAAACAAATGGAAGAACATTCCATGCTTATGGGTAGGAAGAATCAATATCATGAAAATGGCCATACTGCCCAAGGTAATTTATAGATTCTATGCCATCCCCATTAAGCTACCAATGACTTTCTTCACAGAATTGGAAAAAACTACTTTAAAGTTCATATGGAATCAAAAAGGAACCCGCATTGCCAAGTCAATCCTAAGCCAAGAGAACAAAGCTGGAGGCATCATGCTACTTGACTTCAAACTATACTACAAGGCTACAGTAACCAAAACAGCATGGTACTGGTACCAAAACAGAGATATAGACCAATGGAACAGAACAGAGCCCTCAGAAATAATGCCGCATATCTACGACTATCTGATCTTTGACAAACCTGACAAAAACAAGAAATGGGGAAAGGATTCCCTATTTAATAAATGGTGCTGGGAAAACTGGCTAGCCATATGTAGAAAGCTGAAACTGGATCCCTTCCTTATACCTTATACAAAAATTAATTCAAGATGGATTAAAGACTTAAATGTTAGACCTATAACCATAAAAACCCTAGAAGAAAACCTAGGCAATACCATTCAGGACATAGGCATGGGCAAGGACTTCATGTCTAAAACACCAAAAGCAATGGCAACAAAAGCCAAAAATGACAAATGGGATCTAATTAAACTAAAGAGCTTCTGCACAGCAAAAGAAACTACCATCAGAGTGAGCAGGCAACCTACAGAATGGGAGAAAATTTTTGCAATCTACTCATCTGACAAAGGGCTAATATCCAGAATCTACAATGAACTCCAACAAATTTACAAGAAAAACACAAACAAACCCATCAAAAAGTGGGTGAAGGATACGAACAGACACTTCTCAAAAGAAGACATTTATGCAGCCAAAAGACACATGAAAAAATGCTCACCATCACTGGCCATCAGAGAAATGCAAATCAAAACCACAATGAGATACCATCTCACACCAGTTAGAATGGCAGTCATTAAAAAGTCAGGAAACAACAGGTGCTGGAGAGGATGTGGAGAAATAGGAACACTTTTACACTGTTGGTGGGACTGTAAACTAGTTCAACCATTGTAGAAGTCAGTGTGGCAATTCCTCAGGGATCTACAGCTAGAAATACCATTTGACCCAGCCATCCCATTACTGGGTATATACCCAAAGGATTATAAACCATGCTGCTATTAAGACACATGCACACATATGTTTATTGTGGCACTATTCACAATGGCAAAGACTAGGAACCAACCCAAATGTCCAACAATGATAGACTGGGTTAAGAAAATGTGGCACGTATATACCATGGAATACTATGCAGCCATAAAAAATGATGAGTTCATGTCCTTTGTAGGGACATGGATGAAGCTGGAAACCATCATTCTCAGCAAACTGTCGCAAGGACAGAAAGCCAAACACCGCATGTTCTCACTCATAGGTGGGAACTGAACAATGACAACACTTGGACACAGGAAGAGGAACATCACACACTGGGGCCTGTTTTGGGGTGGGGGGAGTGGGGAGGGATAGCATTAGGAGATATACCTAATGTAAATGACGAGTTAGTGGGGGCAGCACACCAACATGGCACATGTATACATATGTAACAAACCTGCACGTTGTGCACATGTACCCTAAAACTTAAAAAAAAAAAAAAAAAAGAATGAAAGTCTTAAGGTCCTTCCATTATACATGAAGTAGTGTACTATTCATTGAAGGTAGACTGAGATAAGTTAAAAATGCATATAGTAAACTAGAACAATCACCCCTACAAAAAAACAAAAAGAAGTATAGCTCGTAAAATGAAGATAACATAAAAAACTAAAAAATACTCAGTTAATCCAAAAAAAAGCAGGAAATGAAGAAAAAACAAAAGAATGATAGAACAGCAAACAAGCAAGATGGCAGATATAAACCCAACCAAATAGAATAAATGAAATTAAAATAGTTTAAACCCTACAATTTAATGGTAGAGCTTGTCAAATTAAATTATAAAATAAAATCCAAACCATATACGGCTTACAATAAAACACAGCTTAAACATAATGGTATAATAGGTTTAAAGAAAAATGAAATAAAGTAGCTGCTATACTCATATCAGATAGATTTTTGAGGCAAGGAATATTACCAGAGACAAAGACATATATGCCATAATAATAAACAGGCTAACTAATCAAGAAGATACATAATAATACTAAGAGATTCAAAATATAACAAAACTGAAAATATTGACAGGGAAAATGAAAAATCTATAAATATAGTTGGATATTTCAAAAAGCTTCTCAGTAATTGATAGAATCAGTAAACAGAATATCAGCAAGGATGCTGAAGACTTGAATATACTATCAAGTAAATTTACATAGCATTTACAGATCACTGCACAAAAAAGCAAACTTTTCAAGTATTTATGCAATATTCACCAGGAAGACCTAACACCTAAGTTATGAAGCATGTCTCAGTAAATGTGAAAGGTCTGAAATGATACAGAACAGGTTCTTTGGCCAACATTGAATTAAATTAGAAATGAATAATAAAAAGGTATCTAAGAAATAACCAAAATCTTTAAAAATTAAACAATACTTCTATTTAACATATGAATCAAAGAAGAATACACAACAAAAATTAGAAAATATTTTAACTGGATGGGAAGGTAAATACAACCTATCAATGTCTGTGAATAGAGGTAAAATAGCACTTAGACAAAAATCTGTATTTTAAATACATCGAGAACAATCTGAAATTATCTAAACTTCCACCATAATAAGCTAAAAAAAGAAGAGCAAATTAAACCTAAAGTAAGTAGAAAGAAGGAAATCATAAAAGACTGGAATTCAATGAAATAGGAAAACAGACAAAAACTGAGAAAAAGCAATTTGAGAAAAATGAAGCTGAAGGATGATTCTTTAGAAAAACGAGAAAAATTAATAACTTATAGGTAGAACAATCAGGAAAAAAGAAGACACATTTTCAGTATAGAAAATGAAAGACAGTAAATCACCACAAACCCCATAGATATTAAAAGGTTAACAAGAAAATGTTACTTAAAAAAACAAAAACAAAAAGAACCCTCTGGCTATAGATTCAACAACTTAGATGAAATGAACACATTCCTTGCTAAAGATGAATGGTTAGTTTAATATTCAAAAATTAATCACTGTAATGTAAATCAATACCACACCCACTAGGAAAAAGACAGACTAACAGGTGTTGGCAAGGACATGGAGCAACTGGAATTAATTTTTTTTTTTTTTTTGAGACGGAGTCTCACTCTGTTGCCCAGACTGTAGTGCAATGGCACGATCTCAGCTCACTGCAACCTCCGCCTCCTGGGTTCACCCAATTCTCCTGTCTCAGCCTCCTGAGTAGCTGGGATTACAGGCGCCTGCCACCACGCCCAGCTAATTTTTTGTATTTTAAGTAGAGACGGGGTTTCACCCTGTTGGCCAGGCTGGTCTCCAAATCCTGACCTCAGGTGATCCACCTGCCTCGGCCTCCCAAACAAAGTGCTGGGATTACAGGCATGAGCCACTGCGCCCGGCACAGCTGGAACTCTTATACACTGCTAGTAGGATGTAAAATGGTGTAGCCACTTTGGACAATAGTCTAGCAATTCCTCAAAATGTTAAAATAGAATTACCATACTACTCAGCAATTCTACTCTTAGGTAAAGACACAATAGAAATGAAAACATATGTCGACATAAAAATTTGTACATAAATGTTCATAACAGCATTATTTATAATAGCCAAAAAGTGGAAAAATGTCAGATTTGAACTAATGAACAGACACAAAGATGTGACATATTCATACAATGGAATATTATTTGGCAATGAAAAATAAGTGAGTATTGACCACAGATAAACCTTGAAAACATTATACTAAGTGAAAGAAGTTAGTTTATAAAAGGCCACATGCTATATGGTTCCACTTAAATGGAATATCCAGAATAGACAACTCTATAGAGACAGAAGTAAATTAGTGGCTATCTAGGGCTGGAAGGGTTGGTAGATAATGATGCTAATGGATACTGGGCTCTTTTCAGGGTAACAAAATGTTCTAAAATTTAATATGATAGTTGTACAACTCTGTGAATATACTGAAAACCACTGAACTGTATGTACACTTCAGGTGGGTATGAATTATATCTCAGTATTATATGAATTATATTTCAATAAACTGATTAATACTCAATGTTATAAATCATATCACAAAATAAATAAAAATATAATAATCTCAATAGATGTAGAATAAGGAAATGACAATTCAACACGCCTTCATAATAATAAACTAGGAAGGGAAGAAATGTCCTCAACCTCATAAAAGGCATCTATGAAAACCTATCACACTTAATAGTGAAAGACTAAATGTTTTACCTATAAGTTGGGGTATTCCAGAATTAAAAGAACATATATTGATGCAATAGTACTGTCACTCAAATGATTTTTGAAGGCAATTATTCTTCCTTCTGGGGAGACAGACCCTTGAAAAATCAGATGAAAGTCAGAGATCCTTTCTTAAGAAATTCATTTAAAAAAAAGATTGGAGAAAGGAAAGGATGTTTGCCCACACCACTTTTATTCCACATCACACTGGAGGTTCTAACCAATGCAACTAACCAAGGGTAGAAAGATAAATAAAAGGCATATCGACTGAAAAAAATAAATAAATAAAACTGTTTTTATTGGCATGTAACTTGATTGTGTATATAAAAATCCTATGAAATCTATAAAAAAGCAATTAGAAATGAGTTTCACTAGTTAATAGTATACAAGTAAATATACAAAAATAAATGTCAAAATGACTCTTTAAAATAGTAATAAACAATGAGAAATAAAAATTTTAAAACTACTCACAATAGCACCAAAAGACATGAAATATTTAAGGATACATTTAACAAAATACATGGAACACACACACATAAAAAAGTAGACAGCACTACTGAGAGAAAGTAAAGGAGGCCTAAAGAGCCATACCACGACTGTGCATTAAAAGTCTTAATATTGTTAAGATATCATTTCTAAGCTGATCTATGTAATCTCACTCAAAATCCCAAAAGGTACACACTAATAAACTGACTGCCCTGCAGATGCTGTCCTGGACCTGCCAGCTGCACAGATGCAGATGCTCTGCTATGCCTGTAACATCGGGGCGAAGTGAAAGTGGCTATTTCTACACTCAGTGTTCAGAAAACACTGAACAACAAGAATGGATAATAGCCTGACATTTCTTAGGGGAACAACAACAACAAAACTGAGTCTAACATTTATGTGGGATTGCAAAGGACCTAGAACAATTTTGAGAACACAGTTGAAGGACTTATACTACCTGATAATTTTAAGACTTACTATAAAGTTACAGAAATCAAGAGTGTGTCATGAGTGAAAGGACAGATATATAGATCAGTGGAACAGAATAGATTCTAGATAGATTCACATGCTATATACATGGCCGTTAGGATTTGACAATGAGGGCAAAGTAATTCAATGGGGAAAGGATAGTCTTTTTAACAAATGGTGCTGAAAAACTAGATATACATATTTTTTAAATAAACTTTGACATTTGACATTTACCTTCCACCATACAGAAAAACTAAATGAAAATGGATCATAGATTTAAATATAAAAGCGAAAATTATAAAACTCCTAGAAAATAACACAGGAGAAATTTTTTGTGATCTTAGGATAAGCAAATATTTTGTTGACATGCAACACAATTGTATACATAAAAAATCATGAAATGATACACAAGAAGCATAAATCATAAAAAAAGTAAATTAAATTTCGTCAAAATTAAAACTCTCTGCTCTTCAAAGACATCATTAAGAAAATGACAAGGTAAGCCACATACAAAGATAAAATATTCACAACACATATATTTTAAAAATTCAGTATCCAGAATATATAAATAACTTACAAATCAATAAAAAGAGTTAAGGGGCAGAATATTTCAACCAAGCCTTTATCAAAGAAAATATACAAATAGCAAATAAAACTATCAAAAGACAGCAGACACCACTAGTCACAGGAAAATGCAAATTAAAACCATCATGAGATACCACTACTACACATTGACTAGAATGGCTAAAATTAAGAAGAATGAAAATACCAAGTGTTAGCAAGGGTGTGGCAAAAGTGGGACTCTCTCACAATGCAAAATGATTCAGTCATTTGAAAAACTGTATGGCAGGTTCTTATAGTTACATTTACCATATGACCAGCAATTCCACTCCACCCAAGAGAAATGAAAACATATGGTTACATAAAGACCTGTGAACCCATGTTCATAACAGCTTTACTGATAATAAAAAAACTGGACACAGTCCAGTTGTCCATCAACAGGTGAAGGGATATACAAATTGTGGCATGGCTATAAAGCAGAACACTGCTTGGCAATAAAAAATAAATGCACTGGCTGGGCACGGGGGCTCATGCCTGTAATCCCAGCATTTTGGGAGGCAGAGGCGGGCAGATCACAAGGTCAGGAATTCAAGACTAGCCTGGCCAATATGGTGAAACCCCATCTCTACTAAAAATACAAAAATTAGCCGGGCGTGCTGGCAGGCACCTGTAGTCCCAGCTACTCGGGAGGCTGAGGCAGGAGAATCGCTTCAACCTGGGAGACGGAGGTTACAGTGAGCCGAGATCGCGCCATTGCACTCCAGCCTGGCCGACAGAGAGAGACTCTGTCTCAAAAATAAATAAATAAATAAAATAAAATAAAAAATAAATGCACTACTGGTAAAAGCAACAACATGGAAAAATCTCAAAAGTATTATGCTAAGTGACAGATACCATATGTAAAATGCTACATACTATACAATTTGTGTAATTCCACTTATGTGACAGTCTAGAAAAGGTAAAATTATAGGGACAAAAAAAGAGATCAGTGTTTCCTGAGGTCTTAGAGTAAAAGAGAGGGAATATACAGCAAAGGGGCACTGGAACTTTTGCTGATGAAGGAAATGTTCTACATTTCAGTTAGAGCAATGGCTAAATGACAATATACATTTGCCTAAATTCATCTAACTATACACTTTCAAAGGATGTATTACATGTGAGTAAGTTATACATCAATAAAAAGGGCACATACAAAAAGCGACAAGCCATTGGATATAAGGAAACTATAGAAAAACCAGTTGTATTTTTGTGTACAAGCAACTAATAAAAATTGACATTTTAGAATAAAACATCGTGTACCACTGCATCAAAAATATCAGAGAATAACTCTTTAAAAAGATGTGTGAGACCTTCACACTGAAAATTGCAAAACATTACTGACAAAAATCAAAGACAAAAAAGGGGACAAACCATATTCATGAATTGGAAGACTCAAATACTATACAGATATCAACTATCTCAAAATTGATCTATAAATTCAATGTAATCCCAATTTAAAAACTTATATGGAAATACAAAAGGCCTAGAAAAAACAAGTCAACCTCAATAAACAAAACTGGAAGAACTATATTACCAGACAGCAAGACCTATTATAAATTACTCATAAAGTACTTAAGACACACATTATTTATCCTGCTCAACGGTAAATAATAGCCCAATGGAACAAAACAATGTCCAGGCCTACACATGTACAATTAGCTGATTCTCAGCCAAGACTTCTGGCAATTCAGTGGGAGAAGGGATGGCATTTCAATGAGTGGTGCTGCATCAATTGGTTATTCATATGGAAAGAAAACAAGACAATCTTGTCCTCTACCTCACAACATATGCTAAAATCAATTCCAGATAAACCGTACATCAAAATTTAGGAGCAAGAACAATAAAGTTTTAAAAGAAAACAAGAGAAGATCCACATGATCTTGAAGTAGGCTAAGGCAAAGCACTGATCAAAAGGAAAAATGTAATGAATTGGACTATTTTAGGAACTTCTACTCTTCAATGATGCCATTAAGAGAGTGAAAAGGTGAAATTAGAAATGTACATACATCCAGCAAAAGATTTTTATCCAGGAAATTTCAATTACTCCCACAAATAAGAATAAAAATAGGCCCACAGAACAGAAGAATTGGACATAGATTTAAACAGGTATTTCACTACAGAGGACATCCAGATGGCCAACAAGCATATAAAATTTATAAGTCATTAAGGAAATGCAAATTAAAATAACAAGGTACTACCATGGACCCACTAGAATGGCTAAAATGGAGAGTTAACAGTGGTGATGTTGTCAAGGGTGCAGAACAACTGACACCCTCACACCCTCCTGATGAAAGTGTACATGACTACTGAATTTGGGGCTGTATCCATGAAAGCTGAATATCTGCAAATATATAACACCAATTCCATTCCTGTATATATATATCCAACAGCAACATGCACCTATGTGCACCACAAGATATATAAAAGATTATTTGTAGCAGCATTATTAATAGAGGAAAAGTGGGAACAAAATGAAATGTTTATTAAACACTGAATGGATAAGATGATACGTTTATACAATGGAATACCATATAGCAACAAAAATGAAAAAAACATGACCATATAAAAAAACATGAATGAATCTTATAATGTTGCACAAATGAGGGCAGGCACAAAAGAATACATAAGCTATTGGCCCTTTATTTAAAGATCAAACATAGGCAAAATGAACATATGGGGTTAGAAGTCAAGACAGTGGTCAAATGTGAGAATGAAGGAGTGAATGGGAGGGGGCAGATAGGGCTTTTGGGACGCTGGTAGTGATCTCAGTACTGGCTACAATGACATTTCACTTTATGAAATTTAGTTTGTGATAATTCACCAAACAATACACTTATAATTTGTGTGTTTTAATGTTTGCATGTTATTCTCCAAGTTTTTAAAAATTAGGCAATTCTATATGTTAATAGAAAGAACTCCAATGTATGTGTGTGGTTTAATGAAAAGAACCAACCACTAAATAGTGCACTACACAGAATACTATCATTTTGTAAAAACAGTAATGAAAAGGATATATGTTTGTGTACAATAATCATAATGGCAACATTTACTGAAAGCTAACTACTTGCTAAGGTACTGTGTTAGGCACTTTTCATGCCTTTTATCATTTATTTCACTCAACATTATGAAGTGGGTAGTTATTATAACCCTTATTTTATGAAGGAGAAAACTGAGGTACAGAGATATCAAGTAACGTGCCCACAGTCACCAAGCCACAAAGCTGAAAAACGGGCACTGTAACCCAGGCTCTCCAGATCCACTCTTCCCCACCACATTCTCCCTAGATAGGCACATGAGAAACTGGCAATGGGGTGCCTCTGAGAAGGGATCTGGGGATTGGAAGGCAGGCTGAGAGGAAGGCTGGCTTATCATAGCATACTCTAGGTACCTTTTGAAGGAACACATTTGCACGTCTTATCTATCAAAAATGTATTTATTTACAATATTTTTCTATGGTTTATAATTTCTGAGCTACACAAAATTGCTTTATCCAGAAAGTAAGCATAACTCACTGTTTTATTACTTTACCTGATTTAGGATGCAAAGCATCGCATTGGGCATTGTACATGTGTACAAATTCTTGGTGCCTTTTAATGAGCTGTTGTTTATTTCCTTGAATAGATAATCCATGCTCTTTTAGCTTTTTCTTTAAATCACGATCAGAGAGCAAATTATATACAGTTTTGGGCAGCGGCTTCCTTTTGTGAACAGAACTGAAAAGGGGGGAAGATACCTGATGATTATTGTGAATTATCAAATGCTTTTCATGTAAAATGGCAAATAAATTCTGATTCAACACCTGGGTGACCGGGAAAATAGTAGAACCATTAGATTAAAAAGGGGAGAGAAAAATCAAGTTTGTGGATAAAGTTGAGTGTCTGACATGATGTATCTGAGGTGCTGGTAAGACATTCAGACACAGGGGCCTAGGTGGCACCAGAAGTGAGAGACTTGGGTCTCAAAAAGAGGTCAGACCTAAAGAGGCACACTTAGAAGACATATATGTAACGCTTGTGGAATATGCTGTGAGGACTTCACTTAGAATCACACTTACATAGACCTATTCAATTTTCCACCTCTTTAAAGCATGCTAGAAATTCTAGTGGGCTAAAATTCAAGCTACATAAAAGTACCAATGACTTAAGCAATTCCATAAACAGGAACTTCTTAGTGAGTTTTAATTCATTTCACCTGATTATAGCAGGTTCTCTACCTGGCTCAGCTTTATGGCAATTAGATGCTTAACAAAAATGTGCTCAAGGAGGTCATTACACTTGCTATCATTTCAAAATAAGAATAGCAAAGATTCAGGTGAAAATTAACAGAAACTTGAAATAATAGGTTTATCCAAAAAACAAGTTTTTACAAAGGATTTGCATATAACTAGCTCACACAAGGCTGTCCCAAACGTTAGTGTACCTAAGAAGCACCTAAAGAGTTTATTTAAAACGCAGATTCTCCATCCCCTTCTCCACACCATCCACCAATTAGGGTTCAGGTCTGAAGTGGAGCTCTAAAATCTCTATTTTCAACAAGGTTCTCCAGAGTAAATCTGATATAAACGGTCCAATAATCAAACAGAGAAATATTACAGTCAGGTATAGACTGAAAACAATCAAAAATTTCTCTATTAACCAACAGAGCCATTCCCCAAATAAATTATGTCTTTTATGCTGTATTAACAAAGTCTAAAAGCCAGAAATAACTAATTAACTGTGAAAAGACCTGCAAACTCTCAATAGATTATATTTTTCTGAAAATTGCTCTTCTTACAATGACAACCCATCTGACTCTACAAGGTTGATAAAATTATGGCAAAATGAAATCTCAGTAGGTAGCAACAGCTGAATCATTTTGTGTTTACAGAAGCACACAGGGAGAGATGATTCATTACGTCTGTATCTAAAATATTTGTTTTATCAAGGACAGATGATTAAACTGTGACTGTGAAATTCCAGTGAAGAACTGTACTGTTCACTGGCATTTACAATAAAAAGCACCACCAGAGATCAACAATTTCTATCAGGAATTTTAAAACATGAAACCTGATAAATGTTTCCCCAAACACGAAAATGACATTGATTTTTCTTCCATGATTTAGTGGAACTGAGTAATACATTTAAGGGGCCTCAGAATCTGAGGCAGTTCTGACATGGTTTTATATAGAAGGGTTAAGGGCTGCCACTCACATTCAGCAGATGGCCTGTCAGAATATTGTGGAGGAGACAGGAAAACTCACAGGGCCTTTTCTCTATGACCTGACTCCGTGGCCAAGATACAACTAAAGAAGAACATGGCCCAGTGTTGTCTTCAGAATCTCCACAAACACCAGTTTTGTAAGATGGAAGTGATGAGAACAGAAAGGCTTGGCGGTCAAATAAATTTAGGATTACTAAATTAAACAAAACCTAACAGTAACCCTTAATGTAGGACTTCTCAAAGCCTTTAACACACTAAGAGGGGGATCCAGGAGGTAGTGCTTATAAGTTCACTACAGAGCACTGGCAGGACTATAGTGTTCTTTGAAGCAGGAATTTAAACCACTATTAGAACTTAATTACACATGGACGAGTATGTCTTCAAACAAACTGACAGCATCAGAAATGATGTATCAGAAATGTATTCGAACTGATGGATGGATCTAGAAAAAGGGGAGTCCATGCAAGATAATCAGTGCAGATTCCTTACTCTTCCAAAAGAATATACTCAGCTTCTATATTCCCAACTCATGCATTTCTAAAGAGAAAAGCAGTTCATCAAACTCTCGTGGCTTATGGGAAATAATCCTTAGGACTATTCATTTACTCCAAATCACCACTAAGCAACCTAAAAATCTAAATTTTATTCTCATTAACAAACTTACCCACTAGGTGGGAGTACTGTGCATGTAAAACTGCCCCAGGTTTGGACTCAAGTATGTCTACCTTAATAAAGCACCATTGTGTCTTATATGTTAGCTTTTGTAAGTTGTAACAGTATGAATCTGACCCTCAGAATCTGCATTCACTCCAAATTTACTCATAAAAATTAAGTGATGTATTTTCTTTAATCACAAAAAATAATACTATGGCTCTGTCTTATTAACATGGTTTTTGGAAAATACTCTTCAAAGTCCTTCAAAACAGACTGAACATAGAAGCAAATCATTCTTTCATCCCCACTTCTCAGATACCATTAATTTCTTCAGCTTCCCTCCTCTTCTTTTCCAAATCTCTCTGAATTATCACCTATTATCTTGCCCTTGCCTCCTGTTTCAGAAGGGTCCTTTCTGCATGTCAAGGATAACCTCATTACTGGGCTCTTGTGCTCCTCACTTTCTTCCATTTATCCTCTGCTCTCTCCCTGGAAATAGTGGAAGGAAAGAGACTGAAGGCTTAAACTCCTATTTTTAAAAAGAACAACCCTTGATCTTTATGCCACTCACTGCTTCTCCAAACTACCATCTCATCTTTCTCCCTTCATCACCAGACTCATCTAAATTGTGTCTTCTGCTTATTATCCACTGATTCCGTAATGCCTTGCAATTTAAGTTTGACTAGTATTTCATTCCTGAACAACTTATATGTGTAACAATAGTGGACTAGCATGAGAAATTACAGTTATTTTCATGTACAAGGGAGGTAGAACAGCACAGTTGTTTAGATGTAAATACTGAGCTGACAATTTATTAGCTACAATACCTGGAGGATGGGGGGGTGGTGTGGGGTATGACATTACATTTCATATATGCATTTTTGTACCTTTTTATATCATATATATTTATATAATTTCCTAGTCAAAATTTTTTGAAAAATTCAATTTTAAATTTTAAAACTTCTGAGCATCCTAAAGATCAGAGAAAGGTTTTTTATATCTTATATTCAGAGTCTAACCTTGCTTTCTTTGGCCAAGAGGCTTTTTGGTAGTTTTTAAAATCTAAGAGAAAAAAACAAGTTTAAAAAGAATTGAATTTGAAGTCACTAATTTCTTATTAAGTCAAAATTTAGTAGCAGTTCAAATATTCAATATAGCTAATCATATTTGGCAAAGTGGGAGTTGAAGAAAGAACAGAGGAGAGGGATTGGAAGAAGTGGCCAACAGGAGTAAAGAAGAAAGCAAGTAAGAGCAGGAAATACGGTCACCAGGATAAAAGGAATACTGTAATTTTCCCCCAAGTAAGCACAAGAGGCACCCAGCTAAAGTAGCTCAATGGTTCTGCTCAACTTCCTTACCTTCTGAGGCTTTCCTTCTTCTCTTCGCGTGATAAACAGCTGTCTAAATGCTTATTAATGTGACTTTCTGGAATGTTAACCCCGCAAACAGGACAATCCACTGTATTTTTTAAAAAGAAAAAGAGAGACTTTATTAATTGTAGAAGGGGCAAAAGTATGTAAACTGGCATCTTTTCAGCAAGTAAAGTAAAAAAGAATCCCAACTTAACATGCACTTAGAAAAGCAGAAAAGAAAAAGAATGGCCCATCGGGACAACAGGAGTGGGACAGACTGGTTACTGGGTAATGGCTAAATTGTGGGAAGTCACAAAATTGAAGTCCTGGTCCCAGAGAAAGAGACTGCAAATAAGCTTGAAAGTTCATTTATTAAAAATGTTTCGGTTACATCTTTTCTACCAAGGTATGACCAAACTATAGAACTCATCTTAAATTTTCCCAACCCTTAGGAGCTATCCATGTTTAGCCCAGAAGCAATAGTAACGACTTAAGTAAGACACACCTGGCCCAAGGGCCGAGTGAAGGAAAGGTAGTTTAATAATTTATTGAGTTCAATTTTGTCAATGGTTACAAATTTGTTAATTTAGCTCTCACTGATGATTCCATATATAATGTTAAAATTAAGGAACACAGTCATTCTCAAACTATTTCATAAAGTTGCAGGGATCTGTGGGGGTATCTCGGGGCCTACAGACCACCATGGATAATAGGCAGAAGGAGGTCAGGTGGAACAGAACAATCTGTTTTATCTATTTTATACGTTATGGTTTATCGTAAAATTTCATTTGGGAAAAAAGGTTCCGCTAGGGGAAAAACAGTTAACCATCAAGCTAAAAAATACTACAATAAGAACTGTCAATTGGTAAAAAGACTAAGGATAGACATAGTAGAAAATATAAGTGAAATTTATATATCTTTAAAAGATGTAAACACGTTAAGTACTAATAAACTAATTTCAATCTAAGTTTAATACACACTCACATCTCTGCACTACGTGTGGTATGGGTATACCAAAGATGTCTAAGAGTTTCTGCCTAAAAGGTGCTCTAAACTTCACTGGAAAGAAGATACAGAAACAAAAAGTTAAACAAGCTGACATATTCATCAAACAGTTAAGCAAATGGGATACAAAACAGTCCAGAAAACAAGTGCTATAGCACTTTTGTGATGTGAGACAGTGTTTTCTAACATAACAAATGAATAGTGAGGATCTGGATAGAGTCTGGAAAGGTATAGAACAGGGGCCGGCAAACATTCTTAGTGAAGGGCCAGGTAGAATTTAGACTTTACGGATCCTATGGCCTCTGTCACAACCATGCAACTCTGCCACTGTAGAATGAAAGCAGTCACAGAGAATAGGGTGGGTATGTGAACTTTTATTTACAAAAACAGGTGGCAAGCCAGATTAGATCTGCCAGTTGTAGTTTGCCAATTCCTCAGTGTACTGGAGGAACAGTGGGGAGGCTAGAGCAGGACTTCTGAGACAGAGAGGTGAGCAATAAGGCGGGATGACTAGGTTAGGCCTCAAATTGTCACAGGCTTTATATGGCAGGCAGAACAGTGAGGAGGCATTCAAGTGGTGGTAAAATAAGATAAAAAGAGCTTTTCAAGATTAAATGGGAACTGATATGTTGAATGAGGGGAAGAAAGATTAAAAGCTGAAAACAGAAAGCTACTGCCATACTTGAAGGCTGAACTAATTAAAATTGTTTCCTTTTTGTAGCAGTCAGCCTGAATTCCTGTTTCTGAGAGAGAAAGAGAACAAACATATCTACAACAATGTCTGAGGTTTGTGATATGGTAAAATCTGGTTTGTCCTTTACCATTCCTTCCCCCTCAAAGATGCTGCCTATTTATTCTTATGTCATGTGGATGAAAAGATGTCCATATTTCCACATATGAAAATAACTTCCTACCTTTAGTAACTTGTTTCAAAGTGGATGTCGAGGGTGGCTCAGGACGCTTAGCCTCTGAGGGATCTGGAGCGATCTCTTCTACAGAACGTGTCTCTTTGGTCTTTGCAGCAGGGCTCGCCTCTTTTTGAGGGCTGAATTTGCTTTTATTTTCTTTTATCAACAACTCTGATGTAGAACCACTCATTTCTCTGATCAAGAAATTATCCATTAACCTGCTCCCCTGCTTTAAAGACTGTCTGGAGGCTACAGGAGTATATACTTTGACAGCAAGATTCTTTGAAGAGGAAGAAGCAGGAGATTTGGCTGGTGACTCTAAAGCAAACTGCAGCAGATGATTCCTTGAAGCACAAAGAACACAACAGACAATTAAGAGATCCAATTTTACATCATAAATTAACTGACATAAGCTGTTTTCCCAATTAACCTTGTTTTCTGAAATACAGGACCTATACTATAATGACAACCAAACCAAAGTTTCTTCTAGTATAACTCAAAGCAATAAATCTAACGTAAAAGGCAGTTAATGTGTCAATAAAACAAAATGAAAGGAAATCAGCTTTAGGCCACAGAGAACAGCTTATATGAGACCTAATCTCCAACCATAAGTAACTTTAAAATCCGAACAAAATATACTGATATAGTCTGGATGTCGTCTCCACCAAATCTCACACTGAAATGTGATTCCCAGTGTTGGAGGTGGGACCTGGTGGAAGGTGACTGGATCATGAGGGCGAATTTCTCATGAATGGTTTAGCACCATTCCCTTAGTGCTGTCCTTGTAACAGTGAGTGAGTTCTCATGAGATCTGTTTTAAAAGGGTGTGGCACCTCCCACTCTGTCTCTCTTGCTCCCACTCTCACCACATGACATGCTGCCCGTCTTTTGTTTTCCACTGTGACTGTAAGCAGCCCAAGACCTCACTAGAAGCCGAGCAGATGGCTTGTACAGCTGCAGAACCATGAGCCAATTAAACCTCTTTTCTTTGTAAATTACCCAGCCTCAAGTTTACTTTATAGCAATGTAAGAATGGCCTAACTTGCATAAAAAACAACTCTTTGTAGGCACTGGACTGAAATCAACACAAGGCTGCAATCCCTGAAAAAGAAGAAAACATGAAGTAGTCCAACATTTCCCCCAAGACTTACTTTACCCTGGGAGCATTTTCTAGGAATGGGTACTAAAGTGAAGTCTAAACAGGAAACATTGATCTTACTTGTTAGAGAAAATAAGAGATCAGAGTTCTGAACAAAACTGGCCAGGATTGAGGGGTCAGAGTGCTTTGACACGTGGTAGCTACTGAAAGGGAACCCCACCAGTCTGCTTAGAAATTCACATCCATTCCTGCTCATTTCCAGGGCTGCACATGATTAGACAAAAACACAGGAGACCCACTAGGAAGCTGATACTGGTAAATTAAAATCCCAAACGTCAGTGCTGGAAAGTTAGTTGTTCGCATTGGAGCCCAGCCAAAGCTGAGAAATCTTGGTAAGATCATGGACATTCAAGTGACACCCCACAAAGACCACACCTTAGAAAAATGGACCACACTGAAGAAATATAAACAAAGCTCAAACAGACCTAACCTAAGAAAACATTATACCAGGCCTTGACAGAACAAAGATGAAGAGCTGATAATTTAACTGCCTCTTAGAACAAAATGTGACATCTTTCAAAAGAAGACAATTCACAGCTTCTACAACGTTTCAACCACAATGTTCAGCACATATTTTAAAATTATTGAACATGCAAAGAAGCAAGAAAAAGTAGCCACTAATCAAGAGATAAAATATTCAATAGAAGCAGACCCAGAGGTAATCCAAAGAATAGCATCTCTAGGTAAGGACTTCAAACTATGATAAACATGTTAAAGAAAAAAAAAGAAAAGGGATAAAAAGATAGTGTATTATGAGAAATAAAATCCATAAAAAAGAATAAAATGAACATTCTACAACTGCAAAATACCATATCTAAATTGGATGAGTATAACAACACACAATACAAACTTGAAGGCAGGTCAATAGAAAATATCCAAACCAAGCACAGAGAGAAAAATGAATGAAAAAGACAAACACAAAAAAGTATGAGATATTGGGCATAATTAAAAGCCCAGAAGGAACAGAAAGAAAGAATGGGAAATCAGCAATACTAGAAAAACCAATGGCTGAGAATTTTCAAATCTGATAGAAAAAAAAAATCAACCCATAGATTCCACCACTACCGAATTTACATGAAACGCAACAACAGAAAAATAACTAGAAAATCTCCAAATGTTAAGAAATAAAGCACCACACTTCTAAATAACCCCGCATGTCAAATCACAATGAAAACTAGAAAAATATTCTAAACTGAACGATAGCATGAAGGGTTGCCAAAACTGTCCCTGGAGGGAAAATTATTGAAAATAGAAAAAGTAAAAACCACCACTCTAAGCTTCCAACTTAAAAGGTTAGGAAATGAACAGCAAACTAAACCCAAAGAAGAGAGAAACTAATAACAGATACTAGTGAAATAGAAGAGATAACAAGAGAAAACAAGCAAAGCCAAACATTGGTTCTTTGAAAAAATTAACAAAACTGTTAATCCCTACTAAGACTGAACAAGAAATAAATGAGAGAAAATACAAATTACCAAAACAAAGAATTAAAAGAAGACCTCGTTACAAATCCTATAAAGAAGATAATTAGAGGATATTATGAACACTTTAAAACAACAAATTTTAAATTTTAGATAAAATGGACAAATTCTTTGAAAAGCACTATTCATCAAAACTGACAAAGAAACAGAAAACCTGAAGAGCCCTTATTATCTGTTAAAGAAACAGAAGCTATAATTTAAAACTTTTCCACAAAGAAAACTCCAAGCCCAGATGGCTTCACTGGTAAATTCTACCACATATTTAAGGAAGCTTTGTTTATTTCTTCAGTGTGGACATGGTGGCACATACCCATAGTCCTAGCTAATTGGGAGGCAGAGGCAGGAGGATCCCTTGAGCCCAAGAGTTCGAGGTTACAGTGAACCATGATCATGCCACTGCACTGCAGTCTGGGCAACAGAGCAAGAAGAAGAGAGGAAAGGGAGGAAGGGAAGGAAAGGGAGGGAGGAATAGACGGGGGAGGGAGGAATAGAGAGGGGAAGGAGAAAGGAGGAGGGAGGGAGAAAGGAAAGGAGGGAGGAAGAAAGGAAAGCAGAGAGGGAGGGAGGGAGGGAGGAAGGAAGGAAGGAAGGAAAAGTCTTGTCCATCTGTTAACTATACAATAACCTTACCTCTTCAGAATGGGGCTAAGAATCAAGAGTCAAAATAGGCCTTTGGGTAGACATGGGCAGCCATTAAATCTATGCAATCAATTCCATGGACTTCTGTAACTAAAGTCCTGCAATGCTTGTTCTGATCAGAAACATGTAAACAGCAGTCTAGAACCATTTGGCTAAACAATAAACTGTAGTCGGCCCTTCCCATCCACCAGCTCTGCATCTGTGGATTCAACTAATCACAGAGCAAAAATGTTCAAAAAATAATAAAAGTAACAATACAACAATGAAAAATAATATAAATTTTAAAAACACAGTATGACAACGATTTATATAGCATTGTATTAGGACTATAAGTAACCTAGAGGTGATTTAAAGTATAAGGGAGGATGTGCATATGCAAATACTATGCCATTTTATGTCAGGGACTTCAGCATCCACAGATTTTGGTATTCTCAGGGGTCCTGGGACCAATCCCCTTTACTGAGAGACAACTGTACTAAATTTGATCGTTTTTAGAATGCAAACCAATAAAGAAATGTGTAATTCTATTGAAAGAAATCTGTTTATATTTTTAAAAGCAACATAAGGTACCTCATAGAATGTTCCAACATGCTTTGTTCAACAAGAGACCAAATACACAGTGGTGGTTTCATTAGACGATAATGGAGCTGAAAAATTCCCATTGCTAAGTGACATCTTGATAATCCTAACCCTGTGTGGGCCTAGGCTAATGTGTGTGTTTCCATCTTCTTTTTTTTTTTTTTTTTTTTTTGAGACGGAGTCTTACTCTGTCGCCAGGCTGGAGTGCAGTGGCGTGATCTCGGCTCACTGCAACCTCCAACTCCCTGGTTCAAGCGATTCTCCTGCCTCAGCCTCCCAAGTAGCTGGGATTACAGGTGTGTGCCACCATGCCCAGCTAATTTTTGTATTTTTAGTAGAGACAGGGTTTCACCATGTTGGCCAGGATGGTCTCGATCTCCTGACCTCGTGATCCACCCACCTCGGCCTCCGAAAGTGCTGGGATTACAGGCGTCAGCCACCAAGCCCGGCCTCCATCTTCATTTTTAAGAAAAAGTTTAAAAAGGAAAAAATAATAACAATTTTTAAAAACAGAAAAAACCTCACAGAATAAGGATATAAAGAAAGATGCTTATACAGCTATACGATGTGTTTGTGTTTTAAGCTAAGTGTTATTACAAAAGAGTCAAAAAGTTAAAAAAATATAAAAGTTTACAAAGTGTAAAAGTTACAGTAAGGTTAATTATTGAAGAAACTTTTTTATAAATTTAGTGTGTAGTCTAAGTGTACAGTGTTTATAAAGTCTACAGTAGTGTATGGTAAGGGCCTTAGGCCTTCACATTCACTTATCACTCACTCATTGACTCATCAAGAGTAACTTTCAGTCCTGAAAGCTCCATTCATAGTAAATGCCCTATAAAGATGTACCATTTTTTATCTTTTATACCATATTTTCCCTGTACTTTTTCTATGTTTAGATACACTAATAGGTACCATTGTGTTGCAACTGCCTACCGTATTAGCTATAGTAACATGCTGTACAGGTTTTGTTACCAAGGAGCAATAGGCCCTGCCATATAGAATAGGAGTGTAGTAGGCTATACCATGTTGGTTTGTGTAAGTACACCGTATGATGTTCACACAGCAACCAAATTGCCTAATGACACATTTCTCAGAACACATCCCTGTTAAGCAACACATGATTACACTTAACTACAGGGGCACCTGACCACTATCTAAACCAGTACGTCCTTCATAAAAATTCTTGTTTGACTTGCATGATTAAAACTAAAAGTAATCCAAGATATTGAAACATGCCTTTTCATATCCCTTTGGGTGACCAAACTCACTTTCACACATTCATGCATTTGACAGGAAGTAAAGTTGCATATCTGAGCTTTATAAAGTACAAGCAATTACATATTTCAAATGCCATACCATTTAATACATGCTGAATAAATCCGATTAAGAATTAACAGATTAATATATAGCAGACAGAATCAATTATAGATATGTGTATATACATGAGTTAGTACATACATATATATAACATACATATATTACTTAGCTCTGTCCATTGAGAGGGCCTAGAAGCAATGACACCCCAGTAGCAACAAGCATACCCAGCACCAGATCCTGGTCTCTAAATACTATTCTCCAAGAAGAGGAGCTCCTTGGAGAAATGGCTGATTCTAGGGCTTGGGCAGGAAAAGGAGTATCTTCAGAGCACCCAAAAGTAAGGAAGTCCTCAAATCTGCGTTTTAACTCTTAATTATTCTATACTACAGGAGAATTTCTGTTAAGTAAAGGAAGAAAATCTTACTCTAGTAAATTTTCCATGTGTGAATAATGACTGTTACTTCCCTTCTTTGACTATAAAATATGCAACCCTGCATTCCCTAATCCAAAGGTGCACAAAGTAAAGAGAGAACACATATAAAAGGCAAAAGTAGTTAGAGGTTAGTCACAAAATTAAATCATACCGTGCAAAATTCAAGCTTTTTACCAGTTCATCTAATATGCGGTTATTTTTCAGATCCGGCTCTGTGACAGTCTAGAAAAAACAAACAACAGATGGAAAAAGGTCAAAAACAATAATCAACTTGTCATAATCTTGTTTTTGAAAATGTCTGACCCATCCTCCTGAGGTTCTCCATCCCACTAAGTCTTCTAAGGCAGCCTCAAAATAAAGTTCATTTATCTCATGCTAATATGAAATTTTAAAACAGTGAATCAGTATCTGCTGACTGGAAGTCTGATAAAAGCTCTCCAGAGCTTCTCTTATAATCATATATACTCTGTACTGACTACAATCAAACCTAATATAAGCAAGAATCTTTCTTCAAAATGCCAGCACTCAGCTTTCTCAGAAATTTCTCCGGAAAAACAGAAGAGAAATGTTCTTTTAAGTTCTAACACTGGGAGAGGCACTAAGTGTTCAAGGAGAATTTTAAAGTAAGATTGGTTTTCAGGAATGCAAGAGAAAAGTGACAAACCCAGTACTTATTTGGCATGAATGGTACACAGTTTATCTCAGCGATGAGACCATCTTGTCAAAAGCAGTGTAACATATCGTAAAGATCTTAGACTTAAGAGCCAAATCACAAAATTTCTTACATAGAGAAATAGTTCGAAATGTTCAGTGACACCCTGACACCACATACCTACCAGAGAGGCAAAACTAACCAAACTCCTTACCTAGTCCTAGTGTCGGCTCTGTCAGACCTCACTTGTCTCTTCTTTCTTTATTCCCACTTATGTTTAATTACCCTTTTAGTCTACTTTTCCACCTGTTCCCACTACTTGAAAAGTTTCAGAAACAATAACAACAAACTTTCTAGGGTTTTCCCTGAAGCTCTGGTAGGGGAAAGATGTAAGGGAACAGATAGGCCGGATTAAGCCCAACAGCCATGCATATTTACCTTCTGCACAAATACTTAGACAGTTCTTTGCAAATGAATAATCATACCACCAGAGTTTCTACCAAAGTGAGAAATTATTAAAAATGAGAAGCCATAAAAACATGGGTCATAAGAATTAAAGAGTGCTACTTCCTAAAATACATTTAGGTTTTCAGAAATCTTAACAAAAAAACTGAACAAAGCCCAGCTCTTCTTACATGTACTTTAGAGGTCCTTTCTGAAAATGTCTTTCATATAGCTTAATTCAGTAACTACACATCACCCTATATATACACAGGCTTTTACGTATACACAAAGCAGAAATATTTGCAGCAGTCAGTAAGTTTTAAAAAAAGGAAACAAAAACTCACCACACAGCAAGTTGGACACTGAGTTTTATAGGACAGAAATTTTCTTATACAGAGAGAGCAGTCTGCAAAACACAAAGTGCAACATAATGTTAATTAAGCTATATTAATAATACAGGAATATGACTTCTAACAAAATCTTAAGCCCTAGACTATTTCCGTCATCTAAGGTATATCATCATAAGCTTAAATTTCTAGTACCTCTACTCTATGCACACTTACACATGTGATTAAACAGCATTTTAAGGAAAGGAAAACATAAATATTGTAAGTCTTTAGGATACCACAACTACACAAGCAACATACATCACTCTGTGTCCTCCATCTGCAAAACACAGGAAACATACACTTGGGCTGGGTACTGTATAAACCTGCCAGATATCTCTACTGCTTATCATTTGAAAATATAAATTTTGAAATAATATATATACACATATTAAGAAAAAATATATATCCAGGTTATCACATTAGGGACTTCTATATCTTAATTCTGTAAATAATGTCCTCTGTCCCACATTTAACAAGCACTTTTGTGGCAGGCACTAAGAACAATATATATAAAGGAAGGTTCTTGACCTCAAGGAGCTAATAAAATAGTGAAGCAATTACAGCATAATTCCGCATAATATATCCTAACAATTTAAGCAGGAAATGGGCACAAACTAAATTCACCACACTCAAGGCAGTGTAAATGTTCTCCCAGTCAAAGACAAAGCAGATGTGACTAACAGAATGGTACCTTACTAATTACCTAAGCTAATTTACTAGTAGCCCAAATTCAGCTGGATTCTGTTTAGTTGAGGAGGAGACAGTACAATTTCAGTACACTGTATAAATTCAGGATTCGTTTAGTTGAGGAGGAGACAGCATAATTTCAATGGTATGGATATCCAGGAAATAAGCAAGTCTTGCCAGCCTAAGTAAGAGCACCCCAGGAGGAAAAACAAAGAAACATATTATGAAAAGGATAAAACAGACAACAGGTTGAGTTCTTTTAGGAAGCAAAGATGAATACAGGGGACCGATTCAGCATGTAAGGGGCTTGGAAGTCACCACTCTGTCCTAACAAGTAAAAAGCTGAACAAACTGAAAAACCAACAACTTTTCGTAGATCCAGCAGAAAAGCAGGGTCACAGGGCAAACTGCTCTCCCCGAACTGGAGAGAGAGAGGGGGGTAATACAGACAATCACAACTTACTGGAACAGAAACCCACAAACAGAAACCTCCATGGGAACCAGAGGAGAAACCTGTGCTGGAACCAGTGCTGGGGTGGGAGAACCTGAGCTGTAATTGACGAATTGCTGGCGGCTCAGTGTGGGCAAGTCTGAGAGTCAAAAACTCCAGGGAACCCTGTCATTGCAGGCATGGAGAGGATGTCCTCACACTTCTGTGAGTTTTAGTTCCAGGAGTTCTTCAAAGTTCTCACAGTGAATATTGGAGAAAAACCCCCCAGTCCTTCCAGGAGTAGGAGGGTAAAAGTAACCATTTCTAAATAAGCCAGAGTAGTCTGTTTTTTTTGTTTTGTTTTGTTTTTTCCCCTTCAAGATGGAGTCTAATTCTGTCACCCAGGCTGGAGTACAGTGGCGCAATCTCGGCTCAATGCAACCTCCGCCTCCTGGGTTCAAGTGATTCTCCCGCCTCAGCCTCCCGAGTAGCTGGGATTACAGGTGTGCGCCACCACACCACACCCAGCTAATTTTTGTATTTTTAGTAGAGATGGGGTTTCGCCATATTGGCCAGGCTGGTCTCAAACTCCTGACCATAGGTGACCGCCCACCTCGGCCTCCCAGAGGGCTGGGATTACAGGTCTGAGCCACTGCACTGGCCCAGAGTAGTCTGTTCTCAACAAAGCCCTCCCTCAGAAGAAACTATTTTACAGAGCCTAATCTACTGGAGTTTTATCAGAGCCCAGCTGACTCTGGAAAAAGGAAATACACAACTCTAGCCCTCTAGCCATCCTGTCCCATCTAAGGAGGGGAAAACTGAGGAGCGTTAGTAACATTCACAGTCCAGGGGCAAAGTTCGCTAAAAGACCTAATCATAGGACTATAGAATGTGTCCCCTCTGCCCATACCTAAAGGCCTATTTACTGCAGTTCCTTTTACCCAGGACATCATTTCCAGTTATTAACAAAAAAACCACAAGGAAAAACACACAGTTTGAAGAAACTGAGCAAGCATCAGAACCAAAGTCAGATATACCAGAAATGTTGAAATTATCGGACCAGCAATTTTTAAAAATTATATGCTAAGGGCTCTAATGGAAAAAGTAGACAACATGCAAGAACAGATGGGAACATAAGCAGAGAGGTGGAAATTCTAAGGAAGAATCAAAAAGGAATGCTAGCGATAAAAAGAACCGCTATAACAGAATGCCTTTGATAGGTTCATTAATAGATTGAACACGGCTGAGGAATCTCTGAGCTTTAGGACATGTCAATGGAAACCTCCAAAACTGAAAAGCAAAGAGAAAAAAAGACAGGAAAAATGGAATAGAATAACCAAGAACTGCAGGATGACTACAAAAGATGTAACATACACATAATGGGAATACCAGAAAGGGAAGAATGAAAGGAGCAGAAGAAATAATAATGGCTAAGAATTTCTCCAAATTAATGTTAAACACTAAACTACTTATCCTGGAAGATCGGAGAACACTAACCAGGATAAATGCAAAAACAAAACAAATAGACACCTCAGCCAATCATATTGAAACTACATAAAATCAAAGATAACGAAAAAATATTGAAAGAAGCTGTAGTGGGGGCCTTACCTACAGAGAAGCAAAGAATGACACCTGACTTCTCACAAACCACAGAGAGTGCACCGAAATATTTAGTGTTGAGAGAAAATCATCACCAACCTAAAACTATATCCTGAGAAATTATCCCTCAAAAGTGAAAGAGAAATAAGGACTTTCTCAGACAAACACAAATTGAAGGAATCTGTTTTCAGTAGACTTCCCTTGCAAGAAATGCTAAAAGAAATTCTTCAGAGAGGAGGAAAATAATTTAGGTCAGAAACTCCAATCTACGTAAAGAAAGGAAGAGTACTGGAGAAGGAATATGTGAAACTGTAATAAAAACTTTTTCTTGTTAATTTAACAGATAACACTTTGTACAAAAATAATAACGAAGTATTCAATTATAGATGCTTATTATGTATATGCGTATAAAAATGCACGCTTATGAATGCTTATGCATAAGTGAAATGAATGACAGCAATGGTACAAAAGACTACAGGAAAGCATTTCTTAGCTTGAGCTGCCATAACAAAATACCACAGACTGGGCAGGTTAAACAACAGAAATTGTTTTCTCATGGTTCTGGAGGCTAAAAGTCCAAGATCAAGGTGCCAATATGGTAAGTTTATGCTGAAAGCTCTCTTTCTGGCCTATAGACAACCACCTGCTCACTGCGTCCTCCCATGAGGGGGTGAGGAGTGACCATAAGCTCCGGTATCTCTTCTCATACGGACACTAATCCCATCACTAGGGCTCCACTGTCAGGACCTAATTTAAACCTAATTATCTCCCAAAGGCCTCATCTTCAAACACCAACACATTGGGGTTGGGGCTTCGACATAGGACTTTAGGGGGGATAAAATTCACTCCAGGCATTCCACCTTTAACCTCCCAAATTCATGTTCTTCTCAAATGCAAAATACATCCATCCCATCTCAACAGCCCCAAAAGTCTTAACTTATTCCAGTACCAACTCTAAAGTCTAAAATCTAAAGTCTCATCTAAATATCACCTAAATCAGATATGGATGAGACTCAAGGTATGAATCATCCTGAGGCAAAAATTCCTGTCCAGACTCATTCTCTTAATTATCAATGCTGTTCTCTTTATACTATAAGAAGTCTCCTGAGCAATACTGTAAGTCAAGAAATCCTAAAACCTAGCTGCTCAGCTCAGTCACCTAGGGAGATTTATGCTGGTTTTAACTTAGTTTCCCAGGCTGTATCCCCAGTCATAGTGATTCAATGGATTTTGGTCAGTAAATCACATTCTTAATATGTAATATTGATTCAACAATGGCAACAATTTTTAAAAAATTAATAAGTTGTCACTATTAAGTTGAATTATATGAAACTGACATTTTTGGTTAAGTCAAAAATGGACAAATATTGGCAATTTCATGTGGTTCAAATAAACACTGCACTTAGTATGTGCTCTGTTCTAAGCACTTTACATGTATTAACTCTTTCGATCCTCACAGCAACCCTGAGGTTGGTACCAATGTTAGTCACATTTGACAAGAAGAAAAATGAAGCACAGGGCTCAGCCAACTTGCCAAAGATAATGGAACTAATATGTGGCAAAGGAAAGCACCAGAGTCCAGACTCTTAATATATTAATTATTAAAAATTACAGATGCTCCTTGACTTAACATGGGATTACATCCCGATAAACCCATCATAAATTGAAAATATCATAAGCCAAAATGTATTTAATATACCTATCTCTAGCCTGGGAAAAGATCAAAATTCAAAATTCAAAGTATGGTTTCTACTGAATGTGTATCGCTTTCACACCATCGTAAAGTTGAAAAATCCTAAGTCAAATCATGGTAAGTCAGGGACTGACTATATCTATAAACATTTGTTTATAATAAATATATACTGTACATTTATACTATAATGTATACTTATATAAATATGTACTATGTATAGTTATATAATGTATACTTATACAATATAGTGTATACATTATTATATATGTAATTGTACCTATATAAGTATACATTATATATATTATGTATACATCAATAAATAACATTTAATTAATAAGGTCACATGTACCTTTTAAATTAGTATTTATAATAAGGCTACTGCTTTCTCTTCTGCATAATCTTGTATATCTTTCCTCTTCTTTTCTTTTGAAATGAGGAGAACCAGATATGGAGTCCTAAGTAGATCAAGCCCTAGGCTTAATTTCACTCTACTAGACTACTACCAAATATGTACTGGTAAGCTGCAGACCAGCATAATTTATTCTCTAGTGGGCAACTATGACAACCCTTCCATTCAAAGAAGAACAGCTGAAGAGTTTTGAATTCATGTATTCCCAGAGGGCTTCATTTAAATCACCTATGAAATTTGTCTTTCCATCCAAGAGAGCCCAAAAAAGATGTGTGGGCAGAGTGGAGGAAGGTACAATAACAACAATGAATTAAAGAGTAGTTTCACAGAAATATCCAAGCCTTGGGAGAGGGGGCATCTCTAATCCCAAGCAAGATCCTAGATAAAATAATTGGCTTGTGGACACTGATAAATTACCACTATTTTAAAGCTTGGCCAGCAATCTTTTTTTTTTTTCCTTTTGTGGATTTTGACTCAAAAAAAATTAATCAAAGCTTGTGTAGAAGTAAAAAGCAATTTTATTTCATTTTTTAAAACAAACTGAAATATGAAATGTTCCCCTTACGAAACCTTTGCTAATTCAAGAGACAACATAAGATTCTATTAGGCAAATAATAAACGTGTTTATCTTCTTTTATATTCTCATGAAGTAGCACTGTGAAACAAGGCAGAGGAGAAGAGAAATAGCTACACACACAAAAGGGAGATATAATTATGCAGAGCTGCACTTCTGGAAATTCTGAAATGCTAGTCTTTAGTTGGAGGGATGTTATTCTCTTACCAACTAACTGTCCCTTAACATTAGAACTGGAGGCAGATGCCAACCTTTTCAGCTTTCTTGGACCTCCTGTTCTTTTCACACTGGTTTTTGCTTTTAACTGGACACTTTAGATGTTTCTTTCTAAAAAGTTCCTTCTTTCATAAAGTCCTTAAGATTTCACATGACAAGGATTCATTTAAGTTTTAGAAATTTCCTTTTTACTATTAAGATGCTAGACTCTTTTGATGTTTGAAAGCCAGCCAATTGCTAAATATTTTGATCATCTTCCATTATGAAGTGAGAAAAATTATAGCAAGTGCAAAGAAAATTGGCACTTGGGCATATTAGTCTATTAGCAAGACCATTTCTCACTTAATGGTGTTTTATGGGTTGGAGTAAGTCTGCTCCCTCTCGCCCCCAAAATACTCTTTAATAGCACAAATTTGGATCAATTTAATTGACCTGCATTCTGCCAAGGCACCCCACTCACACCTTTGTACCTGCAGAACTACAAATGTAGTGTTTATTACTCATATCCAAAAACCTAAACAGAACAAAACAAAATAAAGTGATTTAAAAATGATAAATCATGAAAAATCTAAGAAGCAACAATAAATACCTAGGATTCTGGATCACCAATTCTAGTCAATCCAAGATGATACCAGAACATGACAGACCTGGCTTCCACTACAGCCCTGGGGGTTTTGTGTCATTAAAACACTAAAGACCCAGAGCAAATTTTAGACATGACGGGACTTGTGACAACTGGTGTTTAGTAGAAGAGGCCTACTGAATACTGAGACTTCACAAGTGAAAAAAAAGTGCTCATAAAATAAAAAATCATCATTACTGAAACTTCCCTCCACTGACTTCCTCTTAAAGAATGGCATAAGTGACAGCTATAAGTCATGAAGAAGTGAGCAAACAACATGTATCCCTAGGGAGAGAAACAGAAGACTAGCACTTACATTGCGGGGGCTACTTGAGAAACTGGTTTCTGAGCTGCCTGAATCTATACACTGACAGAAAAGGGAACCAGGTTGAGGGCCACTGAGAACAAAAGCAAAGGTCTGGACTAGTACCACACTCACTGGCCAGTGTGCCTCCCCCAGGCTCAGCAAGGAAGAGAAACCCCCAACTTTCTGCCTGGGGAGAGAAAGAAGGGAAACACGGTCCAATGTTCTAGCTTTTCCAAGAGCTGGCCAGAGGACTGGCTTCTGTCTCACCCCACTAAGCATGAACCCTGCATGTTCTAGGTGACTGGGGACTGCTAAGAATAAAAAAAAGCTGGGTTGCTTGCTACTGATCCACAGGACCCATAGAGCAGACAGAGGCTGATATAGCTCTGCGGCTTATCTTGGGAGGGGAGGCTGGGAGAGAATAGTGGAGTGTGTGACCAACATTTGAACTTTTCAAAGGACTGCCTAAGGGAATGGTTTCTGTCTCACTCAACTTGGGGTGCTTTGGATCAGCATACTTTAGATGCTTGAGGGCAGCTGAAAACAAAAAAAGAGGCTGATGGCTTACAGCAACTCTGGAGAACCTGCAATACCATGGACAGACACATGAGAGAGAAAAACAGCAGCTAATGAAAAAACTGACCAAATCTCTCGGCTTGGAAATTTATAATCACAAGTCCAGGGAAGACACATCCACAGAAAAGGCTTACGAAGCCCCTAGAATCTGCAGTCAAGCTGACTAGTAAAGATCTTTCTCTATATGGTAGTGCCCCCTTATACACAGGCGAGACATTCCATAAAGCGCAGTGGATGCCTAAAACCACAGGTAGTACTGAATCCTATTTATACTATGTTTTTTCCTATACATACTTACCTATGATAAAGTTTAATTTATTAATAAGACACAGTAAGAGATTAGGAACAATAACAATAACATAGAATTAAAACAATATACTATAACAAAAGTTATGTAAATGTGGTCTTTCTCTCAAAATATCTTGTGCTGTACTGTAGATGGTACTGTAGATCTTAGCAACCTCAGCATACAATTTTCTTTCCTTTCCTTGTTAAGAACTTTCACCTTTTCACTTAAAGGAAGCATTTTATGGTTTCTCTTTGTCATATCCGAATTGCCAGCATCATTACTCTTGTGCTTTGGGGCTACTATTAAGTAAAATAAGCGCTACTTGACACAATTACTGTGTTCTGCAACACAGTGACAATTACTGCCATGCTGCAACAGTCAATCTGGTAACCAGGATGGTCACTAAACGATTAACGGTAGATAGCATATGTAACATCAACACACTTGACAAAGGGATGATTCCCATCCTGGGCAGGACGGCACAAGATTTCATCAGTGCTTTACTTAGAACAGAGTGCAATTTAAAACTTATGAATTATTTATTTCCAGAATTTCCCATTTAGTATTTTCAGAATGCAGTTGACCACAGGTAACTGAAATCACAGATAAGGGGGGACTACAGTACAAAGCCAGTCTGTAACAAAGCCACTGTGAGGGAGTGAGGCCCTGTCTCCCAAACAAAACAAAACAAAAACAACGTTATTAGCTATGTCACAAAATAAAGGAAGAAAATCATATGAGCATCTCCATAACTGCAGAAAATACTTGACAAAATTCAACACCCATTCATGATTTAAAAAAAAAAATCCTCTCGCCTAACCAGGGGTAGAGAAGTGCCTCAACTTGGTAGGTTTATGAAAACATATTAAGAATATAAAAAAAACTTACAGCTAACATCATACTTAATGGTAAAAGACTGAATGCTTTCCCCAAAAAATTAAGAGTAAGGACAGGATGTCCCTCCACACCACTTTCAACACTGTAGTTGAGGTACCAGCCTGTGTAACAAAAAGAAACATAAAGGCATATAGATCAGAAAGGAATGAGTAAAACTGTCTTTATCCACAAATGACATGATTGTGTATGCAAAAATTTCTAAGGAATCAACAAAAAAGATGCTGGAATTAAAGTGAATTTACTGCAGTCAGAAGACGAAAGGTCAATATAAGTTATATTTCTTTGTGCAAGGTCTGTGCAATGAAAATCAAACAACACTGTTGAGAGAAATAAAGATAGAGAAGTGTATCATATTCATACACTGAAGACTCGGCATTGTTAAGATGTCAATTCTCCCAAATTGATCTCTAGATTCAATACAATTCCAGTGAACATCCCAGCAGGCTTTTGGTAGAAATTGACAACCTGATTTTAAGTTATACATGGAAATGCATTTAAAATGCAACGATCCTAAAAAAAACGAAGAAAAAAAAGTTGGAGGACTTACAATGCCTGACTTCAAGACTTACTACAAAGCCACAGTAATCAAGATAGTGTGGTACTGGCACAAGGATAGACATATATGAGTCTAGCATATAAGCATTTTAAAATATTGTACCTTGAGGTATTTACTGCAATAGGGGTTATCCTATCATTGTTCAGGAGTTAGACAAACAGTTTACAGATTATTTAGGTTCATGCTCTTTCCTGTTCTCTATTTTCAAGTTGATTTATCTTGGAAAGCTAAAGCAACAGTAAACTTAGGCCTAAACAATTGGTTTTAGTGGGCAGTAGTTTTGGTGAAAAACTACTAAGTTTCTAAGATCAATGGAATAGAAGAGTCCAGAAATAGACTACAGATGGCTAGCTGAGGTCATACTGACTGAGATGGGGAGAAATTTATCAGATAATGAAAATGTTCAGTATCTTAATTGCAGTAGTAACACAGCATACACATTTGTCAAAATTCATGAACACTTTTATACCTTAATGTGCACTTAAAATGGATGTATTTTATTGTATGTAAATTACACCCAAATAAAGATGATGTTAAAATATATTTTAAAACAATCTCCAAAACTTATCTTGGTTTTTAATGTGAATCTTGTCTGGAAGAAAACTAACATTGTTAAGGACTCATAATGTGCCGGACAGTGAGTTCTGCACATTTAATTCTCACAAACATTTTCTAAAGTAGTAAATTCTCACCCGATTTTCAAGAGTCAAGCCCAAGGGCATCTGCAATGCCCGTGCTGCCGTCACTGCTACCCTCTTACTATGTCTTCTCCACAGAAACTTTTCCACCAAAGCTACTACCAACTAAAACCAATTTCTTAGGCCTAAGTTGACTGTTTTTAACTTTCCAAGATAAATCAACTTGAAAATAGAGGACAAGAAAGATCATGAACCTGAATAACCCATAAACTGTATGTCTAGCTCCTCAACAATGATAGGGTAACCCCTATGCACTAAATATCTTAAGGTACGATATTTTTAAATGCTTATATACTAGACTCTTAAAGAGAAGTACAAACAAATTCCAACATGAGTCTTTCCAGCGTCACATAGCAGTTAAGGTATAAAACTGTCTGTAATAAAGTCAGTGGTAGAATTCTCCCACTGGGGCAATATTCTTATTGTTACAGATTTTTAAACTTTGAAATTCTATATCAAGTACTACTTGGTGGAACCACCTATCTGTTATCCTGTTAAAAACAAAAATTCTGAAACTTAACGTCAAAAAACACTTGGCAAATAAAGAACCACTTATTGTGACCAAAAATTTTACTGCCATAAATGCTATAAGAATCATAAAAATATCAAAGAGGAACGAGGTAGAAAATATAGAAGCCTTGTAAAAACCTTCAATATTCAAGAGGAAGGCAGTGAAAAAGACCTTCTGAAAAACTACAAGATAGAAGAGCTAAAGGTGAAACATAAATATGTGCACATATCTTTGGTGTTAAATTAACACTACCTCATGTAAAAATCGCAATTTACTAACTCACAGGAACAAAACATACTTACAGTTATGTGAACACTGAGGTATTATCATTGCAATGTTGAAATACTCGAAGCAAATTCCACACCGCAGCAAATCATCTATTGTCTGAAATGCAAATATGCATATATACATATCAGAAAGACATCAAAATTGGAAGTCCTGTCACAAAACTTTTTCTCTATCCCCTAAAAAAAAAATCAAACTCTTTGTCAAATACACAAATTCAAAAGCTAACTCCAGATAAACTGCAAGGGATCTTGACAAATAAATAAAAACTTCTCTCATATGACTCTTATACATTCAGTCTCAGGTTGCCCAAATTGCTTTAGACAGCTAAAGATGATGGCACACCGATTCTTGTGCCATATTGTCATCCCTTCACATAAGGGCTACTGTACTTCTGTTCCACTTCTAATGCGCTTCCAGCTCTTACTCCAAGCCTCCTCCTCTTCAGACTCCAACACCTAGCCTATAGTCACTATTGGGTGAAAGGTGGCCATTGCCACCACACAAGTTAAGAATCAAATCAAAGAATGTTAAAGCCAAACTCCAGAAACTGTCTAGTCAAAAGAGGAAACTGGTATCAAAAGCAGGCACACAATAGTAGGCATCAGTCAAGCCAAGACCAAAATTCCTGTCTCCCGTCTGGCAGTCCAGTGCTTTCGGCATGGTACTACACATGCAGCCAAATGAGGAAGCCTGGAAAGAGCTGGGGCAGTGAAAGCAGAGGAAGGGAAAGTGGACAACTTGGAAAGAGAGATGTGTGCCAACCTGGAATGCAATCCAAACAGGAACGGAACTACTCTGGCAACCTAAAATCTTTCAAATTGTTTAAAATAAAATATTATTCCATTCAACAGAAATATTTTTTAAAAGGAGGAAGCTCTCGACGGGAGGATCGCTTGAGTCCAGGAGGCGTAGGTTGCAGTGAGCCCACATCGCACCACTATACTCCAGCCTGCATGACCGAGTGAAACTGTCTCAAAAAAAAAAAAAAAAAAGAGGAAGCTCTCCATCATACTGATATGAAAAGATTGCCAAGATAAGTGAAAAAAGGAAATAAGGTATAGACAGTACATATACTATGCTACGGTTTGTTTAAAAGGAAGAGGTGAGTAAGAATGTATTCTAATAGGCCTAGCATGGTGGCTCTGTAATCCTAGCACTTTGGGAGGCCAAGGCAGGAGAACTGCTTGAGTCCAGGAGTTTGAGACCAGCCTGGCAAAATAACAAAAATCCATGTCTATAAAAAATTTAAAAATTCGTTGGGAGTAGTGGCGCATGCCTGTAGTCCCAGCTACTCAGGAGGCTGAGGCGGAAGGATTGCTTTAGCCCAGGAGTTCAAGGCTGCAGTGAGCCGTGATTGCCACTGCATTCCAGTCTGGGCGACAGTGAGACCCTATCTCAAAAAAGAAAAAAAGGAAAAAAGAATGCATTCTATTTTCATTGTAAATGTAAATAATGAGAAGATAAACAAGAAGTCATAAATAATGATCAGGGCCAGGAACATGGTAAGAAGGAGACTTTTACTTTTTATTTTATGTGTATTTTGAACCATGTGAACCTATTACCTGAATTTTAAAAATGTAAACAAAAAAGGACTAATGTCGCTAATGGTCCATATGATGAAATATTATGCAGCCATTAAAAAACATGCTTTCAAAGAATAATTAATGCCCTAGGAAAATAAAAATCAGAAAACAAACCTATGCCAATAATACATAATAATAACAACTCTGTAGTTTAATCTTCATAGCAATCTTATGAAGTCCACAGCATCAGTATCCCAATTTTAAAAATAAAGTCTACAGAGTTCCTAAGTTGGCTGGATCAAACCCAAGAAGTTGACTCCACAGTGATCCCAAATTTTAAATGCACAAAAACCAAAGGAAAATAAGGTAAAATGTTAAACACTGGTTCTCTGGGTGGTAGAATTATGGATGGTTTTATTTTTCTCCTTTATCTTATTCTGAATTTTAATTTTTTTCTACCGTGTACACATATTACATTTACAATATGCCAAAAACAGTAAATTTTTGTTAAAGTAAAACCAGGGAAATAATAAAATGCCAAAATCTTCCATTATTGTGGATGGTAAGCTGTCACAGACACAAAAATCTAAAGGGTTATGTTCAAGATCAATTAAGAGCAGAGGCAGGCCCAGAAGCCAGAACCAGTCTATTATATCACACTTTCTTATCTATGCCATCCTCTTCTGGTGGAGGAATGATTCTGAAAGATCTGCAGAGCACAATTGTGGAAGTTGACACTACATCAGATGAGCCATTTCTGGTTCAAATTTCTTGTCATGTCACTCCAAGACAGTAACATGCATATCACATGCGCCTCAACCAACTAAACAAAAAATGATGCCTGAATAGAGAGTGGTCAGCAGACTCCCCAAAATTTCTTTAGTTTAGAGAGAGAGAAAGTGAAAGGGAGAAGTAGAAAATGGGTGGAAAAACGTAATAATTACAAAAATACTCTTAAGTTTTTGGGGTTACAGATCCCTTTGAAAAATGGATGACAACTATGGACTCTCTGCTCAGAAAAACATACATGCAAAAATTTTACAAATAACTTGAGACTCCAAAGTCTTTCTGTGAATCCTAAGTTAGCAACCATGGATTCTGAGTCAGACTTCTATTCAATAAAAGAAGTAACTTCAGTCAGATCTGCTTCTGGGATCTGATAGTTCTTTGTGCCTGGAAGAGTTCAAGCAAAAATTAGGTGAGAAATTGGCAGATGTGTTATAAAGGAGATTAAAATACTGAAAGGGGCTGGTTTTCTAACCTTAAGATTCCATGATTCCAATGTGAGCAAAAAAATACGGGCTCAATCAACTCTCTGGTTGAACACTCACTGAACGCTCTGTGGTGCCAAACTCTACATTCAGTGCTGTGGTGAGATACCAAAGTCAGAGAAGACATGGAACCCGCCTCTAAAGAACACTGAAATTGTGGGAATATGTAAAGTGTGCTTAAATCTACAAAGCAGGAGCTTTACAGGTTACAGAGCTCTTTTACTTTCCTTATCCAAGTCAAGCTTCATGACAACAAATTAAAAGGGGAAAGAAGCACTTAACACAGTGCTAATAATAATAAAATATATTCATTGAATGCTTACTACATTCCAGATACTTTCAATCAAGCAGCAAATAATATTTGAGCACCCACTTGGTGTCAGGCACTGCAGTAAGCACAGTGAATACACAGCAGAATCTGTGCCCACATACATCAACTAATTTATTTAATCAATCCTATGAACTGTTATTTTTGTCTCTAATTTATAGTTGAAGAAATTCAGGCTCAGAGAGGTTAAGTTACTAACCGAAGGTCATACAGTCAAGAGGCAGACAGGAGATTTCACCCAGGACCACTGGAACTCAAATCTGTGCTCTTCTCCACTGCATCCTGGTGCCAAGCCCACAACTCCAAAACTACAGCTTTCCTGGATCATTTCACAATGTCAGCTTCTCATCATGCAGATATCTCAAGTCCCCAAGCACTCTAGACGTCACTGATGACAGCAGGAAGAACAAGGCCTTCTACTTACTTTAGCCTTCACTTAATTCTAAAGTCAAATTTATGAGTCAGTGGGACAGGTATTATAATCCCCAAGTCTACAAAACTGAGGGAGAAGAAGGCTATCTTAGCCACTGTGAGAAACGGAAATAATCACAGAGCAAGAAGAAACACCAAGCAACTGATCTTTATCCAGCACAGCAAAGTGCATCTGCTCTTGAGCAAATCCAGGGCCCACCACTACTGTAAATGGAAACTGGTATGCCTTGCCAAAACAGAAAGTGGCCACAAAAATAAATGTTATTTAAGTGAAATAATCAGACGCAATGCAAGATCAGCGCTGAGCCTGAGTCCTGATCTCTGTTTAAGAGACATGAGCAATTGTTAGAGAAGAGTGAAGGTGTGTTAGAGAGGAGTTGGGGCAGTATGTCAGAACAAACGAGCACTACGTTTATTGAGAATAATCAGAAGAAATGAAAGAGCCTGTAAAGGAGACTACCTGCTTGGCTACGTGATTACATACATGTTATCTGATAAAGTGTCCACCCAAAATCATGTCCGGTGTCACTGTTTAGTGCTTGACACAAAGTAAGCTTTCAGTAAAGAACAGCTGTCGATGTCATTGTTTGGAATAACTGTTTTTCTCCATGTTATTGTTGGGATTGGATCGCAGAATAGCTGGTGCCATAAGACTGCCAACCTCAGCTCACCAGGCTTGTCCTTGTCACTTATCAGAGGAGTAAACTGAGACCCAGAGCCACGCGGTCGGCTAGTGGCAGGGCAGAGCCGGATACCCGGGCCCAGTGCGACGCTCGCGCCTCATCCTTTCTCCTTAAGGCGAGGACATCCTCCTCAAAGGGAGGGACCTCCCCCCGCAGACACCCGGGAGCTCCCAAACTCCCCGAAGCACTCACCTTCATGACTGCCAGGCCCGGAGGCCACCGAGACTCGGCCAGGGAGTCCATGGTCGCTCCCGAGGATGCTGGGGGTCAGCCACCCACTAGCCTCCGGCGCTCCAACACCACTCGAAATTCCCCGCGCTACCGCATTACGTCAGCAGCCCGCGACGCGCCAGAGGCGGGCGCGGAGCCTGCCGGAAGTTGTAGTAGTATGTGGGCGGGGCGCCGCTTAAGGGCTTGTACTGCGCATGCGCCAGGCTTCTGCCGCACTTACCTTGAAGAAAGTGAATGGTTAAAAAGCGTAGAGCCAGTTGAATATTAAGAAAAGATAGCCAGGAATCAAACCAAATCCAGACCTCACCAGATCTGTCAAGGTCCAGGCTCATGACCCCCCTCCGGGTCGCCCACCCTAATCGCAGTGACTATCCGTCCTTGCTCTGAACAGAAGTTTTTATATCCATTACTTTATGTCTCCCGTATCACAACACTGGGAGGTAGATGTTATCATTGTCAGTTTACACAAGAGAAGCCTACGCCCGAAAAAGTGGATAGAGTTTCGAGTCAGATTCCAAACAGGACCTCTGGGCTTTAAATGGGAGCTGTTGCTTTTATTCATATTAAAATTTTAATGCACGGTTTTTCTTTTTCTTCGGAGAGAAGCACCATTAACTTTGGCATATAGCCTTCTAGATATTTCCTATGCAGATTGACGAAGATTCTTTGCTTGAGCAAACTTTAGTCAGGCTCCTGAACCTTCTCCTAGGCCAATCTGTGTACTTCCTGTAAAAATCCAGTTTTAGCAAAAAACCCTGCTAAATCAAGTTACCAAGAATCCCCACCTTTGATATGTGATCACTCTTGATATCTGATGTGTTCCTCATCCTCCACCATCCCCCAGTTGATGTCTGATCACCCTGGCCTCTTCAGCAAGAATCTACTGTTACCTCTGATGTTTCCTCTTAGTAATTTTTCATGCACTGCTCCCCACCCTGCTTCCTGGCTATAAATTTCCATTTGCCCATGTTGTATTCAGAGTTGAGCCCAGTTTTCACCAATTGCAAGACACAGTTCCAGTGGTCTCTATACCTACTTGAATTGTCCTGATTAAGTCTTCCTTATTGTGCTTTAACAAGTATCATTGAACAATTTTTTTCTTAAACGAGATATAAATATAGATACTTTTTTTCATACATGTTATATTAAATGCATGAGGAATGGAGGTTTACGGTGTCCACCCCCGCCCCCCACTTTGTATCAGCCAATCATAGAACGGCATGCAAATGAACGCAAATGAATGCCAGGCTGAGCTGGAAAATGTCGGATAGTTCTGGATGTGGAGGAAGTGGGGTCTTGGAGAGACAAAGGAAAAGCATTTAAGACCAGGTCCGTGGCCTGAGTGAACCAGTAATTGTTTTTTTCACACTACTAGTTGGACAAGGTAATTAGGTTTAAGGTGACAAATGGCTGGGAAGGTGAGAGAGGAAGAGAGAGGAGATGAGAAAAAAGAGAAAGAATGGGTAAGGAGAAAGGGAGAGAGAGAAAAGACAGGGACAGGAATGTACTTTTTGCATTCAACCATGGAGACAGATTTGGAAGGAGGCAGTACTTGTTAGTCCTGGGGCCAAAATACATTTCCCTATCTATGGAGAGCCTCCAGGACAGGATGCGGTGCCATTCATCTCTGAGTGTCTGCCAATAGCTGGTGGGTGAGGCTGAATGAATGGATGAATCACCGACTAAGCCCACATTCCCATAAATCTTTTCCTCCCAGGCTGAGCATTTCTCTTCCTGCCATCTTCAGCAGCACCAGGGTGATAGATCCCATCAAGCCCACCTCTAGGCCCAGGAAGGAAAGTTCAAGAACAAGCGCACTTTGAGCTCAGGAAAAGGCGTTTGTCTTGGGTGTTTATCTAACCCTGGGAGCCATTCTCCTCTTAACAAGCTGCTGTTTGTATGGACTTTCTCCTTCTGTTAGATCAATAAAGAGATTGTACTTCCTTATTCAGGACTAAAAACAAAATGTTCCATGTAAAATAAAAGCAGGCTAGTGTTTAGTGGAATCTTCTGTGGCACATAGCACACAGCGAGAAGCCAGAATAGGATGGCCAGATAAAATACAAGTTGCCCAGTAAATCTGAATTTCAGATGAACCGCACACAACATTTTAGTGTAAACCTGCCCCAAATATTGCACACAACCTATTAACCAATTATTTGTTGTTTAACCAGAAATTCAAATATTTAACTGGGCATCCTGTATTTTTATTTGCCAAATCTGACAACCCTAATTAGAGAAGCATTCTCCCAACTGAGTGTGGGGCCTGCCCTGGATTAACCTGGGGATGTCCTGTGGCCCCTGAGCTCCTTTCCAGGTTCTCTTCATCCTGTTCCTCTCTGCCCAGCACTCTCTCTTCCTCTAGGCCCCATCTTCCTCATTCTAGTTATGGGAGAGGGGATATTAAAGGAGCTCCCTCCCTCCCTTTCCTTCCTTCCTTTCTTCCTCCCTTCCTTCGTTCCTTCTTTCCTTCCTTCCTTCCTTATTTTTTTTCTTCCTTCCTCCCTGCCTCCATCTCTCCCTTCCTCCATTCATTTTAACAAATGTTTATTGAGCCACTCTCCACTTGTACCAGGTGCTAGAATACAGAGGTGAGTAAGACAGATATGGCCTCTGTTCTCCAGGAGCTGGCAGCCTGGGGGTGAGCATGGAGCCAGGATAAAAAAAAAGAGAGTTTGTAAAAAAATGAGTAAGATAATTGCATAAAACAGTAACTGATGTAAAAACAATAAAAAAGGGTGATAAAATGGACAGAGGAGGGGACACTGTAAATTGTATGATCTGGGAGGCTCCCTCTGAGGAAGTGATATATGGGCAGAGACCCAACTGATAGAGAGAGGCAGCCATGCAAAGACCCAAAGACCCCAGAAGTGGAGAGTTCCATGCCTTAGTAAAAAGTTCAGATTTTAATCCATGTTAACTTGGGTAAGTTGTTGACCTCTCTGTGCCTCAATTTTCTCATCTGCAAAATGGGGATAATATTAGTATTTGCCTTGTAGGGATAATTAAAGGAGTTATTCTAGGTTTAATGCCTAGAAGGGTGCCTGGCAACTACTAAGCCCTGTGTGAGTGTCAGCTGTCATTAATATTATGTTGCTATAAGCACAGGGGGGAAGTCCTTAGAGGCTTTAGGCAGGGGTGTAATTTACATTTTCCAAAGGTCATTCTAGCTGCTGGGTGAAGAAGGGATCAAAGTGGAAAGTGTACAGTAGAAGAAGGTGACAGGGACTGAACCTTGGTGGCACAGTCCGGGTGAGGTAAAAGTGCTGTGGACCTCACACTTACTGTGGACCCCAGTTCTAGGAAGCAGGCCCTGCTGTGTCCTTGTGACCAGGCCCCTATCTTGACTCCTCCCAGACATGGACCCTGCCTTATTCTCTCCCTCCCAGCCCTGGGACAGCTAGGTCTTGTTTACACTTACAGACTGTGCCCATTACCCCGTCCACCTGCCTGTCAGACCACCATCACCTCTGGGAGCTTCTCACTGAGGCCAGCTACCTGTCTGTCACCAAAGCCTCTTCTTAGGAGGAGTCCCAACCCCTCCTATTGATCCTTCAAACAAGTGTTTGCTGAGCACCTACTATATGCCCAAGCAGAGGTGACAAGTACACTAGACAGAGGAATGCCCAGTCCAAGTCAAGGTCTGCAGATGGGAAGAGCTTTGAGATCAGACAGGAAGAACTTTTAAGGGAGGGAACTGTATTAGGACTTTTTGGTTCAAAGTGCTGAATTAGAAAGCTAACTCAAAATGGCCTAAGCAAGAAAGGCAGTGTGTTAGCTCATGTAACTGAAAAGACCTGAGGTAGGTATTCAGGTATGGCTTGATCCAGGTGGTCTCTCTTCTTCCCTCTCAATTACTCTTTCTTCTTTTTTTTTTTTTTTTTTTGAGACGGAGTCTAACTGTGTCGCCCATGCTGGAGTGCAGTGGTGTAATCTCAGCTCACTGCAACCTCTGTCTCCTGGGTTCAAGCGATTATCCTGCTTCAGCCTCCCTACTGGGACAACAGGCGTGTGCCACCATGCCCAACTAATTCTTGTGTATTTTTAGTAGAGACGGGGTTTCACCATATTGGTTAGGCTGGTCTTGAACTCCTGACCTCGTGAACTCCCAGCCTCAGCCTTCCAAAGTGCTGGGATTACAGGCGTGAGCCACCGCGCCTGGCCATAATCACTCTTTCTTAATGCCTTATATCTTCTTCCCTCACTGTCGACTTAACGCTCATGCAGGCTCCCCCCATGAGAGGCAAACATGGCTCCAGAAGCTCCAGGCCTGCATTCTATTAGCACAGCTGCCTCAGCAGAAAGGACGGACCTCATTCCCAACAGTTCTCAGCAAAAGTACCAGGAGCAAGTCTCACTGGCCAGAATTGGGTCACATGCCCATCCTTGAACCAATCGCTGTGCCTCAGATTATCTAAGTGTGAGTTTGGGAGTGGGAGTGATGCCCCAAATGAACAACAGGGTGTGACATACAGAAAAAGAGGGAATGGGCGCCTGCAAGTAAGCAGGTTGCAAAAATGCTTATAAATTTTTCCCCTGCCTATCCACACTTTGTTTCCATGGGACTCCTTCCAGCAACAGGTGGGTCTGTGGCTCCACTCCTTGAATCTGGGGTTGATCTTGTGATTTGCTTTGGCCAACAGGACATTAACAAAGGTGACCCAAGCAGAGGCTTGTGCACTAATAGCCACCATGTGAATAAGCCCCAGCTTGTGATCCTCCTGGGTGATCAGAGACAGACAGCCAAGTTACCTTGCCACCCCAGCCAACATCAAACCACCTACAATACATAAGTGAGGTCATCCTAGACTATCCAGCCCCAGCCAAAGCACCTGCTTACTGCAGAGATCAGCTCAGCCAGCCCTGACCAGAAAACTGCTCAACATACCCACGGGATCATGGCAAATAATAAATGTTTATTCTCTTAAGCCTCTAACTGTGGGCATGGGTTGTTCCACAGCAATGGTTTACTGATGCAATGATTAAAAACCATGGTGACCCTGTACAGGAGTCTTCCACTTGCCCGGAGCCTGGCTCAGGAGCCCCCAGATACAGAGTGGCTGGAGCCCCAGTCCTGCTGGTCCTTCATCTTTCCCATAGCCAACTCCCAGCATCCTCTCCTGCTCTGTTAGACCCCTGTGCCTGTCTCTGCTCTGCTTCCATTCTGGTGCATAATTCCGATTACGGGTGCCAGGGGCTGGCCCGTGCAACTCCTCCTGCCTCCATAGGCTCCTAGCCATTCTTCCTTACAAAGAGGCAGCCACCAACCTGCAACCATTTGAAAGGTGTGTGGCTGAGTCCTGTACCAGAAAATCTCTCCCACCATCTGTCATGGCATCTGGACGCCCTACTTTTTTGGTTGTTAAAGCTTATTTGGTTTCCCAGAGCCCCAGAGGAGAGCTGACTGCTCCTCTGGGAGAGTGAAAGCAGGTTACACCTCATGTTATAGCACAAACACACTAATAGCAACTGTTTAGTCTCCCTCACTAAACCATGGGTTCCTGGAGGAGACAGAACCAGCCTTTCTCTTCCCAACTCCTCTGTGCCCTAGCACAGCTGTGAGTGACCTGGATAGACCCCACAAATGTAGCGGGGACCCAACAAATGTTCTCTGGGTGAGTTACCCAGAAAGACACCAAACACATGCCTGAGCCTGGGGCCCTGGGACATAGGAGTGCCAGGGCTCAGGGAGCCAAGCAAAGAACCGTTGAAAGGAGACAGAATTGTCACCAATTGATATAGTTTACAGCAACGAAGGGAACATGATGTAGAGTCACACAGACAGAAATCTGAATCCATGCTCTGTCACTTACCATCTGGTCTCGGATAAGACACTCATTTCTCTGAGCCTTATTTTCCTCTTCTGTAAGATTGAAATAATAATGACTGACTTAGAGGGCTGTTATAAGGATTAGCTCTTTTAAAAAGGCTGGAAATCACCTAGCAGAGCACCTGTCACATGGTGAACGGCTGCGTATGGCAGTGGGAGTTACAGTTGTAATTATTACTGTTATCATCACTAATAAATATGTTGACCAGAGGGTACAAAGGTTAAGAGCGCCAACTCTGAAGTCAGACTGCCTGGGTCCAAATCTCAGCTCTCCCACTTGCCGTGTGTGGAGTGTGGTCTCTAAATACCATCCCCACTAAAAGGAAACAGTGTTTCTTGGAGAAATGTTTGGTTTTAGGTCTGGGGCAGGGCAGGTACAAGATGAGCCTAGAACATCTTATTGTGCCCCCAGTAAAGAAGTTGAAAACTAGTGGATGTAAGAGGCAGCTTGAACTTGCTTCTACGCACTTAAGCAATAAAAAGAACATCAATTGCAATGGATTGAAATGCACTGGATATTTTTACATCGAGAAAGTTATAATTAATCTCAGCAAAACAAAGGAAAGCCTTCATTTACTGCCACTGGGGGTTGTCATTGTATCAGCTTCTTACTCTGAAAGTTGATGAATAATAGAAAAGAATTAAGCATTTATTCCTCCTTTTCAGAATAAGCTATGTTTAGAGAAATACTAGCTCTTGTGGATAAGTATTCAATTAGTAGCTAAAACATATAGAGGAAATGATAAAATTAGAAACTCACCATTTTGCAGATTCTAATGAAATATTATTGTTTCAAGCAATGATCACCAATGGGTGATAAAACAGTTCTGAGAGTGGTTCTTGGGGAACTGGATATGTATCAGGTCCCCAAATTATCAGGCCAACAAGTTCACTTGTTACTCACAGAGAAAGATGAGGATGAACCCACCTGAACTTATTCATCAAGTTTTTTGATCCTAAAAGTGGGCACCAAGCAGTGGGTACCTCCTGATGTGATGTAATATGAAGTGCACGTCACCTAGGAAGTGTACTCTCCAAAAATGGTGAAACTGAATCTAATCAAAGGTGTAGATCCAACTTGCCATTTAAAAGACATACAGAGTAGGATCAGGCAGGGTGGCTCACGCCTGTAATCTCAGCACTTTGGAAGGCCAAGTATGATCCCAGGAGTTTGAGACCAGCCTGGGCAACGTAGTGAGATTCAGCCCCCACCCCAGTCTCTACCAAAAGAAAAAAAAAAAATACAAAAAATTAATCAGGGATGGTGGTGCACACCTGTAGTCCTGGCTACTCAGGAGGCTGAGGTGGGAAAATCATCTAAGTCCAGAAAGGCAAGGTTGCATTGAGCCGTGATTGCACCACTGCACTCCAGCCTGGGCGATGGAATGACACCCTATCTCAAAAAAATAAATAGAATAAAATAAAAAAACATACAGGGGAGGACAGCAACCAGTGAACTGACAACTCAAGGAAGCAGTCAGGCAAATGCTGGTTGTGGGGCATTTCACCAGAAAACAAGCTCAGCCAGTCATGACGGGGCATACTCTAGAAAAATTAAGAGACAATACTCATTAGACGGGATGCTGATTTGAACAAAGCAACTTTTAAATGACATTTTTGGAACAATCAAGGAAAATGGAATATGGATTAGGTAACATGTTATTGAGAAATTGTCATTAGTTTTATTCAGTGTGATCATGAGATTGTCATCATTATGCAGGAAAATGTCATTTTTAGAGACATATACTGATATGTTTCAGGGTAAAATGTCATGGTGTTAGCGATTTTTTTGAAATTCAAAAACAGAGGTAAAGCAAACTCATAAAAATGTGAATAATTTTTAAAACTAGATGATAGACATAATGGGTTAACTGTGCTATTCTCTGCATTCTGTAAATCTGAAAATTTTGATAACAAAAATTAGAGGCTGCTTACCCTGCCTGCCATCTTACAAATGACCACATGAGGGCAGCAGAGTATCAGGCTGGATGTGGGCTCGCGCTTTGAGAGGGAAATGCAGATAGGCGATCATCCCACTCATGCGTAATTTATTTACTTCTCATCTTTTCTTCTAACCCATCATTTAGTAAGCACTATGTGCAGGGGCCTGTGCTGGGCCTATAGGGGACAAAATGTCGAATTCACCCGATCTGGGATCCTGCAGCCACATATATTATGTCTGTATCTGGAGGCCAAGGAAGGGATGGTGACCAGGAACCTCTGTCCTGCTGGGTCTACCAGAAACACAGGTATCTCTGTGTTTGGCATCACTGGAAATGGAGACCTTGGCCAGACATGTTGGAAACAAAGAAATTAATGTGGGGAATGGAGGTAGCTGGCCACTCATGTTGTGTGAGTTGATCTGCATGCATTGGGGTTTACCACTTACTACTGTGATCTTGGGAAAATTACTTTACCTCTCTGAACCTCACAGGACTAATAATAGTTTATATCTTATAGCTGTCTGTTGCAAGAGAATGAGACTGTCTATGAAAAATTGCTTAAAACAGTGCCTAGCACATAGTAAGTGCTCAAGATGAACATATTTACCTGTCTATATGGAGAAAATGGTGAATGCAGCTTTGGGACTGGGGCACTGGAATCAAGACTCTCCAAAAGGCAAGATCACAACTATAGCAGCTACATTTATTGGGGGTTTCTCTGTGTCAGATGCTGTCCCAACAGCAAGCCTACAAGGCAGGGCTGTTACTGTCCCTACTTTAGAAATGAGAACTGAAGTGTTCACTTTCCCGAGGTCTTTCAGTGAGAAAGGAGGGAAGCTGGGATTTAAACCCAGGCAGCCTAGCCTTGGAGTCCTCATTCATATCCACCAGGGTGGCTGTACTCCTTTTTGGGGATGGGTGCTGTGGAAAGACAAAGCATTTACCTGGAGACAGGGGTGTGATCCTGCAGTCGACAGGGGCCTGTGGACCTGGGGAAGGGATGCGAGAATGTCCATGCTATGAATGTGTTTCTCAAGAGTGTCCTCTGGAGACTGGAGCTCTTGATAAGCTCTCTGGGCTTTGCCTGCTCAGCATCTTTGTTCTTTCTTTCAAGAGGCAGGATCGCACTCTGTTGCCCAGACTAGAGGGCAGTGGTGTGATCACAGCTCACTGCAGCCTCAAACTCCTGGGCTCAAGTGAGATCCTCCTACCTCAGCCTCCCAAGTAGCAGGAATTACAGGCTCACGCCACCATGCCTGCCTCATTGTGTGTGTGTGTGTGTGTGTGTGTGTGTGTGTGTGTGTGTGTGTGTGTGTGTGTCTGTAGTGACAGAGTCTCACTATGTTACCCAGGTTGGTCTCAAACTCCTACCCTCAAGTGAACCTCCCTCCCTACCTCCCAAAGTGCTGGGATTACAGGATTGAGCCACCACACCTGGCCCCAGCATCATCCTTCCAATAATAGAACTCATCTATTCATTTTGGGAAACAGCCCTTAATCTACTCTCAACCATGTGGTCAGGCAAGGCTAATCCCAAATCTAGCTCAAGACTGGGCAAGTAGCCAGATCTGGTCAATGACAGTAAGACCCACCCTCCACTGAGTGATTGGTTCATGGTAAGCATGTGACTCAAGCTAGGCCAATCAGAGGCAATCCTGGGACTCTGACTCATTCACTGGGAAAGAGAGACAGTTTTTTCTACTGGGGTAGCTAAATGCTAGGACGCAAGTCTAGAACTGCTTTGGGCCATCTTTGCCATCACTTGAGAAGAATCAGCCTGAGAGTACAGTGTGAAGGAACGCAGGGCTGAGAAGTGGAGAGACCCAATCCTGTTGACATCCTTGGAATACTTGGGCCCAGCCTGCTTAAATCCATTTTTATCTCTGGACTTTTCATACAGATGGGGGCAAAAAGCATGCCTTGTGATACAAACCAGGCTAAGTTGGGTTGTTGTCACTGGTAACCAACCAAGTCCTTAATACATTTCTCGACAGCATGGTATAAAGCAAAAAGGGTCATGCTATTTATCAGAAGATTAAAGACCTCTAAGCACTAGTTTATGTCCAGTTACAATAACTGGCAAATGAAGAAGGAAAATCTTGTTCCACGGATGACTGGACTCTGAGTTGCCCGGGAAGGGAAGTCTGCAGCTCTGTGACATGCAGGGGCCATTGATCTCCATGTTAGGAGGAATTTGAATCAATCTCTCAGTGGGTCAGACGGACCATGTGTGGATGTCTGGATGGAGAAGGGAAGCAGAGCTGGAAGTCCGGAAACATCACTGAATGGGGGCACTCAAGGCTCCGAAACACTAATAATAATACTTCCTCCTGGCCAGGCCCGGTGGCTCACACCTGTAATCCCAGCACTTTGGGAGGCCGAGGCGGGTAGATCACTTGAGGTCAGGAGTTCGGGACCAGCCTGGCCAACATGGTGAAAACTCATCTCTATTAAAAATACAAACAATTAGCCAGGCACGGGGATGGTCGCCTGTAATCCCAGCTACTTGGGAGGCTGGGACAGAAGAATTGCTTGAGCCCGGGAGGCAGAGGTTGCAGTGAGCCAAGACTGCGCCACTGCACTCTAGCCTGGGTGACAAAGCAAGACTTCATCTCGAAAAATAATAATAATGATAATAATAATAATAATACTCTTCCTCTTGCATCGGCCCTCAGATAAAGAGAAGCAGGTTCACTGTAATCTGGGATTCATGACATAGCATCGTGGCCCCTGCAGCACTTTAATCCTCAATTATCATGCAAGCCCTCCGTTGTTAAAAAGTGGCTGTGGTCCAGAGCCAGAGATGATGAATTATTACTATTATTATTATTATTAGACAATGTCTCATTCTGTCACCCAGGCTGGAGGGCAGTGGCACAATACTGGCTCACGGCAGCCTTAAATTCCTGGGCTCAAGTGATCTTCTTGCCTCTGCCTCTTAAGTAGCTGGGACTACAGGCGTGCACTACCACACCTAGCTAATTTTTTATTTTTATTTTTTTAGTAGAGATAAGATCTCATTCTGTTGCCCAGGCTGGTCTCAAACTCCTGGCCTCAAGAGATCCTCCCGGCTTGGTCTCCCAAAGTGCTGGGATTACAGGCATGAGCCACCACACCCAGCCATTAATTTTTTAACAATAATAAGTAGAATCAAGTAATGCCCCTATTGCAACCTTCCAAGGGCTTCTCATTGTTCTTAGAATAACTTCAAAATGGATACCATGGCGCAAAAGGCCCTGCCTGTGTTCTTCTCGACAGCTGTTCTCACATCTCTCACCCCCTCAGCTCCAGCCACATGGCCTTCTCCATTCTCCTCCTGTGCCAATCTCTTTCTCTTCATGTGCCTGCCTGGTCACCCCTTGGCATGGTGGTCTCCTTCTCAGGCTTTTCCCAGTTTAAACTCCCCTCCTCAGAGAGGCCGGCCCAACCTCTCAGTCTAAAGCAGATTCTAGTATTCTTCCTCCCCATGCCCTGGGTGTTTCTGGCTTTGTGGTTGTCATTATCTGTCGCCAGCATTTGGCCATAAGCTCCATTGGGATCTTGGTCTGCTTGGTTCAAAGCTGCATCCCAGAATAACACTTGGCACACAGTAAGTTTCAAGAACTGTTTGTTAAATGAGGGAATGACCACCAAAGATATGACTTTGTTTAGCTACCAAGCCCACCTCACTCAGAAATGGCACTTTCCCCCCAGTTGTAGGTGAAGATTCATTTCATCCATAAATAATTATTGAGTACCTACTATGTGCTAGACACCCTACTACCATCTCGAGACAGTATGGACAAGATAGACAAAACCCCAGATTTTCTGGAGCTTACATTCTGGATTGAGGGAGACAGACTACACATAAAGAAACAAATCAATTCCAATGATGATAAGGGCAATGAAGAAAATAAAACATATTAACCTCATGGTGACTGCTTTAAGCAAGGAGGTCAGGGGAGGTGTCTCTGAGGCAGTGAGGAGTGGTTGGGAGACCTGATACTAGGTTCTCTGGGTATCAGAGGAAGGTCCCAGGCCTTTTTAGCCACCCCACAAATCCCAGCCTGGAGTCCAGTATGGAGCCGGCCCCGGGCCTCCAGTGTGAGGCTGACCTGCTTTCTGGGGTGGCTGAAAAGGCCTGGGAAGTTCTTGTCCTCTCTCTGCCTCTTCTTGGCATCCCTTTATTTAAACACAAACCTCCACTCACTGCCCAAAAGAAAACTGCCACTTCTGCTGCTTCCAGGGGCAGCAGTGGGGGCGTGTTGAGGAGGATGTAAGGTGTTGGGGGTTGGGGGGTTCTGGGCGGGGGGGTCTCTTACTCCCGCCTCACCCCCATCCTTCTCCACAACCCTCCACTGCAAAAGCTCCTCTTCAGGCTACTCCAAGGCCATGCCTCGCTGCTTGCACTGAGGCAGCAGTGGGGTCCTTTCTAGACTTCCCTGCTTAGGTGTGGAGGCAATTGTCTGGCAGGCTGTTCCTAGGAGGCCTTTCCCCAACCCCCGCACAGCTCTTTCTCTAGGGAATTTCCCAACATAAAATGCTCCCTCGTGTTAGAGGCAGGATCTGACCCTTGGCTGCAGCCTGGGGCAGGATGGCCTGGTGAAACCCTGTATCCATCCTTGCTCCTTCTTTGGGGGCTGTGTGAGCAGCCGATGACCACCCACCCCACCACAGCACCCCCCATGCCAAGGGGGCGCAAACTCCCTCTGGGTGAGGTATCTTGGGTCAAACACTCCCAGTTTGGTGAAGCTGTCTGTTTCAGATCACACCCAGTGTCCTGCCTCATCCTCAGGCCTAAGAGAGAGAATGGAGACCCAGCTCCAGAGTGAGACTGCCTAGTTCTGAACCCCAACTCCGTGATGCCTAAGTAGTGTGTCCCATGGCAAGTTACTTAGCCTGTCTGTACTATTTCCTCGTAGGTTAAGCTGGAGTAACATTAGTATCTGCTTTAAAGGGTGGTTGAGAGGACTAATGAGTTGGCCTTTATATGTGAAGGGGCTTAGAACACAGTAAGTGCTCTAACAGGTTGGCTATTATCATTCTGTCTACTTTTTCCTTTTTTTTTTGAGACAGAGTCTCGCCCTGTTGCCCAGGCTGGAGTGCAGTGGCACAATCTCAGCTCACTGCAACCTCCACCCACTTGGTTCAAGTGATTCTCCTGCCTCAGTCTCCTAAGTAGCTGGGACTACAGGCATGCACCACCACACCTAGCTAAGTTTTCTATTTTTTGTAGAGACGGGGTTTCTCCATGTTGGCCAGGCTGGTCTTGAGCTCCTGACCTCAAACAATCCCCCTGCCTCAGCCTCCCAAAGTGCTGGGATTACAGGCGTGAGCCCCTTTTTTGTTTTAATTGCAAGAAGCAGAAATCGCACTCAAGTTACACCAGGTAAGGAGGGCTTGAATGTAAGGTCTCCCAGTGAGGAATAGGCACTGGGGCAGGTACTCAACCGGGGGTTCTGGCTCTCTCTAGGGACTGGATGGCTTTGCTCTCGAAGCCTGTGATCTCTGCCATTGGCTTTGCCCATTGGTTTTGTCACTGTGCTCTCAGAGTCTCATCCCTAGTGACGTCAGCCTCCCTATGGTGCAGAAGGGCCACCTCTCTGCCTCCGACCTCCTCGTTGTTGTGGGCTCTCATCTTCTGGTCTCCTGCTTACAGGGCCTGTCATTTTGTTACTTCTGGGTCAAGCTTCCCAAGAAAGGTCATCTGCAGGTCCAGCTTTGCCAAGGGCCATGGTGACTAACCAATCTACCATCAACTGCTGTTGCATCAGCTGCCATCCTTGGCTCAATCCAATGGAGTCAGGGGGTAGGGTAGCACAATATCAAACATGGTCGTTAAGGGAGTTCCCTTTAGAAAGCAGAGGGGATGTGGTGGGGCTGGTGGCCCTCCCCTATGTGTGCTTCTGCAGCCTTCAGCCAAGGCACTGAGTGAGCCCTCAGAGCTGGAGGAAATAATCAAGGTCAGCTTCCCCAACCCCCTTGTTTTACAGATGAGGATACTGAGGCCCAGACAGGGGAAGAGACATTCCCCAAATCTGGTAGCCAATGAATGGCAGAATCCCACTGAAGCTTTTTCCTTAGAGCTCCTTCGGTTCAGTCACTCATCAGATGCCCAACAACCTGCTCTTTCTGTCTGCAGAGCATGGAGATGAAGCAGAAACTCTTTAAGGAGCAGAAGCAACCATGGATGAACACAGCAGCCTTTGCTGATTGCCTGGATGGTCCAGGGATGTTACGTAGATCATCCACTCCAGACCGCAAACAACCCTGTGGAGCAGAGCCTTCTTAGCCCTGTGTTCCTGAGGAAATGGAGGCTCCAGGAGGTTTTGTCACTTGCTAAAGTCAACCAGCTGATACAAGCCGGTGCTGGGATCCACACTCAGATCTGTCTGAATCCAGAGCCTTTGCACTTACACCCATGACTGAAGCTCGTCCAAATCACCCAGCCAGTGTGAAGCATGGGAGTGGGAGATGCTTGGGGTGGGTGGAGGGAGAGTGGCTGGGGTCTAGGGAGCATGGGCCAGGGTCCAGGAAAGCCAGAGACCCTTTCTCTCCCTCAATGTGATCCTGGGACTTGGGACAAGCCCTGGATCTTCTCTGTTCCTCAGTTTCCCCATCTGTAAAATGAACATCCCATCTAATATAATTTATATGTTCTTGGGAGAGTTGGAGTAGAAAAAGGGGAAAATAGAAAATGTTCTCAACAACAGTAAAGACACATGTGGCACTAATGCAAGGAATCGATAGTAAGTATTCTCAATGTTAGGGCTTAAAAGAAATGGATGAGTAACAGAGCTATCATAGGTTCCTGAGAGAAGCTGAGATAGACCTTACTCCTAAGGTGGTTGTCAAGGCAAGCAGACCTCCCTGCAGCTAGGCATTTGGGGGCCATGGAATTCTTGCTGGCCTGAAAGTGCTTTAAGTCCCTGCATTTTGAACTCCCTGAGGATCAGTCTTCTCATTTATTAACTGGGGGTGCTAGCAGAATCTACTCCCACAAGTTGTTTGTAAGAATTCAATGAGGCAAGGCATGTGAAGTGCTTGGTAATGTGTCAACATACAGAATGCACTTGATGGATGTTAACTTTATTATTGTGAAGTCAATGTACAGTCCATGGACAAGGACAAAATTCTACATATTTGCGTGAGCATTTTTCTAGTGTATCAGTTAGCTATTGCTGCATAGCTAACTACCCTAAAACTGAGAGACTGAAAACCATCACCATTTATTATTTTTCATGGGCAGCCCCAAAATCTCCTTTGGGCAACTTGTATTCTTCCCTGATGCAAAGTCTTGGTGGGGTTGACACCACCCTTCAAAATACAGGTTGCTTAAGGCCATTTTTCTATTCCATCCCCTTGGTCTGCTTTTGGGATAAACCTGTGGCTTAATTCTGGTCAGTGAGAATCAGACCCAAGACTACTGAAGCTGAGGAGGTGCAGGTAGTGGAAGCTTCAGCAGCCACTGGGCAACCACAAAATATCAGACAAGCTGTCTGAGCATAAAGTCAACCCAGAGAGCTGAGCAGAGCCAACCTGAAAGAAGAGAACTGCACCCCGGAGACAACACTCACATCGTCACATCATCCTGGGTTTGAAGCCATTTCTAGACTGGAGTTTCCACCCATGTGAGCCAATAAATTCTCTTTTGCTTAGGGCTGTTTGGGTTGAATAGTTTGTCGTTTGCAAACAAAAAATTCCTAAACAGATGTGCAATGGACAATCCAGCAATGGTCTATGCTTTGTGGCTGACAAAATAGTCAAGTTGCTAAAATCTGCCCTTTGTGCCTCTGTGGGTTAGAGACACTGTTCTATTTATCATTGAGTAAAAGTCGATCTTAGAATTCTAGAGTGATCATTTTGTGCAATTAGACTGTATGCAACTTGAGGAAAGGAACTGGGGCTCATCATTCTGTGTCCCCAGCAGCTAACTTGAGGCAAGTTGCATAAAAAGGTGCTAAGGTGCTTCATACACGCTTGTTGAATGAATGAGAGGCTCCTGATTTGAAGCTTTCAAATGTGTACTGTTGCTATGAGCAAGTAAACAGATTATGGAACACATACAAAGTTTAGCCTCTTAGAAGGTTAGTAGTTTGAATGTGTCCCCCAAATTTATGTGTTGGAAACTTAATACCCAATGCAATAATCTTGGGAGAGGGCACCTAATAAGAGGTGACTGGTTCATGAGGGCTCCACCCTCATGAATCAATTAATGTCATTGCCATGGGCATGGGATTGTTATCATGACAGAAGGTTATAAAAGAGTCTGCCCCTCACACTGTCTCTTTTGCCCTTCTGCCTTCCACCATGAGATGGCCCTAGCCAGATGCTAGTGTCATGTTCTTGGACTTTCCAGCCTCCAGAACCATGAGCCAAATAAGCTGTTTTTCTTTATGAATTACCCAGTCTGTTCTATTCTGTTACAGCAACAGAAAATAGACTAAGACATTTTCATAGCAGAGGAGTCTGGAATTCGCAAGAGACCATCATTGAGTGATGAGCATTTTTGGTGGGAATGAGTCACTGAGGCTGCAAGGAGGCCCTTCCATGAAGATCCAGCAGAGGTTTAATCAGAAAGAGAGACTGAAAATCATCACCATTTATTATTTTTCATGGGCAGCCCCACAATCTCCTTTGGGCAACTTGTATTCTTCCCTGATACAAAGTCTTGGTGGGATATAAAGGCCCTGGAGTATTTCTTGACTGCAGCAAGCAGCAAGCTACCTTCATCATGAAATCCTGCCCCTAATCCTGCTGTAATGAGTACAATGCTCAAATCAGAGGCAGTATGACAAACTTATAAAGAGCATGGGTTTGGAGTTAGGCGGACTGAATTCAAATTCTGGCTTCTCTACTTCCTAGCCTAACCTTGGGCAAGCTGTTTAGCCTCTCAGAGCCTCAGTTTCCTCATCTGCAGGACAGAGTATAATAATGATACTTACCTTCAATGGTGTATTGAGAATTAAATGAGAAAATACAGGTAAAGGGTTTAATCTAGTGGCTGGGACAGAAATAAGTGGTCAATAAACAGTTCACAAACACACACAGGTAAAAACAAAAGTCCAAGAGGTTATATGACGTTTGTAGACAATGAACATCAAAATGTTGCATGTGCCTTGATGTATCAGTACCCAGTGGCCTCTGATAATTTATCTTAAACTTTTGAAGACACTTTCTGCAGATGACAGCTACTACTCCCAACTTGCCTTTGCTTTGACATTTCCAAACCCTCTTTCCCCAGCAGTCATCCTACAGTTAGTTACCTTCTTCAGTTAGCTCTACAATGGAAGTGGTCCTCCTTGTAACCTTACCTTCATCTTGTTGGATCTGAGCTAATGGACATTTCAAAGGTGTTTCCTGGGGGAAGCAGGCAGACAGTGTGGACTGGAGGATGGGGACTCCCCCCAGGACCTCTCCACCCCTGATGTGCCACCTCGCCCTTTCAAAAACCACTGGAGCATGTTTGAGAAAAGTTAAGCTGTTTTATTTCACAGGATAGCTCCACGTCAAACCAGCAGGCACCATCAGAATACGCGACAGAGGATCCAATCAGACACTCTATAGGACGGGCGTTTGGTCGTAAGGTAGAGAAACGATATCCAGAAGAGGGCAACATTTATCATCACGTGGGGACAGGCAACCAGCAATTTCCTAGGGTGGTTTTGGTCTGTTTTTCCTGTCACAATTTGGGGAGGAAGGAAACCAAAGGAAACAAAATAGACCAGCCACTCTGAAGCAATCAGAATCAAACCTATTGCCAAACCATGTAAACAGTCACACTGCCGGGAACAAGGGCCTGGGCAGAAACCCTAGCCAGGATCTACTTCCGTCTAAGGAAGGAAAAGTGCACTCTGGTTGTTCTGGTTCAAGGAACAGCTTTGTTATTGGCCGGGGACAACTCACACAGAAAGGAGGTGTCAACAAGGGGCAGCGATGGCCATGTGGCCAGTCCCAGAGGGACAGCAGGACACTGGCAGATCAATCTCAGGGAGGTCAGGAGGGCTTGGACCTGACAGCAAAGTCCCTTCTCTCGGCTCCCCTGGGCAGCTTTGGATATGTGGGGAATGTTCTATGTGGCTGCTCAGAGGAGAGGAGACCCCAGAGAACCGGGGAAGTTGACATGAAATGTCAGCATTAGCTCTGCACAGCAGAAAATCAGCTAGGCAACACCTCGGCTCACCCCTTTCTGCCTTTCCTCCTGGCCGCCACCCCGACTCCCAGCCCAGCAGGGGCTAACCCCATGGTTGTGAGCCAGCCACTCTTCTTTCTGGGTTTCTCAGGAGAGTGAGGCATTTGCACTAGTGTGGAACCATCTGGATGTGTGAAAAGTTAGGAATAGAAAGACTGAGAGGAAGAACCATTACCCGAGTCCTCGTGTTTTTCCATTAGCTGTGGACATGCACTGAATGCCACATCACGACCAGGTCACGAGAAGTCCTCCACATTCGTGCCTCCTGAATGACAGAGAAATATACCCAACAAGGCACTCCAAGGGACTCCAACAGAGAAGAAAGCCCCACATAAAGGCCCCTTCCCACACTGGTTCCTCTTTGTGTACCACAAACCGGTTTTAAATGTTTATAAGGCAGATCTCTGAACTGCTGGTTCCAGCCGATAGCCAAAATATGGCTCAATTTCCCTGTGTCTCTTCCCACTCCGATTTCTTCATTGAATAGAAACCTTTCATCCCTTGGGAATCCATCTCTCTCCTGACCCCTGGCCTGGTGACTTCAGAGAAAAGACTCCAAAGTCTAATTCCCAAGCTCGCAATTCCCTCCGATTGTGCACTCTGTCCGGGGTTCAAAAGGCGCTTCGAGGTGAGAAATCGTTAGCACTGAAACAAGGAAAGGCAAGAATTTTTCATAGAATCCCACAGCTCAGAGCAGCTCTTTAAGAGGAAAAGGGAATAAAAGGGGACGGGGAGAGTGGGGTAGGAAGCACAGCTTGTTCTCAATTTTATCCAAAAAGCTCTTTAGTGGCAGCTGAGCCACAAGGCCCAGGAAACTAGACCAGGAATTAATTGTCTTTGGTCAGTTTTAAATGAACAACTTGCTGGTTCATTCCTAGAATAGACTGAACGTCGGTTACACATAAAGACAAAAGGCTTGACCTCAGGATAAGTCGAAGGTTAAGAAAAGAAATCATTCCATGAAGCAAAGAAAAAAAAATGCCCGTTGTCAACTAACTGATCAGTACGGCTTTCAATAATGGTGATGAACAAGTAGGTAAACACCACTTCCCCTTGTACAATTGGTTATATTGAAGACTACTAACTAGGTTACTACATTTCCCCCACACTCACTGTACAGTTAGGTATTTGTTTTTACATTGATCTATCTACTAGGTGCAAAGATTTGGTGAGTGGCATTGGCTAAAATTTAATTGTAGCCTTTTTAAAAATTACAATTTCACATTTTAACAGTTACTTTCCAGCATTTAAGCAAATACAGCAATATATAGTGGACTAAAACAGGCAGGAGTCAGAAAGAGAAAGCCAATGTTCAGTGAACGTCGATGGGACTGAGTGCTGTGGAGGGTGAGTGAGACATGCATAGTGCCAGATGAGGAAGTGGGAACAGGGGAGGGGGGCGGGAAAGTATTTTTCCACTTGGCCTGCGTCAAGGCTCAGATCTGGGGCTGGATGAGTGGGGAGACGTCTGCCATCTGTGTGTGTACATCCCTAAATGTGAACTCATCAGCCATTTCCCAATGGAAAAAAAAAAAAAAGGTGCTTAAAGAAAACAGCTAAGACTCTGCCCTCAGAAAATTCAGTGAAAGGCAGGTCCATTTTCAGTAAGAAAAAAACAAAATCAGTCAATTCAGAGAAAAATCCACACGGTCTGATTGGTGTTATGTATATCAGGCAACAGATTTTTCTACTCTGATTGTTGCTTTTCATCTGGCAGTTGTGGCAGATTGCTATATTTTGCCTGGGAGGCTACTGGATTTAGGATCTGGGAGTATCTTGAGGGTAGAAATCAGAAGTCTTGTGTCCTGGCTGGACAGTATAGCATCCAGCATGCAAACACATGACTTTAAGAGCCTGACGCAGCCTCTGCTCCTAGCCAGTGTCAAATCTTGGGCAGGTCACAGCACAGCCCAAGGCCTTACTCTCTTAAGCTGTAAAATGGCAATATCTTTCTGTGCTCCAAGCAGATGGCCTTTCATATCCAGGAGCTAAAGAGAAGGGTTCATTCTAGGCCAAACAAGGGAGGTCAAGTTTGACACTGGCCTCTCCCTGAGATCCCTTTTTTTGTTCCTCTCCTGATGCTCCCTTCCACTGTGGGGTGTCAAGTCCAGTCCTTCAGACGAGGTAGTGGCTTTACCCTCCTAACTTATCTAGGTGCCAGTGACTTAACTAGGTCCCTCCCTTTGGGTGTATTTACCTTTTCGCGGGGGACCAGAGGAGAGGGCACCACTTCATCCAATGGGCTGAAATGTTAATGATGGAATCCAGGGCTCTTATTAGGATGGCAGGAAAATTCCACTGCTCACTTCTGAAATGCCATTGGGAGGTTTCAAAAAGAAGGGCTGGAGGGCTCTGATCTAAGACTTACCTTACTAATGATAATCACAAACGCATTGTATTGATTCAGTGTTTTCCAGTGTACACAGCTTGCTCACTGATGTTTGACCTTTATTACCCTATTTTATGGAGCAGAACAGTCAGGCTCAATGAGGTGGAGTGACAAACCCTAAGTCAGAAGGCTCCTAAGTGCTCAGGGCTGGGACTCAGACTCTGGGCCTTTTGACTCCAAACTTCAGTGGCCTCGAGAGAGAGGAAGCGTGGGAACAGTAGGGAAAAGCCCCTGGGTCTCGCAGGAGAGGGTAAGTAACAGCGGCCCACAGGGCACACAGATTTGCCCGTGTGCCATTATCCAGAAACAGCTCATCTCTGGAAGTGATCAGAAGAGGAGGTAAAATGGAATCGAAGGAGAGCGACCCGGAAGGGCTTTACTTGGCCAAGAGGCAAAGGCCTGGCTGTCACACGTGAAGATCATGCACCCATTTCTATCACCACATTTTCATCTACACTAAATGTTCTGGAGGGAGTGGGTGAAGGGGGAGGGAAGGGAAGCTATGTCACTTGTATTAACTCAACTGACAGTGTCCTCTAGGACAGAAAGTGCCAAGGACTGCCCCTCCCTGGCCCCAGTCTGAACTGGGCGCTCACGGCTCATGCGTTTCATGCAAGACGGCACCAGCCACAGTGCATCACAGCCTGATTTAAAATGAAAACGATGTGACTCAAAGCCTCCTTGCCTGTTTAGTTCCAAATCTGACACAGTATAATTAGTAGAACCAGGAAAAGAAAAAATTAAATAGTTTGAAAATGATATAAGTTAAACCTCTATAGTTACCACAGATTTATTCCTACAGCATTTCTAGGTTTTGGAGTATTCCACACCACTGTATTTTTATTTTTCCCAACCACATGTAATACTGTGCTACGATGGGGCTTAGGTTCTCACTATCCCCCGTCTCTACACACAAACACAAGGATGTGGTAGTCAGGGGTCTTCTCGCCAACCTTCTCCCATGCCTTTGGGAGTACAGTTGGCCTTTGGCCTCCGGGTGGAAGGGCAGGGTCTCTGGGGTGGACGGGGGTGGGGATTTCCTATGAAGGGTTCCCCACCTCTGGGAGCAGCCTGCTTGGGGGTACTGCCTGCCCCACCCTTCCTTGAGGGGCAGACTGTTCTGGAAGGCCACGACTTCTGGAGACAGTGGGAGTCTGTTTTTGTTTGTGTTTTTCTGCAGGTTAGTGGTATATTGCTTCATTCGCAGTTACTATGGGCCTTTAAGTTCTCCCAGAAAAGTCCCTGCAAATCCCACCAAATAACTCGGTGGGAGATGTTTGGTGGCATGGATCTGAGGTAAATCTAAGTTTCATAAAAAGAAAAAGGAGATACTATATACACTTAGTATGCGTGTGTCCAGATCTAGTATATGTATATAGATGCATAAATATATATATATATACACACACCTACAGACACGTACATACGTATACATGTGTATATATGCACACATCGATATACACACACATATACGTATGTAGAGAGAATGTCGAGAGAGGAAGTTTCCAGTGACGATATGCGGGAGAAGCCATGTGGTATTTTGCCTCCATGTTAGGGAATGCTGTGGTTGGGGCTGCTGGAGCTCCAGCACTCCTCTGGTCGTCTGTTGACACGCGAGAGGTCCGTGGGATTCCCATGGCTGGACGTGAGCTGCAGCCAGCGCCCGGGCCTCAGCTCTGCACAGACACACCCTCCCAGACGGACCTCTGCCCTCCAAGGCCAGGGTCACTGGGAAGCACGTGGAAGCCACCAAGGCCACCCTGGGCCGTGGTGAGCCACAGCGGGCCACGGCGGCGCGGCCCATCCTGCAGGTCACATGGTGCCCGACTTGTCCGCTGAGCTGTTGGGGAACATCTTCTCGGTGGGCGTCACGGCCGGGCTGCCCACGCCCGAGCTGCTGCTGCTGCTGGACCGGTGCTGGACCACCGGCCGCACGGGCCGCATGGGGGGCGGGCGGAGCTGGGCGCCAGCCAGGCGGGCGGACAGGGCTGGCTTGAAGGTGGTCATCATCTCGGTGGAGGAGCTGCTGCTGCGGCGCATGGCGGCATCGGGGTCGCGGATGACGATGGTGTGAAGGGGACTGGCGGGCTCCGAGCTGACGGGGCCTGGCGGGTTCTTCAGGGGCTCCAGGGTGTCCAGCACCACATCTGGCGCCTGCTTGACCGTGTTCTGCCTCTCGAGTTCCCGCAACTCGTGCAGAGCCGTGCTCATGGTCTTCTCGATGTCCTGGGGACAGAGGGAGCTGGGGTCAGCACAGTCTGGAGACCTGGAGTCAGGTCCTTCCTGTCTGCTAAGCAGCTTCCCTTCGTAGGCAGGTTCCCCAGAAGCCTCGCGGCAGGGATGGAGATTAAGTCCTCAGGATGTCTTATAACCACATGGGAGAACCAATGTGGATATCCCCTGCATGCTGCCTTGCACAGGAAATAGATTTCATAAGGGCAGGTCAGACTACTGATAAAGAGGGCAGGCTCTGGAGTCAGACAGACACGGATTCAAATCCTGGCTCTGCCACTTCCTTGCTATGTGACCTTATGCAAGTTCCCTCATCCCTCTGAGCCCCCAGAATCCTCATTTGTAAATGGCAGATAATTATAATATGGACCTCAGGGAGTTGATGAGTGCATTAAATGATACAGTCCCTGTGAAGAGCCTGGCCTGACCCCTGGCACAGAGTAAGCACTCAAAAATACGAATGACAATAGCAATAGCAATAATAGCTAACACTGAGCACCAATCCAAACCCTGCCCCCTAATAATTCATTTAATCCTCACACTTCTAAGGTAGGAACTACCTTTATGCTCATGTCACACAGGAGGAAACTGAAGCTCAGACTGGTTAAGTAACTTGCCCAAGGTCACACAGCTAATTAGCAGCATAGCCCAAGTCTGAACCCAGTCAGTTCAGTATTTTTTTAAAAATCCTTGCTCACAGAAAAATTTCTTGGAGATTATGTATCAGAATGTTCACAGCGCACATCCCAGAATAGAGGGACTGCTACTCTCTTCTCTGTATTATAATCAGAAAATTTTTTTAAAAAGTGGAAATTTTAACAGGCCAGAAAAATCTTCTTCTGCCTACATAATTCCCGAGGATGTTATAATATCTGAGAGCTCATCAGGAGGAGAGCACTCTGATTGAGCACTCTGAAGGACTCAGAGAGAGCGAGCCCCCTGCCACCCAGGGCAGCCCGGGCTCACCATGCCACAGGGCAGCTTCCCTCAGCTCCCGTCCCCTCATGCCCAAGGTGGTGCTGTAGCTGGAAGGCAGCATTTAACCCAAGAGCCCTGGGACAGGCCACAGGGCCCCGGACTTTTGAGTAAAAAGAATCTGTGGCCAGTTGCTGGCCGTGTGACCCTGAGCAAATCTCAATCACTCTGCACCATATTTTGTTCATCTATTACAATCCCAGACATTTACTGTGAATATGGGGTGAGATAATGGATGTGATGAAGCTTTGTAAACTGCCAGGTGGTGGTTTTCAAAATCCTTCTAGCCCAAGAGCCCCATGGGTTCCCATGACTGTTGACTGGGATGCCTCCGCATCCGACAGACATGAGAGGACCTGCTCAGGCTCAGCTGAGCCACAGCCCAGCTGGCTTGGCCATCGAGGGCACCATGAGGGATACTGCCTAAGCCACCACTGGTAGGTGCCGTGCATAACCTCATGGAGGAATGATGACTATTAAGACAGGCTTGCTTTATTGCAAATCCTAAAAAAAATAAATAAAAAGTATGAGTCTGGTGAAACAGATGGTGGGGTTGGAGCCTGGAGATGCTGGGGCCGGCCCCTTTCTGCACCCTGGTCTTTTACATTCTCTCCCTCCCCTGTCTGCAGGTGGCTTCCTGCCTGCCCTAGGCCACATGGCAGGCTTCAATCTGGCTGGGGTCAGGGCCCAGAGCTCTTGCTCCCCGCATTGTCACAGCCTGTCCTTTTTGTTAGGGGACTATGGATGTCTGGCTAATGGCTAATATTAGCTTGTACGCTTCTCCAGGATGTTTCATCCGTTGCCCCAGAACACCGGCAACTTTAAGAAAGGGTGTTTTGTGCCTTATCCAAAAGGAGGCGCTGTGGGGGCAATTTTCTGCAGGAAGGGAGGGAAGGCAGACCTCTCCCCATCTCTGCCATGTGCCAGCCCTGCAGTGACACAGCCGGCTTTCCTGGAGCCGAGCCGCCCTATCATCAACCACTCCGCTTGAAGGAAGCCCCCTATTGACCTCACTACTCTCTATTTGCTCTAGTCCAGCATGAGCTGCATGGTGAAACTTTAACACATAAAATGTAATTACTGCCCCTCTACCACCATCCCCACCCGCCCCACCACTCTACCCCAGCAGAGTAAGCAGAAAGACAGGAAGTTCAGAGAAAGATCAGCTGAGTTGTTTAGGCTGCAGCCTTGCATTAGTCCGAGAGGTGGCGCTGTGAGTCTCCAGAGCTGAGCGGCAGAGAGGCCCTGGGAGACAGAGTGGGGACCGTGATTGCTTTTCATCTCCTCCCCAATTCGATCTTCCCACTTTGGATGGTCATGTTGCAAGTTCCCCAAACAGCCTCTTTAAGTGGGTTCACATCTAAATCCTAAGGGACATTTTGAGACCAAAGAAATTTGGGTCACTCGGCCTACTACCTGGGGTTCTTCAGCTGCCACTCCCCTTTGCAGCCTGCAAAGTCAAGGGCTCATCAGAGCCAATGCTGAGGCTGGAAACTCTCCAGTGGCAGTGGGTTACTTACATATCATTTACTACAATTCCCTATTTGACCTCTGTTAGTGAAAGGGGGTCTTGGATGGCAGCTGTCAAACTAGACAGGGTGCAGATCCATCTGCAAACTGAGAACACATGCAGCAGGCCCCAAGTGCATTCCAGGGGCAGGTCGTGCAAAACGCTCCATGAATAAAGGTCACAGAAGTCTGGGATATGGGGCATGCCCTGTTTTCTTTCTTGGAGATTCACAGTGCACATCTTTTAAAGCAGCAGTCCCCAACCTTTTTGGCACCAGGGACCGTTTACGTGGAAGACAATTTTTCCACAGATGGGGGGTCAGGAGGATGCTTTCGGATGAAACTGCTCCACTTCAGATCAGGCATTAGATTCTCCTCAGGAGAGCACTACCTAGATCCCTCACATGCGCAGTTCACAACAGGGTTCACGGCCTGTGAAGATCTAATGCCCCCGCTGATCTGACAGGAGGCAGAGCTCACGCAATAATGCTGGCTCCCGCTGCTCACCTCCTACTGTGCAGCCTGGTTCCTAACAGGCCACAGATCCATCCATGGCCCGGGGGCTGGGGGTGCCTGCTTTAAAGGTTTTATAAGTCTTACAGAGAAGCCACTCAACTTTGTCAGAGCAGCATTCCCCAAACCTTGCTGACCACAGAACATGTATTCCCTACCCACTCCCTAGCATCCTGTGGGACTAATCTGCTGTGAGAGCTACTTTTAGAAACAGTTTTCTAGACTGCATTTGATTCTTTATAAATGTAAAGGGCCCTGGGGCAGGCCTCAGGCCATCCTCTATCATAACTGGTAGAACTTTCTAGACTGGTAGAGTTTCCAGATGATGGTGGGTGCTAGGGTGATGTTTCCTCAAGTATGGGGGGGACCAGCAGCTGGCATGCCTCCTCGGAAGGCACTGATCTTCAGGGACCCCTGGGAATGGGCATGGGGCCAAACTAGAGCCTGCTGGTGTGAACAGGAGTACTCATTGCTAGGTGAGCTGTTTCTGTGTTGTGTATTCCCTGGGAACCCTGCCTGGCCTCCTCTAGAACACAGCTCATGACTCCCTGCCCTTCTTCCTTCTCCTTTTGAACAGCGATTCAAAGGCTACTCTCCACAGTAAAATTCTCACAGACCAGAAGGTTCTGATTGTCTCTGTTACCTTATGTGGGAGAGAACACTAGGGAGAGGGTACATAATGGGCCCCCACACCAAATTCCAGAGACAAAAAAAATGGAAACTTCTCAAAATATGATAGAACTGTCAAAAAACCCATGAAACCGGCTATGCAAACTGTTAAACAAATCACAGTTCTATTCATTTGGCAAATGTAAAAATCATATAGATTTTTCATCCAAATACAAAACAAACAAACAAAAGCCAACCCTCTAAGCACTTGAGAAGAACCTGGAACATTCTTCTCTTGCAGCTTCGGCTATTTAGCTCTGCCCACCCTTTGGGTCTCAGGTCAAGTCCTCTCCAGAGAAGTCTCTCCCTGCCTAGGTGCAATCCTCACATTTTAGGCTCTCAAAATACTTTGGACCATTCCTTAAAGGCACCCAACCAAACAACTATTTCACAACTGTGTGTGTGTGTTTGTTGATGTCTCTTTCTTCTCTAAACTGTAAGCTCCATGTGGGCAGGGCCTGAGTCCATTTTAGATCTCCATTTTACTGTTGGTGGCTAGCATGGTGACGGCCACATGATAGATGCTCAATCAATATTTGCCAGTGAATGAATTGATGAATGAAGAGAGAAATGAATGAATGAGTGAATGAATGAGTCAAAAACTGAATCGTATCATTTTGTGTAGTGACCTGCCATTACCCCAGCCCCATAATCTGGCCAATGCCCTCTCCAGCCCTGGACACTGGGGGTGTTCAGCCTCTATCGGAACCCTAGCAGTGGCTGCTCCCAACCAGTCTCCACTCCCACGGGAAGCCCAGCAAGGGACGGGGAGGCCACTCACTCTCCTGTTCTCTGGCTTAGCCATGAGCCTGGCATAAAGGCCAAGGTGGCTCCCCGCTCCACGGATTCCCACCCGCTGCCCTCTGGGGCTTTTGGCTGCCCAGCCTGCCTTCCCGCTGGCCCTTACTTCTGCCAGGGCCTCGGCCTCCAGGGACTTGTGGTCCCCTAGGCTGCTGTGCCTGGTGGAACCGCAGGTCGACCTCATCGAGTGCCCTTCGGAGAGCGCCTTCTTGTCAGGGTAGTTGATGCTGCCAGCGCTCCCGAACGTCGCCATCCTCCGCTTCTCAGGGCTCTCGATCCTCCCCCGGGTGAGGGGGATTTTGTGGGGGCTGCTGGGGCAGGCAGCAGCCCGGGGTGGTGTGTCTATGCTGGGGCCCAGGCCCCGGGGCGGGCTGTGTGTGTCGCCCCCGCTTCGGCGTCTGGGGATGGCTGCTCCATCAGATCGTAACCGCACTCTGCAAAGGAGCCAGGGGGCGAGGGGCATGGGGCAGAGGTCAAGCCTGGCAAGTCTCAGAATGGGTGAGTCAACCCCATGCCACACACTACACGCTAGTCTAAGGAGCGGGTACAGTAAAGCCTCATTCAGCCAGACCCTACAATTCCATAATGAAAGAGCTGGCTCAGCACACAGCTCAGCAGCAGGGGGAGGTCTAATCTGTAAACATGAAAGCATTTGGAGCACGGTGCTTCCAGGCCACAGACAGCTGTGCCGCCAACCGCAAAATGCATCTGGTCTACATGCTAAGTCAAGGCCTACAGGATTCCAACCCTGGAAACGCTTTGGTGATGGTTAGTTGGGCTCATGATACCCTCTGAAGCAGTTCAGACTTTTCCATGATTCTGAGGGGCTTCTAATTGGTCTGAAGCTTTGAGGCTTGACTGTACCAAAGTTACCAGCACCCTGCAAGCACAGTTGGGGTCCCCTGGGAACTGAAGACACTCTAACGTTGCCACCCAACCCCCAATCTCCCCAGAAGAGGGCTCCTTCTGCGAGGCTTTTTTGGATCTTGGAAAACTAGTCATTCAAGAGTAAACACTGCATGGCTGGACAGCCCTTTTGTGCATTTGGTACCTTTCCCACTTCAGGGAGGCTCTGGTGTGGTGAAAAGGGGATTAGGTTGTGTTTCAGGAAGGTGAGTTCTTGCCCTGTGTCTGCCGCGTGCTTTCCTGTGTCCTCTCTCAAGCCCACTTTATTAATCTGTGAAGCGGGTTTAAGCAAGATCCTTTGCCCACCCTTTACCTTTGCTTCAAGTGGGTTTGAAAGCACCTTGAAGATAAGAGGTTCTATACACAGGAGATTTGGCTGCATCCTACAGAGGTCACCAAGAGTCTGAAGGGCTAGAAGTGGTGAGGGGAGAGGGAGAGGGACCGTGTGTTGGGAATGGATTATGACTAGGGACCACCAGTGATTCAGATCCTAGTGCCACCAGCCAAGCTAAGCAGTGCTTGTGGGTGCCCCAGCAGGACCAAAGCATAGGTATTGGAAAGGAAGCAGTACTTAGAAAGAAAGAACAAGAACAAAGGAGGTGAGGGCGGGGGACAAGGGAGAGGAAAAGAGAGGCAGAAGATATGGTCCTCCTAGAAGTCAGGGGACCATAACTTCTTTGTCTACCTACGCCAGCCTTCCACTTCCCTGACCTTCTCAATTCCACCACAGTGCCCCGAGCTATCTGCTGAACTGAATGGAATTTGCAGAAAAGAGGCATCAGGATTTTTGCTGAAATAAATTCATAAATTGTGTGTTCCCACTGTGACTGATTTTTTTGGGGTCTATCTGCAAATACCTACATGTGTGGGCTGACCACATGACCCCTCCACTGGAAAAAACATAGAATATGACATTTTGAGAGTGTGACTAAAAAGGCAGTGAGAAACTGTCAGCTTTTCTTTTCTTTTCTTCTTATTTCCTCATTAATTTTTTAAAAAATAACCACATACTTTGGATTATACCTGTTCTCAGAAGGACATGCACAGCTCCTTGCCTGGTAGAAAGGTTATGTGACACAGCCTGGCCCACACATAGGGAGCGAAGAAATTGGTAATACTGCTCCCTCCAAATAAGTGGGTGGAGTCGAGTGTCAATTTCCTTCAACACATGAGTAGGTGTGAGTTTTCTGTTTATGTAGCGCGTTTCAGGGAATATGTGAGCTTTACATTTTTAAATATAACAACTCAGTTCTACAACAGAAAGCTGGAAGGAGGTGCAGGAACTGGACACAGGTAGGAAAAATACTTGCCAATTTGTATCTCTCTCACACATTATTATTATTTTAAATAAAAAAGCACTGGGTTCCCAACACATGTCTTTCCTCCTCCTCCTCCCTGCAACACAGGCTGGATGGTTCTATACCTGGCCTTCTTGGGCCAATGCCAGCCAGCCCGCCCAGTGTGCCCATTTCATTTTGTGGGGAACAAGGGGCTGCAGTAGGCTCCTTCTCTCCTCTCTGCCCTTGTGCTTCTCCCAAATCAGACATGAACAGGATTGACACCAGCAGGGAAAAAATGAATCCGCATATCCTACCGGCCCATCACCCCCCCAAAGCCGTAATCCGAGATGTGCTCCGTGGGGGACTGGAGGTCGTTTTTGGAAGAGGCCTTGTCATCCAGCAATGGCCCACTGCTGGCCTCGCTGTCAGCCTTCTGGCTCAGGCTGTCGGAGAAGGCATCATCCCTGGGGAGAAGACAGACATGAATTGGAGGCACCTTCCCCCAAAGAACCCAGCATATACAGAGCTCCCTGATATGTGTCTGAGGGGCTGAATTAACACAACTTATGGTTACTTTGTGCCCACAGCGCTTGCTAGGCCACTGCCCACTGGGTGCCTTCCCACCACGCATGCCCATTGCAACACTCCTGGTCAGTTTCCGCAGCTGGGACCCTCTTCTGTCCCACACCTACCTCCTCCTTTTTTCTCTTCTAGCTTGTTCATTCCCAGGCAGCTCCAGGCTAGGACAAGCTAAATGCTGCAGGGTGTGTTGGAGAAATGGGGGGATGGAGTCCGCAGGCTGAGCACCGAGGGCTGAGTGCTGAGTCTCTGTGTGACTTCATGAGAAATGGCTTCTGGCTAAGCAAGGGAGGAAGAAGCTGCCTCTGCCCCTCACCTCCCCACCCAGGGCTTGGGCTACTGTGAGGTGGCTCCCAAGCTTGTTGGGGTGCCCTGCCGGCCTCCTTCCACGGCCCTCTGCTGTGGTGACTTGTCCCTGATCTCAGAGGTCTGGGGACTTCGGGAGGCTGCCAAGGGCCCTCCACTATGGCATTCCTCTGGCAGTCTGCTTGGCCCTGGCCTTTTCTCTGGCTGAGACCCCCTCTCTCCCATCACAATGTGGGCTGTTGATCCCCTTCCCTTGAGGCTCAGCTTGGTGGCTGCCTCTATGGTAAATCTGTTCTGCCGAGCCTGACCAGAGCTCCCAAGGAAGGTGTGCACTGGAAGCTTCCATGGCTTTCAAAGGAATGGAAAGTGCAGACTTTTTGTGGTAGGACTAGGCATTTGGGATGCAGGGCTCTTTTTCATTAACCCCTGAAATTATTTTTTAAAAAATAGTACCCTATTAATCAGAAACAAGGGCATGTTTCTGCCCATCCCCTAAGAGAGCTACCTCTGGAGTGTAGAACCGTAGGCAGGGGAGGCCTAGGAGGTGGAGGCACATGGCAGGATCCCCTGGATACTGAGAGCCCTGGTGGGTGATGGCACTCCCTGGGGGCTGTCAGCTGCATCAGGATGTAGGCCAGAGGCACCCAACACCGTTTCTGTGTGCTCAGAAGGAGGAATTTGGATATCCGTTAAGTGGATCACCATTTAAAGGGAAGTTAGATATTACCCATTGTTAGAGAAGAACAAGCGTATGATATCAAGGAGAGCAAATTGCTGGCATACAAGCTAGCACTCCCCTACGGTGCCCATCCCAGACATCACTAATCTATTTCGGCATTCTTCACAGAATTCTCGACTCCACTCACATGTCCTGTACAACTATGTACTGATGGGGGATGAGTCCATCCACGCCGTTGTGCCGGCCCTCCCACCAGTCCTCCGAGGCGCGGTGGTACAGGAGCAGCGAGGCCCCCTTCTTGAAGGATAGCTCACGCGGGGACCGCCCCATGTAGTCAAACTTGGCAATAGCCTCGATCTGCTCCACTTCTGGAAGGAAATCAAGGGAAAAAGCGTCTCTGAGGTCAGCAAAGTGGCAGCTCAGGAGCCTCACTCAGATGGCCCTGGCTTCTCTGGGGAAGGATAGACTGCACAGCTGGTGAGAACATGGACAGAACGCCTGGTGGGCTGGGGCTCAGGACCCTGGGGTCCTAGCCTCAGATCCACTCTCCACCCTGCAACCTCAGGAAAACCATCAAACCCTCAAAATGTAAAGAGGGAGCTGATACATGCTCCTTTTCCACTGCCCTTCTTGTTCTCTACTTTTTAATGCTCATTAAGACAATATTGTAGAATTTTCGTTTTCTTCCACCCCTTAACACAAGTTCTATTAATATTTCTATTTTTCTATGCACCCTTTTCCTCTTTGTCATTTATAATACTTTTAGTAATTTTTAATCTTTTGAGAGGCCACATCATGTATGCAGACTCTAATCTGCAAAATCCGATACAGGATTTTAAGGGTACCCAGACCCTTCAAAGCTCATTGTTAAGGACTGAACTGTGTCTGCCTCAAATCTATATGTTGAAGCCCTCACCCACAACGTGACTGTATTTTAGAGGCTTTAATTAATGTAAATGAGGTGATTAAAGTTAAATGAGGTCATAATGGTGGGGTCATAATCCTAGTGCTGGTGTCTTTATAAGAGGAGCAGAGGCTGGGCGTGGTAGCTTATGCCTATAAGCCCAACACTTCGGGAGGCTGAGGCAGGAGGATCGCTTGAGTCCAGGAGTTTGAGACCAGCCTGGGCAATATAGTGAGACCTCATTTCCAAAAAAAAATTTTTTTTTAATTAGCTGGGCGTGGTAGCACGTGCCTGTGGTGCCAGCTACTCTAGGGCCCGAGGCAGGAAGATCACTTGAGCCTGGGAGGTTGAGGCTGCAGTGAGCCATGATCATGCCACTGTACTCCAGCTTGGGTGACAGAGCAAGACCCTGTCTCAAAACAAACAAACAAAAGTTCTTGTACAAAAGGGCATAGCTTAGTACAGATACTCATGAGGTATTCGGTTGACAGCAGCTGTCATGACTGTGATTATAATTATTAATGGATTTGGCCTATGGGATGCGTCCAGAGAAGAGACGTTGAACTGCAGAGAGTTTAAGTGTTTTAAACTGCATGGTTTAAGGACCATACAACTAGTGATATTTGGGGAAGAGACGTTTTGGGGAGCAGGGGATTGTGCCTACAGTTTATTCCACCTGTTTTATAGTTTCTACCCTAAGAAGTGTCCATATGTGGTAGAAAACTGATTTTGTATAGGTATTAATGTTTTAATATTTTAAAGTAAGCACAAAGAGGTTTAACATTATAATTCTTACTTTTTTTTATTTTAATAGAACAGAAGAGTAACAAAAGCAACCCCTGCCCTCTCTCTAGCCTGTAGATAGCTTCTCCATGCTGAGCTTTCTTGGGGCTCTCTATCTGCTCCATTCACTGTGGACAATCTCGTCTTCATCGATCTATTCATCCACCTGTCCATCACACAGTTAAGCTCAGAACATTTGGCTTTACCATTTTTTAGTTGTGTGACCTTGGGATACTTAGTTTTTCTTTCTGTGCCTCAGTTTCCTCATCTGTTAAATGGAAATGGTAATAAATAGAACCTATCTTACAGGGTTATTAGAAGGATTAAGTGAGTGAATATACATGAAGTGCTTGCAACAGTGTCTGGCACATAGTACCCTATAAGAGTTACACACATGTTGTTACCAGAGGCTGGTGCACTTCTAAGGGCCACGGATGGCATGGAAAAATCAAAGAGCAGGAGGAGGAAACTCCCTTGTTCACTCCCCATCACTCCCCACCACACACATGCACCAGGGCTCCCCTCTGGAAGCAACTGGCTCAAGAAGACCATGCTTGTGTCCCCATGAGATGCAGTGGCTTTGGGATGTATTTAGCTCTTAGTGACTGAGGCAGCCTTCTGCAGGGAGCAGGCCTCAAACAGTCAAGTCAGCTTCCCCAGCTAGCTACCCGACAAATGTCTTTAAATGCTATTCTAACCTGGGTGTTGGGAGAGAAGGAAGGAGGGAAGGAGGTGGGGAAATGACAGCACCACTAAATGGGTCAGACTAACTCAGATCTTGACTCAGAGTCACATTCTCAGTAAAACAAACAGAGATCTTGGTCCCTCTCTCTGCAGCATCTTTGAATCTCACATCCGGCCGTGTGCTGGAACTGCCTGCTAGCCCATCTGCCTGCCTCGTTACAAGAGTCAGAAAGGCCGGAGGGTTTGCAAGGGCAGGAGCTGAGCCCAGACAGCTGCGTGCTCCTGGGTTCGCCCAGGGACTTCCTCTGACCCAGATTCCCCAAACTAAGAAAGGCGCTGACCTAAGCAGAGGTTTTCTGATACTCAGAGGGGCACAGAGGGGCTGCCTCCGGTTTCTGCCTTTACCATCACCAGAGCCTCCAGCAGTCACTGGACAGCAGCCTGAAGTTGAAAGAGTGGGGCAGCAGGGGGAGCAGACAATGTGAGGGAAAGAAAACAGGAGGAACAGGGCGAACCTCCAGCTCAGAGAAAGCACGTGTGTTTGCAGACGTCGTTACATAAGTGTGTGTGGTGGAAACAGTAATAACAGCTCCCATTGATTACTAAGTCTGTTATTTGGGCTTCTCGTGCCTGAAACAGAATATGTTTCTCCCCCTCATCACTCTCCCACACTCTGTTACCCAAGCTTACTTCATTCCCTCATCTTCCCCATCTCAGGAAACAGAACTGCTGTCTACCTGCTCACCCAGGCCAATGCCCTGGCATGGCTCTGCACACCTCATCCATTAGCGACTCCTTCAGAGTGTCCCCTGGATCTGACCATGGCTCACCACCTCCCATGCCACCCTCTTCACTTCCATACTTGCTTAGGTAGAGCCGCTTCTCCCCACAGCAGCCTAGAGGGTCCTTTACAATCATACAATCACATCATGAAACTCCCCTGTTCAAAATCCTCAGAAGGCTTCCCATGGAGGCTGGAACAAAATCCCAGTGTCTTCCCACTGCTCATAAGGCCCTCCAGGATCCCAATCGCAGAGACCTCTGAGACCTCATCTTCTCTGTCTCTCTCTCTCCTTCACTAGCTCAATCTGCTCTTGCCTCACTAAGCTTCTTGATGTTTTTCCTCCAACATCCTAGTATGACATTTTTTAAACACAAAGTAAAATTGAAAGAATTTCACAGTGAACATGCATGGAACACAACTAAATTCCGCTATGCACATTTTACGATGCTAGATTTATCATATATCTATCCACCCTTCTATCCGTCTTATTTTTTAATGATTTTTAAATTAAGTTATAAACATCAGTATACTTTATCTCTAAACACTTCAGCATAAATATTCATAGAGGTTTTTTTTTTTCTTTTTCTTGAGACAGGGTCTCACTCTGTCACCCAGGCTGGAGTGCAGTGGTGCAATCATGACTCACTGCAACTTGAACCTCCTGAGGATCAAGCAATTCTTCCACCTCAGCCTCCTGAGTAGCTGGGACCACAGGCACATGCCGCCATGCCCAGCTAATTTTTTAAGTTTTTGTAGCAACGGGGGTCTCACTACAGCCTGGGGGACCAGGCTGGTCTCGAACTTCTGGACTCGAGTGATCCTCCTGCCTTGGCCTCCCAAAGTGCTGGGATTACAGGCGTGAGCCACCACCCCCAGCTACAGAGCCTTCTTGATGCTTTTAAAACAGACAAGTGTCTTCCCTTTACAGGGCCTTTGTACTTCCTATTGCTTCTCCCTGGGATGCCTTTCTCCCAGATCTTTGCATTCATCCACACTCAACAAATATGTATTAATGCTATGTGCCGTTTGCTAATTTCATTCAGGTCTGTACTCAAATGTCATTGCCTTACCAAGGCCTTTCCCAGCCGCTCCCAACTGCAAGAGCCCCAACTGCCAAATCACTTTCTAACACCTTCTCTTGCTTTATTTCTCTTCATGGCACTTATCACAACCTGAAATTTATGTGTGTGTGTATGATGTGTGTATTTATGTGTTTGTGGTATGGGTGTGTGTGTATATATATACTATATATATGTATATATACACACACATATACATACACATATGTGTATATATACACACATATAATTTTGAAACTTTACTATCAATCTTTCCTACCAAAGTGTGGGTACCATTAGGACAGAGATTTTCTTTTCTTTCCTACTGTATTCTGACTCCTAGAACAGACCCTAGGACAAACAGGCACTCAATACATATTTATTGCTTGCATGAACAAATTAAGCTTTTACTGGTACCAGGTGTTCTACTTACATTATCACATTTAATCCCATAACAACATTTGAGGCACTACCCTCATTTCATAGATGAGGGAACTGAAGCTGGGTTGAATGATGGGCCTAGGGTTGGGTCACACCAGTAGATACAGTGATGAGCTAACATCTGAGCTCAGGTCCCAGACATCATTAATAGAGGCTTCTAGATGTTTTTGAATTGTGCTAAGCTTATTCCTGCCACAAGGTCTTTGCATCTGTACAGTGTAAATTGACTATATAGATATACAATGCTCTGTGTTTGATGCAATTCAACTCCTGTGTATTGAGAGGCTAATTGTACCAGGTAAAAACCCTGTGGGCTCTACAGTGAGGGAAGAGATGAACAGCCCAGCCCCTGAGCTACAGGAGAGGTTGAGACTGTCTCAGTAGGGGCCTGGCTGGAGTCACATTTTAGGAAAATCACTCCAGTGGCAAAGCAGAGCAGTGGAGGGATTGGAGGGGAGAGGCTGGAGGCAGCAGTGGTTCAGAGACGGCTACACTGGTGCGGCCTCTGAACTAGCATGGGCTAGACATGGGCTTTTCCGGAGATGAAAAGACATGTTGAAGCTTTGCTTTTATTTCAGAATCTGAAGGTTGGACATTTATGCTTCTCTACCCATCAAATCCCTCCCTCTAGCCATGCCATTCCAGAGAACTCTGTTATAGGTCATGAGTCCTGCCTGCATGAAAGAGGGGATGGCTCCATTCCTCTCAATACCACTTATGTCCCTCTGCCTACCCCACCCCCTACTTCATCCCCAGAAGTGAGAACACTAATCTCATGCAACCAGTTTACTAGAGGCCAAGTCACTGTATCAAAGGCTGAGAATGTGGGTGTACCTTCTCTTCTCCGTCATCTTCCCTGTGATGAGAGTAATGACAGAAGCCAGGGCCTGTTTACAGGGTCCCTCTTTTCTCCCCTTCTCACTCATGACCTTGGGTTCTTTCTTTGCATTCGGTGGTGGCACCAGCTGATATTGAGATTTAGATTTAATTTAAAAGGAAAGGAGTGAGACCGACTTCTGGGATGACAGCATGAAGAGCTCCCCAGGGAAACTCGAGAAAAAATATAAAAAGAAAAAGAAAAAGAAATATTTCAAGCCCCTGGAAATGGTCCTAAGGGCAAAAAGCAAATGAAGAAACATCTATTCAAGAAAATCTATAAAAATTTAGTGAGAAAGGTGAAAATCTCTGTTACTTGAACCAAGACTGCTCCCTCCCTCTACTCCTGCTCCAAGCTTGGGGAGATGGAGGCTCCAACCCAGATGACTGCAGTCAAGCACACAGGGCTTCCTCTCCCTTTACCATCTTCTAGTCACAGGGCTTTCTTCCTGGAAGGAGCAGGAGCTCAGTGATTCTCATCCTGCTCCCACTACCTGTTGCTGAGGCTAAGTCCCAGGTGAGTGGAGTGGAGAGACCAGGGCTTCATTCTTTCACACAACCCCTACTCATGGAATGGTGGCTGTACTTTGGGCATGGCACCACTGAAAATGTGGGGGTTCTATCAACCTTGCCCCAGCTTGTGAGGTGGTGGTTGCATGGCAGGAGAGGGAAGTTAAGAGGATCTCTGGCTGCCCCTCCACAAAGCACTCAGTGGGGACATCACTCAGAAGATGCCATTGTCTCCATCCCCAGTCTCAGAGTCCTGGCTCAGAGATTTTCCCATGGGGGAGAACCATCCCGTAAAACAGACAGATCCTAATCTTATCCCAAAGGAATTGACTTCAGTTGCAACAGAGCTTGGAGAAGTTCAAGTCGAAGGGGACTCTCAAGAACAGTGGAGGTCGTGTTGAAGGGCAATCCAGTGATGGTTCATGAATTTAACGAATATAGAAGCTAGACTATAACCCAGATAGTTAGCAGAGGAGAACCAGGGAATAAGACAGCCAGGAGAACTCCTGGGATCAGAACAAATATCAAACATTGACTTCAGAAACTATCCCTATAATGGGGACAGAATTTGACTGCATTAATCTGTAGAGCAATTTAGGACCAAGGGCACTGCTGAAAGAATAGCAATCATCCAGCAATTAGTAGAGATTAACAGCCGGAAAGGATCCGGGAAAGAGACTTCTACCAAACCCACTGGCATCTCAGGGAAGGAGAACCCTACCAAAACCACTGTCATCCCACAGAGCAGTATTTCCATATGTCACTGAAATTAAGCTAGTATAAATAGAAGCTCATTCAAATAAGATGTATATGGTAAACCTTAGAGAAACTGCTAAAAAATAACTCAAAAATAGTAAGAGCAGAATACTGCTTGTCAGAGGCTAGGAAGGAAGGGGAGGGGATATGGGGAGCAATTGCTCAACAGGTACAATGTTAGAGTTAGTTAGGATAAATAAGTTCTGGTGTTCTATTTTACAGTAGGTTGACTATAGTTAACAATAATGTATTGTATGTTCCAAAATAGCTGGAATAGAGGAGATGTTGAATGTTCACACCACAAAGAAACAATATATTTACAACATGATGAATATACTGCTTACCCGGATCTAATCATTACACAACGTATGCATGTATTGCAATATCACATTGTATCCAATAAATATGTCCAATTATCTGTCCATCAAAAATTAAATAAAACTTCTAAAAATAACTCAAAAATATAGTGAAAACATCATTAAAGAAGTTTAAATGCTATATTAGAAAATATCCACTAAATGCTATGTTAGAAAATATGCAAAAGAAATCGGTAAAGAAGGAATAGAGGAACAAAAAAGATATGAGACACACAGAAAACAAGAAGTAAAATGGCAGACAAAAATCCAACTATATAAGTGGTAATATCAAATGTGAATGGATTAAACAATCCAATTAAAATGCAGAGATTAACAGACTGGATAAAATAAAATAATTTAAAAGACACACTTTAGATTCAAAGATACAATTAGAGTGAAAGTGAAAGGATGGAAAAATGTATTATACAAACTGGAACCACAGGAAAGCTAGAATGACTATACTAATATCGATAAAATAGACTTTAAAACTAAAAATACTGCTAGAGATAAATGGCAGCATTTCATAATGATAAAAATTTTGATCTATCAAGATAAAAACAATTATAAACAAAATGTACCTAATAAAAGAGCAGCAAAATACATGAAGCAAAAATGGACAAAAACAAAGAAAGAAATAGAAAATTCAAAAATAATTGTTAGAGACTTCAATACCCCATTCTCAATAACGGAAAGAACAACTAGACAGAAGATCAAAGAGGAAATAGAAGACTTAAACAACACTATAAACCAACTAGACCTAACAGGCATGTATAGAACACACCACTCAGCAAGAGACTATACATTCTTTCTAACTGCACATGGAACGTTCTCTTGGGTATGCCCTATGCTAGTCCATAAAACAAACCTCAATAATTCAAAATCATACAAATAATACAAAATGTGTTCTTCTACCACAGTAGGATAAAATTATTGATTTCTTCTATAGAAGAAGTTTCTTCTAAAGTAGGAATCAATAGCAGGAAAAAAACTGGGAAACTGACAAATAGGCAAAAATTATACAGCATACTGCTAAATAACTAGTGGTTGAAGAAAAAAATCAAAAGAGAAATCTTTGAGATGAATGAAAATGAAGATACAACATATCAAAACTTATGGGATGCAGCTAAAGCAGTGCTTAGAAGGAAATGTATGACTGTAAATGCCTATATTAGGGAAAAAAACCCAAACCTCAAATCAATAACCTAAACTTCCACCTTAAGACACTGGAAAAAAAAGTGCAAACTAAACCTAGAGCTAGCAGAAGGAAGGAAATAATAAAGATTAGAGCAGAAATTAATAAAATAGAGAACAGAAAAACAATAGAGAAAATCATGAAACCAAAAGCTGGTTCTTTGAAAAGATCAATGAAATTGACAAGCCATTAGCTAAATAAACCAAGAAAACATGAGAGAGGATTCAAATGATTAGAATCAGATATGAAAGAGGGGACGTTACTACCATTATTTTACAGGAGAAAAAGGATCATAAAGAAGTACTATGAACAATTATATGCCAACAAGTTGGATATCTTAGATGAAATTAATAAATTCCTAGAAAGAAACAAACTATTGAAACTGACTTAAGAAGAAAAAAAAATGAATACACTTATAACAAGAGATTGAATCAATCATCAAAAAACTACCCACAAATAAATGCCCAGGCCCAGATGGCTACATTGTTGAATTCTACCAAACATTTAAAAAAGAATTAGTAATAATTCCTTATAAAGTCTTCCAAAAACTAGAAGAGAAGGGAACACTGCTCAACTAATTTCACCAGGCAAGTATTACCCTGATACCAAAACCAGACAAAGGTATCACAAGAAAACTACAGACCAGTATTTCTTATGAATATGGATACAAATATCCTCTACAAAATGCCAGCAAACCCGGCCAGGCACGGTGGCTCATGCCTGTAATCTCAGCACTTTGGGAGGCAGAGCTGGGCGGATAACTTGAGGTCAGGAGTTTGAGATCAGCCTGCAATATGGCAAAATCCTGTCTCTACTGAAAATACAAAAAATTAGCCTGGTATGGTATCGGGCACCTGTAATATCAGTTACTCTGGAGGCTGAGGCAGGAGAATCACTTGAACCCAGGAGGCAGAGGTTGCAGTGAGCCAAGATTGTGCCACTGCACTACAGCCTGGGTGACAGAGTGAGATTCCATCTCAAAACAAACAAACAAACAAACAAACAAAAAAATCACTAGCGAGCCAAATGCAGTAGCATAAAAAGAACTATCCTCCATGCACAAGTGGAATTTATCCCAGGACTGCCAAATTGGTTTAACATCTAAAAATAATTAATGTAATGCATCTTATCAGTAAAATAAAAAACAAAAATCACACAATCATCTTAATAGATGAAGAAAAAGCACTGACAAAATCTAATATCCTTTCAAGATAAAACACTCAACAAACTAGGAATAGAAGGGAACTTCCTCAACCTGACAAATGGCATCTATGAAAAACCCACAGCTAACATCATACGTAACAGTGAAATACTGGATGCTTTCCCCATAAGATCAGGACTTAGACAAGGATGTTCACTCTCATCACTTCAGTGTTGTACTGGAGATTCTAGCTGGGCCAATTGGGCAAGAAAAAGAAATAAAAGGTATCCAAACTGGAAAAGAAGTAAAAATATATCTATTCATAGACAATATAATCTTATATATTAAAAAAATAAGGAAATCACTAAAAACTATTTGACTGCATGAATAAGTTCAGCAAGGTTGCAGGATACAAGAGCAGTATAGTAAAATCAATTATATTTCCATACACTCATAATGAACAATTCAAAAGTGAAATTAAGGAAACAATTTCACTTACATTAGCATAAAAAGAATAAAATACAGAGGAATAAAGCACTGACAAAATCTAATATCCTTTCAAGACAAAAGGATAAAAGGCACTCTGTAGTTGCCACTCTGGCAACTACAAATCATTGTTGAAAAAAATTAAAGATCTAAATAATTGGCAAAACATCCTGTGTTTATGGATCAGAAGACTTAACACTACTAAGAGGGTGATATTTCCAACTGACCTATAGATTTAATGCAATCCCTATCAGAATCCTGCCTAACTTCTTTGTAGAAATTGACAAGCTGATTCTAAAATTCATATGTAATCACAAGAAACCCAGAATAGCCAAAACAATCTTGAAAACGAAGGACAAAGTTGGAGGACTTAAACATCCCAATTTCAAAGCTTACTACAAAGCAACAGTAATGAAGACAGTATAGTACCAACACAGAGATAGACATATTGGTCAGTGGAATAGCATTGCAAGTTCAAAAATAAACCCATACACCTGTAGTCAAAGGACTTTTTTTAACAAGGGTGCTAAGACCATTCAATGTGGAAAAGAATAATTTTGTTCAACTAATCGTGCTGGGACAACTGGAGAGCCACATACAAAGGAATAAAGTTTGACCATTACCTTATGCCAAAATTAACTCAAAATAGATCAAAGATCTAAATGTAAGACCTAAAACTCTAAAACTCTTAAAAGAAAATACAGGAATACATCCTCATGAACTTGGATTCGGCAAAGGCCTCTTAGATATAACACCAAAAGCATGCGCAACAAAAGAAAAAATAGATGAATGGAACTCAGTCAAAATGAAATACTTTTGTGCTTCAAAGGGTATCACCAATAAAAAGGCAAGCCACAGAATGGGAGAAAATATTTGGAAATTGTATATCTGATAAGGGACTTAGATCTAGAATATATAAAGAGCTGTTATGATCTAGAATACATAAAGAGCTGTTACAACTCAATAATAAAAACACAAATAACCAAATTTAAAAATGGGCAAAGGATCTGAAGAAAAATATACAAGTGACCAAAAAGCACATGAAAAGATGATGAACATTATCAGTCATCAGAGAAATTCAAATCCAAACCTCAATAAGATGCAACTTCACATCCACTAGGATGGCAAGAATCAAAAAGTCAGATAGTAACAAGTGCTAGCAAGGATATGGATAAATTGGAATCCTCATACACTGATGATGATATTGCAAAATGGTGCGGTCATTTTGGAAAACAGTCTGGCAGTTCCTTAAATGACTGACATAGAGTTAGCATATGACCCAGCAATTCCACTCCTGGGTATATACTCAAGAGAAATGAAAAATTCTGTCTATACAAAAACTTGCACACACATGTTTGCAGCAGTATTATATCATAGCTGAAAAGTAGAAACAACCCAAATGTCCATCAATTGACAAATGGATAAACAAAGTCTGGCATTTTCATGTGATGGAATATTATTCAGCCATCAAAAATTAAGTACTAATTCATGCTACAGCATGGCTGAACCTAGAAAACTGTGCTAAGAGAAAGGCCACATGTTATATAATTCCATTTATATAAAATGTCCAGAATAGACAAATCCATAGAGACAGTGGGTAGACTTACAGTTGCATTGACTAGGGCTGGGAGAAATGTGGGGGGTAGGGATGGGAGGGCGTAAGGAGTGATAGCTAAAGGGTACAGGGCTTCTTTTCAAGATGATGAAAATGTTCTCAAATTGACCATGGTGATGGTTGCACATATCTGTGAATACACAAAAAAATCACTCAGCTGAACACTTTAAAAGGGTAAATTGTGTGGTGTGTGATCTATAACTCAATAAAGTGGTTTTAAGAAGAAGGCAGGGTCCTTCGTAGGTATAAGGCCTGAGCCAAATGCCGCAAGCCAGTTTACCATGTTTATTACTAGGGATTAGGAGCATACACCAAGTATAAGAAATTGGCCACTGTTCTTTTTTTCTATTGTTCTTAATTTCTTATGAAAAGGAGTGGGCTGGGCGTGGTGTCTCACACCTGTAATCCCAGCACTTTGGGAGGCTGAGGCAAGCAGATCACGAGGTCAGGAGATTGAGACCTGCCTGGCCAACATGGTGAAACCCCGTCTCTACTAAAAAATACAAAAATTAGCCGGGCATGGTGGTACATGCCTCTAATCCCAGCTACTCCGGAGGCTGAGGCAGGAGAATCGCTTGAACCAGGGAGTCGGAGGCTGCAGTGAGCCGAGATCACACCACTTTACTACAGCCTGGCAACAGAGCGAGACTCTGTCTCAAAAAAAAAAAAAAAAGAAAAGAAAAGGAGTGGCTATGACTCCACAACTGGGGTGTTTGTGCATAAATCAACTAATGTCATTTTAATACCATCAAAAACCTCACCTTAATACACAACGACATGGATGAATCTCAGAATATTATGCAGAGTGAAAGAGGACAGAGCCAAACAACTGTATTCTGTACAATACCATTTATATGAAATTGTAAACAGACCAACAGGGGGAGGAGTCAAAGGTAACCTCAAAAATTTCAGGAAAATATCAGTAAGAGAATGGTGGCACAATTATAATTGAAAATGGACATATCACCCATATGAACATGCCTCTGTCACTGATTTTAGTGGTTTTATAATCTAATAATCTTGTTTCTCATTTAGCTTCCAATTAATAAAGTTGTTAGTGACAGGCTGCCTTCATTTTTTCATTTAGTCAAGGATCCTTGGCCTAACCATGGTTTCTTTATATAACTCTTGGAGACCAAAGAGCAAGCACTATGGAATTTCCAGACTTATCAGACTCAAGACAGGAGACTAGGCATCAGTTGGGTATAGAATCTTTTTTTTTTTTTTTTTTTTTTTTGAGACAGGACCTTGTTCTGTCACTCAGGCTGGAGTACAGTGGCACAATCATGGCTCACTGCAGCCTCAACCTCCCTGGGCTTAAGTAATTCTCCCACTTCAGCCTCCTGAGTTGCTGGGACCACAGGCATATGCCACCATGCCTGGCTAATTTTTGTATTTTGGTTTTTTTTGTAGAGACGGAGTTTCACCATGTTGCCCAGGCTGGTCTCGAATTCCTGGGCTCAAGTGATCTGCCCACCTCAACTTCCCAAAGTGTTGGGGTTACAGGTGTGAGCCACCACGCCCAGTTGGTACAGAATCTTTGAGACAAGAAAGGCAACAGATACACAAACAACTAAATTGTTCCTGCAATTTGGCATTCATTGGCTGATTCATGCATGGCAAAGACCTGGACTCATGGTTCTCTGCCTGATTTGACCTTTGAGGCCTGCTGGATTCCATTCATACCGGGTGCTGTCAAGAGCAAAGAAGACAGATATTGATGATCCCCTAAATGAAATGTCTAAGAGGAAACAGGTAAACAAATCAGGAGGTTCTGGTTGCCAATGACCAGTAACTGCCAATGCCAGTTAGGTCAAGAAAATTCTCCAGGACTCAGTTTTTCTATCAGGATTAGGAAGGATGTCTGTTTGATACAGAGTCCATTGATGTTTCTTATCCACCTCCCTGTCCCAGGCACTGTGCTAGGCTCCTTCACATATGTCACCTCATTTTAACCCATGCCATAATTTGCTTGGTGCTGTCATTCCCATTTTATAGATAAGGAAATAGAGGCCAGAGGTGATGTGGCTTGCCTCAGATTACATGACCATAAGGACTCCCTCTGTGCTTCAACTCCAGGTCTCTTTTTTCTGAGCACAGTGACCCCTTGACTGTCTCTGCAGCTCACTATTCTGCCACTGTTTGGCCAGGGATGGCAAGAATGTAACATTTAGAAAATGCAATTGATTTTCCACCAAAGAGTGCCCCTGATTCAATACCCCCCACTAATACACACAGGATACTTTGAGAGCCTTCAGGGAACATGAAACTGGCTCTCCCAGACTGTGGCTTCTTCCTTCCCAGAATGATTTTTCCTGCCTTTGTCATTCCCAGAAACCAGCAGCCTTACAAAGAACAAAAAGAAGAAGGATCATCTCGGAGGGGGACCCAAAGCTCTGACTCATGCATTCTGGGGGCCACTGTGAACCTTTACCCTGAGAAGTGGGAGGCAGCACTTTCTGGGGGGTGGTTCTTATGGGGAGGAAGCCCCACTGGGTGAGTCCCATGGCTGCTTCTTCGCTGACCCAGCAAGCCCTATTCTCTCTGTCCCTCCTCATCTTCAGTCCTGGTGTCCAGAGAAGCCTTCTGCCCATCAGCCCGAGGAGCTGTGGAAAAACCAGCAAAGGGACTGACAGGGACCTCAGCCCCCAGGAAGGCAGGTGCTTCGGTCAAGACAAAGGAGAGGAAATGACAGGAGTAGGAGAGAGAGAGAGAGAGAGAGCAAGCTACAGGGAGAGATAAAGAGATGGACAGAAGGAGATCCAGAAATAAAAAGAGCAACAGATGGAGAGGACAGGGTGAGGGCTGTTAAAAGGGATAGAGGGAGGGGAGAACTGGAGGTGGTCGGCAGAAGAAAAAAAGGAGGAAAGAGAAAAGCAAATCACCAGGAATAAGCAGAAGGTGGCGGCCTTCACATCTCCAAACAAAGCCTCTGCAGGACACATTCCTCAGTTCAGGATGACTTTAGCCTCTCAGGAGTCTGATCAAGCTGAACGTGACATCTGGATTTGCTTTTCTGTTCCTGTGACCCGGGTCTGACCCATTAGCTCCCTCTCAGGCCATGGGGACTGGATCATGACTGGGTGCATGACTCAAGGCAGTCCAATGAGACTCCACCCCAGGACCTCTCTTGGAACCATTATAGAAAGGAAGCCCTTTTCCACTGAGAGTTTGGGTAAGATGATGGTGAAAGCCTGGAATTGCCAGAGACCACTGCACCGGAAGATCCTACACGAGAATGAAACCAGCACAGAGGGAAGCAGAACAAGAAGACAGAGACAAAGTGCTGACAAAAATCACCCTTGCTCCTGGATCCAGCTGTGCCTGAAGCCATCCCAACCCTGGGACTTTTCAGGTATAGGAACTTACTCTCTCTTAAGCTTAAGTTGATTTGAGTTGGGGGTTCTGTCATTAGCAACTGAAATAGTCCTACTAGAATGTGAAAACCCATCTGTCAGTCTTGTCTCTTTTACCAGTTCCCAGAACTGTCACCTGAATGCCTGCCCTGCTCTCCTGACAAATGTGGTGGCCAACGTGTCCTGGTCCCACAAAAGAAACACAAAGGACAAGTAAGAGAACTGCTAAGCCATGATGTTTAAAAAGGAAAACTATCCCAGGTGCTTGGTGCATCCTGGGCCGTATTCTAACTTTCAAGGGTCCTAGGCCCTTTTGCCTGCATGGGTCCCTTCCTCCATTCAAAAAAAAAGTTAAAAATTATATTTTACAACTGCATTAGTATAAAGACAAATATAATCCAGACTGGATATTGTGTTCATTTTTTTTCTGATTTTAAAAGAAATTAAAACATTTTAGTGGACCTCTACAAGTACCATGGGCCCTTGGCACTATGCCTACTCTGCCTGACGGATAAGTTGGCATATGGTTCAGATTGCTTGTCTACACAGTCCAGTTTCCCTAGAGACTAGTCCGACTCTCTTCTCCTTGTCTGGAAGGGGTGGAGGAATCTGGAGAAAGGTCTTGACTGGCCTTTCTCTCTCTCTCTCTCACCACACATTTCCCAGGATCATCACCCTTTGATTTCATCTCCAGGGTGCCCAATGCACCAGACACACCTGTAATCTGGCATTATCGCTTTGCACCATGAGAAGCTACTTCCAACCTGTCAAGATCTGGTGACAGACTGGGAGTTCCTCAAGGACCGACGTCTTGTTCATCCCTGTGCCCAAGTCCCAGCACAGGCTTGGCACAGAGCAGACCCTCAAAGGGGAAGGATGGAGGAACAGAGCTTGCTTTCTACTTAGGGAACTCATGTCTCTTAGGATTTGTACCTGGGCCAGGCAGGACACATTAAGGAATGAAGTGGGCTAGGTGTGGGGTGTCGTGAACACAGCGTGAGCCTATGAGGATCTGCTCTGTGTCAGGCCCATGCCAGGACTTGGGGCATGCCATGAAGGTTTTTCGGGGTCTTCGTCTATTCTGAAGGACAGATGGCTGACTTGGAAAGCTGAAGAGGTCTATGTGGGCCAGCCCTGTGGTTGGGCTGACAAAAGTCAGTGTGAGAGGCCCCAGGAAGAATCCCTTGTCCCCAGGATCCCCCTCACTCACCTTCATCGCTGGTATGAGGCTCAGTGCCATTGTCATGGTCAACTTCATCGATGGCCCCTGGCTCGCTGTGTGGGCTGTCACTGCAAGGAAACACGGGAATGGGACTCACTGCGGGGGGTTATCTACCCTCACAGCACCTTCAGCCTCTCATGCCAGTCCAGTTGGCCTCTGGGCCCTCCCGCAGCTCAGATGCAGGCCTATACCATCCTATCTTTTCCATGTGACCACTCCGGGGACCTTCCTAATCAGAAAACTACTCCCAGCCTCCTCCTTGCGAAGCTTCCCAAATATCTCCCCCAGTGCCCTCCTAGCCCTGGAATTTGCTGAGCTGTCTTCTTGGTGAAGTCTGTCAATGCTTACGTGTTCTGTAAGATCCAGAGGGCAGTGGTAAAACCCCAGCATTTATAATCAGAAGGACCACAGGCCAGAACAAAAAGAACCCTTTGAAGTACCATGAGTTATTTCATCTGGCCTGACTCTCTTGTCTTATAGCTGAGGTGACATATCCCAGGAGGTAAGATGAAGCTAACAAGGGCTGCCCTGTCTTTCTGCATGCAAAAGCCCCGACTGATGCAGGCACTGAGAGTAGACTGGCAACCATGATGGGCATAGTGGCTGAGTAATCCAGTCCATCAGATTTAATTGTTAATGTGCTGGTATAATTTCACCAGCTACTACCCCCTCACTAGATTATAAGCTTCTTGAGGCAAGGGTTAATTCACATAATCAGCCAGTTTTTTTTTTATAGAGCCATTGAGTGAGTTCTAATATGCCAGGCAGTGTGCTGGTAGGAGGGATGCAATGATAGATAAGGCGGACAAGGTTCCTGGCTTCATGTTGCTTACATTGTAGGGAGAGGGACAAGAAAAAAAACCGAAGTAAATAGGCCATTAAATAAGACAGTTGCAAGTTATGTTATGTAGTGTTATGCAGGAAATAAATGGGCAGAGACAAGAAGAGCAGAGGGGACCTATAAAGAGTGGACAGAGAAGGCTTCTCAAAGGAGTTGACATTTGCAATGCCATTTAAAGGAATATGCATTTTATTACGAAAAATTCTCCACTGTCACCTGAATCAGGACCAAACTCAATGGCTTCCAAGATTTTTCACAGCCTGGCTCTACCCAACCTGTGGAGCCTCATCCTTCACCATTCCCCTGTCACACATGCTATGCTCTGACCACACTGAACTGCTTTTCATTCTACTGAATGCTCCAGGTCTTCCCACTCCTCACTGGGTTGGCTCCTGTTCATTCTGCAGTCTCAGCTCAGTCTGCACTTCCCCCAGGAAGCCCTTCCTGATTTCCCTAGATCGGCTCAGGGAGCCCCACTTCTGGAGCCATTTGTTTCCTGTTCCATCAGAGCTCCTGCACCAGGGGTCAACCTTGTTTGGTTACATCTCTGACTCCCAGCACAGAATCCAGCCCACAACAGATGATTGGTAACCATTTGTTGAATGAATGAATGTTGTCTACTGTGCTGAGACCCTCAGCCAAGTCTCCTTTTTTGGTTTTGAAGACTCCAAAATTACCATGTAATTAATAGTTTTACAGTCTCGTGGGAAACAAATAGGATTAAGAAAAGTGTGGTTATTGTATATTGTTCTTTGATAAGTACACGAAGATCTGTGGGTCCCTTCCCAGAACACTAATTACATATATTGCAGCAAGAAAAGAGAACTGGTAATGGTTGCAAAAACTGTGTGAAAATTCTCTTTGTCCAGAAATTATGCTTGCCAGCTGTTTAATGTTTCTGTTACAGAACAGGGATGGACTTGCTCCCTAGTGCCTCAAACGAGATTAGAGAGCTGTGATCAGACACCACTATGACCCAGTATTTCTATGCAGGGAGGCATGTGGGAAGGAAACACAAAGGCTGGAACACCTTCCTTCTTTGAAGCAGCTGCCCAAATATGCTCACAGTACTAAGGCAATTCAAAAGTCCAGGAATGCTTTGACAATCAAAAAACAAACTCCCCTGTAGGCACCTGGCTGAAGGCAGTGTGGGTAATACCTAAATATATAGCTGTGTGCTCTCCTGAATTGGAAATAAAGAAATAGTAGAAATGCTTTGGTCTCTGTCATTGAGTGTCCTGAATTTCCTGTCTTCACCACATTTAAAGATTTTTTTCCTGTCTTCACATTTTAAGGTCTTAGCCTGGGGAAGCTTTTAAAGCCCTGACTTTGAAAAGGTTCTAAAATCTTTCTCCTAAGACCTAGTGTAGTACCAGGTATACCAGGCACACAGAGGTCCCAAACTAGTGATTGTTGACATGGTGTTGGACACGCAAAGAAACTGAGCTCACTTTGTCTGGAAAAGAGAACTCCTAGGTGAGAGGAGACAAGGGTAGGAAGTGTCACAGTCAGTTCATGAAGTTGAGGTGGGGACTAGTCACTCCCCTGCTTCCTGAGATGGGCTTGTGACTCACATGGCCAGTTAAAGCATTGCATCTCCTTACCAAGGTGATTACTTCACCAGGCCCAAACCTCAGCAATGAAACACAATTCTTGAGCTTGTGTTGGAACATTTGGGAAGGAAAGGGTCTTTTTCTATTGAAGATGCTAAGAGAGTGAGTTACAGATCTTGAGTTGCTGGTTGCCTGCTTGCGACCACCAAGGAAATGGCTATCCAAGAATGAAGCCAACACAGAATCAAGCAGGGCCAAGGAATGGAGACTGCAGGACCAAGTCCTTGTGGTAATAGTTGAGCCCCTGGATCAAGCTATACCTGAAGATATATCCCCAGACTTTTTACTTAAGTAAATCAATAAAGTCCCATTTGGTTAAAGGCCATTTGAGTTGTATGTCTGTCCCTTGTAACCAAGAGAATCCTAACTGATGTACCTATCTCTCATGTGAAGCTGCTGTGAAGCTCAGATGAGAAAATGTATATGGAAGCACCGACTATCAAGCAGTAAGAAAACTGAAGGGTTTCTTATTGTTCCTATTCAATGGCAATAACAATGACGATGATAATAATATTAAGAGGAATGGCATCTTACCAATATTCTTCCCCTCCAGCCATGCATTTTTCATACACAGGTCCCTCTAGCTCCCGGGGGCTGGGGAAGATGGCTTCATGATGGATGATGATGGTTTTGATGACTTCATTGATGTGTGCCTGGCAGGACACAGGGTCCTGCCCATCAGGGATGTGCATGAGGGTAGGCCCGAAGCAGATGGCCAGGTTGTAGGGATCCATCATGTTCTCGTCGCTATACTGGGAGAGGCTAGGAGAGAGGAGTTACCCACAAGTCATCTGGGAAAGGCAAGTCCTCCCCCTGTGTTTTTTTTCTTTTGGGGGACCCTATTCAAATCCAGGAGGGTTCCATGTTCTCCTTTAAAAACAGCATCTGCAAAAGCCTCAAGATACCCCCTCCCAAAAGAGGCCAGGCCTGAGTCAAAAAGGGGCCCCTTGGCCAGACACTCACTGGTTGAGGAAAGCGAAGAGGTATCTCATGACCACAATGACCACGCGGGGAAGGGTGACGAGGATTTGTTGGATCTGGTGCACCCTCTCGGCTGGGTTCTCCAGTTCTGTAACATAAAGGGGCCTTTCAGCGTGCCTTTCATCCTCAGAGAGCAAAGCAACAAACATTCGCTCGCCACATCTCCTATATCAACCCACGTGGATGGGGGAGCCAGCTCTACTCTTGATTCCAGGGATCACAGGTGATCCTGGCCTGGCCAATCAGAGCATCCATCTCCCTAGCTACAGGGAGGGGCTGGAGGTGTGGCCTAATCAAGAACCAATCAGAGTCGACTCTCCGGACTTGGTTGTGAGAAACCCACAGGGAGATGCCCTCTTGGACCTGGGTAGAGGGAAGCCTGGAGCACAGTGGGGGCCCCTGAGAGGAGGATCCCACCTAAGAGTGAAGCTGGCATAGAGCCGGACGGGGCATATATCTGCTGATGCCGTGTGAAGGTCTGAGTCCAGCTGGACCTAAGTTTTCCAGGTTCCCGAACAGTGCATTCCCTTTTATGAAGTAAGCAGGTTTAAGCTGGGTTTCTGTTACTTATGAGTCCTGACAGACACAGGCAGGGACGATGTTTTATTAAACTCTTTACAAACACCAGCTGCAGCACAGGCCTGACACATAGTGGTTGCTCAGGAAATGAACATCGAATAAATCACCACTTCTCAAGCTACCTATCAGCCAAAGTCTGGCAGATGCTTGGGATCTCATCTCTGACCCCTGTTTCCAGGTCATCCTAGACCTGAAATTGGCTCAGGGCCCTGTACAGGAACAGGATTTTTGGGGTTCTGGAAACACTGGCTGAGCAAGTGATACAGGGCTCAGACAGGGTCAGACCTCTGCAGTCTAGAATACAGCTTGTAGTATGGAGGTCTGGAAAGATGAGCAGGGAATAGTGTGGAGGGAAGAGAGGAACAGAAGGGTCTTTTACACACACAATAAAAAAGAGCTCAAACCTCCCTCTTCTCTTGCCATCTCCTGGGACACTTTCCTGGCTGCAAATATCTCTCAGAGTACTGTGAGAAACACCCCAAATGAAACTGGGTATGGGGCAACTTTTCTGTGAATCAAATTTAAAAGTTTATTCTAAATGACTAAAATTCTAATATTCTAAAGTTGAAAGCTTATTTTTTAAAAAAATTTCCAAAAGGTTACCTTGGATTTGGGTACCTCAGAGTCAGGGTGCCATGACATCAGCTCCCTAGACTGGGTTCCTCCTGATTTTATCCACAGAAACATAATAGTTTCTCACAACTAACTAGCAATGTCAGAGAAAAATCCCCAGACAACTTACTTTCAGCATTTCCCTTGCTGGTCATGCTGCTGACCTGACCTCTAGACCTTCCACGTCTCCCCATCACCCAAGGGGAAAAGCTCTGGAATGTCTGCAAGGCATTCAAGGTCTTCCCCCTTTTGCTCCATTTTCCCCTTCCAACCTCTTGCACCATGCACAGGCTGGGACACCCTCTTGGCTGGTCCCACTGGGTCTATGTCCCTTGCGCTTCCCAGGATCCCCCGTGCTCATTCCTCCTGGAACACTCTGCTCCCAGCACTCTCTCTTGGCTCTGATCTGCGAAACCAAGTCTTCCTCTGGTTCTCCTCTGAGCTCCTTCTCTACCCAGGGGGTGTGACATGCCCATTAGCCCTTTCATTATAAACCATCTTGTTATTTCCGCTTTCAGTTCTACGAGGATGCACGTCACACTTCGCCTTTCATAATGTCCCTCCTCTATGCCTAGCACAGCAGTAAGCCTGTAGCTCAACTCCAACAATGATTTGTCAAAAAACTGATCATTTCACCTGGGAAATACTTACTAATAGTAGATATCAAATCTTGAAACCTTTCCTTAGGAAAGAGTGGGTTTTCCAGTCCTCGGAAATACAGTTTTAAAACACCAGCGACTGAATTGATATCTCGTTCATTTTGATCGTCCACAAGGGGGTCTTCACCTGAGTGGAAACAAGAGACGAGATGATATTTCAGCTTGGGAAGGAGTCAGAGAACGTGCAGATGGCCGAAGAGATGACCTGGTCCAGCCTGAACCACAGGAAAGGCAGATGGGAAAAGTCTCCCCCACATATGAGGCCCCCCACTTCAGCAAGTTTAAAGTTCTCCCTGCAACTTATTTGAAAATGTTTAAATCTATAGAAAAGTTGTAAAAATAAAATAATGAACGCCCATCACCCTTCGCTTACAACTCATCTTGCCACATTTGATTTCTCGCTCTTTCTGTATTTATATTTATTGTTGCTCCACTATTTGAGATTATTTTGTAGACATCAAAACACACCACCGCTAACTACTTCAACACACTTCTCCTAAGAATAAGGATATTCTTGTATGTAACCACAACATTATTACACCTAAGAAAATTAACCATTCAAAAAGAACATCTCATATACAGCCCACATTCAGACATCCCCAGTTGTCCCATGGTGTCTTTTATAGACTTTTTTTCAAAAGCCAAGATCTAATCAACATTCACACAATTCATTTGGTGGTTATTTTTCTTGAGTCCTTTAAATGTAAAATATGCCCCGATATTTTTGTTTGCTAGTTTGTTTTTTACAATCTCGGCTCTTTCTGAAGAGCCCTGGCCAGTTGTCTTGTAGAATGCCTCACACTCTGGATTTGTCTGTTTTCTCATGATTAGACTCCAATTAAATATTTTTGGCAAGAACACTACATGGGTGATGTTATGGACACCTTAATGCATCCCATTAGAAGGCACGTACGTCAGGCTGTCCTGCTGCTGGTGATGCCAACCTTGATCACTGGGTCAAGGTGTTGGCCTCCAGATCTCTACATTATAAAGGTATTTTCCCCCTACTTTGTAATAAGTATGATCTGTGAAATGATACTCGAAGTGTCAAGATGATACTCTGAGACGACCGTGTGCATGTAGTGCCCAACATGTTTCACCCAATGGTTTTAGCATCCAGTGATGATTTTTGCCCAAATTAATTGTTCCACTGGGGTTGCAAAACGGTGACTTTCTAATTATGTCATTTCTTCTCTGTGTATCAGCAGGCATTCTTTTGTAAAGAAGAGCTGTCTTCCTGTCCCCCACTCTCACCCTTTATTAACATTTATACGAACTTGTTTTTGTAATTTTTAACTGAATTGTGATTACCCATTACCATCACTATTTTTTAGAATACTTAAATTGTCCCAAATTTGGCCAGGGAGCATACTTTCTTGTGTCCTTTTAATGTGACCTCCATTGAGCACTTCCTTGTTTTCTGGACCAAAAAAAATCCCCAATTACTTTTTACTTTCCTTGATCCAGATCTTGAATCAAACATTTCTCCAGCGGGCTCTGTTTGCTTTTTGTAGGAAACAAATATGGTGTCTCATATCGAGACACCAAGATCTAGGTATTAGGTGTGCTCATTGCTACAGAAGAGTCATAAAGACCTTCCAGATCCTTTCAGTGGATAGAACTAGAATTTTTTTTCATGAGTTCATACTGATGTTTCTTATTCATACAATAAGGTTTTCATTACCTTCACTTATTTTGTATTTGTACATTTTTTTCTTACCATAAAAATATTGGTTCTGAATAATATTAGTAATAATTACATTCATCTGCTTTATCCTATAATACACAATCAATGGTGTAACAGTTTTAATAGCAATATTACCACTAACAATAAACCTGCTACACACAACTTGAGATTTCTTTCCAGGGCTTTTGTTTATGTTATTGTTTAGTATTTTTATCTTCAAAATGTATCCCACTCAAGAGATATATGGTCAGAAGACAGAAAGTAGATCAGTGGTTGCCTAGGGCTGGTGGCCAGGGTATGGAGGATATTGGGAGGGACTTGCAAATGGGTACAAGATTCCTTTTGGGGAGGATGAAAAAGTTCTGAAGTAACGTTATGATGATGATTGCCTAACTCTGTAAATATAATAGAAACCATTGAAATGCATTTTTTCTTTTACTGATATATAACATTTTAAATATTTATGGTGTACATGTAACTGTTAGATGCATAGAATGTATAATGATCAAGTCAGGGTATTTGAGGTATCCATCACCTTGAATATCTGTCATTTCTATGTGTTGGTATCATTTCAAGTCCTCTCTTCTAGTTACTTTGAAATATACGAAATAGTGTTGCTAAGTATCGTCACCCTATTCTACTACCAAACCCTAGAACTTATTTCTTCTATCTAATTCTATGTCTGTACCCACTAACCAACCTCTTTTCATTCTCCACTCCCACTCACCCTTCCTTCTGGCACCTATCACTCTATCCTCTGTGTCCATGAGATAAAGTGTTCTAGTTCCCACACAGGAGTGAGAACATTCAGAAATCTTCTTTCTGAGGCTGGCTTATTTCACTTAACATAATGTCCTCCAGTTCCATACATGTTGCTGCAAATGACATGATTTCATTCTTCTTTATGGCTGGATAGTATTCTACTATATATTATACACTACATTTTCTTTTTCCATTCATGCATTGGTGGCCACGTAGGTTGCTTCCGTATCTTTGCTATTGTGAATAGTGCTGCAGTAAACGTGGGAGTGCAGGTATCCTTTTGATACATTAATTTATTCTCCTCTAGATAAATACCCAGTAGTGGGATTGCTGAATGGTATGGTAGTTCTATTTTTAGTTTTTTGAGAAATCTCCATGCTGTTTTCCATAGTGGCTGTATTAATTTACATTCCCACCCACAGTATATAAGAGTTCCCTTTTCCCTGCATCCTCGTCAGCATCTGTTATTGTCTGCCTTTTTAATAATAGCCATTCTAACTGGGGTGACATGATATTTGTGGTTTTGATTTGCATGAAATGTATACTTCAAAAAATGGGTGAACCTTATGGTGTGCAACTCAATAAAGCTGCTAAAAATGTATGATCGGAGTACATGTTCAAAAGTTACTCTCTGTAGTTATCAATTTGGTAAGTGGCACACTTGGTTTTCTTCGTATTTTAGGTAGTAATTTTTTTTAGAAATACTTTTTTTAAATTTACAGTTTTGAATGCACAAAGCATTTATAGGGTCCAAAAGTCAAAAGTTGCACTCAGAAAAGCCCTACTCTTATCCTTCTCTCCTCCACACCTTTTAACCATTTTCATTCGTTTCTGGTTTGTCTTGCTGTGTGAGCAAATACATAGGCCTATTTTTAATATCTTCTTATTTCTTACACAGAATGTAGTATACTTCTAAATAAACTTCTTTCTTCACTTAACAAGAAATCCTGGAAATCCCTCCACATTAGTTCACAGAGATCTTCCTCTATTTATTATTTTTTTAAAGGCTGCAAAGTACTCTACTTCATGGACAGACCGTAATTTATACAATCAATCTCTTAGGGGTCAACATTTGACTTCTTTCCACTATTTTGTTATTATAAATATTGCCACAGTGAATAGTCTTGTGTTTTTGTATGCACAGAGGCAGATTTCTGTGATCAGTTCCCAGAAGAGGGATGGCTGGGTCATAGGGTAGACATATATGCAGTTTTTTCAGACATAGTCGAATTCTTCACTGGGGCTATGCCATTTTATATTCCTACCAGCAACACCATCTCAAGAATGTTGTTTTCCACAGCCCTGCCCCTGGCATATCATCAGTGTTTTGAATTTTTGCCAGTTGGACAAGGGAAAATGTTATCTCAGGGGAGTAGCACTTTTCAATTTAATCAGAGCTGCTGGGCAGGTTCACCACTGTGAATTTCCATGGGGGAGGTGAAAGGCAGCAGCGAGCCTTCTGCTGTTTTGATGTTCAGAGACATCCACACAATGGGCTGCTCCTCCTCCTGAACAGCGAAGAGCACCTCTAGAGCTGGCAAGCAATGAAAAGCAGAACTGGAAACTCATCCTTGGATCTTTTTACTCTGCTTCTGTGGAAAGTGAATACATGTCACTGCCAGAGCCTCCCTAGCCCCAACATGCTTCAGTATGAATTAGAGAACGGTCCCCCTGCCTTCCTGCACCAAGGCTTGCAGTGTACAGAGCATGAGCCAGAGTTCAGTTCCCATCTGTTCTCTTGGCTGGGCAGCCTTGTGCAGTGCCCAGAGTGAACAATCATGCATGGTGGCCCAGACACAGGTATCAAATAGGTCAATCTCTCAAATGTTCCCACTGGAGGACGTGAGAATGCTGCCTCCATAAGACTTCTTTGTAGGGAAGGAAGAGAGAAAATAAACACACCAAAAAAATCACCTGTATTCACACAGCACTTCTCAAGTGAGAAGCACATTTGTACATACGAACTCTCCTAACCCTTACAACAGCATTGCATGTCACTAAGGGAGACATGGTTCCAATACCACCATTCTCTCCTGTGAGAGAGCTGAGGCCCTGGCAGATGAAGCAGTGTGCCCATAATCACAAAGTCAACAACAGATACTGGCAGCTCCAAGGTCTCATAATCCCTGAGAGATACACTTTCTTCTACCTGTGATTTTTTGATCTGTCTGTCTGCATCTATGCCTGCTTATGTAGGTAGGTATATATTTACCTACTTTCCTTCCTTCCTTCCTTTCATCCTTTACAGTAGAATCTCAACCTTTTTTTTTTCTCAGTAAAAAATTCCTGTGAAATCCCAACTTATAGAACAAGGCTGTCTTAGTTGAACTGGGGTGGGGGATGTCCAAGCCTTACCTCCTCAGCCTCCCTCTCTATCCCTGTAGCAGCCTAAGGAATTCAAAAACTGTACCATATTAAGCTGTTTCCCTATTAGCTCCACACATCATTCCTGTGGTCTCATAATTCAAAAACACATGGATATTTTCCTCCATGTTGCCTAGTACTAGTTCCCGTTGTTAAGCATGATTCGCATATTGACTTTACATACGCACACATACACATACACACGCCATTAGTTCTTGCCATTCCTCCTGCAAGGCTCTCAGTCCATAAATTGAACTGCCCAAACATTCTTTTCAATTAGCCCAGGCCTTTGGCTCTCTGCAAGCTAGTCAGTTTTGGCTCTGAGAATGGAATCCCAGAGCTGGAGACGAGCTGGATGGTTCCTGTGAATGACGGCTTTCTCCAGGAGGAGAATTAGAGCTAAAATTCCAGGCAAATCTGAAGGAAAGACATGTTCACACTTAGCTAGCTAATGTCCTGGGGAGGTGGCATTGTTACTGAATTGCCCTGCCTGGAGCTTACTTTTACCCAGATCACCTGGGCGTTGCCAAAGGCTTTAAGACAGGGCTGTGCCCAGGGCAGAGACTGAGCACACAGTGTGTGCTTAAAGGCTCTGTCAGACCTGCTGCTGGAAGCTTGGAGTCAGTCTCTCTCATGAGGGCAGTTCTCTCTGGCCACAGGTCCTCGAGCCCCTCGACATGACAACCCCGCCCAGCATCTCCAGGTTCCATCCCTCTTCTTGAGGCAGGACACAGGTCTCAGAAGGGGCAGATCCAGAGTCAAGAGTGTGCTAGAGCCTACGTGGCATGGCTTTAGCCCCACATCCAAACCCTGCGTAGATATGCACAGCGGGAGAGAGCCATTGCCTCCTTGGCAAGGCACCCCCTCCACATAAGGAGAGACCTCAGCACTCCCATCTGTGCATACAAAGAGGGCACCTAGAGAGGTTTGTGGGGGACCCTCTGGGAGACAAGAGCAAACCACAGCTCAGTAGCTAATTCTTGCCTTTTCATGATGTGTTTTTTTTTCTCTCTCTCCTTCATTTTGCCAGAAGATTTATAGGGAGAGCTCAAAACTTGAGCAGTGAGTTTAAGATTTACTGACGACAACAACAAAAAGAATTCCAACTAAAACTCTGGTTGACTCATATGAGAAGGAAAAAAAAAAGTAGATTTAGGAATAATAAGCCAGGAGTGGATTTCCAACATGTTATCACTTTTCAGGAGCTCAAGGAAAAGAAAACCATGCTCCTTTCAACAGCCTTAAGCAAGGAACTCTGGGAAGACCTCTACTCAGGAGAAGGGAAAAACAGAGCCAAGGAAGAACAAGACCCAAATCCCTTTTAACAACTGGTGAAGAATGGGCACCCTGCAGGAATTAGAGGATTTAAATTTTAAAAATAAAAGGAAAAGGCTGGGGGCAGTGGCTCACGCCTGGAATCCCAGCAATTCTGGAGGTTGAGGCGGGTGCGTCGCTTTGAGCCCAGGAGTTCAATGGCGAAAGCCCATCTCTACAGAAAACACAAAAATTATCCAGGCATGATGGCACACACCTGTAATCCCAGCTACTTGGTGGATGGAAGGGTGCTGAAGTGGGAGGATCACCTGAACCGGAGGAGGCAGAGACCCTGTCTCAAAAACTAAATAAACTGGCCAGGCGCAGTGGCTCACGCCTATAATCCCAGCACTTTCGGAGGCTGAGGTGGGTGGATCACGAGGTCAGGAGATGGAGACCATCCTGGCCAACATGGTGAAACCCTGTCTCTACCAAAAATGTAAAAAATTAGCCGGGCAAGGTGGCACACGCCTGTAGTCCCAGCTACTCAGGAGGCTGAGGCAGGAGAATCACTTGAACCTGGGAGGCGGAGGTTGCAGTGAGCCGAGATTCCGCCACCGCACTCCAGCCTGGTGACAGAGCGAGACTCCATCCCAACTAACTAACTAAATAAATAAATAAAATACAGGAAGAAAGGAAAAACATGGCATACTGGTTTGGAGAGGAAATTTAGTCACGAGTTAAACCATGTGGGATGTGAAGAGTGGGCGAGAAGAGAAATATTGAGCTGGGCCCAGATTTGGGCCACCCCGTCGCCAGGGAAACACAGAGATAAGCAGGCTGACGGCCAGGAAGAGGGAAGACCTTAGTCTGGGGAGGGGTGGGAGGAAGCGGCCCTGAGTGTCAGCCAGGTTAGGAGCCAAACCCAGGGCATATGCTTGGTGAATATCAAGGAACAGAAAAGAGTAAGTGAGAAATCTGGCAGCGGCCAACCCAGAAAATCCAGGAAAGGATTTTTATAAAAGAGACATACTAGAACGATTCTTTCAGAAGAAAGCATGCTCCATTGTCAACTCAGGTGGAGCAGAAGGACCAGGCTGGCGAGAGAATGAGATTCGTTTTGGAACGATGGGAAGAGGGAGTGAGGCCAACTGCATCCGTGAGGAAAAGAAAAAGGAAAAAATATTTTTTGCAGCTGAGATTTAGTTCAGACATTCTCTGCCCAGCTGGGCTCTGCCTGAGGCAACCCAAGGCTTGTTAGGAGCAGAGAATTCTTTTAAATTGCACATCACCCCTGCAAAGCACCAAAGCAAGTGACAGGAGGTGCTGACCTTAGAAAATCACATTCAAGAAGGTAAAAAGCAGTGCTACCAGAGTAGGGAAAGGGTGGGGTTGCCCGTGGCAACAAGGTTACATACAGAATATGGAGAGGCAGGGAAATGCCAGGCAAAGTGGTTGCCAGGCTGGAGGCACCATGCAGTGAGTTTGCCCACGAGATTCAAGGCAGGGTGACAAGGCATTCTGTATAATGGGATGAGCCCAGGAGGAGGCAACCAGCAAAGGTTCCAGACTATGGTTCTGTTCATTGTAAATGAAGACAAGGCAGCAGGGATGTAAGGAGCTGGGGAAAATGAAGAAACAACATTATGGGTTGGACTGTCCAGTGCTGCCAAGAGAGGCTCAGAGCAATGACAAATGATACTTGCATCATGGACGCAGATGGGAGAGACCTCTTGCTTTCTGACCTTTGCACATGCTGTTCTCTTGGCTTGGAATGCCCTTTCTTTGCCCCTGTTTCCCCTGGCTCTTACTCTTCAAGCCTCAGCTTAGGCATTTTTTCCCAAGGAAACCTTCCCTGGCTTTGCTGTTCCTCCCCACTCCATCCAGGCTGGGCTAGGGCCTCCTATGCTCCCCAATGCCTACTCTATCATTGCACTGATTATACTGGCTGTTGACTAAACTGGCTCCCCCACTAGTAGTGACTGTGTTTTGTTCATATTGCATTTCCAGGCCCTTGTCCATTACCTTGTATGGTATAGGGCTCAGTGCATGCTTGTTTAGTGAATGAATACATGACTAAGTAGGAGCTTGGAGCAAGGAGGTCCTGGGGCTCCCTGGTTCTAAGCACCCGAGATCCTTGAGGAGGCTCCAGAAACGAAGCTCCCCTAGACCCCAGAAGGCCACTGAGCATGACATGCAGCCAAATCTCATTGTCTACAGATGGTTCCAAGCCAGAGCACCTACATCCACAGAGGGTCTGTGCCTGGGGGCCGTGGCAGTACTGCTTGGGGCTGCAGAATGCTTCCTCCACCGCAGGATGGAATGGAGATGACCGAGAGGCAGAGAATTTGCTCAAGAGGCAGCTCCTTTGGGGTGGTAGGGGAGCTAGGTAATAAGTAGGAAGAATTCTATGGGTGGAAACACACAGAGAGGTCTGCTCAGAGTACAGCCAACAGGGGTAAACCATACCTTTTGGGATGTTATGTACTGCAAGTAAAGGGGTATGGGGTTGGGGTCTTCAGCACCAGAACCACTCAGAGAAGAAGGCAGTAAATCAGAGTTGAGAAGGCATGGACTATGGAGACATGACCTTTTCAAATATTGGAAAACTGCAGGCAGAGATATTATTTGGGATACTGATATTCCAACTCTTCTTTCCTCCCCTGGGATGAGGTTATGGTCTTGTTAATGCTAGGTTTTGTTCTAGAATCAGGGAGCAGGATTGAAAATATTTCCTCGAATGAAACTGCATGGATTTTCCATTTCAGTGCAGCAGTGAGATAAGCACTGAATATTCAAAAGCAGAGGTGTAAGAAAAATTGAGTGTTTCCTGACCCAGTGAGTCCTTACTTGGCTTGGACACTGTCACTGGCCATCTGTTCCTATCAGGGATTCTGAGGCCCAGAGAGGCTACACCAAATGTATCATATGTGTCCTGGTCTAGTGGTCCACCTCATTTCTAATAAGCTTTCATATCCTTGTTTAAATCAAAATGGGAACTAGGTCACCTCTCCAGGGTTGGAGGGAGTGTATAATCTCTTCCCCGCAATGTGTGGCTTGCCAAAAACACTGCATAAAAAATTAAAAATTAGGATATCCTAAAAGCCACTCAGTATTTTCTATGTTCTTCCAATTCTAAAATGTAGCATCATTTACAGATTCATATGAATATTCCAGAGCTCTTTACAAGGTGCCCTTTCCCAGCAACCACTGTGCAGTCCCCTGGAGAAACCACCCAAAAGCAGTAATAGTAGTAATAGCAGTAGTAGTCATAGTAGTAGTAACAGTGGTGGTGGTGCTGGTGCTGGTGCTGGTGCTGGTGGTAGGTAAATGTTGAACAGTTAACTCTTTGGCAGGTAACAATTAGAACTTAGTGTTAGCCAATTTCTCTGGTGTAAACACGCCAGCCATGGCTTATTCCAAGTACCAGGACAAAGGCACTGCATGTGAAGTTGGGAAGAGATGTGCACAATCAGCTCCTGCAAACCACTGCAGGCTGGCTTCTGCACACCACTGGCTCTGAGACACACGTGAATATTCACCCTGGCTTCCCCTGGCCACAAGCCTAAGATGGTCGCTCTGCACCCACCTCTCTCAAAGGAATTTTTGATGTCATTGACTTCCACCTGAGATCCTGGCACTCTGAAGATCCCCTGCTGCTGGAGTCCTAAAAAAGAAACATACAGAAAAAGAAATAGTAAATCCACGAGACCTTGAGTTCATTAGACTACCGGGAATATCAGTGACTCTCCCCATTGCTTGTCTCTTTCTCCCCCGATCCTTTATAACAGAGTCGTTCCCTATGAATGTCTCCAGAAATGGCCTTCACGGTAAAGTACAGCTGGCCAAAATCCTTGGACACATCTGCTTCAAACACTTGTGATCTTCTGTTTGAGCTTAAAGGAAAAGGCCTCAAGAAGTTTGTATCAATACCTTTCCTTCCCTGTACACAGACATGTTCTGCCTTCAAGAAGAGCTAGACTCCAGAGTATATTCTGGCTGGGACTTGAGAGAAGTTAAATCATTAAAGTAAAACTATCCCTTTTTTTTACATGTTTCTACAAGACCTTAACAAAGAGGAGACCCTTATACATGACATGACAGTAATGACATAACAGCAGCCTGTACAACTGAAGGAATTAAAAGGTCTGTTTCATCTTAATGAGAATTAATGGGGGAGCCTGTGATCCTTTCCCTATCTCTGTTTTTCTATATAAAACAATTTTCCACATTATAATTTAGGAAGTATTTACTCTCAAAAGGCAGGCTTTGGTCAAAGTTTGGTTTGTATATAGTATATCCTCAATAAATGCTTCTTCATCTCTTTACTTAAACAATATTGAACTTCTGCCACCCAAGTCTCTGATCCCATCTTCCTGGCTCCTTACCACCCAGCCACACTGACCTTCCTCCCCATGCTAGGCCTTTCCACTCGCCATCCTCCATTCTCTCCACCTGGACTGCATAGCTGGCTGCTTCTACTCGGTATTACTTAGTTCAAACATCACCCCCTCGGAGAAATCTCTCCTCACCGCCTTAGCCAAAGCACCTCCTCTCCTTTCCAGCCATTCTCTATCCTCTTTAAATTAGTTTCATGGCATTTGCACTATCTCAAATGATATTATTTATTTTTCCACTTGATAATTTCCTTGCCCTTTTCATTGGAAGTGTAAGCTATGCAGGGCAGGCATTGCACCTGTCTTGTTCATGCCTGTATTCCCACTCTCCAAAGCAGTGCCTATTATGCACTCAATAAATATAGTTTTGGAGGAATGAACGAGTGGATAAGCACCAGTTATGTTCTGGTGACACCATGGTTAACAAATCCCAGACATCATTATTAGGTTGGTGCAAAAGTAATTGCGGTTTTTGCCATTCAAAAGTAATAGCAAAAGCCACAATTACTTTGGCATCAACCTAATACCTTCATGGAGCTTATAATCTAGCCGTATTAGCTGATTTACTGGCAAACTCCATTCAGTGCTCAAAGCACAGAGCTATAGGGTTGAGTTCTCTTGTCCATGCCCTTTCTACTCTCCAGTTTTCCTAGGTCTTGGATCCTCTCACCATGATCTCCATCCCTCAACACACAGGCTCAAAAGCAGCACTCAGAAGAGCAGCTGCTGTGTGCAGTACTTTCCCCCTCCAAAGCAGAGCTGTGACGGGAAGTCTTCCAGGACAAATTAGAATCTCATTTCCTATCAGAACAGCCTAGCACCTGTTCTGCAGATTGCTGAAAACACTGGCCCAAGATCCAGCTTACCATATAAATTGATGTAACGGATGCAGCTCTCGACTACAAGCGGTATAGCTTGTCCTGAATCCTTGAGAAAAGAAAAATTGTGAGTTTTATGGGGCTTGACAACCACCACAGGAAAAAGACATTGCAAACACCGATTACAGACTCAAGCCAGAATATTAGTACCATCAGATTAGTAGGAAAACAAGCAAGGAACTGCTAATCCTAAAGTCTCCACGGACAGTTACAATAGAGAGTCTTCAACTGTATGCACAAAAAGGCATAGCTATGATTATTTTAAAGAAATGCTCTTCTTCTTACCCAACTGGAAAGGAACCTGGGCTCAGGAGGCCTGGCAGGCCCACTTGGGCAGTGGAGAGGGAACCACCTCGGGGGGGTGCTGGAGTCTGGCCTTGAAGAGTTCTCTGCCTCCCCCTCCATTTTGTCCCAACTCAACACTATTTTCTCAGTGCTCAAGGATCAAGTCCTCATCCTATTACTGCAGTACCTGATGTCAGAATTAAGGGCACACCAGGGGGGAAGCAAGGCTGGCCCCTGGTGGAAATTTTGAGCTCTAAGAAAAGAAGACCAGTTCTACTCATGAAGTCACAAGTAAACACCCAGATGCATACTGCATTTAACAGTAAACATGTCACAGGGAAAAGCTCTAGAGGCAGCCGATGTCAGCCATTGGCCATCCAGGGGCCAACCTTACTCTAAAAGGCTGAAAAAGATGCAATTCTCAACACAGGCACCTGGGATGTGAATGTATTTTCAATGACATCTTCCTAGACTGGTCTACAGCCACAAATGATTATGGCGGAGGGGAAACATTTTCTTTTGGATTCCATTATTTGTTGACCTCTCTGTTATTCCAGGTCACTTAAAGAGCATCAAATTCTTTTAAACTTTCTTTAAAAGGGGCCAAATCAAAGGCCTAGCCTCCTCACAACGTGAGTAAACCATGAGGCACATGTAATATGCTCTTGTGAAGACAGCATGGATTTGGATATGTTCTTGGCTCCTCCACACCCCACCTGTGAATTCTTTCCTTGATTGACTGTGCCCAGGGACAGGACAAGAATATGGACCCATCAGCAACAGGCAAGGTGGGCTCTGTTCTGGAAGTCAGCACTAAAGACAGTTTCCATCACGGTGAATGGGGCTAATGGGCCTTTCTAGTAAATACCTGGTTCCTGGTTCGAGCATTTCTTCTTCCTCTGATAACAAAAAATAAACAGGCAGCAGAGCAGGAGAAAAAGAAAAGATTATGCAGGAATAAGATCAGTTAGAGTAAGCAGATCCTTCAGAGTCCGTGAACGCCGAAATGCAATGGCAGCCAGCCAAGGTCCTGGGGAGCCTGCCAAACAGCCGGCCTGTGGGGAGAGCCACCCTCAAGCCTGGAAGCTTCATGGGACTTCTGGAAGCCACCCAGCCAGCCTTCCCATGTGGCTGCCTTAGCTGCCCTCCCAGACACCAGCTGACATGGGGGCCTCTTTCAGTCCTTGTGAAAGAGCAGCAACTGTGTGGACTGGACCCATTCCCATCCCTGTACCTAGCTTCTCTTCAACAAAAGGGACTGTTTATGCACCCATGGACAAAAGCTACCTACGACCCCATAAGTTATTCCCAGCTGCCCACAAAAAGGAGAGAAATACACCTTTATGTCCACTGGAACAATGTCTCTGGAATTCAGCTCAAGAAACATTCTTGGTGAAAAGTTCAGTTCTAACAAGATCATGTCTACAAGGTACCCTCTGGATAGATGCCCATAGGTTTCCACCTGATGCCAAATTCCAAACAGCTTCCCATGTTTCCCTGCCGTACACCCTAAGTTGCTTTTCTTGGGTATCCACTTGGCTTTGCTCTCCTTCCTCCCCTCTTGACCCTTACACTGGCATTAAGGAATACAAAAGCTGAGGAAGGCCTGGAGGAGAAAGGGAAGTTGAGTCAGAATGCCTTCATGAGCTTGGGGGCAGAACTGGGGCCTTTACTTTCACTAAAAGCCACTGATGATGCCCATTTTCAGGGGAGCGCCATCGGCTCTTTCCACCTGTGCAGCAGGTCCATCTCTGGGGTGAGCACTTGTCCCATCCAGGCTCCTGGAGGATGTGTGCCTTCTAGCTAGAGTCATCTGTCCAGTTCTCAGCATCTCGACAGCTGGAATTGTCTGCTACCTGACATGCTGACTAAATCTACCAGAATCCCAGAACTGAGCAAACAGCCTGGTCGAACAGGCTGTATGAGCAATATGCTAACATTAATGCTAATAATCATAGGTAATACATAGTGCTTACTATGTGCCATCCAGTGCTCTAGAAACATAACATATAGTGGCTCATTTAATCTTCCTCACAAACTCATGAAGTAGGTAATTGTCATGCTTATTTTACAGAAACAAGAAGAGGATTCTCCCCTTGTCCCAGAGGTGAACCTCCTGGGCTTCAAAATTGGCTCTTATAAAAATGAGTTCTCCTTTTGCCTGAGAGGAGGAGGAAAAAACATCAAGGATTTTGAAAGGGGTTTGTTTATTCAGGTAGGGTCCAAGAAATGTATAAAACAAACTCCAGCAACATTTACTTATGATTATGAACCCAGGGGATGCTTCCTTGTCCCTCTAGACCACCATAATTGTGAAGTCCCAGTGATGTTATTTTATTAAAAAAACTTTTCACAGGTGTGGTTTTTCAAAGCTGGGGACTCTTAGTTCAATGTTCTTTCAGAAGGCATGTGAATTATAATAGAAAATTAAATTCCATTCTCAATAGTTGAAGGATTGAATACATTATACTGCCTTTTCATTCTCTGAAAGTTAATAATCTTTCACAGTAAAACTGTGCTGTAAAACATTGACCACTTAGCTCATAGTAGGTGCACAGTATGAGTTTATTGAACTGTGCTGATGGTATGTGATGAGTACAGTGTGACTATAAAGCAACGCAATAGTAAGGCCAAGTGCAGTGGCGCATGCCTGTAATCCCAGGACTTTGGGAGGCCCTTGGGAAGGATCCCTTGGGCCCAGGAGTTCAAGACCAGCCTGAACAACATGGTAAGATCCTGTCTCTACAAAAAAAAAAAAAATTATTTTTTAATCAGCCAAGCATGGTGGTGCATGCGTATAGCCCCAGCTACTCGGGAGGCTGAGGTGGGAGGATCACTTGAGCCCAAGAGGTCAAGGCTGCAGTGAGCCGTGATTGTGCCACTGTACTCCAGCCTGGGCGACACAGCAAGACTGCCTCAATAAATGAATGAATGAATGAATGAATGAATGAATGAATGAATGAAATAGTATTTAACAAACACACCTTTTTTCCCAGTCAAATGAGTATTATTCCTCCAACTTTTCCCCTTAGGAGGTGATGCACTTATTCCAACAGCGCTGCCACTGCTCAAGTGCTCTGGGCTGTCGCTGCTGGGGTGCTCTTTTCAGAGCCAGTGGAACAGCCCCACTGTAGCATATTCCTCTTGCCATTTTGCACCTCCAATGGCATCGCAAAGCTCAGCTTCAAACGGAGCTTTCTATTCCAAAGACAAGGTGTCCATTTGAATACATAGTCTTGGCCCCACTGGTAAAGGCCATGCTCCAGGCTCTAAAGAAGATTGACCAAAGCAGCTGCAGCAATGCCAACACATTCAGGTAAGAAGGTGGCTTCCCAAGGTGACTGTCTCAAAGGGGCAAACACTCATGTGGTTGACTAGGTTATGATGTGTTGGTCAGAAGGAATAAAGTCAGATAACTTTATAGTCACATCTTATATATAGGACCCCTCTATTACGAAAATACTTAACTCAACAGAATATCTACTTGTCAAGTACTGTCAGATAAGAGTTGATTCCTTCCAAGTATCCTGACTGATCACCCATTTCCAAAGACCTAAGCAAACTGAGGATGTCCCTGTCTCTGAGCCTTCATTCCTTCTGTTCTTCCTTTCAATAATTCCTTCTGTCCTTTCATTCTCCTCTGTATTCCCATCTTTCTCTCAAAGCCCCTCCAGAAGCCTACTGTGCTTGAGCTCATAGCTCTTCTTGCTCTGAACTTCTTTTTTTTTGTTGTTTATTTTTGAGACAGGATCTTGCTCTGTCACCGAGGCTGGAGTGGCATGACTGTAGATCACTGCAGCCTTGATCTACCAGGCTCAAGCCATCCTCCCACCTCAGCCTCCCAAAGTTCTAGGATTACAAGTGTGAGCCACTGCGCCTATCCTAAACTTGTTTCTGTGGGGATAACTCACCAGGTGCTCATCCTAAATCACCTTCCACTTTCTGCCTTTTGTGTTTAAAATTGCCCAAGCTCCACTACTGACTCCTTGAGGGAAGGGAGAGTAACTAGCCCCTTCTTGGCCATGGACCATGGCTCTTTTATGGGCAAGGATGAAAGAAGAAAGTCTTGGAGGAGAGAGGAGGGAGGATGGAGACAGAGGATTCCTTTGGTACAGCCCTGCCCTCCCATGACCCAGTAAACCACTCCCTCTGGGTCACCTCCTGATCTTCCTTCCTGATGCATCCATGGGCCCTTCCTTTTGGGAATCCTCTACGCTTTGGTCTTCTTAGGCATCCTACAGCAGCCCCTGACATCCTTCGACCCTGGGCAGTCCCAACTTGGGCCCTGGTCTTCCACTTGCCCTTTTCCCCACTCTCCCTTCCCCAGAACTCAGCCCACAGGCAGAGACAGTCCTGGGACCCAGGCTGGTCCTGCTTACCCCCTCCCCTGCCTAAGGCCAAACTCATATATCCAGTCTTTTGCTGTCCTGCAAGTCTTGTGCTGGACCCTGTCTGAGGATCACAAGTAGACAGCTGGAGCACGAGCAGCCTCCAAAACCCCCAAATCATTGGCAAAGCCCAGGAGCCTTTGTTTTTTCTCCTGATTGATATCTATCATCTTCTCTGAAGAAAGTGTCTTCATTAGAAGGTAGTGGGCTCTCAAATCAGTTGCAGGGACTTCCCTGCTTCCTCTAAGTAATGTTAAGAGTGCTTCTCCCCTTCCTCAAGTATCTCCCCAGCTGCTGCTCTTCGCTTCTCCATCTTCTTAATTTCCCTTGAGCCATTATATCTGATATGGCTTAATCTCATACCCTTTACACCAAAGAGAAAAGAAAAGAGAAACTCGCCTAGCTAAACTACTTCAATTTTTAGTTTAAGGTACAAAGGATTAACCTAGAATTCAAAAGGGACAACCTCAACTTTTCTCCCTTCTCCCAGACCACCTAACAGGAAGCAAAACTAGGTGGGAGGATTTTCTCTTATAAAAAATGTATGTGTTTCCTTTGCTGGTATATATGCAACTAAAAAAAAAATTCACGTGTATAAAAACACACTGATACCCACAGGGATTTCCTCTGTGTTGCTTTCAATCTAGCTCCTCTTGGGAGATGTAGGTGTGAAGTGAGGGAATGGGGTTTCTCTGACTGTCCCTCAGGTGTTAGGACTGCAGTTGCTGAAGCAATGAAGCGTGAATGAAGTGTGGCATTTCAGCCATACTTGGACTTCCCTGAGTTCTTTCATGATCTGAATCCCTACCCCCAGGGCTGAGAATTGCGCAGGGCACTTAGGAGCAAATGGTTAGAAGCCACGGCAGCTCCCGTGAAAAGTCCTTGCTGAAGCTAAGAGCAGGCTGCAGTGAGGAACTAGCTCCACAGGGCCTGGCCAAGGACAGGGCTGTCTGCTGGCAGGGAGGCGGGCGGACAGAGGCTGCCATTACATTGGGTGCATTCGCGGACTCCACGGCTCCCCAGCAAGTACCTTAATGAATGCTTCCATACTGCCGTTAAAGAGTTTATGGCTATACACTGAGAGAGGCCTAGGTCTCCTCATTTTCTGTGGTTTAGGGGGAAGACAGGGGGGCCTAGGGGAAAACGGAACAAAAGAAATCAAGAAAGCAACCAACATAAACATACAACTGGGAAAGATGCTCTTAAAACCCACGACTAAAGGGGAACACAAAATGTAAATGGAAGCCCCTGACCCCCCGCCAAGACATTGGTTTCCAATGTTCCATCTGAAGGCCTTTGGATGTTTTAGGGGACCTTAATTTACCCACAATGCCAAGCAGGAGCAACTCTTACATAACTCAAATGCATTCTAAATCTTAGGGGGAATATAGTACATGTGCAAGAAACCACTGAAACTCCAATCAGAGGCTGTCATCCTGCAAAGCTGACCAGATGGAGGGGGAATCAGGGGAGAGAGATGTAATCTGTAGCCCGAGAAAGCAAGAGACTTTCAAAAATGATTGTGAGGGTTAATTTTCATTATTTTGGTTTAAATTTATCACCAAGTCTCAACTCCCAATGTACCAGGGCACTGATCTTCCTAATGCCTCTTGGCATTTCAAATGCACTTGACTGATCTTTACTTCATTGATCTAAGAGCCAGGCAATTACTATTCTCATTTCAGAGATGAAGAAACTGATGCCATGAGGGAGGCTGCAACTTCTTTGGGGTCCCTGGGTGACCCCAGGATAATGGTAATATCCTGCTCTTTAGTCAAGTACACTTTCTTTTCTTTCTTTTTTTTTTTTTTCCTTTTTCTTTGAGACGGAGTCTTGCCCTGTCGCCCAGGCTGGGGTGCAATGGCATGATCTCAGCTGACCGCAACCTCTGCCTCCCAGGTTCAAGCGATTCTCCTGCCTCAGCCTCCCGAGTAGCTGGGATTACAGGCATGTACCACGACACCCAGCTAATTTTTTGTATCTTTAGTAGAGACAGGGTTTCACCATGTTGGCCAGGCTGGTCTTGAACTCCTGACGTCGTGATCTGCCCGCCTTGGCCTCCCAAAGTGCTGAGATTACAGGCATGAGCCTCCTTACCCAGCCTCAAGTACATTTTCAATTAAAGCACTTTCAAATCCATTATTATACTTAATACCATCTCAACCCTGTGCATGTGGCCCCATTTTACAGAGGCAGAGACTGAAGCCTCCTGTGAAGGAGAACTGACAGAGCTGGAGCCCAAACCCAGGACTCTTTGGCTCCAAGTTCAGGGCTTTTCCTACCAGGCCACCATCATGGAGCCTTAGGGCACTTTTTTATTTCCAGCCAAGGACTCATCTACCCCAGTAACCTTTGCCATGGGATCAGGTTGAAAGTGTCTTGCTTTACTTTAGGATTTCCATTCCTAAAGTGTGCTCCACTCTTGGCCACAGGGAGGGGTAACCACACCACAGTTCACCAGAGAAACAGCCACAAACACTGGACCCGTTTCCAGAATTGCTCACCATGCATATACCTGTGTTGGCTTATTTGCTCATTTCACCACACAAGTTGGCCTGACTCAATGGTGCCAGCCTTCTGGGGCAAAGGCCTTTTGAAGGTTAAGAAGAGGGCCCCTAACCAAGAGAGGCAGTTCATTTTCAAATGGCTTGGTTCAAAATTTGGGTAGCAACAAGTGGGGACTCAGCCAGGCACAGATAATGTCCACACATGACAAGCAAAGACCTGGTCCCCCAAGTCTTGATTGATTTCTGTGAGCGGGCAAGAAATCTTCCAGACTATGCAGCCAATCAGGATTAATGAGATTCATGCTGCCTCTGCTGACTGGGCTTGTGGTACCTGTCTCCTTCGGTAAGCCAGCCATCCCCAGGGACCTCTAACCAACTTCTCCTAGGTGTTTGAGTATTGAGCAAATGCTGCTAGCTCCAGTACATGCATGGGCAAAAACCAGGTGAATCCAAATATCATGCCACCCAAACAATGGAAACAAAATAACAGCACAGATCAAAATTTTGAAAAGAAACAACAGGCAAGATTCTTTCAAGCCCATCTTGGATCTATGTCAATTTGGTTAGCTAAGTCCATGTCATTTATTTTTCAAAAATTACTTATTTTTTTTTGAGGATGTATGTATGTGGGGTGGGATTTCTTACAAGAGCTGCTCTTAAATTTTCAAATACCAAAGGCAAAAGAGAGTGTCAAAAATGTGACACAAGGCCAAAGGTTTTAAGTTTGGGGATTAGAAATAACTTGATGATAGCAACATTGTCACCCTGTTTTCATAGTGTTTGGCTTGTTTTTGAACATTCCCAGATCATTTCCTTATCACATTGCATGACAACCTCACAACAACCCTGTGAGGCTGGGAAAGAATATTCAATTCACTTTACATACAAGGCCAGTGAGCCCACAAAAGATGAAGAAACTTGCCTAAGGTCACACAAATAAAATGTGATTGAGGCTGGTGGTAAAATTCAGCTCTTCCTACTCTCAAGGATCTAGTGTGAGTATGAAAGTGATTTTATCATAGAACATCCAGAAGTAACATTAAATTATCTGTTAAATTCTCATGGCCAGGAAGAGCGGAGACTCTAAAAGCAGGTGTTGGACACTCAATATCAAAAAACCTACGGTGCCCAACTGGAGGGTTTCCTTAAAAGAAAGTCCTAAGTGTTTTTTGTTTTTTCTTAAATTCTACAAAGTGGAAAAAAGGGGAAATAGCATATGTTTTCCCATTTTTCCTGCCCAATCCAGAAAGCAAAGGACTGTGTGAATCACACGAGGATTTCTTTCTTTGTGTGGTGCTCTGTGCACTGTCTGGAATCTCTGACAAGGAAACGTAGCTATCCCAACTTTGCACAATATCAAATCTATATCGACTTACTGAAGTGCTGGGTGGGGCACAAAGTGGGGAGCAGGGGGGCAGCTCGGCCAAGGAAAGTGGGGCAGCCTAAGCCTTCCATCTCTTCTGCTGCTCAGATGCAGAGCAAAAAGGAAAGAAAGAAAGAAAGAGAGGCAGGGAAAACAGGAACAGAGAAAGCCACAGAGAGGAAGAAAGAGAAACCAGAGACCAATGTCCCCTTTCTGCCTTTTAATCAAGATGAAAATTAACACACGTTGGCAACACAGGAAATAGCCTCAAAATTATCCTGCAACTAAAGGGATGTGATGAAAAATTCCCCTAGATAACCTAATAGACTTGGAGGTCAACATCCCAAATGGTGGCAATGCTGTAGGGCAATGCCAGTCGGGCCCTTGGAGGCTATTCATGGGCTGTGTACTGCGTTGCATCTGCCTGAACAAGATCTCAAGTGATTTCACCTCTAATCCAGACCACGAGGGCATGTCAACCTGGGTAAGGGGAGCCAGACATTCATTTGAATCACAATAATCAAACCTTATATTTGCATCTTGCTTTGACATTTGCAATACGCTTTTAAACTTAAGTGCATTATCACATCTGGCCATCCTGAATTACAGGGTTATTATGAATTTGGTCTATTCTAAGATAAGGTTCTGAAGTGTGAGAAAAATATAACATGCTGCAGCCCATATGCAACACCAGTTCCTCTATACAAGGTCAACAGCAACTTAGCTGAGGGGATCCTGCTCAAATAACCATCCAGAAATGATATCCACCTCGTGTGGGAGTCCATGGAAGATACAGAGAGAGCCATAGGACAGAGACATTGTTAGCAACAATTTCCACAAGTTAAATCATGATTTTGGAGGTAAGGGGAGACTTTTAGTTTACTAACAAAGTTGTCTTTGACCTTGACCAGGAACCAGAGTACACAGGGCTATGTCTGCAATTGAACGCAGGGTAGCTGCAGTTGAATGCAGGGTGTCTAAGTGGGAGGTCTGATAAACTCAGCTTGGATTTCCCAGGCCCTAGGTCAAGGAGGGTGTGGAAGACAACACTTCAGAGGGCTTTATTTAAAACACAAAACAAAACAAAACAAAACAAAACAAAACACACAAACCCTCAACTTTCCCCTGAGGGAAGACCCTGAGACCTGGCCAAGTGTTTGATTACAGATCTCCTCTCCCACACTCTGCTGGAACAAACTTCTCTGCGTGAGTTCTAGGAATTAGGAGGAAGTGAGGGACAGCTCAATTCATCCCCCATCTGTTTCACTATTTGCAGAATTTGGTGTAAAATACAGCTTCTGTTGTTTTGAGACTATGACAACATTCTCTCGCCAGAAAAGAAAAAAAAATTATAATGGGTTCGTTTCTAAAAGGTTCTTCGAAAGTGACCCTGCACATCTGCCGCCCCGTGTGCTGGAAGGGCCTTGCCTGGTGTGAATCATCCTGATGTTTCCAAATTGCCAGAGCCCAGAGGAACAGCTGTACGGGCTGAACTTCTGCCAAGCCCTCCGTCTCCCCATCCTGAGCCCAGGAAACTGAAAACCCCAGAGGTTGCCAAGACTTTGCCCAACTCCCTTCCCAAGGAGCAGGAGAGAGTTGGGAGTTCATCTTTGCTCTTGCCAAACATGAGGGCTTCCCAGGATTTGGGGCCACTGGAAAGCATTTGTGGGAAAAGAAAGAATGCCCTCAGGTCCCTGGGCCCAGAAAGTGAGGCAAAAAGTAGCGCTCTACTGCCGTGTGATGGAAAAGTGCAGGCCTCTGGGCCACTGGCTGAATTCCAGCTAGGCAGTGCAATATCTCTTAATAGGAACATAGAAATGAAATAGGCTCTAAGCAAACAACCTGGCCAGTGACAGAGCCACTTATGGATCTAAGCTCTCTGAAAGGGAAGTAAAGTCAGCCCCTGGGCTATCAGCTGCTGAGTGGAAAGTGTTCACTGGCTCTGGTCTGCTCAGGAAAAAGCGCAAAAGGGAATGTTGAACAAGCTGAAGAGAAAGCAGAAGTTGCCCGTGTGTTACTTTCCGTCAGCTCATCCAAGTGCCCGTGAGGTCCAAGCTAGGGTGTGGACGGCAGGAGAGTCTGTGCACGCCTATGCACATGCGTGTGCCCAGCTGCGCGCAATCTGAGCCTGGCCCAAAGCCTTGGTACATGGGGACCTCAGGCTGGGCCTCGCAGCATGGCTGGGCAGTTTGCTCAGCATGGTGTAGCAGGTGGGAAGAGAGGTCAACAGCCACCCCACAGCCTCTGGCCCCTACAGGCTGCCCTCAGCCACTCTGAGTAGACAATACTGTCTCACCCGATGGCCAGCGCAAAGGGAGGGTGCCCCACTGCCACACAGCAGCCCCAAAAGCGCCCCTTCCATCGCCAGCCTGGAGGGGCGTGGCTTTGTCAGTCTAATGCTAGAACAAGCAAAGCAGCAACTGTGCCTCACCTGGGCACACCCACACCGGCCCTTGGGGACATTGGTGAAGAAGCCATCCCTGCTTCTCCAGCTCCTGGCAGTGCCTCCCCAGCCCCATCCCACTCCCACCTCGGGCAGCAGATGAAAGAAAACACAACTCTCCCACTCTCACCTGGTGGTGCCGCATTCTGCTCTTTCCCCTGCAAAGAAAAGTATACATGAATGTTTAATTGCCTTTTCTTTTTAATCCAAAGAACATTCATCTTTTTCTAAAAACAAAATACAATGAGTCTTAATTATTTATGAAATATGAAATCTAATTATGCCTAAGGTGCGGTCTGTTGAAAAGAACTGCGTCTTATTAATTCTTCATTAAAAGCCTCCTGTTTGTAGGGCTGTGTTCACACACACATTATTGTTCACAGACATATTTTCAGTGATTCTCAAACTACAGCCCGCTGACCACTTGCATCAGAAACATCTGGGGGTCTTGTTAAAGATGCAGATTTCTTGGCTGTCTCATGGGTCTTCTGAATCAGAATCTCTGAGATAAAAACCCAGAAATCTGCATTTTAACTACCACCCCTGGTGATCACTTCTATGCCTCCCAAAGTTCAAAAACTCCTGCAATGTTTAATGGCAACAAAGATTGACCGAGCCCCTGTTGTATGCCTGGCACTGAAGGATACCAGCCGTAAGGCTGGTGCTCCTCCACCCTGCTGCCCTGCCTCTGCCTTCATTCCCAGCTGAAGATCTTCTCATTTTCTTTACTGGAAAAGAAAATCAAGTACTATGGGTTCTCCATGTGCATGCCTCCACGAGGCCCTCCCACCTACCTGCCAGACAAAGCCCAGACCTTCTCCTTATGCCCTGGTTCCATCCCCTCTGTCCTTCTGGGGGCCTTAGTTTCTGCAGGTATCTCCCCTCTCGCTAGCATCACCAATCTCCTCTCTTCTGGACCATTTCCAACAGCATATCAACATGTTCTGGATATGCATGACCTAGCTTTTAACCCTTCTGTTGACCCCATTTCTCCTTCCAGCTACATCCTCATTTCTCTGCTCTTCTTTACAGCACAATTCCCTGAAGGAGATGTCTGGAGGCACTACTGCTTCCTCCCCTGCTATTCCCTCCTCACCTCTTTGCAGCTAGGCTTCTGTCCTCATCCCTGGGCTGACACTGCTCTTGTCAAGGTCAACACTTAAGGGCAACAAGGATCTCCTTGAGGCTGAATCCAATGGTCTTCTCTGTCCTTATCGTACCTGACCTCTCCGCACCATGCTGCTCAGTTCACGACTCCCTTCTTACAAAGCTCTCTACTCTTCACTTTCATGACTCCACACTTTCCAGGTGTTCTTCCTGCCCTACAAGTTCCTCAGTTTCTCCTGTCTCCTCCTCATTCTGCCCAACCTCAAACCTCAAAATGTTGGAGTGCCATCAGGACACAGACCCAGGGCTGCTTTCCTTTTCTACACATCCTCTCTAAGTGACCGCAAGTGCTTACCAAGGACTCCCTACTCTATGTCCAGATCTTACGCTTCCCTAGAATTCCAAACTCAGATGCACTGCAATCTTTTATAAAAATAGCATAACTGAGGTATAATTTATATATCATAAAATTTACCCATTTGGAGTGTATAATTCAGTGATTTTTAGTGACTATTCAAAGTTATGCAACCCTCACCAGAATTCAGTTTGAAAATATTTCCATCCCCAGAAAAAGATCTTTCATGCCCACTAATAGTCACTCCCTGTTCCTGCCTCCGGCCCCTGGCAACCCTAATCTACTCTCTGTCTCTACAGATTTGCGTAGTCGAGACATTTTATATAGATGGAATTATACAAGATGTGGTCTTCTGCATCTGGCTTCTTTCACTTAGCATAAAGCTTTTGAGGTCTATCCATATAGTACGGTTTAGTAATTCATTTCTTCATATGACTTGGTAATATTCCATCATATGCACAGACCACATTTTCTTTATCCACTCAACACAAATTGCCTTCTTTTATCTCAAACCTTAAATGTTTCCCATAGCACTCTTTCTTTCTATGCCCCAAACCTACTTTCACCCAAGTCTTCAATATCTCAATAAGTGGATATCCACCTCCCCTCTTCTTTAAGCCAGAAGTCTAACAGGTGCTCTCCTTGAAAACTGTCTTTCCTTCATAAATTAAATTTGTCCACTTCTCTCCACTTAACACTATCTTCTTAGTCCATGCCATGCTTGTCTCTTACCTGGACGACTTTCTTTTTAACTGGGTCTCCTATTCCACTACCATCCATTCTTGCCTCAGCAGCCAAGCAATCTCTTTAAACTGTAAATCAGATCATGTCCTTCCCTTGCTTAGAACCCTCCAATAACCTCTCATCGCACAAGGGACAAAATCCAGACCTCTTACTCTGTTTTATAAACCCTTTGAGGTCAGAGTAGACCCTTCAAAATGCTACTCCATCTCCTCAGGCTGCTTTCTCCTTTGTGTGCTCTGCTACAGATGCAGAGGCCTCTGTGTGGTCCTCAAGTAGGCGTTTGCATTTGCTGCCTGGAATTCTCTTGCTCCCAACACTTGCATGGCTCATTTCACCTTGTCTTTTGGGTCTCAACTTAAAAGCTGTGTCCAGAGACAAGCTTCCTCTATCTTTATTATTTATTTTATTTTTATTCTATTCTATTCTATTTTATATTATTTTATTTATTTTAGACTCTGTTGTCCGCTCAGGCTGGAGTGCAGTGGTGCAATCACAGCTCACTGCAACCTCAGTCTCCTGGGCTCAAGCAATCCTCCTGCCTCAGCCTCTTGAGTAGCTGGGACCACAGGCACATACCACCACACCCAGCTATTTTTTTCTAGTAGAGATGAGGTCTTACTATGTTGCCCAGGCTTCTTCCTCTATCTAAAGCACACACTTGTCTCTTTATATCACGTTTCTCTATTTAAATTATCAATACATGTAGCTTATCATTAATATTTTTCTTACTTATTATTTGTTTACTTGTCCACTGCCAGTCTATCTCCATTGGAAAATACTGTGTTCTGTGAGAGAAGGAATCTTGTCAGTTCTTAAAACTGCGCTGACACCAAGGTCTTGGGCAGTGTTTGGCACAAAGTATATGCTCAACAAATATTTGTAGAATGAGTGAATGAATGAACAAGTGCTCTATCTGCAAGAAGCTTAGTACCAAATGAGTCAATAAGCAGATTACACGATAGTGTAATAAGTGCTGCAGCACAATTGTACACAGGGTGTCATTCCTGTCACAACAGATGAGCAAATGGACTTGGAGATATGGAGTGACTTTCCCAAGTCCCTGCTAAGTGTAGAGTCTGGATTCCAATCCAGGTTGCCTAACTTCAAGTCTAAGTTTACCCAGGGAAGCTGGTTCCACCTCCACAAACACAAGGTGAGGGAGAACAGATGTCCCCAGCAGTATATGCCTCCGACCCAGGGACTCCCTGAAGGCAGCATTTGGCTTCTTATAATATCCCCTCTTCAGGGATGCCACACATTAGAGGACAGCTGCCTTGGCAAGGGTATGGCACTCAAAATGAAGAGATTAAATAATATCTTTTCCTTCTCCTACCAAAACTGTACTGAAAACAAAGAGGTCTGAGTCCTACTGTTTAACTCTTTTATCAACTCACTGCGTGAGCTTGGACAAGCCACTTCCTTTCTTTGGGCCTCCATATCCTCAGTTTAAATTCTTCATTGCCTGTCTAGTACTTTGCAGATGCTGACATCCCTAGATCTCACTCACCAACTACCAGCAGTACTGTCCCCAGTCATGGCTCCAAAAATGCTCTCCGTTTCCTAATATTCTCAAGAACTGCTTCCAGTTCAGAATCTCTGAAACCAGTGCCATCTAGTAGAAATTTATACAAGCCACAATTTCTGGTAGCCACATTACAAAACGTTAAGAGAAACAGATGAGGCTGGGAGTGGTGACTCGTGCCCGTAATCCCAGCACTTTCGGAGGCCGACGTGGGTGAATCACTTGAGGTCAGGAGTTTGAGACCAGCCTGGCCAACATGGTGAAACCCCATCTCTACTAAAAACAGAAAAATCAGCTGGGCGTGGTGGCGGACACCTGTAATCCCGGCTACTCGGGAGGCTAAGACACAAGAATCGCTTGAACCCAGGAGTTGGAGGTTACAATAAGCTGAGATTGTGCCACTGCACTCCAGCCTGGGACCCCCAGAGCTAGACGCCATCTCAAAAAAAAAAAAAAAAGAGAGAGAGAGAAATAAGTGAGATTAATTTTCATGACATATTACATTTGACCTAATATCAAAAAGATTATAATTTTGATATGTGTCAATATAGAAAATCAATAAGATATTTTCTATTTTGTGTGTATGTGTGTACTAACTCTTCAAAATCTGGTGTTCATTTTGCACATCCCAATTCAGACTAGCCATGTTTCAAGTGTTCATCAGGCACACATGGCTAGTGGCCACCATACTGGACAGCACAGCTCTCAACTCTGGAATCCCACCTAGCACTAACATTAAAAGACTTTTAGAAGAAAGAATCGAGCATTTTATTTACAGAAAAAAAAAAAAAAGGCAGAATAGGGCCAGGGAGGGAAATAAGGAGAGGAAGAGAGTAATCTGGGTCTGAAAATAGAACTTGGGGCAAATCAACAGGCAACTCCTTAATTCCTGAGCAAAGCCACAAGCAGTTACATGGGTGGCTGCAGTTGGTGGAATTGGAACCAAAGACCAAAGCAGGAAAGGAGAAAAGTTCGGTAAAACAGGCAAATTTGTCCTGTTTGATTTGACTGTGTGTCTGGAGTCAAGGGCAAATTCCTACCAGACACCAGTTTGGATAAAATTTTCAGGTAGACACAAGCCCTCCTGTTAGAGCTGATGGCAGCCCATGAAAGTGGTCAGGCGATGGCCTGGGATTGTAGTGAACAAGGAGTGTTGATTTCCTGTTCCCCCTCCTCTGGGTTCCCAAACCGTCCACTCTTCTGTGTACTCAACAAGTTACAATACCCTTCTCTCAATTCTTCTGACTCACCACATCCTTTCCCGCATTTGCAAATGTTGTCCCCTCTTCCCCAAAAACTCTTTCCCTGGTTTTTCACTTGGCTGATGTCTTCTCATCCTTTAGTTTCAGCTGAAACAGCAACTCCCCTAGGAAGCCTCTCTGATCACCCTATCTAAAGCAGGTCCCCCCCATCTCTCCCAAACACACACACCATTGTTCTCTATCTCAGCCCAAAGTTTTCATTCATGGCACTTAACACAATTATAATTCCCACCCCCAGCTGTTTTTTAAGAGACAGAGACTTGCTCTGTCGCCCAGGCTGGAAAGCAGTGGCGTGATCTTGGCTCACTGCAGCCTCCACTGCCTGGCCTCAAGTGATTCTCCTGCCTCAGCCTCCTGAGTAGCTGGGATTACAGGGCCACCACCACACCGGGCTCAATTATCATTGTTTACTTAGTAGTTTGTTTACCGTTTGAGGTCTCTCTTTTCCATGAGGGCAGGGACCTTACCTTTCTCGTGTACCACTATCTCCCCAGGCCTGGCCAAACAAAATGCCTGCGCTCTTGGATAGATGGGTGAACAGAAGGGGGCAGGTAGAAATCAAAGGTTTTAGGATGTGGAGTGGAATGTCAGAACACACTGAAGGAAAACTTTTCTCTGACGTGGAATCTAATATGCTGTCTTTCAGCTTCAGACTCACATTCCAGCTCTCAAGAATCCCACAACCAGCATCTTTAGAAACAGGGTGACTGTCTCACAAATATGGGAAATCAAAACTTGCCTATCCTTTACCTTCTGAGACCTGTTGGGATTTTAAAAATATATTTTATAGTTGGTGGTTCAGTAATTTTCTAGAAAGTCAGATGGCCTGGTCCTGGTGGCCATTTTGCTCTGTGATGGGCAATTAAAGTTGGCATGAAAAGGTCATGCTCCTTCCCTTTTATAGGTGGCACACTGTTCATTCATGCTTGAGGGACTTTCAAAAATTCAAAAACCAACCGCATCTTGAGTGTAAACCCTGGAGCTTACAGAATACCCACACCCCAGAGCAATAAAAAGGTTATAAGTCTAAGACTCAGAGATGATGATAAACTGAGAATTCTCTGGCCAATAAAATGGCATAGCAACAGCCAAGGTATGTGCTCTTGCTCCCGAGAAGCGCCAGTGACATCCTTTGTAACAGGGAATGCCATTTGCCAAGCACCTGGAAGCTTTTTGACTTGCATGTCTGGGGTCAATCATGTTCTCAAATCCACTTTTAAGTAAAGCTGACCCAAAAGACCTTGGGTTTCATCTAACTTGTAGTTTCCTTGAGCCATCCTGTCAAAAGAGTACAGCAGTCCACGCTTATCTGTGGGGAATATGTTCCAAGACCCCCAGTGGATGCCTGAAACTGTGGATAGTACCAAATCCTACATGTCCTCTGTTTTTTCAATCTGATAACCAAGGCAGCTACTAAGTGGCCAGTGGGCGGGTACCATATCCAGAGTGGATATGCAGGACAAAGGGAGGAATCACATCCTGGCAGAGATGGAGCCGCGATGGCGTAAGATTTTTGCTCAGCAAAGAAATTTGCTCAGCGTGCTCATCATGCTACTCAGAACAGCGAGAAATTTAAAACGTATGAATTGTTTATTTCGGGAATTTTCCATTTCATATTTTCAGGCCACAGATAACCACAAGAAACTGAAACCATGGAAAGCGAAACCACAAATAAAGAAGGGCTACTGTACTTTACAGAAACTGAGGCACTAGACATGATACTACAAAATAGCCCTCATACGGCATAAAAAGGCCACTGACGCAGCTGTAACGCTACCCTACTCTTAGAAGAGAATCCTACTGAATAGAAGAACCAAAACGCTCAGGAAAAGGTGAATCACCAGTTGACACTAAGAAGGATGAATTTGCTAAGATTCTGAGCTCTCTTTGGCCTGCTGAATTTTTTCCCTTCTTCCTTCACCCAATGGGCAATTTCCAATTGATCAATTTATCAATTAGGTCAGTGGAAATTCTCCCTTTTCACCCAGTGCCCTAAGAATCTACCTGTATCTTTATCGTGTAGTGGCTATATAAAAATGACTGGAGATTTGGTCTCAATTTATTCAGGGTCCATCTTTTTCAGTTATTCAGTAATTTGTTAACTTCAGTTAATAATAATGTACCATATTCATTAATGCTGACAAATATAGCATACTAATGTAAAATGTTAATAACAGGACAAACTAGATGTGGAGTATATGAAAACTTTATACTATCTTCCCAACTTTTCTGTAGCTCTAAAACTGTTTTAAAAGAGAAAGTTTACTTTAAAAAAAAAAAAAAAAAACTTCTGTAGAACTGACCAGTCTATCAAGAACCATCCATTTGTCAAAGGAAGCGCAGTGAGCCTCTCCACGGCCAGCTTACTGAAACACAGGATTACGGAGACTCTTCCAGTTGGCTTTTTCTTAGCTGCCCCTCTACTTCTGAAAATGCATTTTCCGGGAGGTTTTTTTTTATTGCTAATCAGCTCAAAACTCAGAAGAGAGACTGGTAGAGCAATCTTAGAGCAAGGCGTAGTTGAAGGCTAAATAAACTTGGAGGACCAAATGGACCAGGAGTTATGCCAAAACTAAGTATGGTGATAATGATGATGATGATGATGATGATGATGATTGATGATGACCGTCATCATCAATCATCATCATTTGAGTTGGGAACACAAAGCAAGCCCCCCCGGAGAATGGCGGCAATGAAAGCTGCCTTTGTCAGATAAGGGCCGCAGGAAGACAAAGCAAAGGGCCTCTTTATTCATCAAAGCTCCACTATGCTTCTGCACCAAGAAGGCGTGGGCAGGCCACTGCACCAGGCCCAGGATCGTATTTTTTAAAAGAAGATCTAGTTTTCCAAATTCAGCATCTAATTTCAAAAATGCAAGTAGCCACCAACTCATATGGTCCTACCTTTTGGTTAACTGGCTCATGAGGAATAGCCCCCTGCCCTGTGCCTATAAATACCAACCCTCCTCTTTAATGCTAGTCTTAGAAGCTGCCCCCATGGCACCCACACCCTGAGCTCCACTCTTGGACTCTCTCCCTTTCTCCTCCATTCTCACTGTTTTTCTTCCCTCTTTGCTACCCAAACTCCTCCACACCCCCTTTACCCGCTGGCCCAATACTGAAATGTCGGGATGGGTAAAATTTAGAGGGAAAGAATGAAGAAAAAGCTCACTGCAACTGAGTCTTCCCCCCTCCTACCCCCTAGTCAATGAGTTTTAACAAATGTCTACCCCCAAGTATAACCACCACTCAAAGCAGGATATGGAGCTTTTATTTCCGTCAGCCCCCAAAGTTCCCCAGCCCTTACTACCTAGAACACACAAAACTAATCTGCAGTGACAGAAATCAGATCAGAGTAGAGTGTGGGGTGCTGACTGCAAAGGAGCACGAGGGAATTTTTGAGGGTGACTGAAATGCTCTACCCCCTGATTTGGGTGGTGGTTGCCCATGCAGATGCAAAGGCCCTGGGGCAGGAATAAGCTTGGTGAGTCCTGAAGGGCAGAAATTTGCTCAGCATGGCTGCGGCACAGTAAGGAAAGGGAGAATGACTGATGAGGTCAGGGAAGCAGGCAGAAGCTAAGTGGTATAAGGCCTCATGTGCCGTGACAGCAGCTGGGATTTTATTCCAACTGCCACTGGAATGCATTGAGTGGCTTTAAGCCTAGTTGTCAGGTCCCTCGAGGGCCAAACCCTGACTTACATGTATGGATTTTCCTTCTCTGGACCTAGAACCCTAGCCAGACACTCCAGTAGTATTCCTTGCAAATAGTGTCTGCTGAAAAATGTCAGTGCCAGCCTCTGAGGCCCTGGATTCCCACTCCCTACCTGATGGATGCCCCTCTATCACTTTGCCTTGGACTGTCCCTGCCAACCTAAACTAAGACTTGTGGTTGGCCTCTATTTTCTTTTCTTTTCTTTTTTTTTTTGGAGATGGAGTCTCGCTCTGTCGCCCAGGCTGGAGTGCAGTGGCATGATCTCGGCTCACTGCAAGCTCTGCCTCCTGGGTTCACGCCATTCTCCTGCCTCAGCCTCCCGAGTAGCTGGGACTACAGGCGCCCGCCACCACGCCCGGCTAATTTTTTGTATTTTTTTAGTAGAGACGGGGTTTCACCGTATTAGCCAGGATGGTCTCGATCTCCTGACCTCGTGATCCGCCCACCTCAGCATCCCAAAGTGCTGGGATTACAGGCGTGAGCCACCGTGCCCAGCCTCTATTTTCTTTATTTTATTTTTTTTCTTTCTATTAATCAAAAAGCAACTCACACCCTCTATTTTCTATAGCCAGATTGGACCCCACAAGGCATCTGTACCAAGGTGATTTTCCCAGCCTGCCCAGTCCTGGTAAGTCCAGGTTCATTCTGCCAGGTGCCTGCTGTCTCAAGCCTGAACAGCTCAACACGTCAGGGGGCCACAGTGAGAGCCAGTGGGGAACGCAGCACCTCCCAGAGGGCCTCCACCAGCCCACTCACCTTCGCCCAGGGTCTGCTTGAGTAAATCGTGCTTGGCCTGCAGCTTGGTGATGAGGTTACTGCCATTCACATACTCTTTAAATTTCTGTAAGACACAAGGCACAAGGAAGTTATAGATTGCAAGGCCGAGTAATGGGATCTCTGCCTCTGCAACTGACCTCTGGGACACGGAAGCCGAACAGAGATCACGTCACCCGCAGGGACCCCGGCGCAGGGAACAGAGAGGCCTCTGCATCTGCGTCTTTGCTTTCCTCCATCTAGAACCCCAGCGCTGACAGGCGGAGGCCAGGCCCTTGGAGGGCTCCAGGCCTTTCAGGTCGGGGGTTAGGAACACAAAGCAAACCAGGGGAGAATGGCAGCAGTGAAAGCTGCCTTTGTCAGGTAAGGGCCACGGGGAGACAAAGCAAAGGGCCTCTTTAGTCATCAAAGCTCCACTGTGCTTCTGCGCCAAGAGCAATAAAAATGGGAGCCGTCCCAGGGGCCACGCAGCCGAAGCTAGGGAGCTTTATCGGATCTGTCAGAGAGGAGCCTCGGAACGAGTCTTCCTTTCATCTGGCCCCACTTTGAAGGAGGAGGGGCTTGCAGGCCCCTGAGAGGCTTTCCCATTAAAATAACCCAAACTGCAGGGGGTGATAAGATTTTCTTCTTTGTACAGATGAGAAAAATGAAGCTTGCACCAGGAAGTGATTTGTCCAAGGTCCCACGGAAAGTCAGCCATGGGCCAGGCCTAACCCCAGCCTGCTTCCTAGTTCAGGGCTCTGGCCCAGAGCAGTGCACCTCAGAGCAGTACTGAGGGACAGAGAATAGGCCAGGACAGAAACACACCTACCTGCCTGGAACTCAGTGGGCCTTAGCCACCTCTACACAGGTGCCAGCTTCCCCCACCTGCACTGTCACAGAGCCCCACTGGGCATGCCTCTGCTGCATGGCCAGCTGCTAGAGGGTGGGCTCCAAGCCCAGCTCATCTCCAGCTCCCCAGTGCCTAAAGCTGTGACTGGCTTAGAGTAGGTGCTGAGAAATTTCACTGGATCCCTCCCTCTTGAAGCTTACGTGGTGGGCTGGGGAGGGAGACAATAAACGAACAAAAAAGGTAAATAAAATACCACTCAGTCAGGCGGTGGTGAATGCTACGGATAAAAAGAAAGCAGAGCTGAGCACGGTGACTCACACCTGTAATTCCAGCTGCTCAGGAGGCTGAGGTGAGAGGATTGCTGAAGGCCTGAAGTTCAAGACAAGCCTGGGCAACATAGCAAGACCAAGTCTCTAAAAAAATAAGTTTAAAAAACTAGCTAGGCCTGGGGGTGTGTGCTGTGGTGCCAGCTACTCAGGAGGCCAAGGTGAGAGAATCACTTGAGCCCAGGAGGTTGAGGCTGTAGTGAGCTATGTTCATGCCACTGCACTCCATCCTAAGCAACAGAGTGAGACCCTATCTCCACAAAAAAATAAATAAATCAAATAAAGTGGGAACAGTGGACTGGAAGTCTAGAAGACCTCACTGCAAAGTGGACATTTGAGCCAAGGCCTGAAGGAGGTAGAAAGGGGGCCACATGGGGACCTGCGGGAAGGAGGTTTACAAGCAAGGGGTACAGTAATTGCAACAGCCCTGAGAATAAAGTGAAGGAGGTAGATGTGCCTGCCCCAAATCCACCTGCTAGTTTCTCAAAGAGAAACCCACTCTATTGTCCCAGCCAGCACACTAAAAAGGGGGCAGAGAAAAGTGAGCTGCAGAGGCTCAGACACCCCCAAGTCAACTATAGAGGAGGGCCTCTAACATCACCACCTTCCCATTGACAGCTATGGGGGAAAGACCCACTGGGGTAGGGGCTGACACATACACAAATAAGACTGGGGTCACCTCACACTGGCCCACCTTGATGGGTTTCTGGAACGACTGGGCTGGTGGGAGGTTGTGGTGTCCTCTCTCCTTTTCCATGGTCCTAGGCTCCCAGGACCTGGCCTATTGGCCATTAAGAGTCACTCGACTTGTATCCACAGAGCACTTGACAGTTTTCACACACGTACGTTTAAGCCTCATCAGAGTCTTGGATGGCAAATGGGGAAAACATCATCAGGCCCCTTCTACCCAGAAGGAAACAGAAGCTCAGAACTGTGGTCACTCACTGGGTACCTCGGGCAGATTACCGAGCATTTCTGAGCCTCCCTGTCCTCCCCAGTGTAAACTGAGAGTAGACTCAGTGTTTCTCCAAGTGTGGGGCAGAGGGCCAGGGGCTTGTAACCAGCTGGGGAGACTGTCAACACGCAAATTCCTGTTCTAGAATAACTCGAGTCTAACCCTTCATTTGACACTGGAGGAGGAACCAGTGAGGCCCAGAAGTGTTCACAATTCCAGTTGCCCATCTTGGGAGAGTGGTGGTCTGAGAACCTACTTTTTTTTTTTTTTTAGGTAAGGTCTGGCTCTATTGCCCAGGCTGGAGTGCAGTAGTACGATGTTGGCTCACTGCAATCTCTGCCTCCCAGGCTCAAGCCATGCTCCCAAGTAGCTGGGACTACAGGCACACGCCAGCCAAGTAGCTGGGACCTCAGCCTCCCAAGTAGCTGGGACCTCAGCCTCCCAAGTAGCTGGGACTACAGCCACACACCACCATGGCCAGCTAATTTTTGTATTTCTTGTAGAGATGGGGTTTTGCCATGTTGCCCACGCTGGTCATGAACTCACGAGCTCAAGCAATCTGCACACCTCGGTTCCCAAAGTGTTGGGATTACAGGCATGAGCCACTGCGCCTGGCTGAGAACCTGCATTTTTAACAAGCTTCCCAGATGGTTCAAATGCACACTTCAGTTTGGTAACTACTGTCCTAGAGGCTCTCTATAGATGCTTCCAGCAATAATGTCCTCTCATTTTATCTCCTGTCCAAGAATTCCCCAAAAAAGCAGAGCTGAGGGGTAAGCTGATATTCTGTCCACCGTGTCTCACTGCTCCAAGAAGTTGAAGATGTAATCCCAAATGCCTAACTCATGCCTTGGCAGGTCATCCACTGGTTAGCGCAAATTACAGCCTGGGGCTCTGTAGCTCATCTCTGTCCGCCTCATTTAAGCTTCAACCACCTGAAGAACAACGAATGTCCGCAAAATAAAGAATGCCATCAAATTGCATTGATGTTTGCATTGAAAGGATTACGATGTCCTTAAAAAGACCTAAAATAATGAGTCATGAGAAGGTATACTAGGAAACCAGGTTAGCAAACTAAGTATTAAGAATAAACTATAACATCTGATGACCATTAGTCATAGATACTGGAGAATTCTCCTAACTTCGAGTAGGCCAAACTCCCTTCTTGAATTCTGTTCCCCAGAATTCTTTGCTTCTACTGCCAAAGTGAATTAATCTTCATGTGCATGTTGTAACCACAAATTCTCTTTGTGAACACCGTAGGCTCCATGGAAGTGGTGAATACCAGCAATCAGCGTGGGCTGCTTTGCTAAGCTCCGCTTTGTTTTCTTCCTTGACAGGGTCAAAGAGTGTTGGAGAAAATGTAGTGTGTATCGACTACTGGTTTTTGACAAGGGATTTGACAAAGGCAGTTATAAGATGGAGGTGGAAGTTAGAATTGGGTGGGTTTGTGATGGGTTAAATGACTACAATCCAATCAATATTAGCCTCATTGCTTTTTTTTTTTTTTTTTTTTTTTTTTTTTGAGACAGTCTCACTCTGTCACCCAGCCTGGAGTGCAGTGGTACAATCACAGTTCACTGCAGTCTCAACCTCCCAGGCTCAAGTAATCCTTCCACCTCACCCTCCTGAATAGCTGGGACCATAGATATGCACTTGTATTTTTCTTTGTAGAAATGGAGTCGTCCTATGTTGCCGAAGCTGGTCTCAAACTCCTGGGCTAAAGGGATCCTCCTACTCGGCCTCCCAAAGTGCTAGGATTTTAGGCATGAGCCATGGCACCTGGCCCTAGCTGCATATTTTTAACAACTCTGTCTTTGGCCTTGGCCTTGGTATACCCATTAGTCTTTAAATTGATTAAAGTTTGGAAGCCATGCTTACTGAATCTGCAGGTGACACAGGTTTGAGGAGACAGCACGTATGCTGAGTAACTGGATCAGGATGTTGACTAAAACCATGAATTGAATTCATCAAGAGGAAAACTAACTGGTGATAAACAGAAGACCTGCCCAAGATATCCCCTACAAAGCCTTAGGAAGAGTGAGGCCTGGTTAATGGCAGCATGTAGGGAAGACAGCTATAACTGATAATAACTTAGCCTTAAAATAATAATAAAAGAATATGATCTTAGAACATATGAATAGGAGCATAGTACCCGGTATAGAAGGGGTGAAAATTTTGCTCAATTCTTTTTTTTTTTTTTTTTTTTTGAGATGAAGTCTCGCTCTGTCACCCAGGCTGGAGGCAGTGGCACGATCTTGGCTCACTGCAACCTCCACTTCCCAGGTTCAAGCAATTCTCCTGCCTCAGCCTCCCAAGTAGCTGGGACTACAGGTGCACGCCACCACACCCAGCTAATTTTTTGTATTTTAGTAGAGACGGGTTTTCACCGTGTTGCCCAGGCTGGTCTAGAACTCCTGAGCTCAGGCAATCTGCCTGCCTTGGCCTCCCAAAGTGCTCGGATTACAGGCGTAAGCCACGGTGCCCGGCCAATTTTGCTCAGTTCTGTGTTGGGCATACCACTGCTCGGAGTCTCACCTTAGAAGAGGCATCAGCACATGGAACATGTTCAGGAGAGAGTCACTAGGATACTGAGGCTACTCAAAACAAAAGCTTATAAGGCAAGACTGAAAGAATCAAATACATTTAGCCTAGAGAAATGAAATCCCAGCTCCCTGCAACCATGTGAAACACTGCCATGTAGAATTAGCCTCCACTCTGGGTGGCCCCAGAGAACAGAACCAAGAAATCCTAGTGAGGTAGGTTTTTGAAGATAGCAAAGATAAAGGAAAACATGGTAATACCAAAAGCCAGGCACAATGCAAACAAAAGGGCTGTCTGGGGAAAAAGGGAGATTTTAATCTTGGGAGCAATCAGGCAGAGTCAGGATGGCCCCTGGTCAGGGATGTGGCTGAACTGACTCAAGCATCCCATGGAAGATTTAAGGTCCCTTACAAACCTAATATTCTATGTTCAGTAAACACATGTTGAACTAAAGCCCCAGTCCCCGTCTCCTTTCTCCTCCCAGTCCCTGTCCAAATGAAAGATAATTAACATGGGATTTTACATGAAGGGCTAGCAACTCAAGAGCAATTTGCTTGGATTTTTGAGGGCATTTTTTCCAAAGCTCACACCTAAATTTAAGACAATTCAACATGATAATCTATATACATAATTTCAAGGTTGTTCCTTGGGACTTGTACCTGACTCTGTCAGCCATTTTCTTATCACCCCACTGAATAAAACTGTCTCTGGTTTTTTTCTAGAGCAAGAAAATTTCAATAATCATCACCCAAGATCAATGCCAATGCTACCCATTGGGAATTCACTTTCTGCATTTCAGAAAACCAAGCCAGGCAACTTAATTTTAAAAGCATGGTGATGGAGTCTTAGATCCAATTGACCCATGTGGTTTCTCTGGTTCTCAGTAGCTTGGGTTGCTCCTGAAAAGTCACTGCCAGTGGCTTGGCCGACAGTGTGGTTCTGGGCCCAGGATGCCACTTACTGTAAAATAAAACATTTCTGTTTCCTGCTGGTTGGCTCTCCTCTTGGCAATGTTGATCTTGCTCATGTAGGTCTCAGAGGCAGCCGACTTGACGGACTCTGTCGATCGACTGTGTTGGAAGGCATCGGAGACATCAAAGTCCTCCACAGTCAGCATGTCCTGTAATGTCTGCATGGTGGCATCCAGGGTTTTCCTAACCTGGGGAAACACAGCAGATTGACAAAAATCCTGTATTCTCATACTGCCGTTGACACCTAAAGTCCCTTTCCCAGCTGTCACTTTACTTCTTCCATATGAAGTCCCTAGGATATAGGCAGAACAAAAATAATCCTTCTCACTGTATTAATGTGGAAAACACAAATTAGTCACCAACCCAAAATCACACAGCTGGCTGGGATGAAAAGCCAGGTTGCCCAATTTAAAGATATTTTATCGTATGGCTTCTGCCAGAGAGAACCTTGAGGAATGTTGCAACAAATGAGGAACCCAGGTTTCTAGGTTTGTTTCTCTTAGCCTAATTATGTAACTCAAAACAAGTTCCTCCAATGCAAGGTGGTCAGTTGAGTAGGGACAACATTAGATGTGCTCTAGTTCTCTTCATTCAGAGAAGGATAGAGACAAAGTTGACAATGGTGGGCAGCCATTCTTCGTGCAACAAACTCTCCAGGTATCTGCTACTGGACTCCTATCAAAAGCCCAGCTGAGAAAAGGAAAACTCCAGGAAGACAGTTGCTGAGGCACACATTGTTCAGCTAGGACTCCAGTTTTTTCTTCTGGAATTTCGTGGGACCACCAGAAGCCTGCACAAGCAGGGCCCACGGGCCCTGACCTTACAACACCCCTTTGCTGAACTGTGCCTAAAAGGCAGATTCTTTGCTCTGGAGGCTGGTTCCAAAAACAGTCCCTGGAAAAACTGCCTCCAGTGTTTGTTATAAAATTATTGTCACTCAAAGTCTGTTTCTTTTCACTCAGACCTCAGCTTAAATGTCACCTCCTGGTGACATTGGTCCCCCCGATATCTTCACTCAGTGCCTATTACTGTCTAATATTTTCCAAGCTCATTCATTTCTTGGCTTCTTTTTGTGTTTCATAAATGAAAAATAAAATTCTAAGCCCCCAGCCATCTGAATGGACCTCTCCTCTCAGTCAGGGGCATTCCAAAGTTAACCTGAAAAACTAGTTCAGGCCATGATGGGAAGGGGGCGGCAAACCTACTTCATTATACCCTCCTCCTTTTTGGAATTACTGTTAGAACAGACTCTTTAAGTCTGATAGAAACATTTACAGCCTATCCTCTGAAGCCTACAACCGGGAGGCTTCATCTCTATGATAAAACCTTAGTCTGCACAACCCCTTATCTTAACCCAGACATTCCTTTCTTTAGACAATAACTTAACTCTTTCAACCAACTGTCAATCAGAAAATCTTTGAATCTGCCTATGACCTGAAAGCCCCTGCTTCCAGTTGTCCCACCTTTCCAGACCAAACCAAATACAACTTACATGTATTGACTGATGCCTTACATCTCCCTAAAATGTATAAAACCAAGTTGTGGCCCAACCACCTTGGGTACATGTTTTCAGGATCTCCTGAGGGCTGTATTACAGGCCATTGTTCACTCATATTTGGCTCAGAATAAATCTCTTCAAGTATTTTACAGAGTTTGACTCTCTTTGTCAACAGTTTCAAGTATTATTTGTCTTTTCTCACTAGAATATTCCCTCCCGGAGAGGAGGTGCTATGGTGCGTTGTGTTTGGTCACTTTACTCTATATCTAGAACAATGTTTGGCACATAGTATGTGCTCTATAAATACTTGAATAAATATTGTTGAATGAATACACAAATCAATTCTTCTTTCTAACGCAGCATGACAGGAAGCTCAGGTTCAAAATTAAGCACATTCAAGCCCGTTAGCAGCTCATACAGAAGAACATTGGCTTCATTCTCCTTTCTTTGGCCCTGATTTCCAATTTAAATTCCATTAACATTATGATCCACATACTATTCCGTGTAAACAATTTAAAATCCTTTGGGGGAAGATGTAGGGCATAAATAAATAAAGAAAACACTCTGTTCATCTCCTGTCTCTTTCCAGGTTTGAAAAACAAATATATAATTTGTCTCCATACAACCTCCCCCTGGGGACTGCACTGATTTGCTATCATCCTGAGCTCCAATCTGTCTCACATTTGTCCTAGGTCTGTCCTTTGTGGAGATGAAAAGCAAAGTTGCTGTCTCTGCCCAGGATAGAACTCTTGAGATTTGAAGATCAAGACTGTGTCTTCCCACCTCCCCCATGACTGCACTTTAAAGAATAAACCTGCCCATGACCTCGAGTGTCACTCCCTCCATCCTGGTGTCCTTTCTCCAGGGGCCTCCAGTTGGTTGGCATCCTCCTTGCAGGAAGAGTCCAGGTTGGAATAGGATGTTTCCCATCTGGCCTCTTCAGTCCACATCAGAATAGAGCCACTGCACTGGTATTTCCATCTGTACCCACTTGCTGAGAATCCTATGCCCCACAGCTGCAGGGGAGGGAGGCTGGGCCTGGTAAGGCTGACCTGTTCCTTGGAGCTCAGAATCCATGACAAATTTAGTGTGCCCTAGGTTGTTTATTTCATTGTGTAATTTAAAATACCTACTGTTATTTCTAATGATAAAACAGAAATTCATTGCAGAAAATAGAAGAAAGCACAAAGAAGTAAACAGAAAGCACCTATCACCCCACAACCCAAACATAGCAACTAATAACATTTAAGCATTTCCCTCCAGTCTTTTTTCTATGCCTAGGAATATACATATGCTTTAGTTTACTCCAGTTATGGCAATACTGAACATAGAGTCCTATTTCCTTTTGTGTTTTGTTTGTTTGTTTGTTTGTTTGTTTGTTTTGAGATGGAACCTCACTCTGTCATCCAGGCTAGAGTGCAGTGGCGTGATCTCAGCTCACTGAAACGTCTGCCTCCCAGGTTCAAGCAATTCTCTTACCTCAGCCTCCCACCTTTTGTTTTTCTTCAATTTAACATCTTATAAATGTTCCTCCAGGCTATTAATGATTCTTGGTGTGTGTGGTTTTAATGATCGTGTACTATTCCATCTTATAAGTGGAACTATCATTTCTTATGCACTTCGTGGCACAAGTGGACTCCCTGGGACAAGCCAGGCCTTCCAAAGAAAATCCCTTATAGGGCAGAGGGGCTCACTCACCTCCTCATTCTCTATCTTGAGGGTGGCCAGTCTGGACTGCAGCTGGTGATAACGCATGAGCAGTTCTGTCTGGACGGGCTGCTGAGCGCTGACCTGGCAGACCTGCAGGAATAACAGCCACCATCTGTGGTTGCCCTGTGCCCTCCTCACCTGTGTGGAGCTAGGGCAGGGGCTACCATTAACATCCCAATCACAGTCCAGGAAACAGGGGCTCGGAAAGGTTGAGTGACCTGCTCAAGGTCACAGAGCTCATAAGTGGCCGTGGCAACCAATGCCAGATGAGAACCGGGGTCTTCCTACTCAAAGTCCGCACTCTTGCCACTGCCAGGTGTGGCCTTTCAGTCATGATCTACATTTGGGAAGCATGTGAAGGTTTACAAAGAGCCTTAATTTAATCTTATTAAGCAAAACTAACTGGTTAATTTCAAGGCAAGAAATTGTGGCAAGAAAGCAACCACCTAAGAGAAGCCAATGGGAAAAAACCTGAATGGGAAACAATCAGGGGCGCACTCCCATTGTGCCGCAGAATGACACTGCAGCAGGGCAGCTGTGAGACAATGTGCTCTCACAGCTCATAGCTCTTCGTCCCCCAGCAATTGACTGGGCCGAGGGCTGGAGGAGGGGAAGCACCCAGAGAAATGCTGTTCTCCCTCTGCCTTCTTTTTTTGAGACAGGGTCTCACTCTGTCACCCAGGCTGGAATGCAGTGGTGCCATCACGGCTCACTGCAACCTCCACCTCCCAGGTTCAAGCAATTTTCCTGCCTCAGTCTCCCGAGTAGCTGGGACTACAGGCACCTGCCACCATGCCCAGCTATTTTTTGTTTATTTGCTGTTTGTTTGTTTGTTTTTTGTTGTTGTTGTTGTCGTTGTTTTTTAACAGAGACAGGGTTTCACCATGTTGGCCAGGCTGGTCTTGAACTCCTGACCTCAAGTGATCCACCCATCTCGGCCTCCCAAGTGCTGGGATTACAGACGTGAGCCACCGCCTTCCACCTTTCATGTGGGACTCCAGTATTACCTGTGGGCTGGGCTGCTGGCAGGCATGTGCACCTCACCCCTTCCAGGAACACAGCTAGGATCACAAGGGACAGTAGCGCTCTGTGGACTGTACTAGTTATTTGCTACTAATTGCACAACCCAAAGTTTACGGTCACCAGTGGTCACCATGAGGCCAGCATTTTCAGGTCCAGGTGATGGATCGGGAGGACTGAGAGGGATGGGGCAGACACAGCAGTGCAGCCCTGCAGAAGTAAGTGGGCAGAGCCATGCAGAGGGTCTAGCAAATGCCATCTTCTCGGATGCCTCCTTGCCCCTCCCCTCCCAGCAGGTGCCACGGGTGGCCCAGCTGAGCCTCACTGGGACCCAGAGGCTGGCTGGGTCTGGGACACTGTTGGAGTGGGTTCCCCCAATGCCCCGAGGGAGCAGTGACACAGACAAGCTCAGGGAACTATTTGCATAAGGGATTTTGTAAGCCTTGGGTAACGAGTAGGGCTGTGTTGGGGCCAGTGACAAGGGCCTTCTTTCCATTTGTTTTTCGTTTGTTTTATTCAGAATATAACAAGGATCTGAGCAGCACAAGCACTGAAGGAAACTCGATCGTCTGGTGTATCAAAGGCTTGCAGTGTTGGAGGAAGGGAGCGCCCTGGTGGAATGCACCAGCCTGAATGGCTGTGTTGAGGCTACAGTGAGGCCCAGGCTTCCCGTGGACCTCACCCGCACATGTGGGGTTAGAACATGAGCCTGTGTGCAGACTGGGGCTCCCTTGGAGTCTTCTAGACATAGCTGGGAGGGGTTATAAGGGAAGCCAAGGTCCTGTAATTCTGCACGGGGGGCACCTGAGACAGCAAGATGAGGGTATTAGTGGTAAACTCCTCAGCTGGGGAAGCCCATGAACCAGGAGCTTGACCCCAGGCGTCGGATAGAAACTTTCTGTACGTGCAACCAGGGATGATGTACTGGAGCACATGGGGGAACAGAGGGAAGCAGCCCCAAGCCCGGGCTCCAGGAGGAAGCCTACCTCATCCCCCATGTGGGGCTGGAACTCGAACTTGAGTGGAGGGCAGAAGACTTGATTGCACATGTCCATGACTGTGTGCTTGTCACTTCGGGAATCCAGGTTGTCCACTGCATTCTCAATGACATCCAGCCCTTCGTGGCGAGAGGTCTCCAGGTTGTATTCAGCTGAGAGATAGGTCCGGAAGGTGCGGGCCAGGCTGGCATGGAAGCCCAAATCACAGCACTTGGGGAGAGGCAACAACGGAAGGTTATGGGTGACAGCCAGGATGTGGAGGGGCGGTCACTGGCCACCACAGTGACTTACAATTACCTCCCTTTCCACAGCCGAATCTTCCATCCCGGAGGCCCCAAGGCACTTTGGAATCCTACTGCACAAACCTCACGGCGCCCCTCAAGGGGAGTTGCGGTTGAGATTTGGGCAATAGCAGAACTAGGTTCCCTATATTCACCATCTTTCTCTCTCTCTTTTTTTTTTTTTTTTTTTTTTTGAGACGGAGTCTAGCTCTGTCACTTAGGCTGGAGTGCAGTGGCACGATCTCGGCTCACTGCTACCTCCGCCTCCCGGGTTCAATCGATTCTCCTGCCTCAGCCTCCCGAGTAGCTGAGATTACAGGTGCCCACCACCAAGCCCAGCTAATTTTTGTATTTTTAACAGAGACAGGGATTTACTGTGTTGGCCAGACTGGTCTCGAACTCGTGACATTGTGATCTACCCGCCTCGGCCTCCCAAAGTGCTCAGATTACAAGCGTGAGCCCATCTTTCTCTTCTTTAGGGTGGTGTGCATGCATCCCCTCTGCCTGGAATACCCTTCTTTCGGAATTCAGTTTAGAGGTCACTTCCTCCAGGAAAGCTTCCTTGATGTTCTCCCCACTCAGAGCTGGTCAGGTGATCCTCCTCCAGGGGTCCACATTTCCCTCTACCTCTCTCACTGTGACCCCTGCCACTTAGTATTAAAATCACCTATCAACATGTCCTTGGCGAGGTAAGCTCCCCGAGGGCCAACCCACTGCTCCTGCTCCTCAAGTTCCAGACAACAGCAGGTGCTCAATTAATATATGGTAAATGAATGAATAAAGGGGCTGAAAGGGCAAAAAAAGAAAGCGAAAAGCAGGAAAGAGGAAGGTCTGGCCTTGGGCCATTTGGGAGCTCCCTCTCCTTGCGATGCTGACAATGGGGCCCCCTCTGGAGCCACGGGAAAAGCAGGAGCCCCCTGACTTCCCGACAGGATACACCAGGAAAAGAGTCCATCGACCATACCAAGCCTTTACTAAACATGGACAGGGCCAGCTCCCCCATCGGTGCAGGAAGGAGGACATGAGAGAAACAGTCCTGGCTCCTACTTAGATGACACAGAAGCCCTCCCCAGCACCACCGCTCACAGTGTTCTTTCTCCCAGTCTGCTTGTCCCTGTGGCGTGTCCTGCACAGCGGGTACTCGGGAGTCAGTGTTCCGTTCTCCATTTGCTTAAGCTGCCCGATTTCTCCCGAGATAACTTCCCCACACAAAGCTGATCTGTATAATTAAGTCTGTCTCATTCGCTACTTTCTTTCGCATGTACACGTGTCTGGCTGAGTGGCCCTAGGGGCGCCAAACATTTTACTAATAACATCTCCTTTACCACACTGGGAAATCCCCCAAGGCATGAACTGTGTATGGTTCCCCCCTGAACCCCTCAAACCCAGCAAAGGACCTGGTGTCCAGGAGGGTACTTGGGAAGTTGCCATTGGATATACAACTGCCCAAGCCAACTGCACTGGGGCCACCAGAGGCCCATGTCCCACTCGTGAAAATAGACACCACGAGGTAACATTCATTTTCCACCTCCCCAAATCACTGCCCTTCCCCTCCAGCAGGGCTCAAAAGAGCTGTGGCTACCCGAGAATGTCAGGTAAAGACAAAGACCAGCCCCTCCTTCAGCCAGTGACATGTGCCAGCCCTGGTGTGGGCCCTGCTCAGTCCCAGACTCCCCAGGGAGCTCACATCGATCAGATCAGAGACATCATGGATGTAGTATTTGCTTATAGCTGCGTTGGTGGCTGCCAGATTGAGCAAGTAGTCATTCCGGGCCTTTGTGCATTTCAGCTTGTTCTCAGAGTACTTGGCCTGCCTCTGGAAGAAGAAAAGAGTAGATGTAAGAGCAAGCCATTTAAGAGGACGGGGTTTGTGATTTTCTATTCCTTTTTTTTTTTTTTTTGAGACAGGGTGTTGCTCTGTCACCCAGGTGAGAGTGCAGTGGTGTGATCATAGCTCACTTCAGCCTTAACTCCTGGACTCAAGCAATCCTCCCACCTCAGCCTCCCGAGTAGCTGGGACTATAGATGCATGCCATCACACCTGGCTAGTTTTTGTTTTTGTTTTTCAAGTTTTTTAGAGATGGTGGGGTCTCACTATGTTGCCCAGGCTGATCTGGAACTCCTGGCCTCAAGCCATCCTCCCACCTTAGCCTCCCAAGTGTTGGGATTATAGGCGTGAGCCACCATGCCCGGCCCAGTGGTTTTTTTTTTCTTTATAGTAGCTGCCTGCCACCCAAGCCCTGCACAGCCACACCTATGGAAGACCTCCATCTGCTAGATGAGTAAGGGCTGGACCTGGACTCAGGCAGCTCCCCTTACACCTGCACCTTGCACCTGCACAGCCGATGAGGACACTAGATGAGCAGCAGCCTCTGACGGTCCTTGCTAGGGTGGGGTGTAAATAAGATCCCTGGCCAGGAGCGTTGGCCTGTAATCCCAACACTTTGGGAGGCTGAGGCAGGCATATCACCTGAGGTTAGGAGAGCAAGACCAGCCTGGCCAACAGGGCAAAACCCCATCTCTACTAAAAATACAAAAATTAGCTGGGTGTGGTGGCATGCACCTATAGTCCCAGCTACTTGGAAGGCTGAGATGGGAGAATCATTTGAACCCAGGAGGCAGAGGTTGCAGTAAGCAGAGATTGCACCACTGCACTCCAGGTCTAGGTGACAGAGGGAGACTCCGTCTCAATCAATCAATCAATAAGACCCCTACCCAGCACCCTCCAGTGATGTCTCAAACTGCTGCTCGCACCTGAGAAGCCCTCCATGGCCTTGTCCCATCCACTTCTCAAGCTCCACCTTCCCCCAGGCTCCCCCTCATTTGCTCAGCCTCCTTGGTCCATCCTTTAAGAGGCAAAATTCATTCCTGTCTCAAGGCCCTCAAACTCATGGTTCCCTCAGCCTTGGCCCAAGGTCTCAAGGCCAGATTGGCTTTCGATGACAAGCTCATCTACCTCTCCCACTCCCTCTGCCCACCCCTGCCCGGCTCTTTTCTTAATAAGCACTTCCACCACCTGAAACTGTATTTTTTTCTACCCTTTTATTTACTTGTTGATTGTCAGTGATCTCCCATTAGAAAATAAGTGGGGTTAGGGACTTGATCTGCTTTGTTCATTGCTAGGTCTGGAGCGCCCAGAACTGTCCCTGCACAAGGTCATTTTCAGTCATTTTCAGTGACTGGAGGACAGGAGGGAGGGAGGATGACTGGATGGGAGAGGTGGGGTGGGGCAGCCAGAGCCGCCCATCTCAGCAGGGACCCAATTGCCCCCCAGGGAGCTGCTCCTGGCTAAGCCAGCCTGGGAATGGAGCAGGAAAGAGGAAGTGGGCTGGAGAGCTGTCCCCTGCTCCTTTCAGACTGATGAGTCCCATTGCTGTGTAAAAAGTCAGGTCTCTGTAAATAAATGGTTTTTCTCCTTTGCCTAGACATTCTTACACCTTCCTATTCCACAGTGAGTTCTCATCCTTTTAATTCTCTTCAGAGATCTCTAACTTTTCCCCAGGGTCCTGGCAGTTACATCCTACGCCAGCCATGCACCTGACCCCCCACAGAGAGTTTTGATATTCTTGGCCTATTTCCAGTGGACAACTATGACCATGACCCTGAGACCATTTTTTAGCCCTTCATAGACTCATAAAATGTTATACCTAGAAAGGATGTTAAAGGTATTTTCATTAAACTCATCTATTTTATAGATGAGGAAATGAGAACTGGAGAGAAGTGGCTTGCCCAAGAGCCAAGTAGCTAATCGAACCAAAAATACAACTCTGAACTAAAAATCGGCCTCTGGACTTCCAGTCAGCACTCACTCTACCTCTCTCCTTCTCCCTATGTTGTAGTCCTATCATTCCCTGCTTGGTTATTTTATTTTATTTTTATTTATTTTTACTGTATTCACAGAGTCACACAACCATCATCATTATCTAACTTTAGAATATTTTCATCACCCCAGAAAGAAATGCTGCACCCATTCACAGTCACTCCCCATTTTCCTCTTCTTTAGCCCCTGGAAACCAATCATCTATTTTCTATTTCCATAGATTTGTCTATGCTGGACATTTCATAAATGTAGTTGCACAATATGTGGTCTTCCGTGACTGACTTCTTTCATTTAGCATACTGTTTTCAAGGTTCATCCATGTTGCAGCATTTGTCAGTACTTCATTCCTTTTCATGGCTGAATAATATTCCATCACATGGATATACCACATTTTATTCAACCATCCATCAGCAGATGAACATCTGAGTCATTTCCATCTTTTGGCTATTAAGAATAATGCTGCTATTCATGTACAAGTCTTTGAATGGACATATGTTTTTATTTTTCTTGGGTGGATACCTAGGAATAAAATTGTTGAGTCACATGGTAACTTAGTCTATGTTTAACATTTAGACTGCTTTCCAAAGTGATAGAATCACTGTACATTCCCTTTAGTAGTGTGTGAAGATTCCAATTTATCCACATTCTCACCAATACTTCCTATAGTCTGCCTTTTTAATTCTAGCTATCCCTGTGGGTATGAAGTGATAGTTCACTGAGTTTGATTTGCATTTCTTTAATCACTAATAATAGAGACAATCTTTTTTTTTTTTTTTTTTTTTTTTTTGAGACAGGGTCTTACTCTGTTGCCCAGGCTGGAGTGCAGTGATGTGATCATGGCTCACTGCAGCCTTGACCTCCCTCAGGTAATCCTCCTACCTCAGCCTCCCAAGTGGCTGGGACTACAGGCACATGCCACCACACCTGCCTAATTTTTCTATTTTTTGTAGAGATAGGGTTCTGCCATGTTGCCCAACCTGGTCTCGAACTCCTGGGCTCAAACTATCTGACCACCTTGGCCTCCCAAAGTGTTAGGATTACAGGTGTGAACCACCATGCCTGGCCCAGACAATCTTTTCATGTACTTATTGGCCACTCATACATGTTTTTTTAAGAGCAACATCTATTCAAATTCTTTGCCTTTTTTTTTTCATAAATAGAGATGGAATTTTGCCATTTTACCCAGGCTGGTCTCGAACTCCTGGGCTCAAACGATCCTCCCGCCTTGGCCTCCCAAAGTGCTGATATTACAGGCATGAGCCACTGTGGCCAGCCCTACAGCACTGTTTTTAACTAAATCTGTTTCGAGTTTCACAATTCTCAGCCCAGTGCTCTGGGCAATTGATCAGAGTTGACATGAGAGATGAGACGAATTTGCCACTCCTATCAGATTTGAAAACTGCAGCTCAGAGAGGTGTTGTAAACGTGGCATTTTCAAAACCCAGCTCATTTGACTCCAAAGCTAGAATTCCTCCCACCACACCCTACTAAAGGACTTTTCCAGAATCAATACACAGGGATTCTAACTCTCTCATCTTTGAATTGGCAATGGCAATTTTGGAATGAGCCCTTCACCAGCTTTCCAGGTGCTGGTCCCTCTTGTTGAGACACATTCAGCAATCAGTTCCCACCTCACCCCCCGCCCCTACCCTTGGCCATCAAATTGGCCTCTGGAACAAGCCCCTGCTCCCGCTAATGCCTTGTGATTCCAGCTCATCTGAGAAGGTGCTTGCTGGGTGTGAATCTCGTCACAGTTCAGCTTTCTTGTGAGTTGAGCACCTCGTCTGCCTGCTGACCTTAGCACTAAGCCAGGCCTAACCAGTGTTAGCACGGGCATGCCTGGCTCCGCTTCCACTAGGACACCGATCTCCAAAAGAGGAGATGCTGGCTACATTGTCCCATCCCCCCTACCCACCACCACCCCACTGGGATGCAGGGGAATAAGGGGGAAGGCTAAGGCTGTCCGCCAAGACCATGGCCCTCCCCTTTGTGCCCTGTCCCCAATCGCTCCCAGCCCAGGGCCCCCACTCACCTTCTCCTTCATCTTCTCAATCTTCTTCACAGAGCTGCGGCGCTGGGGCCGGTCCTCGTGCCGGAGCAGGTTCATGCTGAGGTCTCCTGACTTATTGAACTGCTTCTCCTCCTGCTTCTCAGCCTCCTTCAGCTTGCTTTCCGCACTGATGCTCTCTGCATGGTACATGTGGTAGGTTTTCATGACCTGGGGGTGCACAAGTAGGGGAAATCAGCAGCCAGCTATGGCCCAGCACGGCCCTCCCTGTTACTCCTGGCTCCATACCAAGTTCTACACTCTAGCTGGCCACTGCCCTGGTCCCAAAACACACTCTGGGCACCTGCCTTCCTTTACTTTTGCACAGACTCTCTGAGGACTGGATATGATGATGATGGTCATTACCATCACCATCATCATCAACAACAACATCATTAAGCCCTAACTAAGAGCCAGGCATGGGCTAGTAAAGAGGAAATTAAAAAATAATAATAAATAAATAAATAAATAAATAAATAAGGAGGAAATTTAAAAGGGTAACCGTAGCTCCAAGCATCTGGGGACTGTCAGACGTGACAAGGCAAGCCTGGCCCTTGCTCAGCTGTCCTCTCTAGCCCTGCCAGTAGTGACTGTGGCATCCCTCCGTCTCCTCCCAGTGCCGCGGGGAAAGCCCCTCCTCCCACACCCATGGGAATTGAATGGGAAACATCCTTCTTACACACAAATCATTTTCTCAGCTGTTTCCTGAAGTACAATGGGCTGCAAATGGCTCTGTACCCAAAATGAGTAATATTAAGTAACCCAATAGATATTCTATGCTCTCTGGAATAAATTCATCCTTGCCTATAAAAACAATTCCTATAAAGCAAATTGCACTTTGCTACTCTACTTCCATAATAAAAAAAATGGATATTGTTATTACAGGGGAAATTTCTGAGCCAGAAGAAATTCTAGACATCATCTAATCCAACAACCTTCTAGTTTGACAAACAGGGAAACTGAGGCTCGGAGGTGCAAAGTATCAGTGCAGAGATGCCAGACTTTACATCCATGTATCCAGGACCACAAGCAAAATATAGAACTTCCACTGCACCAGAAAGATCCCTCATGGCCCTTTGCAGCCAATCCCTGACCCCACCCCAGCCCCAATCATAGATTTGCCTTCTGTCACTGTAGATTGGTTTTGTGTGTTCTAGAATCCAGTTCCATGGAATCATACAATATAAACTCCTTTGGATCAGCCCTCTTTTCATTCAGCATAACTTTTCTGAGATTCACTGATGGTGCCGTACATATCAGAACTTCTTTTTTATGGCTAAGTATTCCATTGTATGGCTATGCCACAATCTGTTTACTTAGTCATATGTCCACAGCTACTTGAGATGTTTATAGTTTTTAGCTATTTTTGAATAAGGCTGCTATGAATACTTATGTACATTTCTTTGTGTGGACATGTATTTTGATTTTTCTTAGGTAAATACCCAGGCGTGGGATGGAGGGTCATATGGTAAATATATATTTAATCATATTGGAAATCTGGCCTCTCACTTTTAATCCACCACTTTTTCTACCAGATCATCCTAGATTGTCTGTATCATTTTTTCATAAATAGAGACGGGGTTTTGCCATGTTGTCCAAGCTCGTCTCAAACTCCTGGGCTCAAGTGATCCTCCTGCCTCAGCCTCCCAAAGTGCTGGTATTATAGGTGTGAACCACCACACCCAGCCCTTAATGAATTTTTTTAATTCATTACCATTTTCTGAGCAGGCATACTTTTAGTAGCCTGAACACTGGCTGGGCTGCTCCATACCAACAGCATTTTTACTGGTCCCCAACCAGAAATGTACTTTTCTTCTGCAATGCCAAGTGTATGATCATCTTTCTATGCTAAGAAACAAAGAAACTTCTGGAATCCATGGCTCCTGGGCCTTGTTCATTCTCTTCTGTGGCTTGGATTACTGTAACAGCTAACAGAGCCAAGGCTTCCCCCAGGAATGAAACGTGCTCCTATCTAACCAAGCCCTGTAAGTCAGAGAACTCAGAATGAATTCCTGGCCAACCCTAAAATCTTATTCCTTGTCATTTGAAGTGCTGTGAAGTGCGTTTATTAGAATGAGGAATTCTGTGACTTTATTTTTTCTTTTTGAGACAGAGTTTCACTCTTGTTGCCCAGGCTGGAGTGCAGTAGCATGATCTTGGCTCACTGCAACCTCCACCTCCTGGGTTCAAGTGATTCTCCTGCCTCAGCCTCCTGAGTAGCTGAGATTACAGGCACCCGCCACAATGCCCGGCTAATGTTTATATTTTAGTAGAGATGGGGTTTCACCGTGTTGGTCAATCTGGTCTTGATCTCCTGACCTCAGGTGATCCTCCCGCCTTGACCTCCCAAAGTGTTAAGATTACAGGCGTGAGCCACCACGCCCAGGCTCTGTGACTTTTATCATTAAATCACAGCATTGATTCATTGTTCAGAAAGTTGCCTTTGCCACTGGCCAGGAGTCAATGTGGCAACATATATTGTAGATCATGGAAGGTAAGAATATGGACAAGTGTCTGGGCTGAATCCTGATGGTCCCACTCCTTAGCTGTGTGACCTTGGACAAGTCACACAACCTCTCTGACCTCTGCTTCCTCGTCTGTAAAAATGGGATAAAAATTTACTTCCTATGCTTGTTATGAGCACTAAATGAGTTAATTTCTGTAAAGTGCTGAGAACAATACCTTCCACATAGTAAGAGCCATGGAGGTATCTATCAGATGCTACCACCACCACCACCACCATCATCATCATTATTATCCCTGATTTGGGCTCAGGGTTTAAGAACCTGAAACATGCTCACTTGGAAATGCTTACAAGCTCTGGAGAACATTAACTAATGTGAAAAAAAATATATTTTTATGCCATGTTTCTCCCTTCTTCCTTCATCCTAAAAATCCCCCAAACTTGGAAAACAATACATGGATTTAAAATGCAGTCAACTTTTCTTCATGGGTCTTGGTGGAAAGACGGCTTCTCTGCGTTCCGTCCATTTTTGCTCATTTGCGATCTCCCTAAGACTCCAAAAAACCCCCTTCTTGCTGATTTCATCCTCTGTGTATGCCAGTTCCACCAAGATCACATCCAAATAACTCAATGGACCAGAATATGTGCCATATTGATGCGTTCTCGACATCTAGTGGCCAAAAGGGGTGACTGCAGACTTGCAGATAATCAAAGCAGGCGCCTATTTTGATGATCTTCATGCCTTGGTTAAAAGGACACTGGGGCCTGTCAGGGGAGGCGGCGGGAGGGAGAGCATCAGGATAAATAGCTAACGCATGTGGGGCTTAATGCCTAGGTGATGGGCCTATAGGTGCAGCAAACCACGATGGCACACGTTTACCTATGTAACAAACCTGCGTGTCCTGCACATGTATCCTGGAACTTAAAATAAAAATAAAATAAATGAGTCCATTGAGTTATTTGGATATGGTCTTGGTGGAACTGGCATACAGAGAGGATGAAATCAGCAAGAAGGGGGTTTCTAGGAGTTTTAGGGAGATTACAAATGAGCAAAAATGGATGGAATGTAAAGAAGAAATAAAATAAAATAGGTGTGGCTAAAGTGTGAGAACGCCTGCTGCGGCTGTCTCCAGGACCCCACCTTCCCCCTTCTCGACATGTCCCTCCACATCCACAGACAACCCTGGGTTCTTTGCCTCACCACCATATTGCTGGTGTTTTTCATGTCTGGATCCCATCCCCGTCTGCGTTCAATGATTCCTGCTACATCTCCTTTTTCTATTTTGGCTTCTGAGTCTGCTTGCCTCGCCACGAATCTGTCATCTGTGCTGGGTAGTTCAGGGGAAAAGAGAGCCTTTCTATTTACAGCTAGATCTTCCTGTCCAATCACCATGCATCCATCCACTCTCTCAAGGTCAACAGCCCAGCTGGGTGTTCTCAATTCCCACATATCCTTTGCCTAGTTTTCTTTTTTTATTTTCTCTCCCTTTACATCATTTTCTACTCTTCTTGAGCCACAGAGTACTCTTCCTGCCCTCCGACAGGCCAAACTTCCCAGACAGCCTCTAAACTTCATTCCAAAAATCCCATGCTTGGAGAAGACAACCCAAGTACCCTGGGGCCAAACTCCCTGTGATCTACTCGATTCCTGATTCCAAGAATAACAGTGAACTCCACTGCCGAGGGTGACTTATGACAGACAGCTGCCACCAAAGAGTTCACCTGGAAGTTTCTCCAAAATGACTCTATTTGTACCCAGAATCCTCTAGATGTTTCTTTTATTTAATTACCTGATACATGGGCTTCAGCATGAATGGTCCTTAGCTCAATAGACTAGAACAGTTAGCTCAATATTGCTAGTCCAGGATGCATTAAATAATATTTAACCTTATCTATTGCTTCAAAGTTTGCAAACCTCCTTCCAGGAGCCCTTCTAGTAAAGGAGCATTTCAATGAGTCCTTTCCCTAATCCTGGGAGGTAGTGTGATGACAGTAACAACAATGATAGCAGCTAGCATCTATTGAGCACTTACTACTTGCCAGGCCTTGCTTTATGCACTTTACCTATATTAACTCATTTATTTCTCAAAAAAACCCTATGAGATAGGCATCCTATGATCCCTGCTTTACAGATGAGAAAACCATGGCCCAGAATAGGTCAGTAAGTTTCTCTAGGTGAAAAGCTGGTAAGTGGAGTCAGGGTTCAAAGCCAAGGTGGCTGACCCCAGAGCCTGGGCCTACTGAACACATGGTTGTTTTGCTTTCCTTGTACCCCTTTCTCAACTGTAAAACAGGGGTGAAAGGCTCCTCCAGCCCACTGGAATTCGGGAGACTTGGTTTTGAGACTCAGCCCTCCCACTACTTGCTGGGTAGCTGTGGAGAGGTGTGTCCTCTCCGTGTCCGCCTGGTGAAGATCAGAAGGGGGTAGATGGGGAAAGTGCTGTCAACTGCAAATTATCAAGTGACCAACTGCCAGCAGCAGTGTGCCCAGGGCTGGGAAGGGGCAGAGGTGGATGCAGGAGCTCAGCTGAGGCCAAGTTCCTGAACTGGGGATGTCTGAAGGGCCCCTCAGAGGTACCCATCCACTTGATGCCAGGGAAGGGATTCACTTTCCAGCCCTCCAGACTCTATTCAGGGAGTCTAGGGAAGGACTTCGTAGGGATGTGTCAGTTAAGACCACTGTTCTTGGACCAAGTTCAGTTGCATGTGTTCTCAGAATAAAAGGTCCTCCATAAATCTTGGTGTCCTAGCCCCTCACTTGAGGAGATGGAGGCTCAAAAGTAGCAAGAGCGGGCTGGGCGCGGTGGCTCATGCCTGTAATCCCAGCCCTTTGGGAGGCCAAGGCGGGCAGATCACAAGATCAGGAGTTTGAGACCAGCCTGGCCAACATAGTGAAACCCTGTCTCTACTAAAAATACAAAAATCAGCCAGGCGTGGTGGTGGGCCCCTGTACTCCTAGCTACTCAGGAGGCTGAGGCAGGAGAATAGCTTGAACCCAGGAGGCAGAGGTTGCAGTGAGCCGAGATTGTGCCACTGCACTCCAGCCTGGGCGACAGAGCGAGACTCCATCTCAAAAAAAAAGAAAGAAAGAAAGAAAAGAAATAGCAAGAGTGCTGTCCAATGTCACACAAAAAGCCAGGCAGAGCTGGGACTGCAGGCCAGGTCTGTTTACCGCTAAGCATTGCCTCTTCTGGTCATCACACTGCCTTTTGCTTTGCACACATTGCCTTTTGCCTCTTCCCTGATCCTCAGATTCTGAAAACAGCAAAGTGTTATCTGTACCATCTTTCAGCCCCTCATTTAAATGCAAAAGAAGGCAAACAGAATCTGGAAGTTGACAGCATCCATAAAGGGACACCTGAAGCAGGATAAGGATCAGTTGTTAGAAAACAGCTTCTCAATGATGCAGTCCCTGTGTGCTTCCTCCACCCTGCAGACAGGGCTGTCCCTGGGCACAGTGGCTCACTGCTTCCAGCATTTGTGTATGGGTGAAACCCTAGGCCAGTGCATGACTGAGACCTCCTTGAAGGAAAAGAGAAGCAAAGTCCTGAGGCCAGGGTCTTGTTCGTGATAGTATTCTCTGTACCAGAGCAGAGCCTGGTACCCAGCAAGTATCAACACATATTTGCATGAATGAATGACTGGCTGGGCTGGCTGGATCAACAGATCAAAAGATCAGTGGATCAGTGAATATGGCTGAATGGATGGGTAGATGGATGGATGGACAGATGAACAGATGGGTGGGTGGGTGGATAAATGCAGGGATGGGTAGATAGATGGGAGAAAGGAAGAGAAGAAGGCAGGGAGAGAGGGTAAAATGAGGGAGGTACAGTTCTATTGCCTGTGTTCTGCTGAGCATACTTGGAAGTAGGGAGATTGCTGTACCATCAATCATTAAATATTTATTGAGCAGTTCATTATGTGCCAGGTACTATGCTAGGCAATACTACAGTGTGGAAGACATGCAGGTCGCCGCCCTCATAGGATCCAAACTGTAGTAGAGATACAGGCAATTACACAAGTGATGATCACATGGTGGGATAAGTACAATGATGAAGGACGTACTAGGCACCATAGGAAGGCTTCCCGGAGGAAGTGACATCTAAACTGAACACTGCAGGAAGAGTAGCTGTTAGCTGGGTGAGCAGGGCTTGGGATGGGGGTGGAGTGTCCCAGACAAAGGGAGCAGAGTGAGCATTAGCCCAGGGGAGCAGGAGGCAAACAGGACTGGGGAGCAGCTGAAAGGTGGAAGAACATCAGGTATGTCAGGTATGAACATCAGGAGCACCAGCCAATGGAACCACTTCCTCATTCTCCCCAAGGGACTCCTCCTCAGTGGACACCTGTTGTTTTTCTCTGCCCAGACTCATCCAGTCTTCTTTCTTTGGGAATAGCCCCCTAATTTTATTTTGAGGAAATCCCCCAAATTCCCCTCCACTATTCTCAGTACACGTGGTTCATGGGAGTTTGACATCACCCCACAATCCTGGGGTGGGCATGAGACCCTGGCCTGGCCAATCCGTAAACTTATGTTCATCTGGCCATAGGAAGCTCAGCTAGGCCAATTAGATGCTACCCTAGGGCTTCACTGGAAACACTGGGAAGGGAGTGTTTTCTTTCCACTGGAGGGTGGGGAGAGGCTAATGGGAGGAGAATTTGCAGTGCTAGGGACCATTTTTGTCACCACATGGGAGAAGCCTGCCAGATCATGAAGTCCACACAGAGGAAAACAAACCAGAAGTGGGAGAGAGACTGATTCTCAAAGGTGGATGGATGGATGGATGGATGGATGGATGGATGGATGGATGGATGGATGGATTGGAAAGAGTGGGGAAGGAAGGTAGGAAGAGAAGGAAGGAGGGAAAAGGGTAAAATGGGGGAGGCATAGTTCTACTGCCTCTGATCTAGTGAGTATATTGGCGGGGAGAACAGCTACACCTTCAATTATCAAATATTTATTTATGTGTCAGGTACTATACCAAATGCACTACAGTCAAAATACAGTATAGAAGACAGTTGGGGTCTCTGGCCTCACAGAGTACACGCCGTACTGGTGAGACAGACAAATCAGTGTGTGAGCCCCTGGATCCAGTTAGACCTGAGCTACATGTTCATGTGATTCAACAGAGTGTCATTTTTATCTAAGCCAGTTTGCACCAGATTCCAGTCCCTTGCCACTAAACAAATTGCAAAAGGCAGACTTCCTTCCCTTTCAGCCTCCCCAACTACCCATATCAGTCCTGATCCCAACCGGCCAGGCTCAGTGCAGTGACTCAGGAGCAGTGCTGACTGGGCGGAGGCTCCCTCCAGCATCCCGGGTGCTGCTTCCCACCGCGCTAAGTGCTGCTCCTTCTGCCCCTCTCTGCACCCAGGAACTGTCCACTGTCGATCAGATACCATCTCTTCTCTGGCACCTTCCTGATACTCAGTAGATTTCATCACCCCCTCTTCCATGTTCCCACACACTGTCATATCCCCACTAAGGCACCTGTCATAGTGTGCAGCCACATCTCGTGGTCTGGATATGCTGATGATCAATACATGTATTCTTAGTGAATGGGTGTCTGGGCAGGACAGCAGAAAGAGAAGGGAAGGTTACCTAGAGGGAAACCTCTTCCATTCTGCTTAGGACCAGTTCCGTCCCTGGATGACACTGTGCACACACCCTGGCTGGCAGGCTGTGACAGCCCCGCAGAGCTGCCCTGCCCTAAGTCTGAGCCAGGACCCTGGTCTCCCTTCCAGGGCACAGTGGCATGAAGATCAATGCCCGGCAGGAGCCTCAGTATTCCTCAAACTCCACACCTTCATCCCACAGACGGGGGAAACCGAGTGTCAGAGCCCCACTATCTGGCACTGGGTCAGTGTTGCCACTTGTGTTAGCAAGGTGACTTTCGGTGTCATGGGAAGGAAACACTGCCAAACTGGACACTAGTAACACAGCAACCGAGGTGACATAGGGCTGGAGGAAGAGTCAGGAGATATGCTTCTCTCTGTGTATCTTCTTGCATTGTTTACTGTACTGTTCTTCACCCCTTTCAGCTCTCTGAGGATCCTTTGATTACATCAGGAGGAAAAAACAGTCGTGCCCACACATCTTCAAAGCTTCTCGCCTGCTGCTCTGGCAGGCACAAGCTTGAATATACAACACTGCTTGATTTTCACTTAACTAACAGAACGCTTCTATTTATACCAAACTGTGTTTCATCTGCTAATGTGAAGTATCATTTCCTTCCACAATAAATGCAGGTTCGTAGTTTATTTTTTAACTTTAAATTTTAATTCTTTTTAAGACGGGGTCTTACTCTGTCCCCCAGGCTGGAGTGCAGTGGTGCAATCACAGCTCACTGCAGTCTTCACCTCCCAAGCTCAGGTAATCCTCCCACCTCAACCTCCCGGGTAGCTGCGACTATAGGTACCCGCTAACATGCCTTGCTAATTTTTTGTATTTTTTGTAGAGAGAGGGTTTTGCCACGTTGCCCAGGCTGGTCTTGAACTCCTAGGCTCAAGCGATCTGCCTGACTTGGCCTCCCAAAGTGCCGGGATTACAGGCGTGAGCCAAGCCCAGCCCAGATAAGTAGTTTCTATATAGTCATATAAATAGTTTAATGTATTTATATCACTAGTGTAGGGGAGCGCTTAAGCACTCGGAGTCTGGAGCAGGTTCTGCTGTTTCCCCTCTGGGCAACCCTGAGCTGGCCACCTGGGCTCTCTGTGCCTCAGATTTCTCATCCCTAAGACGGGCGTGGTCATAATGCCACCTACCTCAAAGGGTTACGATGAGGATGAAATGGATCGGTACATGTAAAGCATTTAGACCAGCCCCTGGCCTTCAACAAGCACTGTACATGATTGGAGGCTCTAGTTATTCTTGAGATGAAACAATCTCCAAAATATACCTATGAACGCAAAGCAAGATGCAGAATAGTAAGTACAGTTGTCACCACTTGCATAAAACAGGAATGTGTGGGATATGCCCAAACGTGTGTGCTGATTGATGGCTAAAAGGTCTCTGGAAGGAGACATGGCTAACTGGACACTAATAACCTAGTAACTGAGATTATACGGGGATGGAGAAAGAGTCAGGAGACATGCTTCTTCCTGGGTACCTTCTTTTATTGTTTAATTACTGTCTTATTTTTTTAACCAAGTGTATGTATCTTCTATTTCTAAATTTAAATATTAAACAATTTTTTTAAAGGAAAGTCATCCAGCTCAAGTATGGAGCCAGCATCACAGAGAGCAGGCCCGGAGAATGGGAAACGAAGGAGGAGGTGGCTGCACGTTTTCCAGCGAAACATTCTTAGGGCTCTGGCTGGCCCAGTGGAGATGGGGAATGGAGAAGAAAGATTCCAAACTATGTAGGAAAAATATTTATGCCTCATTCTTTCATAAAAGACACAATGACTCAGGACTCAGGTTTGCTAGGCACTGGGCTATACTCTATGACAATCACTCTCCCCAGAATAATCCAGACAAATGAACTGGCAGCAGCCCCATGTTCCAGGGAGGGACTGGGCTCAGGGAGTTTGTGTGGCAGGGCCTTCAAGTTAGGTCCAGCTGACTCTAAAACCTGTGCTCTTCCAGCACGCAGGGCTGCTTTCCACTAATTAACTAACACTGGGGGAACTTAAAAAGGGAGGGGAGGTCAACTTAAAGAAAAATATTCAGTAAATGACAGAGGGCCCAAAGATAGGATGAAGCTGTGGGGCTGTACCTGAATGTCATCCTAGAAAGACACGCAGTGAGCCCAGGGTGGAGCTGGGACCAGAACTCAGGCTCCTGGGCTCCCAGTCTCAGCTCTCTCCACCATCCCCATCTCTGAGGGAAGTCATGAGGAGGGAGACACCTTTGCCAAGATTTGCCTGTTGGCCCAGAGTTGATGTCACATCCCTGAGCCCATACACAATCAATCAAGGCTTGAACAAGTCAAAGGTAGAGTGATTCATGGCTCCAGTTAGGGTCTACCTGTGACCAGCTGCTACTGGGTATGAATGGACACTCCTCAGGCCCTCCCCACATGGCAAAGAACAAAGTCACTGGGCCTCTCCTGCAGCCCTGGGCTTGGAAGGCCAGCCCACAGTTTGGAGCAGAGCTGCTGAACACAGAGGAAGAGACAGGTGGGGGGACACTGGACGTTCACTAGTTACTGACACACATGCATTTCATAATATAGAAATATATTGAAAATCTGAACACATTTTTAGCCGAACAGTGAAAACACAGTGGGGCTTACAGTTTGTGAGTTGTTTTGTTTTGATTTGCCTCTTCTAGAAGGATTGCCATACTGGTCCACGTTCTTTACCTCTGCCCTTTTTTTCTCCCAGGCCAATACATGAACAAGAACTATATTGTGTTGGGCTGATGGGAGTTCGAGGGAAAAGAAGTGGAGTGGGATATATGTGTGCGCACGCTTGCATATATGTGTATGTACATACAAGCACGTGAATGTGCATATGTGCTAGTGTGTGGTGCATGTCAAACTGCACATGCATGTATGCAAGTGTGTGTGTGTGTGTGCGCGCGCACATATGTGCATAAACACCCATGCTAGCATGTTTTAAAGAGGAGGGTGCCTCAAGGTGCTAAGGGCTGAGCAGATAAGGACTGGGTGATAAGGACTAGGCTTATTGAGTGAGTGAATGAATAAATGAATGAACAAAATGCCTGGCCTTGCAGTCTCCTCTGCATCCTTCCTAGCCCCAGATAGAGACAAGCCTTTTCTCTAAAGCAAGTGATGGGTGGCCTTTAGCATTTATCTCCACCATCATTATACCCTGTAGGACCCCCGGAACAGACCACCACCACCTCCCTTACAGAACTTTAAGAAGAAAAAAAGTGGAGTTTACTGGAAAATCCTTTCTCTGCATTATTTGTTCCTCAGTGACTGTGGTAATGACCCTAGGGCTGAGGGAGGAGGGGGACTGTAGACTTGTATAACCAGGCATGGTAACTAGAAAGTGCTCAAAAGAAATCCCTAGCAATGAAGCATGAATTTGGGGCACATAGTGCCGCCAGCAGCTGGGTGGCTGGAGTGAACTGTTTGCAAAGAGGATTGTGATCATTACTGGCATGGCTGCAGGCATGGCCCTTTGCATTGTGACTCTGTAAGGGGAGGGGGCCTTGCTTTTCTAACCCAGGACTCTGGGCTTGGCTGTGTAACTTGCTTTGGCCAATGGGATATTAGCAAATATGACACAAGCAGAAGCTTGAAAAGTGCTTGCACATTGGGATTTGCTCACTTTGGGCTCTTTTTCTTTTTTTAATTGACCAGAAAACTGCAGCCACAGGAGTGGCCCCAGTTGAACCCTGCCCAAATTGCTGACCCACAGAATCACGAGCACAGAAAATTGTGGTTGTTCTAAGTCACAGAGTTTCGAGGTAGTTTGTTACACAGCAACTGATAGCTGAAACAAAGGCTTTAAATAAGTCACTTCTCTGTGCCTCCATTTCTTTATCTGTAAAAATGTAAGAGTGTTAATTAAATAATATATATAAAATACCTAATACAGAGTGAGATGCATCATAAGCACTCATGAAGTGGCTACAGATGTTAGGATCATCCCTGTTTGGCAACAAAGAGGAGAGCCAACGAGGTTAATTGATTTGGCCAAGCTCGTAAGTGGTGCAGCAGGAATTCAAATCCAGATCTGTCTGTGATCAGTGTGCACTGCTGTGATCCTGCATTGCCTTCCCTGTTGAGAACTCCTTCTCTCTTCCTCTCATTCCCTCTGCTTCTTTAATTCCTACCCATCCAAAGGCACCAAGCTCAAAGCTCACCCTGGAACACAGTAGCCCACTTTTCTGAATCTTTTTCCTTCTTGTTCTCCCTCCCTCCCTCCCTCCTCCTCTCAACCCATCTCTCACACATGTGCATCTCCCTCAACTAATACACACCCATCTCCTCCTATGTGTGTGCATGGTTGGCCAGGGGCTCTGGGCACACTGTGGGGAACAAAGTCCAGCCCCACAGAGCTCACAGGCGAGTTACACAGCCAAGCCCAGAGGTACCTCCTCTGTGAGCCCACATGTCCAGCACATACTAGGCTCTGACTTGTGTTGTAGCAACAGTTCACACACTACTCTTTTTATATTATTATTATTATTATACTTTAAATTCTAGGGTACATATGCACAACGTGCAGGTTTGTTACGTAGGTATACATGTGCCATGTTGGTTTGCTGCACCCATCAACTCGTCATTTACATTAGGTATATCTCGTAATGCTATCGCTCCCCCAGTCCCCCACCCCCTCCCCCTCCGACAAGCCCCAGTGGTTCACACACTACTCTTATCTCTCTGCCCAGATTCCAAACTCCTTAGGAGTAAGACCAGTTTCTTTCATGTATTCATCCCTCCCTCCTCCCTCCTTTGCTTCAGTGAGCACCCTGGAAGCACCAAGGATGTACAAGACTCTGACAGAGACAGACTCTGAATATTCATGATCCCCCACTGTGCCCTACTGCAGCTCTGGGCCCACAGCATGTGGCCCCAAATGCTTGAATTTAACTGAGTTTCTGAGTAACTACTAAAGACTCAGTGTGCAGGCAACAAATGATCGAATTTAACTGAGTTTCTGAGTAACTACTGAAGACTCAGTGTGCAGTCAACAAATGATCTTCACAAGGGGTGTGCTGGCACCATGAGGATCCCACTCTTCCAAAGGAGAGAGCTAGGACCCTTCTTCCTCCACTAGCTTCTGGTGACCCTCACCAGGCTGCTGTGGAAATGGCAAGGCATGGCTTGTCCTGTTGGGGCCTCAGCCACCCTGCCTGGCCTGTGTCTCCAATACCAGCGGCATTTCTGTCCAGCCATCCTGCCCTGCAGCCAGCACAGGGAGGTGTGCATGGAGCACCTGCTGGATTCAGGCCACTGTGCTGGGCACTGGGACCTTGAAGGACACAGAGAGATGCCACTGTCCTCCTGATCTCTGACCATCACCTGGCCTTGTCCAGTCTACAAACCACAGAAAGGTGACCATCCCTGTTTGTCACAGGTGAAACTGACAAGTGAAGGGACTTGCCCAAGGCCACACAGCTGGGTTCAAATGGAGCCTTTGGGCCTTTCATGCAGTGTTTCTCAGCCAAGACCTGACTCCCAGGGAGTTTATACTCCAACATGTTGGGAGACGGGATATAGACAATAAAGATACAAGAGATTTTGGTACATCTGCCATAGGAACTTGAAGCCGAGAGGTAATAACATTCTGAAGGTGGCGAGGTTTGGTCTGAGTTTGAAAAATGAGCATGACACTAACAGGTAGGTATAGACAGCAGGGATTGCAGGGAAAAAGCAGCAGAGGGGGAAGGTATTTGGTGTAAATAGAGGGCACCAAGAAGAGGAGCCCCGCTGGAGGTCACAGCAAAAGTAAGAGACCTAGGTGGGAATGAATGGGGGGGTCCCAGGACATTGGGGCTAAGTTGTTTTGACACTGTGGAGGAAAGTGATCCATTCAAAGTGGAGCCTGAGGAACATAAAAAGGACCTAGACTGGGGAGCACCTGGTCTAGCCAAACTCGCTGCAGAATTCTGAGCACGACAATCCCATTCGGTTTACCAGGCTTGCATTATTTATCACCACCCTTCCCCCCACCGTGAGTATGTACAACAGCCTACCTCACACCCATCAAGGAGGAGCCAATGATAGTGATGATGATGATAGTGACACTCAGAACTTCTGGTACAGAATGCTCTTTTTTTCTCTATGTTCTAAGCATCCATTGCATACAGGATCTCCTCGAATTCTCACAGGGACGTGCACTAAGCAGGTACTAGTATTTCTACTTAACACCTGGATTTGAACCCAGATCTCTGGCTTCAAAATCTGTGCCTTAACCCAGCAGGCTGTTCTGCCCCCCAGTGACCAGCTGATGCAAAGCAATATGCATTCTCAAGCAGCAATTCTTCCTTTACCCTAAGAATGACTCAACTAAAAACTACCCACAACTCAAGTTTTGCTTCTTAATTTGGAATCACAGAATTAAAAGTTTCAACTTTTATCTAAGAACTCTCAGCCCCGTTTTACTGATTGGGAGACTGAGGCCCAGGAAAAAAAATGCCTTGCCTAGAGTTCCGTAGCTTGTTGGGATCTGAGGCAGGCTTTCTGACCTGAGGTCCAGGCCCTCCCGCAAAGGCTCTCAGTGCCTCTGAGGAATTTACCACCTGCTGGCCACACAGGATATAAACACAGAAAGATAATAAAACCAAACAGAAGGGGCTTCTCACAGACTGCTGTTCTTTCCCCTCATACCAGGGATTTTCAAATACAATTTTACCAGCAGATTCTCCCCAACACACAAACAAACACACTTTTCATGAAATGCTATATAGGGCACCTATCTATTTAAAACATAACCATTCTTCTCTGTTCTGATTGGGTAGGATTGAGGGGCCTGGAGCTCTACCTGCTGGGTCTACCCACCCCACTCCCCATATCTCTCCATGGGGTCCCCACATTCCTCTTGAGGAAGCCGTAGGCTCCTCAAAGCACAGTCTGAAAGTTCCTGCATCATCACCTCATGTGTTTGTGTCCCCATTTGCTCACCTTCTTGGATTCTAAAACTCATCTCAAGCACAGTTAGATGTTGACTCCAAGCAGGTAACAAAGTCAGCCGTGGACCACACTGTGATGTTATGAAACTATGCCTTGGAGATGGCAATGCAGGCTCACCCCATGACCTCCCGTGATCCTCGGAACCGTGCTCCATTTTGCAGATGCACAGACTGAGACCCAGACAAACTGCCCACCTGCCTATGGTCCTACAGTTGGTAAGGAGGGGCCTCTGCTGGAGCCTGTGCTGCCTCACTCCAAAACTCACATCCCTGCCTTCAGGAGCCTTCACACTCACACTCCCCCGGCCTTGACTTTGTGCCCTCTGTTCTTGCAGGTAACACGCCCCACAGCGGCAGGTCGTTTGAATCTCTCGTGAATTTTGACAAACTAGACAAGCCCAGGCCCTGCCCCAGATGTACAGAATCAGAAGCTGGGGCTGTGAGTCATTACATCCTGACACGATGACCCACTGTCACTCAGCATAAAACGCAGCAAAAAAGGCCTGGGGTCATTCCAGACCTCTGTTTTGCTTCCCTCCAGCTCTGGTGATGAAGACAGAGACCCAATCCCAAAACAGCAGTGAGCCTGGGCAGAACTTACTGTGTAGAGCTCATTGGTCACCTTCAGGAGCTCCTCGTGCATCTGCAGGCCAATCTCCTTGCTCTGGAATGTGGAAGAACAAATGTCAGCGGGGGAGAAGTTTGCTGGCTACATTTACCAATCTCTTTTCAAAAGCGAAAGGTCAGGAATGTTTCGGGTGGGGTCAGAAGGGGTACAGAAATCAGCATAAATTTCATTGATCTACAACAACATAAATTCCTCAACTATGTCCATGAAACAAACCCACAGAGAGAGGTTCCTTGCAGATGGGATTCCCTGATCATATGAGTTGGAGAACCCTACACATCATTTCCCTACCACAGTGACTCACAGTGACAGTAGCATATTAAAGATGTGGGGAAGCCCCACAGAATTTTTCTTTAATTCTACGTGTACTAAGCTGGTATGACCAGGGTCTGAGCTCCTTGCACAATCCTCATGAATGGCTACAGAGTGGGGTTCCATAGAACACACTTTGAGAAACAATGATTTGGCATCCCAATTCCTCTTGAGAGTAAATGATAATTCTCAAGTCCTCCAGGAAAAATCTCAGGTCCTCCAGAATATGAGTCCCCAGCCTCCAGGCCACAGATCAGTCCATGGCCCACTAAGAACCAGGCCACACAGCAGGAGGTGAGCGGTGGGTGAGCGGGCATTACCATCTGAGCTCCTGTCAGATCAGTGGTGGCATTAGATTCTCATACGTCCTCGAACCCTGGTGTGAACTGCGCATGTGGGGGATCTAGGTTGCACGCTCCTTATGAAAATCTAATGCAGGATGATCTGTCACTGTCTCCCATCACCCCCAGATGAAACCATGTAGTTGCAGGAAAACAAGCTCAGGGCTCAGGGCTCAAACTGATTCTACATTACAGTGAGTTGCATAATTATTTCATTATATATTACAATGCAATAATACAGAAATGAAATACACAATAAATATAATGTGCTTCAATCATCCCGAAACCATCGCCCCACCCTGGTCCATGGAAAAATTGTCTTCCACAAAACTGGTCCCTGGTGCAAAAAAGGTTGGGGACCACTGCTCCAGAAGATGTTTCCTGAAGGCTTGTCTTCCTTGACTGAGAATCAGCAGCTGGCACCCACTTGGACATCGCCTTCCTAGCTTTCAAGGACTGGTTACAACAGATGCCCTAACCTTAGTTTGACTCCAAATTTCAGCTCAGCCCTCCCCAGTGCTGGTCCCCTGGTCTGCCTAATCTCATCTTACCATTGCCTAGATCCTGACACAGTCGCAAGTCCACACTCTCAAGATGTCTCTTCCAATGAGGAACAGGAGAAGTACAGGTTGGCAGAAAGGCCTCTGGGGCACAAGGCAAAAGATCTAGCTTCTCATTTCCACTGTTGGCTGTGTGGCCTTGGAGAATCACTTCCCCCTTTGAGCCTCAGCTACCTCACCTATCAAATAAAAAGCTTAAACTAAAACAATACTTTCCAAAGCATGGTCTGAAGATCACTGCTAGATGCTATGCTAAAAAGGGGGAGCAGGGGCTTCTAAGACTACATGCATTTGAGAAAAAGCTAATTGAACAAAGGTAGACAAGTTTTCTTAATGCAGGACTTCTCAGTGCCTTTCATGTCCTTCCTTGCATGGAGACTTTCTAAGAAGGAGGTATAGTCTGTAGTTTCATTGACCACAGTCCTATTTCCATGAAGTGGCTTTCATGATATTTAAGGACACAATTCAGAAAACAATGAGAAAATTATCTCTAGGTTCCATGCAGCTTGAAGAGTCTAGAATTCTTTGTTATTTTATTTATGATTGTGATTATGATTTTGGTAAATATTCTCTGCTATAATCTGAATGTTTGTGTCTCCCTCAAAATTCCTATTTTGAAATCCTAACCCCCAATGTGATGGTATTAGGAGGTGACGTCTTTGGGAGGTGATTAGGTCATAAGGGTGGAGCCCTCAGGAATGGGATTAGTGCCTGATATGGTTTGAACCTCTGTTCCTGCCAAATCTCATGCTGAAATGTAATTCTCAGCATTGGAGGCAGAGCCTGGCAGGAGATGTTTGCATCATGGGGGTGAACGGCTCAGTGACATCCCCTTGGTGTATTCTGAAGTGTGTGGCACCTGCGCCTCTCACTCTCTCTCTGTTGCTCCCACTCCTGCCTTGTGAAATGCCTGCTCCACCCTCACCTTCTACCATGATTGGAAGCTTCCTGAGATCTCACCAGGAGCAGATGCCTGTGCTATGCTTCCTGTACAGCCTGCAGAACTGTGAGCCAATTAAACCTCTTTTCTTTACAAATTACCCGGCCTCAGGTATTCCTTTACAGCAATGTAAGAACAGACTAATACAATGCCCTTAAAGAGACCCAAGACAGCTACCTTGCCCCTTCCACCATGTGAAGACACAGCAAGAGATTGCCCTCTATGAACCAGGAAGCAAGCTCTCACCAGACATCAAATCTGTCAGTGTCTTGCTCTTAGACTTCCCAGCCTCTAGAACTGTGAGAAATACATTTCTGTTGTTTATAAGTCACCCAGTCTACGGTATTTTGTTATAGACACCTAAAAGGACCAAGACATTCTCCCTGTTTGCCAAGACCATCGTGTTGAGTTTCTGTATCGAAAATGGGAGCCGTGATCTTGGCTCCCTGAGCAGCTGCAGCCTCCTGCTCTTCCTCCCAGTTCCTTCAGCCTCATAGCTGGACCAGCTGCTAATGGGCAAAGAACAGCCTTCCTCTCACCCTTGCAGAGGTGAGAAGCCTCTGAATCCAGTGGTAGCTCATGAAGGCTTAATATCAGAATGATGCCTTCTCAGGCTCCTTCTCCTCACCCCCCACAGCCCTTTCTCTCAGCTTCCGGGCCTGGCTTGCCAAGAATCACCCCTCTGAAGGTGGTCTCTGCTTGTGCCAGACCCCTTAACAGACAGCAGAAACCTCGGAGGCAATTCCAGAGACCTATTTACACCTCCCTCCAGCTTCGAGAGGGTGTGGAGAACCTTCTGTGCAGAGCTCACTGGGGACCTTCAACAGTGTCCTGTGATTTCTGTACTGGTGCTCTATGAACCCAATTAGCTATCCCCATTTCCTATTCTCCATGACTCTCTCAAGTGAACAATCAGTGCCTCAGTTTCCCCTGTGGCCCCTCCCCCTGATGTTTCCCCATCACTGCTGACTCCAGATTCTCTGACACTCTCCAGTGGCCTCCTCTTGGTCCTCAAACTCCCCAACACCTTTGACACCCAAGACCCTATTTCTTATGTGTTTATTTTTATGATCTTTTTACATAGGTAATAAAGGCACATGGTTAAAGAAATTCTAACAGCCAGCAGGTAAAATGGAAAGAATAAGTCTCCCAAGGCTCCTCCTTGTCCAGAGGCAACTGCTACAAAAAATTTCTTCTGATACTTTCCAGAAATAATCTATGAATAAACAAACATATATTTGCATATCATATGTTCTCTCTTAACACAAATGGGAGCATATCATACACACCTTTGCATCTTTTCACTTAACGATATCTCTGAGAAATTTTTCCATCATGTAACTTTTATATCCCCTTTTTTGCACAGCTGCTTGGGATTCCATATACCAGAGGCATCATAATTAATTTAGCCAGCTCCTTAGGGATGGATATTTACATTGCCTCCAGCATCTTATTATCTCAAACATTGATGCTGTGAACATCCTTGTGTGCTGTCACTGTGCATATGGGCAGGGACCCCATCCTAGAGGCAGTTCTGCTGGGAAGAGTCCTGTCTTCAGAATTCCCTCCAGCCTTCCCTTCTTGGTCCCTGCTGCAGCTGGCTCCCTCACACGCTCCTGACTCCAGTTCCCACTTCTTGGTGACCAGAAGCCATGTCATCATCTCCCAGGCCTCTCTCCTGGGTTCTGTCCTGCCCAGGAGACCTTCAGCCCAAGCTCAAAGACCTGTATCCTTAGCTGCTGCAAAACAGTATGGTCTAGATGTCCCCTCATCCCCGCAAACTCAAATTATCCAAAGGTGAACTGTTCCCCCATCCCTTCAATTTTGGTCAATGCGATAGTATCTTCCTGGGCTTGTCAACTGGATACCTAGGAGTTCTATTTGATACTTTGTTTAATCTGTCTTTCTCAATCCAATCTGTTACTGGGTCCTGCCTGCAAACTTTCCAATTATTTGTTGTGAGTAGCAGGCAAGCTGGCCTCCCCCACCTCCCAATATCCATTCTTGCCCTTCCTATTTCCTAAGAGAGCCATGAATTTGCCCAGGAATTCATTCCTCCAGGAGAGTTCTTCAAGGGAAGCTGGAGGCCATCCCAACTCAAGACGGTGGATTCTGGTGTGTGTTATTAGTCCAGAGGTGAGTATGTGACTTAACTGGATGGAAGAGAAAGACTTCTGTGGTCAAATGGAAAGTTTTAGCTTTTCTACTGAGTGCTGGCAAAAAAAGAAAAAAGAAAGAAATGCATGTAGCCCAGTTGCTACCAGCAGGCATCTTAGAACCAAAAGAGGAAGCAGACTTAGGATTAATGACCTTCTGGACAATTGATTGGACTGAAGACCCACAGCCTGCCTCCCAGTGAACTTCCACTTCTGTAGCTTTATTGATCAAGTCACTTTCAGCTGGGGTTTTCTGTTACTTGCAGCCAAAAGCATCCTAAGGGATTCAGTCCTATTTTCCACTACCAGTTCCCGTAGCAAGCATATCATCACCACAGACCCAGATTCACTTTGTTAAGAGGCACCTCTTACCAAAATCCTTAGCTCTTGTGTCTTTGAGTTTACAGTCCATTCTGCAGGCCTGTGCCAGTGAAATTTCCTGGAAATGGACTTATCCTATTCCTCCAAAGCCTCCTCATTGTCTACAGAATCAAGCCCCAGTTCCTTAGCTTGAATTTTGAGTCAAGCTAACTCTACACGACTAGCACAGGCCTGTTGGGCAGCAGAGGGGATGACTTTGGGGGCCACAGAGACCTGGTTTGGAGGCAGGGCTTTCAGTCATTCAACCTATTGGCATCTTAGCTTTCCTGACTGTAAAATGAGCACCTTGTTATGTCTTCTCTGCACTTGTAAATGATCTTGTTTGTTTATTTGTTCATTCATTTATCATTTGCTTCCCTTGCTTCAATGTCAGCCCCATGAGGGCAAAGAGACTTTCTCTCTGGCAATGAATGCTCAGGCAGACAGCCCTCAGCTGAGAGCACCCTACAGGGATGGCCTCAGAGGACACAATGACACCAAGTATACACCTCCTTCTCAGTGTAGTCCTTGCCCAAAGACTGATCATTGTGGGGCAGAGAGGTCAGCCTCTTCCTGTCTCAACTCAGACAGCTCTGAGGAGTCATTCCATCTTCAGAACTCCCTGCTTCTACACTGTTGGTGGGAGTGTAAATTAGTTCAACCATTGTGGAAGACAGTGTGGCAATTCCTCAAAGATCTAAAGTGAAAAATACCATTTGACCCAGCAATCCCATTACTGGGTATATACCCAAAGGAAATATAAATTGTTCTACTATAAAGACACATGCATGTGTATGTTCATTGCATCACTATTCACAATAGCAAAGACTTGGAATCAACCCAAATACCGATCAATGATAGATTAGAAAAAGAAAATATGGTACATATATACCATGGAATACTATGCAGCCATAAAAAAGAATGAAATCATGTCCTTTACAGATATGAATGAAGCTGGAAGCCATTATACTTAGCAAACTAACACAGTAACAGAAAACCAAATACCACATATTCTTACTTATAAGTGGGAGCTAAATAATGAAAACACATTGATACATACAGGGAAAAACACACACTGGGGCCTATCGGAGGATGGATGGTGGGAGGAGGGAGAGGATCAGGAAATATAACTAATGGATACAAGGCTAAAAACCTAGATGATAAAATAATTGGTATAACAAACTCCCATGACACACGTTTACCTATGTAACAAACCTGTACATCCTGTACATGTACCTCTGAACTGAAAATAAAAATTTTAAAAAAGCTCCCCACCAGGCTGGCTAGGACTTCTAGTAAGGCAGCCTGCATCACAGCTCGACCTTACCCTGCTGCCTCACCTGCCTTCCCAAGTGGCTGATCCAGAGAACACTCCTTCATCGTTCCCCTAGAAGCTAAATTCAGATGTCCCAGGGTCTGCTTCCTGGGGGACCCAATCTGCAATATCTTATTTCCCTATTCCTGCATTTCTGCAATGCAACAGAGTCTGCCACAGAGTACGTGCTCATTAAATATGTTTGCTTGGCCAGGCATGGTGGCTCGCACCTGTAATCCCAGCACTTTGAGAGACTGAGGCAGGCAGATGACCTGAGCCCAGGATTCGAGACCAGCCTGGGCAACATGGTGAAACCCTGTCTCTATCAAACATACAAAAAATTAGCCAAGTGTGGTGGCACACACCTGTAGTCCCAAGGGAGGCTGAGTTGGGAAGATCATTTAAGCCTGGTAGGTAGGGGTTGCAGGGAGCTGAGATTGTGCCACTGCATTCCAGCCTGGGTGACAGAATGAGACTGTTTCAAAAAAAAAAAAAAAAAAAAACCATATATACGTATGTGTGTATATATGTGGGTGTGTATATGTGTGTGTGTATATATATAGGTACACACATATCTACATAAATATACACATATATACACCCACATATACATATATGAAATACATATTATATGTATCTGTATATTATATATGTATACATATATACACACACATCTACACATATACATATAATATGTATTTTATATGTATATATGTATTACATATACATATAATATGTATTTTATATGTATATATGTATTACATATACATATAATATACATATACATATAGGTATAGTACATATGTATACATACTATACACATATGTATATTATGGACAAGGCTAGGAAGTTGCCCAGAGAAGGGAATATAAAATTGAATTTTTTAGTAACTCTTCCCTTAAGAATCTCCCAGTTTGCTGGGGTAGAGTCAAGAACACAATTCTAAGGCAGGAGGCGGAAAGGGCCATACAAGAGTAAATATACATATACGTATATTATGTATGCATATGTAACATACATATACATATAAAATACACATTATATGTATATGTGTATATATGTGTGTATATATATTTATATGTGTGTGTGTATATATATGTGTTTGCTGAATGAATCTATGAACGAATGAAGTGACAGTTCCTCTAAGACTTAGTTTCCTTATCTGTAAAAGTGAGATGATGTCATGGGTCTCATGGAGTCCCTGTGAGCATGAAAAGAGATAACACACATGGCAGCACCTAGCACCATATGAGGCACAGATGAAGTCCCGGGGAAATAGCAGTACAGGCTGAATCAACACCCACGAGATGCCAAGGACAAGGCTAGGAAGTTGCCCAGAGAAGGGAATATAAAATCAAATTTTTTAGTAACTTTTCCCTTAAGAATCTCCCAGTTTGCTGGGGTAGAGTCAAGAACACAATTCTAAGGCAGGAGGCGGAAAGGGCCATACAAGAGTAAAGGATGGTGTGATGTGAGATGAAGTGATGAAGAGGATTAAGGGGATACTTCCAAGGCCTTCTTAGCTTGCATGAATGGCTGGAGACAGCCTTCTAGGCAGGAGGCACGGAGACTGGGGATGGTGAAAAGACTGGTTCATGAAGAGAGAAGCTCGGCCACAGGTGAGCAGGAGATAAGCCTGAGACAGAGGTTGGGTCAGATCACAGAGGCGGATAGAGTACAGGCTTCCTTCAGAGCAGGACTGGGAACTACTGAGGGTTGTTGAGCAGAAGTTTAAGATGACCAGGGCTACGCTTCAGGAAGGTGAAGACACCAGTGAATGGAGGGTGGGATGAATGGGAGGAGCTGGAGATCGGGTTCTTGTATCTCTTCCCCAGGACTGTAAGCCGCCAGAGGGAACCAGCCCAGGCCTCTCTGCTCACCAACTCCCCAGTATCAAGCCCTGGACTGGCCACAGAGTAAATGCTCAGCAAATACTCAATTGCACAAGACTCAAAGGCGTTCTTTCTATTTTTGGCTGGGGTTGATTGGGAAGGGAAATATTCTCAACTATGGTTCCAGAAACTACTGAATGAGGAACTCAAACCAAACTTTTCACCAGGAACAGGAAACCCAAACCCTGTGATCTCCAGCGACACCATACCCAGCCCTTAGGAACCTAAGTGATAATGTATTCGCTCTCACTGCCCACATTTTCCACACTACTTTCATGCCTGCAGGGGTCAGGGTGGCAGGCTGCTTCCTTCATGCACAGGGAGTGTGTGGACAGTGGAAAACGGTGACATGGGGCCAAGGAGGGCTCAGCCATGGCAGCTATGGCTCCTCCAGATTGACGGAGCACAGCCCTGTCTTTCACGCTCAAATAAGCCAGTAAAATGAGGCTGACCAATCTCAAGAGCCAGCCATCATGAATGCAGGGAACCCCAGCCCTGCCTGGTTCCTTTGCCTCTTTGCCTGTAGCTAAAGCCAGTTCAGCTCCCTTAGGGCCAGGCATTCTCTGTCCTGTGTATAGGATGTTTAGGAGCATCACTGGCCTCCACCCGTGAGAGGCCAGTAGCATTCCCTACCCCCAACCCCCAGTGTGACAACCAAAATTACCTCCAGACATTGCCAGGTGTTCCCTGGGGGATAAAACTCCCCCTCTCCTGCCCAATTGAGAAATAGTACCTTGGAACAAGGCTTCCAAGTGGCAGCTTCTCTGGCCTGCAGACATGTTTTGTTTGGCCATTCAGTGCTTTCAGAGCATCTGGATGCTTTCCCAGTGTTGAAAACTCAGGAAATTTCCTGCACAAGTCCTGATTTTCAGCGTCTCTGGTAATTCTAGAAGATCCAGCAATGCCGAGCCCCTGTTTCAAGTACGGTGGCCCCTTCGGTACGGGCTTGTGCTACTGCTGGTCCAGGTGACCACAGTGCCCAGCTTCTCCCTCCACCCAGCCATGTCCTCCGTACAGCCCACAGATGTATTTTAGTTTATGACCAGACACTGGTGAGGTCTCTCAGGAAAGGGGTGGCCTCTTATCCCTCTGTGGTCCATGTTTCACTAGCTTTGATTCCATTTACACGGGTGTTTATTGACTACCCAGTATATACCAGCCTAAACTAGGCACTAACGACACAAAGCTGAATGAGACACGGTCCCTGCTCTCAAGCCTCCCAAAGTGCTGGGATTACAGGTATGAGTCACGGTGCCTGGCCCCATTTGTTGAATACTATCCAAAGTCACTCCCATGTGTTATCTAATTTAAATATTTACAGGAACTGCTATAAGTATTCCCACTTGACAGATAAGTGGGGTGGGCGGGGGGGGGGGGGGGGCTGGAGGCTCAGAATGGCTGAGCAACTTCCCCAAGGTTGCACAGCTAGAAAGTGGCAGAGCCAAGATTCATCTTTTTGATTGGTCTGACTCCAAAGTTGGCACTCATAGCAACTTACTATAATCTGCTTCCTTAGGACCTAGTTCAAGATGCAGACACACAGTGAAAAAAAGTCATCACAATGCTGTAATGGAGATGAGTCCAGACCACAAGGAAAGTACAAAGGAGGCCCTGCCCTCCAGACACCACCTACCTGTCCAATGCACTTTCTTATCACCTGTGCAGAAATCTGCATCTCTGGGCCTTGCCCCAACTTACAAGCAGATCTCATCCTCTTTAGCTACACCTGCTCTGCTAGGAATAAACCAGACATGGTCATGTCTTGCTTCTCCCTTCCTCCTTCTACTAACAGAAGATGAGATGTTGGTGGAACAGGCTCCTGTTTGCCTGGCCACACAAGATCATCAGGCAGGGGCAGGGTCTGACCAGGCTCCAGCTCCTTGCCTTCAGTGATCAGATCAGAGACAAACACGTGTTCCAGGCTAAGCCAATGAAGAATCTTCTTTGGGACGTTTCTCATAACCACACTCTCAGATCATTTCTCCCCGGGGGTTGCTAAAAGGGTCTTCAGGAGTCTTGCACTGCCTGCAGTACCAGGCCCACTACGGCAGACAGCCAGAGCCTTTCCGTCCCTAGATCTAGTGGTGCCTAAACAAGATTCACCTCTGGACTTCATCAGTTTACAGGATCCCATACATTTTCATTTTTGCTTATTTGAAAAAATACTAACGTAATCCATGCTTATGTCAGTCTGTAGATACCGAAATGACCACTGAATGAGACGGCCTTCTGAAAACGCTCCACCAAGCATCAGCTTTCAAAGAGTTCCTGCAAAAGGACTAATTTCCCAACAATTAGAGCACACGCACCCTAAAGACCAGATCCCTGGCTTTAAAGAGTTTCCCACAATGCCGATTACGAAGACCTGCATACAAAAGGAGCTCTGTAAATGCCTGTGGATGAGCTCAGCATTGTGCAGAGCAGTAGGAAACTAGAGAGGAGTAAAGGATGGTCACCCATAACCCTTATTTCTTTGCACAAAAAAAAAAAATCAAGTGAACATTAATTCATGTCAAGATGAAATCAGCTGATGAAGTTCTTGACATACACAGCTCTGAATTAAATCATTTCCTTTGCCATGAAAATCTTGCTCTGTATGATTTGATTTTGTTTTCAATGCAGGGATCATCATGCTTTTTAGGGAAAACTCTCAAAAACCTCACAGTAGGTCCTAAGACTTTATGAGTTACATTTGAAAAGCTCTATTTCTTTTGTTGTTGTTTTTGTGAGATGGTGTCTTGCTTTGTCACCCAGGCTGGAGTGCAGTGGTGCAATCTCAGCTCACTGCAACCTCCATCTCTTGGGTTCAAGGGATTCTCCTGCCTCAGCCTCCCAAGTAGCTGGGATTACTGGCATGCACCACCACACCTAGCTAATTTTTGTATTTTTAGTAGAGACAGGTTTTCACCATGTTGGCCAGGCTGGTCTTGAACTCCTGACCTCAGGTGATCCACCCGCCTCAACCTCCCAAAGAGCTGGGATTACAGGCATGAGCCACCATGCCCAGCCTGAAAAGCTCTGTTTTTAAAGGGCGTGTGTCTATCTCCCTCAAAATAACTCAAAGACGGGTCATTTCCAGAGCTAATGTCATTCTCTATGTCTAAAAAAAAAATACCATCTTAAAATGTTGAGTTTTAAGAACAAGACCTCTCACACACACACACATACACACACACATACGCCCTTTCATTTCTCCCAATGACACCATCCTAAACAATCTTTTAGAAAATTGTAATGCAGGAGTAAGACAGGTGGCCTTTGTTAACTCTCAGTTATCCGTGCTGGGCCTCTCTTCTCCTGTCTCATCAAACCCTGCGTCAGCCAGCCCCCTGTCTCTCTTTTCTCACTCTTTGCTTGAGTAGATGTTCTCATGTTGGGTTACTCTTAGGGACATTTCATGATTTTCCTAATTCTGGGATTCAAAAACAACAACAGGAAACAAATACAACTCAACAACAACAACAACAACAACAAAATCCTTTGTCTCTTTCAGTCCTAAATGCCGACAGATCCTACCCACTTCTTCTCCACACTCTGGCTTGTTTTCTCATCAAATCACAAAACTTGAGACCCACAGATGTTCCCTATTTAAATACATGATGTATGTAAGCACGGGCCATCTCCCAAAGTGATTGTGTTTTTATTTCCAAAACAAAGGCTTAAAAGGCATGTCTCAGAGGATCAGGCTTCTCCAGCCTGTGCTGGAAGGTCCACGTACCCCTGAACACAGCAGCTCCAACAGTTAACGGCTCACTCCCATTCCTAGCCAGGACTTTGGTTGCCAATAACCGGGCTATCGGCTCTCCATCCCGGCGCCAACCTCTGCTTTCAAACATCCTCCTTAGCCGGGTTCCTGCCCACCCTCTATCCTGATCCTTGTTATTCTTCCCCTCTGCCTCCCATTTTCTTCCTTTCCCTGCTCCTGAACTCATCCCTGTTCTCTTTCCCTTCCCACACTAATTTATGCCTCCTGTTGCTGAACTCCAAATGTTGTCATCTACTCATTTTTCAAGAATGCAGATTCGAGTCCTTAGGTCTTCCTACTGTTGCCAGGGCTGGTATATTGGACTGCAAAGAAGCAGGAAGGCCTTGGAACCACCTGGACGTTCTTGGCAGTGGTGAGCCTCACTCATGCACACCCGGGAGCCCAGGCATGCACGGAGGCAGTGAGTCTAGCACCGTGGCCAGCATTTCCTTTCCCTGCAATTACTCCCAGGCTTACTTTGGGACCCTGTTTATGCTGAAAGCTTCACTTTCAGAACTGCTTTACGTAACAGGCCTGAGGAAGTCCAAGGATACCTCGGAATGGTTATGAAAAGTGACCTGACATGGTCAGGCTAGGAGTTTCTGGATCTCTACGGATAATACTAAATATTATTAATAATGGTAATACTTATTAATAATAAGTCTTAGTACAATTACTACTAATACTATGTGCTTATAATACATACCATTGTGGATAATAACAATAATAGTTATTGTTTCTTGATGTCTTAGCACGTGCCAAGCACAATGCTAACTGCTTTATGAGACAATACCTCATGTAAGCCTAAGATCAGCCCTTTATTCGAGGCACTATTGTTGAACCTATTTTGAAGATTAGAACACAGAGGCTCAGGAAGGGTGAGTAATTTGCCCAAGGCCATAGAGCTAGTGAATGTGATATTCTCAACCAAGCTGCCTCCACTGGGAAAGTTAGCTCTCTAAGCACCTTTAAGGTCTTCTTTCCCTAAACATCTAAAAATAATTCTAAAACATGAAAACTCTTCTGCCTTAGTATAGAAAGCATATTGATATTTACAAGGCTCTGCTTTAGATCATCATAAATGTCAGATAACATACAGTGCCCCGTGCCATTTTGCAGAATCTCCTGTCATCTGTTACTCAATCCTGTCCCACCCTGGCTTCCAAGTCGAGGTAGCTGGGGATGGTGTGGAAAGTTGGGCTGAATCTCTGTGGGCCCAGAACATATTCACATACTCAGGAGTAATCTTTCTTGATTGTGTCCCTGATGTCGATGTTTTATATACATATTCTCTCTCTCTCTCTCTCTCTAAGAGTCACTCACAGATCAGGAACTATGGTTGAGGGTAAGATGAGAGCCTGCATGCATGTCATGGGAAGTGACAGGGCTGTCTTCCTGAAAAGCCAGTATCTATGAAAACCTGAAGCTGCTCAGTTTTGAGAGGCTTTCTCCCTCTCTACATTATCTTCAGGATGACTATGGATGTTGTTAGGCTTATTTGTTGGTTTCAAAACATTATTGATCACTTATTACTGCTGAATCACTGACTTGAGACATCACTTTAACCTCTTTGTCATTTTATAACCTGATCTTCTGTTTCACTTGAATTATTTGTGGACAGGATGTAAATGAGGTTTGCATTGGCATTTCAAAAATGTCTCTACCTATGTATTCACCCATCTATCCACCTCTCCACCCATTTGCCCATCCACTCATATACTCACCCACCCATCCATTTATCCATCCACCCATCTATCCATCAACCTACCCATGCATTCATCCATCCTTTCTTTCATCCATCCATCTACCCATCAACCCACTCATCCACTCATCCATCCGTTCATTCATCCATCCATATACCCATCAACCCACTCATCCACTCATCCATCCATTCATCCATCCATCCATCCATCAACCCACTCATCCATTCATCCATCTTTCCTTTCCTTCCTTCCCATTCCTTTATCAATCTCCCTGATCCAGTCCCCATTATCTTTCACCACTAATATGTATACAAGTGTATATGTATAATAACATGCACCGTCCATCCAAAATCTCTTTTCAAAGCCATTAAACATACCATATCAAATTAATCATCCTTCAACTTGTCTCTGCTCATTTCACTCCCCATTCAAGAACCTTCAATGGATCTCTAATGTCTAGAAAATAAATCCCAGCTTCTCACTCTGACACCCAAAGGCTTCCTTGACCTGTCTCCAACCTGACTTTCCTTATTTTTACCTTTAATTTCCATTTTCCAACATCTAAAACATGCAGAAAAGGAGAGCGAACAATAACAAACACCCAGGAACACATCACTCAAATTAGATAACAAAATTTTGTTATTTTTGCTTCAAAATTATTTTTAGGAAGCAAAATGTTATAGATACACTAGAAATGTTCTTGGTCTCCTTCCTTCCTCCCTCTTTCCTCAATTATAATTCTGACACTGCTGTGTATTCTTACACATTCTACATTTGCATAGCTTTATTTCAGCCAGGTGTCTAACCATATGAACCATATAAACTATTCATCTGTGTTCCAAGTTTTATAAAAATATCATACTGTACCTTACTTTTTTCACCCAACATTAAGTTTTCAAGCTTTATTCACATTGATACTTGTAGATCTAGCTCCTCTTCACTATTGTATAAGATTCCATGGTGCAACTACCCACAACCTATTTAACCATTTCCCTAGCGATGGACATTTAGGTTATTTCTCTGTTTCTCTATTAGAAACACCACTGCAGCAAACATTCTCATACAGTTTTGTGTGTGAGCAGATACGCTAGAATATCTTTGGGTTATATTTAGAAGTAAAATTGTTGGGTCAAAAGGTCCATACCCCTTCCAGCACTGTTACTAGATACTGCCTGATTGTTCTCTCAAGGAGCTGGACTTATTTACATGTTTCCTGGGAACGCATGAGGGTCCTGAGGCTCCACATTCTTGCCAGCACTTAGGATTGTTTTACCTACCAACTGGGAGTCAGATTGTATCTCATTTTGTTTTATTTTACCTTTTCCTGATTACCAGTAATTGTGAGCATCTTTTCTTATATCACTGACCATTGAAGTTTCACTTTTTAATTTTTTTTCTTAGGCAGGGTCTTGCTCGGTTGCCCAGGCTGGAGTGCAGTAGTGTAATCATAGCTCACTGCAGCCTCAACCTCCTGGGCTCAGGAGATCCTCCCACCTCAGCCTCCTGAGTAGCTGAGACCACAAGCACACACCACCACACCTGGCTAATTTTTTTAACATTATTATCTGTAGAGTTGGGGTCTCCCTATATTGCCCAGGCTTGTCTTCAACTCCTGGCCTCAAGCAATCCTCCCACCTCAGCCTCCCGAAGTGCTGAGATTACAGGTGTGAGCCGCACCTGTAATCCCAGACCATATCCGGCCTAAATTTCACTTTCTGTGGCTTATCAATTTTTATCACTTACCTGTTTCTACTGGGTTGTTTTTCCTTTTCTTATTAATTTGTAAGAGCTGATTTTATATTCTGGGTGTTAACCTTTTATTGATTCTGTGTATGCCAAATATCTTCTCCTTGTCTTGGCCATATTTTCTATTTATTTATTGTTGTATGGAAGATTTTTTATTTTTATATATGAAATTAATCAATATTTTCTTTTATGGTTTGTGCTTTCTAATGTTTTCTTTAAGCAGCCTTTTCCTACACCAAGGTTTTAAATATTAAATGTAATCTACATTGTCTTTCCAAAGTCTTGAAGTGTTGCTTTTTACCTTTAGCACCTTAAGCTTTCCAGAATAAATTTCTGTAAACTAAGGTAAAGGCCTTATATTTTTCCATATGAGGAAAGTATATGTTTATGTATATATAAAATTAGCTCTTACAAATAATAAGAAAAGGACAATCAGTTGAATCAGCCCCATTTACTAAGTAGTCATCCTTTTCCCTTTGATCTGTAATGCACCACTGTCGTTTACCAAGTTTCCATTTATGGAGGGCTCTCTTTCTGGGCTCTCTTCTGTCCAATTGATCAGTTTGTCTAGCCCTGCTCTAGTAATGTCTGACTATCACTCCAGAGGAAGCCTTGATATCTGATAAGGCCAATCCTCCAACAAATACCAAAAAATGTATAACCTTGCGAGGTACAGTGGCTCATGCCTATAATTCCAGCACTTTGGGAGGCTGAGATGGGAGGATTGCTTGAGGCCAGGAGTTCAAAACCAGCCTGGGCAACAAAGTGAGACCCTGTCTGTACAAAAACTGGAAAAAAAAAATTGCAGGGTGTGGTGGCATACTCCTGCAGTCCCAGCTACTCAGCAGGCTAAGGCAAGAGGATTTCTTGAGCCCAGGAGTTCGAGGCTGCAGTGAGCTATGATCACACCACTGCACTCCAGCCTGGGCAACAGAGTGAAACCCATCTCAAAAAAACAAACAAACAAAACAAAACACAAAAAACAAAAATAAATCTTTATTGTCTTAATTTTCTTATTATGATCCAATAAATTCAGAAACTAAAAATAAGAAGGCTTTAGAAAAAAACCTTTGAAATTATTTTTTTAAAAACCCAAACCTAATTCTGAATAATTTGTAGTCAAAGAAATCATAATGAAAATTATGAAATATTTATATATGAATGACAATGACAGCATCACTTATCAAAACTTCTGGGATGCAGCTAATTTGTAGCCTCAATGGCATCAATTTTCAATTATTCTCGTTTTCTAATGTATGCATTTCAATGACATTTTCTAATTGGATGTGGCTGGCACACAGAAGCATTATTAACTTCTGTATATTAATCTTTAAGCAGCCATCTTGCTGAACTCTCTTCAGCAGCAAGTGTGACTTGCTCTTGGCTTTGATAATACCTTTTATCAGGCGGAGTTCCTATTTATTCCTAATTTGCTAAGAGTTTTTGTCTTAAATGATGAAAAATCAGAAGCATGCCTTTTAAGAGTCAAGGGTGCCACTTCCCTCCACACGGCACTGGATGAAGGTCCTAGCCAAGACAATAAGGCAAGAAAAAGAAATTAGAGGTTATAAAAGAAGAGACAAGACCACCATCATTTAGAACTAATCAGTGAGTGGTTCCTGAGCATATTTTCTTATTTCTGATCCTTTGTTTAACCTGTATGCCCTGAAAAAATTCTTCCTTCATCCCATCTCCAATCTCATTCTCATTAAATTTCTTCTCAAAGTCCAAATAATCATCCTAATAATAGCTAATATATAATATATTATTATATATTATATATAATAGCTAATTATATATTTTTTACATTATTTTGTATATATATATATATATATATATATATATATATATATATATATACACATACACACACATATATATATATTAGAGACAGGGTCTCTCTCTATTGTCCAGGCTGGAGTACAGTGGTACAATCTTGGCGCACTGCAGCCCCAAAATCCCAGGCTTAAGCAATCCTCCAGCCTCAGCCTTGCAAGTAGCTTGGACTACAGGCATGAACCACCACACCTGGCTAATTTTTAATTTTTCTGTAGAGATGCGGTATTGCTATGCTGCCCAAGCTGGTCTCAAGCTCCTGGCCTCAAGCAATCCTTCCACCTTGGCCTCCCAAAGCTCTGGGGTTACAGATGTGAGCCACCATGCCTGGCCTAATCGCTATAATATTATTTATAGATTGTTTATTGTGTACCAGGTAGACATTTCATATCATTTTTTAGTCCTTACAACAACCTTTTGATGGAGGCTATTATTAGCTCCACTTTGAAAATGACAAAACTGAGAGAGTTTAAGGGATTAGGTGGAGCTCACACAGCAGGAAAGTGGCAAAACAGAGATGAAATCAGAGTCCGGCCCCAGCCTTGGCCACTGCACTAGACTACCCACCTCTTCGTGATCCAGGACCCAGACTTTCCTCCCACTGGCCTCTGCTTTGGTGTGGATTCCGTCTCCCACCTTCCCCAAATCTCTGCACATCTGTTGTGGACGCTGTGACGCACCACTCAGATCCCCTTCGGGCCTGGGGAACGTATTCCCCCAGCTGCAGGAAAGTGCTGCCAATGGACTCCCTCAGATGTCAGCTGCTTTGGAACTGCCTTGGCTGCACAGGCATCATCTGCTCAAGCCCACAGCCTCTTTTAGAGGGAGCCCACATCCAATGACTACCCAACAGGAGGGTTTAAAGGCTCAGCCTCCTCGCTGTAGCTCAGGACAACTCTGAAGGGCCATCCCAGCTCCCCAGCATCCTTAAGACTGCACCACAGTCCGACTTCTCGGTTTGCTAACTCCTACTTTCCTCCCTTTTTTTCTGCAGGAGGGAATCCCAAGTATCCTCCCTGATACACCCCTGCACCGAAATACAGTCTCAGAGCTGGCTTCCCAGGGAACCCTGGTGATAGATCCTAATTATTTGAGGCTCGCTTCAAATGCTGCTTCCCCCACCTCTAACCTTACCCAAACCTCCCCCTCCCAGGTTAGAAGTTCTCCCTCTGAACAAACTTCTGTGGTGATAACCATCCCTCTCTGCTGTATCTGAATGAGTTACCGCTTCACACCTGTCTCTGCTTTCAGACTGCACTGGAAGCTCCTTGAGGGAGAGGAGGACATTGTGTCTGAGTCGTTTATCTAACTACTTCACTTTGTTTTAATTAATTTTTTTGAGACAAGGTCTCACTCTGTCACCCAGTGCAATGCAGTGATCACAGCTCACAGCAGCTTCAACTTCCTGGACTCAAATGATCCTCCTGCCTCAACCTCCCGAGTAGCTGGGACCACAGGCAAATGCCACCACGCCTGGATAATTTACCTTTTGTAGAGACAAGGTGTCCCTGTTTTCCAGGCTGGTCTCAAACATCTGAGCTCAAGCGATCCTCCCCCTCAACCTCCCAAAGTGCTGGGATCACAGGTGTGAGCCACTGCACCTGACTCTATCTTCTTTGGCACCTGCCTTTACCACTGAGTATGGGCTCTGGGATTGGACACATCTGGATTCAAACCCTAACCTCACCTTTCTTGGCATCAGTTTCCTCATCTGTAAAATGGGATAATGGCAGCATCTTCATCTTAGGTTTGAAGAGTTAAATGTGTATAGAATGCTTAGCCCAGAGCCTGGCACACTGCAGGCGTTTGCTCACTGTTTGTTATCTATAATTATTGTTTACCTACTGTCATGCTAGTGCTAATATATGTTTATTAAATGAGTTGGGAGTGCCTGATGATGACCGGCTTAGCAGGCTCTACTGGCAGAGTGACCGTTCGCGACTTCATCTCCCTGGGAGACGGTGGAGATTGGCTGAAGGCGCCTCATCCCTTGGCAGGGTGCCCACTCTGCTCTCTCCCTCCTCCTTCCCCATGCAGGCCTCATAGCTGGACCCTCCAGCATGCAAACACTCACTCCACTCTCTCATGCAACCAAAAAATAAAAAATAAACTTGGCTTTGAATCCAAGGCCAGTGGGTGCTTTTGATCTCGGTTACAAAGCAAGGCAATTATTGAACACAAAAAGCCCTGATTTATTTATAAAATGCGATGGACATCTTCGAGGCGGGAACGAGAAAACTCACTCAAGACCAAGTCCTTGTTGCCACACAGTGAATGGCTGCTTTCAAACACAAGCCCCCCACATGGCCTCGCTTCTCTGCAAAGAGTCTTTCCTCATTAGTGCTTCCTCCCAACACCACAGCTTCCAACCATCAAATTCACATCACGGCCGGGGCAAGTAATTAAATTCCACAGGCATCAGAGCATAGAATAATGGATGGCTATTGTTAAGGAAGCTGAAGAAAACAGAATGAGGCTGGAAATGGAATGGGCTTCAATACCCAGTTTCAGAAACGGTTAGCGGGGAGCAGGAGAGCAAGTGGGATGCAGACTGACCCTCCCACCTGGTGCAGCACATGGGATAGTGGCTTTAGTCCTGGAGCTGGAGGTGAAAACCTGAGTTTGGAGCCAGACTCTGCATTTGCCAAACATGAGCCTCAGTTTCCTCATCTGTGAAATGAGGAGGTTGGACTAGGAGTCATTCTCCATGTATGGTCCCCAGACCAGAAGCATGAGTATCACCTGGGAATATGCTAGAAATGCAGGTTCTCAGGCCCCACCTTAAACCTACTGAATCGGAAACTGTGGGGCTGGGGCCCAGCAGTCTGCATTTAATAAAGCCTCCAGGTGATCCTGATGCATGCTAGATTTTAAGAACCGCAGTGAGGTAATGTTTAAAGACAAGGCCAAATACTCAAATGCACAAAGGGCCAGAGAGGCAAAATCAAGGAGCCAAGTAAGGTAAAATACGCCAGCAGGGTCAGTGGAGTGGCAGAGACAGCGTGCCTAGGCTGACGGGGCTGGCAGCCACTCAGCTACCGCTAGCTGATGCCACGTGTGAGTCCATGTGGGGCTGGTATAGTCAAAGCTTCTGATTTTGCAAGAGAAACACAAAATCGTGATTTTGGGAGAAATCTTTAAATGTTTAAATGTCAACTTAATCTTTCTTAACATAGTAAGGGCCAAGAAGATTATACGTCAGAGCCAAACTCAGTTGTGCACTGCCATTTTTCAGCCTCTGTTCTGAGTTTTTTCCTTCGACCTCCATCACCATAAACTCTACCCACTGGCTCTTACCTTTCTCCAGACCCTGAACTCCCAACCTCCTTTCCCCATTCAGCAGGCTCTTATTCATCCGTCAACACCCAACTCCAGGGGCACTTCCACTGTGAATTTATTCTCAACTCTTTGCCCCACTTTCCACCTCTCACTAAGAAGACAGAGAAGAAGCAAACAGGAGGCCAAAGAATTGACACACAGAAGGTGACACCGAGGAGGAAGACATGGAGAAGTTACAAAACAGCCTTTTCCCACAGAGGAGGAATTAGGACCTCTTGGCAGTTACCCTCCTGCTGCTTGAAAAATCACTCAAATAAGGACACCGATCCCATTTGACCAGAATCTAACAAAATGAAGTTTTAGAAGGGTAAATATGAAGAAACACAAAAGCAGAAGTCAAAGGCTGCATTAAAAAACAATTGGTACAAAAATACAAGGGACTTTTTGCTGACTGAGAGTTCACTGTGTCAATCATGTGGTAAAACAATCATCAAAGCGGCAAACACCATCACGGGTCTTATGAGAAATAAAGTGTCTGGACAGCCCTGCTCTGCCCTGAGCTGCTCAGACCTTCCTAGAGTATTCCGACTGGTTCTGAATAGTAACTTCTGTAGGTCAGAGAAGACCTGAAGCATGACCCAGGCAGGGCGACTGATATGGGGACAGAAACACAAAGCCAAATTCCAGGAGGACGATGGAAGGAACCTGGGACATCTGCCCATAGGCAGGAAGGACCAGTGGATGGTCACGATTTCTGCCTTCAAGCAACTGACAGGTTTCCATGTGACAGGTTTGATCTGTTTGGCCCTCTAGGGATGATCAGGACCTGTGAGTGAAAACACTACAAGATTCCATTTCGGCATTCGGGAGAATTTTCTATTGATCACGGATGTTCCCACATGGAATGAGCTATCCTGAGAGGTAAGGAGCGTTCTTTATTGAGGGACATCTAGCAGAGGCGTACAGCTGCTGTAGAGGATGATAAAAGGGCTGGAAAAGAGAGTCCAGTGGCCATCTCCTGTTTTATTTCTCCCTTCTTCTTGTAAAGGCACCCCTACTTTTCTTGGGGAACCACCCCTCACCCATTCTCAGTCCCATGGGTCAGGTGGAACTGAGTGTGCATCTGGCTTCAGGGATGGGTATGTGTCCCGGCCTGGCGAGGCAGAGCCCTGCAGCGCCCCAGCCACAGACGCAGCACCCGGTGTGCTCACGTGACCCGTGCTGGACCAATCACAGACCAAAATATCCCATTCTGGGAAAAGGGACTTGAAGCAGAGAGGATGTAGGTCTGGAGATGCCAGGGGCCCTCTGGTTATCACACGGCCAGCGGGTGGGGCTGACTGTAAAAGAGCCCCTCGCCTCCCCACAAAAAACGGGAAACAGAGAAAACTGGAGCAGAGTTGCCGAAAGAGTTGCAGAAAGACAGAGTTCTAGTAACATCCTTTGTTCCTCTGAAGCCCCGCATGCCCGAAGCCAGGCTTATAACTAGTAAGGTCCCTTTTTCTCTTAAAGAGGGGCAAGCTGCATTTCTGCTGTCTGCCACCATAAGAGTCCTGATCACTAACGATGGCCTCCTGGATCTCATTCAGTTTAATTTTGCTAGGGCTGATCCACATCTCACACTTAAAGCAAGGGCCACGTGCAGGGGCTTCTGGAATTTGAAGTGCTCCTCTAGTCATAAGAACAGACTCCACTGCAAAAGGGGAAATGGAGAATCATGAAAAGGTAAGTTATTAAGTCAAACCACCTCCCGCATCAGTGAGAAGCTGGCAGGCAGGGCAGCTGCCCAGGCCCAAGCCAGAAGATAGGCACAGGACAGACACCTGGCCTAGAAGCCGCTCCCATCTCCCGCAGCCTCACTGCCAGACTGTGGCTTGGTAGAGCCCTAGGACCCCAGCTCAGACATGGGGAGTGGTTTCTATTCTTAGGGATCACTGGCAAGCTACCATTTAATAAGCACCTACTGGATACCAGGCCTGGGCTGGACACTTGGCTCACCTCTGCATATTAAAGCGGCCCCCTGTGAAGTTGGCATTGTTACCAGCTCCATTTCCCAGATGACAAAACTGAGACTCAGAGAGACTTGCCCAGGGTGCAGTGATAGGCAGTTCTGAGACAAACTCCAAAAGCCCAGCCACTCCGCCTCCTGCTGGTAATGACAAGGGGCCCAAAGCAACCAAGTCTGGGTTCTCCTTGCAGCCTCCCAACGCTTTACTTCCTCACCTGTAAAATGAGGTGAGTGAGGATCCCCAGTCTGACCAGAGAGCAGCCTCCATAGTTGCTTTGAGGTCTGCGGGAACTATTATTATGTAAAGAGTGCCGGCCTCCATTCCGAAATTAGGTGTAACTGATGCAACACAAAGGGGCCGTGCTGTGCAAAGTCAGCCAGCCAGGCTCCGTCCGCGCCTCTCTCCAAAGCCCCTGTGGGCTGGGTTGTTTCCTTTGTTCCACAGGCACAGGCCTGGTAACAAGGCAGCCAGGAGCTCAGCTGTAGACATTTTTTTCATTATTTTCCACCCTGTTAACCTCCATCACAAGTCAGGCTGCTGTCAGCCTAAATGAGAACTGAAAAGATTTATCTCACTTGTCCCAGGGCTCAGCTCAGGAAAAAAGACCCTTCATTTCCTAAAGGCCTTGATGACCCTTTCTCTGTGAGTCACTCCCACCAAGGAAAAAAGATGTGACAGCAGCAGCAGGCGGGGGCTGGGAATGGGACCAACAGTCCAAACTTGCAGACGTCTGGATCACTTCAGTTTGGCTTTGCAAAGCACTGTGTAATTTTTTTTTCTTTGCACCGTATTTACCTTCCTAATTGTGTTTGCTTATGCAATATGAAACTTAGCCCACATTTCATAAACACAACCCCAGAAGGAGACCAGAAGCATATTGTGTGGCAGGAGAAAATTAGCCTGCGATTACACTTTTGCTATAGAAGTAATCCTCAAAGTGGACAATCCAAACACAGACCATGGAGAGATGATTATATTTTCAATCAACTTGTCCCCTTCTTTGTGCTTCTAGCAATCTCAGATCACCAAACCCCTGAAACTGGCACCTGGCAAGAAGAGATGAGCTAGATTCTTTTGGTAATAATAGTCTCTTAAATTCGCATAATAATAGTCAGCTTTCATGAGCACCTACTAAGTGCCAAGTGATGCTCTCCATGCTGTACACAGGAACAACAAGCCTGTTAATCCTTCCATCTGCCCATGGGTATTTATCTCCATCACCATTTCACAAATGAGGAAACTGAGGCACAGAGCATTGAAGTAACAAGCCCGAAGATACACAGCTAATAAATCATGGAACCAGGATTATGAACCCAAGAATTTAAGAATTCTGGACCCAGAGGCCACATCCCAAACCACTTTGCAATAATGCCACTCTCCCCGCACACCATTTGTTTAACGCTCACCCTCCTGGGAAGTAGCTGATCTTAACCCTGCAGGATAGACAAAGAGGATGAGTTTCACAGAGGCTAAATAACTTACCCATTTTACAGACAAGGAAACTGAAATTCACAAAAGTGAGTTTAGTTCTACAAACATTTGCACAGCACCTTGTACATGCCAGGCACTGTGCAAGGAACGTGGGATACAGAGACCTCAGTGCTCCTTCCACACTCAGCTTCTGGATGTTTATATGGGTAAAACCTTTCTGAAGGCAATAAGGTACACTGTCAAAAGCATTAAAAATGAGCATACTTTCGACTCTAAAATTCCCACTGCAGAAACTGATCCTAAGAAAGTAACAGCGAATGTGACAAAGAAGCTCACGGCAGTGTTATTTATAAGAGTAAAATAACAGAAATAAACTAAGTGCTCAACAATAAGAGATTAAATAGAGTACATCTATATAATGAAATACTGTGTAATCATTCAAAATGTTATAGAAATATACTATTGATGTGGGAAAATGTAATAGAGTGTTACGTAATTTGTTAGGTGACATAAGCAGGTAGTAAAATCATATATGCATTATGATCTGATTTAGAAAAAATGCATGTGTACACTAGAAAATATACAAATCTAAGCACTCTCAGAAAATGCATTTGCGTTTGTACACGAGAAATTCCTAGGATATCAAAGTGATTATCTCCAAACAATGCCATTTCAGGTGATTTTAATTTTTGTGTGTGTGCTCATCGTCATTCTTTAAAATTTTCTACAATGAATATGTACTACTTACCTAGCCATGCAAAGGTTTTCATTTTTGTGGCAGTGGTTGCTAAAGTGGCTAAGACTACACACTCTTTAAAAGGCACATCCAGGGTTCAAATGGGCTGGGGTCCCAAGTCCAGCCCTCAGCCACTTGCATCCTTCAATGCACCTGCCCCTCCTGGTCCCTTGTCTCCAAACCACATCCCACCCTGGCTGGTATACTGTTACCATGGGCCAGCTTGGGGCAAAGACCTGGGACACGTAGAGCAGCCCACTTGCCTACCTTTTTGAAGAGTCTGATGACATCCTCACTGATCTGGGAGAGGCGGACGATGACATTGTTCATGAAGATGTCATTGAGGGTGGCATGGTCTCGGCTCTCCCGCCGGGTCTGATGCAGAACCAGATACCAACAGTTCACAGGCGAGAGGAGGTACTGGTCCTTCCTGTGGAAACCAAGAAAGCTCAGGTTGGCTACATTGGAACTGTCATCCAACAGTGGTTTATGCTGTCACCCACTTCAGCTCTTTTAACCTCCACGGTGCCCCTTCAAGGTCAGTCTTGTTGTTACACCTTATACAGTTGGGGAAACAGGCTACAACAGCTGAAGGGATCCTCCAAGGTCACAGACCAGCACTGGGGCCAGAACCCAGGTCTTTGACGCCTATGCGGTTCTACTCTAGCACTGAATGTGGTGCTTGCTCCAGGTACCTCTACCTTCTGGGAAGAAGCTACCTCCCCTGGGGCTAAGAAATACTAAACCAATTGTTTTTTAAATATTATACTTGTATGATTTCTGGAACTATGCAATAGAAAGAACAAAAAGTAGATACTTCCACTCCCCCATTCTGCCTGCCTCAACCCCTGTAATTTTCTTGGGCTCTTAACTTCTTTGTTCTTCCCCAGGGATTGGCTTCTGTCTCTTGGCCTCTTGGAAACACATGCCTTTGCCCCTCCACGGAGCTGTTGGGAAAGGGGCTAGGAGGGCTCAGATTCTGTGTTCAGGAGGAAGGGTTAAGGAAAATGCAAGTACCTACAAGACAAATAACCCTTTGTCCTGCAATGACTGATAGGTTATTAGCACTCTCTAGCTGGGTGTGATGCTGAAGCAGGGGTTCTTAAAGTGTGCTCCCAGACCAGCAGCAAGAGCATGACCTGGGGACTGGTTAGAAATGCAGACTCTCCAGTCCCACTCCAGACCTGCTGAGTCACACACTCTGGGGGTGGGCCTGCAATCTGGGCTTTACCAAGCCCTCCAGGGGATTCGGATACTCACTCAAGTCTGAGAACCACAGATCCTTATACTATTGTTTCCCAAAGCTCAGGATGCTAATGAGACCAGAGAAAATCTGTCTCTTGGCTCTGCAGATGCTCCTCAACTTACTACAGGGCTACATCCCAATAAACCCCTCACAAGTTGAAGATATCCTAAGTTGAAAATGCATTTAGTAAGCCCAAACTACGGAACATCATAGTTTAGCCTACCCTACCTTAAACGTGCTCAGAACACATTAGCCTACGGATGGGCAAAATCATTGCACACAAAGCCTATTTTCTAATAAACTGTTGAATATCTCATGTAATTAGTTGAATGCTATCCTGAAAGTGAAAAACAGAATGGTTTTATGTGTACTTGAAATACGGTTTATACTGAATGTGTATCACTTTCACAACACTGTAAATTCTCAAAATTATAAGTCAACCCATAGTTAAATTAAGGACCATCTGTATTTGCCAAAGACCCCTCTGTGAGCCTCAGGAAAGGGTGGATACACCCTGTTATCCAGGAAGGAAGAGAAAGGTCAATTCAAAAGCAAAACCAAACCAATAACCCTTTCCTGCCACGCAGGGCACCTATGCTAAAGCTCTTGCCCTCTGACCCAGGGTATCTCCCTGACTCCTTTCCAGTGTGGAGAGAGATGTTGGAAAGGCAGGATGTGAGGGGAGAGGCCCTTCCACCACCTGAGGTGGCAGCTCCAGGGTTCCCCCAGGCCTGCCTTGTCCCACCCCTGTCCTGAGTGTGGACCACCTCCAGGAGCTGGCCAAGGTTCTGTTCTTAGAAAACACAGCCTCCCACTATTAGCGTTTTTTGAGGAAGGCAATTGATATAGTTTGGTTTTGTCCCCACCCAAATCTCAACTTGAATTGTATCTCCCAGAATTCCCACATGTTGTGGGAATGGTCTTGGGGGCCAGTCTTTCCCGTGCTATTCTCGTGATAGTGAATACGTTTCATAAGATCTGATGGGCTTATCAGGGGTTTCTGCTTTTGCTTCCTCCTCATTTTCTCTTGCCACCACCATATAAGAAGTGCCTTTCACCTCCCACCATGATTCTGAGGCTTCCCTAGCCATGTGGGACAGTGAGTCCAATTAAACTTCTTTTTCTTCCCACTCTTGGGTATGTGTTTATCAGCAGTGTGAAAATGGACTAATACAGCAATTCTGCTGACTCCCACTATGACCACATCCACCTCCCCAAAGCCAAGCAGAAGGACCCCTGAACTGCTGTCCCCACCCCACCCCCACCACCCCACCTCTCCCTATCTCCTGGGGCTTGGGAAGGTAGGTGGGGCAGGGCTACCTTGACTTCAAGGAATTTTTCTTTCTCTCACCAAATGTGCTAAAAATCTATCTAGGCAGCAGAAATTTGTGAGAAGATAATTAGATTTAGATAAAGGATGGGAACTATCTAAGGAAAAGGGAGGATGATGAAGCATTTACAACACTGCTGTGAAACAACCAGATTTCTCCTTGGCTTATAGCCTAGAGTAAAAGCCAGGACACTACAATTAGACCCCAACTAGAATCCCTCAGCATCTACTGTGTCAGGTCTTGGGTGGGTTCTGGGCACCCAAAGGTGGCCGTGATGCACACTCTGCCTTGGAGGGGCTCACTGCTGAGTGGCTGCATCAGAAAAAAAGAATTAGAGAGGAAGGTGGTTCCAGTCTATAACAGAGACATACGCAGAGCATCAGTTCTGCTGGAGAAGCTGCAGAAGGCATCGTTCTCCTCCAGTGTGTTCTGGGTACCAGGCACGCGGCCTCTTCTATTCCCACTGGGGCCTGGACGCTTTTCCCTCTGCCTGGAATACCACAGTCCCTGCTCTTCTCATGAATGCCTGTTTCTATTACTGTAGGTTCAGCTTAGATGATACCTCCCTAGAGAACACCCCGTTGACCACACGCTAAGGCAGTGGTTCTCAGTGTGGCCCCTGAACCAGCAGCAGCAGCATCACTTAGGAACTTGAAAATACAAGTTCTCAGGGCAGCCCCAGACTACGTGTACTCAGAAGCCCTAGGGCTGGGCCCAGAATCTGTGTTTTAACAAACTCTCAAGGTGATTTGGATGCATACTCAAGTTACAGAACTTCTACCTTAAGGAGTTTCCATCCCTCCCCCTCACCCTACTGTGAGCTCTTTGAGAGCAGGGATCACTTCTATTGTGTCATCACGTCCAGCACCCAGCAATGTGCCTGCCATGTAGCAGATGCTATGGAAGAGAGACCCATGAAAAAAGACTGCATTTGTGCTGGGTCTTGAAGGATGGGTAGGAGTTTTCCAAATGGTCAGAAGTCAGAGAGAGGATGGAATTGTGGGTAGAAGGACCAGTGGGTACAAATATAGTGAAGTAGCTCAGAAGAGCTGGAATTCTGAGTGTGTTAGTGGAGGACTGTAGGACATGAGGCTGGGGATACAGATTAAAGGCCCAATGTTGGGGGAGACTGCCAGACTAAGGGGGTGGGACCCCTTATCTTCTAGACCACATAGTTCTCAACCTGTCCTGTACACTAGAATCAACTGGGGAGCTTTTAAAAAAACACCAAGACCCAGGACCCATCCAAGACAAAATCAGAATCTCTGGGGGTAGCGCGTGGTACTCATATTTTTATACTCTCTAGAAGATTCTAATGTGCAGCCAGGGTTAAGAATGCCTGCTTTAGGCCGGGTGCAGTGGCTCGTGCCTGAGTCCCAGGGCTTTGGGAGGCTGAGGTAGGAGGATCACTTGAGTCCAGGAGTTCAAGACCAGCCTGGGCAACATAGCAAGACTCCGTCTCTACAAAAAATTTAAAAATTAGCTGGGCATAGTGGCACACACCCGTAGTCCTAGTTACTTGGGAGACTGAGGTGGGAGGATCACTGGAGCCCGGGAGGTGGAAGCTGCAGTGAGCTATGATCATGCCACTGCACTCCAGCCTGAGTAATAGGCAAGACCCAGTTTCTAAAATAAATAAGAATGTCTGCTATGGGCAGTGGGGAGTCATGGAAGTTATTTCAGCAGAGGTAGGATATAACCAACATGTGTTTTGGCATGATCATGGAAGGCAGATTGGAGGATGAAGGGATGGATGGGTAGGTGGGTGGGTGGATGAGCAGGGATATGGGGCTTTTGGTAAGAGGACCAGGCAGGAGGTAATCTTAGTTCAAAAGAGAAATAGTGAGGCCTGGGTGTGGTCTTGTAGCCAGCGAAGGATGGACTTGAGAGATTTCTCAACAGGAGAGCAGATCCTCTTGGAAACTTCCTGGAAAACAGCAGAAAGAGGAGGAAGGAGCAGACAGTGATTCCGAGGCTCAGATCTTAGGCGACTGGGTAGATGCTGATGACATGAACTGAGATAAGAACTGCAAGGGGAGCAGTAGGTTTGGACAGAAAATGCATTGCTTATCTCATTTTCACTGCTTCCTAGGTGGTGATGGAAATGGAAAGATTAAAGGAGAGATGAGATAATTGAGCTGTTACCTAAATTACTTCAGGGGCTTAGCTGAACCTGGGAGGCAAGAAGTGAACAGCACCAGGGAATTAAATTGTGCAAAATTATGGAAGCCACAGCCAGAAGGTGAGTTTCAGAGGGAAGGAAAAAGACAACTGATCTGGAACTGATGGGGAATTGCTGGGACAGTTTGGGGACCATTAACTAGGTCATCTAGCCAGAGAGATGAGATGAGAGGAAGGGCAGAGAGCACAGCGCTGTCCTTATCAGAAGCTGCAAGCCAGGAGGCAGTGCGGTATAAGACAGAATTGCAGGAGGCAGAGCGAGCCAAGGCAAGGAGGAGGATGTTACCCGAAAGCAGCCAAAGACTCAAGTTGAAGTGAGCAGCTGCTGTGAAGATTCCTTCCAGCCCTCGTTCACTCCTTGCGTTTGTGTGTCTGTGCTGGGCAGGACTAGGTGCTGCGAGTGCAGGAGCAACCAAGGCTGCAAGACCCTGCCCTGCAAGTCTTCCACTTGAGTAAGGAGATTCACAAGGAACAGAAAGTGATGAGGCAGCCTCATCAGTGCAGTCATGGGAAGGAGGCTATGGAGCAGAGAGGAGCCTCCTTCCCCAGATCTGGTGGTGAGGTTGGTCATGCATGGCTTCCTGGAGGAAACGCTTTCTAGACTGAGAACTAAAAGCCGGACTGGAGTTTCACAGGGAGGAGCCTTCAAAGGGGAGAAATGTGATGAGCAAAGGCCCAGGGAGGAGCAGGAGAGGGAGGAGCAGGTAGGGAGGGGGCCCAAGCATGGTGTTTTGGGGTAGGAGAGTGAGGACAGCAGGTGAACATGGAGACTGAGGCAGGGGCCACTTGGGAAAGGGCCTTTAACTCTCATTAGAGTTCAAGCTCCGTCCTGAGGTCAGCAGGCAGACCTTGAAGGGTTTACAGAAGGGGAGTGAAAGGGTAAAACTGCACTTTCAAACTCTCACTCTGGCTGCTGTACAGAGCCAGGGGCCGGGAGAGAAACTGAGGGATTCAAGAAAGGCTTAGGTAGGAAATTGACTGGACAGGGAGATTGACGGGATGGAGTTAGGGCTGGAAGTTGAGAGAGAGCAAAAGATGTCCAGGATGACTCTCCAGTTTTTGGTTTGGGCACCTGGGGGAGTAGAAGGAGCCTCTGTGGAGATGAAGAGGAGCAGGTCAAGGGTGGGGCGGGGAGGGAGGATGATGAGTTCGAGTCGAACACGACGAGTCTAAAAGGCTGTGGGGCATCCAGATGGAGCTATCTGGGCTGGAGAGACAAACATGGAAGCCAGCAGCAAGGAGTTGGATGCTATTTAAAACCACAGAACAACAAGGAAGGCTTTACAAATGCTGTGGCCACATGGCAGAAGAGGTCAATCCCCGGGAAGCATGGCAAGGCTGTGGCCGGAGGGCTGGGGCAGGGCCAAGCCGCGGTGGCGCCTCCCCTCCTGCTTCCCTAAAAGAGGGCAAGATGGGGCAATGTGCAGCCTGGCCTCCTCTGAGATGCTGTCCCAGGCCTGCCGTCCGATCAGCGGCCCATTCTCTAGGTCCATCCCAGCATGGGAAACTGCTGGGTCTGCACCCCCACCTTCTCCCAGCCCTGGCTCCCTCCTGTGGGGCAGGTCATTTGTAGTCTAAAAGGCTGGGGTGAACTGTCCACAGCCAGGGTCAAGAGCTGCTCTGTAGAAAGCTAGCATGTGTGGCCTTGGCCACAATGGTACCAGGCAGGCTCTACCACATCTGAAAGAAGAAGGCCCACAGGTGGGACTCAGCACAGCAGTAGAGAACAGAAAGCCACCTGGACGTGGGCATGGGTGTTCACCGGCGTCTGCCATGCTAGCTGTGGACTCCGGGCAGGCCACCTATTCCCTGTAGCCTGGCCACTCACACCATGGAGTCACTCTGGGCTTAAATGCCAGAAGAGAGCTCTGCAGTCATTCTTCAGCAGTTCATGCATTCCATACATTTTTGTTGAATATTTTGTATAGATCAGACCCCAGGGACACAACCTTGAGCCCAACAGACACAGTTCCTGCCTTCATGGAGCAGACAGTCTGGTGAAGAGACAGACACCTACCATGAGCCCACGAATGTGGGTAGAGTTAGAAGTGCAGAATGTGCTGGAACAGAGGGGAGCCTGTGCCATGAGTGCCTGTAATAAGGGGGCTGGCCTGATTTGTGGGTCACTAAAGTGTCCCCAAGGAAGAGGTCATTAAGCTGTGCTCCAAAGGAAGAGTTGGAGGGCGCTAGTGAAAGGGGCTGGGCAGGTGGGCTGGCGGGAGAAGGCTCTAGGCAGAGGGAACAGAATGGGCAAAGGCGCCTCAGGGCGGAGAGCCTGGTGCATTTAAGGAACTAAGTAAAGAACAGCCTGGCTGGAGTGGGAGGCAAGGCAGAGGAGGAAGAGGGTGAAGAGTGAGGCTGGAGGGGCCTGCAGGGTCTCACACACTCCATCCTGCCCCCATCTGGCTCACAATGGGACTGCAGGAGGGAGGAAGCACGAGGGCCGCAGACCGCAGAGCCAGACGCCAGGCTGCAGAAAACTTGAGCCTCTGCCTTCCCTGTTCCTGGGGTTGTTTGCCCCTTTGGAAAGTGGAACCCCTTTGACCTGAGATCCAGCTCTCTGTGCCAGCAGCCACTTTTGTCTTCTGCAGCCTCATTTTTGGAAGACATCAGAATGAATGAGGGCCAGTGCCCTCGGCCAAGGCACTCAGAGTGACCCTTCCGCTTCTCCAATCTTTCATGCAAGCGTCGACCCAGCAAGCAGAAGCTGCTGAACTAAGACATCACGTTAGAAATTTTGCATATGTATGTATCTATTTTCTTTTTTTATGGCCAGAAAATAGCAATGAACATTTCTGGTGAGTCACAGCTTTCTTTCTTTGGCTAGGGGATCTGGATATGAGGTTCCAGGAGACTGCAGCTAGGGGAGCCAGGCCTTGCCAAGCTAGTGAGTTGGGAAAATGAAATTAGCAGTGAGCCAGTTTCTCCAGCTTCTCGGCTGAGGGCCGGAAAATTCCGCTTAGCAAACAAAACCCATTTCCAAGCTTGCAGAGTCCCATGTTCCAGATGAATCCAAAGCCACTGCCCTGGGATCAGGGTCCCTCTGGGAGGAAGGCAAGCTCCTGCTTGGGCTTCCTGCCCCGTTCCAGGACCTTCTCAGGCCTCACACTGGGCTTGCGTCCGAGAAATGCTAACTCAATCAGTTCTGTGGCCAGAAAGGTGCATTTAACCTCCTGCTACCTAAGCTGCCCCAAGCAGGATTCAGCATTCATTGCACTTGCTTGTAGCATGAATCATTAATTCAGCCAATAGTAAGTGTGTGCCTGTTCTGTGCCAGGCAATGGTAAGCAAAATGAGCCACACTTCCCACTTCGTGGAGCTTACAGTCTAGTGGGGGTCTCAGATAACAATCAGATAATCACAAAAATCAATAGAAAATGGCAGCGGGAAGAAGGGCTCTGAAGGAGAAATACATGGAGCCTGGAGAGTCTTTAACAGGGGGCTGCCCTCTCCTGGGGAAGGCGGAGGGGAGGGAGCATCAGGGGACCCTGGGGTCCTTCTCATCACTGAGACCTGAGCTGAGCTATTTCTCCTCCTGGATGCCTCCCTGGCCACCCACACACCCTATGTCACACTATGTCATTGTCATTACAGCACTCCACACCTGATGCTTGTTGTGTTCTTTTCCTTTTTGCTTCTGGTCTTTGTCCCCTCTCTAGCTTATGTCTGTCCTACTCATCAGTGCTTCTCTGGTGCCCAGGCCAACCTGGGCACACAGGCACTCTCAGAAAATATTTGTGAGTAGGTGAAAAGTGCCCCCTGAGCTCAGACTAGAAGGATGGGTAGGTTTTAACACAGCACAGTGATAAAGAAGAGCATTCCCAGAAATAAGCATGAAGCCCTCATGGGCACGGGCATCATCTAGAACTGACAGAAAGTGAGTGTGGCCAGAGGGCAGACAGGGACTGGATGAGGGTCAGACAAGACTGAACATGTAGCACAGCCAGGGCCCTGAAGGACAAGACGTGCATGGGGCTGCGTACTAGTTTTGTAGGTGCTGTCACACAGGACCATAGAGTGGCTCAGACAACAGGTATGTGTTGTCTCACAGTCCTGGAGGCTGGAAGTCCGAGATCAAGGTGTCGGCAGGGTTGGTTCCTTCCAAGGACTGTGAAGGAGGATCTGTCCCAGGCCTCTCTCCTGGCTCCTGGTAGGTTGCTGGAGATCTTTGGTGTCCTTGGTGTAGACACAGCACCCCAATCTTTGCCTTCACCTTTCCAAGGCATTCTCCCTGTGTGTTGGTCTCTGTGCCCAAAGTTCCTTTTTTTGTAAAGATACACACCAGTCATGTCGGATTAGGGCCCTTCCCAATGACCTCATTTTTATCTGATTACTTCTATAAAGACCCTGTTTCCAAATAAGGTCACATTTTGAGGTACTGGAGTTTAGGACATCAGCATAGGAATTTTGAGGGGACACAGTTCCACCCTGATATGGTTTGGCTGTGTCCCCACCCAAATCTCATCTTGAATTGTAGTATAATCCCCACGTGTCATGGGTGGGACCAGGTGGAGATAACTGAATCATGGGGGACGGTTCCCCCATGCTGTTCTCATGATAGTGAATGAGTTCTCACAAGATCTGATGGTTTTATAAGGGGGTTCCCCCTTCACTGGGCACTCTTTCTCTCCCCTGCTGCCCTGTGAAGAGGTGCCTCCCATCATGATTGTAAGTTTCCTGAGGCCTCCCCAGCCATGCGAAATTGTGAGTCCATTAAACCCCTTTTCTTTATAAATTACTTTATAAATATTTACTTTATTATCCCCCACCCACCAGGAGTCCCCCGAGGAGTGTGAGGCTGCCATGCTGGGAGCCAGAGAGCGCAGTTCAGGGCCTAGCTCTGGCACTATTTGGCAGCCCGGAGACAGAGTCATCCTGAAGGGGACTAATTCCATCCATTGAGTCCCCTGGCCAAAGCAGGCTTTGCTTATCAGTTGGGGTGCTATTGAGTCAAGAGGCTGGGGTTCAAATGCCAATTCTGTCCCTCACCAACAAAGTGAACTTGGAAAGTTATTATAGTTAAACCTTCTCTTTCCTTATCTGTGAAACGAAGTGACGACTACCTCATAGTGGTGCCTGGAGGACTAAATGACACAACCCATGCTATTCTCTTGGTGTCAAACCCTGCACATAATAGTACTTTTTATTGTCATTACCATTATTACCACTAGCACCTCAATAAGTTGTTGGGAAGATCTAAGGCCTGATGTACATAGACAAACAGCCTATGATAAGTGTTCTAAAACTATTGGTTTTTCTCCTCCATTACTACTTTCTCCTTCTGCAGACTGTTATGTGAACTTCAATGCTCAGTGCAAATGTCCCTGTGACTCCCCCTTCATCCCAGGGCAGAATGATTCACGGGCTCACTGCTTCCTCTGTGATCCCATTCCTCACACTGCAGCATGAGGGTACACGTTGGTGTCTGGTGTCCAGCAGCACCTCTGAGCTCCCCTTTGACTTTCTGGATGGATTCTTGGTATCAGAGCAAAAAACTCTGCCTCATAGGCAATGCCTGGTCAACCTCAACTCTTTCCTTGCAAGCCCCTTTGCCTTGGTTTATCTGCCCACAGAATGGGTGGCACCGTGTGGCATGTGTAGCACTAGGCAGAGGAAAAGACCCCGATCCATGGCTTCCTGATTGTTTGGTGCCTGTGCTGTGCAGGTCATTTAATCTTCTAAGCACCCCACACATCCACATCACCGTGAACCAAGTGCTCTACTGGATGTCTGATAGGCATCATCTCATTGCACCTTCATGGGAAATGTGGTCTGTGAAGAAGGGGCTGTCTTTATCTTTCTAGGTGAAGACACTGAGTTTTCAAGAAATTAAGTCATTTGCCCAGATGGACACGGCTAGCACAGGTAAGTGGCAGACTAGCATTCCAATCTGGGTTTACCTGACTCCAAAATGCAAAACTGGGTCAGTTCTTTCACGGGTCAGCTGTGGGTCTGAAGTTAGGGTTCACCCTGCCTTGCCTATCAGTTGGTCCCTTGCCTATCAGTTGGGGATGACAACACCTTCCTTGACTCCTTCAACTCTCACCAGGGTTCTTGGGAGGATTTAAGCAGCTAAGGGCTGAGGAAGGAGTTTGCAAAGTGTAAGGTGCTATATAGTCTTTGAAGGTTATTATTATCCTATTTGCCTAATAGAATAGCATCAAAACTAAACCCGTACATATTACTGTTTGTGAAAATCTAATTTTTACATCTATTTTTCATTTCTAGTATAAAAATTAAATGATAGAAATGTATATATGCATATCAAAGTATATGCATGCATAAAGAAATCACGTCCTAGTTAATGCTTTGGTAGTTGCTGATTAGAGTCTCTGAGGATTCCAGGGAATTTGGTGTGGGACCTGGGAAAGAGCCAGATGGAAACATTGGAAAGAGATAAAGGAGCTACAGCCATTGCAAAATCCACTCTTCAGGCTGAGCCTCCTATGTTAAAATCCTTTCCCCTCATTTAAAAAAAAAATTGTGGAGGATAAAGAAGGTAAAGATGAAAGATGCTCACTTTGCAGGAGAAACTGGAATGGGACTTAGAGTGATTTGATGCTGGCTTCAGGATTTTTGCCATTCCTGCACACCACCACACTTAATATCTCCCTGTTGATGTCTTTTTTTAACTTAAATTTATTTACAAAGAACTTCCCTAGTTTCAGCTTTAAAAAAAACAGGATGGTTTGTTATAAATAGAAGGTAACCAAAAAACTAAATTCAACAAAAACCAAACAGTATATTCAATCTTGAGGTCTGTTCTCTATTTGCTAAAAAGGAGATTGGAGGACATTAACAATACACTAGGACCAAACTGAGACTTTCTCCTCCAGGCTACCAGAAACCTTGAAAGAGAATTGAGAAGATAATTCAATATTTATGGTTCCTGTGTTATCAAGAATCCCCTTTCATTTTGATCATCCATATTACCGAAATGACACCCTTAAAATACCCAGCCTTTGTGTGTATACCTCTGTGCATTGAGAACTCACTACCTCCCCAGGCAGCCCTTTCACTGATGGACAGCTGTGGCTACTGGAACGTCCTTAAGGTTGAATTGAAGTTTGCTTCTCTGAAAATGCTATCCTCGGACATCATTTATCTCCTTTCGCAGCCACACAAAATAAGTCTATTTGTTAAATATATTTAAAGAAAGCATTTGGTAGTGTCTTGGTTAATTCAGCCATTCACTGAAAAAACTTTGATAAAGCATCAATTATATACCAGAGAGAGGGAGACTAGAAATGGTCCCTTGCCTTCAGGCAGCTGGCCGACTGAAGTGAGAGAACCAGATATAGGAACTGGATCACTCCTTGATAATCTGATGCAAGCCCCACACAACTCACATGGGAGGCGAGAGGAGCAGCTGACTGTAGACTTGGGATCAACCAACAGCAGGGGCTTCACCAAGAAGGCAAGCCCTAAGCTGGCCTCTGTGTAGGAGTTGACCAGGAGGATAATAGCAAACCCCTGATGCTCATCCAAGGAGGATATGGTCGACATGCATGGGTAATTCTCAAGAAGCTCAAAGCCAGCCCAGAAAGATGAGGGAACAAAGTCAGCAGCTAGATGCAGTTTTGCATTTTGGAGTCAGGTAAACAAAGATTGGAATCCTAGCTCTGCCACTCACCTGTGCTAGCTATGTCCCTCTGGGCAAATTACTTAATTTCTCGAAAACTCAGTGTCTTCACCTAGAAAGATAAAGACAGCCCCTTCTTCACAGACCACATTTCCCATGAAGGTGCAATGAGATGATGCCTATCAGACATCCAGTACAGCACTTGGTCCACGGTGATGTGGATGTGTGGGGTGCTTGGAAGAGTAAACGACCTGCACAGCACAGGCACCAAACAATCAGGAAAGATCCAGCTGGCACACGGTGCTGAGAGAACAGCAGGTCTGGAAAGTAGGACCCCAGAAAGCCATTACTAGCTTGATACCAATCGCAGTAATAGTAATAGCTGTGAATGGAGACACAAGCCCTACTGGAGGGCTTTCTCCATCTCCATCTCATTCTAAGCAAACATTTTAATTCTGACTCCTTTTCACATTTATATGCTCAATTTATATGCTACAAAAGTGATTCTCTGTTTAGGAATAGCCTGGAAGGCTAAGTCTAAATTATAGCATCTCTTTAGAGAATTGCTACATCTGTGAAAAAAATCCTGTGATGCTTTATCCCCGCTAAGAAGTGTTTTCTTGGAAATGAAGTTAGTTGTTCACAGGAATCCTCTCTCCCAACTGCTCTGTGAAGCTGAAAGATGCTCCAAACCTCCTTTGCACAGGATATCTGCATAGAATATTATTCCCTAACTAGCCAAGTGCCTCCCAGCACTTCCCAAATTCTGGCTTTTCCCAAATGTTTAAATCATATTTAAATAGAACTCCCTGCTGCTTTTTTTCACAGCAGTTAAACTAGCAGCAACCAGCACTTAACCCTCTGCATGGAGCATTTTCATCAGGTACAGCTCCTGGAAGGTGAGGGGTATCAAAAACTGAGAAAGCTAGAATAGAAGGGGACTCTGTCACCCCAAACACAGGGCACTACTTGCATGGAGTGTCACTACTACAGAGGGTAACCCCAGCATTTGTCTAGAACAGAGATTTTCAAACTAGGTCTCAAGAAGTGCTAGTTTGTGAAATACTAGTAAATATCATGGGGAGAGCCAGGTGCGGTGGTTCTGCCTATAATCGCAGTGTTTTGGGTGGCTAAGGTAAGAGAATTGCTTGAGTCCAGAAGTTTAAGTCCAGCCTGGACAACATAGCAAGACCCCTGCCTCTACAAAAAAATAATTCATTTTTTTTTTTAAATTTCAGATGTGGTGGCATGTACCTGTAGTCCCGGTTACTTGGGAGGCTGAGGCAGGAGGATCACTTGAGCCCAGAAGTTTGAGACTGCAGTGAGCTGTGATCACACCACTACATTCCAGCTTGGGCGACAGGGTGAGACTCTGTCTCAAAAATAAGTAAATATGTAAATAAATAAATAGGGAGAGGGAATCCTGTGGTCAAATAGCTTTCAGAAAGAAGTCAACAGGCTTAATTATTACAAAAATCAGTCTTTCGTATCCTCCTTCTCCTCCTCCTCTTCCTCTCTCTCTCTCCCATTCAAACATCTCAAAGTATTGGTGTTTTAGAGACATTTTCCTGGAGGAAGAAAAAGTCTCATTCCCAGGAAACATCTGTGTTCATGGAGCTGCCAAATTCATTTGGACAAGACCATCCACCTACCCCAAGAGGCAGGTTTGGGGGCCCCATATGTGCTGCCTGCTACACCAGAGTCCTGCTCAGGAAGGGCTCAGCTCCAGGCCTTCCAAAGGAAAAGCCAAACTCAGGTTAGGCCTAGCTTGGAGAGGGCAGTGGATTATGGATTTGACGCTGGTGAAGAGGAGGGAAGGCCAGCACAGCCCAAAAGTGAGTTGAAAACCATTTATTCCCCAGAAAAACATCAGACTGGCTCTTCAAAGTGAACTGCCAACAGACTCCCCCAGGGGGCTTGTTAAATGCAGATTGCCAGGCCCCCCCCCCAAGAAGTTCTGATCCAGCAGGTCTCAGGAAATACCCCAGATCTTGCATTTCTAGCAGGTCCTCATGTGATGCCAATGCCGCTGCTCCCATTCCCCAAACAGGGAGACCATGGCACAGTCCACACTCTGTCCTTTCAGCAATACAGGACCCGTGACAGGCACATGAGCGAGTGACACTTCACCCAGATGGCCTCACTGAGCTAAGGCAGCCAGAAGACAAACATGCCCCCTTTCCCTGTCCTCCCTATGCAAATCTAATTATCACTTGCCTTTCATTCATTAGTTCATTAATCAATGACATTCAGTAACAACCAGGTGCCAGCCCTGTGAGAGGTGCTAGGGACCCCGGGTCAAGAGTCACCCTCTCTGCCATCTCGGAGCTTGCAGCCCAGTGGTTGTCCAAAGGAGGACAGACAAGTAAACAGACGATGACAATACAGGGCTGTAGCTCTTACCTCACCCTCTTCCCCAAGTCCTTCCCATCTCAAGGCAGAAACAGGAGACATCCTTGTTGCCTCTCTTTTCCTCCATTCCTCTCTGAGAGGTTTCCTGGCATCTGATGGCTTCTCTCATCTGCTCTGTTCCCACCCAGGCCATCACTGTCCCTGCCTGGAGAGCTATACCCACATGCCCATGAGTGGGCTCCTCGGCTCCACCCTCCAACCCAGGTGGTCTTTTAAACATATAAATCACATCATGCAACTCCCTTCTTCCCACTCCCACACTCACCAGTTCCAGCCACTTGGCTTCCATCCCCCTCCACTGCTGCACGTTGCTCCTTCTCATTTCTCAGGCCTCAGCTTAAACCACGCTTCCTCCAGACACCTTCCTGATCGTGGTCCTAGCTTGGTGTGGGCTGCCAACCCTTTGACACTCCTCCAATGATAGGAGGGCTTTATTTCCCCTTTCCTGAAGCTGAGCTAGGGCTGAGACAGCTTTGGCAAATAGCATCTGGGTGGGGAGTGATGCTATTCCAGCTCCAGGCCTAGCAGTTAAGAGGACTGCAGCTGCTGTCCTGCTCTCTAGAAGCCCCGAGCTACTGTCAGAAGTCTGATGCCCGGCTGAAGCAGGAGGCCCTGACACTACATGGAGAGGGAGACAGCCCAGCAGGGCCCGGCCTACTAGCCGTCCCCATGGAGGAACCAGGCATGCGAGTAAAGCTCTCTGGGACTGTCCAGACCAGGCCCTCTGCTAGCTGAATATCACTGAGCCATCAATGCCACATACAGCAGAAAAATCACCCAGCTGAGCCCTGTCCAAATCTTTGATCCATTAAATCACAAGGTACACTAACTTTGGGGGCATTGCAGTTATACGGGAGAGATAATCAGAATACTCCATAGTGTATTTATTTCCATCATAGCAATCATTGGATTATAGCTGGTCTTTCTTTTAGCTGCTTTTTAATGTTTTATTCTTCATGGTAAATTTCACCACAGCAGGAACCAAGTCTATCTTGTTCACCACTGTAAACCCAGGGTCTGGCACATGGTAGGTGCTCAATAAATATTGGTGGAATAAGCAAATAAGTACATCAGAGTACGACGGGCACACAGAGGGAGGCACCAGGTGGGAATCAAGGAAGCTTTTCAATAGAAGTGACATCTCAGTGCTGCAGGCTGATGGCACGCAGGTGCAGGGCTCAAAGGGCACAGCCATGGGATTGGGGCCTCCTCAGCCATACCAACTACCAGGCCTCCCCAAGCCATGTTCTTGTCTCTCAGTATCTGGCAGCAGAAATCGCACCTCATTTATCTTTGTGTCTTCGGCACTGAGCACAGTCCAGGAAAATATGAGGTCTTCAATGCACACATTTCAAACAAATGAAGTCCCACATGGCTTCTTGGAGAGAGAAGCCTGAGTTGGAAGTCAAGAACCCTGGGTTTTCATGCTCGACAGCTCATTGGGTCCTCGTTAAAGTAAGCAGCTCAGCTTTTCTGTTGCTCAGTTTGCTTGACATAAAACCACTGATTCCCTCTCCACTTCCCTGGGTTGTCATCAGGTTTATAAGAGAGCAAGGATGTCAGAGTGCTTTGAAAGAGGTTTGTTAGAATTGGATATGTGTTGTAGAAAAGAAATATGATGATATTTTTCTCTAAATGTTAACCTGTCCCAGGGAAACCTTCAGAACCATCACGTGGGCCTTTCTTTGGATCACGTGTCACAGGGAACTCAGCCCAGGTGAGTCTAGCCCTGAACACAGCACAGTGCGTATTCCTGGGCAGCAGCACATTCTTCAATTGCCCAGGTGGGGAGGGAATGGCTGGGGCCTTAGGGAGACACGGCCCATGGAGCACAAGGAGGAGCAATAGACTCGGAGCCAAGGGAACTGAGTCTCCATCCCAGTTCTGCTCCTAATTTACTGTAAAATCTTGGGCAAATCAGTTCCATCTCTGAGGCAAATCTCTCAGCCAAAGTGGACTAGATAGACCAAGTCAATCCTCTCCCTTCCTTCCTTCCTGTCTTCTTCCCTCCTTCCTCCCTCCCACCCATGCACACGCACCCCAGCTCTGCCAAGCACCTGACCCACTGCAATGGGAATAAAATGACAAGTCCTGGGCTCTGCCCTTAAGGCACTGAGGGGCTACTTGGCAGGTAGATGGACATTATTAAACCAAGAATCTTTACGACGGTGAGACAAGGCTTCTCGGAACAGCCCAGATGAAGGGAGCAGAGAGCAACACAGGTCCTGTGTGCTGGGCTCCAAGGAATAGGCAGCCCGAGGCCAGTCAGTGCCCTGGGGTCAAAGGGTGAGTCCAGCCTGCCCCTAGAGACTCCACTTCCAGAAGCGGAGACGGCTCTGCCATCACATTAGCATCGTGCAGAGGGCCCCCTCCAGCTGCACTGGCCTGGGCCGGCACCCTAATTAGACTTTCATAGTGCGTCAGGCAGCCTGCATGGCCGGGCTGCCAGCTGGGGCTCCCGTTCCGTCTGGTGGCCTCAGTTAATGAACCCATGAGGGGCTGGCCGAGCTCATTATAGGTGATACAAGGGAATAGGGTGCCCCCCCATATCCACAATCCCTGCCTTTCTCCTCTCCCTATGTGCACACTGAGAATGGGAAGAGAGCTGATTCCTAATCAAGGGGAAGGAGCGGACAGGAGAGATGCTCCAGCCCTACCACATGGCCCTGTCTGCAGCTAGGGAGAGCCCAAGACTTGCTGGCTCCAGTGGCCATTCAGCCAGAGTTGTGGGGTTCTGAGCCTATGTCTGCTGTGCCTGTGGTTCCAGGGAGGGTCCAGATGTCATGGCTACTCTCAAGCTGCACCTAGGCCCTTTCTTATCCCAGGCCAAGGAGGCAGAGAAGAGACAAAGGTTCAATTCTGTCTCTTTCCAATTGCGGGTTCACAGACATGTTTGGACAAGCTGCTTTCTCAGAGCTTCACCATCCTCATCTTTACGATGGGGTAGTAATACCCACCTGGCACCAAAGTAAGTGCTCGGTTCGATACATTATCTTTGTTTTTATTCTTAAAAGACAAGGGAGAAATGATTCCAAAATGTGAGCAGTGGTTGTGAGCAGTGGGACTATGAATGATATTTTTCTCTTTTCTGTACTTTCTAAATTGTATACAATGAGCATTTTACCTTTGTTGTTTGAAAAAACACAATTTTTCTCCAAAAAAATATGAGATTATATGTGTGAAAGGGTCTAGACTGTGCCTGAGTGAATGTTATTAATAGAGGCTTCCTCCTGCAGCAGAAGTTTGAAGAGAAGAGACTGGGTGGCTGGGCGCGGTGGCTCACACCTTTAATCCCAGCACTTTGGGAGGCCGAGGCGGGCGGATCATGAGGTCAGGAGATGGAGACCATCCTGGCTAACATGGTGAAACCCCGTCTCTACTAAAAATACAAAAAATTAGCTGGGCATCGTGGCGGGCACCTGTAGTCCCAGCTACTTGGGAGGCTGAGGCAGGAGAATTGCTTGAACCTGGGAGGCGGAGCTTGCAGTGAGCCGAGATCGCACCACTGCATTCCAGCCTGGGTGGCAGAGCAAGACTCCGTCTCAAAAAAAAAAAAAAAAAAGGGAGAAGATAGGGTAGAAAAAGAAGCACGGTATTTGCAAATGTGTAATGCACCAATTTCTTATCCCCAAATGCCAAGAGAAGGCACATAAGTGAGTGTTCAAATGCTGTGGCACAGACTCAAGGAAGTGTTTAGAGGAGTTTAAAGGCAGAGAGCTCCCTGGCCAGAGTGGAATGCAAAAAATGTGGACAGGAAGGTGGACGCGACCCAAGTGTCCACCAACAGATGACCAAACAAACAAAATGTGGTCTATCTGCACCATATTATTCAGCCTGAAAAAGGAAGAACATTCTGACACATGCTACCACAGGGATGAACTTTGAGGCATTATGCTAAGTGAAACTAGCCAGTCACAAAGAGACAAATATTGTATAATTGCACTTATATGACATATCTACAGCAGTCGAATTCATAAAGACATAAAGTAGAATGGTAGTTGCCGGCAGCTGGAAGGCGTGGCAGGGAATGGGGAGTTAGTGTTTAATGGGGATAGAATTTCAGTGGAGGAAGATGTAAAAAGCACTGGAGTTGGATGGTGGCGATGGTTGCATAACATTGTGAATGTGTTTAGTGCCACTGAACTGTTCATTTAAAAATGATGAAAATGGTAAATTTTATATTATGTGTGCTTTGTCACAATTAAAAAATATATATATATATATACATACACAATACACATACATACACATACATGGAGAGGCCGGGTATGGTGGCTCACATCTGTAATCCCAGCACTTTGGGAGGCTGAAGCAGGTGGATCACTTGATGTCAGGAGTTCAAGACCAGCCTGGCCAACATGGTGAAACCCCATCTCTACTAAAAATACAAAGATTAGTTGGGCGTGGTGGTGCACGTGGAATCTCAGCTACTCAGGAGGCTGAGGCAGGAGAATCTCTTGAACCCGGGAGTTGGAGATTGCAGTGAGCTGAGATCATGCCACTGCACTCCAACCTGGGTGACAGAGTGAGACTCTGTCTCAAAATATATATATATATATATGTATATATGTGTGTGTGTGTGTGTGTGTGTATGTGTGTATATATGTATGTGTGTGTATACACAGAGAGAGAGAGAGAGAGAGAGAAACAGGACAGGACCCAGGGGAAGGGGGATCAGGATCAGGTCAGGTGAGATAAAGCAAGTCGCTGATCTCCTGGTGTTGAGGGCCACCAGCTGGAGAGATGACCCAAGGAGAAGGGAGAGTCCAGGAAGCATGGCTGAAGGAGAGACAGTGCTGGCCGGGGGACCTGCCAAGTGGAGCCCTGCATGGTTGACACAGTCCAAGTGAGATTTGCTGCTTCCTGCCTGCCTGTATTTAATGAGCTGAAGCCAGGGAGTTCTAAGCACAGAAGGTTTTGTAGCTGGAGGATTCAGGACCTGCCAAGTCAATGCCCAAGCAGATGGAGCCTCCATGATCTCAGAGCTTGGGATATGAGAAATCAGGACACATGACAGTTTGTGCATCGAAAATAAGTAAATAAGGCAGGGAAAGAGCCGGGGCACTGAGGTCCTCCAGGAGAGCAAGGAAGAGGAATGTTTGAGCATCAATTCCATGGAGAAGAAATTCACTGAGCTAACAAAATTCAGAAGAAGGCTGGCTGACACCCAAATAAAGGACAACTGGATCGGGACAGGATGTCCTGAAGGGAGGTAGGGGTCTCACCAGGGCACAAATGGAGGCTAGCTCAGTGCCGGTGCTTGGTAGCATAATAATAACAGCAACAATTGATTGAGCACCTATTGTCTGTGACAAACACTCTTCTTGGGTTGTTCATTTATTCCCTTCAGGAAACTTCTGCAGAGGAACTCTTTCTAGCTTCCCTTTACACATGAGGAAGACTGAGGCTTGGAGGTGTAAGTAACCTGCAGAGCCAGGGCCCTGAAGGCACACCCTCTGCCTCCAATGAAGCTGGCTGGCCTCCTTTCTGCTTTGCCACCAACTGTCCGCCCACCCCAGTGCTGCCTCCCATCTCTGTGCACCCATACCCAACTTCTTACTTGAACTGGTGCTCCCGGGAGCTGCGGATTTTGGAGGAGAAGCGCTCAGCCAGCTTCTCCAGGCTGCGGGAGTACTCGAGCTCAATCTCAGCTTTCCGGCGGAAAAACTCCTGGAGGTCTTGAAGCAGCTGCAGTCGCGACTCTGATTGCTGCTCCAGACATTTGAACTGCTCCACCAGCTGCGTGCGGATCTCTGCGGGCACACAAGGGTAGGAGCATGAGACTGGTGGTGGGGACGGGGGCACTGGGGCCCGCTCTGCTGCTGGCCTGGGCCCTGCAATTCAGGCAGCTCCCTCCTAACACCATCCAGAGCCTCTCTGAGCCCAGCCAGAGCTCAGACCTTGCTTGGCAGAGCATTGGCACAAAGATTTCTCTCTTGCTCGTTTTTGCCATTGATCTAACCAAAAGTTTCCAAAACTTGAATCACTGCATGTCACCACCACGATTTTTGCCATATTCACAGGCCCCAAGCATTCTTATTTCTTCCACATGATCTAGTAAATTGACTCACCTTTCTTACGGAGATGATCTTGCTTAAAATGCAAAGGTTTCTATCAATACAGTAAAGTGAAACACTAGGACCCCTTGCAGCCTGGGACGTAGGAAATAATTCAATGAAAACAAAAGTATTGTAAAATTCTATCTAGAGACAATTGTTTACCAAAGGCTCTAAGCCTAAGCTGCTGGCTCTTTATCAACCAAAGGAAAACGGCAGTGTGACTTTCTCCATGTGTAGTCAGGACTGAGAGAGGGCTGAGAAGGGCATGCTTTTCCCTCGTGGGTTTCAGTGTTATTTAAGGCCACATCTGTGTCCTGCTTTAAATCACCTTGAATTCCATGTATGAACCTCTCAGATATCACACTTCAGAAAATACTGATTGCTCAAACCAGATCTACGCAACCAGGGCAACAATTCAAAAGCTGGAAGCTGGAGTTAAAAATCACAGCTGAATGCCAATAACCACATCCATTCTTGTCTTCAAGCCTGTAGGGTTGTCACCGCCACTGCCCCCAGGCATAGATTCTTTCCAGGCCATCCCAAGAGCTGCTCAACAGATCAGCCTCCAAAGCACTCTGCTCACACCAGCAACGTGCTCAGAAATACCCCACGGCTCCCCTCTGCCTGAGTATTAGGTCCAACTCCTCAGCATGACATTCAAGACCATCCACCAAGCAGTCCCAAATTTCATTTCTCAGGACTTTACCCCAATGGACTCTCCAAACCATTCAAGCCAGTCCTTGGAATATCAGATCTCACCTGCCTAAATGTGTGCCCCGTCTGAAATGGTGGCCAGCGTCATTTCAGCATCCTTCAGAGAAGTGGACTTCAAACTGGGGCAGAACTACTCTGGGGTACACAAAGACACCCCACAGGGTATGCAAGCTGAGGTAGAAGGGAATCAACCTGAGATCCTCCACATCCATTCCCACTGCCTGACAACGTGCCTCAGTCTAGATGCACGGCCCCTCTCCTTTCCTACCTCCCCTCCTCACAATGGTCCTGTTCTCTCTTTACAGGAAAAAGAGCAACTGCTCACTCGTCCAGAATCTATGATGCAGTGTCCCAAAATGTCGAGACATCTGGGTGTCAAAAGGAAAAATAGACCATTTAAAATGTTCATGTTGGCCAGGCATGGTGGCTCATGCCTTTAATCCCAGCACTTTGGGAGGCCGAGGCGGGTGGATCACGAGGTCAGGAGGTGGAGACCATCCTGGCTGACACAGTGAAACCCTGTCTCTACTAAAAATACAAAAATTAGCCAGGCATAGTGGCAGGCGCCTGGAGTCCCAGCTACTCTGGAGGCTGGGGCAGGAGAATCACTTGAACCCAGAAGGTGGAGGTTGCACGCCATTGCACTCCAGCCTGGGCGACAGAGCAAGACCCTGTCTCAAAAACTAACTAACTAACTAACTAACTAACTAAATAAATAAATAAATAAATAATGTAAAATGTTCATGTTACACATGTTCTCAGTTATAAGTGGGACCTAAATAATGTGTGCACTTGGATGTACAGTGTGGAATGCTAGAGAACAGAGACTCAGAAGGGTGAGGGGGTGGGAGGGAGGTGGATAATGAGAAATTACTTAATGGGTGTAATGTACATTATTTGTGTCATGGGTACCCAAGAAGCCCTGGCTTCACCACCACACAATCTATGCATGTAACAAAATTACACTTGTACTCCATAAATTTATACGTAAATAAATACATGTACAAAGTTATATTCTCTTCAAATAATAAAAAGTGTTTTTAAAAAGTTGATATTTGGAAATCTTCCTCTAATCAAGGGATCACAAACCCTTGCTACTCAAAGTGTGGTCCATGAGACCACGTCTGTCATCACAGCACTTTGAGAGGCTGAGGCAGGAGAATCACTTGAGGCCAGGGGCTCAAGACCAGCCTGGGAAACATAGGGAGACCTCGTCTCCATAAAAACTTAAAAAAAAAAAAAGTTTTAAATTAGCCAGGTGTGGTGGCATGGGCTTGTGTTCCCAGCTACTCAGGAGGCTGAGGCAGAAGTATTGCTTGAGCCCAGGAGGTCCAGGCTGCAGTGAGCTATGATTGTGAAACTGCACTCCAGCCTATATGACAAAGCAAGACTCTGTCTCAAAAACATTAAAATGTGGTCCACAGACCAGCAGCATCAGCACCACCAATGGGCTTGTTAGAAATACAGAGGCCTAGGCAATATAACAAGACCTCATGCCTAGTAAAATTTTATTGTTTGTTTTGTGTTTTGAGACGGAGTCTCGCTCTGTCGCCAGGCTGGAGTGCAGCGGCCCGATCTCCACTCACTGCAACCTCCGCCTCCTGGGTTCAAGCGATCCTCCTGCCTCGGTCTCTAGAGTAGCTGGGACGACAGGTGCGCACCACCACACCCAGCTAGTTTTTTGTATTTTTAGTAGAGACGAGGTTTCATTATGTTGGCCAGGATGGTCTTGATCTCTTGACCTCGTGATCCACCCGCCTTGGCCTCCCAAAGTGCTGGGATTACAGGTGTGAGCCACTGCACCCGGCCTAGTAAAAATTTTAAAAAGTAATTAGCTGGGCATGGTGGCACATGCCTCTAGTCCCAGCTACTTGGGAGGCTGAGGTGGGAGGATTGCTTTAGCCCAGGAGTTCAAAGCTTCAGTGAGCCATGACCATACCATGATGCTTAGAGGGAACTCCTGTAATGAAAAGAAAAGAAAAGAAAAGAACAGGTGAGGAGAGAGGAGGGGAGGGGAGGGGAGGGGAAGGAGAAGAAATACAGAATCATCCAAACTCATCAAGATGCATAAATTAAATGTGCTCATTTTTGGGGCATTTCAATTATACCTTAAAAAAGCTAAAAAAAAAAAATTCAGAATAAAGTCTCAGGCCCCAGCCCATACCATCCAAATCAGAATCTGCATTTTATCAAGATCTCCCAAGGTGGCCCTTGTACACCTTAAAGTTTGATAAGCACTGCCATCAACCATCCCGCCCATCTCATTATGAGAAGCATTTCCCATACAAAGTTATGCTTTAATGATTTATCAAATGTGTAAAATAATGTTATTTTGATAAATTGTGTATTACTGATCACTGCAATGATACATAAATCAATATAAAAGGAAGATCCTTAGAGTTCAAAGGAAAAAATTAAAATGTCCATTTCAGCTTACATAAGTAGAGTTTTAAAAAAGATGATAATCTTAAAAAACTTTCAAGCATAAAATATGTTAAGATTAAATTTTATGAAGCAAGTGAAAGGGAATTAGGAGTTCAAGAAGGTAAAGAAAGGAGCAGTGTAAAACATTTGACTTGTTCAGGTAACTTTGATGGATGATTGTAGAAACCAATGTATTATGGTATTTATCCTATGACCGGGCAATTTCACTGATGGATACATACACAAAAGAAATCAGTGCTTATGATCACCAAAAAATATATACAAGAATACTTTTAGTATCTTTATAGCCAAATATTAGAAATAACCCAAAATGTCTAGTAAGAATAGAATGGATTTTTTGAATGTGAGATATTCATTGAGTGGAATGATATACAATAATGAAAAAGGAATGCTACTGCTCCCAACAGCAACATGTTTGAAATCCACAGATCTTGTGTTTATTGAAAGAAGCCAGAACGAATGAGGTTGTGCAAAACTAGTTTATGGTGATAGAGGTCGGAAAAGTGGTCACGTTTGACGGGTATTGATGGAGAGAGGGAACAAGCATGGCTTCTGAATACTGGAGATGTTCCACACCTTGGTGAGGGTGGAAGGGACACTGATAAAAATTAACTGAGCTGCTCACTTAAGATCTGTGCATTCTACTACATCAAAGTGAGGCTTCAATAAAAAGACAAAATTTAAAATTGCTATGTTAGTTTCTATTTGACACATTTTTAAAAATTTTTTGTAGAGACAGGCCTCTTTATGTTACCCAGGCTGGTCTTCAACTCTTGGGCTCAAGCAATCCTCCTGCCTTGGCCTTCTAAGTAGCTGGGACTAAAGAGGTAAGCCACCCCACCCATCCCTCCCCACAACATTTTGATACAGTTTTAAGAGAGTGGTATTATACATAATGTTACTCTAAAATGTGAATATTTAAAACATGGCCAAAATTATATCCTTTGTAACTAATCAAACTTAGAATAAAATATTTTATTTTATTTAGTGCAAATTAAAGAATGAGACATTTTAGATGTCAACTTAAAATGTGTGAAGCAGAAGAGATATTTTTCTTTCCAAAGTTCATGTAGAGGGTAGGTAAGCAAAAAAAAAAAAAAAAAAAGTTGAAAACCACTGCTTCAGAGCCCACATAAAGCACTGCTCCTCCCAGGAAGGCCTGGGCTGCCAGCCTGGTGACCCTCTTTTGAACTCCCATGGCACGTACAGCAAATCTCAGATTGCCTAGCGCTGTTTGGGTTTTTTTGTTTGTTAGTTTTCATTCTTTCATGCATGCCATCTCTGCCTCATCTCCTCAAATGAAATTTAAGCTCTGAGGGCAGATTCTCCCAGCACATAATAGGTCATCAGGATATCAATATCTGTATAGCAAATTACTATTTCCCTTTTTTTTTTTTGAGACAGAGTCTTGCTCTGTCGCCCAGGCTGGAGTGCAGTGGCGCCATCTCAACTCACTGCAACCTCCATCTCCCAGGTTCAAGGGATTGTCCTTCTTCAGCCTCCCAAGTAGCTGGGATTATAGGCACCGGCCACCACACCTGAATAATTTTTGTATTTTTAGTAGAGACAGGGTTTTACCATGTTAGCCAGGCTGGTGTCGAACTCCCGACCTCAGGTGATCTGCCCACCTCGGCCTCCCAAAGTGCTGGGATTACAAGCATGAGCCACCACGCCCAGCCTACTATTTCCCTTTAGCAAGCGCTTTTTACCAAGTACATTAAGTGTTGTGATTATGGAAGCCTCAGCTCACACACACACAAACAAACATATGGCACACACATTCACGCCACAAATACATACAAAACACACAACACATACCACACACAACACCACTCACCCCCCACACATACATACATTCAACGTGGATGTATAATAATGAAGAAACCAAGGCTTTACGTAAACCAAGATCAGGGACTCATCCAAGGTCACACGTCGTTCTCTGAACTCTAACAAACTACACAGGTCCCCTCTTAGATGGTCTACCTGTTGAACTGAACTGTATTGAGGTGCCTCACTCCCACAAGACCAAACCTTGTCATATCAACACACAGTCATAAAAATATAACTATGCAGTGAGTGCTACTAGTGTTTCTCCACTTTTTCCCCATAGACAAGGAAGTAGCAGCTCAGGAGGAAGTCGCTAGCCTGTGCTCCTAACAGCTGGTTCAGAGCAGAGCCAGCAATCAAACCCAGGTCCCTCAGAAGCTTACCATAATGCCCTTGACATGATGCTAGACCGAGGCCCCTACAGGAACTTCTTGGTCTGCATTCCATGAATTATCCTTGTTTTCCATATTAAAACAAAACAAACACAAAAGACACTTTTAATCCCTCTGTATTCAACCTCTTGCATTCTTTTTGTAGCAAGATGGTGATCTAAAGAGATATTATTTATTAGAAAAGCTGCAGCCACAGCCTTCCTCATTACAGAGCATTATCAGGAGATGACATTCTCATATTTTAGAGGAAAAGCTCATAAATCACATCGTGATGACAGCAGACGATTTGGAAAGAGCAGAGCAACCTCCCCCAGTTCACACAACCAGCTGGAGCCTCCCAGGCTGGGCTGTGCATGGAACCCTCCAGCAGTTTGCCGGGCTCAAAATCAAGTCCTTCTTGCAGGAAATGGCCCTGGCAGAGCATCCTCTGCAGCCTGCCCTGATCTGGAACCCTGAGGGCATTTGATTACCCATCTCATTATTTCTAATTCCCATCCAAGTTGCTGCTAGGAGCCTACGAGCTGGCACAGATTTGGGTTTTCTCCTTGAAGATTTCAAAGAGAGAAAAATAAAATAAAATAAAACAGAATTGTTCCCAAGGCACAGACTTCATTCAGCAGACGTTTCCCCCCCGGGGGACAGTTCCAGCCATAACACAGAGCTGAGTGGCAGAAAAATTAAAAGGGGGATGTGGCAAGGAGGGAAAGGGGTTGGAAAGAGGGACAGGCTTTGAACTCAACACCTGAAAGCTGAAGATGACCTCACTGCATGGTGCAGTCTCTTGGTTTTATAGACAGGGGCATGAGGCCCAGAGAAGGGGAAGATCTAATTCTTTTTTTTTTTTTTTTTTTTTTTGAGATGGAGTCTCACTCTGTCACCCAGGCTGGAGTGCAGTGGTGCGATCTCAGCTCACTGCAACCTCTGCCTTCCCAGTTCAAGTGATTCTCCCACCTCAGCTTCCCAAGTAGCTGGGGACTACAGGTGCACACCACCACGCCCAGCTAATATTTTTGTATTTTTAGTAGAAACGGGGTTTCACCATGTTGGCCAGGATGGTCTTGAACCCCTGACCTCAAGTAATCCACCCGCCTCGGCCTCCCAAAGTGCTGGGATTACAGGCATAAGCCACTGCACCCGGCCGTAAGAACTAATTCTTCAATCCAGGTCTCCTAAAGCACCAATCTCCCTGTGTCACCCTCCTGATAAAATTCTCCATGGTTCCCCATTGCTTATAGGATCAAAGCCAAACTCCTCTGACATTCAAAGTCCAAGAATGCACAGCCTGCCTACCCATCCCCATAACACTCCTGCTCACTCTCCAAGCAACAGTCTTACTAAAGATCACTTTGCATGCACCCAGGCTGCCACCTATGGCAAACAGCCCGTGTGACCCACCGTATGGAGAGCAAGATTCCTCATACTCCCCACTGCTCCTCACAACCACAACCTCACCAGCAATAGTAGGAAGATTCTTCAGATCAGTCTTTTTTTTTAATTAATGGGCTATTTTTAGAGCCATTTTAGGTTTACCAAAAAATTGACCAGAAAGTACAGAGAGTTCCCATATATCCCCTCTCCACTGCACAGTTTCTCCGATTATTAACATCTTGCATTCCATCGTGCATTTATTGCAATTGAAGAGCCAATACTGACACACCAAAGTCTGTCACTTACATTACGGCTCACCCTTTGTGTTGTACATTCTCTGGGTTTTGACAAACGTCTAATGTCATGTGTCCACCATTACAGTATCATACAGAATAGTGTTGCCACCCTAAAAATCCTCGTGCTCCACCTATTTCGCCCCTTATTCTTCCCTCTCACTTACCCCAACCCTTGGCAAACCCTAATCTTCTTACTGTCTCTATAGTTTTGCCTTTCCCAGCATGTTATACAGCTGGAATCATAAAGTATATAGACTTTTTAGAGTGGCTTCTTTCACCTAGCAATATGCATGTAGGGTTCTTCCATGTCTTTTTGTGGCTTTGTAGCTCCTTTTTATCACCAAATAATATTCTGTGCTACGGAATAATGTTGACAGACTGTTTATTCATTCCCCTATTTAAAGACATGTTGGTTGCTAATTATGAATAAAGCTGTTATGAACATCTGTATGCAGGTTTTTGTGTGGACATGTTTTCAACTCATTTGGGTAAATATCCTTTTTGAAATCAATAGACTTTATTTTTATAGCAGTTTTAGGCTTACTGAAAAAAAGGAATTACATTTTTAAATAGGAAATATAGGGTTTTTTTTAATATTACATACACAACTGAAAAGGTAGAAAGGGTATATAAAGTTTTACTCCCACCTCTATCAACCACCTAGTTCCCCTCTCGCAAAACAACCAAACTACCATGATCGTGTGCATCATTCCAGAAATAATGGCATATATATAAAACATATATGTTATATAGATCATATTATTTATATTATATGATATATTATATAGATCTATATATAAGAGAGAATATCTATATATAGAATTTACATATATAGAATGTTAAATATATTATTTCCTCTGTTTTTATACATGTTAGAGCATATCATTCACAGTGTTCTGTACCTTATCTTTTTCTTTTAATAATACATCCTGGAGGCCGGGCACAGTGGCTCATGCCTGTAATCCCAACACTTTGGGAGGCCGAAGCAGGTGGATCACTTGAGGTCAGGAGTTTGAGACCAGCCTGGCCAACACAGCGATACCCTGTCTCTACTAGAAAATACAAAAACTTATCTGGGCATGGTGGCGCACACCTGTAATCCCAGCTAACTGTTAGGCTGAAGCGGGAGAATTGCTTGAATCTGGGAGGTGGAGGTTGCAGTGAGCTGAGATTGTGCCACTGCACTCCAGCCTGGGCAACAGAGCAAGACTCTATCTAAAAAAAAGTAATAATAATACATCATGGAGATCAGTCCAAATCATTATATAAAGAACTTCCTCATTCCTTTTACAGCACACTAGAATTCCACTGTAAGTTTTTTTTAGCCAGTCTCTTTTGCTGAACATTTAGGTTGTTTATAATCTTTTACTATCATCAACAATGCTGGAATGAATAATCATACACAGGCTTCATTCTGCACATGTGCAGGAATATCATCTATATAATAAGTTCTTAAAGCAACATCACATAAGGATATCAAGACTGCTAAACTGCCCTCTCCTGAAATTTTACCAGTTTATACTACGATGAAAACTTTAGGACAAAGCAGGAACTATTTAGAAGCAGACATGCTGGGATTTGCTCCAAAATAGCCTTAGGTTTGGAGACGGGGAGTGGTAGGGTTTTAAGTAAAATAAGACTGGCCTTGAGTTAATCATTAAAGTTTAGTTTAGCGCTAGGTATCAGGAAGGGGCTTATTATACTATTCTCTCTACTTTTGGAATGTTTGAAATTTTTCATCATAAAAAAGGGAGAAAAAGCAGATAAAGCCAATGCAAATCCTGCACCTCTGGTTAACAGGTCTGACCCATTAGGAACGCCAGCAACTTGCCCTTGGAGGCCTCTGCCCCTTGCCTGCACCCTTGGAGGCCTCTGCCCCTTGCCTGCAGATGGCTTTCCTGGGTTAGTAAGAGGGGCCAGAGTATGACAGCAAAGAGCAATTTTAAATGTAGCTTCCCAGACCCCACCCAATTCCAATCTTTGGACCCTGTCCTGAAAACACAGTAACTGTTCTGGCACCTCCTGGGATGGAGAGGCACCACTCACAGTCTGCATACATCCTGAAAACCAAGATCAAGGGAGCACTTGCCCCCTCTGCTCCACAGGGGCAGCTGGTACCTTCCCAGTGTAAATTTTTAGGAGCCGATAAAGATGAACCACCTGGTATGTTACAGCCAACAACATCTCATCACATCTACGCACAATCACATCTGATTATCATGACATCCTATGAGGCTGGTAGTATTGCCACTCCTCTTCTACGGATGAAGCAATTGAGATTCAGGGAGGGGAAATGGCTTGCCCAAGACCACCAAGAAAGTGGCAAAGCCAGGGCTGAAACCGAGAGTAAAGGGCAGACAGGAACTAACATCACCCAATGCCCAGGTCAGGGAACTTTCTGTGGCAGTCCTGCTGCCTCCTCTTTCAAGGATCATGTCCTGTTGTACCTCCTGTCTCCACTCTCAGTGGTCATCTTTGTGCCATCCACACAGAGCACCAGTCTGGCTGTCATTATATGCATCCCAGTGCATCCTGACCCTGACCTCAGGCCCTCCTCTGAGGAGAGAAATCTCAGCTTCATAGCACAATGTAGCGGGCTCTGGGTTCACCTGCCCGGTGGTTCAAATCCTGGCCCTGCCACATGCTCAGGTGGGCAACCTGAGACTCAGTTTCCTCTGTCAAATGGGGATGATAATAATCTCTACCTCATATTGTTGTGAGAATGGTATGTGTTAATGCAAAGGAAGTTCCTGGCATAGTGCTTTCCATATATTGGTACCATATTGTCCAACACAGTCGCCACTAGCCACATGTGGCTATTTGCATTTAATTAAAATAAAAAACTCATTCCTCTGTTGCACTTGCCACATTTCACGTGTTAAACCATCCTGGACAGTGCAGAATATTTCCATCATTGCAGAAACTTCCATTGGACAGCACTGCGTCAGAGGCTTTATAAAGTTAAGCTATGATTATCATTTATTATAACTTCTTTCTGTGGCCATTTCTCATCTCCTTAAATGGAAAATATGGTCCTGAAAGGCAGGGATGGCACTATGTTTTATTACTCCGAATTTGCGCACGACCTCTCCAACAAGAGCAGTGTAATGGAGTCTTCCAAACCCTCCCCTCAAGAAAACATGATGATGGAGACTCACTCTCCTTGCTCCCAGCCCAAAACCCAGCATCCTGGTGGGGTCCCTTGCCCTCCAACTCCAGCCCTAGCGGAGATGATGTGGCCCAGTGGATAGACCCAGCAGAGCCTGGACTCTGGAGCCACTCTCACAGGGTTGATTATTGTCTCTGCCGGATCTGCACTGTGAAGCCTTGGGCAGTCAACTCAGTATCTTCTCTGAGCTGTCTTCGGATTTGTAAAAGGCAAGTAAGTATTCTTATCTTGCAGGGTTGTTGCCAGGATCAGACTGGAAATAATGCACATGATGTGCCAGGCACCTGGTGGACCCTCGGCGAATAGCATCTATACAGAGGTGGCATGGCGCAGCGGAAGGGCATGCACTCACAAGCTCACAAGTTCTGAGGACAGTCAGCCTAGGCTCCAAATCTGGTTTTCTCCACTTTGGGGAAGTGGCTTCAGCCTGGTCTCTGTTTTCTCATCTGTAAAATAGGGAATAATACCTTCCCCCCTGGGGTTGTTAAAAGGGTGAGGGGTGGTATGCGCGTGGTGCCTGGGGCACTGCAGGGACGCAAGAAATGAGCCATGGCGGCTGCTGTAGTCATGGACCGTGAGCACCAGGCACGCTGGGCACCGAGCTAAGTGTTTCCCAGGCGCCATCTCGCGCCCCGCGTCCACAGTCCCACAAGGAGGGCTGTGTCACCAGCCACCTTCTTCCAGCCTCTCTGTGCTGGTTCCCCTTCCCCGCCCGCCCTCCTCGCAGGCCTGGCCCACGTTTCGCTCCTTCTCTAGGCCCTGCACAAAAGACTCGTGCGCTGCCCGGACACGGGCTCCCCATTGCCGCCCTTCTCCTAGCCTCCTGTACACCGAGAGGCGGCTTCCGGGACGGCCCCGAGGGTCCGCAGGATCCGTGCGCCCAGCGCCGGGGCTGGAGGCAGCAGATGCCGGGCCGGGGTCAGCCGCCGCGCGCCGTTGCCACGGCAACCGTCGCTGGGACCCCCCCCCCCCCCGACCGCCCCGCCCCGCCCCGCGCGCCACGTGCAGCAGCCGGGGTGGCTGAAAGCGGGCTCCTAAGCCATCTCTTCGGATTCCTTCTTCGCAGACGCGAGCAAGCTCCTGGCACCCTGTAGTCTCTCCCTCTCCCCTTCCTGTATTCGGCCAACGACCGACATCAGGCCATTCTTTATTAACCTTTATCAAGCCAGGCCGGTCAGCGGCCATCCTCAATTATTAAATAATACCACGTTAGAGGAGGCAGTGGGTGTCCCGCCCTTTTACAGATGAGGAAATTGAGGCCCAAGAGAAGGGAAAGGGGCTGCCTGAATCACAGGATTGGAACCTGGGCCTGCCTGATGCCAGAGTCCACCGGAGACTCCGCCAGGAGCTTCCTGGGTCTATCCCTGATCCCCACGGTTCCTGCGGAGTCTGCCCCTCATCAATAGGCCTTTTGGGTTCTGCAGTGCCAAAAGCTGGATCTGGGATCAGACTTGGCTGAGTTCAGAGCCTGACCTTGACGCTGGCTAGCTGTGTGACCTTCAGCAAGTCAGTCAACCTCTCTGGGCCTTGGTTTTCCCATCTGCAGGATGGAGGAAGTAAGAGCAGACATTTTGGAGCTGTGTGCTTCCCCGAATTGTCTCCTTGAACCTATGCTACAGCCTTAGGAGGAAGTTACTACTATTATCCCGTTTTGCAGAGGAGGAGACTGAGCCACAGAGAGGTGAAATGACATGCCTAATTTCATGTAAATATTAAGAAATCTGTTGGCCCCAAATCTTATACCACGTTGCCAGAGAGATGAGTGCCTGCCATATGTACTATACCAAGTGAGCCAGGTTTTTACGCTCTGTCTTTCGCCACCTCACGATTATTCAGGGTAGTAAAGGCCAGGCTTAGAACAGAGAATCAAAGCATATCAACTCCGAAGGCTTCCCTGAAGCAAATTTTATCTGCTTGCAGCTTTCTAGGGGATGGGGGAACACATATGCTGGGAAGGCAGTGCTGGGTGAAGTGACTGGCATCTCCCACACTGATTCTCACCACTACCAGCTCCTCCAAAAAGGAAGCACAGTATATTGGCTAGTACTTTGAAAAAAATAAGAGTTATTTAATAATGATGATGCTATCAACCAGGAAAATTTTCTTCTATGTAAGAGGAAATGATAAGGTCCCCAACACACTAGGGAATTAGCATTGGATATACATGCACGGCTGAAGAAATTAAAGAAAGGAGTCCCACTTCCCACAGTGGTCTGAAAGCAGAAATCCAGCTCTGCAGCCCCCTGACCACCCCTACCTAGAGTGCTAAACCAGTGCCCCTGAATAGGAAGCAGGCAGCAGAAAGCAGAATGGGAGGGAGAGAGGGTTTTCCCATAGCATCTGTGCTGTGTCCAAATAATAGCCATTCCTTCCCATGAAGAAGTCAGACAGAAGCTGCCTCCACACCTTCCAGATGTTCAGTGAAATGCAAAGAACAGCCAGAGTGAGGCCACGCCTCCTCCTACCAGAGACTGAGTTAAAGCTGGCTGGGTGTGATCAATTTCAACACGAGATTAATATTCACGGTTTTGCTGCCCAATGGTCCCTGAAGAATCAGATCCATTTAAATGAGAAGAGATCAGGATTCATTAATGCTGAATTTCCAGCTGCGTCCTCTGACTGATGATGTTTATCTTTATGTTTTTAATCATACTTTCCTCCCAGAGCTAAAATAGAAGTCAGAGAACTGGGGGCCTGCTGGAAACATCTAAATCTTTCCCAAACTTCACAGCCATCTTTACAATGTGCCCCTTCTAAAAACTACCTGCTGTATATTTGTCTAATATATTTCTTTAAATCATCTTACTTTTTACCTGGGATGCTTTATGGTACCACCATAAATGGAACCCCCCCCACACAAAAAATGTGCCACTAATGGAATGTAACTATAAAAATAAACACAATGAACACAAAATAATGTTATTAAATTATACCTAGATTCTGTAGTCTGAGACCTGATTTTTTAATATAAAAGGAGTTTAGCAAGTAAGTATTCAAGCAAGGGTTGAAGACATGCTAGCACCTAAGAGCAACTTTCTCATTGAGGTAATCAAAAAGGTTGAAGGCAGGAAGGGTTGAAGGAGGACTAAAAAGAAAATAACTATCTGTTGTCATGAGTTATGTTACTTAGTTCTGTCTCTGCGGACCACCTAAAATCATCCTGTATATATACAGATTGAACATCCCTGATCCGAAAATCTGAAATCCAAAATCCAAACTTTTTGAGCACTCACATGATGCCACAAGTGGAAAATCCCACACGTGACCTCACAGGACAGGTCACGGTCAAAACTTAGATACACAACGCACAGTTTATTTAAAAGATTGCATGAAATTACCTTCAGGCTATGTGTAAAAGGTGTATATGAAACAAATGAATTTCATGTTTAGACTTGGGCCCCATCTCCAAGATGTCTTATTATGAATGGGCAAATATTACAAAATCCAAAAACTCCAAAATTTGAAACACTTCTGGTCCCAAGCATTTCAGATAAGGAATACTCAACCTGTACCAACAGTAGTGCTCATGCCTCATCTTCAAGAAACAGTGATTGGCCCAACCTCTTAATTCACAAGAGGAGAAACTGAGGAACAGAGACCCACACCCCAAAGCTGTACCAGCACCTGTGTCTCCCAGCTGCTTGGCCAGTGCTCAACCCTTTTGTCCATAGTTCTTCATTTGCAAATCCTTTCTGCCCTGTTGTTACAAAAGGCAGCTAGCACAGCACCAGTGCCTGCCACCAAGTTGGTTCCTCACAAATCTTTTTAAATGAATAAATGAAATGTTGTATGTGTTAGGCTGAATAATGACCCCCAAGAGACATCCAGTTCCTAATCCCTGGAACCTGGGAATGTTACCTTCAATGGCAAAAAAGGACGTTGCAGATGTGATTAAAATTAAGGATCTTGAGGAGATTATCCTGGATCATCTGGGTGGACCCTAATGCAATTACAAGTGTCCTTACAGGAGAGAGAGGGGAAAAAAAAGAAGATTTGTCACAGAAGAGGAGGAGGCAGTGTGACCATAGAGGCAGAGATTGCAGTGATGCAACCACAAGCCAAGGAATGCTGGTAGCCACCAGAAACTGGAAGAGACAAGGGACAGGTTCTCCCCTAGAGCCGCTGGAGGGAGTGTGGCTCTGGCCACACCTTGATTTTGGATTGGTGAAGCTGATTGCAGACTCCTTGCTTCCAGAACTGTGAGAGAATAAATGCGTGTTGTTTTAAGTCAGCAAGTATGTGGCAATTTGCTACAGCAGCTATCGGAAACTAGTATAATGTGCATTGCGCCACTCTGAAATCTCTGAAGAATTACAGAGTACAGTCTAAAGCTCTGAAGAATATAGAGTATCGTCTAAAAGGGGAATGGTATTGAATATAAGATGACCAGAAGAAGGAAGGACAATGTGTTGTAGAGGAGTCAGCTGAGGCCTCATGAAGCAAGATTTGCATGATCTAGACCAGCAGAGAGAAGGACAGGGGTATTCTATCATACACCACCACATCAAGCATTTAATGATCACCTACTATGTCTGTGTTAGAGGGCAGCAAGAGTGATAAAAATACATATGCAACAGCATACTTTCCCTCAAGGAAATCCCAATGTAGTGCAATGGTACGGCATGCTTAAGTGAAAAAATAATTAGCAGTATGAAATGGAATAATTCTCCTTCTAGGCTCAGAGGCATACACACACACACACACACACACACACACATACATACACAAATGTATGTGCAGGGAGACTTATCACAGCATTGTCTATAGAAGTGAAAACTTGGATACGGCATAACTATGGAGCAGCAGAGGATTGGTTAAATAATTCTGGCACATTCACGCAATAAACTCCTATGTGGTGTAAGATTCACGTTGCATACAAATAGCCTTGGAAAATGCCCATAATATATTGTTAAATGACAAAAGTAGGTTACAAAAATAGGATGTAGGGTTTAGTCCTCCCAAAACATAATTATAGCTACCTACACACAGAGAAAAGATAGAAGAATATACACCAAAATGTTAATCATGGTTATTTTGAGGTGGTAGGATTACAGATAAATTAATTTCATCAGTAAATATCCACTGAACACCTATGTGCTAAGCCAAGGCTTAGCAGACTTTTTCCACAAGGGGCCAGATAGTAAATATTTTAGCATTTGCAGGCCATATCATCTCTATTACAACTACTCAACCCTATCGTTACCCAACAAGAGTAGTCATAGAATACATATACAGAGGAATGCACACAACTGTTCCAATAAAACTTTACAAAAACAGGTAATGGGCTAGGTTGGCCTGTGGGCCATAGGTTGCCAACTCCTCTACTAAGTAATCACTGTGTTTTTCTATATTTTCCAAATACTCTACATAATAGGCATTACTCCTCTAATAAGGGGAGAGGCAGTAAACTTTTTTAAGACACTCAATATCTATTGGCCCTGGGAAAGTAATTATTGGATCATACCACAGTGAGATGTCCTCTAGTTGTGGCAATCCCATTTCTCCCCAGGGGTTAGGCAGGCATAGGAAGGTTGCAAAAATGTGATTAGAGACCCAGTGTAAAACAATATGAAGAACACAAGATCTGACAAAATATATCCAGATTCATTTTTTCATGTTAATACTAAATAATAACCATATCGCCTCCAGCTTATGACTCTGGAAACCTTCCCAGAAAATCTCACTTTAGTTACTGCTGGCCCTGCTGGATTCAAACCCAGAGCAGGCCAGCCCCCACTCTGCCATAGCTGTCTCCACTTTGACCCCATTAACTCACACTGAAATGACCAGCCAGGGACAGAGCCACTAATCTTCATTGAGAGGGTGCCTCTGGCCATGTGTGCATTCACCTGACATTAATAGGGTGCAGGATGAATTCCCTTGACCTTCTGATGAGAATGCCACATGGAAGAATATCTAAGGCCACCATGCCGCCCAAATATTTTATGCACATTGCGGCTACTGCATGGGATGGAAAGCCACTACATCAGGCTGAGTGATTTATGTTTCTGAAAACCACGTAAGTTATTACCCATGACCTCATCCTGGCAACTTTGCAAATTCTTGCCAATTGATTTTTGGAAAAGAGAGAAAGAAACAAGAAGGATCTGACTTCAGGGGTGTGTGTGTGTGTGTGTGTGTGTGTGTGTGTGTGTGTGTGTGTGTGTGTTCTTTTCTTTTTAACCTTGTAAGACTCTGCAAAGATTTTCAAAGCAAATTTCAATCCATTCCACAACAGGGACTGAGATTAGATTTTCCAGGAGGTCAGCCAGCAGGGCCTGGTTGTTTGAATGAGCTTCATTTTTATGGTGCACATCAAGCAACCCCTTTCGGTCATCACTATCAATTCCTGTTGTCAGCTGGTCAAGTTTCCAAATAAACTCTTCAGGAGACCCTCTCTGCCTTTGAGGATAGATGGAGGCTGGCAAGACATAAGAAAAGGGCTCCAGCCAAGTACCTTCTCAAATGCTGAGTCCAGCAAACTTTTAGGAAAAGCCTCAGAAAAAAATACAAAATCATTATCGTTGCCTAATGGCTTAATAATGGATTGCAAGCCTGAAAGCAGATAATGTTGGAATATGCACATACCCTCGATCCAGTAAGGCTATTTCATACTCAAATTCCAACTTGAAAAAACGAGTTCTGGGTTAGTTCCAGCCCTGCCTCAAGGCATTAACCTCATCTGTTTCCTCATTCGTAAACTGGGATTAATGGAACCTACCTAAGAATTGTGGTAAATTCAAATTAGGTAATATTAATACATACATATGAAAGAGCTCTGTAAGCAGTAAAAAGTTACGCAAATGGGCATGATTTTTTTCCTTGGTATGATTATTATTACTATATAAGACTCTGCTGCCTGAGAATTAGCAAAAAATCTTGCTCACACATTCACTAACTGTAATATTCACACAAGATCAACCAAACATGAAAAAGCTTATATCTCCCTTTGTAGACACATCTCCCAATGTCGTAGCAAATTTCAATAGTCAGGCTGGAATCCAATCATTCACACTTCGGCTCAGAGTGAGCACTTACTACCCCTATATAAATCTATTTGTCCTTTTAATGCAATGTGAAACTCTCTGCCAAGCTCATATTTCATGTCTTGGGTCCTGTTACCAAAGAGGAAAAACACCTCATGTTTATTAGCTTGTCACTTGGCAGCATAATGTAGTGGGTTCTTTCTGTTCCCTGCTCTGGCAATAATTCTTTGTGAGACGTGGGGCAAGTCTCTTCACTACTCTAGGTCAGTCGGTCAGTGGATTGCCTTTGTGGTCCCACTATGGGCCAAGCCCTGGGACTTAAATTCTGCAGAAAGCAAGGTAGTTGGATCGAGGTCCATTCCAGGACTAAGAGCCTACTGCGTGTCAACCAAGTTGGTGGGCAATTTCCTTTTTTTTTTTTTTTTTTTTTTTGATAAGACAGGGTCTCTCTCTGTCACCCAGCCTGGAGTATAGTGGCGTGATCTCGGCTCACTGCAGCCTTGACCTTTCAGGCTCAAGTGATCCTCCCACTTCAGCCTTTCAAGTAGCTGGGACTATAGGCATGCACCACCACACCCGGCTAATTTTGTTCATTTTTTGGTAGAGATGCAGTCTCACTATGTGGCCCAGGCTGGTCGAGAACTCCAGGGCTCAAGCGATCCTCCTGCCTCAGTCTCCCAAACTGCTGGGATTACAGTCATGAGCCACCATGCTTAGCCTCAATAGCTTAATCTAACATACCTCTGTTCCCTGTTTTGCCAAAAATCAGGTTATATGCTCAACAGTCCCATAGGAATCACCTCTGGGCCAAGGTGCCCACTACCTATCCAGATCACAGGGAGATGAACTCCAGCCTTCAGGCCTTCCGCATTCCTCTTCCCTCAACCTCCAGACATTTCTCCCCAGCACCAAAGTGGGTTGCCTAGTGCAGTCTGCTCTGGCAAGAACACAACTTAACAGATTCTAACTTCCACTGCACTGCCTGTTCCCTTCGCTTTGACTCTCTTATGTTCTCCCTTCTGAATGAAGGAGGCTGATGTAGATTGGCTTATCAGGGAAACAAATGGATAAAATGCCACTGAATTTTGCATTGCAGTTTCCAGGACCAAGCCTTTTGGATCCTGAAAGTACTCCATAATAGAATATATAAAAATATCAACAAGGAATATAAGAGAGGCACAAATGCCAGTGATGCTGATTCCTTTCATTGTCTGTGTTTGAAAGGTTGGGGTGCACTGTCAAAACCATGATCATGACAAGGTGTGAGCCCACAGCACCCTCCCCCATAGGAAGTGTACATGATGGCAGGCTTCTACAGAGCCCTGTCCCCATGAGTTACCCCCATTCCCACGGTGAAACTCCACCACTGCCCCAGTTTTCCCTGAGGAGACAACACCTTGATTTTCCTGCTATTCAAGCTAGAAACTGGCCATCACCCTGACCTTGCCTTCCCCCATGCTCCATCCCTCCCCATCACTGTGTCCTATCCGTTCTACCAGCCCAACACTTCTTCTAAATTCACAAATTCCTCTCCATCTCCACTGCCATCATCCTAGTTAAAAATCCTCATTGTCTCTGACTTGAACAACCACAACAGCCTCCTCCTAAACTAGCCCCCACATCACTTTTCCCCCCTTCCAATATTTTCAGATCAATTCTTCTTTAGAACGCAAAAATCAAATTCATGCTACCACTAGCAAGTTCCTATTCTCCTCCCTCTCTACCTCTAGCCTAAACCTCTTCAATGGATCATGGTTGCTTTTAGGATAAAGACCAAAACCTTAATGTGCTTTTAGGATAACAGATCAAGTCCTTTATGTGGCCTGTAAGACCTACGTGGTGTGGTCTCCACCTCTCTCCATAGCTCCATCTTGTCCCATTTGCTCTTTGTGCCCTATCTTTCAGTCCCCTAGCCTTCTCTCTTCCCCTTCAACATACCAAGTTCTTTTCTGCCTCAGGGCCTTTGTACTGATGCAGATTCCTCTGCCTGGAATGCCCTTCTCCTCTCCACCTCAGCCCCTCTCCTATTGATATGGTTTGGCTGTGTCTCCACCCAAATCTCAACTTAGATTGTATCTCCCAGAATTCCCACATGTTGTGGGAGGGACCCAGGAGGAGGTAGTTGAATCATGGGGGCCTATCTTTCCCATGCTGTTCTCGTAATGGTACGTGAGTCCCATGAGGTCTGATGGGTTTATCAGGGTTTTCTGCTTTTTGCTTCTTCCTCATTTTCTCTTGCCGCCACCATGTAAGAAGTGCCTTTCACCTCCCACCATGATTCTGAGGCCTCCCCAGCCATGTGGAACTGTAAGTTCAATCAAACATCTTTTTCTTCCCAGTCTCAGGTATGTCTTTTCAGCAGCGTGAAAACAGACTAATACACCTGTCTAACTCCTATTTATCTCAACTGTGGTATACTCACGTTTGGGGAAATTGAGTAACTACCCTATGGTTTTGCTAAGAGCATTAAATGAGATAATGCATGTAAAGTGCTTGGCACAGTGCCTGAGTATTCAATGAAGGTTACATGTGCATTATAAATGTTTAAATCTGAAAATTCATTGTTATTCATGCCCATATAATCTTTCTCTCTCTTTTCTCTAAGTTAGTAACTTTATCTTCTACTCTAGCAAGTAAAATCTCAGGGATACTTTCCTTTCTCTCTGTTGTTTATTTATTTATTTATTTATTTTCAGACAAGGTCTCACTCCGTCATCCAGGATGGAGTGCAGTGGCGTGATCTTGGCTCACTGCAACCTCCACCTCCCAGGTTCAAGCGATTCTCCTACCTCAGCCTCCCAAGTAGCTGGGATTACAGGCGCATGCCACCATGCCCAGCTAATTTTTGTAGTTGTGGTAGAGACGGGGTTTCGCCATGTTGGCCAGGCTGTTCTCGAACTCCTGACCTCAGGTGGTCCACTTACCTTGGCCTCCCAAAGTGCTGGGATTATAGGCACGAGCCACTGCGCCTGGCTTTCTCTTTCTCTTTCCTTTCTCTCTGTTTTATGTAAGTTTTTAATATAAGTTTTTATGTTTGACTCAAATACTCAAAATCCCCTTTCCTCCTAAGACATGGCTAACCTAGTTCATATTGAACTCCCTATTTCCATATTCAATCATTCATTTACAGATTCATACAACATTTATTAGCATCTGCCAGGCTCTGTGCTAGGAAAAGAATGTACAACCCTGGGAGAGACTCAGGAGCTTCCCTTGAGGAATTCGGCAGACACTAACAAATACAAAAAATCACAACATTACAATGAGCTAAAACAGGGGTACACACAAAAGAAGAACATCAAGAAGGAAAGGAACTCAGGAAGTAGGGGAGATGGTAGGAACTAAAAGGGCCAGGGAGGTTTCACTGGGCATGCATGCCTGGCCTCAAAGGTTGGATAGGAGTTCACCAGGTGAGGAGAGAGAAGGCATGAGGGATATGGTGAGTGGGCAAAGGCCCTGAGGTCTGGAAGTATGTGACCTGTTCAGGGACTGGCGAGGGGTTCAACAAGGCTAAAAGTTAAGAAGTTTAGCAGGGCATGGAAGAAGCTCAGGCAGAAAGGGCTCCTTGTAGCCATATGGTGAATAGCCTTGAAGGCCATGTTCAGGGGCTTAGGCCTTACCCCACAGTCAATGTTACAGAAAACCTGGTGGCAGCATAGAGGCAAGTGAATCGGTAGAAGAGACTAGTTAGAAGGCTACTGCCATACTACAATTAGGGACAGGGAGACTCAACTAAGACTTATCAATCGAGCTCCTTCCATCAAGCAGGTATTCCACGTGTTGACTGACAAATCCTGGTTTGCTAACTTGTACAAGAACCCCATGCGTGGAGTGCCACAGGGCCCATCTCAAATGCAAAGGTTCTTGTAGTAGAGTTCACACACAGCATTTCCCTTAGACTGCCCAGTTTAGAGTCCCGCTCCACCTGTAGTTGGTGATAAGAGTGGCAGTGATGTGAAGCTGCTGCTATAATAGCAGGGACTTTATAGCCCCAAGCGAAACCAGAGGTGCAGACAGGTAACCCCAGCATCAATTTCTATAACTGATTTCAAAAATTAATGAAAAGGAAGCCAGTCTGGGAGAAGAAGTGGCCTCTAAGTGAAATATAAGTTTACATTTACCCCTCACCTGGTGAACTCCTACTCATACTTCAAGGCCCAATTCAGATGTCTCATGGGAGATGATGAGATTTCATGAGAAAGCTTGGCAGAGTTAAGGGAAGGGCTTCTTCCACACCTTGGCTTAGCACAGGGATGGTTCTAGAGCAACACAGACTGATGGGAACACAGGGGCATCTGAAGGTATGCAGACAGAGAGCACCAGGACCAGGTGCTAGAAGAGGAGCGGGAACCCCACAAGGTACACCCTGCAGGGCGCGAGGACGATGCGTCCCTCTTGGGTGCTTGGCAGGAAGCAGAGGTCAACCACAGCATGAGCAGAATTGTTCATGTACACGTGAGATGCCTCTGGAGACCTGACGCCCAGCGGTGGCAGCCTGCTGTGATGCAATGTAGGCTATGAGTGGCAGAAATGGACCCCCTCCACGCACACCTGCAGTTTGGTAAGACCAGAGACGTGTGGGATGTGAAATTAATCCAGCTAGCACTTACCAAGTACTGAATCTATACCCAACTCTACATCTGTTACTTCTAAAACTTTCCCTACAACACAGACAATACCATTCCCATTGTCAAGATGAGGAGGCTGAAGTTCAGGGAGATTAAATAACTTGCCCAAGGACACACCCCCATTTTTACTTCTTACTTTTGCAGAAGTAAACACAAAACAAGAGGAATGCTTTCTGGAAGTCAGAGCCTGCCAGGCCCCCACCTTGATTTCTTCTACTGTAGAGGACAAGAATATGGGGTTGTGGCAGCCACCAGAGAAGTGGGGTAAGGGGTCAGTAGGCTCAAGGGTTGATCATACTCCAGTCAGATTCAAAACCCATCTGTGCGAGGCAGTTTCACACACCTGATCTCATTTAACACTGACCACAAACCTACAGCAGCCTAGGACTGGGAAACGGTGGTTGAGTTAATGAACTCGGCTGTCAGGTGCTGTAGCCACAACCTGAGCCCCGGACTAGGTGAGCCCAGACTGAAGGCTCCCTGCCCCTAAATCTCAGCCACCTCAGCTTGTCACTCATCAGTGCATCAAAATCCCTGATTCTGGGCACAGAATCATTAGCCAGATGAGCCCTTCCAGGGAAGATTCCAGGCAGAATGATTCATGAGAGAGGAAAGAAAAATAACAATGTGCTCGCAGCAAGAAGCATCCAAGCGCTTCCTTTTGCTCTGCGGGAATTGGATGCATTCTGGCCCAGGTGTTTCCACACAGCCGTCCAGAGTGGTGGCCTCTGGAGAGAGGTGAAGCCTCCAGGAGAAAGGAATGCAGCCTGTGCCAGAGCCACTAAAGCAGATGACATGGGCAGGCCAGGGTCCACCAGGGCTGTGATGGGGCCCAGACCCTCAGATGGTGTCACCACACTCTGGCCTCTCCCTCCCATCTTTCAGAAGCCCCTCTGCAAAGTTTGGGAATAAAAGGCATTAAGCCTCACCTCCCACGCCTGAGATTGTCTCCAGAGCCAGGGAGGGGCTGTTTTGTTGGTTTTCTTCCTCCAAAGCCAGTGAGAGAAATACCCACGGATCCAGTTTAGCTTAAGTGTCCAAGAGAACCTCCATTAGCATCTCAGGGAGGACAACGCTAATCACCAAGGGCATCAACTTCAGGGAGGGAGAAGGAGGAGCAGGAGGAGGAGGAGGATAAAGGGATGAGGGCGGAGATGCCTGCCTCTCCTCCAGAAACGCCGGCTTTTATTTCAGGGACTGGAAGAAGAAAACGCCCTAGAAAAACCATCAACCCCAGCATTTCTCTGTGCTAGGCAGAAAACAAGCAGAGGAATGTGTGCTACAAGCACCAGCAATTTTGGGGGCAGTGCCTCATGGTGTCATGCAGGAAAAGAACATCTAGGAAGTCTTGTTTGTCATTTTCTTGGACTCTGGAAGCATCTTTTCAGAACAGTTTACTCCCAACCATCTCATCTGGGGAGACAGAGGAAGTGCCATGGGGTGAAGCCAGACTTGTCAAATAGCTACTTTGGCAATTATTTGAAACAGGGTACCCCCATTTCCAATAATACCTTACAACCACAGAGTGTTTGATATTTTTTTGAAATCCATTTGCATCCATTATTTATTTGACCCCACGGGGCCTCCAATTTACAATGGAGAACCTGAGATATCAGAAGCCTGGGACGTGGGGCCTGGGACATGGGGCCTACAGACAGGTTCCTCATCTCATAGTCCATCCTTTCTCCACTACCCCATGCTCCTCCCCAGTTCTGGGGGCCAAGTGCTTCTGGAAGAGCAATTCTGCTTCCCATGACACAGCACTTTACAGTTTGTAATCCTTCCCCAAACCTGAGAGTGGGCTGAAGAAAGAATGGATTCCTTGGAATTATGTGAGTTGAGCAGCATCAACATCATTCCCTTATTTCTAGGGAATGAAACTGGAGACTGGGTATGGGGGCTCACTCCTGTAATACCAGCACTTTGGGAGGCTGAGGCAGGCAGATCACAAGGTCGGGAGTTCGAGACGAGCCTGGCCAACATAGTAAAACCCCATCTCTACTAAAATACAAAAAATTAGCCGAGCGTGGTGGCAGGCGCCTGTAATCCCAGCTACTCAGGAGGCTGATGCAGGAGAATCGCTTGAAGCCGGGAGGCGGAGGTTGCAGTGAGCCGAGATCGCGCCACTGCACTCCAGCCCAGGTGACAGTGCAAGACTCCGTCTCAAAAAAAAAAAAAAAAAAGAAAAGAAAAAAAGAAACCTGAAGCTAGAGAGCCCATCTGGCACATGTGTCTTCCCCTAGGTCCCAGTTAGTTGAGAGCTGGCCAAGTTCATTAACTGCACCTCAGTTTCCTAATCCTAAGCTATGACCCAGGACTTTTGATGTCCCATGAGGCAGGTTAATTGCATTAATAGCCCCACTTCTTCAGTCTCTCCTTGTATCCATAATCGTTGCCATGTGTCTACAATTCCTTTCTCACTAAAGGGGCAAAATCTAGTTCCCCACTCCTTGAAACAGAGCTGCCCTGTGACTTGCTTTGCCCAGTAGAATGTGCTACTCCAGCTACAGTCGGGCTCCAAGATGCCTTGAGTGTCTCTGTTTGCTCTTGCACCCCTGCCATCACCAGCAGCACATGTCTGGGCTGGCCTGCAGGAGGGTGAGGGAAAAAGCAGTGGCGCTGCACTGCCCTAGTCACCTTAGCCAAACAGCCAACCTCAGACATGCAAGTAATCCCAGCCAAGTTCAACAGAACTGCCTAGCTGACCTCCAGATAACTCCAGACATGTGAGCAATAAATACCTGTTACTGATGTCACCAAGGTGATATGGTTGTCACGCACAATTCTACGGCAGTAGCTAACAGGCTCAAACCACCTAGCACCTGTTTCCCCCATCTATTCATGCACCCCATCCAGCCAGCCATGGCTCCATCCATTCATTCACCATGGGTTTGTTGAGTGCCCCCGACGTGTCCAATACCGTGCAGGTGCTGGGGAAACAGTGGTGGGCAAAGAACACACCTGCCCCTTTCTTCATGGAGTAAACAGACCACGAAGGAGGACTGACAAGCAACTGTAATCCAGTGAGATGAACACTGGGATAGGGCAAGTGCAGGGCACAGGGTGGATACAGGGAGGTGAGCCTAATGAGATGAGGGGGTGCCAGGGAGATCAAGAGGGGGTCCCGAAAGTAATGGCATCTCAGCTGAAATCTAAAGGCTGAAGAGGAGTGGGCCAGGGAAAGAGCTATGGGGTGAGGAGAGGAGGGTCAGGGAGAATGTCCCCAGCAGAAGACACCCTGGGCAAAGGCTGGAGGAGGCAAGTGACCATCTGGCTGGAGCCCAGAAGTAAGAAGGTGGGAGAGGAAAAGGGAGCCTGGAGAGGCCAGCACCGAGAAGACCCAATCTTCATCCCAGGCACTTTTTCCATGTTTATTTTCAAGGCCAAGTTAAACCCGGAAGAGATCATAGAAACTTCTTCCATGCACAGATGGAGAAAGGAAGGCAAAGGCCACAGAACACTTTCAGTGTACACTCAGAAGGGCAGGGCCCAGGACAGCCTCTGAGGGCAGCAAGAGAAGCCCTAGACAGTGGGCCCCACTGTAAGGAACATCTGCCACCCACCTAAAGCTGCAGGTTCTCTGCTGTTTCTCATACAGGGACTGAGACAGGAATTGAAGGTTTACTACTAAAATCTACAGCCCTGGGCTACAGCAGCCCATCAGAGGCAAACAAAAGTATGCTCCGCCTCTATGAAGGAAAAAAAAAGGGAAAAAGAACATCTCAACGGAGGCTGTGTGTTGTGGCATTCATTCATTTATCCATTCATTCATTCAGCCAAGAACTCCCTAATGGACCACATCTTGCAAGCCCCAGATCACATGCTATGGAGGACTGAATGATGGCTGAACCTCAGTCCTTTCCTCAAAGACCTTCCAGTCTAGAAGAAACTGGGTCAACTCCAGACTTTCTACATAAGCAGAGCTTAGAGGTGGCAATCTTTTGGAAGCAGACACTAGGGAAATTGTCTTGAGGCTGGTTGAGAAGAATGAGACTCTATTTCCACTTAGATTATGTCTTTACCTGGGATGGCTTGAGGAGGTGAGGGTACAGAATGCCATGCAGTACAGTCAGCTAGTGGTGGGGTGGCAAAGAGATTCAAATGGAGTCCAGGGGGTCCAGAAGAAGGCAAGATGGGCCATATCTGGCTGAGCACATCAGGCAAGGCTTCTAGAAAGATGAGTCAAGGACTGAGGAGAATGGGGGAAGAGCATACGGGGGAAGGAAGCAGCCCAAGGGCACGGAGGTGGGGAGCCCAGAACTTACTGGAGGCTCGTTCGGGATGTTTGGCATGCAGCCATCAACAATGTGGAGAACGTGGAAGGGCAGCTGGAGAGGCAGCCTGGAGCCAGACCAAGAAGGTCCCGAGATGCCCAGAGAAGAGGTTGAACTTTGTCCTGAAGACAATGATGAGTCAGAGGATGTGACATCAGGGATGCATTTTAGGAATATTAATCTGGCCGACTAACGAGATGGGTTGGAAAGGAGAGAATGAAGCCAAGAGGAGCAATTAAGAAGACCTGCCAGAACTGGTCAGAGAAGAAGAGACAGATGTGAGGAACACACTCTAAACAACTGGATAACTGGCTGGATGGAAACAGCAGAGCCAAGGGGCATCCCAACATTTCAAGTCTGCAAGGATGACTGTGAAGTTCCCAGCAACAGGGTCAGCAGGTTGGAGGGAAGTGGCTGTCAGACATGGTAGGGTTGAATTGTCTAGGGGTGGCCAGCAAGGAGCTCAAGGGAGAGCCGAAGTAAGGAAAGGTATTGCTGCCTTTGAAAGCCCAGAGAGCCCAGGACAGGGTCAGAGATAAGCAGAAGCAGGCAACGGGAATCCAGTTGGAAAGGAACTGTCGAAGCTGCAAGGGAGAGAGAAGACAAGGATAGAACCGGGTTCCTGGGCAGAGCCCCTCCTGCTCCTCCCCACATCATCCATGTGTCCTATGGAAATGCTGTTCTAGATCCCCAACCTCTGCCTTAATGGTGTCTTATTTATTTCTGCACAGCTGGGCCTCCCTGAGTAGAATGTACTCTCCATGAGGGCAGGGATCATTGTCTGTTTGATTCACTGCTGTATCCCCTGTACCTAGAACATTGCCTGGCTCATCATAGGTGCTCAATCCTTGTTAAATGTCCTTGTTAAATCCTTATTAAATGTCCCATCCACATGTGCCTGACTTGGCCACAACCTCTAGAAAGGGGAAGTATGGGTAGCCAGCCATGTTGGCATAACATGATCCAGCCCTCTCCCTCCAGCGACTGGACCAGGAATGGATAGTGATCCAAGGTGGAGATGGGAGAGGGTGTCCACTCATAGGCTGGCCTCAGCCAGCCAATATTTCTCTCTCTCTCTGTGTCTCTCTCTCTCTGTCTCTCTAACATTTGAACCAAGACACAAGAGTTGAGGGCAGTTATGATAGGTACAAGCCCTAAAGCCACGCAGGCCCAGCTGACGGCCACCTTGGGCCAAGTGCAAAGTGAGCAGGGGGAGGAAGCCAGTCTGCAGAGACAGAGGCTGGAGAGTGGAGCAGACAGAAGCAGAGACAAACCTGGCATAGCCCCTGAGAGACGAGCAGTGTGGCCTCCATTCCCAAGCTTCCAGTTCCATCACCAGGAGGAGAGGCCGAACTTTGTTCTCAGTCCCTGGACATTGTGGTGGTCTCTGTGATGGGCCACCAGATTCCCCTTCAGGAAGGAAGGCCTTATTCCTCAGTTGCTGGGACAGGTACTAGAAGACTGTCCTTGGCTGTCAGCCTTCTATAAAGATTGCCTTCCAGAGGCAGCCCACATCCACGACTGATCAACATGAGGGTATAACTTGGGACAACTCTGAAGGGCCTCTCCAAGTCCCACAGTGCCCCGTGGAGTCAGCTGAGGCCTTCATTAGGACTATATCAGAGCTCAGCTTCTCGCTCTGCCCAGTCCTGCTGCCTTTGCCTGGCTTCCACAGTCGTTGATCCCAATCAAACTCTCCAGTAAATGCCCCACATGCTCATTTCTATCTTAGCACCTTCCAGGGAGCATGGAACCCCACCTGTGACAGCTGTAACGTTGCGTTTTATATCCTTACAATAAACTCTTGTTACCTCACCCAGTATGAGTGAGTCTTGATTGGACTGATGGTACAGTTTTTGCAAAATCCATTTTAATTGCAATGACTCCTTCTTTTGCATTTCCCAAGAGCACTTACTACAGTGCTTTGCAAATAATAACAATAATAATAATAGGTAACATTTACTGAGCAAATACTATGTGCTAGGCATTTGCCTAGCATTTTACAAGGATCATTTAATCCTCACAGCATCCTTGAGAGGCAAATACTATTATCTCCATTTTACAGATTTATAGAGAAAAAAACCTGAGGCATACCGTCTCAGAGTCACACAGTTATGAAAACCCAATCCACTCAACATATCCTTACCCACATTCTACCCCATCTCCTCCAACAAGGACACTCAACTACAATGCCAAAGAAAGAGTCAATGATTTTGAGCTGGATGGGGGCCTGTATTCATCTAGGTTAGTCATTTTATTTTGTTAAGACCCAAAGGGATGACTTTTTAATTTAATGTTCAAAGTCATGCAATGCAGTGGTAACATAGGAACATTTAACACAGACATAATCAAAATATACACATGGAGGGAAAGAGAGTGACAAAAAGATCTTTTAAATAATACATCTTGCTATATGTACTCTAATTATGACATATTATTGTATACATTATACATATACATATGTTATCGTATAGTGTTGTATGCACTAAATCATGTGCATTATATTCTAAGGGCAATTTTAGGGACTGTGGCCCGACAGGCTGACTTTGGAATTGAAACCCCTGTAAGATGGGATCTGCCTCTGAAGAAGCTGACAGCAAGAACAGGGCAGCAGTCCGGGGCTCCTGACTCACGATCCAGCTTCCCCCCACCACTCCCACCCACGTCCCCTCCACTTGTTTATCTGGTTTGAGTTCAACAAAACCAAGCCAGCTCTGAGCACTGAAGCACTGCCATTTAGGAAAATTCAAGAGCTGAGACCCAAGCTCTTGAGAAATCCACGTGAATTACCCCACTGCAGCCCCGCTTTCCAGATCACTGTTTCTAATTAAAGCCCTGGCTGACACATGACGTAGCTCCTTGGGAAGCATCCCATCACACCACACACTCTCCCAGATGTCCCTGGGTTTCTCCTCCTTGCCTTTTTCATTGGCATTCTCACCCTCATCACCAAACAGTGTTCATTTCTTCACCACCGCCGCCCCTGGGGAATGAGGTAAGACGCTAAACAACGTAACTCAAAATAGACTGGCTTCCAGCTCTTACAGGAGAGAGGGCCTGAGGATACAGGATGAGACTCAAATATCTCAGCCCCAGTCCACCTCGCCTCCCCCTGCTCAGCCCCACCCCCCATCAAGTTCACCATTTCCCAAGACATTGCAGCTTCATTCCTACCTCTACGTCTCAAGGCCCCACCCCACTCCTCTCCAGTTACTTAAATTCCATCCTTCCTTCAATTCCCAGTATAAGCACCAACTCCTCCGTGAAGACTTTCCTGTTCACGTGATAGAAACCAGAGAGCCCAAGGAACATGAAGTATCACCAACTGCGGGCTGAGCGGCCAACTGAAGTTTTATTTAACATATCAAGTGTTGCAGAGCTCAGGGTGCTAAAATTTTTTGTTGCAAGCTCTCAAAAGTCAGGACATTCCACATAAAACTGGCTTTCTGGATTATCTTGAAAAAACCAGTGATCTAGAAACACCAAACTTCCTTCCCACAATGCAACAATGAAAGGGAGTAGAAACTGCCCTCTCTAGAACTTTTTTTTTTTTTTGCACAAAGGTTTAGCTTTGCTTTTTTGCTTTGTTCTCTTTATAATCAATGGTTATATAAATTTGCAACCAACATATTTCATCAATCTCCAGGCTCAGAGGTGGTTTGTTTTATGTTTTTTGTTTTTTGTTTTTTTTTTGCATCCTGTTTTTTAATCTCAATATTCACTTTTCTTCTAGATGAAGTTGATCCTTTAGTATTTCTTTCAGCAGGCCTCGGTGTGTATTAAAGTGTCTTCTTTTTGTATATTTGAAAGTGCCTTTATAGCATCCTCACTCCCGAGTGCTAGTTTAGCTGAGCGTGGAGTTCTGGCTGACAGTTAGACTCCCTCAGCATTTTCAGGATTCTTCCTAATGGCCTTTTGGCAGCTGGCTGTTGCTGATGGGAATGTCAGGCTAGCCGTTGTCCCTTTGTAGGTAATTTGTCTTTTCTCTCTGGAGGCTTTGAGAGTCTCTCTTTGGAGGTTTGCATTTTGAAGTTGCACTACAATCTGTCTGGGTGTGGATTTATTTTTGTCACTCATGGTGATTTTTCAATCCCAGAACTCATGTCTTTCTTCAATTATGGGAAAATCTGCATTCAATATCTTAGCAAATATTGCTTCTCCTTCATTCCCTCCATTCTCTTCTTCTGGAACTCTGCTTGGCATATACTGGAATCTTTCCATCTACTTCCTGTGTCTCTTAACTAATCTTTCATAATTTTTATTCATTGCCCCGGGTTGGGTCTCTCATGAATTCCTCAGCACTGGCTTTTAATTCACTAATTCTTCAATTATGTCCAGTATCAAGTCAATGTCATCTATTGAGGTTTTAGTAATAAATCTAAAACTATATTCTGTATTTCCTGATTTCTAGTTGATTCTTTTTATATCCGGTGTTCTTGTTTGGTTTCTGCCTGCTTTTTATTTTATTATTACTTATTCTTTTTTATAGATGCTATTGCTTTCTTTTTCTTGAGACGGAGTCTCGCTCTGTCGCCCAGGCTGGAGTGCAGTGGTGCGATCTTGGCTCACTGCAAGCTCCACCTCCCGGGTTCACGCCATTCTCCTGCCTCAGCCTCCCGAGTAGCTGGGACTACAGGCACCCGCCACCACGCCCCGCTAATTTTTTGTATTTTTAGTAGAGATGGGGTTTCACCATGTTAGCCAGGATGGTCTCCATCTCCTGACCTCGTGATCCACCCGCCTCGGCCTCCCAAAGTGCTGGGATTACAGGCGTGAGCCACCACGCCTGGCCAATGCTATTCCTTTCTTCAGCCCCTGCAGGATCCTCAGTATACAGGCTTTGAAGTCATTATTAGCTTTTGCTTATTTCTTATCATCAGAAGTGAGTTTGGGAGGGTGTCAGGAGGGTTTTTGTGTGTGTTTTGTTTGTTTTGAGACAGGGTCTTGCTCTGTTGAATGGGAGGTTTGTTTTGTGTTTGTTGCATTCTCTCTCAATCTCACTCTCTGCTCTCTTGCCCTCTGCCATTTTGCAATTGGCTTGTCTTGGCCCAGCAGAGTTCCCAGTGCAGAACCAGACCCTGTGGCAGCTCCGGGCTTAAATCCCATGGTGATATTGGGGACATTGCAGGTCTTGACAATGAGCTGCTGGGTGGCTTAGCCAGGTACTGTCTACAAGGATGTGTTGGTATATTACTCTGCCATAGCCTTAGACATCAATCCAGAGAAGCTTTCTTTCTAACCTCCTTTCCCAGGTCAGGGAGCCCAAGTCTCACCCCAAATTTCAAGTAATAAGCCTGGTTTGGGACTCTGCCTGTCAAGGGGCACTTTAAGACCCATTTGCTTTCCCTTAATGTATTCCAGGGAAGCTATCATTTGGTCTTGTCACTAAAGCATTGAGGCTTTGGCCCAGGAGTAGGGAAGAACTGCACTGGCAGGGAAGCAAGATCTAGTAACGTATTTCCCAAGGGACTTGGACTAGTTCTGGGAGGGTGACAGCAGTGAGGAAAAGCCTGAGTGTGTATTTCAACAGACAGGAGGCAGCCAAGCAGAGCAGGGCCTAGACCTCAAAGGGGCATCCCCTGTACCCTTCATTCCCAAATAAGTAAAAATATTTATTAAGACCCTACTCTGTGCCCCTAAGCACCCTAGTTTTCTTTAATATTCCAAGTATAGATCCATGGGTTGATCTGAACCTTTCAAGATGTTTCTATTTGTAGTGGGGTATGTTTCTTGAGCATAATGAATACTGTATTAGTCTGTTCTCACACCGCTAAAAAGAACAACCTGAGACTGGGTAATTTATAAAGAAAATTTATAATTGACTCGCAGTTGCACAGGCTATACAGGAGGCGTGACTGGGAGGCCTCCAGAAACTTATAATCACGGCAGAAGGGCGAAGGGGAAGCAAGCACGTCTTCACATGGTGGCAGCAGAGAAAGAGTAAAGGGGGATGTGCTACACTCTTCCAAACATCCCAGATCTCATGAGAACTCACTATCACAAGAACAGCAAGGGGGAAATCCACCCCCATGATCCAATCACCTCCCACCAGGTCCCCCTCCAACACTGGGAATTACAATTCCACGTGAGATTAGGGTGGGGACACAGAGCCAAACCATATCAAATACCATAAGAGCAACTTAAAGATAATAACAATAACATGTATTTGTTGAGTGTTCACTATACACTAGGTACTGTCTAAGCACTTTACACACATTAGCAAGTTTTAGCCTTAAAACAGGATGCTGTTGTCCTTATTTTATGGAAAGGAAATGGTAGCTTGCCCAAGGCCCACAGTTGGTAACGGCAGAGTAATGATAGAGTCTGTCCCCAGAGTCCCTACTCTTGGCCACTATACCACTGACCTTCTCTAAATTATGCTGGGGGATACCAGGAATTAAAGAGAATCCTAAGAGGAAAATGAAACCCAGGCTAAACAGTTGAGGACAACTTATACATCTATAACCCACACATATGTATATGTCACACTGTTAAAATACAAACTGCTACAGTCAGGGGGACAACTAATGATGTGACACAGGAAGTAATCCTACAGGAAAAGTTTTCAGCTCGAGGGAAGATTCTTCAAGGGGAGACTCAGACCCACAAGTTTCTCTTTTACTACTCAGTGAATAACAGCTGTTGTTATTTTCACCTAATCCTTTTTGTAGTCTCTGAAAGTCCACCTAAAATAACCCTTCCAGGTATTATCAAGAAGTACTGCCCCTGGCTGAGCCCACCAGGACTGTCAGGACAACCCCAAGGCTGTGCTCCAGGAGCCTGCTCGGGCCTGTAACAAATTGTAAAAGAGCAAAGCTGCTTCCTACTGAGGTAGGACCATGTGACCAAATCAGGGCTTCTCTCCGGCTCTCCTGTCCGCTCAAACCTGGGAGGGTTCTGTAGGATACTATTACAGAAGCTGGTTCTTTACAAGGAGGTGGGGTGGGGAGGGATTCTAGTCAGATTGGAGGTCTTATTAGCCAGGTTCTCCTTGAGGTTTTGCTCAAACGCCAGAGAAGGGCAGTTGCTCATTCACATGCAGCCCCCTGTTAATGTGACTAGACATATAGGTCCACTGTCAATATTAAGGCCTTTCAGCTGTCACCAGTGGAGTTTATTTCACAGTCATATTCCCTGAGGTTCACATAGCACTTTGCTGTTTGAACAATCATGTTCGATTGTGTGATTGAACTGATTCTCAAAAATACCCCCGGTATTCATTCATTATCCCCATGTTCCAGGTGGGAAATTATCCCATATCACCTGCAGGTCCCACAGGCAGAAAGTGGCAAAGCTGGGGCTCAAATCACTCACTTAAACCACCTCTGCAGAGAAATTTAAGAAGCTATTCTCTCTCTTTGCACAGTAGGGAAAGCACAGAATCTCAGACAGACTAACGCAGTTGTTCCGTTCCTCAGATCCCATTTGCAGTGCAGGTCTGAGTCTCTCCTGTGGGACTCAACACTACAAATCCCTTGACAACAGGTAAGCTCTCACTCTAACCTGCACCATGACCCACAACTCAGGCATGGGAAGGCCTCAGCTGCCTGCAGGAAACATAGCCGTGGGCTGACCCAAATGAAATGCCCTCCCACTCTCCAAGCCTCTCTGACAGAGCCCATCGGCAGCCAGAGGAGGAAGAGTCTCCCCTACTCACCCTAGTCTCTGCGCTGCTCACATGCCTGAGATGGAGCTCCTCTGATACCAGTTCTGGCCCAAACAAGGTCAAAGGGCACCAAAGGTCAAAGGGCCTCTGTTCCAGGTTCCAACTCGTGTTCTGTACTGGGGTCCTCGGGCCATCACTCTCTTTGCCTGCCCACCTAGAACCAAGGTGCTAACACCTGCCTATCCCAAGAACCCTCCCCACCACCCACCATCCCACCAGACTCCTGTTGGTATATTCCCAGCCTCGGCCCATTTCTTGGTGCTTGTCAGTCTGTGTAGATCCCTGATGATATGTCCTCTCGCTTTTCACATCTGCTGACTGTCCTGACGGGACCTGCCTTCTGGGGCCAATGCTTCAAATCACTTACCTCCCCCGGCCAGCTCGCCTGGCCTCACCACCCACCTCCTTCTTATCTCTGCCACCTGGGCCACTGTAGGACACCATCATTGGATCTATTTGTCTTTCACTTAACAAATAATCAGCAAGCGTGACAGGGCCCCCTGCCGCCACATCAGTGAGAGAGATAAGGGCAACAAAGACACGATCCTGGGCTACATAACCACTCAACAGTTAAAGACACATAACCTGGGTTTTAAACAATTTTGTGTTTATCCCATGACACACAGTTTACCCATATAACAAACCTGCACGTATACCCCTGATCCTAAAATAAAAGTTAAAATCATAATAATGTTGTGTTTATATTCTTGCCTTCCAAGTAGACAATATGCCCCTGAGAGTAAGAACCACATCTCACACTTGTCCCACTTTGCCTCCCCCAACTATAAGTGCGCCACATGGAGCCTTTCCCCAGTGCTTGCCAGAAGAGGCCAATACTGTCACCCTGCCCGTTATTTTTTTAAATGATGATATACACTGCAAAATGAGAATATGGAAAGCAGAAGATGGAAGAAGGAAGAGGGAGTCTGCCTGTAAGGCCCACCTGAGAAGGAATGGACACTCATCTCTCCCATCATCATCCAGCCTGCCTCAGGATGCTTTCCAAAAAACTATTCAAGGCCCTGTCAGATCAGGTAGTGGTTGAGAATGTAAGCTCTGGAGCCAGGCTGCCTGGGTTCAAATCCCAGTGTTACCACTGGCTACCTGTGGCCTTGGGCAAGTCATTTAATTGCTCAGAGTAATACCTACCTCACAGGGTTATGGTGCAGATTAAAGAGTGAATAAGAGTTAATATATGTTGTGGTGGTTTTATAATACTACCATAAATTCTTTGACCTTCTCTCTTTAAAAGAGACCTAAGAGCATCCTTCACCTCCCCCTAAGTGTGGGACATATTTAGTGACTTGCTTCCAAATGAATAGAATATGGCAGAGTTGATGGTGTATGACTTCCAAGCCTAGGTCATACAAGGCATTGTGGACTCCTCCTTATTTTTTCTCTGAGGGAGCATTCAACCTGGAAGCCAGCTGCCATGCTGAGGATGCTCAAGCAGCCCTATAGAGAGGTCCACGTGGCGAGGAACTCAGGCCTCCAGCCAACAGCCATGTAGTCGGCCACTGTGGAAGCTGATCCTCCAGTCCCAGTTAAGCCTTTAGCTGACTGCAGCACTAGCAAGATCTTGACTGTAAGCTCATGGGAAACCCTGAGCCAGAACCATCCAACTAAGCCATTCCTGATTCTTGACCCATGGAAACTGTGTCATATGAGAAGTGTTTGTTTTAAACTGGTACATTTTGGAATAATTTATTTCACAGCAATAAATATTACATATGTGAAGAATTGATATACGTAAAGGGTTAATAGAGACTTGGAACAGTTTCTGGCTTACACAAAGTGCTTAATATTATTTTATAATAATAATACTAGGCTATGTACTATTCCCCAAGTTTATCACACATTTTAAAATTTAGAAAAATACAACTTGAGCACCAAAATAAATAATGATTGTAATGGATATAAACCATTGAATAAAATAGAAAATAATGAGTCCATGCTGATATAAATGAATAAATGAAAGAATAAACAAACACATAAAGGAGAGGTAAAAGCTCTATCTTGCAGCAGAATTCCAAATATAATGGTAGAAGGAATGATGGAATTATAAAAATCACCATTTGACAAAACATGCTAAAACTAGAGGGTGAATGTTTGACGAGGAATTGAATATTTATGCAGTCTCAAAGGAGTGCCTACAAAATGCTTATTAAATACTAATTAATTAATGAGAACAAAATACTTGTTAATTAACTTTGCAACGGAGAAACCTGGCAGATACCACCTTAATCAACTGATAAATGTCAGTATCACCAGTAATGGGACAAATCAACATCACATGACTGCTGATATGCTCCACTGAAAAGAACTCCCATGGGCCAGTGCCTCTCTTGCTCATCGCTTTATCCCCAACAGTGGTTCATATGCAGGGGCAGCTCCTGGTTCCTGGGTGCTGTGTGCCAGACACTGCACCAAAAAGCACAAGACACGTGTCATCTCATTGGATCTTCACATTGCCTCTAAGCTCTGAGAAGTGAAACAACTTGCCCAAGGTCACGTGGGCTGGAAGAGGCAGAGATAGGATATAAACCCTGCTCTATCTCCACATTGGACTGGCTCCCTTGGGCACTCAATAAATGCTGAATTGAGTCCTTTCTGCAGCTCCAGGAGGTTTCTCGGAAACCAGGGTAGTTGCCCAGGACAGAGTTGCATTCTCCTTTCCTTTGATAAATATCAGTACCAACAATAGGAGGGAGAAAAGTGCTAGATGTCGAATCCAAAGGTTGCAGTTTCAGCTTTGCTCCTCATGCACAGGGATCTCACTCATGCTGGCTGGGTCTCCATCTGCCCCAACTTTAGACCAGGCCAGTAGCTTTCAAACTTCTTTTAAGCAGCCAAATTTTTTTTCAAGCAAACCTTTGTCAAAACCTCAATGTAGCATCATTCACAACAGCCAAAAGGTAGAAGCAATCCAAGTGTCCATGGGTAGATGGACTGGATGAACAAGGTGTGCTATATCCACATAGTGGAATAGTCTTCATCCTTCAGAGACAGGAAATCCTGTCATATGCCACAACATGAATGAACTTGAAGACATGCTAAGTGAAATAAGCCAGTCACAAAAGACAAATACTGTATGACTCTACTTACATGAGAGACCTAGAGTTGTCAAGTTCATAGAGACAGAGAGAGGAGTGCTGGGTGCCAGGGACTGAGAGAAATGGGGAGTGGGTTTCAGTTGCGGAAGAAAAAAAAGTTCTGGAGATGGATGTAGGTGACAGTTGCACAAGAATTTGAATGTACTTAATGCCACTGAACTACACACTTAAAAATGGTTAAAATGCCAAATTTTATGTTATGTCTATTTTGCCACAATTCAGCAAATAAAAATAACCTCAGTATATGCAAAGATGAAGCAAAAATAGGGAATGGGATATTAAGATGCCCCCTTTACACACCTCCCCCCAAGATAACTGCAAAGAATCCTCCTCCCTGAGGAGTACATGGGCGATTTCAATCCTAATATTTGGGGCTCTGGGAGCAACATCTGCCTGTGGAACTTGCTGCCAACAATTTTGAATCCTGAGTGATCCCTGCTCCTTCTGGTCCACTTGCAGGCCCCTGGGATTAAGCCCCGCCAGATAAACCACAGTGAGGGCAACACCTCCAACACAGGGAAAAGGATGACCTGGCAGGTGGGGGCACACACAGCGTGGGGAGCTGGCCATGGGTGAAGCACCAAGGGTGGGCAAGGCTAAGGAGCATGAGCTCTTAGAGCCCAGCAGCATGGCTGGACCCTGGGCAAGTGATTAACCTCACTGAGTCTCAGCTTCCACATCTGTGAAATGGAAACAACAATGGGAGTACTTACCTTGTAGGGTGTTTTGAGGTTTAGTTGAAATAGTGTAAATGACTCCAAAAGGGGCAAGCCAGTACAGCAGAGGCAGTGTCTGGCAGTGGATGAAGGTCGGGATTTGGAGGCAGGCTGAATTTCAGTCTCAGCTCTGCCACTTATCAGCTCTGTGATTTTGAGAAAGTTATTTACCCTGTCTGTGCTTCACTTTCTGCATCCATAAAAAGAGGGAGGTCACCGTACCTGCTTCTTAGGTGATTATGAAGACTATGTGGGCTGATACAGGTAGAACAATTCCTGGGACACAGTCAGTGTTCAATAAACATGAACAATCGCTGTTAACATCATCTGGCCCAGGCCTCAGTCTGTCCAGGCTGCCCTGGCTGAGATCAAGAGGGATGGAGCCACATGAGAGGAGCCAGTCTGTCCGGGCCAAACCCAACACAGGCATCAGCGCCCACTCTCGTGGGAGAGATCACTTCCAACCTGCGGCTCCAAGCTAAGGCGGCAGGGCCTGGGGCCTCCTCCAGGGCGGTTCAACCAGCGAAGGAAGCAGAAAAGAAGGAAATAAGACTGTTTTCCAGTCTTCCCTCAAAAACAAGCAGACGGTGCGGCTCCCTTCACCGGCCTGACATTTGCTCGGCTTTTGGTATTGACCGAAGGCGTTTTGAATGTGGCTGCCCCTTGGCCTTCCCCTAGGTCTTGGCCTGTGGCTCATCACTGAAGTGGGGCTAAATTTAAGCCATGCGGCCACTCAGGCCCAGCTAGAAGGCTGCCGCTGTCAAAGCAGAGGGGGCAGGGGAGGTGGGGTACACAGGAAAAAGGTGGCAGACCCCAAAGGGCTTCCAGATGTTGGGATCGGCCTGGCCTGAACCACTGCAAGGATCTCTGCTCCATACTCCTAGCTGCAACAGGTTGTAGAAATAAGGCCTCTGCACAGTCAGGGCTGGGGTGAGTCAGAGACCCTGGGATCCCACCGGTGGGAAACATCCCTATAGGAAACACTGACACTCCCAGTGGAAACCCTTGTCATTGTCACCACTGGGGTAGACTCAGCTCAACTCCTTGCAGATGAGGAAGTTGGGACTTAGTACCCATTGTTTCCATTGAATGCGCACCCACTATTCCAGGCACCGTATGAAGCTCCTCAGATGTAGCATCTCCTTTAATGCTCCCAGCAACTACTATTCTTTTTTTTTTTTTTTTTTTTTTTTTTTTGAGACAGAGTTTCACTCTTGTTGCCCAGGCTGGAGTGCAATGGCGCAATTTCGGCTCACTGCAACCTCCGCCTCCCAGGTTCAAGCAATTCTCCTGCCTCAGCCTCCCAAGTAGCTGGGATTACAGGCATGTGCAACCACGCCTGGCTAATTCTGTATTTTCAGTATAGACGGGGTTTCTCCATGTTGGTCAGGCTCAATGTCACTCAGCAACTACTGCTGATGCTGAGCTTGGACCCCAAATCTCCTGACACCCAGACTATTTTATTTATTTATTTATTTATTTATTTATTTTGAGATGGAGTCTCACTCCATTCCCCAGGCAGGAGTGCAATGGTGTGATCTCAGCTCACTGCAACTCCACCTCCTGGGTTCAAGCGATTCTTGTGCCTCAGCCTCCAGAGTAGCTGGGACTACAGGCATGTACAACCATGTCCCGCTAATTTTTGTACTTTTGGGAGAGACAGGGTTTCACCATGTTTGCCAGGCTGGTCTCGAACTCCTGACCTCAAGTGATCTACTCACCTCAGCCTCCCAAAGTGCTGGGATTATAGGTGTGAGCCACCGCACCCAGCCCCACCCAGACTATTTTACAAAATTTACACACACTCACAGATGCACACAGTTTTTCTGAAAAACAGCTCAGAGGCATCTGATATCACATGCTAAGCATCTCCTTGCTGGTTGAACACATATCATCTTCCTTGCCAAACAATATAGGTATTTCAGGTAAATATCATGGCCACTCAGTACTTCAGATAGCCTCTACTACTGTCGGCGTCTACAGTGTTCATACCACACCTTGAGGTTAGGTGATCTTCCCTTTGATCCACAGAGAAATCCTCCTTTTACAGATAAGAAAACAGGTAAAGTCATGCTTGGTAAATAAGCCAGTAGGAAGGTTCCTGTGGCTACCAACCCAGTGCCAGCCCAGTCTGTTTCCCTGCTCCGTCTCTGGGTCTCCAGGTGAGTGGAGTCCCATGATCCCATACATTTTGGAGCCAGCACCTGCCCTGTGGTTCCCCTTGGGGGATGCAGAGGCAGGCTGGGCTTAGCTAGGGTCGAAGGTCAGGCCTTTGAGCCAGGAGGATGCCCCAGGGCCTGGGTCTGCTGGCAGTCTCCAGTGCCACATTCAGAGGAAAAAAGGGGGCCCCCCAGTGGAGGCCTATCTTCCTGCCATCTTCTCCTACCAGGAAGGGAGGGTCATGCTACCTGGGTCTGGGAAAGAGCCATGCTGGAGCGAGATGCCCACCATGTTGGCCAGCAAGTCAGGCAGCCATGGGGCCCTTCCCAGGGAAGGCCCCAGCACAAGCCTCATGTCCTGCTCTGGAGAGAAACCTGAAGTGCATGAGTCCCTTCCCTGTCCCTCTTCTCTGCTCCTAACCCCCTCCTTCATCATCCCTGTGAGCCACAAACCCCACCAAGGCATCATTCCTTCCTCCTGGTTCTCTCAGACTTTCCGATTCCTTTCTGATCTTTCTGTTTCTTCTGCTCTACTGCAAAGATACTGCCTCACAGGCTTAGCTCTTTCCAGGGTTCTGATCACGTCACCCCTCCTGCTTAAAACCCATCTGTGAATTCTCTTAGTTCTTAGGATAAATGCCAAAATCCTCAGCAGAACCCACAAGGCCTGCATGCTTGTCCCGATTACCTCTCAATCCTCCTCCTCCTTGCCACCTCCACCCTGCTCAGCCACACCTGTGTTCTTCAGTCTTTCCATCCCCAGAGCCTTTGCATGCACGGTTGCCTTGGTCTGCAGCGCTCCTTTAACCTGGCTAACACCCATTCAGCTCCCTATCACCATTTGTCCTTCCTTGAACCCTCAGCTAGGTCAGATGCCTTGTGAAATGCTTTCACAGATCTGAATTCTGCTCCTTCAGAGCCTTATCTCAGGTTGTAATCATACATCTTATATATGTGATTATCTGATTAATGAGGAAGAAAACCCCATGTGAGGGGGCACTGTATCTGTTTTCACTTATCACTGTATCGCCATCAATCAATACTTGTTGAATACACAATAATGAGTGAGTAGTGAATGAATGAATCTTCTACCCTACTCCCCAAACCCAAGCCTTCCCTGACACCACCATTCCCATCACAGCCTTTGCCTGTGAAGAATCTCCATCTGCCTGCTCTCATGTGTCTAGTCTATAACCTTTCTTCCTCCTTGGAAGACCACATCCTTCAGTTAATCCTTCCCCACTAGGTCTGAGCTCCAGGAAGGCAGGCATCATGCCCATTTCCTTCACCTCTGTAACCCCAGTACCTAACATAGAAGTGTTCTGTGAATGTTTATTGAATGAATGACTTCTCATCTTTAAAGCTATCTGGGCCACACTGCTAGATGGTCCCACAAATTTGGTTATCCTCTTTGTTCACAAAGATAGAATTTTAGCTGGGCTCACCACTGCCCCCAGGAAAAAAATTTCCCAGCTTCCCTTGCAACTAAGGATGCCCATGTGACTAAGAGTTTTCCAGTGGAATGTGAGTGGATGTGACGGTGACCCAGCCTCAACATGCAGATGAATGAAACATCCTAGAAAATGGCAGAGCAACAATGTAGAAGGAACGAGGACCCTGAATGACCTCATGGAGCAGAGCCTCCAAGACAGCTTAAGCCAGAGAGAAATTGACTTCTATCTTATTCAAGCATAGTACTTTGGGGTGTCTCTATTCTAACTAACACCTCGTTATTTACAGACCTCCAAGCCACAGCAAATGTAAACTTGGCTGCCAGCACACAGCCTTCCTCATGACTTCCACTCTTGCAGTCATCCAGGGCCACAGAAATATCCATGCTGATGACCAGTTATCACCCTGACTTCATTTCTTCATCCTCACTAATCAAACTGTCTTCCATTCCATCCCTTCTTAGAACTTACTCATATGGCCCCACCCTGACCTTGTCAACTCCCAGGAACTGCCCTACCTCTGAAATCCTCAACTAGAAACCCCCTCTTTCTAGCTACAACTTCTCATCCCTCTGTTTCTACCTGACTCAACTATCCCTGTTCTTCAGCCTCCTGGAGACCCCTAGTCCTCGGGCTCTTAATCCTTCTGCGAACCAGCAGCCTTGAGAGACATGATGCTCTCCCACCATCAGCAGAAGCTCACCTGTGACAGCAATTCTCCTGGGCAGGAGAAAGGGGGAGGATTGATCCTCCAGGGCTGAGGGTGGTCCTGCAGTGGCTTTTTCAGCCTCCATCCTACCTGCCCTCACTATAGCCTTGCCTTGACTGCTCACTCTCCCCACAATTCCAATTTGGATCAAGACACAGAGGCCCTGACTCATCCTGCTGGTTTCCCCTCACTGCCTCTTCACTCTCTCTCTCATTCTCCATTGCTAGTTCCCTTCTGTACTTACACATTTGACATTTGCTGCTTCCCAGGAGTCATTTATCTTCCTCTTCTCTACCTATGTTCCCCTGCAGCAACCCTCCCCAGGCCTATGCCTCACTTTGCACACATGCTGACATGCCCACATCCATGGCCCATCCACTGACCTTGCTCCTAAATTCTGGGAGCTGAATTCCCTGCTGTCAACGCCTAGGGGGGGAGCAGGAAGTTGGGACCGCATTCCTTTCCCAAGCCCCTAGCTTTTGGCCAGCTCTGTCCTTGGGATGTGCTGGTTTTAAGAAACATCCCCAGATGTCCAGGGTGCAACTTCAGGAAGGAGGAGAATCCAGCTCCTAAACTCTACTCTGCAGCATCTGCTGAAGGCCATCAACTCATCCCACTTCAGATTGAAAGCAAAAGCTATTTTCTCTACTTCTACACAAGAGCCCAGCCTAGATATCTTTCAGTCCTCAGCATGCCTCGCTGTTTTCTTCCCACCCTACTCCTCCCTCAAGACTGCCTCCAAGCGCACTCCATGGTGCATGCAGAAGCAGAAAATACCTCCAGGGAACTAAATCCACCTAATGACAAATAATGGTAGCTATAGCATTTGTACAGCCATTTCCAATTCACAAAGTGCTTTTTTCACAGACATTAGCTCCTTGATTCCCCACCACAAGTCTATGCGGTAGGTGACACTCTCCCCACTTCTGCAGGGCAGTAAAAGGAAACCCGGAGAGGTTAAGAGACACATCCAAGGGTATAACTAGCAAGTGGCAGCATGTCTTTGTCAACAGGAGTGCAACGAAGTCAGAAGTGAGGTCTAAAATGCAGTCTTGACTTAGCCCAATAGCCCATCAAAGACAGCCTGGCCCCAGGCCCTCTCCAGTCCTTTGCTTGGATCTGGACAAACTCAGACATTTCATCCTAAAGCCCCATTTTTGCCAGTGGCAGGAGCCCAACCATCGTCTCTGCTGTTAGCAACTGCTCCAAGTGTGCTCAGAAGTCACCTGATTGGTCAGAAGCAACCCCACCCCGCTCAGGACTGGAGCTGAGGCCCTGCAGGAGAATCTAGTGCACGTGTGCCCTCCCTCACTGAAACCAAGGCCCAGCACATCACGCATGAGCAGGATGTGCAGTTCCTGCAGCTGGTTTCAGAATGAATCCTTTGTTTCCATTCACCTGCGCTTTTTAACATCCGCTTAACAACTTTCAAAAGCCCAAAGGTGGCAGAATGAAATTACTTAGAATAAAAGACATTCCAAATGGAGACCTCTTTCTGGGTTTTCAGCCATCTTTTCGTACGTGCTTGGAGGCAAGCCAACTAAAAGATGTGTTTCTTAAACCAAGTAAGCTGTTAAGTAACAAACTGGTCCTGCAGATATGAGGAAAGAGAGAAGGGAGAAAAAGGAAAAACCTATTGATTCATAATCTCTCATTCATTCATTTTTTGGGCCCCTACTCAGCCAGACTGGCACAGAGTGGCAACATGAATATGCATATTTATATTCTGATATGTTACAGTGGTTAGGAGCATGAACCCTGGAGCCAGACCCTGTGGTGCCTCTCCAGGAGTTAGAGAAAGGTGTCCCTTCCTCCCAACAGTCACAGCTCTGCACCCAGGTGAGAGCAAGATTTCAGACTCAACTGATCCTTCCACCCTTGTGGACCCTTGTGCAGTGCATGGCCAGCACAACTGTACATGGTAGCACTGATTTCAATCCCGGCTCGTTCAGCTATTGTGTAACCCTGGGCAAGTTTCTGAGCCTCTCTGTGGATCTATCTGTTCATCTAGGAAATGAGGATAGTAATAGTATCTATCTTACAATATTGGGGAGCATGAAATAAAATAATGCACAGGAAGTGCTTAGCACAGAACCTGACTGCAAAGAAGCACTTTGTAAGTATGATTATAATCATTATATATGAGACATAGCCCCTGCCCTTGTGGAGTTGACAGTCTGGTGGGAGAGGCAGATTGTAAAAACATTATATCTGTTTATGTCCAGGGTTGGAGGTGGGGTAGCAGGACATGAGTGAGAAAACTGCTCTTGATGGGTGAGTAGGAATTCAAGCAGCAAAGAAAAGGTGGGCGTGGGAGGAAGACTATTCAAGGCTTTGAGAACAGTATGTACAAAGGTAGAGGAGTTACATGTCATTGCATGTTCCAGGAACAGTGAGAAGTTCCCACACTATTAACTACTAATTATGAATTTCTGCTAAGCTGAAATGCACAATAAGTGAGTAAATAATTCCCTCCAGTGCCAAACTTATGAGTCTCAACACTTGGGAAACTCAAAGTAGCCATACTTGGCATCAATTAGGCCAACACCTTGTGAAGTTGACAATGGCTTTGAATTAACCAATACCACATTTCTCAGGTTACTCCAGGACCTGGAATGTTATTGCTTGCTAGAGAATCACTAAATTGGAGTTCCCTCTGGTACAGAAGGAAGGGGATCAGTGCTTTCTGAAGGGGAGGATGGGTTAGGGGGGAAAAGCCTTGGAAGTCAGGGTTCCTGGGTTCCTGCCCCACTTTCTAGGCAAGTCATGGTCCCCTTTCCTGAGCCTCAGTTTCCTCTCCTGTAAAATGAAGGGGGCTGGGTTGGAGTTTCTTCCAACTGGGAGACAGTACACCTAACTGCTTACAGCCTGGACTTTAAAGTCAGACAAGCCTGTGTTGACATTTGTTAAGAGGACAAAATGAAGATTTAATCTATGTAAAGCACCTGACACCGCCCCACAGGAAGCACAGATGAAATGATAGAAGATTTGATCACTGCCGTTTAGACAGTGCTGGTGTGTGGGATGTGTGGGTGAATGTCCGTAGAAGAAACCGCCCCCAGTCTCACACCTCTCAAATCTACAAACCAAAACTCTTTGACACTTGGGAAGTTTTTGAGCCTGCCGAAGCCCTGCATCACGTCAGTGCAATGAACTCCATACACTTGAGACTTGGTAACATTGTCTTAGTATTTGGCTTGAATGAACTTTCTGTGTTTTTTTACGTGGAAAACACTCACATGACAGCCTCGGAGTAGTAGTGCGGGGAGCAGCGGGGTGGGGGCAAGAGGGTTCCAGGGGAAAGAAACTCTCCAGCAGCAAAAGAATGTGACTCACACTCTCACACAACAGAAGAGAGGCGACCTGAGCAGAGGTGGGCTGCTTTTTAGGAAGTCGCACTCAAATGGTCTTCATGGCTCCAAATGGGGAGAAGGTTTTAGCACACAGTCCCTGAAGACTCATGGACATTCCCGGTGGTTCTGATTGTGAATGATGCTGAAATCAACCATTGCAAAATACTCCCAGCATACCCTTTCCTCTGCACCTTCGCCCAGCGAGGCAGATGCTCTTATGGAGCTACTTCACAAGCGTGGGTCTGAGGCCCAAGGAGGTGAGGGCACATGCCCAGGTCACACACCACAGATACCTGCCCTCAGGCCTCGGACGCCACAGCTCAGCACTGCTCCTCTCCCCCAAGCCCTTCACTTGCTGGTGTGTAATGAGCACTGTCTCAGCGCTGGGGGAGCCATGAAGAGGCCTGGGTCACACAGTGTCCTCACGCTCCAGCCTGCTGGCAGAGCAAGGCCATGGGATTCAGGCCTGTTCTGTCCCTCAGCAGCAGGACAGCGCACGCATCTGAGGAGTGCTGATCCTGGCCTTGGGCAGTCAGCTTCCGCCAGCTGTGCCCTGCTATAGATGGCCTGACCCTTCAGGGCCTGGGCCCCACAACAGAATATTGTGGAAGAGAAACCCAAGAACCCCTGAGGCCCCAGCAGCCTCCACAGAGCCCCATGAGAACCTGAAAAAGTCCTGGAAACCTGAGGTCCCCTCTCCCTCACTACTGGAAAAGAATTAAGACAACGTGTTACTCCTTGGGCCCCAGGCAGAGGCCAAGCTGCCCTCGAAACATCCAATCTGCTCCAAGTTCAGAGGCAGCCTCCAGCGCATGGGAAGAGGGTGAGGCTGGGTCAGAGCCCTGCATTTAAATCCCCACTCTGCCACTTAAGACAATTCTGGAACATCTGTGCGCCTCAGTTCTCTCCTCTCCAAAATGGGAATGCCCACAGTGCTAACAGCACAGGATTGCCCTGAGGGTCAAGTGGGATAATAAATGAGAAGGACTTTTTTTGTGAACTGAAGCCCTATAAAAATAAGTGGGATTATGAGTCTTATTATCCCTCGCATGGTTCTACATGACTTGGAAGGACATCCAAGAGTTTCTCATCAGAACCTTATTAAAATTCTTATTAAAGTCTTATTAAAAGTTTTTTTATTATTATTAAAATCTTTGCCTGGATGCTTCAAAATAGCCCCTGTGTGCCCAAACTAAATATGATGTGAAGGAACCAGATAGCTAAAGTACACCAACCCATACTCAGAGGTGAGAGGCTCTGATGGGATCCAAATACTATATTCATTTCTGGGAGCTGGCCCAATAGCATCTCGGACTGAGTGACTTAAGCAGCCGAAATGTATTGCCTCGGTTCTGGGGGCCGGAAGAGGACACGGTGCTTGTCGGTGGGGTTGGTTCCTTCCAAGGCTGTGAGGGTGAATCTGTTCTATGCCTCTGTCCTGGCTTCTGGGGGCTGCCTGCAATGTGGCATTTCTCGTCTCCTGCCGTATCTCTGGATTCATGCTCCCATGGCCTTCTCCTTGTGTATGTCTGTCTCTATGTCCCAATTCTCCCTTTTTATTAGTTAGAATGGATTAGGGCCTTTCCAAATGACTTTTTCTTTTCTTTTTTTTTTTTTTTTTTGAGACAGGGTCTCGCTCTGTTGCCTAGGCTGGAATGCAGTGGTGCAGTCTCCACTCACTGCAACCTCCACCTCCTGGGCTCAAGCAGTCCTCCCACTTCGGCCTCCTGAGTAACTGGGACTACAGGCACATGCCACCATGCCCAGCTAATGGCTAATTTTTTTGTATTTTTTGTAGAGACAGGGTCTTACCATGTTTCCCAGGCTGGTCTTGAACTCCTGGACTCAAGTGATCTACCCACCTCAGCCTCCTAAAGTGCTGGGATTACAGGCATGAACCACTGCACCTGCCCAAATGACCTCATTTTAACTTGATTACCTCTGTAAAGACGCTATTTCCAAATAAGGTCACATTCACCTGTACAGGGGTTAGGACTTGAAAATCTTTTGTTGGGGGACACAATCCAATCCATTACCAATACCTTCCCCCAAACCTCTCAGGTGCTCAGAGCCTGGATCCCCAGCTCCTGTCTGCCTCCTCACATGTTGTCTCTCATCTGTTTCCAGCCGAGCTCTGGGCTGGCCATGGTGAAATGTCCAACCCAAGACTTCAAGACTAACCCCTTTCTGGCCCCAGGAGCTGGGCCTCTCCTGGGCACTTGAAGGAAGAGCCACAGATACAACGTCATAGGATCAAAACGACAAAGTGCACAGACCCTCCACTGACAGTAACAGAGAGAGCTGGGGAGTGAGAAGGGCAAGCGCAGACTAGAAGGGTGAGACAGAGACGGGATATGCCCTGGAAGGAGGCCCTGGTGCGGGGCCATTGCAGAGGCTATGTCTAGTGCGGTAGATGAGACTCTAGGTGGCACAGGGACGCCGCAGGCAGGAAGGCCAGAGGGAGAAGTAAACAGAAACAGTCATGTGAGAGGAAGCTGGGAAGCTACCAAGGCAAACAGGAGAGGTGGTGGGGCATGGCTCGTGGCCACAAGCCCCTAAGCACTGTGCACCAGGGCCAGCCGAGTCAGCTGGCCTGGCGCAGTGATGCTGCTTGCACTGCTGGGAGGTATGGCCACATCTGGCCCAGCTCTGAGCTGGGCGCTTCCCACACTCCCTGCTTCAGCGGCAACAGGGCAGGAAAGCTTCAGCAGGCCGAATGGAGCAGCACTGCACACAGATGTTTGCAAGTGCTTTGTGCACCACCCACATAAGCACAGAGGACAGGCTTACAGCCCAAAGTTCTAATGCCGGGGCTGTGCCTGACTCTGGCAGGCCCCAGATGATGGTCTTGGGTCATTGCCAGTGAAAGCACTACCCTCCTTCAGGAGAGTATCTGTTTGAGAGTCACTGACACCTACTAAGATATGAAAAGAAGGCGCAAACATAAAATAAAACAGTTCCTGCACTCAAGCCGCTCACTGGACAGTGGGAGAAATAGCTGAGCAAAGAGGCAGTTTGAATGAACTAGAATAAGAGCAGAGAGGAGAAGATGATGGGGAGAGGTGGGCCTGGAGGCTGATAGGATGCTTGCTGGAGAAGACACTGAAGCAGAAATCTAAGCATCAATCCCTCCAACGGGCAACTCTGTCGCAATCCAGTGGCTTCACACATGTTGTTACTTCTGCCTGGACCCTCCCCACCCCTGCCCACCTCTCCTCCCCATTCTTCAGGCCACTTCCTGAGACCTGACCATTGTCCCAGCCACCCACCTCCACCCCTGCCATAATTCTCTCCCCGAACACTGCTCTTTCCCATCACGGGACATATTGCAGTCTCTTAGTAAACATCTATTGGTGTTTGCTTCTTAACATTACCCCCAGAGCATGGGAACCAAGTTCATTTCCCACTGCAGCCCAGCACAATGCCAGGCACGTGATCATGCTCAAAAAGCACTTATTGGTACACAGTGTTCACAGGAGCACCATTCATAATGTGTCCATCGACGGATGGATGGGTCAACCAGATGCGGTCTAGGCACACAGTGGGGCACAACTCAGCCTTCAAAAGGAAGAGAATGGATGGACCTTGGGGACAGTATGCTAAGTGAAATAAGCCAGTCACAAAAGGACAAATCGTGTAAGAATCCACTTATATGAGGTACCTAGAGGAGTCAGATTCACAGACAGGGACTAGAGGAAGGAGGGAATGAGGAGTTATTGTTTAGTTTGTACAGTTTCAGTTTTTCAGGTTGAAAAGAGTTCTGGAGACAGATGGTGGTGATGGCTGCACAGCAATGTGATATATCTAATGCCACTGAACTGTACGTTGTAAAATGGTTAAGATGGTACATTTTCTGCTATGTGTTTTTTATCACAATTAAAATAATTTTTAAAGGGTGGAAGTGTTTAACAAATGAGTAAATGAGGAAGTGAAGATGGGAGGAAGGAAGAAAGGAAACGGAGGGAGAAAGCAAGGTGGAGGGAGTAGGGAAGGAGAGCAGGAGACTGCGGGCAGAATGAAGGGAGAAAAACCACCACCACCACTACTTAGTAAGCACCGACTTCATGGCAGGTGCTGCACTGAAGGCGTCATATTGATCATCTCACTGAATGTACCAGCAAAGACGCACAGGCGGGAGTTCACCTAAGGTTTCAGGACCCATGAAAGAATTCCAGCCTCGCCTGACCTTGCCCGTTCTCACCAGAGGGAAGTCGCACCCAGACGGGAGTGAGGGGGCTGGAATCTGCTACTTCTCCTCCAGGGGGACTCCCATTTGCAAAGTTCTCCCCATGTTTTTCATCTCATTTGATCCTCCCGAGGAGGAATCAGTACTCGCAGCTGACAGAGGAGGAAACTGAGGGCAGCAGAAAGCAAGTGTAGGCTTGTTCCTGAGGCTCATGGGAGTGACTGAGGCCCATGTGAGAAATGGGAGCAGCTCAGCAAAGGAAGACACCAGGGAGGCGTCATTCCGTGGACTGGGAGGACTGTGTGCAGGAGTGGGGGTGATAGCACTCAGTGCATGCAGGCACTGCTGGGCCTCATTCCCACAGTCCCCCTACATCCGAAACTCCCCGGGATGCTTAGGAACACAGGCCCTGTCAGCCAAACACCTAGGAGGCTGACAATGGTTTGTTTGTCAGCCAGATGTTCCAACATCATTTAAGCATGAGCTTAAATCCCAAGCCAAAATAATTCCGTTAATTAAAAAAAGAAAGAAAGAACTCATCCATATCTCAGAACTCCCACAGCAGGCTGGTTTCTATCTCTAACAGGGCACTTCACCTGTCTTATACTTTGGTTTCTTATGGTTTCTTCTGCACTGCTCTGTCTCCCCTACTAGACGACGGGTGTCCTACGAAAAGAGAGCATTTTGTTTGCCTCTGTATCCCCAATTCCTAGCACAAGCCAGGGCCACAGAAAGTCCTGGATAAACATTTACAGAATGAATGTGCATTTTGCTGTGAACTCATCATGAACATGACACAGAGCCCTATTCCCCTGAGGGAAGACACAGCTGGATGGTCCCAGAAGGACCCAGCACGGGGAGCCCTCAAGGTGGGGCAGCTCAGGGAAAGGCTGGTCTGCTATGGGGAAAAGCTGGGACTCTGGGTACCCCCAGGCAATGAGGATGCAGCTTTGTGCCGCATTCCTGGCACTCCTAGCACCACGCCTGGTACAGGAAATATTTGTGGAGTTGAGCCTGTGCCAGGTCTACATTCTTTCTGTTCTAGACCATCAACGGAAATCAACACTTTACCAGCATGTCCCAAACCAGGTGTGGTCCTTGGGATGCTTCTACATGTTTAGAGAGAAAAAGGGCTCCGTTATCAGCAAAGGTGATTTCCCACCTCTTGAGGGATTAAAGTGCATAGACACATATCAGACTGGCAGGGGTTGAGCACCAAATCTTCTGTTTCCTAGAAGGTAGCTTGGGATTCTTTTTTTCTTTTGATATGGAGCCTCACTCTGTCACCCAGGCTGGAGTGCGATGGCGCAGTCTCGGCTCACTGCAAACTCCGCCTCCTGGGTTCAAGCGATTCTCCCACCTCAGCCTCCAGAGTAGCTGGGACTACAGGCACGTGCCACCATGCCCGGCTAATTTTTGTATTTTTAGTAGAGATAGGGTTTCGTTATGTTGGCCAGGCTGGTCTCAAACTCCAGACCTCATAATCCACCCGCCTCGGCCTCCTAAAGTGCTGGGATTACAGGCGTGAGCAACCACAACCAGCCTAGCTTGGGATTCTTAATCCCTCCACATGTTCATTTCTCTTCTGTAACACAGGGTGATGATGGCATCTGTCACACAAGGCTATGATGAGATGGCATGAAAATGCATATGAAGGGCCTCATAGGGTACCTACCATGTAGGAAGCCCTTCATAAATGGCAGTTACACTAATGATCATAAGAAATAAATATTACTGTTATTAGTATATGTTGTGACTCTCCAAAAGGAGCACAGATTAGACAGTGTTCCTCAGATTTATTTGACCACAGATTTTACCCACAAGTAATCATCCATGGGACTCCTGTGTTAGTCCATTATTGCACTGCTATAAAGAAATGTCTGAGGTTGGGTAATATATAAGAAAAGAGGTTTAATTGGCTCATGGTTCTGCAGGCTGTACAGGAAGCATGGTGGCACCTGCTTCTGGGGAGGCCTCAGGAGGCTTCCAATCATGGTGGAAGTCAAAGTAGGAGCAGGTGCATCACACTGTAAAAGCAGAAGCAAGTGGGGGGCGGGGAGGAACCACACACTTTTAAACAGCTGTATCTCTCAAGAACTCACTCACTCATCACCAAGGAGATGGGCTAAGCCATTCAAGAGGGATTCCTCCTCTACCCTGACCCAAACTCCTCCCACCAGGCCCTACCCCAACAGTGGGGATCACATTTCAACATGAGATTTGGGCAGGGACAAATATCCAGACTGTATCAACTCCACTTAAAAGACAGAAACCTAAGTCAATAGCAGCAAGGTTATCAGGAGAGCTGGCCTGGGAGGTCCTCATTTGCATGACCTTGCTGCTAATGCCTTGATTTTCCTATTTTTTCTATCCTGAGGTTCTTAACCTGAAGTTCAGAGACTGGCTCTAGGGAAGTGTATGCAACTAAAACTTCAGGAAAAATCGTGTGTTCAAGGGCACACATTCACTCACCAACTACTGGGCACCAGCTATGTGCCAGACACTCTACTGGGTGATGTGGACACAAAAGGAAGCAAAGCCAGGTCCCTCCTGTTACGGAGTCTCCATTCTGGTGAGAGAGACAGATACTGACCAAATAATCCTATAAGAAATTTACAACTTCAGTTGAAATTGCGATGAAGAGGTTTACGGTGCAATTTGACCATATGTAAAGGAGGCATTAACTAGGTCAGAGGGAGCAGCAAGTTCAAGGCCCTTTGGAAGGAGGAATGGTGAGTACAAGGAGCAGCGAGGAGGCCGGTGGAACTGGCTGGGGGACCTGGAGGAGGCAGGAGAGATGGTGCAGCCCCTCAGAGACCATGCCACGGAGTCTGACCCATGTGCCTTTCTAGGAAGGAGGTCCGTGGCTTTCATGTATACTCAAAGGTCTCCATGATCTTAATACAGTTGAGAGGAGCTCCACTGTCAGGGGCCCAAGTCCCTGGCTTCATTTGAAGACAGTCAGACCAGCCACTGGGTGCCAAGGACAGCATCTGTGGTTTTTGTCTGTACAATATTTACTCTCTCTTTTCTGGCATCAACACTTGAGTGTTTCTTTAGGGGAAATCACCACCTCCCATTCTTACTCCTTGTGGGTTCTGTGGAATTAACTTTAACTCCTACTCTAGGGAAGACCATGTGACCCTGGTCTGGCCAAGAGAAGAAGGGCATCTCCTGGCCATAGGGATAGACCCAGAGATGGACACACAACCAAGCAGGACCAGCAAGCACCTGCCCCAGGACCTCTGCAGGAACTACTAGGAGCTGCTTTCCTTCTGCAGGTTGATATGCCTGAAGAAGGTAAGCCTGGGGCTGGGCGTGGTGGCTCACACCTGTAATCCTAGCACTTTGGGAGGCCAAGATGGGCAGATTGCTTGAGCCCAGGAGTTCGAGATCAGCCTAGGAAACATGGTGAAACCCTGTCTCTACTAAAAATGCAAAAATAAGCAGGGCATGGTGGCGCATGCCTGTAGTCTCAGCTACTAGGGAGGATGCGGTGGGAGGATCACTTGAGCCTGGGAGGCACAGGTTGCAGTGAGCTGAGATCATGCCACTGCACTCCAGCCTGGGTAACGAGCCAGACCCTGTCTCAAAAAAAATAAAAATAAAAATAAATAAGATAAGCCTGGGGCAGCTGGCAGTCACCTTGAGATTTCAAAGACTGAGGCTACCTGTGACAGAAGGCATCACTGAGGAAACTGGCACTGAGAAATGGAAAGAGACAGACCCCTGATGGTACCGTGTGAACCTCTGGACCTAGGCCTTCCTATAATCACAACTCTCCCTGGATTTTCCAATCACATGAGCCAATAAATGCCTGATTCCAGCCAGTCTGAATTGTGTTTTTGACACTTGCAACCAACAGTTTTCACTGATAGATCTCTCCAGTCACAGTTTAAAAAACTGAGATCCAGAGAGGAATCAATCATCCAACTTCACAAAGCCAGACAGCAGCACAGCACCTGGGCCTGTAGACTCCCAGGCCAGTGCTCCTGCAGCAGGCTGACGGCATGACGGATGCTCCCAATGCCTCCCATGGCCTGGATCCCTCCCTTCTCCTACCTCCTCCTCCCAGTCCCTAGGGAGAAGCTGTGCCCCTCTTCTAACCTCAAGGCCCCAGAAAGAAAAACAAATAGGGCAGGATCTTTGTTCCGCCCTAGACCCGGAGATGTCTCTGGGTACTAATTTCCTTCTGTGGCCAGGACGTGGGCAGCTCAGCTAACCCTCAGGCCACAGCTGCAACGGTTGCCCAAACCAACTTCACCTCCTTTGCTGTACTGACAGCCCTCTGAGGCCCTGCCCATCTTACCTGACCCCATTCTCCCCCATGTCCCCTGTTCATACCAGCCTCTGTCCTTCTGAGTTTCCGATCCTGCCCATCGAACAAGATCCATCCACCCAGTAACTTCAGGACACCATACACCAAGGCTTCAGGACACCATCTCTTCTTGATGCACACAGTCCCAGCTGCCTGGATCACTCCTCTGGGGGTTGGGAGGAGGACTGACTCCTGCCAGCGTATCCCCTTCCTACTGCCTTGTGTAATTTCTAGTTGTTTCAATATGTTAGGTCGAGATGCACAACTGGATGAGATGCGCAGGTACCATCAAGGCTACCAGTCTAGGCTCTGGAATCAGGCATACCTAAGTTTGAAGCCTGGCTCTGCCTCTTCCTAGAAAAGCAACCTTGGGCAAGTTACTTATCCTTGCTGAGTCTCCATTTTTTTCATCTGGAAAGTAGAGGTAATAATAGGCATCAAAAGGTTTAACTTAGTTCTTGGCACTTAGTAAGCACCTGGCAAATGTTAGTTATTGATGCTGCTGATGTTGAAAATGTCATCAGATGCCATCACCAATGGATGCCTGGTGGCTATAGCCACATGATAAAATAAGAGTAAGGTCACAACAAGAAGTCAACTATTTAGTTCTCATTCCTGCTCCTGCTCTTCACTCTCCTGAAGGCTTTGCTTTCTCATCTGTACAATGGGTATAACAGCTCTTCCAGGCCTCTGTCACAAGGAAACTGAGAGAATCAACCGAGGGCATAATAACTAACAACGTCATCTCCACAGAGTGTTACAGTTTGCAACACACTTCCAAGGTGCCATGTTGGCCTTCATAAGACCTGACTGTGAAGACGTAGAGGTCAAGCGACTAGCCCAAGGCCACATAGCTACCAAGTGGGAGAATCAAGGCTTGCACACCCACTTTGGGCTGTCCTGTTCAGTGTTGTGTCCCTGAGGTCCAGCACAGGGCCAGATGCCCGGTCAATACTCAAGTTCTCTTTCTCTACAGAGCCACACTGCCTTCCAGGCTGCAGCCTGCGAGGCCAACACTTCTGGGGCATCCCCATTGCACTCGGCACAGTGCAGGAACACATGATGTGTTAGAAGGAACTCCTGAATTGAACAGCACTCCAAGACATTCAAGAGAAAGGGAGGGACAGAATGGCTTCTACCACCTTTCACAGCTGCCAAGAGAGGTGTGGCCTGGGGAGGACACATTGTCAGTCACCTCGGCAGTGCAGGGAACAAGATTGAGGAGGGAACACCCAAGGCTCAGGAAGGACAAGTGGCCATTGCTAGGGAACTTTTAGTAGGCAGACAGCTGCCCTCAAGACAGGCTGTTTGGTTCCCACCCACAGAAAGACACGGAGAGTTAATAAGAGTTACAGCAGGGTGAGCGGGAAGCCACAGGAAGTGAGGCTAGGAGGAAGTTATTCTCAGCCTGTGTATTCCCCTTACCCTCTCTTGTCCCACCACTTTTCTTTTGGCTGCAGAAGCAGGCGACCACATCGTGTACCCTCAACCACCAAGATGAACTCGGGGAGCAGGGCGGGGAGGACAGGCCCAGAGGCTGACTTCAAGTCTGGTCCAGTTCCTACAGGCAAGTTTCACCAAAGCAACTGGAGTGGAAGGCGTGGGCAAAAGCCATACCCTGCAATCACACGAGAAACCCAAACACAAGCATCCTCTCTAAGTCCTACGTGTTCTTCAAACCCTCACTCAGACCTCATCTGCTCCGCGAATCTGTCTCCTGGCCAGGGCAATTCCCAGAGAGCTTTACCCTGTCTGAATGCAGCCCCGAGAGCAGATCCCAGTTCCCACTGTAGATCCTGAGTTGAACATGGCATCAGGAGGCACCCGCCAGCACCTCCTGCAAATGCCAGCGAGTCTCTCCTCAGCATCCCAAGTACACCATCCGCCGGCTTCACTCAGTCATTTCTCAGCAACAGGAAGCTCACAGTCTCACCAGAAAGTCCAGCCCACTGGATAGGAGAAACTGTGTTCAGACAACAGATGTCTGGAGACACGGAGGCAGCCGGGGGCAGTGGCAAAAAAGTGCATGTGATTTGGAAGCAGGAAACCTGGCTTGCAACCCCAGTTCTGTGAAGCCTCAAGCAAAATCACTTCTTTAAATTTCAGTTTCCTCCTTTGTAAAATAAGAAGCATAATATACCTATACTTCTCAGGGCTGCTGAGAGAATTGAATGAAATTATGTGTGAAATGTACCGGGAAGTGTCACGTGCTGCACAGGTGGGTGGCATTATTCAAAGACTCAAGAAGGTAAACTTGAGACCCAAAGAAATTTCCAGCATAGGCCATTTCTTTGGTTTAAGGCATTGAAGGGCCAGCCAAATGGGAAGGTAATGGTAATCGTTTTCTCTTGCTGGTGAAACAAATTTCCACAAACTTAGCTACTTAACACAACACAAGTTTATTATCTCACCGTTCTGTAGCTCAGAAGTCCAGGTTGACTCAGGGGGTTTTTTGCTTAGAGTCTTATCAGGCTGAGCTCTTATTGGAAGATTCTCGGAAAAATCTGCTTCTTCATGAATGGTGGCTGTGGCAGAATCAAATTCCTTGCAGTTGTAGGACTGAGGTTTCCTGGCTAGCTGCCCGCAAGGGATGCCCTCTGCTCCTCAGGCCTCTCCGGTCTCTGTGCCTGGGCCCAAACATCTCAGAGCCAGGGAGGGTACAACGCATCATAACCTTCTGATTTTCCCTTCTGGTGCCCCCGCTCTTCTGGCTCCAGCCAGAGAAAGTTATCATTTTTTAAAGGCCCACGTGATTAGATAGGGACCGCTAGATAATCCAGGATAATCTCCATCTTTTAAAATTGTTACAGGTTGAACTCTAACTCTCCAAAGAGGTGGACTGGAGTCCTCATCCCAATAACTCGAAATGTGACCTTAATTTTAAAAAGGGTCTTACATGGGCTGGGGACGGTGGCTCACGCCTGTAATCCCAACACTTTGGGAGGCCAAGGTGGGTGGATTACTTGAGGCCAGGAGTTCAAGACCAGCCTGACCAACATGGTGAAATCCCATCTCTACTAAAAATAGAAAAAATTAGCTGCATGTGGTGGCACATGCCTCTAGTCCCATCTACTCGGGAGGCTGAGGCACAAGAATCACTTGAACCCAGGAGGCAGAGGTTGCAGTGACCCAAGATTGTGCCATTGTACTCCAGCCTGGATGACAGAGCAAGACTCTGTCTCAAAAAAAAAAAAAAAAAAAAAAAAAACACAAAAAAGCATCTACTAATTTGGGGGCATAAATTAATTAAATAAAATAAAAAATGAAAAGGCTCTTATAGAGGTCATAGAGTTAAAATGAGGTCATCAGGGCATGTCCTGATCCAATATGACTGATATCCTTGTAAAAAGGGGAAATTTGGACAGAGGCACAGAGGGAAGGTGACGGGAAGATACACAGTGGGGACACAGCCATGGAACCAAAGCGAGGCATCTACAAGCCAAGGCACACCAGAAGCCAGAAAAGACCAGGAAGGATTTTCCCCCAGAGCCAACAGGGAGAGCGAGGCCTTCCTGATAGAGTGATTTCAGACATCCACCCTCCAAAACCATGAGACAATACATTTCTGTGGGTGTTAAGCCACCCAGTTTTTGATGCTGTGTTACAGCACTCCTGGGACACTAATACAAATATTTATTTTAAAATTTTTTTAATTTTTATTTATTTGTTTGTTTTATAGAGACAGGGTCTTGCTCTATCACCCAGGCTGGAGTACAGTGGCACAATCACAGCTCACTGCAGCCGTGAACTCTTGGGCTCAAGTGATGCTCCTGCCTCAGCCTCCCAAGTAGCTGGGACTACAGCCATGTGCCACCATGCCTGGTTAATTTTTTTAAAAAATTTTATAGAGATGGAGGTCTCACTGTGTTGCCCAGGCTGGTCTTGAACTCCTGGCCTCAAGTGATCCTCCCACCTCAGCCTCCCAAAGTGCTGGGAGTACAGGCGAGAGCCACCGTGACCAGCCCAAAGATTTTAATTATATCTGCAAAGTCCTTTTTGTTGTGTGAAATAACATTCACAGGTTCACAGGATCTCTGGGGAAACATTCTTCTGTCACCCAAACTCACCCAGTGACTATCAGTCCCCGATGCTTTGGCATTCTCAGACCCATTGAACAGAGGAAAGAGCCATCAACTGGGAATCTGAGAGAGGAGGAGGCCCAGGAAGGGACCAGGAAAATGGCCAAGTTGCAAAAACAGCTGAACTGATGCCACATTGTTTTAAATAGCAGGCACAGTGCTGGCAGGGAAGAGTGTGCACAGTGCAGCCACGGCGCCTGGGTCAAACTCTGCTTCTACCTCTTTGCACCTTACTGAGTCTCACATCCCTCTCCCTTGAAAGCAGATTATAAATGTATACAATATCTAACTTCACAGAGATGCAAGAATTAAATGAGGTCATGAAAACATGGAATACCTGGCACTTACTTACTAGAGAGCCTGGCATATAGTAAGCATTCAAGAAAACCTAGTCATTATAATTGCATATCTATTATACAGATGTTTAATTATGTACGTATAAAACATTGTACACACACACACAAGTCTGGGAGAATACACAGCACAATGTTAACAGTGCTTACTTGGGGCAGATGGCAAAGGCTTTCAATTTTTACTTTACATACCTCTAGAATATTTTAATTTTATAACAAGCATGCATTGCTTTTATAATTAAAACTATTCTTAATTAAGAACACACGGCTCCCTAGGAAACTAGTTGAACATGTCCTTCCACATGGTTGTGTTATATATAGTACTAAAACACAAATTTGCTAACACACACACACACACACACACACACACACACTGTAATGTTCACCTAAAGACCTTCTCAGTCTCCCTAGCCTTAACCCCCAGCCCCGGCCCCTCAGCCCCCACAGCTGTACCCCGAGATGAAACTCAATCCTCTGCGGCTTGCCTCTTTTGTGGAGCCAGTTGTAGCAGCGACTCCAGCCCTTCCCGGTTCTCAGCTTGCAAGCTCCTCGCCTCCTCTTGGAGCTGCATTCTGAAAGGCTCTTTGTTGCTAGGCAGAATGCTTTCGGGGGCCCTTTGAAAAAAATACTCCCTGCAGACATTTCCATCTGCTCTCAGGAGTCCCCTCTGTAAAGGGGCTTAAGGAAGCAAAGGGCACCAAGCCAGGTGTCTCTGCATTGCCCACACCCTCGACTTCCTCCCATTTCAATCAATTAATTAATATTGGGCAAGGTGAAGCCAGAGGCCATGGCAAGGAAGGAGCATGGTGCTGCCCGGCACAGTCATGACCTTTAACAAAACCTGCTTCAGTGAGTTAGAATGATTTTGTTTCACAGCACAGCAAGGGGATTAGACATAGAGACTTTGCATCAGACTGAATTTGAATCTGAACTGCCACAGCTACTAGCTGTGGGACCTTCAACACCAGGTGTTAAGGTCTTTTGAGCGTCAGTTTCTTCATCTGTCAAACAGGGATAAGTAGACCTCAAGGTTTTAAAACAGGGATAAGTAGACCTCAAGGTTTTAACAGGAGGATGGAATCAACCATCCACGTAATCTCTTAGCATCCAAAGGAAATGCTCAGTAAATGGGTGTTGTTAATGTCATTATTATTATTAGAAATGCAGACACAGATCCTGCCTTCAAGGTATTTATAGCCTAGAATGGGAATTAGGCAGAGCCACTCGGAAGTTCCATGAGGACATGGCCACAGTGTAAAAGGCATTCGGAGGCTAAGGGTCAAACAAATGGTAAAGAACGAACTAGGTGCTTTACAGGAGAGATGAGAAGAGGGAGGTTATCCAGTCCAGCCTGGCTCCTTATCCTTGCACCCCTCCTCCCAAGAGCCTCCCTCCCCCAGCTCCAGAACCATCCCTTTCAGGTATAAATCAGCTCAGAAGGTATAAATCAGCTTGGACCCCACCCTGTGGCTTCCACAATGTAAACCTCAGTGCAACAGCAAGGATCCCACCTTGTTCCCAAGCCCTGGGCTGGCTGTTGTATTGGTCATCTCCCTAGTATACCTTGTTCTTCCCATCCTCCCTCCCCAGACTAGTTCAAGACCAGCCTGGCCAACATGGTGAAACCCCATCTCTAAAACTATAAAAAATTAGGGTCTTCCCACATTATTAGAGTCTTCGGTCTTCCCACATGATTCCCAAGGGTCATAGGCCCTAGAGTCCCCTTGGCAGTATTCCATCCACTGACTGGGGCATTTGTGGTTTCACAATCACTACTGACCTCTTTGCCTGCCTGGATTCCAACCTCCCATGGACAGGCTGCATGCCCTTGGACACCATGCAAGGCCTCTTCCACACTGAGCCTCTCTATCCCTTACCTACCTGGCGAGGCCAGATTCCAGCCCCTCACACTAGCTACCCTGAGCACCAAGACGGGGCAGGGAGGATCATGACTGGAGTGGTCAAAGAGGGGTTTCAGAGGAAGAAGGAGCCATCTGTGAACTGGGCTGACTGTGGAAGGGAGGCATATCAATGGCACCCCTTTGTTGGGGTGGGGGGGCACTGCACTGGATAAATGTTGAGAAGTCGTTTTTTTCTTTCCTTCCTTATTTCTTTTTTTTTTTAGAGACAAGGTCTCACTCTGTCACCCAGGCTGGAGTGCAGTGGCAAGATTATAGCACATGGCAGCCTCAATCTCCCAGACTCAATCAATCCTCCTTCTTCAGCTCCCTAAGTAGCTGGGACTATAGGCGTGTGTCACTCAAGTAGCACTAAGGCCTGACTAATTTTTTTTTTGAGACAGGGTCTTACTATGTTGCTCAGGCTGGTCTCAAACTCCTGGGCGTAAGTGATCCTCCCACCTCGGCTTCCCAAAGTGCTGTGATTACAGGCATGAGCCACTGCACCTGATTGAGATGTCTTGATGTACGAGATTAGAGGAAAGAAAGATTAGAAACAGACTGTAATGAGCTTTGGATGCCAAGATTGATTGTTCCCCAAATGCTCCCAGGAGGATTCAGTTGAGCGGCCAGGAGTGGGCAGGCACACAGGGTTAGCAAGGATAACCTAGCTAAGTGTTGGGAAAGTTCCACTTTCCAACCAAACCCAGCAACTCAGCATTCTCCAACCGTGTCACCCCTTCAAACCCACAAACTGTTATAAATACTTGCTAAAGCCCTTTTTGCTCATGGTACATCACACTAGTTATGCTAGCTTAAAGAGCACCACATTGTCTCAAACCTTGTCGCCTTTGAACCTGGAGTCTTGTGGGCCTGGAAGGCTTTTCTCTGCCCTTCTGCCTTCAAGATCTAACTTAACCTCCAGGGAAGCCTTGTCCTTCTCTCCCAAAGAGAATCTGACGTTCTATGTTCTCATAGTACCCTGAGTGTCTCTCTATTACAATATTTATCACACTGTCTTGTGACTACTTCCTGAGTAATATAAATCTTTCTTTATTGTTACATTGTCGGCTCCTTAAGAATAGGGGTTCTGTATTATTTATTCTATAACAGCACCTGGGACGCTCAATAAATGCTTGCTGGTAGTATTATCAATATCATCTCTTATGAAATACCTACCACATGCTAAGGACTACCATAAGTACTTGAGAAACAGAAACTTGTTTAATCCTCATGTAATTCACCAGTGAAGTATTACTTCGCCCATCTTGTAGATAGGGAACCTGACCTTCAGAGAACCTCAGCTAACCGTGAGATGAAGGAATGAACCAGCTTGAGCAGGTCAACTCCCGCCCTCCCCAAACCCTGCCATGTACGACTGACCCCAGGAATAATCATGCTGTGTCCTTAGGCGGTCTAAGGTGGATGTTTATTTCCAGTTATTGAAATCTACTCAATTTGAGTCCACCAATCAATAAGCTGCTCTTGAATAAACATCGGGGGCATCTGCTATTCTACAGAGGAACAGCTTGTCATTTCAGCAGCACCAAAGCAAGGTTAATTAGCCCTTTCTATAGCCAGTGGGCACTGAAGTCTCCCCACGTTCTTACTTTTCCTTCAGCAAAAAGTTTTTTGTTTTTAAAATTTTTTTTATTATACTTTAAATTCTGGGACACATGTGCAGAACATGCAGGTTTGTTACATAGGTATACACGTGCCATGATGCGTTGCTGCACCCGTCAACCCGTCATCTACATTAGGTATTTCTCCTAATGCTATCCCTCCCCCAGCCCCCCACCCCCCGACAGGCCCTGGTGTGTGATGTTCCCCTCCCTGTGTCCATGTGTTCTCATCGTTCAACTCCCTCTTATGAGTGAGAACATGCGGTGTTTGGTTTTCTGTTCTTGTGTTAGTTTGTCCCTCAGCAAAAAGTTTTAATGGCGATCTTTCTAAAAGGCAATGTGCCTCCAAGGTGAAAAGTTGCAGAGAGGGGGTACAGTCAGTGGACTAACTGAGGAAGGGGCAGAGTGGTATTTCATCACTGCTGTCCAGTGATTGAGGGCAAGTCGGGGAGAACTGTACCAGCCCACGCCCAGACGCTGTGCTGAGTGCTCCACATCCTTTCTCTCTCCACACAGCACCTTTCACCTCTTCAAGGAAGCACAGTCTTCACCAACCTCCTAATCACAAATCGAGCAGTCTTACCCAGCCCTGGGCCTCTTCCCCCGGGAAGAATAGCTTAAGAAGTCAGCCACTGTCTCTTACTGGCTGCCCCTTTGTGCACACCACCAGCCCCCTTGGCTTATATAAATCTAGACCCTGCCACAGCTTCATCTGTGTTGCTTCTTGCTGACAGGGCATGCTCTGCCTCTCTCTCCTGCCCTGCCTCCTTTTTCCCTCACAACCTCTTCAATCCACCAGGGTCTTACCCTCAGGCTCGATCTCATTTCACCGAACGCTCGCTCACTGGATGTCCCATGCAAGGCCGTGTACGACGTGACTTATACCCGTCAGAGACGCCCTCAGAACACCTGCAATCCTTCATATTCACCCTTGACAGTGACTACAGAAACAGAAACCAGGTTCACAACAAATCCCCCAAACTCATTTAGCAAACAACCCTCTGCCAGAAGCCTATGGGAACAATAGATTTGGAATGGGACTCTGGTCCTAGACCCTTTCTGTGCCCATCCCAAATTAGAAGGAAGTAGGATGAGGGGGTGAGGGGAGAAAGAATACAAGACAGTGATCACAAAAAGCAAGGATCTAGCTGTACCCTTACCAAACGTGCATTTTTCTATGTGTACATTATACTTCAATAACACAGATTTTTGTAAGAACCCAAATAAAACAAAAGGCTGACAACTGAAAAATCCATGACCAAAATTAATAGCACGGATAATTGAAGCAGGAGAGAGATACAGAAATATTAGTTCACCTTTCTGTTCCTAATAATACCCAAGGGAAGACTGAGCAAGGAGAACCTTATGGATTAGAAGCAGGTAATTAGTGTGTCCATTTGTTATGTTACACAATTATAGGTCTTCAAAACAACTTTGGCAGAGAGTTGTAGACCTAGAGAGAAGGGCATGAAAGATAATCTAATCCACCTTTTCATTTTCTAGATGAGGAAACTGAGGCTGAGTGAGGAAGAGTCCTGTCTCCACCCAGCAATCATCTGCCACATATGCCTTCTCCACCTTCTTATCCACTGACAGAATGGACACGAAGAAAGATGAATGGGGCCACACCAGGGCTAGGAGAGCTCAGATGGACTTTCTGATATTTCTTGTGCTGGAGAAAGCTCAGAGCAACCTGACATGGCCAGTTGTGCAAAGCATATTGCCTCTCTTTGGTGCCATATCTTTTTCCCTTTGATGTGTGATCACTTCATTCCCTCCTTGATTGCTTTTCAAAAGCAATCTAAATTAATGCGAACCCACAAAGGGCAAGGCTCTCTGTGAATAATTAGTGCATGATAATAAATGCAAATAGGGAAAGATGCAAAGTTGGCCTAAGAACTACTGCTCCCTGCTCCCCTGCCCATTCTCTCCACATTGGGAATTCTCTTTACATTATTAAAGAAAGAATTTGAGTAAACTTGAGAAAGGGTGGTATTCCTAAGCAGAGCACTGGATTCATTGAAGGATGGTAGAAAGAAAGAACAGAAGCTAAAAGAATCAGACCAGTGACTGCTACAGGGTCTTTGTCCTTTTTTTGTAGGTTCCACTGAAGACAAAACACTTGTCTAGATTTCTGCCATTCAGAGGAGGACATATCATCACAGTCAAGAAGGAGCCACCATAATTTGGTCCTGTCCACTCAGGATTTTATCCTACAAACCCTGAGCTCCAGTCAATCTTGTCTCCTTTCTGCTCCTTGGCTAAATCAAATTAAAAACAAATCCAAAGCCGGGGATGAGATGTGTTCAGACCTTCCGTAAAACTGTCTTGAATATTATGCAGAGAGAACTGGACAAACTGAAGGTTAGGAAATGTTTCAGCTGGTAAGGCAAGCCCCTGCTTATTCTCCATCAAATCGTTTGTCCCGAGTCCCTTCTGGAAGTCAGTTTTTATCTATTGTCATATTTAATGGGCAGAGCTGTATGGGAAGGGGATGAAGTATCTGTGGAGCCTGAAAATTGGACTCCTCCAATCCCTTTATTCAAGATCATAGATTATTAGATCAATACAAGATTTGGGCAGGGACACACATCCAAACTGTATCATCTCCCATGCACCCCATATTCCCTACACTTCCTGTAATCCAGGGACAGAAAACAGATTTCAGCTCAAGTGCCTTCTAATCCATTTACAATGGCTGCCAGGAGGGCTATATTCAGAATAGTCTGAGAGCATGTCTGGGATCAGTAGGAAATGGGTGAGAAAATCCAGAAGTTTCATGTCCTTCACATCTCTGTCATTCCTGATTGAGTCCACCCCTGTCATTTTCACTGTGGCCAAATTAAGGCCTTAAAGGAAGAACTGACACCCAGCATCACAGAGTAAATTGATAAAAAGAACCCAGCTCTCCCTGAATCTCTTATTTTCCTATAATCCAGAGTTTAAGACAGGAGATGGATCTAAGAGTACAGTCATAATACTATAACCATTTCTAAATGCTTACTATGTGCCAAGTACTATCCTAAGTGCTTTTCATGTATATTCGCATTTAATCCTGCCAGAACACTGAGAAATAATCATCCCCGCTTAACGGGTGAAATTGACACACAAGAGTGGTCAAGTAACCCATCCAATATCCCAGGACCAGTAAGTGACAAAGTAGGGATTGACACACGGCAAGAATAGAACAGAACTGGGTCTAGAAACATCCTCACACAATCGGTGGAAGATTCTGGTAATTACACCAACACATACAAAGTCAATTCGCATTGGAAAAATACCCCATGAAGGCCCAGTGATCTTTTCAGCCCTGGTGATGTCAAAGGCTGCAGAATAAGGAGTGGAAAGTCCTAGTTACCATGACAGGAAGCACCAGTGAGTGATTTAGAAGGCAGGAGATGAGAACAGGCAATTCAGCAGGACTCAGGTAGGACGCTGAGCTCTTGGCATGAACAGATAGGTTTCGCCATGGTCTCGAGTATGACAGGTTGGTCCCAAAAGGTCCAGTTTTGCTCAAAAGATTCCCTGAAACTGAAAATGTAGTATAACGGAATATCACTGGCTGGCTCCAATCCTCGGGGCTTGCTGTTTCAGAAGAGAAAGAGGCGCCCATCGATGTATTTATAGGCTTAAAGCTGGCATGCACTGAAGCTACCTGGGGTTACTCAACAACTGTTTTAGGGCACATTTCCTCCATCTTTTTGTTTCATTAGGTTTTAGTCGGTCAGCTATCTGGGGCCTGAATTAGGATTTCACACACATCCAGAGCCAAATGACAAAACAAACAAAAGAAGCCCTGTGACTAAAACAGAACTTGGGGTCAGCAGCTCAGTAAGGGTGGCCCCCTGGAAACAACTCCTGTGTAGGATCAAAGGAAAGTCAAGTGGTATGTCACATCCCAGGGCTGGGGACCCTTAGGGGAGGGGAGCCCCACTGCCTTGAGCTCAGCCAGTCACCCCTTTGTTCCACGACCTTGGCCTGCAAAGTTCTTCCCTCCCATCCCTGAGCAAAATCCTAAAGTTCCTTCAAGTTCTGGCCCAAGTGTCGACTTCTTTGGGAAGTCTTCCCTTACTCCATCCCTACCCCACCTCTTCTTCCTACAGAAAAAAAAAGAAGTTTCTCGTCCCCCTCCTCCACACTCTGTCCTCAGTTCCCAGCCCATCCCACAAGTCTCTGGAGACTGGGAGAGCATAGGTGTGGAGTCGCCCTCATTCACCACTTTAGAGAGACTGGAACAACATCAGCAGCCCTGTGGAGGCAAGCCCAGGCCCAGGCACTATGGTCTCCCGGATTATAATGATTCACACACGGAAAACATTGGAGAGAAAAAGCTGAAAAGGAATATGCTGCCCAAATTTCTCTACCATGAGCAAGTATTGCTTTTATCATTGGAAAAACATAAAATAAACATTTTAATGGACTGCACATTTCTCACGCTAAAGGAGCTAATGGTGTTTCCTATTGTGTGGAAAACAGACCTGAACCCATCCACAGGATGCTGAAGAATCCACAAATTACGGCACGCATTGACAGTGCCTATGTACATGGGAAGGAGGAAACTCAGCCTGCCTGGGGCATCAGGGAAGGCTCCACACAGGACAGGATGAGTGAGAGCTCTCCAGTTAGACTAGGGAAGATGAGGCAGAAGGGAATTCAAGGCAGAAGGAACAGTATGGTCAAAGGCAGAGTCATGAATGTGCAAGCTAAATAATATGGCTGGAATGTGGGAGATATGGGAGATGATATCATTTGGATGGGTGTCCCCGTTCAAATCTCACATTGAACGATAATCCACAGTGTTGGAGGTGAGCCCTGGTAAGAGGTGACTGGATCATGGGGGCAGATTTCTCATGAATGATTAGCACCATCCCCCTTGGTACTGTTTTCACCACAGTGAGTTCTTGTGAGTTCTGGTTATTTAAAAGTGTGTAGCATCTCCCCCCTCACTTTCTCTCACTCCTGTTTTTGCCATGTGATATGCCTACTCCCCTTTCAGGTTCCACCATGATCGTAAGTTTCCTGAGGCCTCCCCAGAAGATGTTGGCACCTCATTTCCTGTAAAGCCTGCAGAACCATGAGCGAATTAAATCTCTTTTCTTTATAAATCACCCAGTCTCAGGTATTCCTTTATAGCAATGCAAGAATGGCCTAATACTGGAGAGAATCGTGGATGTGAGGTATGCAATAAAAGGTTAACTCCACTAGCTTGGGGTCCTCAAACTCTGCACCTTCCAAAGAAAGAACTGGCCCTTGACCAGCCCCCGGGAAATAACCTCTGAGCCCTTGGAATATCGTGCCTGATGGAATAGAGTATCTTTGTATCGCTGGGGCTTTGGGCCACCCCACATAGTTTATGCTAACAGTGTAATTCATGATAAAGGCCTGTTTTTGTTTACCTGGAGTCCCAGCCCATGCTGTATCGGTTTGATTCCAGGCATGCAGGGGTTGCATAGAGACTGAGTAGCCAAGGTCAGTCACGTGGGTGACTCATACCTCCGTGACTGACTCCCTTCTCCTAACAAAAACCCTGGACACCAAGGGGCAGTTGGGTTTCCCTGCTATGTTTTGTCACACATCATTGCTGGGAGAGTTCAGTGCTATCCAAGTGACTCCCCCGGGAGAGGACAACTGGAAATTTATGCCTGGTGTCTTCCTGGACTCCGACCTATGCACCTTTTTCCTTGGATGATTTTAACCTGTCTCCTTTTGCTGCAATGAACCATAACCATGAGTATATCAGCTTTTCTAATTTTTGTGAGTCCCTCAAGTGAATTATCAAACCTAAGGTAGTTTTGGGACCCCCATCACAGAGAGTCAAACAGGGGCAGGGCAAGAAGAGCTGCTTTTCCTGGAAGGCTAATGAGTCTGAACTTCGCCCTGGAGGTAATCGTTATAGTAACTCCAGGCTCTAACCTGGAGCTGACATGATAAGGTCAAATGTACACCTCTAGAAGACTTCCGACTGCAGAGGGGAATGGATGGGGGAGCTGAGGGAGGAGAGCTGAAGCAGGAAGACCATGGCCTGGAAAGAGATGGCTGAACCAGTCCAGGTAAGAGCTGGTGGGCCCTTGGTAGTGGGCAGTGGCCACGGCAAAGGACTAAACTCAAGAGACAGAAAATAGATACAACAAGACTTGCCAGCCAATTAGACTGTGGGGTGAGGGAGACAAGTCAAGGACGACTCCCAGATTTCTGGCCTGGGCAATTGGAGGGATGATGAAGTCAGTCACTGAAGTGAGAAATCCTGAGTGGGGAAGCTGATGTTCAGGGGCTTGAGGGAGGTTCTGACCCCCAAGCCCAGCCTGGTACTTTCACTGTGTTCATTTCTACAATTCAGGAACCATCCGATTGCTCTTTTTTCTCTCCTTGAAGCCATCCCCTTAGCCCTCTGCCCACAGTGATCACTAACTGATTGCTCCTCCTTAAAAGCCACCGAAAAGTGTGCTTGGCTGATCTCCCTGACCTCAATTTCTCTGCTGGCAGAATCACAAGAAAGGCATCAGCACCTTCTGTGAAATGGGGAGCCATGCAGAGGAGGTGCCCAGGTGGGTGGCAGGGGCCTAAATAAACCACAGCTATGCGAGGAGGTTTCAAACACCAAGTGCTGGCGGGAGATGGGGATCCTGGGCCAGACCCTGGGGAGGTGGGACTAAGATCCCTGTGACACTGGGTTGGAGTTGGGGGCAGGGTTGAAGGAAATCATGAGAAACAAAGGCTCTGGGGGCTGCACAGAACGTCTCCCCTTGGCCTGGGGCTAAGCTGCACTTTATGCATTTCCAGGTGGCGAGGAGTCCATGTCAGCTGCCGTCATCCACACCACAGATCAGACATGGCAAAGAGTGGCCAGGCCTTCTGAGTGAAGGTGATCCAACCTGTCACCAAGCCTAAGGGCAAATCCTGGCTGTGCTGTGATGGCTCCAACAACCCCAAACAGCAGCGCAGAGGCTGCAGCCGCCCTCGGAGGCAACACTGGGAAACGCTCATTAGCAGCCTTCCATTGCTCACCCGCCCCATCCCACCTCTGTGCATCCCAGATCATCAGCGAAGTGCACAGCTGGCTTCCATCCTCGGAGCCTTCCTCCTTCATTTGCCTATTCAACAGTTACAAAGGCCTGAGTTGCAAAGGGGCTTACAACCCATTCCACCCAGAAGAAAGAGAACTGAGACTGAGCAAGACAGAGAATAGGTGGAAGGGGAGATGAAACCAAGCAATCTCTAGATCCCAAATGGGGACCCTGATGTAGCAAGAGCCTCTTTTAAATCCTTTTCCAATAGGGTAATATGGAAAATAGTTGAAAGCACAAGCCAAGTGGGGCTGGAATCCCAAATGGGCCATTTACTAGCTGTGTGACTGGACAAGTAATTTCATATTTCTGGGCCTCGATTTTTCTCATCTGTAAAATAGAAAAAAAAAAACCTATGTCATAACGTTGATAAACAGATTAGATGAGCTAAGATCTAAAATGTCTTCTATTCAGTAGGTGCTCAATAAATGTTATCTATTTTTACGATTGAGTCTCTAAGTCTGGAGATTAAGGAGGAAAGTTTCACATGCTGGGTTCTGCAGGTAATACAGTGAGACATGGTTTCTGTACTCATGCTCCTAACTTAGGTGGCAACAGCTGAGAGGATAGTCTGAGGCTGTGCAGGGCTGAAAGCCTCCTGAGAGGTCATCTGATCCCCTATTTTCATGGGTGAGAAAACAGAGATGTAAAACAACCTTCTCCCAAAGTCAACAGCAAGATAGTGCCAAAGTCAACACTAGAACCCAGGGCTCCAGGCTTCTATTGTTCTTTCCCCTCCAATAAAAACCTAATGACAGGATGCCACAAGTCAGGACGTGAATAAAATTTCAAATAACTTGCCATAGAGAACACTGTGCCCTGTCCAGATCCCTGTTCCCAGGCCATGTACCATCCCTTGGCTGCTTTGGGTGGTGGCTACCAGTGGCTCACAGCTGCCCTGTCCTCTGGAGAATTGCCACCCCCACCGTCCCCACACCCAGCTGATGAGGGAGATTATACCCAGTGCTGTGTTGGCAAATGTTTAGCAGCCACTTTCTGGTGGGGTAGGAGGAGCCCTGGCTTGAGTATTTGCCACTTTCCCTGGTGTAAATATTCCCACCATGGCCGACTCCAAGCTCCCAGCAAGACATCACCGAAGGTGGAGTTGTGGAGAGATGCACATAGCTCTCCATCACATAGTGTTTCCACCATAAAGATCCAATAACCAAAAATAACTGCAAGTGCACAGATTTTTAAAACTGTAGTAAAATAATTAGGAAGTGATGACTTTTGAATATGTATTTCCATTGTTTCAGCATTATTTACTTAATTATAACTTTACATGATTTAATTGTTAATAGTGGCTCACAACGTTCCTAAAAACGTGACCACCACAAGCTCGTAAGGGTCAGGTCCAACACAACACTGGTTTACCCCCACTCCCACCCTGCCAGCCTGAGGCCAGTGACTGATGACATGAGGATACAAAAAGCTGGCTGTTCATCTCATCTAGGGGTGAGGAACAACTTGTGGTGTGATTAATAGCAGAGCTCCCATGGATCAGGCCCAGACTAGGATTACCTGAAGCCACTTCCTCCCTCAGCTCCTCCCCCTCCCCATCCTTCTGTTGCCACCTCCTTACAGGTATTTCCAGAAAGGCACACCAATAAACAGCATGCACCCAAGGCCCCGTCTCAGGCTCTATTTCTAAAAAACTCAACCTAAGCCATGCACACTGGCTCACACCTGTAATCTCAGCACGTTGGAAGGTCAAGGTGGGAGGATCACTTGAGCCCAGGAGTTCAAGACCAGCCCAAGCAACACAGCAAGACGCCATCTCTACAAAAAATAAAAAAATTAGCCAGGAGTGCTGGTGTGCGCCTGCAGTCCTCGCTAATCATGAGGCTGAGGCAGGAGGATCACTTGAGCCCAAGAGTTTGAGGCTACAGTGAGCCATGATCACACCATTGCACTCCAACCTGGGTGATAGAGCAAGACCCTGTCTCCAAAAAAAACAACAAAAAAGAAAAGAACCCAATCGAAAATACTTGTACAGAGTGAAAATTTAGGGAGAAAATTTAGAAAAGATCATTGTGGCTTTGGAGGAATCCCAGGAAGCTTTCTGCAGGAGGTGGGATCCAAAGAGTGGGTAGGATTTTGATTTGGAAATGAAAGCCAGGAACCCTCCAGACGGAGAGAGCAGTTTAATCCAGGTGAAACCAACAACCATGCATTTGACAAGTCCGTCTGCCCAGCGGGGCGGGGTTTTCCTAGAGACAAGCCATGAGCCCTGGGGACCACCCATTAAGGACTGCCAAAGTTGGAGGAGGGGGCGTTTCCATGGCTACGGTGTGATTAAGAAAGATGTGTGGCTCTCTGGCAAGGGCAGTATGGTGTGCTAGTTTGCACTAGAAACATCATCTGTACCAAAACCTTTGGAGCCAGAAGGTCGTCTTTGGATCATTTACTGCCACTGATGGATGAAAGCTTTCAGTTGTAAAAGAGTAAATACAGTATATTTGTTTTAATAGTTGTGTTTTATGTTTTCTTTGCTCTTATTTTTGCTTTTTCTTTGTTTTTAATTTTTTAATTGAGACAAAATATACATAACAAAAAATGTGCCCTCTGAACCAGCCTATCTTTTGTCTTAGAGTTACCTCCAATATACAGCATCAATGCTGACTTTTTATTTGCAGAAGTTTGTAACATTTCCCTCCAAAACAATTTGTACAGAATAGATGGATCAGTTTCAAGAAAAATATGCAGAAAATAATAAAGGTGACATAAACATGGAAAAATGCAAAGATAAGAGACAAAAACCCTAAATTTTGCAAACTAGTCCAATACTCTTATTTTAAGATAGCAAAGTTGCACCCAGATAAAGTAAGGGAACAGCCAAAGGTCAGGCAGCCAGTTAGGTGCAGAAACAGGATTAAAACCCAGGTCTTCTAATTCCCGTTTCTACATTTTCCACTCTGGCATGATTTCCATTTTAAAGAAGGAAGAAAAACAACATATTCTTTTCTAAAACACACCTCTCCAAAGTTTTCGTCCTCCCCATTCAAAGATGCACAACAGAGAACATACCAGGTTCTTTTTCACTCACGACAAGAAAAGCCACCTTCCCTTTTAAATCAGCCTCAACGATGGTTTTCAGGGTAGAAAAGGGATTCGTATAGATGACAGGGTGTACTGGCCTAAAGAGGACACAAATCCTCTAGAAATCTGTCACCCCTGAATTCATCATTCTGCTAACATCAGATGTCAATGCTAGAAAGGAAAGAAAAGTTGGCATTTTCATGCCAGCCTCTGCCTCTAGCTGTTCCACAGGACATGCCTGTCAAAGAGGTGGCCCGTTTTCCAAACTAAAATCTACAAGCAAAGTTGGTTTAAAAGTCATCCTGCTGAGAACTGTGAATTGGGAGATTGGCTCTGCCATGAAATGGCTGTGGATCTCCAGCCTCCTTTCTTAATCGCTCCAGGTCTCGGTTTACCCACTTTCAAACAGAGATAATAGTTCCTGTTTATTTCAATATCAGTTAAATAATCACTAAACGCTTGACAACTTCACAGTTTGCAAAATGTTTCTTCTCATTTTGTAGTGTCTCATTTAAACCACACAACTGTGTCATATGGGTATTATTATTTAACAGATTGGGTGACAGACTCCAGAAGACCATGTAACTTGTCTATAGTTGTGAGTGGCTCTGAAACCCAGATCCTGTGATCCCAGATCATGCATCTCAGAAGTTTAGAAGTACATCACCGGCATTTTCCAAAGCATATGCTTCAGAATCCCTGTTCTCTAACTACATTGTTATTAGTTATTACTTTCTAAAAGAGGTGTCATAATCAAATAACATTGTGTTAAAAGTTTAAAGGGCTTCCTTCACAGCCATGGGACTTTAATATGAATTGTGTATCTCCAAGAGGGAATAGAATATGAGCCTTTCCAAAACTTATTTGTCAAATTACCCAATTTAGGTAGAATCTCTTTCTTAAAAATAATATTCCAGAGAATATTTGGGAAATACAAAAACTATCCTATTGTAGTTATTCTTCATTATATTATGACTTGCAGGTAGGTTGTCTGTTGCTTTATAGAAACTAGTAAACTGTGTTATCATACAGGGCACAGGCCTTTCTATAGAGACTGTCTTTCAAGTCTGTAACAATTAGACTGGTCACAGCCTATTTGCTCCAAGGAACACTGGATGACAAGGCTTTCTGTCATTACATCTGATTTATGTTCAGATGTTTCCAAAAAAGTTGAACATTCTTTATATGTCTACATGGCCTTAGCTACATGTCTCGGGCAACCAGTATTTATTTAATGTTTGTCGTGCCTTTTATCTGTGTTTTATTATTTCTCTACATAGGCCCACTGAGTCAAGGAAGACATCTTCTTCTTCAGAGGCTGTTCAATTCCCACATGCAGTGATGAGGAAGACTGGGGTAATAAGGAAGGAATAACTCCCTCTCCTTATACAAGGTTCTGGGAAGAAACCACGGGGCCAGCTTCCTGGACTTACAATCTACCTAGCATTCAGTAGCCAGTGCTTGGTTTGGTGCTGTGCCAGTACTGTCTTGAAACTCTTAATTTTTGAAAAGGGGCTTTACCTTTTCATTTGTACAGGGCCCTCCAAATTAGGTATCCAGTCCTGAGCAACCACTGTTTAATTGTAAGCTCCATGAAGGCAAAGACCATGTCTGTCTACTCCCAGCACCTGGCATTGTGTCTAGCACAGGATGAATACGTCAATAGGTGCAAGGAAGAGGTTGCAGGGCCCAGAGGCCTTGTCCTTTCTCTCCCCAGCAAACGGGGCTAGGACTGTCCTTTCTTCTAAAGGGCATTCACATGTAAAACAGGCCCAGGCACCAAACAAGAATGAAAACTCATACACAAACTGGAGGAATCGGCCAGCACAGAAAATTAAAACCCCAGCCTGTAGAAAGACAAGCAAGAAAAGACGGGCAGCAAGCAGACACACTGTCCTCTCTCTCCAGATAATGGGACATTTTCCAGCACTTCTCGCAGCGACAGCCAATTTCAGAACAGAATCCTGACCTGAATGTGGCGCATTTTCCTTCCTGTCCCCATCCAATATCTGCCCCCCCTTCCCATCCTTTTTAAGCCAGCTATCTCCAATCCCCAGCACCTCTCAGCTGCTAAAAGCCTGAAAGGTTTAATCTCCAAGAAGGATGCTCAAGGGCTCCGTTATCAGAGTTACTTAATTCTGCATTTGCAATGGGCTTAATCATCTGCATCAGAGCACACTCCCGCGACTCACTCACACGCGCTACCTCTCTGCTCCAGCTGAAAGTTCTTCTCACTTCATCAGCACCTCAGAAGCATTCATAAATGCAAATGTGTACCGGCAGAAGTCAGGGTGGAGGGTTCGGTTTTGTTTTCCCGTTTTTCAATCACACCAATGTGCTAGCAACGCTGACTGAGATTTTTTTTTAAGCCATGGCATTTTACCTCCCACCACCAATCAAATGGTTTCCAATGTCCTTTGTTTTTTTCTTTGTTCACTTTATATGACTGCTGTGACAATACTTTCCATGTGGCTCTATCACCTCCAGAGGCCTCATTTCTAATGGCTGTATAATATTCCATCAAAGAGTTGTAACATTATTAAATAGGTTCTGCTTTTGTTTGTTTTTTATTATAAATAGTGCTACAATGATCATTTTCGAGAGCATGGGATTTAAAGAACTGCATTCAGTTTTTGGCTGTGTCTCTTCCTAGTTATTGAGTCCCTAAAGGGGAAGCAATCGTATTCTCTAACTCAAAGCATGGCTGATGGGAAAGTGCTTTATAAACTATATGAGCACTCTACAATTATTCATTCTTTCTCGACATACCAAGCCCCATCCAAAAAGATTTACAAACACATGGTCTCTGTCCCCTGGAAATGTGCCATTGAGACAGACACCATTGAGCTCTTAAATAAAGGAACAATGACAAAAAAGAAATGAAAAACCAGTATAAATGCTTAAGAAAAAAATCAAGCCTTCAGAAAGGCCTTATGAATTGCAAGTCACACTGTCAGGCCGTAGGTTGGCTAGTAACCAGGAAAATGGCATTTAAATGCAAGTTGATTAAAGGAGAGGCTGACAATATGGTGGCTGTATGCAAGGCATCGCCTGTGTGCTTGGAGGGGAGCATAGCTACAGCCAAGAAGGTAAACTGTGTCCCATGAGGACTCATACCATGAGCTGTAAAAAGAAAAAGTATGTGTCCTTTATATGTCACCAATATACTTTGTTTTTAAGATAAATAAGCTATATTATCAAAACTAAAATTGTTTCATTTGTATAAACTTTAGAAAGAACCTATATACAGTAAGAATATGTTATTAATATTTAGGGGGTTGGACAAGGATTCTTTCATTCACTCAATATGTATTTGTTGGTGCCTATGACATGCTATTTTGCTATATTCTAGCACAAATAGAAAGATGAAAAAGACAAGCTCCCAGCCAAAAAGGAACACACAAAAGACCATAGTAAATGTGAGTAGTGCCATCCTACAAAAGCACCTGCAAAATGTTATGGAAGCAATAAGGAGAAAGCAAGTAATTCTGCCCCCAAAAAGGCGTGGGCTGAAAAGGTCTCACAGCTGAAGCCAGTTTTGACCTGGGTCTTACTGGATGAGTAGTTTCCCAGGCAAAGAAGGAAGACCATGAAGGAGTGTGTGCCTCCCTGGGATAGAAAGCAGAAGAAATTTCCAGATCCCAAAAAGACAGGGTTCCAGGCAGAATTGTTCTGCGCAGTCCAAAGACCACGTACATCAATATTACCTGGGGTGCTTGCTTCAAATGCAGATTCCCGGGCTCCACCATAGACGTATTGAATCCCGTGGTGGGGCCCAGCAATCTACAGCTTACTAAGGTCCTTAGGCCAGGCTGACACACACTCTCATTTAAAAACCAGCAGTACCAGTAACAGAATGGCACTTTCCAAACAAAACTCAAGTCATGACTACCCAGAGATGATCAGCTGCCAGTGGTTTGGAAATGCACCGAGGGAGGCCCTGGAGCAGAGGAGGGTCAGCATGTTGGCACCTCCCTCAAGCCAATTCCAGAGGCCTCCCTCTGCTCTTGACAATCAGCCAATCCTGGTCCAGATGGATATATTCCCCATTCAGGCACACACCATTTTGTTGGCTTAATATTGGTTTTCTAATAGGAAGGCTCGGTGACAACAGACCAGACATGAAGGACGGTGACGGAAGCCAACCATGCCCCACACTTGCCCTCTCAACCACCACCTTTAACCCACAAATCAGGCTGGCACCCCCAGCCCCCAAGACCTCAGGTGAGGAAAAGGGACTGTAAGCTCCTCCGACATCCACTGGCCACTGACCCAGTGTTGAAGCCCAGGTGATAGAAAAGCCTGGAAGCCAAGGCAGATGTTCAGCCAAATTAAGTGGTTCCAGGAGAAAATGAAAACTTGCCTGCTGAGACATCTGGTGTCCATTAACCTCCTAAGCAGAACTGCAGCAGAGCCATCTGCTGGAACAGACTCTCCAGAGGCAAGGAGCGTCCCCGCCCTGTGTGCCTCTGCCTGCTCCCAGCAAAGGCTTGGCCTTGACAAGAGAGGAAAAGACCAGTCCACTTGCCTTCAGGACCCTATAACCGGTTCCTTCCTAACTAGGGAGTCAGCAGGAAGAACAGTCAAGAGACGCCTTATGAGGCTCCAATCACCAATGACTTGGCGTTTGTCATCAGGGAGAGTACACTGACATCAAGGAGAGCTTATTCTGTATCAAGTGCATGTAACACTCAAGGAGACACGTTACAGAGACTTGAGTGCTACTGGAGGGATGTAATTCTTAAGTTGCCTAACTGATAAATAAAGAGAAAGGAAAGACACCAACATTTCATGAAGACCTACTATGGGCCAGGCAATGTGCTGTGCATTTTCAGATCCATGTATCTCATTGAATCCTTACAACAACTCTGTGCGTTGGGTGTTACTATTTGCATTTTACGAATGGCAAGGATAGGCTTCAAACTCAGGCCTTTCAACTTCCAGAAAAAAGTCGAATGCTTCTTTTGCTAGAGGACTGTGCCACAGTGAAGCCGGTTTCTTTGGTTTGGAGGATGGGGGGAAGGGAGGCGGGGGAAGGGTTATAACAAAAGCTATTTGTGGGGCTATAACAAAAGATTATGCATGGATGGGGTTTGCTGCCTTTGATGCTTTTGAAGATGACCAGACTAAGTCTTGAAATGTATCCATAGAAACAGCTATGGCGGGAGCAGCAGCCAAATTAGCTCGCCCTTGAGGCAGTTGGACTGGGGACTCTGGAGACTCTTCCTTGATGAAGGAAGAGTGGTATTAGTGCCCACGTTATCTGCCAGCCTTGGCCTCTTCTGTCCCCATAGCTGGACCAGCTGAAAGCTCAGCCCCCTCCCAAGACACAGCCTATCCAGACACCAAGCTTTCCATGAAGCTAAGCCTTCGTCACCCTCTAAGCCCCAACTCCAGGGAGCTGAAAACCCTCCTGGGGCAGCTCCTGCACAGGATACCACTCTGATGTTCACTAGCCTGCCCTGCTCCAGCAAAGACCTGCACTCTAAAGTGAACTCTTGTCTGGAGCAGAGGTTTCCCTGCCAAGGCACAGACCTCCACATGGAAACTGCCTGCCTGCCCCACCCTCGAGCCCCCTCCTGGATTCCTGCCCCATCTCTGCTCACCCCCTGGAAACCCTCTGTCCACTCTGTGGGAACCCCTGAGCTGATGCTGGGCCTGAATCTCCCGCAGGCCTGGGACTCTGTGCCTCGCAGCTGAGGCTTCTAGTGTTGTCCCTGCTGGAGTCCATGCCCCATGCCAGGAGGGCAAGACCATTTCCCCAGCTGCCCACAGTGGCTGACAGCTCCCAGCGGAGCCCCTCTCCAGAACATGCTCTAGGCTGAAGTAAGCCTCCTTCCTTTCCTTTTGTGGGAAAACCAACTGCAGTGACTGGTTGATGGGAGGGCATAAAATTCAGCCACTTCTCCCCAAGCCAGGCCAACTCCAAAAGTCACCCTAGCTTCAGCAACCCTTGTGGGATCAGCTGAGGCTTTCCAGCCCAGTTCATCTTCTCCTCTGCCCTCCTCCATAGACACCGATCCTGAGAGTAATCCTCAGGGAACTTATTGCACAGAAGTCTCTGACTCCCAGTCTGTTTCTCGGGAATCGGGTCTCATAAAGACATTTTTGTCCTCTTCAAACTGGAGGGCACCATATCCCATGCCCCCACCAGCTATGTCCCTGCAGCTGCAGCTTGTCACTATGACCAAAACAATCACCCCCTCTCCCAAGCTCAGGAGAATCACCCTGAGCCTTGAACTTGGATTCTAGTGCTAACTCTGCCACTTAGGTGCTGGGCACCCTGGGAAACCACTTAACCTCTCTGAATCAATTTCCTATCTATACATTGATAACTAAACACTGGGACAGTTATCCTGAGAGTTCACAGACATTTACAACTATCTTGTTCATTTATCAAATATTAACTGAGAACCGACCACATGTTTGTTTCCATCCCTCAGACCCTAGCCTAGATGTCACTTCCTCCAGGAAGCCCTCTACAGCCCTCAAAGGAGAGATCGAGAACTCTTCTGTGCTCCTGCACCCTCTGCCCACACCCTTACTGCAGCTGCTACCCTCTAAATTGCAATTGTCTGCTTTTTGTCTTTCCCTTATATTGGCCCCTGAGCTATAAGGGGATGGAATGTGTTTATTCAATATTGTATGCCCCTGTGCCCACCTCAGAGCCTGGAACATGGTAAAGGTTCAAAACTATTTGGGAACTAATTAAGTAATAAAGCTAGGTGCTACAGAAAAAGCAAAGGTAATACTGTGTTCACATAGCCCTTTACAACGTGCAAATGGCTTTCATACCCGGGATTTCATTTGATCCTCATAACAACCTTGTAGAGTAGGCAGGGCAGGAACCATTTTCCCTGCCCTAAGTGGTTCACTCACTGATGGGGCCTGGTCTCTGGCCTGCTAAGGCAGCATCTCTGGCCCATTCCCCCACGCCCCACCAAAACATGAGAGGAGGATGTAGATATTACCGCTACAGTTTGACACCCTAGGAAGCACTTGTCTCCACCACCACCACCCCTAGCCCTGTGGCTTCCATTATTCAGGGACCAACACCTCAGCAGTGAATGAATGAAACCATCAAACACCGGGAACCCATCTTGGAAACTACTTAGACCCCAAGTTAGAATACTTCTTGTGACAAAATTCCAAGGGAGTAGGGCCCTGTGTGACCCTCAGAAAAGCTGGAGAAGGCAGAGGGCCTGCCAGAAAGGCCACAGAAGTGACAGCCTCAGGGCCTGGACACACAGCCCTGGACAGAGCCTTAGCCAGGAAGCAGTGGCGTTGACAGAGCATGAAGAGAGTTCGGAGGTCACCAGGCCACTCCCCAGGCCTCCCTGACTGCCACCCCGCTCACTCCTGGGCCTGGGCTAGACATGCCTTTGCCCCCACGGCCTTGGGCTCTGAACTGATCTCTGTTTCTGTGACAAACACTGGCTGTCTCAGCTCCCTGCAGATCTTATCCGTTGGGAGATAAAATGGAGGAGGGAGGGTGTGTACACAACAGCTTTCTCCTAGCTGCAAAACAGAAATTCTTTTCTCCTCTGCCCCAGAGGGGGAAAACATTCTACACCCAAACGAGGTACCAACTCTCCCTAAGGTCTTTTTTTTTTTTAAGTCCTAAGTGAATGCATGATTTTTCCCTAAAGAAACTGTGGTAATACAATTAGCGATACACAGAAGGCGTAAGCCGGGCAATCACAGGCCCTCCCTACCCCCAGCCCCAGCCTTCGTAGGAGTTAGGCTTTGAAATGAAGAAATCTATTGTCGCTGGGGAGCACGGAGCTAAATCACAAATCCCAGCAGAGCGGTGACGCTGAAAACCGCCCTTTGTGGAGGCAGCCAAGAACTGCACGTTAAAGGCTGGACGTTACTGGCAGCAATGCCCAGGCCTATTCTACTCTTGGCTTGTTTAAGCTTCCATGGGCCATAAACATTGATCACCATTTAGACTACAGCACCTTGGTGATGTAAATCACTTGTCAGCCTGGAGCTCTGGGAGAGACAATCTCCCTTCGGATCCCAGACCCAGGAAGGGGCACCCAGAAAGTTGCTGATTATGATTCGAAAATGCGCAGTGAACACTACACCAGCGCTGTCCAATCAAAACACAAAGTCACAAGTGTAATTTTAAATTTCCTAGTAGCCACACTAAAAAATTAAAAAGGGGTAAAATTAATGTTAAGATATATTTTCTTTAATACAATATGTCCAAAATAGTATTACTTTAACGTGTAATCAATATAAAAAATTATTAACAAGATATTTTCTATTCTTTTTATTTGTATTAAGTTCTCAGAATCCATCGTGGATTTTGCCCTTGCAGCACGTCTCACACGGGACTAACCACATTTCAAATGCTCAATAGCCACATGTGGCTTGGTGGCTACCATGTTGGATGGTACAACTATCACGTTTACAGAATATATCTAATTGGTCTTTAAAACAAGCCTCCTGAAGTAAGCATTTGCATCACCACACAGAGGACAGAGCTGAGACTCAATAAATGAGTCAGCCCCACCCAAATCTAGAACCTACATCTCCTGCCTCCTGGTCCTATGTGCCTATCATTTCCCTGTGCTCAAGCAAACCAGGATAAAAACTATGGCAAAAGTAAGTCCAGTGCTTACAGAATGCAGGTGCATTATTCAACAGATAGCCAAGAGATGGAAGCAACCCAAATGCCCATCATAGATAAACAGATAAACAAATGTGGTCTAGCCATACAATAGGATATTATTCAACCTTAAAAAGAAAGGAAATTCTGACACATTCTATAACGTGGATGAACCTCGAGGACATTATGCAAGTGAAATAAACCAGTCACGAAAGGTCAAACAGTGTATGATTCTACTCATACGGGGTACCTAGAGTAGTCAGATTCACAAAGACAGAAGTAGAATAGGAGTTGCTAGGGGGTTGGGGAGGAGAAGGGGAACTAGTATTTAATGGGTGCAGAGTTTCATTTGGGGAAGATGAAAAAGTTCTGAGATGAATAGTGGTGACGGTTGCATGACAATGTGAATGAACTCAATCCCAATGAACATACACTTAAAAATGGTGAAAACTGTACATTTTATCTTCAGTATATTGTAAATAAATATTTAAAATGAAGTAAATTTTATCACAACAAAAAGAAAAGCTGTAAAAAAAATGCAGGCTCTGTGCTAACCTCTACGTGCATTATTGCATTTAACCCTCACAACAAACCTACTCCATAAAACAGGTACTGTATTATCCCTGCTTTACTACTGAGGAAGCCAAGGCTTAAACACAGTAAGCGAATAATTCATGGTTCCACAGCTGACTGGTGCGGAAGCTCAGGGAGTCTGATTCCCGAGCCCATGTTTTCAATATGGCTTCCCACATGAAACTTCTCTGATCCTCAAATAGACTCATCATCTATTCTCAGCACAACAGTCACAAATCCCCCTGACTGTGCCACTGTCCTGCATGGTTATGGCCCCTCGATGCCTCTCTGACCTCATCTTCTATTTCTCTCCCTTGGCTGATGGTGCTCCTGCCACAGCAGCCTCCTGAATCTTTCTTAAACCTGCTAAAAATGCCCAGGGCCATGGCACATGCTGTTTCTCCCACCTGCAAAACACTTCCACTGAGATCTGCATGGCCAGCTCACCCTTCATTCAGGTCTTAGCACAAAGATCCCCTCACCCCAGAGGCCTCCTTTGTCCCCTCTCCCTAAAACAGGACATTCTCTCCAGCCTCCAGCCCAGCACACCGCATCCCCCTAGTCTCTTCAGTCTCCTTCATCGCACCTATCAGTGCTTAACATCATAGTATGTCCTTATTTGTCTATTTCATGACAGTCTGCCTCCCGCTCCTGAGGTAACTCCAGGAGGGCAGGGACTTTGCTTTGTTCATGCAGTATCCCTAGACCCTAAAATGGCACCTGGCACATAGTAGATGCTCAGTAAAGATTTGCTGAATGAATGACTCAATGGATCAACTTCAGCTGATCTTCACATAGGGTGACCAACCATCAAGGCTCAGGGATGGAGGGGGTTCCTAGGATATAAGGTTTTCAGTGGGGAAATTAGGAAAGTCCCAGGCAAATCAGGATGAGTTGGGCACTCCATCCTTCTAACACCTTGCTTTAAGTACCGTTGTCCCTATTTTGCAGAGGAGGAAACTCAGATCCAGAGATTAAAGAACAGGAGCTGTAACCAAATGAACTTTGAGTTCAGTTCCTGCAAGCCGGTTTTATAACCCCATGGTTTCTACTGTTTAGAGTCACACACCTAGACAGTGGCAACAAAGAAAGAGAGTGCTTTGGGAAGAACTAGATTTGGGTTGAACCTGAGATCTGCTATCCACTGACTCTGGGCAAGCCATTGAGTCCTAAATCTCAAGTGCTTTAGCTGCAAAATCAAGCAAGTAATCCCAACTCAGAGGTCTATCATGATCATCTATGTATTATAGATTGGGCTCCCTGGGAAGCAAACTCGGAGATGTAGACTACCATACAGGAAGTGTATTAGGATGTGCTGTTAGTTTCAAAACCCGCGGGAGGGAGGAGAAGGAAGAAGGATTGAGCTGAGCAAGAAGCCAGGCCACACTACAGGTCCAGTAAAGGCCTCAGCAGACTCCACGGGGAAGCACTGAAGCTGAGGTTGGCCCTTTGGAGTTGTCCCAGGTTGTGGTGAGGTAGCCGGGCCTTTGGGAAGGGGATGTGATCTTGGGTGAGGCAGCTCTCTTCAGCAGAAGCAATTCTCCAAGAGGGCAGGCGGCTGAGAGCTATCATCTCACAGTAACTTCCCGGACCTGGGGATATGTCCTTCAATCCTGACGAGGGAACTCTGTGTCCACCACACCATGCAACACATGAGGGATATTGTTGTTGTTGCTCTTATGGAACATAATTCCAGGCCAGGCCTGTCTCACTGCGGAGTCTGAGCTCCTTCTGCTCTGTTACCTGAACCTCTTGTGTTATCACTTCAACCTTACTTCCAGCAACGTCTGAACAGATCCCATCTCCCTATCCAGACAGTGAGTCCTTTGAGTGCAGGGCCCGCAAATGATTCATCTTTGTGTGGCCCCCTCCCACAGTTGCACTGGGCACCGTAGCCTTCCTGAGGAAGCAGTGAATGAGCAAGAGTATGTCCACCCTTTCCCAGACCCCCGAGATGTTTATGGGTTTTGACCATATCCTTTCTAGGCCTTCCATATCTCCAGTCCTAGTCAGTCTAGCCAACCCCCCTACAGCATCTCCCAGTGTCAAAACATCGCAGGCAGAGCAATATGAATCTAGAAACCACTTTGACTTTGGAGCTGGAGCCTGAAACCCCTCTCTTCTCCCACTGCCCCAGTTGTCTCTCCACCAGACCGAGATCCAACTGCCAAGAGTCAGCTAATTCCTGCCATGTAGCAAACAGAAAACCCACAAAGGTCTTAGGAACCCATCCACTTTTCCTGCTTTCACTCCCCGGACTCTGTTGCAATCACATGCCTTGTCTCTCATTACAAGAAAAGAGTTTGGGCAGCAGGTAAGACTAGGACCCACAGATCTTGCCAGCCATGCTCAAGTCAGTGGCCTTCTCACCATACATGTACCTTGCTGGGGATCTTGTCCTTTTCTAAAGCCCTGTTGAAATATCCCCTTATTGGTCAGTGCTAGGCCAACTCATCCAATGCTTCAGGAAGGGAGGATGGAGGGAGTCCTAGTTCAGCACAGGGCTCGGGTGTCAGGCTAATGTGAGTTTGAATCCCATCTCCAGCATCTGCTGTATGATGTTGAGCAAGTTGCTGTCAAAGTCCAGTGTCATTTTCCATGGGGAAAGAACTGCCTATCTCCAGCGTTATTGCAAGCATTAACTGGAGCAAATGGCCTACAGCATGCATTCAATCAATGTCTGTCAGTATTATTACCAGCAAGGGGCCAGAAGGCCCCAAAAAATCCAGACTCACTTCTCAGATTTCACACTAATACATGGAGACTGGGCTTATAGGACACAAAAATGACTAAATAAGAGGTTAAAAAATGTCTCCTAATCATCCAGATGTTTGGTAGATGGAGCACATATAACATTCCTCAGGTTTCTCCCCACCAATATTTTACCTTCCTCACCTCCTTCTGGGGATATTATAAATAGCTAAGTGATACTGTAAAATGTTCACAGGGGTTTCTCTCCTAACACATATGATTACTTAAAAATGTAAAACATCTGTACAGCACAACAGCCATGAACACGGTTTTGGAGGAATAAAAGATAAACTGACAAATAAAAAAATTCACAGTACATCTTATAAGCAAAGAGCCAATTTCCTAAAATATAGTTATTTCAAAGCCATAGGAAAAGATCAACAACCCAATACAAAATTAAGAAAAGGACTTACAAATGGTCAATAACCTTTCTAATAATGAGAGACATTCCCATTCAAATGACTATGAGAGATTTTTCACTTATGAGATTAGACTATTAATTCCGGCCCATATTGACAAGTGTGTGAGGACAGTGGTGGCATAAATTAGGGGCAACTTCTCTTAGAAGACCACTTTGATGCTAGCTATTGAAATTTCAAAGGTTTATAGCCACTGATGCAGAACCTTCCCTTCTAAATACATATCCTTCAAAAACAGTCCCTCATATATACAAAGATGTATGTACAAAGATGGCTGATAAAGCATTATTTATATCATCCCAAAAAGTTGAAAACCAAGTAAATTGCCACCAATGGAGTTTGGCTAAATGCATAATGGTAGAGCCATACACTGGAACTGTAGCTAGGCACTCAAAAAGAATGAAGCCTATGTACACATAGAGATTTGCACATAAATGTCCACAGCAGCATTATTCACAATAGCCAAAAACTGGAAACAATCCAAATGTCTACCAACTGACAAATGTGCGATAAACCAAATGTGCTATATCCTAAAATGGAATATTAGTCAGCAATGAAAAGGAACAAAGTATGGATCTATGTTACCACATAGATGAACTTCAAAAAACATTATGCTTATTAAAAGAAGCTAGACACACAAAAAAAAAAAACAGACGTTGTGTGATTCCATTTATATGCAATGCCCATAAAAGGCAAATCTATAGAGGCAGAAAATAGACTGTGGTTGCCTAGAGATAAGGATGAGAACACGGAGTGACTGCAAATGAGCAGAAGGAATCTTTTAGGGGTGATGGAGATGTTCTAAAATTGGACTATGGTGTTAGCTGCACAATTCTGAATATTTACCAAAGTCAATGAACAGTACACTTAAAATGGGTGAATTTTGTGGTACATAATTCACATTTCAGTAGAACAACTTTTAAAAATAGAATAGCCAGGTGTGGTGGCTCATGCCTACAATCCCAGCATTTGGAAGGCCAAGGCTGGAGTATCGCTTGAGCCGAGGAATTTGAGGCTGCAGTGAGCTATAATCGTACCACTGCACTCCAGCCTAGGTGACACAGTGAGACTCTGTCTCTAACAATAAAAATTTAAAAAATAGAATAATGTAGATCAATAAATTCTCACATGATGGGCTGGGCACAATGGCTGACACCTATAATCCCAGCACTTTGGGAGGCTGAGGCGGGCAGATCACATGAGGTCAGGAGCTGGAGACCATCCTGGCCAACATGGTGAAACCCCATCTCTTCTAAAAATACAAAAAATAAATTAGCCAGGGGTGGTGGCGCATGCCTATAGTCCCAACTACTTGGGAAGCAGAGCCAGGAGAATCTCTTGAACACAAGAGGTAGAGGTTGCAGTGAGCCGAGATGGAGCCACTGCACTCCAGCCTGGGTCACAGAGCGAGACTCTGTCTCAAAAAAATAATAATAAATAAATTCTCACATGCAAAGGTGTCCAGGATAAACTGTTAAATTTTTTTAAAGAAGCAAAATAGTATAAATAATATCTGATTGTTAAAGCAATCATAATAGTATACATTAGTACGTACTAAAAACAAAAAAATCCGGAGGATTATATAACAAACAAGTAATGACAATGTTCTCTCCAGAAGATAGGGTTATCAGAAACTTTCACTTTCTTTGTGGTTCCCTTCCAGTAGGTCTGATTTTCTTAATTAGGTATTTTTGCTACACGTTTGAACATTTTCTTAGTAAGGTGTTGAGGGGGGAGAAGTGGGCATTATTTTTATAATTAAAGATACACACACAGAATGTAATAGTAAAATAAACAGGTAAATAAAGAGGGAAGGTTGAAAATTGACTCTGTTTTGTTGATACAGCCTAGTCCCAGCTGAAGATACCACATCTGGTCACAAGATGTATGGAATCTCTCATTCTCCCAGCTCCACCGCAGCCTGGAAAAAAAACATCTGAAAACCACCAAGTTCTGTCTTTCTTTCTCTCATTCCAAGCTTCCCAAACAAGCTATGACTAATTCTATTCCCCAACCACCTTGAAGCTGGGGAGAAAGAGGGCCCTAGAGAGGGATATCCCCCAGTGTTAACCTCAGTGTTTGTTGTATCTAGGGACATCACAGTTTATAATGCAATTTCTTATGGATTCCTCAAAGTCTGATAAAATAATCTGATTACTCAGTTAAGCTGAAAAATAGGCCAAGGACCTGAGGATCCCATCAAGATGCAGAGACAACAGGAAGACCTGATGGATGTGCCTGACCCATCTTTCTTTTCTTTTTTTTTTTTTTTTTTTTGAGACAAGTTCTTGCTCTGTCACCCAGGCTGGAGTGCAGTGGCACAGTCATGACTCACTGCAGCCTCACAGCCTCAACCTCCTGGGCTTAAGCCTTCCTCTCACATCAGCATCCTGAGTAGCTGGGACTACAGGTGCTCATCAACATGCCCAGCTAATTTTTTTATTCTTTGTAGAGATAAGGTCTCGCTATGTTGCCCTGGCTGGTCTCAAACTCCTGGCCTCAAGTGATTTTCCTACCTCAGTCTCCCCAAGTGCTGAGATTATAGGTGTGAGCCACCACTCCCGGCCTCAGCTCTGTCTTAATTTCTCTGAGCTCAGACCCTGGCAGTTCGACAAACTTAAGTGGTGTTTTCTTAACTTTTTGTTGAAGTGCAATATAGAAAACTAGGTATACAGAAAAGTATACTTAGTTAAAGGAGGGTTTTTATGAAGACTCAAGGCACAATAATTAATTTTCCCCTTTTCCAATGGAAACCTCAGTGTCACTTTGCGTGTGAGTTTATGCTGCTCCCAAGTAGAGGATGAAGGAGTTAAGCTATTAACAGTCCATAAACCACGCTGGTCCCAGCTCCCCTAAACTCTAGACAAAGGTATATGTGTGCATAGTGGATGATGGTCATTGTTTCCCAACCCCAAGAGGTGCTCACAAGTCAGGTGGTAATAGCTAATGTCTCAAAGAACAGGGGCTGAGATCAGCTCAGGCTTCCCTAGAAAGACATCTCCCTCCAGTTGCCATGAAGAAAGCAAGCTGGGGCCAGGCACAGTGGCTCATGCCTGTAATCCCAGCACTTTGGGAGGCTGAGGCAGGCGGATCACGAGGTCAGGAGATCGATACCATCCTGGCCAACATGGTGAAACCTCTACTAAAAATACAAAAATTAGCTGGGTGTGGTGGCGGGTGCCTGTAATCCCAGCTACTCGGGAGGCTAAGGCAGGAGAATCACTTGAACCAGGGAGTCAGAGGTTGCAGTGAGCCAAGATCAAGCCACTGCACTCCCACCTGGTGACAGAGAGAGACTCCGTCTCAAAAAAAGAAAGAAAGAAAGCTGGAATGACTTCTGCTAGACTATAAGTTCATGAGGGCAGAACGTGTGTCCTCCTGTTCATCAGTGTAAATCCACTGCTGGGCATACAGTGGCTACTCAATAAATATTTGCTAAAATAAATGTTGACTGACTGGAATAAAGTAGGTGAAGACAGAGCCTCCCGGGAAACCAGGCTACAAAGCAGAAATCTCCAGGGCCTGGGAAGGGCTACTGCCAGCCCAGATGGTGACTTGGAGCCCACTGGAAAAGATTCCCATTTCCCCCTGCTGATGCAGCTCCATGCCGGGGCAAATTGCTTGGTGAGAAAAACTTCCCCTGGATTTGGGGCCCCACTTCTCGACCTGGTGTCCTTCTGTAGGGGACAACCTCCATAGCCACACGGGTAGCCCTCTCTGGGATCACGGCTGCTCCTGTGCACACTGGAGACACAAATAATGGAGTCTATTCCCTGTTGGGCTTCTGGAAGGATGCCCAGTTTGTCCACAGAAAAGACTGGTCTGAAGTGGAAACCAAAGGCCTATAAAAACCCTTCTCTAGTCAATAAATGCTTGTTGATTCATCATAGGCACCTGCAGTCCAAAACCTGCATCATCTGAAAAAAAAAAAATGCAACATTTGCCCCTGCCCACTTCCTCAACTCCCTCCACACTCCTCAGAGCAAGAAACCAGAAGAGCAAAGGGGAAACACAAGGCATCCTCCTTTACACCAGAAGACTGCCCTTTTCATACAAAAGCAGCTCCCTGAGCTTCACGCCACATGCCCTAAGAGTGGTTTCATCTGTGCTGTTTCTGGTGTGCAGGCATCTTCCCTTGCTTAGGCTACTGCAATAGCCCCCAACTGGTTTCACGCTTCCCCTTGCCTAACAAGCTGTTCTCCACACTCTAGGAGGAGAGATCTTTCTAAACCAGAAAATTGGTCCCATCACCTCCCTGTTAAAATCTCCAATTGCACATAGAATAAAATACGAACTCTTAACAGGGCCCACAAGGCCCTCCATGACCATGATCTGGCCAACCTCTCCCACTTCTTGTGACATTCTCTGCCTCGTTCTCAGTTCATTCCCGATGCACATACTTTCTTGTAGTTTCCTCTGCCCTTTCTCTTTTCCAATTCCCTAAGCTTGTTGTTCCCACCCCAGGGACTTTGCACTTGCTGCTTCCCAGGCCTGGATTCTCTTTACCTGCTTTTCACATGACATTTCAATATCAGCTTACAGACGTTTCCTGATTTCTCATCAGGAACCATTCCCCTCCACTCATTCTCTATTTCATTGCTCTGTTTTATTTTCTTTGTAATGGTTACCATTATCTGAATCCGTCCTATTTGTTACTTAACCCTTTTATTGACAGCCTCCCTGTCTTCTGTCACCCCTACCCACCTCCAACACACACACACACACACACACACATGCACACACACACACAAGAATATAAGCTCATTTCCCACACGATCACTGGTAACCAGAACACAACAGAAGCTTAATAAATATTTTCTGAAGGAATTACAATAATTATAATTGCAAGACCCTTAACAGTTTGCAAAGAATACTCATATTCATTGCCTTATTTAACAATAGAAACAGTCATATGGGGCAGGTAGCATAACCCTTATTTACAGATGAGGAAGCAGTGATTCAGAAAGCCCAAGGAGCTTGCCGAAGGTCACACAGTAATAAAGAAGCCTGCTTTGCACAAACCCAGGCTTTCTGCCTCCGAGTCCAGGGTTCCTCCCTCGGTTTACTGTTAACATCCAACAGTGCTTCCCAGTCACTGAACAAAAACTTTTAAACACCAGATAAACAGCAAAGCAGTTACTTGCAGGACTAAGTTAAACTCCAAGACAAAAGAAAATAGGAAGCTATGAAACCATTTTAGAAATCACTGAAATAGACAATTATGTAAAATGAGCCCCTCTGAAATCCATGGATGGAGAAGCTGGAAGGCATCCAGATGTCCTATCTCGGTTTTGATCTGTGCTTATGGCATCCTTTGATTCAGATGAAGGACCAGGAATTTGGGGGTAAGAGAAATAAAAAGAGTGATGAAAAAGGCAGTATCTCTATCCAAGAGTTGCAAAAAGAAACTATGACTAATAAGGAAAATTCATTGTAGGAAACTAACCACACGCTACAGGAGGATGGATCAAATTTCTCACCCTTCAGACCAGAAAGTCAAAGGCACAACAAGCAAGCTGCATTTGAAACAATCTTCTGAGTCCTGGTTCAAAGAAAATGAGAGTCCAGTATTCCTGGGAGGATAAAGTGAGGTGGCCTTTGAGGAAGGAGAGCTAAGTGGTGGAGGGGGAAATTTACTTTTTACTCTACTTATAATATCTTTTATGTTTTGAATATGATACTGTGTGTCTATTTTACATATTCAAAAATGAACTGTATTTCAACAAACGATCAAAAGAAAGAGAATGAGAAGGTCTAGGAAGCAATTTCAGCAGGTCAGCTCTTCCCACTCCAGCCTCCTTGTTAGATTTTACCTTTTTCCACCCAATCCCAAAGGCGAGCAGCCCTTACTTTCGGCTCACTGAAATCTACGCTGTTCGGCCTTCAAATCCTGGAGCCACAGAGTTGAAAAAGACCACCTTTTCCAAAGCCCTCACTTTACAGATGGGGCCCAGAGGTGGGAGATTTTCTCAAGCCTCCCTCACTAGTTAGGAGGAAGCTTGGTATTTGAACACAGACCTCTGCCTCCCTCCCAGAGCTGTGGTCCTTCTGTGACCCAAGCTCCTCTCTGCTCAATGCTGATGCTTCATTTTAGGTATCAACTTGACTGGAATCAGGGACACCCAGATCTCTGGTAAAGCATTATTTCTAGGTCTGTCTGTGAGGGTGCTTCTGGAAGGCACTGGCATGTGAACCAGTGGACCCAGTAAGGAAGATCACTCATGTGGGTTGGCACCAGCCAATCAGCTGAGGCCCTGAATAGAACACAAAGGCAGAGGAAAGGCACACTGCTTCTCTCTCTTTCCTGGAGCTGGGGCATCCTTCTTCTCCTGCCCTTAGACATCAGAACTCAGGTCCCCCAGCCTTTGGACTCTAGGACTTGAACCAGCGGCCTCCCCTCAGTTTTCAGGCCTTTGGCCTTAGACTGAAAGCTGCACCATTGGCTTCTCTGGTTCTGAGACTTTCAGACTTACACTGGCCAACGCTCCTGGATTCCCTGGATCTCCAGCTTGTAGATGGCCTAGCATGGGACTTCCCAACCTCCATTATGATGTGAGCCAATCCCCCTAATAACTCCCCTCAGACAGATAGACACACAGATAGATAGGCATATACACACATACACATACACACATGTATACATATATATATGTATATATACTCTCCAGCTGGTTCTATCTGGAGGCCCCTGACTAATGCACACTCAGAGGGCCTGAGCACCAACTGTTAGTATGCACACTGCAGATGTATCAGCCCACCAGGTCATTCTCTTATGCTTTCCCTCTTCTGTGCTTCATCTTCTTACTTCCACAGACCCTTCTAGAACACTCAGGCCCTGCCTCTCACCTGGAGGCAGGACCATCCCCCACAAGGGGAATACAAAATTATGGGCATACGTTTTAAGTCAACACAATGACTGGAGAGTACTACCAGCATTTAACGGGCAGGGGTCAAGGTACTAAGCATCTGCAATATAAGGGACAGTCCCCACAGTGAAGAACTGCCCCACCCAAAACACCCTGTGGAGCAGCCACAGCCCGGTCCTCTCCGTATCGTTTCTCTGAACCGTCTCCCACCTTCCTCCTACACTTCAGGCTGGCAAAGCTGAATGGCCACAGAGCAGATACCCTAAGAAATGCTAGCCCAGTGCTCTCAGAAATAACTTCAACTCGATGGACTGTTGCAGTTACGCACTGTCACAAACAACGATTCTTACTTCAGTCCCACGTAGAGGACAGGCTCCGATGTAATGGATGAGGAAACGGAGGTACTGAGGGGCCAAGTCACTTTCCCGAGCCATGGCTAAAAACTGACAAGACCGCAGCACATGAGCCACACCACGGAAGCCACCCAAGTGTCCCTCCCCAGAGGAGCGGATGAACGTGATGCGGCCTCTACGCATACAATGGGATATTACTCCGCCTTAAAAAGGAAGGGAATTCTGACACACGCCTCAACACGGATGAACCCTGAAGCATTACGCTAACTAAACTACAGCAGACACAGAGGACAAATATTGTATGAGTCCGCTCACACGAGATGCCTAGAGGAGCCAAAACCACGGAAACAGAAAGTAGACTGGTGATTGCCAGGGAATGGGGGAGGAACAGGGAGTTCCTGTTCACTGGGTGCAGTTCCAGTCCTACAAGATGAAAAGTGTTCTGGAGATGGATGGTGGTGACGGTTGCACAACATTATCAATGTATTTAACGTCATTGAACTGTGCATTTAAAACGGTTAAGATAGTAAATTTTATGTGATGTGCTTTTCGACACAATAAAAAAAAATTGACAAGGCTGGCACTCGTTAACTGAGTTCCTAAATCAAAATCCACTCTCCTTAAATTATACCCCAGCCCTAAGGTCTAAATGAAAACATTGCTGCCTTTCCAATACATTGGGCTGTGAGAAATTTAACTACTTTAACTATTAATGGCCCAATCCTGTGCCACAGGGGCCTCATTGAGATGCCAGATTGCTTCTTCAAGACCCTCCAAGGGGGCACGTCAAATTCTGATGGGCCTCACCTTGGACAAGGCTGGGGTTTTTAGACCAGCTTTCACAGCCTGGTAAGACTCCCTCCTCCCCGCAAAAGGAAGGGGATCTACAGAGGGTGGCCAACTTTTCAAAGGGTATTCGGGGCAGGGAGAAGAACTACCTCAATTGTTTAAGAAAGGATAATTTCTGACACACACATACACACACACCACACCACACCACACGCAGGAAATGAAGACCATCATTTGTGTAATAAAGAGCAGGTCTTGAATTGTGTGCCATTAGGTTTATGAGAAAATGTCTACATTGTCCTTATTTTTTTCAGGTTGCTCCAGTGTCAAGACTGACAGTGATCCAGGGACCTTTAGGGCAGACAACTTCATTGTGACAGAATGAGACCTGTGGCCTTTGGACCTCGGTGGGGCCATATGTCACCCCTGCAGGCCCCAGGCCCCCCAAGCCACCAAGAGTCACAGAGGCAGGGAGGGGACAGGAGGAGATCTTGCCCCCACTGCATCTGGCTCTCCTGCCCTCACCATCCGCAGCAGGGGGTACACTACAGCTTCGGCTTTACAAACACAGGGAAAAAGCTAACACAACCTTTAAGCCGCATTAACAGGATCAAGGGATGTATTATTAGTCCTGCTAGCCTCCGAACCATTGAGAGTACTTCTGAAAGACAGTGCTTACTTAGCTTGGGCTCCAGATTTTAAGAGACCCGTTAATAATTTGGAAGGTTTATTAGCAGACTGCAGATCCAAAAATGGTCCTCCTCTATTTGGGAAGATATTGCAGGAAACAATGCTCTAGGAGAGACCACAGCTGGGCCAGCCAGATTGGTCAAATCCACCCTAGAAATGAATTAGGGAGAAGAGATGGCAGCCAGATGGCTTTTTAAATGTTGATAAGCTGAAGTGTGGCCAGAAAAAGAGACCAGAGAATGAGGGAATAAGTCACCTAAAGCATGATGGCAGAATCTAAGCATAAACGCTTAGCAGAGAAAATAAACACACCGTCCATATACACCATGCCCAGCCCCAAGCCCAGGGCAGATCTGATACTCTCCTGCTGACCCTGACACAGCCTCAGAATACTTCTCAACACAGACCGCCAGCTGTCACTGCAATCCAGCACAGTTGGCACATCAGGTAGAAACTATTTCCCACCGCTGATTTAGGAGTACATAAAAGCTGTCTTTATTTTATTTCATTTTATTGAATTTTTTATCTTTTAATTTTACTTTTTATTATTTATTATTTTTATTTATTTATTTACTTTTTGAGATGGAGTCTCACTCTGTTGCCCAGGCTGGAGTGTAGTGTTGTAATCTCTGCTTGGCTCACTGCAACCTCAACCTCCCGGATTCAAGTGATCCTCCCACCTCAGCCTCTCTAGTAGCTGGGAATACAGGTGTGAACCACCACACCTGGCTAATTTTTGTATTTTTAGTAGAGATGGGGTTTCACCATGTTGGCCAGGCTGGTCTCAAACTCCTGACCTCAGGTGATCCACCCACCTCGGCCTCCCAAAGTGTTGGGATTACAGGCGTGAGCCACTGCGCCCAGCCTATTTTATCTTATCTTATTTTATTTTTATTTTATTTTATTTAAATAGAGACAGGGTCTCACTATGTTCCCCAGGCTGGTCTTGAATTCCTGGCCTCAAGTGGTCCTCCCACCTAGGCCTCCCAAAGTGCTGGGATCACAGGTGTGAACCATCATGCCTGGCCAAAAGCTGTCTTCAAATGACGAAACAGCTACCATGAGGCAGCCAGCTTAGATTTTAGTCTGTATTGTTCTAAAGGAGAGAGGCATCTTGCAGTTCCACTCAAGAAAGACTTTCCTAGCAAGACTTTCCAACAATGCAAATAGTCTCATTTCTGAGGTGGTCAGCCCCTTACTGCAGGAAGTTCCAATCAGAAGCCTCATGGTTGTCGAGGACTCTGCATCAGGTGAGAGTTAGGACGTATGCTGTGATTCTTGAGGTTCAGTGTAATCAGGTATGTACTAAGCCATAACATGTGGCAGGAACAGGCACACAGGTTATCACCTCTATTTACAGATGAGGGGGCTTGAGTAACTTTACCCCATGAGGAAGCAGAAGATCAAGAATTCCTATCTACAGAATGGAATACCATCCAACCATTTAAAAAGAATGAAATCCTGGCCAGGGGCAGTGGCTCACACCTGTATCCCAGCACTTTGGGAGGCCAAGGCGGGTGGATCACGGGGTCAGGAGATCAAGAGCATCCTGGCTAGCATGGTGAAACCCCGTCTCTACTAAAAACACAAAAAAATTAGCCAGGCATGGTGGTGGGCACCTGTAGTCCCAGCTACTCATGAGGTTGAGGCAGGAGAATGGTGTGAACCCGGGAGGTGGAGCTTGCAGTGAGCCAAGATCGCACCACTGAACTCCAGCCTGGGCGACAGAGTACAAAAAAATAAAGAAAGAAAGAATGAAATCCTGTCATTTGCAGCAACATGGATGGAACTGGAGGTCATTATGTTAAGTGAAATAAGCCAGGCACAAAAAGATAAATATTACATGTTCTCATTCATATGTGGGAGCTAAAAATGTTGATCTCATGGAGGTAGAAGGTAGACTGATCATTACCAGAGGCTGGGAAGGTAGGGTGGGGCGGGGAGGAAGAGAGGTTGGTTAATGGGTACAAACATATATTTAGATAGAAGGAGTAAGTTCTGGTGTTCAAAAGCACAATAGGGTGACTATGGTTCAAAACAAGATATTGGCTATTTCATAGTAGCTAGGAGAGAAGATTTCAAATGTTCCCAACACAAAGAAATTATAAAAGTTTGACGTCATAGGAATCCTCAACATCCTGATTTGATCACTCCATATTGTATGCATGTATCAGAATACCACATGTACCCCATAAACATGTGCAATTATTATGCATCAATTAAAGCAATTTTTTAAAAAAGAATTCATATCCAGATCATTCGAAGTCCTGCATGTAGTCCACTCACCTCCAGGAGAGGCTGCAAACATCAAGATGAAGCCTCCTCTGCAGCTCCTGGGTCCTCAGATGTGCCTCTGCTGCCTGCTCTTTCCTCCCTAAAAATGCTGCCCAGATTATCATGCAATGGCCCAACAGCTGCTGCTCCAAAAGTTTCAGGCACAGGGCTCAGCTTCCATACTGCTGGACAGCAGGCATCTTGTTTGATCATTATATCTCCAAACAAGAGTACTCTCCACAAAGGGACACAGATGGGATCCTTGACATTGGGCTTAGTGTCTTTGTCCCCAAATCTCAGGCACTATCATTCTTTTGGATCAAGGCATTTAAGGCATCTGTCCCAATGCAAATGTCACTAAAATTGGGTAGCACCTAAAGCCACATTGATCACTGGCTCCCTAGATGATTAGCTCATCATTGGCCTTGAGGTCCCAAGCAAATGGGACACACACAGGAAAGTTTTAATGAGAGGACAGGGAAGAGGATGGCTTGAGGAAAGGCAAAGCAACTCCATCCACATTGCTAGTCCTGCTGCTGCCTCACAGCCCAGGGCAGACCCCACCTCCCATCCTCTCAGGTCCCACCTCTGTCCCACCCCGCTGGTGACAGCATCTGCCTTAGTCCCCAGTGCCTGAGTCTTATTCCTGAGTATCCCAGCCCCATGGCCAGGACATGCATCTGCCAGCCTGGACTTCCTCTTGCCTGTGTAGAGCTGAGGGTCTTTCCCCAGCACTGCCCCTTCCCCCAGGAACAGCAGTTCCAACTTCCAGCCCCTCCTGGTACAATTAAGAGACCACTGGGGACTGGGTCTTCAGCAAAGCTTCCTGCTTTCCCTCAACACATTTCCCACTGCTTTCTAAAGTTATCTCCGGCCAGGCATGCTCATGCTTGTCATTCCAGCCCTTTGGGAGGCTGAGGCAGGAGGATCACTTGAGGCCAGGTATTTGAGACCAACCTGGGCAGCAGAGCACGACCCTGTTTCTACAAAAACATTTTTAAAAGTTAGCCAGGCCTGGTGGTGGTGCACGCCTGTAGTCCCAGCTACTCAGGAGGCTGAGACAGGAGGAATGCTTGACCCTTGGAGTTCAAGACTGCAGTGAGCTATGAGGGCACCACCATACTCCAGCCTGGGCAACAGAGCAAGGCCCTATCTTTTAAAGACAAAATTTTAATATGAAAAAATTTTTTAAATAAAGTTATTTCCCTGCTCTTGGTAAAGAGCCTCCCAGTTTAACACTCCCACCCAGACTGCATTTACATTACAATTCTGGCTCTGTCCATGCTGATCTCCCAGTCAGAACTCTGCTTCCCACTCACCCTCAGAGAATGTCTATGTGCTGCAGAAAGCCAGCCCTTCCTGACAAGGTCAGTCCACACACCCTCTCCTGACTCCATCTTTTGGTGCTCAACGTCTATGCAGCCAAACTGGCGCCTTATTTAGTATCTTTTCCACTGTCTAATGAAACAACTTAGCACATGTGACATTGTCATTACTACTATGTATTGGTTTTATTTCCCAACTCATTTATAAATGTCGGGGGATCAAAGGATTCTTCTTAACTCTGTGCCTGCTCAGCGCCTGGCCAGGGCAGGACTGTAGTAGCCCCTCTCCTTTGGAAACCGCCTGCCCCATCCACAGGAGTAGGGTCTGGCTGACCTAGATCTCTTGTCAATCCCATCCCACTGGCCACAGTGACTGGTTCAGGAATGGCCTAGGTTGATCCCTTCAGAGTTAGGGAGGAGGCATCACAGACAAATGAGAGAGAGAATATGAGTGAGAGAGACAGCCAACAGTCTTTCCATATGTTTACCTCCACCTGAAACACACAGCTGGGAGCAATGGGCAACCACTGTGTACCTGTCATGTAGTTGAAGTACCAGAAATGACTGGCTTCCTGAGAAGGAAGGATGAAGCAGATGTGCAGTGAGAAGACAAAATGAGAGGAAGTGTACTACCGATTCGTAGAACAAACCAGGGCTCCCTGGCCCTCCTTCCTGGTCCCAGGCCAGCCTGGGGCCAACTGCATTTCCCCACCTGGATTCCACAAGACACCCTGCATCTTTATAATAAAATCCATGTATTTCTACTACCACCAGCTTTAGGTGATTTCTGTTGCTTACAATTCAAAGTTCTGATTAAAGCAAGGGAACATGTTAGGTGTTTAGTAAACTCCTGCACGTTGCTGATTCTATTAATGATTTATCACCACAGATCTCAATTCAAATTGCACTTTGAATCTTCTTTTTAGCATCTTCTGTTAAGTGCTTTGAAACAAAGGCCTCTAACTGGCTAACTTATCCATCAACCACATTTGTGTTTCCTAACACAAATATCATGGTCGCACTGATACCAACTTGTACATAAATGCCCACGTGCACCTAGCATGCATATCACTGTGATTCTACATAGCAGACACTCAGAGCATTTTGCCCCCTTCCCAAGAGCATTTTGCCCCTTCCGCTTCTTGTACTCCAAAAGAGAAGAGAATAATGAAAAATAAATCAATTTTATAGTCAACAGCTTGGGTGATATCTCTGTGATAGCACTTAACAGTCACATACCCTGAGCAAGATATTCAGCCTCTGAGCCACACTCCACAAGACATTGCCACTATGCCACCAGTGCTAGGGGCTGAGAGTGCAGTCCTTGTGTGAGACTCACTGGACACTTAAAGAATCATCTCCCAAAAAGATATACCGCAGGATGCTTTTCCAGAACAGAGGTCAGCAAACTACAGCCCATGAGTCAAATCTGGCCTACAGCCTATGTTTGGAAATAAAGTGTTATTGGAACATAGCCACATCCACTTATTTCTCTATTGTCTGTGGATGTTTTTGCACTACAAAGGGAGGGCTGATTGGTTACAACAAAGACCATATGGCCCACAAAGCCTAAAATGTTTATCACCTGGTTTTTACAGGACATGTCAGTAGGTCTAGAAGATGCCAATAATTACACTGTAAAGAAAAAGAGTACCTAGGTTAATAAGTTCAGGAAATAATGAATTAAATAGATTTTTCTACAGGACTTATCAGAGTCTTTAATACATAGAAGTGAGCTATGAATCTTTAGGAAGGGGATGCAGTAGAATGTTTTCTACACTTATTTGAACACAGAGCCCTTTGCTCAGCACACATCTTGAGGGACTGGTGCTCCAAAGTCAGGAGGAGTTCCTCATGATACATTAAAGATACTCAGTCCAACTCCACCTGCATCACGGGGTTGCTAGGGAGATCAAATGCAATGCAACATGAGTGTGCCATGCAAGCCACAAGGCAAACAAGAATCACCCCTTCATCCCAGCCACTCATCAGGTGTTCCAAAGGCATTTTATCCCCGTTTCCCACCAGCCATTATGAGGACAGACACAAATGGCTTCAAGGCATCAACTGTTTCCAAGAACCTGCTGATTCTGAAGAACCATCCCAGCCTTCATAGAAAAGTGCATGACTGTAAGGTTAATGGGAAGGGTTGCTGTGAGATTCGATTTGTTTCCATTAAAGAACATCAATTAATCTTGATTCTGGATGGAAGACAGGCACTTCTCCTCTCGAAGTTTCAATTAGCTCCCAGCACTACACAGGAGTGAAATCGGCTCCAGATAGATCATTTCCTTGTGCAATGCCATTTCACAAGCCACGGGGCTCTGAAGGAAAACAGACGCCCCTGCAGAAGAGAAGGCCTGACCCTCCTCTCCAAACACGCCTGCAACAAACACATGCATACACCATGCCCGCAGCCCTTCCACATGATACCTACAGCAACAGTCAGGTTTCGTCACCGAGTGCTACCCAAGCCAAGTTAATAGAACAACTCATTTAGACATGAGACTTGGCTGTTTCTGACTCAGACCTCTGGAAGCCCCCAGGGAAGGCTGAGCCGGTCAGGACCCCAAACTAGGTAGCAGCCATGACATTCGTGTTGAAATGTCATGCCATTTACAAGTGGTGTGGAAAAGGGAATAGAGGGAGGAAAGTGTGAAGGGAGATGGACGTGTGGGAACACCACGCACCCCTCCTCCACCCTGCACACTTAACCCTGTTCAGGCAGGTCAGAGGGTGCCTGCCCATCTTCTCCCCCCATGCAGACTCCAGCATCTTCCAAATGTCGAGTAATCGTGGAGCACCCTGCCATTCCCAAGAAATACCGCCTTCCCAAAATTGCCACAATTCACAAATACCTTCATATCTGTGGGAGAAAGGCCCCAAGAAAGGGCGAGTCCTTAAACAGAGAGATAAGGGAAAAGTAAAAGGGAAACTCAAAGGATGACTCAATAAAAGAATACACTGAGGCAACCACAGTGAAAACACGAAACTGCCACCAGATGGCTGTACCATGGATGGCCAGACAAGCTCCTATGTCTACACTAGAAATAACTCAGAACAGCAGGGCATCTCCTAAGTGAGAAGCCTGCAGAACCACACAGGGAGGGGCTGGCTGTGCAGGGAAGTGGTGTTGGAGGGTGTCCTATAGGTTGTGAAGGTCTAGGATGGACAATTTCAGCCTGAGAACCAAAAAGCAGAGAGACAGAGTCAAACAGCGTGGAAGTCTAGCAAATTCTATTGCAGAGCAGGGCAATCAAGAGGTCTACAGGCAGGCCTCACTCCCCTCAACTCGTAGCAGCCAACAGATTAGAGCTAACAGTCCTTGAAGATTCCTGCTTCTGGGTAAAGTGCCTGCAGTTTCTACCACCAAATCCCCAAACTTCATAAAAAGATTCAGTTCTCTGTCTCTCACCAGCAGATGACAGAGAGGTTCTGAGCCTGGAGTGAGGGGCCTTTGGAGAGAACAGTGCTTCACGTGACACTCAGGGCTTCCAAGCAGAAACTGCCCAGCTCAGGACCCACCTGAAAGCAGCTCTGTCTCAGCCACTTCCAGGAAATCCATCTGGTCTCTCTGCACCCAACACCACCTTCTCAGGGCAAGGATGGTCAGCAGCTTCCAGGAGAGAGGAGACTACTGTCTGCAAATGTCTAGCAGGCTTTGCTGAGGAAGAGGAAGCCACTGTCCTGAACAGCTCCAGAACAGGCCCACAGTGTGGAAGTTACCAGGTTGAAGACTTGGGTCATTATAAGGAAAACCACTGGGGGCCTTGGAGCCATACAATAGAACAGCTGGGGGTGTTTACTGAGATGAAAGAATTGGAGGCTGACTGTGTGTGAGCCACAGGTACTTTTTAAAAGCAGCTATAAAAGCATTTCTGCTCCCACTCCCTCTACCCCAACCCCATCCCCTGGCAAACTCCCAGCTGCCCGCCCTTCTGCTAGGGGATGACCAAGCAGAGTCCACAATGGCACCTTAAGGTCACAACAGCGCAGGGCCTTTAAAACAAGCCATGACACCAGGGATGGCAAACTCCAACACCTATTGGGGCCAGGCAGGCCGGGTAAACAGGTGACGCAGGCCAGGTAGGGAGTTTAGGACCATGACCAAGGGAGAGCTCAAGTCCTGCCACAGAAGGGCAATCGGTGCTCATCCCCAGAACAAAAGCCCAGCGCTGCCAGACCTTCTGACTTTTATAAAAGCTGCTGGGAAGTCCATATTTTATACAAAATCTCCTCATTTTTACAAGTTGGCATCTAACTCACATTTTTAAAAGACACAGTACAGGCCAAATAAAACACACCTGAGGCTGGATCGGGCCCATGTGCTGTCAGTCTGCAAGCTCTGCATAAAAGTTCAGCTTTAAAAAAAAATTACCAGTAATGTGCAGAGCAGATCCTGCCCCGCAACCCCAACCCCCGACCCCTATCTCTGAGAAATAAGGCAGGGGGTCAGGGGTGGGGTAGAGGCAGTGATATCTTTTGCCCACATTACTTGGTAAGAACTGGAAGTTTACATTTCCATTTTGAGCCTCTTCAGGGAGTCCTGCTTTCCTCTATCAGAAAGAGTTTTACTTTTGTTATGGAAATTATTTTCCTCTACTGGGCTGCAGAAAGCAGAAAATCTCAGATTGGCAGAGACCTTCTAAGTCACCTAGAACAAATCTCCCTCTGATGCCTAAATCCCCACTCTTGACAATCTCTTCCAGGGATTCATCACCCAGCCTCGAGCACCTCCTACGCCTGGGAGATCAAGGCTTAGGAGACTGCCTGCCTGTTCCTTCAAGACAGCTCTAATTGTTAGAAAGGTCTTCCAGACACTAGACTTCTATAAACGCAGCCCAGAATCAGATTAGGTTTTTTGGCAACTGCCTCACAGTGACTCACAGCAAAACTCACTGTCAACGAGAACCTTAAGTCTTTTTCACAAGTGCTGCTGCTAAGCACACCTCTCCCCAGTCTACAGACTGGTTTTCAGACATAAGGGCAAGACTTTACACTTTTTCCTCATTAAATTTCAGCCCACCTACATGGGGTGATGAGATGGCCATCCATTCACAGCTACAAATCTGTTAATTTCTCAGATTGTTTTCAGAGGACCATGACCCCATCTCTGCCCCTCAAATTGTTGAAGCTGATGGCTCTTCATTTCATCGATAACACAGATGGCACCATGAGCACCTGCCAGGAAATGCAACCTGCTATTCACCTTCTCCAAACCCCGTCTGCAGGAAATGATATTTATGGAGGATTGGCTCAAGGTGGATCCATTCCTCCAGGTCAAAAAAACCCACCTGCCCACAGGAGCCAAGCAGGCAACAGAAATGAGCAAAGTGGGCCAGGTGGGCACTGGCACAAGTCCGAGCCCCTGTCCCATTGGAAGGGAACAGCCAATTTTTGCCTCTGAGAATGAGGGCCCAGTGTTCCTAGATCTTCCCATTTTCTAAGAGCTGCCAGAAGTCTGGATTTTTACATGAACTCCCCTGATTTTTTTTAACTCTCTTCATTTTTAAGTGTTGGAAATGATGAATTCATTTTTGTAAATCCTGCAAAGGCCAAACAAAACATGCTAGTGGGTCTAACTTTGCCTGCAAGCCATCCGTTCTGCCATGAATGTTGTAAATTTCACTCTTGGATTGAATCGACCCCTCAAAATCTGGGTAAGAGTAATAACAGAGCGCACTTATTGAGTGTGGCCCACATTCCAGACATTGGGTAAGCATGGGTTATGTCATTTAATCCTTGCAAGAGTCCAATGGGTGCCCATTTGAAAGAGGAAGAAACTGAGGCATAGAGAGGGGAGATGCCTTGCCCAAGGTCAAGCAATTAGTAAGTGACAATGTTGGGATTCAGTCCTAGATCTGTCTGGCTTCCCAGTCCAATGCAGAGTCCTTGGACCACACTGTTTGGGCAGAATTACTTCTTGTGAATTGTGCTTTGGTGTTAAAATTATCAAATTACATTGCGATGTTTTTAACTACTAAAAATGCATTACGGTGGCTACGATAGGAATGACTAAGGACACCATCTAATGCATCACTGGGTCTTCAGTGGCCTCTAGCACCTGAATGCCCCTCCCTCATTCCCCTCAGGGGTTGGGGGGCAGTCAGAGACAAATACAGCAGCACTTCTTGTTGGGGGAGAGTATCCTGCCCTTGAGTAAAACTTCAAACTCATCCTTAAGGAGATGACAAAGGTTTTACTGGAAGTAATGACAGGGAGTCTCCATGGTGAAGTTTGAAAGGATGATGGTAAGTCGGAGGCAGTTTTCCATCACAGACATAGAATGGTTTGTTATGCTGTCATGCAATTCTCATTGTACAACCCAATCTGATGATCATAGTTTGAGACAGAAAATAAAGCATAACTTCTTGGCCTAATCCAAAGGTGGCAAACTCAAACACATGTAGAAACCAGGCAGGTTAGGCCAATGACAAGCAGCAGCAGGTGTAAGAGAAGGGTGTCGTGGGGACCCAAGAGCTTCTGGGATAGGGAGGTGTAGGGGCTCAAGAGCACATACCTTGTCTAAAAAAGGCAGCCGCCAGTCAGCTCTGGCTGATTGGTTACTGCATGAGAACAGGCACCCAGTGCCGCCAGATCATGCAATTTGCTTTTAAAAAGTCAGAAATGCAGATATTTAAATGAAGTTGCCCAATTTTGTTGTGCATCTCAAGTAAATGCACCACTGGCCAATGCTAGCAAATGCACAGCCAGACCACTTCCTGCCTAGTGCTCAGGGTTGGTCCAGAAAAAAAAGTAAGTTGAATTTTTCTCCTGTTGAGTCCTGAACTGCTTCAAACATCCAGAGAAGAGGAGGGAAGCCAGAGAGGCCTTCCTAAATCCTTGGGGGTTACACTAGCCAGCTCCTGGATGCACGGCAGGCACCCTATGGAGGGGTGCTGGGGATGCAGCCTGGACTTCATTGATTTCTTCTGCAGTAGGAGACAGCTAACAGCCACATCCTAAGTTGATCATAGGTTTGGCTGCTAAGTTCTTGGGGGCAACAGAAGAAAGATCAACAAGGTAGAAGAAGGAGGGTGATGTTGACACCTAGCAAGCTAAAAGTCAACTCTAGGCCGGGCGCGGTGGGCTCACGCCTGTAATCCCAGCACTTTGGGAGGCCGAGGCGGGTGGATCATGAGGTCAGGAGATCGAGACCATCCTGGCTAACATGGTGAAACCCCGTCTCTACTAAAAATACAAAAAATTAGCCGGGCGCGGTGGCGGGCGCCTGTAGTCCCAGCTACTCGGGAGGCTGAGGCAGGAGAATGGCGTGAACCCGGGAAGCGGAGCTTGCAGTGAGCCGAGATTGCGCCACTGCAGTCCGCAGTCCGGCCTGGGCGACAGAGCGAGACTCCGTCTCAAAAAAAAAAAAAAAAAAAAAAGTCAACTCTACTTACTCCTCCCCAAATCAGGGTTATTATTAAGGGCATAGTAGTCCACCCACTGGAAGGAAAGGTGATATTATGGACTAGCTAGGTTCTACGATACAGTCATGAACCAAAATTCCCAGACATTGCACTTCTAAGAAGCTCAAAGGTTCAGTCTGGGTGGGTCCAGACTTTTGACATTCTTCTTTCTGTGGCTAGGTAGGCCTGGTCACATCTGGGAGAGAAGCAGGAGCAGTCGTCTAGCTGGTCCCTATAGGAAAGGGGTCAGATACTCCAGCTGTCCCCCAAGGCTGACCCACTCCAGATCAGCTTCCTCTACCCTGGAGCAATAGAGCTGAGATTCAGGTGTGGGCCCGGACAGAGGCCGGCATGGCAACCTCCCTAGGCCAAAGGCGTTCTCCACGTGGAGAACAGCTCACCAGAATTCTGTGTTCAGCCACAGCTTTGAGATAAGATTTCATTTCCTAGCCAGCGGCCTGTGTCACACATATCTCGCTAGAATCTCTTGGGGAGGGGCCAAAAGCCACTGGACAAGGGACAGGATGGGGTCAGGGCCTGAGGTCTGGCATCCTAACCAAATGCCAGTTGGTCCCTACCCCATTCATATTTCTATCTATTTATAGGATAAATTCTTCTCAGGGCTCAAGATCCAAAACAATGTAGCTTCTTTCAATGAGTGGGTGGTTTTTCTCTTAAAGATACTATTAAACTTCGCATTTTTAGAGTCAATTCCTCATCCCCTCCTGCTAAGCGCTCTGCTTCCTGGTTCTCTCTGCCACAGGATTCGCTGTTTCTCTGAATGGTAACCTCGGTTTATTGAGTATCTGCTATGTGTCTATTCTGGCCTGAATGCTTTATTTACAGCAACTCCCAAGGTAAGTATTACTGTCCTTATTTTACAGAGGAAGAAGCTGAGCCTCAGAGAAGTTAAGCAACTCATTCACTGACAGCACTAGAATTTAAACCCAGACTCCAGAGCCTGCAGCGCGGCTCTTACAGTTGTGATTTATTAATAACAATCGGTGACGCTGACTGAGTGCCAGGCACTGTGCTAAGGGTTTTACACACATTATCTCATCTAACTGGCTCAATAACTGTTTGAGGTTGGATTATTATTATTACAGATGATGACAGTGAGGCTCAAAGAGATGAAAACACTTGCCCAAAGTCACACGGCTAGAAAGTGGCTAAAAGGTTGCAAACCCTGGTCAGTTCAATACCAACAACTGTGTTCCCAATTACTAAGCCTGCCTTCCTTGGTTTCCTGACATTCTCAAACTGGATGGGCATGCTCACATCCTCATCCAGGTAATTAAAACACTGAACAGGAGACAGCCTTTTGGCATGCCACTGGAGACTTCACCTAGGATGACAATCGTACCCCCATGCCAGAATCACATCTTCAAACAGTTATGAACTCATCTAATGGTGCTACCTGATTGGTCTGTGCTTGGGAACTGGTGTGGGAGAGGGAAAAAGAAAGCATGGATTTGGGCAGGCACAGTGGCTCATGCCTGGAATCGCAGCACTTTGGAAGGATAAGGCAGGAGGATCGCTTGTGCCTAGGAGTTTAAGATAGCCTGGGCAAAATAGCAAGACGCTGTCTCTACAAAATTTTTTTTTAAAATTAGCCAGGCATGGTGGCATGCACCTATAGTCCCAGCTACGCAGGAGTCTGAGGCAGGATTGCTTAAGCAGTTCAAGGCTGCGGTGAGTTATGATGGCGCCACTGCATTCCAGCCTGAGTAAGACCCTATCTCAAAAAAAAAAAAAAAGAAAAGAAAAGAAAAGAAAAAAGAGCAGACTCGTAGCAGGACATGAAAAGGGGCCAAAGCTGAGATCGGTCCCCTGTCTTCTAACTGCAGGTCTACCCCAGGGCTCTGTTACTAGATTTGGCTTCAATCCTCCCCCTGCCCATTCAGATGATAATTATCAGGGTCTTGGAGGTACCACAGCCCCCAAATTGAATCTCAGATAATCCTTCCAGCTTTGTCGAGCCACTGGAAGTTTTCCCACTTCCAGGGGAAATAGGGACTTTGTGGTTTATCGGCCAAGGTCTGGGGTGGAAGCCAAAAAGGGCTTTTGTCCAAGGAGCTCAGAGAAGGCTTCTTCCACAGCTCTGACAAACAATAGTGTAACTGGTGATCTGGGGGGGCATTCCCGTTTCTTGGGAGACTTTTCTCCTAGAGTATCAGGATTTGCCTTCTCACAATCCCTTGTCATTCATCTTGCCTCCCTTGGAAACGGCCGTCACCCATTTGGCAGTAATGAGGATGGAAGGATGCGGTTCTGTCTCTTTAGAAAACTGGGCAATTAAATTTTCTTTAATGAAGTTCTTTATTTTCTCCTAGCAATATAATTTCTGTTGTGGATTTGGATAAATGTTTTTTAATTCCTTTAAATAGAAATGGAAGATAATGTTTTCTGGAAGACTATCTTAATATTTTTATAGGCCAACACCGAACTGTGTGTGTATTTTTCTCTCCTTGATAGCTATTCCAGAAGTTGCTTTGAATGCCTCCTGTGTGGCAGGCCCTAAGCACAAGAATTCGGGAATGAATAAAACAAGGCTTCTGCACTCAATGAGCTCACAGAGGGACAGACACATAAACAACCCCACTGTAATAGCAGCATGTCCAGGGTAGGAGTGGGACAAAAAATAGAAATAATGAACATTTCCGCAGCACTCGAGAGTTTACTTTCTCACACACCACCTCATTTGATCCTCACAGCAACCACCCTTTAAGGTTGATAATGCCCTCATTTCACAGATGAGGAAGCCAAGATGCAGAATGAAGAATGCAGACGTGACTCGCTCAAAAGACAGACCAGAGATGGAAAATCGGGTCTTATGAGTCTAAACCCCAGACTCTGGCCACTGCATCACGATGGCTCCTGACTGAAACTCGGTAAATTAAAAGGTTAAGCTGAACTTTTCCACTCTTCTACCCATATTTCAAAGTTTTGAAAGAGTATGGAAAAACTTCCTCACTGCGTGGGGGAATAATTCGGTAAAATATTACGTTTCATTTCAGCAATCATCCTTACACTACATAATGAGCACCACAGTAAGTTCAGCATAATTTAAATAGCTCTTGCAGGTGTCACTTTCTTTCTTTTACAGTTCAGCTGATGTCTGAGCATCCTCTCTAGCAGGAATTTTGCCAACAAAGTCCTTACTTACTGTCAACTTCGTGGAATTTTAAATCAGAAAAGGAATACATGCTCATTTTTTTCAGAAGCCAATCAAAATTGAACAGTATAAAGATGAAAAGGTCTTCTTTCCCCTGTCCCCTGACACTACCACCCTATTCCACCCCTCGTCCCCAAGGGTAAACCTCATTACCAATCGTCAAAAACCAAAGACTCTTTTTATACATATCTAAATATATAAGGACATAGGGTTTTTATTTTTAAAACTGTAATACATACACACACAGACACACATACACACACACACTTTGGGTGTTATTTTTCCCACCTCACTCAGCAATAGTCTACCTAATTATTAAATGTTCTTTTGCTTTCAAAAAAAAGATACACAGCCAAACTGGTGAGTTTACTATAGACCAGGGCCAATTATGTTAAGTTCATGAAATCTGAGGCACTTGTAAAATGCAGATTCCCAGGGTCCACCCACTGCCCCCCAACAGAGATTCTGATTCAGTAGGTCTGGGGTGGTTCCTAGAATTCAAGTTCCTTGAATTTGTTACAAGTTCCTCCAAGGTGATTCTGCTGCAGGTGGTCCAGGAACCACACTGGGAGAAACACACACATAACAGGCAAAGAAAGTGTCATGCCTGTCTACAACTTACTAGTATTTTCTTTTCCCAGCTACCCATGCTGCCAACTCCACGTCTCCTGATGTCTTTTAGTACTGCCCCACCTTACTCTCCTTCCCAACCAGGTGCACTTACTAATGGCTTCAGCTGTTGGTTCAGAATCACTGTCCAGGACTCTGAATGCTGGTGCCCCACTTACTGGCTTAGCCGACATTTCTAGTGTTTAATTAATGCTACTGTGTGCCAAGCACTGTGCTGGAAATTCTGACTTATGTTATTTCAATTAATTACCCACACACACAGTGAGGTGTTATTATGTCCCTCTTTCACATGAGGAAACTGGAACTCAGAAAAGTTAATGACTTTCATCCAAGGTCATTCAGCTGATTCACCATGAGCCGTGATTGAACCCCGGTCTGGGTGACTCCACCCAGGGCATCACAGCTGCCTCCTTCCACGTTACATTCCACTTTCTTGTCTCATCTATCTCTGTGACTTTAGCTTAATTCTATCAAGAGAAGGTGGGTTTCAATCTTCTTCAGCTGATTCCTGGCTTTAATTTCACCTTAAAAGCACTCATCCCACGATGGTATTTACCATCCTGAATAGAGCTATTATAAAATCCCCTTTCTGGAACCACTTTTATCTTTTACACCTGGAGTTGTGTGTTTCTCTTAGAAGCACTGATCTTTCTGACCCCTTAAATATTTTGATGACTTCTGACCCTTCTCTAAATGGAAAGATGGTTCTGTCTAGATCCTAAAGAGCTCAGGAAACAATGATGGTGAGGTAAGCTTAGTCAATACAACTCAGCTTTACAAATCAGTATCAGTAAATCACCCACAGCATTTTCAGCCCTTTAGATCCATTTGCTATAGATTCCCCCATGCACACTGCACCACTCCTTCCATAACACTCAACACTTTTGTAATTACAAATTATCCTTTGTCTTCCCCACAGAATTATAAAGTCTGTGCGGGCAGGGAACATAGTAGGAGCTCAATAAATATTTGTTAAGCTAAATCTATGTGAACTGGCCCACCACATTCTCAGCATTTCTTTCACACAATTCCCAGTAACATAATTCTATGTTTCTGGCAGACAGCAGTAGAGCCTCTGCCATTTTTGGAGCAGAGTTTCAATGGTGATATTATGCCAAGTACGAGATCCAGCAAGACAGAGATGCTCAGGGTGGGGCCTGAACCTGGAGGATCAGGCCAAGGATGGAGCCCTAGATTAGCTGAGGGTCACGGGACAAATAAATTCAAACAACCACAACCAGGCAAATGATCAAGGGTCCAGAAGATCGGAGCAAGAGGTCAAGGAGTAATCAACTATAAGACGTCAGAAGCCAGAGAGTGACTGTTGTTCTGCCTCAGTTTCCCCAAGGTAATAGATCTTTGGGAGACCCAAAACATCCTGTCTGGAGAGGCCACTGATCAAAGTAAAGACATTGTGACTGCCAACTCTGCTTGGAAGTGTCCTACCGAGACACTGAGTTGGAGAACAGCCATGTCGCTTGGCCAGTTCACATTCTTTAGTACAAATTAAATCACAGACATGACATCCATTCTTTTGTGTCCCTGAAGGTGGCTGAGATGTTTCATTGGTAAGAGTCTTCTCATGTCATTTCTCTGACCCTCTTAAGGCACTATAAGCTATAGAAGGTCCCCTAAGGAACTGTCTCATCCTGCCAAGCTTGAATCTCTCAGCGAGAACTCTACCCGCCTACAGAAATCCAGGTCTTTCTATTTGACAAATGGTTGGAAAACTTACTGATCTACATTAACTGTATTTTGAAAATGCTCTCACCAGCAATCGGAAGCAAGGGGATGGCAGGCTACATCTGCCAGGAGCAGACAAGCAATCCGGAATCCAAAAAGTATCACAATGGCCAGGAAATCCAGCAGAGAGCAACAAGGAGGAAAGGAAAGGTAGACCAGGGAACAGGTACCAGCAGGGAGGGTCTCCAGCTGCTGAAGATGAATCCTTTGCCCTAGACAAGCCTCTCCCTTTAGCACTTGCTGCCAAAGACAGAAACTGCTGCCTAGGACCAACAGGGAAATAAGACTGTCAGGGATGGGAAGGGGGAAATTCTAGCTGAAAGTGGCTGGGACAAATGTGGCAGTGAGGGAAGTTCTTGATGAGTTAGCTCAGTTCCCCCCAGTTTTACCCAAATCACAAAGACCTGAGACAGAAGTGACCAACACAAGCCAGGCGCCACAAGAGAGTGGTGTCCCCTCCCTAAAGGACCATTAAAACGGACGTAGGAGGTCACGCATATTGATGTTCTTACTTGACAAACTGTTTATTTTTAGGCCATACTCTATTTCAAGTCCTCAGCCTATAGGCCTATGATTATTTTCCTATCAGCTTTATTTTTATAACTCTGCCTTAAAGATCTATGATCCCATTTTTATTATACACAGATATAAAACAAATGTGATTGATAGAGACGTGAAGTCTGGAAGGAAATACATTGAATGTTTATAGTGGTTATTTCAGGTAGGGGCTTCTAGATTCTTATATTTTCCTTAAAGGAGTCAAATTCACACAAAGAGTAGCATGGTGGCTGCCAGGGGTTGGGAACGAGGAGGAAACGAGTAGCTATTTTTTTTCTTTTTCTTTTTTTTTTTTTTTTTTGAGATGGAGTCTCGCTCTGTCACCCAGGCTGGAGTGCAGTGGCATGATCTCGGCTCACTGCAAGCTCCACCTGCCGGATTCACGCCATTCTCCTGCCTCAGCCTCCCGATTAGCTGGGACTACAGGCGCCCGCCACTGCAGCTGGCTAATTTTTTTGTATTTTCAGTAGAGACAGTGTTTCACCGTGTTAGCCAGGATGGTCTCGATCTCCTGACCCCGTGATCTGCCCGCCTCAGCCTCCCAAAGTGCTGGGATTACAAGCACGAGCCACCGCGCCCGGCCAAGGAGCTATTGTTTAATGGGTACAGAGTTGCATTTCACAAGATGAAAAAAGTTATGAAGATGGGTGGCATTTAATGTGAATGCATTTAATACCACTAAGCTGCACAATTAAAAATGGGTAAGACGGTAAACTTTGTGTTTGTGTATTTTACCACAACAAATAAATACGACTCTCATCCATACCATCTTCAAGGTCAAAGACTTACAGGATCTGATGATCAGACAGGAACTTCAAGCTCTTCTCCTTTCCAGCCTCATCTCCCACCACCATTTTGTTCCACCTACTCAGGATTTTAGCCACCTCAAACTCCTCACCATTTCTCAAGTACCCTGACCCTTTTGTGACCCCCATACCTTTGCACATGCTGTCTTCTCTTCAGGTAATGCCTTTCACCACCTGGAGAGCTTCTATTCATCCTTCAAAATCCTGCTTAAAAGATCCTTCTTCTATAAGAGTTTCTCCAGCTCTCCCTGGTAAAGTTGAAACTTCATTGTAAGTTTCCACAGTGCCTGGTTCTACCACTGTCCCAGTACTTACTACACTGTGTCATAATTTATTAACCTATTTTTATAACGGTCTGATAGTTTGGTTGTGTCCCCGCCCAAATCTCATGTCAAATTGTAATCCCCAGTGTTGGAGGTGGGGGCTGGTGGGAGGTGATTGGATCAGGGGGATGGATCCTTCATGAATGGTTTAGCACCATCACTTTGGTGCTGTTCTCATGATGGTGAGTGAGTTCTCAGGAGATCTGGTTGTTTAAAAGTGTGTGGCACTTCCCCCCCCCTCTTCTTCCTACTCCTGCCATGTAAGATGTGCCTGCTTCCCCTTCACCTTCTGCCATGATTGTAAGTATCCTGAGGTCTCCCCAGAACCCAAGTAGATGTCAGCATCATGCTTCCCGTACAGCCTGTGGAACTGTGAGCCAATTAAACCTCTTTTCTTTATAAAGTACCCAGTCTCAGGTGTTTCTTTATAGCAGTGAAAGAAGAGATTAACACTGTCTTTTCATAGAACTATGTGTCTGAGATGGGGATGCAAAAATTGGTGAAATATAGTTCCCATTCTTATCTTTGATAAGACTTAAGTTTCATAAAACTATGAAACTATTTTTGTGTCCCCATCTCAGACACATACTAGGAACTCAATTAATAGAATATATGCCAGATTCCCTGCAGTATTCCTGCAATCGGCCACCTGTTCACTTCACTTCCTTCTAAGTCATCCATTGGGTGGCTCTGCATGGATACAATTATCCCATCTCTGGATTTTTCATCTTCCTGCATTACGTCTCAATCAGGGTTTGGGGAAAGACTGGATCTGCTTCAGTATGCACCCCAAAACGTAATATCTATGTGTTCTTGTATGCAAAGTCCATCACAAGAACACCTATAATCATTCATTCGTTCAACAAAAATTGTGACCATTGGCACCTAGAACACCCATTGCCCCCAGGGGACATTTGGCTATGTCTGGAGACATTTTTGATTGTCACAACTGGGAGCGGGGATGCTACTGGCATCTAGTGAGTACAGGTCAGGAATGCTGCTAAACATCCTACACTGTGTTCTAGGTGCCAAAAAACACTAATGAACAAGAGAAATCAAAGCTCTTATTGAGTTTCAGTCCTGGTGAAGAGAAGAAACAAAGAAAGCGTGAAAAATATCATATAGCTTTTAGTGCTCTGCTAAGAATTCAGGTCAGCTGATCCAATAGAGAGTTGCTGTTCGGCTACTTAAGATGGGTTAGTCTGCAGGTGGCATGCAACCTCAAAGCAGAATACCAAGAAGGAGCCAATCAAGTGGCAATCCAGGGCAAGAGCATTCCAGAAAGATGGAAAATCTAAGTGCAAAGGCCCAAAGCAAGTACAAGCTTGGAGAAGTCCAGAAACCAGTACAGGCCAGCATGACTGGATAGAATGACAAGGGGAGAGTGACCAGGGGAGGGAAAGAGGTGAGCACAGCGTGGCTTTCTAAGTGCAGTTGAGGGGCTTGGATTCTAGTCTCATGCAATGAGATGCTACTGAAGGGTTTTAAACAGGGAAGTGACATGGCCAGATTTAAATGGTGTACAGATTACTGCTGGCTGCTGTGGGGAGAGTAGACTATGGGACAAGAAAAGAAGCAGGGAGACCGCTTAGAACTGTGGTTCTCAACTAGGAGTGATTTTGTCCCCAGGGGACATTTGGCTATGTCTGGAGACATTTTTGATTGTCACAACTGGGAGCAGGGATGCTACTGGCATCTAGTGGGTACAGGTCAGGAATGCTGCTAAACATCCTATGTTATACAGAACAGCACCTTCAACCACAAATGATCCAGCCCAAAATGCCAACTGTGGGTGAGAAGCTCTGAGTCAGGAGACCCTGAGAAACTTTGGGTTGCACTGGTCCCAGCAAGAGGTAATGGCAGGCTAGGCCAGGATGGAGGAGATGGAGAAGGAAGGAAATTCACTGTAGTTAATACTTTGAAATATTGAATGCTTTTCTCCAAATTTTCTTGACCCCCTTGGTCCCTCCTCAGTCAGGGAGGGCATTCTGTGTTCATTGCCTCAGGGATAATGCAGAAAAAGAGTCAATTCTTGGCATTTTTTCAAAAGTCCTTAGGGAGGAGAGAAAGAACGTGAGATTTATGGAAAACAGCTTTGACAGAATGTCTGATGACAAAGCCAGGATACCACCCTTGTTCCCCGCCCCACCACACGAGCATATGGGTAAAGATTTCCTAGACCAAAGTGGAGAGTAAATCAGTAAAGCAAAGTATATGTAGGTACAGGGATCTATAAGAAAAAAATCTGCACCCTGCCCAACTCATCCCGAACAAGCCCGGGGAGGGAGATGATGAGGCAACCACCAAACAGATTCACAGAATCTAAGAGTGGAGAGAAGCCGGATCCCTTCCCCAGGCAGAGCCCTAGGGAGGCACCAGGGGAGAAGCAAGTGTTGAGTGTGGCCAAGACAGGCCTGAGGCAAATATCCAGGGTCCCTCATGGCCCAGTGTGGTGTGTGAGCAGCAGAATCGCCTCTGGTGCCAGCAAATTGCATGGAAGGAACCAAGGAGAGGGGGACACATGAGGAACAAAGAAGGATTGCTGACACAGACCAACCACCAAAGACTCAATAAGAAAGAGGATGTCCCAGTAGCTGCCAAAGTAGATTGATGATAAACCACAACAGATGTCCTCACAAGGGCCTTGGTGCTGCCTAAGTCCCCCTGGATCTTGGAGCACAACCCTGGAGGGAAACCCCAAATTGACTTATACTTATTTCTGTCACCCCCAGCAGAATAAAGATGTGAGGCCGGCCGCAGTGGCTCACACCTATAATCCCAGCATTTTGGGAGGCCAAGGTGGGAGGATCACTTGAGGTCAGGAGTTCTAAACCAGCCTGGCCAACATGGTGATACCCTGTCTCTACTAAAAATACAAAAATTAGCTGGACGTAGTGGCTGGCACCTGTAATCCCAGCTACTTGGGAGGCTGAGGCAGAAGAATCACTTAAATCCAACAGGCATAGGTTGCAGTGAGCCAAGGTTGCACCACTGCATTCCAGTCTGGGCAACAGAGCAAGACTCTGTCTCAAAAAAACAAAAGATAGAGATGTGAAATGGAGACTGAGTCACCAAGAAAGAAAGAAAAATATATTTCTTGTGCACCTGGGTTTGTAGCTGAGATTTGTTCACTCTGAGGCACAAGGGAACATGGGCTTCTCTGTGTTCATCTGTGCCATTATCACCTAGCACTGGCTATGCAATCCCAGGGGGAAGAGCCAGGTCCATTCAAGGAACCTGGAACACTCTGCTGCAGCAGTGTGCACCCCATTACCATCACGCACAGATGGGCACACGCAATGCATATTGATTAGGGCTGCACTGTTTCCAAATTACCATTTAAATCAATGGTTGAGCACTCTGTAATTGGAAATGTCAAAATCCACATTTCCTAGGTGAACTCAAAGCACTACATTGATATCACTCAGCTCAACTAGATGTGCATTTGTTTTACTTCTTTCCCTCTTCAAACTGCTCTCTGAGACAAGTATAAAACATTAGGGAACTGAGCCAGAGGCAAAAAGAAAAAGCACCCAGATGATCCATGAATTGTGCAGCCTGACATATTCTAAAATGTAACTCAGAAAACAGAGTCTTGTGACCCAGTCCATGAAAAATATCTACACAATCAAGTAAGTTTGAGGAAACTCCATGGGCCCTACTGAGCGATTCACACTTAACACAAGCAAGATTCCCAGAAGTCCTGGGGGAAGCAGGCCTATTTCACACTGTTTATTCTAGAACTTCCAAAATCTATTAGAGCACACAACTACTTTTTTTTCACCCAACACCTCTTTACAACCAATTTAAAGGAATACTCTTAGGGAACATTATCCCAAACATAAACTAGCATAATGATTCAACAAACTGAGGGAATAGAGTTAAAGTGCCATTATTTGCCAGCCAAGATGTTTTATGAACACCAACAAGCCATCAGGAATGAATATTTTCCAAGTGAAATCAAGCCCAAGACAGCTTCCTGGGCCCTGTATTAAGCCAGAAGTTCTCAAGCTCAGCACCTTTAAAAAGTCAACCCCGTCCCTTCCTAATAGCTGTGAAGGAAAGGACTCAATTTCAGGAGGCAGCCCAAACTCACCCCCTCCTGACCTCACCAATCCTTACCCGGCTAGACACCCTTGCCTCATCTTTCTTTCCAAGGTACTACTCAGCTCTGCCTCCCCAGGCAACCATCACACACCAGAACAATTCAACTCAGTAATATGTATTGATCACCAACTAGATGGTGGGCACTACGCTACAGCAATGAACCAAGCAGATAAACCTTCCACCGTCATGGAGAGACAGTCTAAAAGTAATCTGAAAGCCACAGCCCCTCTCCAATCATCAATTTCCACATCTGAAAAACAAATAGAGTTGGACTAGAAGACACCTAAAATTTCTGGTTCCGTATTTCCAGGTTGGTGGTGGACTGGGCTGGCTGGTGAGAGGTAGCTCTGGCAGCCTGCATCACAGCCGTGCGGGCAGTTTTGCAGTGGACACTTTCCCAAAGGTGACTTCCTGGGGTGGGATTGAAGGGATCTGACACACCGCGGTGGCATCAAGTGCAAACTAGGAGAGGCTGGATTAGCAGGAGTGTGGAAGTGTCAGGAAGGGAAGGAAGTCAAAGGTTAAGACCCACCCCACACTTCCCCCACTGAAGGAACCCCTTGTTGCCTTGGCATGCATGTTGCTTTCGTGCACCCCGGAAAGTGAGGAAGATGCTGAATTAAACCTAGCTCTGCCACTGTTCACTGTGCAATCCAGTGCAATTTGTTTTATTTCTCTGAACTTCAGACTTTAATCTATAAAATGAAAATAATAATGACTACCTCACAGAGTTACAGGGATCACAAAATTAGATACTCCATATATGACTGAGACATAGAAGCTAAAAAAAAAATGAATTACCTCCCACTGCTAAATAAAGCTATACAGCCTGAAGCATGGCTTACAAAGTCACTGAATGAATGAATAATAGGAGTTTCTGGAAAGGAAATGTCATCTCCAACATATAAACTCTAGTAGTAAAAACTCCAGAAATGGCTAATATGAACTCTCAGATCCATTAATTTCCCCAGACTGGGAGGGGCCTGGAAGGAAGTGCTCCCTAGACCACACCCCACTGAGACGGCTGTCAACATAACAGCCTTCACCAAATCTCCACTAAGAAACATCTCATCTACCAAGGAAATGCAAGGAAATCGAGCAAACCATTAAGAATATTTCCTCTCCCAGTGAAACCTCTACTTTCAATAGAATAGGAAGCGTGGATGTTATTATGAGTTGAATGTTTATGTCCCCCAAAAATGCATATGTTGAAGCCCTAACCCCCAGTGTGATGGTATTTGCAGGTGGAGCCTTGGGGAGGTGATTAAGGTTAGATAAGATCATGAAGATGGGTCCCTCCTGATGGTATTAGTGCCCTTATAAGAAGAGGAAGAAAGCCAACCAGGCAAAGTGGCTCACTCCTGTAATAATGCTCTTTGGGAGGCCAAGACGGGTGGATTGCTTGAGCTCAGGAGTTCAAGACAAGCCTGGGTAACATGGTGAGACCCCATCCCTACCAAAAATACAAAAAAAGAGCCAGGCATGGTGGTGTGCGCCTATAGTCCCAGCTACTCGGGAGGCTGAGGTGGGAGGATCACTTGAGCCCAGGGGGTGGAGGTTACAGTGAGCTGAGATCACACCACTGCACTCCAGCCTGGCTGACAGAATGACACCCTAATTCAAAAAAAAAAAAAAAAAAAAAAGAGGAAGGAGCGAAAGGGAGAGATTTCTCTCTCTCCATAAGCATACACTAAGGAAAGGCCAGATGAGCACATGGCTAAAGGCAGCTGTCTACAAGCCAGGAAGCAGGCCGTCACCAGGAACTGAACTTGCCAACACCTTGATCTTGGACTTCCCAGCCTCCAGAATTCTGAGAAGTAAATAAAAGCCATCCGGGCTATGGTGTTTTGTTATAGCAGCCCAAGCCAACTAAGAAGGATATCAAAGAAAAAAGCTGAAGCCGCACAGCGGCTCACGCCTGAAATCCCAGCATTTTGGGAGGCCGAGGCGGGTGGATCACCTGAGGTTAGGAGTTTGAGACCAGCCTGGGCAACATGGTGAAACTCCATCTCTACCGAAAATACAAAAATTAGCTGGGCATGGTGGCGAGTGCCTGTAGTCCCAGCTACTCGGTAGGCTGAGGCGGGAGAATTGCTTGAACCCAGAAGGTGGAGGTTGCAGTGAGCCAAGATCGTGCCACTGCACTCCAGGCTGGAAGACAGAGCAAGACTCCATCTAAACAAAACAAAACAAAACAAAACAAAAACACTGAGCTATGAGTTATAAGATTAAAACTTTTTCTTTTTTTGAGACAGCCTCATTCTGTCACCCAAGCCGGAGTACAGTGGTATGATCATGGCTGACTGCAGCCTTGAACTCCTGGGCTCAAGCAATCCTCCCACCTCAACTTCCTGAGTAGCTGGGATTACAGGCATGTATCACCACACCTGGCTAATTTTTGTATTTTTTGTAGAGACAGGATTTTGCCATGTTGCCCAGGCTAGTCTCAAACTCCTGGGCTCAAGTGATCCACCCATCTTGGCCTCCCAAAGTGCTGGGACTACAGACATGAACCACTGAGCCCAGCCTAAACTTATTTTAGTAACTTATCAGCCACTCCTTCAACCAATCACATGCCAAGCACTTTGGAGAAACAAAGATGACCATAAGCCTCTCTGCCCTCAAGAGTTCGTGGCCAAAGACCTAAACATAAAATTTCAATTAAGGATTATAAGGTTTGGAACAGAGGGGGAGATATGAGGGGACCACTAATTCTGCCTAGAAGAGTTTGGAAGGCATCGTGGAAGAAGGCATCATTTGAGTAGACATTGAAGGGCGATCAGAAGTATTTGAGGCAAATAGGAGTGGGAGGCAGGGGGTAAGGAGAGTAAAGGCACAAATGGGAAAGACCTGGAGGAGGGGAAGGGTATGGAGGATTTAGAGAAAAGGGATTGGTCGCCAGGCATGGTGGCTCACGTCTGTAATCCCAGCATTTTGGGAGGCCGAGGCAGGCGGATCACTTGAGGTCAGGAGTTCAAGACCAGTCTGGCCAACATGGTGAAACCCCGTCTCTACTGAAAATACAAAAATTAGCCAGGCATAGTGGCGCATGCCTGTAATCTCAGCTACTTGGGAGGCTGAGGCACAAGAATTGCTTGAACTCGGGAGGCAGAGGTTATAGTGAGCCAAGATTGTGCCACTGCACTCCAGCCTGGGTGACAGAGAGAGACTCTGTCTTAAAAAAAAAAAAAAAGAGAGAGAGAGAGAGAGAAAAGGGACTGGTTTTTTGCGTTTATAAGAGCACAAGCCTATCACAGAGAAAATGACTGAAGATGAAATAGGAAAATTGGCTGAGGCCCCTCACCAAGGCTTCGTGCGGACTTCAACTTGTAGACCAGATTTTGCAAACTGGTGGCCCAACAGGCTAAAACTGTTCTACCGACATGTTTGTTCAGGAAGCATAGTGTTTTTAAATTTTTAAGCCACCATTTAAAAATCAAGAGATTTTGCTTAAAAATCCAGATTCCCTTGAAACACTGAAGGAACTGACCTTTCTGGGCTCACATTCCTGCCTAGGAAGAGCAGGCTGGAGCAGCATCTGCCTTCTCTAGAGGAACTCCCCACTTGGCCACAGCCCCCACTACTCCCCTCTGTTTGCCCAGCCCAGCCTGCTTTCTTCATTTTATCCTGTTGAAACCAGCGAGCATTCCTAAGGTGATCTTCTAATCACTGCATGATATACGCTCTAAGATTCAGTTCGTTCTGGCTCTCGAAGTTTTTGTGTTTGGGATTTTTTTATTTCTTTCTCTCATTTTTATCACCATATTCCAAGAAAACTCTTAGAAAGCAAAGAATGTATCATATACTTTGTGTCTCTCACAACACTCAGCACAAGACTAGGTACAATGTAGATAATCAACTTTTGTTGAATTAGTGCAGAAATGAATGAATAAATACATGCCCCTCTGTGGTCATCCTCCATACCTGCCCTTCTTCCTCAAACCTCTAGACTTTTGCTACTAAGAAGATGGATGAATATGTAACAAAAAAAAAAGCACCAAAGTCAATCATTGCATTTCTATTTCAATTTTCTATCAGGTTGCAATGGAAATAGGAACTCTGAATAGATGCAGAACTAACCATCATGTCTGGCAGCAAGATGAATTAGAGCCCCAGGATACTGAGAAAGCCTGCAGATAAGATCACCAAATATCATCAGTGATCTTTGAGGGAATTGTAGAGAATAGGATAGGTGCCAAAAAGCTGGAGCCTGGCAAATGTTCTGATTTTCAAAAGGGGAAAAATGTTATGGTTTGCCAGTTCCAGACTAGATAATATGATATCACTCCCGGCAAGGTTCTTAAACAGATTTGTTAAGGACACTTATGAGCACCTAGGACAGGAAGTAATGTCCATTTGGCACCAGCATGGGGTCACCAAGAACAAGTCATGTTAAATGCATTTCATTTTCTTCTCTCTGACAAGGCTCCTAGGCTAGTGTATTGGAGAAACACAGCAGACTTAATATACATGGTGCACTGAGGGGGTGAGCAGCACCAAAGGCTAATTCAATCCTTGGGCTATGTTAATAGTAGTATTGCAGACAGCAGAAAGGAGGTGATAGTTGTTTTCTGTCTTTGGCCACATCTAGAGAACCACATTTAGAACTCAGTGCCACTCTTGAAATAGGATACTGATAATATAATCTTTTGGAGGTCCTTTTGGCAAAATCTCTTTAAAAACATAAAGCTCTCATCCAGATTTCTGGCATCTGTTGAAAAATTGAAAAATCTGTCTGGGCCTACATTCCTAAACAGCAATAATTGGTTGAACCTAAGTAGTGACTGCCCATTTAGACAGAACATGTACTCTGAAGTCCGTCACAATCACCACCACCACCCTTCTACTGCCTGCACTGAGGTGGTAGGCCAGCTGCCACAAATTGTTTCACGTGGCCAACTTTATCCATTTATTCTATCTGCCAAGCACCCAATGACACTGAGGTTTGCAACCCAGGATGCAGTAGAGACAGAGGAGAGTGGAGATGGTAAGTGGTAGCGAACCATCCTATTATATGAGGATAATCATTGTCAGGGGTTATATTCCCAGGCTCCACACACCCAGTGGGCAGTCCAAGGGAAGACACATCTGTCTTATTTTGTGAAGTCCAAAGGGAAAGGAACTATAGAACCAATAAGTAGATGAGAGACATATTCAATGCAACATAAGAAAAAATGCTTACAAGGGTCAGGCACGGTGGCTCACACCTATGATCGTAGCACTTTGGGAGGCCAAGGCGGGTGGATCACTTGAAGCTAGGAGTTTGAGATCAGCCTGGCCAACATGGTGAAACCCCGTCTCTACTAAAAATACAAAAATTGGCCACATGTGGTGGCACGTGCCTGTAATGCCAGCTACTCGGGAGGCTGAGGGAGGAGAATCTCTTGAACCCAAGAGGCGGAGATTGCAGTGAGTCAAGATGACATCACTACATTCCAGCCTGGACGACACAGAGAGACTCTGTCACAAAAGAAAAAAGAAAAAATGCTTACAAGAGCCAGAGCTGTCCAAAGATGATAGACTACGTGGGCTTGGGAGGTAGTGAGTTCCCCATCACTAGAAATGTGCAAGCATATGGTTTACTACTGCTTCATAATCAAAAGGCTTCAAGTATCTGATGAGGCAAGAGAAGGCATGAATCCTTCTATTTTACAATAGAAAAAATACTGTTCTAAAACATTCCTTTGTGTTAGGTCTATAAATTCTTGAAAAAGACATAAAAGGGAACAAGTCAACAAAGAACTCAGCACTGTTTTTAAAAATCAAAAGTTCCCTTCACAAAATTCACAAAGCACAAAATCTGTCTGACTAGGTGGACTTTTTGCATCCCACTGGCCAGATGATTCCCAGGGAGAAAGGTAATTGGCCTCGGGCACTGTTTTTGGTGACTGGTCAAATGTTCTTCAGAGGCATGCAACAAAGGCAACGGGATGAAAGTAAGAGGGTAAACAATGGAACTCCATCAAGAGGCTGCCAGTCCCCCCACAAAACTGCCATCTGCTGCTGACATCAATCCTTCAAGGGGCAGCTTCGGGCAAACAATGTGTCAGGGAACACAAGCCTGGGAGAAAATCGGCCTTGTGACCTTGGGCAAGTCATTTAACATTAACTGGGCCTCAGTTTCCTTGTCTCTGAAACTGAGTTCACACTAACCCTACTGTACATTGTGTGGGCCAAGAGTAAGTGATGTCTGGGAGTTAGCCATAGAAAATGCAGGGCCCTAGACACACATCAATAATTATGATGGTGATTAACACACAGAATTTTAAAAGAAAAGATTCCAGAGGGTTTCAGGGACAGCCATATCCTGACCTGACCTTGTGGGTGTCAATTCTAAAGGAATAAGATGTAACTCCTTTAGCCAGAATGCAAGGAAATTTAGTATTTGGAAGAGACAAGATCATTTGGACACATTTCCTGATGAATGCCTGGTAATTGGTGTATTTCTGATAAAACTCAGGGTACTCGCTGCTTAGTTGTTAAAATAAAAGATGAAAGGTAAAAAGCAAAAGGATCAGCCAGGGCAATTAATGCCTAACTGGCCCTGAAGAAAAGTTCACTGGCCCAGTAGTAGCAATCCTTCCAAAATGAGATAAGCACATTTCCTACCAAGAAAATATCATAAAACCTGAACTGTCCAAAACTCAACATCCCCTTCTCTCTCAAGGCATTTTCATGGCAACCTTAATTTTTATAAAATAATAATAATTGGCCAAATTCATTTTATAAAACATAAACTCCCTAAAAAGAGTCTATTCAAAGATTGAAACTAGGCTTTTGTATTGAGCAGTTGGGTGAATTAAAATCTCTGACCAATAAAGCGCTTATTTCTAAATTTTCAGCAAGGCTGAGACATCGTAAGTCACTGTTTTCCACATTGAACTGAAAAACCAAAGACAGGAGACCAGGGAAGAGCAGGGTTTTCTGCTCCTCTTGCCCTAGGATATGCCCAGAGGTGATGAGCACGCTGGGCTTTTGACCAGGACTAAAAGGCAAAAAGACTGTTGGTGAGACTGGAAAAAAAACAGATCCCTCCCCCCGTGGCTGCTCCACTCCCAAAGTTTCCCAAGCATCTGAAGCGTGTATGGCAGCTGCGGTGCCCAGCCTTCCCGCTGCTTTTAAGGAGGCCACCCAGCTCCCTGGGTCATTGGGTCTTCAGTTGCAGCAGCGCCCAGAAGCAGGTGTGGCAACCTCAGGTTGCTTGAGCCCCAAATACCCAACTTGCTCAACAGCCTGTGCATAACCTCAAAGATAGGCCTCAAGGTCCGCTGAAGATGCATTTTGTCTTTACTCTTTCTAGGAGAGGCCACAACACACCCTGTGTCGCAGCAAGGAGAACCATGACCAGAAAGAAAGCGGACGCCAAGAGGCACGAGCCCAGGCTTCCCACAGGGCACATCCTCAGAGAAAGGAGGAGCCTGCTGGATGGAGCTTTTAGATTTTCCTTGCCAAAGCTGAGCCTAGAACGTGTAGGGGTGGGAGAAGCCCCAGTCTGGCCTGAATGAGGATGCGGCAAGCCCGCATTTAGCCATGCAATTGTGTTCCCTTTCCTATTTCGCCTGGCTAGCGTGGATTTAGGGAGCGGCTTCTGAAAGAAGTATACACCCGGTGGCACAGAAGGTGCAACCAGCAGCCAGAGGTCATCTCGCCCTCCCGGCAGGCTTCTCCTGGAACCCCGGAAGCCAGGCAGCGCTGACCAGCCCAAACGGCATGCCGAGGTGTTGGCTTTGAATGAAAGCTGATGAACCTAAACGCCAGGGCACAGAGTGATTGGGCTGCACACTGCGAGATAATACATTTTCTGCACCAAGCTCCCTTTTTATGCCCAAATGCCTGCATTAGTCTGGATCAATATGCCCCATAACAGTTAATCCATGGCAACCCAGGCCAGCCCAGAGACACCGACAAAGAAGTGCCGCCCAGGGATGCTGCCTCGCTGTGCACATGCATGTGAATTCCGGCCCAGAGAAAGAGGCGGAGGCAAAACCACCACCACCAACAGAAACCAAAAAGGGGGAGGAAAAAAAGAGCAGATGGTAAAAAAATACCCCAATATTAAAGGGCTTTTACCATGGCAGGGAAGGGGTGGAGGTAGTGACTATCAAAATGGCCTTAGAGTGACATGTCACCGCCAAGATGATGGGGTATCAGCGACACTCCTAAAGTCAGGCATAGGATCCTCCTCACACACCTGCAATGCAGAGACTGCTGCCCATTCCATAATCCACACTCCCAGCCCCAGCGCTATCTGCAGTTGAAACCAGTCCGGACTTGTGCGGCTGCCACTGTTACTCCTCACAAAAAGATTATTGATGCATAACATTTCATAATGGCAGAGAGGAAAACGGGGGGCAGCGGGGGATGGGAACCAGAACAAGAGAAAAACGAAAGGGGAGGAGAAGGAAAACTCTCCCAGCCCGCATCTCACCTTTTATTTGGGCTTCATATTCAGCAATGATCTCTTTGTCTTTCTTGAACTTAGTTTGAGATGACATCTTCTGACGTGGCCAAAGGAACTGACAGGCTGTTTGATTTATTTCTCCTTTTCTTTTCGAGTCCTCTCTCAAGCCCTGGTAATCACACAGCTCTGGTCGATTTCACAGGTTTAGGGACTAATCTCTTTCACTTGGCTGCAGAGCAGGGAGAAAAATCCTTCTCCTTCTGGAAGGAAAAATCTCTTTACTTGCCGAGAAATGGCTCTAGTAGCTTGCCCTGGTCAGCTCCTCTTGCAAAAGAAGAATCACCCTAGGAGCACAGTAACCTGCCCCAGATTTTCAAAGATTTTTCTTCCAAAAATAATAATAATAGTAATAACCAAGCGCACTCACACACACATGCACACGTACACACACTCACGCATGCACAGGCACACTCACCGGGACACGCACACAGTTGTGCTGTGCACACAGGCATACACACACACACCCTCACACGCACACACACTCGCTGGATCACTCACACACACACATCCACGAGAGGCGCGGCGCCTCTTTGGTCGTGCAGCCAGCCCCTGGCTTGCTTTTGAAGGCTCTGCTAAGTCGATGGTCAGGTTGCCAAAGGGCCGGTCATCTCGCATCCTCCCTCCCTTCGGTGCCTCTGGTCTGATGTCCAGTGAGGATCAAAGCCAGGAGAGCGAGATGGAAGTTTTCCTGCTGCAACGCTTAAGCTCCGGTGAACACAAGGCTGGACTGCTCGCCCTGCAGGGCTGGCTGAGCTCTCCCCCACTGCTCACGTCACTAGACTCCGCCTCCCGGATTTTATAACAACTGACACATTGTAGCCTACAGGAGAGCAGAACTCACTGCAAGCAAAAAGGGGAAGAAACGCTCACAAAAGGGAAGGCAGCAGGAAAAGTAATCGGGTTGGTAAGTCTTGAGAGGCTTCTGCAAACTCCAAACATTAGCACTTGGGTTAGGGATTTTTCTTCCAAAAACTTAAGATCCTCCCTTTTTTTGCACTGTGCAATTTAATTCAGTTTCTGGAATCAACAGCTATATGATGGTTTGTCACTCTACTGGGATAGTCTAGCAGAGGGCCTGACCCATGTAGGGAAAAGCATCAATATTTGTTGAGCAGTTACTTGGTGGCAGAGACGATGCGAGGAGTTAAAGGCATGCAGCTTAGCAAAGCCACGCAGAGCAGGCACACTGGAGGCAGAACAGCTGGGTGGGTCATTGGCTTGTGGGGCTCTGGGCAAATTCATAAGTCAGACTGAGCCTCAGTTTCCTAGATAGTAAAATCAGCTCTCTTTGGAGGCTATGTTATTCATTCTTTCAACAGATATTTACTGAATGCTTACTATAGGTCTAGCACCGTTCTGGGTACAGGGATACAGCAATGATCAGAACTGGCACACACAAAAATCCCTGACCTTCTGAAGCTCCCGGGGCTCCACATCACACAACTCCAGCAGTTTCCACCATTCATGCTAATATTCTTAGTAAAAAGCACCCCTGGAGTAGAAAGCATTGTGAATGGTGCCCCCTGGAGTTGTACGAGGCAAGAGGCCCTGGGAGAGGAAGACCAAAAATAAGCACAGTAAGTATATTATATAATATCATACAAAATGTAAAGTGCTATGGGAAAAAATATTGCAGGGTAAGGAACATCGGGAATGAGAGGAGCTCTTGAAAAGATCAAAGAAAAATGCAAAGCTAAGCTTAGCACAGTCTCTGGTGCATAGCAAGCACTCAATAAACAGTAGCAACTGTTATTACCCTTTTATATCCCCCAACAACCTAACAACATAGGTATAAGCACCACTCTTTCACAGACAAAGGAGCAGAGGCTCAGATATGGGAAGTGACTTACCCAAGGTCACCAGCCTTCCAACCCAGGCTCAAAGTCTCCTGCATTCTACAAGGGAGACCAAACCCATTTCATGTGGAATTAAGGTAGAATAAGATTCATTCTGTAAAAACTGAGTCAAGCACTAAAGAGTCGCTGATCACTGGAATTTCATATGCTAAGATTGTCACTAATGTGTATTGGCCCCTGACTGTCCCCTGAGATAAATGTTCCCAAATTTCTCAAAATAGGTATAGTCTTCCATTTGCCTTTTTCTGAGTCTATAATAAATGATTCTGTTTGGACTCAGAAATGAATAGGTTATCCATGCTAGTCCATCAAGGCTTCCTAGAGGACATGGCAGCTGCAGTGGGCGTCCCCAGGCAAGTATGGCAAAGGGAGTGAGGCGGGGCAGGATGTTCTCCTGGAGCACACAGCATGAGCTGGGGCCCACAGGTGGCAAAGCACAAGACCTGCTTGGAGCAACGACAGGGAGAAGTCCAACTGGTGAATCATGGGGCTTATTATAGCCTTGTACCCGGAGGCAGGAGGTCACCAGTTCAGAAATAGATGCCACTGGCCCGCAGCCCTTGCCATCACCCCACTGCCTCACGCCTCCCCTGGACATGTTCAGGCCCTTTGCTGTCCTCTTCTAACTAGTTCAAACCCACAAAAGCCCCACGTTACCTGAGAAAGATGGGCACAGAGATTAACATCCCTGCTGCAAGTCTAGATTCTTCAAGAAAAATGAAAGTTAAAACCATACACCTTGGAGTACGACAGACTGGATCCTCTCCTGGCTCTGCCACGAGCCTTGAGCTCATGAGAACTTGAGCAAGTGGCTCAACCTGCTTGTGTGCCCACTGGTGGCAGGAACTCAGTAAATGTCAGCTATTTTCACCATTATTAAAATTTTAAATCCACAAATAGTTCTAGGAGACCTATGTGTAGGGTGCTGAGCCATGGAAATGTCACAAAAATGTCACAAAAAGCCATACAAAACCAAGGCCAAAGATGGTATAGCGCTCTGAGCTGACACCTGGCAGAGGCTGGGTTTTGGAGTAAGTCAGATGGTGGTTTACCTTCTGGCTCTGCTGTGCACCAGCTGTGTGTGGGGCTCATGGAGGAATACACCTTCTCTGAGTCTTGGTTTCCTCATCTGTCATAGGGTAGTGATCCACCCATGGCACAGGATCCAACACGATCATGGATTTAAAGTGCCTGGCATAGAGCAGAAGTCTCACAGACATAATTTCTTTTTTAGAGCTGTGGAAATGTGTTCTTCAACGTTGGAGGTGGGATCTGGTGGGCAGTGTTTGGATCATGGGGATGGATCCCTCAGGAATGGCTTGGTGTCCACCCCACGGTAATGGGTTCACAAGAGATCTGGTTGATGAAGAGTCTGGGACCTCGCTCCTCTTCCTTGCTTCCTCACTCACCATGTGATATGCCTGCACCTTCCACCATGATTGGAAGCTTCCTGAGGCCTCATCAGAAGCCAAGCAGATGCTGGTGTTATGCTGGTATAGCCTGCAGAACCATGAGCCAAATAAAACTTTTTTTTTTCTCAAGATGGGGGTCTCACCATGTTGGGCAGGCTGGTCTCAAGCAATTCTCCCACCTCAGCCTCCCGAAGTACTGGGATTGCAGAGTGAGCCACCACACCCAACCAAATAAAACTTTTTTCTTTAATTACCCAGCCCCAGGTATTCCTTTACAGCAATGCAAAATGGACTAATACAGGGCCCAGCCAAGCCAGACCTAGGACTAGAGCTTGGTCTCCACAGATACCCAGATTGGGAAAAGGAAGAGAGGAAAAAAAAGAGGAAAAGGTCTGTGTCCCCTGAAAAATCCATCACCACACACAATAAACCCACATCATCTGGAATCTTCTATCCCCAAGAAGATGTGGGTGTGACCTGGGCAGGCCCCCAGCACCAGGTCCTCACCCTTCCAGTCCTCCCCACAGCCCACCCCAGCCCTCCCGCTGCCCTCCTGTGACTCCTCCTCTGTGAGCCCACTTTTTCCTTGCTGTCTGAGAACCAACTGCTATTCCCAATGTTTACCCTTCACATGGTAGTAACAGAAACCAGATTTGTCTCCAAATAAATGTGGTAGGTGTGAGGGGAGGGCCTCTACCATGTGATTTGATCTATGCCACCCACTAAGGACCAGAAAAGCCCCTGGAAGTGTTTATTCCATTTCCTTGGGGCTCATCTCCTGAATTCTTTTAGATTTTCCTAAATTATACTGATAGCTAGTATTTACCAAGTTCTCCCTGCACACAAGCACAGGGCCAAGCACTCTATGTAGATTTTATCACTGATTTTTTGCTACAGCCCCATGAGTCCAGTGATGTAAATCATCCTTGTTTTGAAGTTGGGTAAACGGAGGCCAAGAGCAGTGAAGCAAGTTACCCAAGATCACAAAGCTAGCTAGTAACTTAATTGCACTGAAGCCCAGGTATGGCTCATAGCGGAGCCCAAGGACTTAAACAGTGCACGATTCTATCCCGGAGGAATCAGCATAGGAATAATTGCTATCAAGTAATAACCCATTTTTTCATTCCCTATAATTACATTGTTTCAATACGGAGTTCAACGTAAAGTTTTCCATTTAAAAAAAGAATTTGGGGTTAAAAATATAAGGAAAACATGTCACAAGTGACCACTAGTGAGGCATAAATTACAATAACAGCTAAACAATGCAAAACTCACTGAACCGGTTTCTTTTCCTGGTAGAAAGAAAAAAGGCTTCATCTGAAGGAAAAGTGGCCAGAATAGTTTTTGGTTGAAAGTACTTTTATTTTTCTGGTCGAATATGAACACCTCCCCCTCGCCGAGATGACTAATTTTGTAACATTCTCCACGTTGCTACCAGCAAATACATCCTTGGGCAGCTCAGTGAATAATTCTGCCCTTCAAGCCCTGCTCTGCAAAATGAAAGCAACAAGCAGAACTCAGCTAGTTGATGGCAGATTTTAATAGAATTAATAGTGATGATGACAACATGCCTAATGTGTATATATTGCTTTATATTTTGTAAGGCTCTTTCATATCATTTGTCGTATGTGGTCCTCACAATAACCCTGGGAGGGGACGGAATGGCAAGTAGGGCTGTTTTCAATACCTGTTTCATTGGTAAGGAAATACGTGGATAAGCAGAGGTTTTGATGGTACAGTTGTTTTATAACCTCAAGTTATAAGGATGACCTTTCCAACTGTGTCACAAAACCCATTAGCTGGAAAAGCTGACAAATTCAACCACAGAACAATACTTACAAAATTCTGCTTGACAAAAGCAAAGTCAAAGACCAATGGCAAGCTCAGAAACAATAGTTGCAACACCTATCATAGGCCAAAGAATAATTTTTCTAATATCAATTCAAACAAATACTCATACATGAATATTCGTAGGAGCCCAATTCACAACAACCAAAAGATAGAAACAACCCAAATGTTGTTTGAATGAATGGATAAACAAAAAATGGCATATCCATATGATGGAATATTACTCAGCCATAAAGAGAAATGAAGTACCAATACATGCTACAGTATGGAGGAACCTTAAAAATATTATGCTAAGTCAAAGAAATACACAGATTATATGAGTCCATTTATATGAAATATCCAGAATAGATATATCCATAGGAAATTCCATCTCTATGGTCACAGAAGAGTGGTTGTCAGGGGCTAGAAAGAGCGAGGACAGGCAGTAGCTGCTTAATAGGAAGTACCAAGTTTCTTTGGTGATCATTAAAATGTTTTGGGACAGGAGCAGTGGCTCATGCCTGTAATCCCAGTATTTTGTGGGGCAAAGGCAGGAGGATCGCTTGAGCTCAGGAGTTCGAGACCAGTCTAGGCATCATAGAGAGACCTCTTCTCTACAAAAAATAAACAAAAATTAGCCAAGCGTGGTGGTCCATGCTTGTGGTCCCAGCTACTTGGGAGGTTGAGGTGGGAGAATCACTTGCACCCAAGAGGTGGAGGGTGCAGTGAGCTGTGACTGCAATTGCACCACTGCACTCCAGCCTGGGCAACAGAGCAAGGCTCTGAAAAAAAGAAAGAAAGAAAAAGAGAGAGAGAGAGAGGAACGAAGGGAGGGAGGGAGGGAAGGAAAGAGAGAGAGAGAAAGAGAGAGAGAAAGAAAAGAAAGGAAGGAAGGAAGGGAGGGGAAAGAGAGAGAGAAAGAAAAAGAAAGAAAGAAAGAAAGAGAAAAGAAAGAAAGGGGAAAGAAAAAGAAAAAGAAAGAAAGGGGAAGGAAGGAAGGAAAAAGAAAGAGAAAGAAAGGAAGAAAGAAAGGTAGATTTTGGAACTAGACAGAGGTGACAGTTGTACAACATTGTGAATGGGCTAAATGCCACTGAATTGTACACTTTAAAATGGTAAATTTTATGTTATGTGAATTTGACCTCAACAAAGAATAACTACTAAAAGAAAAGAAAGTTTCCACAAATCTATGAGAATAATGCCAACCACCCAGTAGAAAAGTCAATTAAAGATATAGATATAAACAGCAGCTCACAGAAAGGGAAATACACATGAAATGTTAGCCCACCTCACTCATAATGAACACAAGTCAGGCATGACTGGAAACACGGGCTCTAACAATGCCCACAGGACACTGTGTCTTCCTCCTGCTCTCCATTCTGCCTCTGTATGGTGGCAGGCTCTCCCTGTAAGATGGCAAAGATGGCCCCCAAAACCCCCAAGCTTACATTCTCACAGGTTGGCAATCCTGGCAAGGAAGGCAAAGTCTCTCCCAGGAGTTCCAGCAAAAGTTTTGGAATGGTCAGCTGGCCCCTGCTGGGGCCCCTGGCTATCCCTGAACCAATCGCTGGAGCCAGGGGTGTTCTGCTTGGCCAGGCCTGTAGAGTGGGCTTGCCCTGGCACTTTGGGATGGAGTCAGTCCCGAACAATCCACATGGCCCCAAGAGGTGAGCCCCAGGAGCTCCCAAAGGAGGATCAGGGTGCTATTCCAGAAAGAGGAGGTTGGGCAAAGTCAACGTGTGTCTGCTAACGAAAACAATGCAGGAAAGAAGGAAGATGGAGTAATAGCTTGAAATTATCCAGCCTTGATACTTATAAAGCATCTTCTCATTTAGTATCATGATCCTCACACAGTCCTTTGAGATAGGTTATATTTTTCCCATTTTACAGTTGAGCAAATGAAGGCACAGGGAGGCTGAATGACTTTCCCAGCATCCCATGGCTCACAACAAATGGGAGAGCTGGGCAAGAAATCAAGTCACCTGACCCTGCATCTGGTGTTTGTTCTCCCATCCACCCAGGTACCAGGCTCTACCGAGAGACCCTGCAATGCACACAGGAACCTCACAGGCCTCACACATGCTCTGTTCACCAGTCCCCGCTTCCTTAGGAAAGGATGGGAAATCAGTCTCTCAGCCATCAGGACCTGTCACGGAGCTGCTGGGCAATGCTGCCAAGGTCCTCTGGCTTTCTAAGAACATTCCCATTACTCAGCCCACATGTCTGCGTGTGTGTCCAAGGACTGGACAGCTTCAGTGACAGCAATTCACAGCTGAGCCCCAGATCCTAATTCTGGAAGAACAGAAGTAAAGACTTCAAACACCCAAGCCCTTGACTACATTGCTAGCAAAGTTTGCTCATTTCCAGTGATGACAGGAAAGGCTTTAAATATCTCCCACTGTAGAGGAGACCTCTGGCTCTGCAACTGCCTAGGAGAGTCTAGGTCCCTGATGGAGAGTTAGCTGGCCCTGTGGATATGCACCTAAACCATGTCCTGCAATCTAGCTTAAAGCTTACACTTTGAGAAGCAGAGTAACAAGAACAGTTTCTAGAGCTGATATTTGCAGCATGGCTTCCACTGGGTTTGAGGGAATGCTTGTTCCCTTGATGAGACCTTAGTCTGATGCACATTTCCAGCCATCCACTCCCCATCCCTCATCCACTCCTCCCCAGGGGAGGAAAAGTGACTTAGCTGATTGGTGAATTTGAGAGAGACTAAGTTCACACATTAATCTTCTCTTTTCAGCTCCGCCTGCATTCTGCCCCTGTGGAGGAGACCTCTGGTTCTGCAACTGCCTGGGAGAGTCTAAGTCGGTGATGGAGAGTTAACTGGCCTGGTGGACACATACCTACCATGTCCTGCAATCTAGCTTAAAGCTTACACTTTAAGAAACAGAATAACAAGAATAGATTCTAGAGCTGAGTTTAAACCCTGGCTCCACCACTGATAAGCTGTGTGACCTTGGGCAAGTTGTTAGCTGGCACCCAGTAAGTGCCACATAAGCATCTGTTAAAATCTCCATCTGTCTACATTCTTTATCTATTCCTCAGTTAGTTCAGAACCTAAATGGGAAAGAAAGGTGTTATATATTGCCCCTATGAAAGCCCAACACAAAATAATTTACACCTTATATTTTTTTAATTCTAAAGCATGGGGTATGCAATGGATTGAATGCTTGTGTCCCCTTAAAATTCATGGGTTGAAATTCTTACTCTCGATGTGATGCTATTTGGAAATGGTTTTGTGGGAGGTAATTAGGGTTAAATGAGGTCATGAGGATGGGGCCCTTATGATGGGATTAGTGCCCTTTGAAGGAAGACACCAAAGCGAACTCTCTCTCTTTCTCTCTGCCCTATGAGGACACATTGAGAAGATGGTCATCTGAAAGCCAGGAAAAGAGACTGCTCCAGAACCTGACCATGCTGGCACCCTAATCTCAGATTTCCACCCTCCAGAACTGTGAGAAAATACATGTCTGATTTTTAAGCCCCCAAGTATATGGTATTTCTTTATGGCACCCTAAGCTAACACATTCAGGTTAGGAAGCCTAAATAATGGTTGTTTGAAAAAAATAATAATAACAATGTGCAAAAGAAGGGCATAGGAAAAGAGAGTGGTCTACCAAATGCTATAAATAGATGATTTTTACGAATTCATTTACTCACTCATTAAACAAAATAGCTCCTTTTTTTTTTTTTTTTTTTTTTTTTTGAGACAGTCTCACTCTGTCGTCCAGGCTGGAGCACAGTAGCATGATCTTGGCTCACTGCAACCTCTGCCTCCTAGGTTCAAGCAATTCTCCTGCCTCAGCCTCCTGAGTAGCTGGGATTACAGGCACCCACGACCGCGCCTGGCTAATTTTTGTATTTTTAGTAGAGACGGGGTTTCACCATCTTGGTGAGGCTGGTCTCGAACTCCTGACCTTGTGATCCACCTGCCTTGGTCTCCCAAAGTGCTGGGATTATAGGCATAAGCCACCACACTTGGCCTAAACAAAATATATCTTAAGCACTCGATATAGTCTAGGCATTGAGATATGCACAATCATGAACTGGACAGAGATAGTTCCTACTGTTGTGAAGACCTCAGTTTAATGGAAGAGACTGGTAAACAGGCAATTGTAATTCAACATTATGGAGAAGCACAGGGTCCCATGGGATCTCATGTAAGGGCACTTGACCTAGACTTGGAAACACAGAAGCGGTTTCTTGGAGGCGAAAATTTCTAAGCTGAGCTTAGAAAGACAAACAGCTGGAGAGAACCCACCCAAGTAGGGGAGGGAAAGTATTCCCAGCTAAGGGAACTGCATGAGCCAAGGGGACAATTGGTATAGCTGGAGCAGAGTGCCAGGCAGAGAGTGGGAGAGGTGATGCTGGACAGAGACATGGGCTGGAGTGTGAGAAGCTTCCTAGGCTGTATTAACAAGCTCGGAGTTTCATCTGGGTTCCCCCAGGAGCCCTGAAGGGAACTGACATCAGATTGGCCTTTGAGGAAGGTGACTCTAGTGGCAGTGTGGAAACCAGACTAGAACAGGCAAGACAAGGAGCTAGAAAATATTTTGAGAGACAAAGATGGGTTAGACAAGATGATGCCACGTACCATCATACTGAAAATACTGGCGACTTTATAGACACTAGCTCTCTGCATCCTCTTATCAGTGGCACCACATACCAGGTGCTATCATTGCCCCCTGTATTTTCGGATGCAGAATTGAGCTACAACACGAATACTGCCTCCCTCTAGGGTTAGCTACTGCCCTTTCTCCGTGATCCCAAGGCCTCAATTTCTCCCACCTGAACAGCTTTAGAGCTCCCTGCTGGTCCCTCTGTCTCTGATCGTGCCTCCCTCCTATTTGCGATCAACCCTGGAACCCGAGTGAGCTTTTCACGTGTGAATCAGATCATAATAATTTCCCGTGGGCAGCCTGCGATGTCCTCCTCGCACTTAAGAGTTGAATGCACGCTCCTCCCCATGAGCCCACGGGATTGGGCATCCGCCTCGCTCCTAAGCCCATCTCTTGCTTCTCTCCCTCTTGCTCCCTACTCCGGGCCATGCTTGGCCTTCTTATATTTCTGCAGTGCTCCCAGCACTTGCTATTCATTCAGATCCTCCCCGGGTCCTGGCTCCTGCGTCGCCTTCTCACACAGGCCCACCCAGACCACCCTAACCAAACGACTACTCCAGCACATTTCCCTGTTTCTTTTTTTTCATATGGCTACCACATTTGAAGTTATCTTATTTACCTACTTTGGTGGGGAGTGGGTAATTTTTTCTTTTTTTTTAGAGAGAGGGTCATGCCCTGTCACCCAGGCTAGAGTGAAATGACATGATCACAGACTTCTGCAGCCTGGACTTCCTGGGCTCAAGCGATCCTCCCCTTTCAGCCTCCCAAGTAGCTGGGACTACAGATCATACTGAAACACCAGGTGTGACCTGAAACACCAGGTGCCCAGCTAATTTTTTTATTTTTTTGTAGAGATGGTGGTGGTCTCACTGTATTGCTGAGGCTGGCCTCAAAGACCTGGGCTCAAAGGATCTTCCTGCCTCGGCCTCCAAAATGTTGGGATTACAGGCATGAGCCACTGCACCCAGCTACATATTTGTTTGTTCACTTAATGACTATTTCTGGACTCTCCACACCCCACCTCCACTAGACCAACATGTCTAAGAGAATATTCTGCATCGGTGAAAATTTTCTGTACCTGCACTGTCCAATACGATTGTCACTAGTCCCAGGTGGCCATTGAGCACTTAAAATGTGGCAAGTGTGACTGCAGAATTCAATTTTTAGGTTGGCTTCATTTAATGAGTTTAAATCTAAATAGCTGGGGGCCAGGGGTGGGGCTGGCAAGATGGCCAAACAGGAACAGCTCTGATCTGCAGCTCCCAGCGAGACCAAGAAGACGGGTGACTTCTGCATTTCCAACTGAGGTACCCACCTCATCTCATTGGGCCTGGTTAGACAGTGGGTACAGCCCACAGAGGGCAAGCAGAAGCAGGGTGGGGCGTCGCCTTACCTGGGAAGCACAAGGAGTCAGGGAACCCCCTTCCCTAGCCAAGGGAAGTCGTGAGGAACTGTGCCGTGAGGGACAGTGCTATCCAGCCCAGATACTATGCTTTTCCCATTGTCTTCGCAACCCACCGACCAGGAGATTCCCTCGGGTGCCTACACCACCAGGGCCCTGGGTTTCAAGCACAAAAATGGGTGGCAATTTGGGCAGACACTGAGCTAGCTGCAGGAGTTTTTTTCGTACCCCAGTGGTGCCTGGAATGCCAGAGAGATAGAACCGTTCACTCCCATGGAAAGGGGGCTGAAGACAGGGAGCCGAGTGATTGTGCTAAGTGGACCCCACCCCCATGGAGTCCAGCAAGCTAAGATTCACTGTCTTGAAATTATCGCTGCCAGCACAGCACTCTAAAGTCGACCTGCGATGCTGAGCTTGGTGTGGGGAGGGGCGTCCGCCATTAAGGAGGCTTGAGTAGGTTGTTTTCCCCTTATAATGTAAATAAAGCCACTGGGAAGTTCAAACGATGCGGAACCCACTGCGGCGTGGCATCGCCACTGTAGCCAGACTGCCTCTCTAGATTCCTCCTCTCTGGGCAGGGCATCTCTGAAAGAAAGGCAGCAGCCCCAGTCAGCGGCTTATAGATACAATTCCCATCTCCCTGGGACAGAGAACCTGGGGGAAGGGGCAACTGTGGGCGCAGCTTCAACAGACTTAAACGTTCCTGCCTGCCAGCTCTGAAGTGAAGATTCACAGCTCTGAAGTGAAGAAATCACAGAGAAATCTCTCTGAAGAGAGCAGTGGTTCTCCCAGCACAGTGCTTGAGCTCTGCTAAGGGACAGACTGCATCCTCAAGCGGATCCCTGACCCCCGTGCCTCCTGACGGGGAGACACCTCCCAGCAGGGGTTGACAGACACCTTATACAGGAGTGCTCCAGCTGGCATCTGGCGGGTGCCCCTCTGGGACAAAGCTTCCAGAGGAAGAAGCAGGCAGCAATCTTTGCTGTTCTGCAGTCTCCACTGGTGATACCCAGGCAAACAGGATCTGGAGTGGACCTCCAGCAAACTCCAGCAGACCTGCAGAAGAGGGGCCTGTTAGAAGGAAAGCTAACAAACAGAAAGCAATAGCATCAACATCAACAAAAAGGACGTCCACGCAAAAGCTCCATCCAAAGGTCACCAACATCAAAGGCCAAAGGTAGATAAAGCCATGAAGATGAGGAAAAACCGAAGCAAAAAGGCTGAAAATTCCAAAAACCAGAATGCCTCTTCTCCTCCAAAGGATCAAAACTCCTCACAAGCAAGGGAACAAAGCTGGATGGGGAATGAGTTTGACAAATTAACAGAAGTAGGCTTCAGAAGGTGGGTAATAACAAACTCCTCTGAGCTAAAGAAGCATGTTCTAACTAAATGCAAGGAAACTAAGAACCTTGATAAAAGGTTACAGGAACTGCTAACTAGAATAACCAGTTTAGAAAAGAACATAAATGACCTGATGGAACTGAAAAACACAGCACAAGAACTTCGTGAAGCATACACAAGTATCAATAGCCAAATCAATCAAGCAGAAGAAAGGATATCAGACATTGAAGATGAACTTAATGAAATAAGCATGAAGACAAGATTAGAGAAAAAAGAATGAAAAGGAACGAATAAAGCCCCCAAGAAATATGAGACTATGTGAAAAGACCAAACCTACGTTTGATTGGTGTACCTGAAAGTGACAGGGAGAATGGAACCAAGCTGGAAAACACACTTCAGGATATTATCCAGGAGAACTTCCCCAACCTAGCAAGACAGGTCAACATTCAAATTCAGGAAATACAGAGAACACCACAAAGATACTCCTCATATATTTAAAAAAAAAAAAAAAAAAAGACACATAATCCTCAGATTCACCAAGGTTGAAATGCAGGAAAAAATGTTTAGGGCAGCCAGAGAGAAAGGTCGGGTTACCTACAAAGGGAAGCCCATCAGACTAACAGTGGATCTCTCTGCAGAAACCCTACAAGCCAGAACAGAGTGGGGGCCCATATTCAACATTTTTAAAGAAAAGAATTTTCAACCCAGAATTTCATATCCAGCCAAACTAAGCTTCATAAGAGAAGGAGAAATAAAATCCTTTACAGACAAGCAAATGCTGAGAGATTTTGTCACCACCAGGGCTGCCTTACAAGAGTTCCTGAAGAAAACACTAAATATGGAAAGGAAAAACTGGTACCAGCCACTGCAAAAACATACCAAAATGTAAAGACCACAACACTATGAAGAAACTGCATCAACTAATACGCAAAATAACCAGCTAGCATCATAATGACAGGATCAAATTCACACATAACAATATTAACTTTAAATGTAAATGGATTAAATGCCCCAATTAAAAGACATAGACTGGCAAATTGAATAAAGTCAAGACCCATCGGTGTGCTGTATTCAGGAGACCCATCTCACGTGCAAAGACACACATAGGCTCAAAATAAAGGGATGGAGGAAGATTTACCAAGCAAATGGAAAGCAAAAAAAAAAAAAAAAAAAAAAGCAGTGGTTGCAATCCTAGTCTCTGATAAAATAGACTTCAAACCAACAAATATCAAAAAAGAAAAAGAAGGGCATTACATAATGGTAAAGGGATCAATGCACAAGAAGAGCTAATTATCCTAAATATATATGCACCCAATACAGGAGAACCCAGATTCATAAAGCAAGTTCTTAGAGACCTACAAAGAGACTTAGACTCCCACACAATAATAGTGGGAGACTTTAACACCCCACTGTCAATATTAGACAGATCAACAAAACAGAAAATTAACAAGGATATTCAGGACTTGAACTCAGCTTTGGACCAAGTGGGCCTAATAGACATCTACAGAACTCTCCACCCCAAATCAACAGAGTATACATTCTTCTCTGCACCAAATAGCACTTATTCTAAAATTGACCACATAATTGGAAGTAAAACACTCCTCAGCAAATGCAAAAGAATGGAAATCATAACAGTCTCTCAGACCACAGTGCAATCAAATTAGAACTCAGGATTAAGAAGTTCATTCAAAACCACACAACTACATGGAAACTGAACAACCTGCTCCTGAATGATTATTGGGTAAATAACGAAATTAAGGCAAAAATAAATAAGTTCTTTGAAACCAATGAGAACAAAGATACGAAGTACCAGAATCTCTGGGACACAGCTAAAGCAGTGCTTAAAGGGAAATTTATAGCACTAAATGCCCTCAGAAGAAAGCAGGAAAGATCTAAAATCGATACCCTAACATCACAATTAAAAGAACTAGAGAAGCAAGAACAAACAAATTCAAAAGCTACCAGAAGACGAGAAATAACTAAGATCAGAGCAGAACAGAAGGAGACAGAGACATGAAAAACCCTTCAAAAAAAAATCAATGAATCCAGGAGCTAGCTTTTTTGAAAAAATTAACAAAATAGATAGACTGCTAGCCAGGCTAATAAACAAGAAAAGAGAGATGAATCAAATAGACACAAGAAAAAATGATAACGGGGATATCACCACTGATCCCACAGAAATACAAACTACCATCAGAGAATACTATAAACACCTCTATGCAAATAAACTAGAAAATCTAGAAGTAATGGATACATTCCTGGACACATACACCCTCCCAAGCCTCAACCAGGAAAAACTTGAATCCCTGAAGAGACCAATAACAAGTTCTGAAATTGAAGCATAATTAATAACCTACCAACAAAAAAAGCCCAGGACCAGAGAGATTCACAGCTGAATTCTACCAGAGGTACAAAGAGGAGCTGGTACCATTTCTTCTGAAACTATTCCAAACAATAGAAAAAGAGGGACTCCTCCCTAACTCATGTTATGAAGCCAGCATCATCCTGATACTAAAACCTGGCAGAGACACAACAAAAAGAGAAAATTTCAGGCCAATATCCCTGATGAATATAGATGCAAAAATCCTCAATAAAATATTGGCAAACCGAATCCAGCAGCACGTTCTAAAGCTTATCCACCACAATCAAGATGGCTTCATTCCTGGGATGCAAGGCTGGTTCAACATAAGCAAATCAATAAACATAATCCATCACATAAACAGAACCAATGACAAAAACCACATGATTATCTCAATAGATGCAGAAAAGGTCTTCGATAAAATTCAACACCCCTTCATGCTAAAAACACTCAATAAACTAGGTATTGATGGACCATATCTCAAAATAATAAGAGCTATTTATGACAAACCCACAGCCAGTATCATACTGAATGGGCAAAAGCCGGAAGCATTCCCTTTGAAAACTGGCACAAGACAAGGATGCCCTCTCTCACCACTCCTATTAAACATAGTATTGGAAAATCTGGCCAGGGCAATCAGGCAAGAGAAAGAAATAAAAAGTATTCAAATAGGAAGAGAGGAAGTCAAATTGTCTCTGTTTGCAGATGACATGATTGTATATTTAGAAAATCCCATCATCTCAGCCCAAAAACTCTGTAAGCTGATAAGCAACTTCAGCAAAGTCTCAGGTTACAAAATCCATGTGCAAAAATCACAAGCATTCCTATACACCAATAACAGACAAACAAAGAACCAAATCATGAGTGAACTCCCATTCACAATTGCTACAAAGGGAATAAAATACCTAAAAATACAACTTACGAGGGGTGTGAAAGACCTCTTCAAGGAGAACTACAGAGCACTGCTCAAGGAAATAAGAGAGGACACAAACAAATGAAAAAACATTCCATGCTCATGGATAGGAAGAATGAATATCATGAAAATGGCCATACTGCCCAAAGTAATTTATAGATTCAGTGCTATTCCCATCAAGCTACCATTGACTTTCTTCACAGAATTAGAAAAAAACTACTTTAAATTTCATATGAAACCAAAAAAAGAGCTGGTATAGCCAAGACAATCCTAAGCAAAAAGAACAAAGCTGGAGGCATCACGCTACCTGACTTCAAATTATACTACAAGGCTACAGTAACCAAAACAGCATGGTACTGGTATCAAAACAGATATATAGACCAATGGAACAGAACAGAGGCCTCAGAAATAACACCACACATCTACAACCATCTGATCTTTGACAAACCTGACAAAAACAAGAAATGGGGAAAGGATTCCCTATTTAATAAATGGTGTTGGAAAAACTGGCTAGCCATATGCAGAAAACGGAAACTGGACCCCTTCCTTACACCTTATACAAAAATTAACTCAAGATGGATTAAAGACTTAAATGTAAGACATAAAACCATAAAAACTCTACAAGAAAACCTAGGCAATACTATTCAGGACATAGGCATGGGCAAAGACTTCATGACTAAAACACCAAAAGCAATTACAACAAAAGCCAAAATTGACAAATGGGGTCTAATTAAACTAAAGAGCTTCTGCACGGCAAAAGAGACTACCATCAGAGTGAACAGGCAACCTACAGAATGGGAGAAAATGTTTGCAATCTACTCATCTGACAAAGGGCTAATATCCAGAATCTACAAGGAACTTAAGCAAATTTACAAGAAAAAAAAACCCCATCAAAAAGTGGGCGAAGGATATGAACAGACACTTCTCAAAAGAAGACATTTATGCGGCCTACAAACATATGAAAAAAAAAACTCATCATCACTGGTCATTAGAGAAATGCAAATCAAAACCACAATGAGATACCATCTCACACCAGTTAGAATGGGGATCATTAAAAAGTCAGGAAACAACAGATGCTGGAGAGGATGTGGAGAAATAAGAACACTTTTACACTGTTGGTGGGAGTGTAAATTAGTTCAACCATTGTGGAAGACAGTGTGGCGATTCCTCAAGGATCTAGATCCAGAAATACCATTTAACCCAGCAATCTCATTACTGGGTATATACCCAAAGGATTATAAATCATTCCACGATAAAGACACATGCACACGTATATTTATTGAGGCACTATTCACGATAGCAAAGACTTGGAACCAACCCAAATGCTCATCAATGATAGACTGGATAAAGAAAATGTAGCACATATACACCACAGAATACTATGCAGCCATAAAAAAGAATGAGTTCATGTCCTTTGCAGGGACATGGATGAAGCTGGAAACCATCATTCTCAGCAAACTAACACAGGAACAGAAAAGCAAACACCACATGTTCTCACTCATAAGTGGGAGTTGAACAATGAGAACATATGGACACAGGGAGAGGAACATCACATGCTGGGGCCTGTCATGGCATGGGGGGCAAGGAAAGGGATAGCATTAGGAGAAATACCTAATGTAGATGACAGGTTGACAGGTGCAGCAAACCACCATGGCACATGTGTACCTACATAACAAACCTGCATGTTCTGCACATGTATCCCAGAACTTAAAGTATAATAATTAAAAAAAAAAAATCTAAATAGCCACATGTGGCAGGGGATCATTGTTTAGGCAGAGCCACCTAGAGTGTCTGTTCTAAGACAGCAGGAGCCATGTCTGTTCTTGTATCCCCAGTGCCTACAACTATGCCTGACATATAATAGGTGATCAATAAACATTCCTTATGTGAGGGAAGAAAAATACAAACAAATGAAATCCCTTCTGATCATCTCTCGGCTCCACTCCCCACTCTCACTGGAGGCCTCCTTCCATCCGGTTTTTTTGTTTTGTTTTGGTTTGGTTTTGGTTTTTGGGTTTTTTTTTGCAGCACTGACCTTAGGCATTTGGCAGAAACACCAGGTGCCAGGGCAGCAGAGTCAATTACTCCCTCCACTGCACTCCATTTGGAGGCAATACCCCCTGTGAGGAGGTGGGATGGTAATGAGGCCTTACCAGGCCCCAATAAATACTGCAGCTGTTTCCTATACAGTCATTTGGGCTTTATGGAATGTGGAAGTGAGTGGCTTGGCCTATAAATCCATGTGAATCGCTTTGTCTATTCCTCCTCCTCCTCCTCCTCTGTCTAATGTTGGAAGACACAGGAGGGAGAACCAAGTCAGTGTTAGGTCAAGAAACTGAATTCAATTAAAGTGTTATTTGGACCCAATCTCTTTTAGGAAATGAACGCAGCATCGGGCTGAATAATATATATTTTGCAAGTAAGGGTTCCTCCTGGACTCCATTTAAGCAGAGAAAGATAATTCAGAACAGACATTCAGTCTGGTCTTGTTTCTACCCAGCGAGGATTTAGGACATCTATGGTATCCCACAGCAATAAGACTTCTACTTCCCCCTGTAATGGCCCCAAATGATGACTGAGAAAGATATAGCTCCCAAGGCCTCTGGAAAACACCTTGTTAATTGTGCCCAGGATTGGCTGGGAAAACAGCAGACAGAGATGCTTTCAGATATTAACAAATATGGGATAAAAACCAGAAATGATGGTTGAGAGATGAGATCAACTACAAAAGTGGCTCAAGTTAAACTTCCTAGAGAGTTCATGCTGTGCCACATGCAGTGGTTTCAGTTGGGGTCTGTTCTGGATGCCGTGGGGGCAGCTGGGGTCTGTTCTGGATGTTGTGGGTGCAGTTGAGGCTGTTCCGCAGGCAGCGGTTGCAGTTGGGTTTGTTCCCAAGGATGTGAAGAACACTCTGGGGCCTACTCTGAGAAGCTGAGTCCTGTTTTTATCATGAAGGGACAATAAATGCGACCATTGTATTTCCCAGGTCACACCTCTGGGAACTGCCAGTCACGTAGTCTCAGATGTATTTTCTCTGGTACTTAGAAATTGTCCTTCACCTGGGGAAGTCTTTGTGTTATAGCAGGGGACAGGGGTATATCTCCATATGCTGTCTGGACAACAGCCAAGCTTCTGAGTATCAGGTACCCTAAAAATTATAATAATGGGAATAACAGTTGCAATTTAGGAAGCCCCAACAAGGTGCCGTTTTCTGTGCAAGGCCATTTTCTACATTATCTCAGGGAATCCCTATGACAACTCTAAGATAGCTACAGCTATTGCTGTTTTACATGTTAAAAGGGTTGAAGGGATTCAGAAGAGTTAAATCATCTGCCATGCTGGGGAGACCCCTGTGGAAGGAAGCAAGGATGGCCTCAGACCAACAGGAAGCAAGGACCCGAGGCCCTCATCCAACAACCCAGGAGAAACTGAATCCTGCCACCAACCATGTGAGTCAGCCTGGAAGCAGATCTGCCATGGACAGAGCTGTGTCCTCCCCAGATTCACATGTTGAAGCCATAACCCCCAATGTGATGGTATTTGGAGATAGGGCCTCTGGGAGATAATTAGGGTTAGATGAGGTCATGAGGTTGGAGCCTCAGGATGGGATTAGTGCCCTTATAAGAAGAGACCAGAGAGAAGAGTCTCTCTCTCTCTCTCTCTCTCTCTCTTTCTCTCTCTCTCTTCCCCCCTCTCTCTTCTCTCTGCCATATGAGGACACAGTAAGGAGGCAATTGTCTATAAACCAGGAAGAGACAGCCTTCACCAGAACCTAGCTGGCCTCTAAATTCCGACTGAGAGGCTCCAAAGTTGTAACAAAAGAAATGTCTGCTGTTTAAGCCACCCAGTCTATGGCATCTTGTTTTAGAAGCCTGGGGAGACTAAGACAGCATCATTCTAGTTAAGCCTTCATATGAGACCTCAGCACCAGGCACCAGCCAACACATCAAAAGCAGTCTTGTAAGAGACCCACAAGCCGAGGACCCAGGTAAGGCAAACCTGGATTCCTGATCCACAAAAACTCTGAGATAACAAATGTGTGGGTTTTTTCAAGCTGCTAAGTTTAAGGGTAATTTGGTACACAGCAATCAATAACTGATACATCACACGACCCGTAAGAACCTCAGCTCTGATTGTAAATCAGGTCACACTGGCCCCAGAACCCACTCATTTTTGCACTACGTCACACTGCATTTCATGTTCTCTTCCTTCCTTTTCCCCAGAAGTTCTGATATAGGTGCCTCTTGCTCCCTGAGACATCCAACGCTGTCCCTTTTCCTACTGCCCTGTCCACTGTGAAGAAGAACAAAACCTTGCCTGCTCCAGGAGGCAGCACCACAGAGTGGAAAGACGGCAGAATTTGGAGTTAGGTGATTAGGATTGGAATCTCAGTGTTGGCCGGAACACGCCCACTGTGTGACCTTGGGCAAGTCACTTCCCCAATCTCTGGGTGCTCACAGGTCATATCTTGAAAGGTCATTTCTTGCAGGATGAATAGAAAGCCTTTGTGTGGAAGGCTATACTCTGGGGATGATTGTGGATAAAGTCCCTTCTCCTCTTTCAGCCTAACAAATGTCATCTGAAAACAAGAAGAGTCAATAGGCACTTCCCAAGGAGGACCAAAGTCAGGCCTGCCAGTCTGGAGTCCACTAGTGGACACAGTGCTCCCCGGCAGTGCTGTATTATGAGGCAAGAGAAGGGGTCCTTGTTCTACCACAACCAAGGACCCAGACAGTGTCTCCTGCAGAGCCACATAGTGATCTTTCCTTCAGGATGTCTCCCCTGAAACTGGCACATCCATGTCCACCCACCTAGACTCCTCAAGACCAATTCTTATTTGGGAACCACAAGTGCCAGCCTTCTGTGTTATTTGCCTGGACAAAGTTCTTATTCACCTGCTATAAATGAGACAAGGTTTATTTGTAAGTCTTCCCAGATACAATTGAACCTCTCCACCCAGAAACATTTCCAGCATCCTCATGCTGTGTGGGGATGAGAGGGAGTAAGGAGGCCTTTCACAAATGTGGTCAGGCTGGGAAACAGTTATCCCAAGAGAGGGCAAAAGGCCAATCAGGCCATATCTACCCTGATTTCTACACTTAAATACCACACCAGTTTTTCCTAGTCTGAATAAATTAACTCATTACCTGTCATGGCATAGTAATGTTTCTAATAAGGTGTCATATGAAAAAGTAGAATACAAAAATGTGGCAAGGAAGGAAGAAAGGGAGGGACAGAGGGAGGAAGGGAAAAGGAAGGAAGGAAGGAAGGAGGAAGGGAGGGAGGGAGGAAATCATAAGGAAACGGTTCTCAAATACTGATGTGTCAGGAACATCTGGAGGGCTTCTTAAACCACATGGCTAGTCTACACCCCCAGAGTTTCTGATTTAGTAGATCTGGGGTGGGGCTGAAAATTTTGCTTTCTGGGTTCTGCTGACATTGCTAGTCTGGAGACTAGACTTTGAGAACCACTGTAAGAAAATATACCAAAATTCAGTGGACACCTATAGGAAATGGGTCTGAGCACAGTTGTTTTGAAGGCTGCATAATATTAATCTGTATTGTGTAATATTGATAATAAAAGTATACATATTTTATAATTAGAAAAAACACATTAGTAGTATTATGGAAAGAAAAAAGTCAATCTTTACATATATGTGTATCAAAAGAGTCAATCCTCTCTGCTTCCTTTAATGTAAAATTCAAAAACAGACAACACTAATCCATGGCGATAGAAATCAGAACAATAGTGGCCTATGGGGGTGGAGATTGACCAGAAAGGGTCCCAAGGGAACCATCTGGAGTAATGGAAATGTTTACCTTGACTGGGGTGGTAGTTACCCAAGTGCATACGCTTATCAAAACTAATCGACTTGTGCATTTAATATCCCTGTTTCTCTCTATCAAATTTAACTCATTTAAAAAAACTCACTGTGATCAGCAAAAGAAGTATCACTTTTATATACATACACATAATACAAATATTATATACACACATATACACAATACCTATAATCATAAGTGTGTAAAATTGATGAGTACAGATGGATATTGACCAGACAATAACACAGCAAGTGAAAACAAGTAATTCAGAAGGGAGGTGGGAGTTTCATCCTTCTTTTTTCCATTTTTACTGTTATTATTTAAGCAAGAGATTTTTTTTTTTAAGTCAATTCCTGTTTATGCTTCTGGTACTGTTCTGTGCTGCCTTTCCCGGAAATGCCTTACCTCTGGTACCAATAACCGCTGAAGACAAAAGCAGAAGACTGGTACAGCATGTATGTGTATGCTGTGCTGCCCAGATCCCCCTGCAGAGGATTTTTGTTTTGTTTTTCTTTCATTGCCTGGGCTTTTGGACTAAGGCTCACACTCCCTCAAATGCCTAAAGTGTTGGCTATCAGCCGGGCCCAGTGGCTCGTGACTGTAATCCCAACACTTTGGGAGGCCAAGGCGGGCAGATCACTTGAGGCCAGGAGTTCAAGACAGCCTGGAAAACATGGCAAAACCCCGTTTCTACCTGAAAGTACAAAACTTAGCCAGGCCTGGTGGCATGCGCCTGTAATCCCAGCTACCTGGGAGGCTGAGGCACAAGAATCGCTTGAACCAGGGAGGCAGAGGTTGCAGTGAGCCAAGATCACACCACCGCACTCCAGCCTGGGCAATAGAGCGAGACCCTGTCTCAAAAAAATAAATAAATAAAGTGTTGGCTATTGAGGTCTCATGGCTAAAACACTCCTCAAGCACTGTCCTGAGCCAAGGAGCATTATCTCACCCCAGATCATTCTCCCTCCCCAGGACAGCCTATGTCCGAGACCATGGGGCAGAGGATCCCACCCCCTTACCTCCCTGTGGATAATTCAGAAGGACCCTCCCGGTTTCAGAACTTCCCATGGGATTGGCTGAGGCCTCTTCCAAGCCTGCCACCCTCACTCCCTCACAGTTGTTGTTGCTGAGAGGTGTCTCATAAACCTGTGCACAGATCTCCACTTTGGGGTCTGTTCTCCAGGGAACCCAACTTAGGAAAATTAGCTTCCCCATTGAACATAAAGTGCCCCATTAATAAGATGAAAAACCCTACAGCCAAAGCATGATGCACTAAGAAAAAAGCACAGCGTGGCAGAGGATGTAGCAAAGAAGCAGTAATTTACACCTCTGTCCTGTCTCAAGAATGAATGAACAAATAGGTACCCTGCACCTATCTCTATCTTTTATGGCATTTCTCACATTGTCATCACAACAGAAGATAATGTGCATGGAAGGTCTGAGACCTGCTCCATTCTGGAATTATAGTCGTTCTGGAATATGGCTATCTTAATAACAAAAGACCACAACGATCAAACTAAAGTCATATGACCTGCCAAAACAGATGAATGTCCAAAACCGGTTACAACTTCAGTTGCTACAAATCTGTTGCAATGTTTGGACATTGTCCACTACAACCTGCCTTTACTGGGCAGCTAGGACCTTACCCACAGGTCATTCACAGCCCCCTGGATTGCACCATCCCTTCGTAGTAGAAAATGTTGTCAGTCGTTACGGTGGTGTGATTTTTAAGTGAGTAATCACTTTTTAAAGTTTTTTAAATTTCTAAAACTTGTGGTAAAATACACACAAGATCTACCATCTCAATCATTTTTAAGTGTACAGGTCTTTGGCATTAAGCCATTCACATTGTTGTGCAGCCAGCACCACCATCCATCTCAGGAACTTTTTCATCATCCCAAACTGAAACTCTGGATCCCCTAAACTTCCCATCCTTCCTACCCCAGCTCCTGGTAGCCTCCATTCTACTTTCTGTTTCCATGAATTTGACTACTCTAGGTATTTCATACAAGTATGGAATCTTACAGTATTCGTCTTTTTGTGACTCGCTTATTTCACTCAGCACAATGTTCATAAGGTTCATCCATGTGGTAGCATGGGTCAGAGTTTCCTTCCTCTTTAAGGATGAATAATATTCTAATGTATATATGTATCAAGTTTTAAAACAAAATTTGATACATCAATGGACACTTGAGTTGCTTTTACCTTTTGGCTATTATGAGTAATACTGCTATGAATATTGGTATAACTATTTGTTGGAGTCTCTGCTTTTAATTATTTTTTGTATATACCTAGAAGTGAAATTACTGGATCATATAATAATTCTGTTTATTTTTTTTTTAGGAACTTAAGTACTTTTTTCCACAGTAGCTGCTCCATTTTATATTCACACTAACAATACACAAGAGTTTCAATTTCTCCACTTCCTCACTAACACTTATTATTTTGGGGGCAGGGGAGTGTCTATTTGTTTGTTTTGGATAGTACCCATCCTAATGGGTGTAAGGTTGTATCTTATTGCAGTGGTTCCCAACCTTTTTGGCACCAGGGACGGGTTTCACGGAAGACAACTTTTCCAAGGACGAGGTTGCAAGGAGATGGTTTTGGGATTAAACTGTTCCACCTCAGATCATCAGGTATTAGTTAGATTCTGATAAGGGGCACGCAACCTGGATCCCTCACATGTGCAGTTCACAATAGGGTTTGCGCTCCTATGAGAATCTGATGCCATGGCTGATCTGATAGGAGGTGGAGCTTGGGTGGTAATGCTCACTCACCAGCCAGTCACCTTCTGCTCTGCGGCCCAGTTCCTAACAGGGGTTAGAGAACCCTGTCTTATTGTGGTTTTAATTTTCATTTCCCTATTAATTTGTGATGTTGAGCATCTTTTCATGTGCTTATTGGACATTTATGTATCTTCTTTCAAAAAATGTCTATCCAAGTCCTTTGCCAAATTTTTGATCCAGTCGTTTGTTTTTGTCATTGCTGAGTTTTAGGAGTTCTTTATATAAGCCAGATATTAACCCCTCTCAGACATAAGATTTGCAAATATCTTCCCCACTCCATGATTGCCTTTTCACTCTGATTATGTCCTTTGATGCACAAAAGTTTTAAATTTTGATGTAGTCCGATTTATTTTTTCTTTTGCTGTCTGTGCTTTTGGTGTCATAGCCAAGAAATCACTGCAAAATCCAATGTCATGAAGGCTTCCCCTACTTTTCTCTAAGAGCTTTATCGTTTTAGGTCTTACATTGAAGTCTTTGAACTATTTGGAGTTAATTTTTGTATATAGTGTAAGGTAAGGGTTCAACTTCATTTTTTTTTTTTTTGCATGTGGATGTCCAGTTTTTCCAAAACCATTTGTTAAAAGATTATTCTGTCTCCACTGAATGTTCTTGGCACCCTTGTTAAAAATCATTAGACCATATACGTGTGTGCTTATTTCTGGGCTCTCAATTGTATTCCATTGGTCTATATGTCTGTCTTTATGCAAGTGATCATTTTTAATATCCTTTTAGAATAACTCTGATGTTCAGCCTTCTAGATTAAAGGTCTTCCACTCTAATCTGTTTCCACACCTGCTCTCCCAAAAGACTTTACACTTCTTGAGAGCAGAGACCATGTCCTAGCTATCTTTGTCACCTCAGTACCTGGCATCATGTCTGGTACATAGGAGGTGCCCCAAAAATATGTGACCCAATGTGGCAAAATCCTGGTGGGTGACTTTGTGTTCATTCCAATCCCACTAAGTATTTCAAGGTGTCCTCAAAAGAAATTAAACTCTACAACACATTGAAGCAGAATATTTCCCTGACCCCTTCACAAGTGGGAACTGGAGTTCAGGGGCAGTGGAACTAGCCAGCTGCTTCAGCACTGACAGGAGTGAATTCCACTCACTCAGACCTGCTGGGCTTCACCCATCATGGGAGGGGGAGCATGCAGGTGAGTGGGTGCAGGAGCCAGGGCGAGTACTTTTGGGCACCAGCAGAAGCAAAACTTCATGTGGCCCCACAGCAGCATCTAGGGGGAAGTGCCTGTGACCCCTGAAGCCCCAGAAGGAGCGTTACAGTGCCCTTTTAGCTTTGTCGTCTGAGGACAGCTTAAGTGTTAACAGCTCGGTGGAGGGTCAGTGTGACAGCCTTTTACACCTGCACCCAATTTCTTGTCTGGCATCCAGGAGGAATGAGGTTGCACAAACAAATTGAAGGTAGTAAATGAGGGGGATTTTATTGCTGATGAAAGTGGCTTTCAATGGGAAGGGGAGCTGAAAAGGTGACAGAGTGGGAAGGTAATCTTCCCCTGAAATCTGGCCATTCCCAGCTGAACTTTTCTCCAAAGCTACATCATCAAGCTGTCCCTCTGAAGTCAAGCCACTTCTCTCCAATGTCCAGCCATAGTCTCTGACATCCAGCTGCTTCTCCTCTCTCTGCCAGCTGAGCCTGGGGATTTTATGGGCACAGGATGGAGGGGTGAGACAGGCCATGGGTGGTTTTGGAAAAGGCAACATTCAAGCAGGAAAACAGGGATGTAAGTTCTCACTTTGAGCCAAGGTTCCAGGCTTGAGGGTGGAACCCTCACCAGGGACCTGCCCTCTTCTGCCCAGAGTTTCCCTGCCTCTTCTCCCTATCAACATTAACAAGAAATGTCTATTTTACTGAAAAATTCTTGGGGAGACAAGAAAGAAAGTTTACATTGTGCATAACATGGGAAAACTTCATAAAACTTCCTTTAAATATTTATCTTCTTTTCCCTCAAAGTCCTCTCTCTGCCAGCTACTTTGTTTTTCCTCCTTCTCTTCCTGTCTCTCTATCTCAGCCTCTAAAAAATATGTTCTACTGTCTCAAAACTATTCCATTTTCAGCCTCAGAGTGCCAACCCACTCAGCCAAATAAGAGCCTGGTGTCTGGTTAATGGAGTACAACCATCTATCCACTGCTCTTCAAACCTAATGCTCACACTCATTCTTACCCAAGCAGTAGATCCAAATGTTCACCCATGATATGGTTTGGCTGTGTCCCCACCCAAATCTCACCTTGAATTGTAGCTCCCATAATTCCCATATGTTGTGGGAGGGATGTGGTGGGAGATAATTGAATCATGGGGGCAGTTTCCCCCATACTGTCCTCCTGGTAGTAAATAAGGCTCACGACATGTGATGGTTTTATAAGGGGTTTCTTTCCCCTTTCACTTGGCTCTCATTCTCTCTTACCTGCTGCCATGTAAGATGTGCCTTTTGCCCTCTGTCATGATTGTGAGGCCTACCCCATCACGTGGAACTGTGAGTCCATTCAACCTCTTTTTCTTTAAAAATTACCCAGTTTCAGGTATGTCTTTATCAGCAGCATGAAAACAAACTAATACAACCCACCTCCACAGGTCTCCTGAAAGGTGAGGCAGATACTAAGGGAGGGTAGAATCTACTGCTAAAAAAATAAGTTTCTCAGCCAGTCATGGTGGCTCACACCTGTAATCCCAACACTACCAGAGGCTGAGGCAGGGGGATCACCTGGAGCCAGGAGTTTGAGACAAGCCTGGGCAACATAGCAAGACCCTGTCTGTACAAAAAAAAAGTCGGAAGGAAGGAAGGAAGGATCTCCACTGGGTTATAAACATGTATTGAATGAATGAATCAAGATTATCACCATCAAGACTTAGTCAATGTCAAAACACAGATGCTCACCAGAAGCCATAGCCTCCCTTAATCCTAACCCCTTCTTCTGCAGAGCCCAGGTCAGCCACTCTTTAATGGGTTCCTGGCTTAACAGAAACCACAGCAAAGCTCTGGGGCTGAGATAAAAAGCCTCTGGTGACTAAGGGGTCCCCTAGTTAGCTTTTCCTGTTCCTGTGAGTCTTTAATTCCTGAGCCCACCTGTCTTGCTGGACCCTCCTTCATTGGCATCCAGACCCTGACTGTCTTCCTGATCTCTGATCTACATAGATTTTTGACTGTTTGTTTTTTTTTTTTTTTGAGATGGAGTCTCCCACTGTCGCCCAGGCTGAAGTGCAATGGCGCAATCTCGGCTCACTGCAACCTCTGCCTCCAAGGTTCACTCGATTCTCCTGCCTCAGCCTCCTGAGTAGCTGGGATTATAGGCACACACCACCACACCTGGCTAATTTTTTGTATTTTTAGTAGAGACAGGGTTTCACTATGTTGACCAGACTGGTCTTGAACTCCTGACTTTGTGATCCGCCCACCTTGGCCTCCCAAAGTGCTAGAATTACAGGCGTAAGCCACCGCATCCAGCCGAATTTTTACCATTATTACCTCCCTGATTGGGCTTCCAGCCCTGCTCTAATCTGTACCATCAAATGTGGCCCTCTTCAACACTAGTTCCACTGCTTCAATTCTATCCTAAATACTGGATGCTAAGGTCTCCAAAGAAATGGAATTGGAATGGAGAAAGGGTCTCCCATTATCTGAGCACTTACCCTGCGCTCAGCACTGAGCTAGGTGCGTCACAATGCTGTGATTCAGAGCTCTTAACCAGCACGTTTGGGTTGAATACTGCTCAGCCATTCACAAGAAATGTGGCCTTGGGCAAGTCACTTAACCTCTGTGTGCCTCATTTTCTCATATAGCATATGGAGATAAGAATAATACCTATTATAAAAGATTATCTTGAGGGTTAAGTGAGTCAATACATGTCATAAATGCTCAACTAATATTAATTGTGGATGTTATTCCAACTCACATGCATTGTCTTCATTTAATGCTCACAAAAACCTTGCAAGACATTATTCTCTCTGACTCATAGGTTTTACAGAAGAGGAAATAAGAGTTCAGATAAAGCAAGTGATTTGCCCACGGTTACTGCTATGTTCTAAATATTTGTATACCAGGCCGGGCATGGTGGCTTACGCCTGTAATCCCAGCAGTTTGGGAGGCCAAGGCGAGCAGATCACTTGAGGTCAGGAGTTGGAGACCAGCTTGGCCAACATGGCAAGTCCCCATCTCTACTAAAAAAAAAAAAATACAAAAATTAGCTGGGCATAGTGGTATGCTACTGTAATCCCAGCTACTTGGGAGGCTGAGGCAGGAGAATTGCTTGAACCCGGGAGGCGGAGGTTGCAGTGAACCGAGATCACACCACTGCACTCTAGCCTGGATGACAGAGTGAGAAGCCATCTCAAAAAAAAAAAAAAAAAAAAAAATTAGCCAGGTGTGGTGGCACACACCTGTAATCCCAGCTACTTGAAAGGCCAAGGCAGGAGAATTGCTTGAGCCTGGGAATGTGAAGGTTGCAGTGAGTTGAGATGGCGCCACTACACTGCAGCCTGGGTGACAGAGTAAGACTCTGTGTCAAACATAAAAATAAAAATAAATAAATATTTGTGTCCCCTCCAAAATGTGTATGTTGAAATCCCAACACTCCTAATAAGATGATAGTATTAGGAGATAGGACCTTTGGGGAAAAGATTAGCTCAAGGGGGTGAAGCCCTCATGAATGGGATTAGTGCCTTTATAAAAGAGGCCCAAGCTGTCTTGTCCCTTCCACCATGTGAGGACACAGCTGGAAGATGCCATCTATGAACCGGAAAGCAGACCCTCACCAGACACGGAATCTGCAGGCATCTTGGTCTTGGACTTCCCAGCCTAAGGAGCTATGAGAAATACATGGTTGTTGTTTATTAGCCACCCAGTTTATGGTATTTTCTTATAGCAGTCTGAGTGGACTAAGTCAGTTACAAAGCCAGTAAGTGGGGGAAGCAAGATCTAAACTTGAGTCTGTTTGATCACCAGGCCTCAGGCCCTTTCCATTGTGTCAGGCCTCCTCCAAAAGCAACTACCTCCAAGATATGCACGGGTCAAGACTCCCTGGGGGAAAAGCAAGGGACAAGAGGCCACCAGCTGAGGCAATTACTCTCCATGGCATACCCAGGAAGTGATGTAGGGAAATGGCAAGAATATTAAGTCAACCTTGAAGCAGAGAGTCCCACTTGCCACTCACCAGCCAAGTGTGCATGTGACCAACTCTCAATGCCCTCATCTGGAAAATGAGATTGATAATATTGTGTGTCTAGTAATAATAATAACAGCCCTGTGCTGGAAGCACACAATGAAAGCAGTAGAATTTGTTGTGGTGGTGTATGTCACGAGAAAGTGCTTTGTGTCTTGTGAAATGTGTCACAAACGTAAGATTACTATTTAAAGTAGGCATAGTGGGAGAGACACAGTCATGGGAGCCAAGAGAAACAGGGTCAAATCACAGCAGCCGGGTATCCTGGGTAGATTACCTCACTTCTCTGAACCTTGGTGTCCTCGTGAATGGGGATGTACCAGACTCTTTCAGTTGCAAGTGACAGAAAGCCCAACCTGAATAGGCATTGGCATTAAAAGGGAGTTTGTTCTGACTCAGGTATCTGGACTATAGTTGAGGCATGTGAACAATGTCAAGTCACAGGCTGTCTTTTGATCTCTTAGCTCTGTTCTCCTGTGTGTTGATTGATTCTCTTTTAAATAGTAGCCCCCACCTCCACATCACCCAGCACATCAGGATTACATCCAATACCCTGGCCGGGCGTGGTGGTGCACATCTGTAATCCTAACTACTTGGGAGGCTGAGACACAAGAATCGCTTGAGCCTGGGAGGCCAAGACTGCGCCATTGCACTCCAACCTGGGCAACAGGGAAAAAAAAAGGGGGGGATATATCCAATACCCTAAACAACCACAGAGAAAAAAACTTCTTTCTCCTAGCAAAAGTTCCAGGATTAATTGTCATTGGCCTGGCTTGCATTATGTGTTCATCCCTGCATCAGTCATCGAAGAGGGGTGGGATAAGCCCCTCTAGAAACACCTATAAGCTGAGAATGGGGCAGATCCCCAAAACACAAAGTGCTATTACCTGAAAAGGGGATAAACAGGTGTCCATGACAAAGTGACAGAGGATAGGATGGCACCTCCAAGTGAACATGAGCCCTGTGTCTAAGTAAGTCATTATGACCATGGCAGAGGAGACAGGGCTCTCTGTCTGAGCAAAATCCAAGCTACTAAGAAGTCAGTCCAACGGGAAGCAAAACGAATACCCTGATTTTTTTTTTTTTTTTTTTTTTGAGATGGAGTCTCACTCTGTTGCCCAGGCTGGAGTGCAGTGGCGCAATCTCGGCTCACAGCCACCTCAACCTCCCGGGTTCAAGCAATTCTCCTGCCTCAGCCTCCCGAGTACCTGGGATTACAGGTGCCCACCACCACACCCAGCTAATTTTCTTTGTTTTTAGTAGAGACGGGGTTTCACCATCTTGACCAAGCTGGTCTCAAACTCCTGACCTCATGATCCACCCGCCTCGGCCTCCCAAAGTGCTGGGATTACAGGGGTGAGCCACTGCACCCGACCACAAACACCCTGATCGTGGCAAATGCAGAGGGTGCCAGGACAGGCAGTAAGGTGGCAGACCCCACAATGGACACATGACAGGGCAAAGGTCAAGGTCAGCCTCACCAGGGGAGAAGTTTGGGGCTCAGAATGAGCAGGTGATGAGATATGGTTAAGCCCATAGCCAAAAGACCCAAGCTATTGGAGCCAGTGCCTCTGGCATTTGGTTGAGTGGACAGCTTGTCCCCCTTAAAGGGCCAGCCCAGCAGGCAAAGGAAACCATAGCGACCACAAGTTAAGGAAGACGGATGAAAAGCTTGTAAACACAGCTTCCAGCCATGTGGCATAGCTTTGGGTTCCTAGGAGACAGCCACATAAAGACCAGTCTGACTCATGGCGACCAAGCAAAGGGGACTATTTCTAGGCACCACTGTGGGCCGATTCAGAGCCTGTGAACCAGACAGGCAAACAGACAGCACGAATAAACATGATAGCTTCGAAAGCAGAGTCTTCATGTGTTGCACACTCAAGGTGCTGAGTGGCCAAGTTTGCTCCCTTTCTGCTACTGCTGTGCTGCCGCCCCCACGCACACACCAGTTTGTGCCCACCTCCCCTTCCCATCTCTTTGCAAACTTCTGTCCCAGCCTTCAGAGCTGGGGGGCAGGTTGCCATGTACAGCGTGGTGGCAACTGGGGAAACTACTGACCAGCTCTGTGTTGCTCCGTCATAAATAACCAGCTGCCTCGCCCAATTTCTTTAGCTGCACAACCAGCAATGACAATCTGCATTTCCATCCATCAGGAGGCAGTAACGGTGGGTCCTCAGCAGGATGCTGATAACCCCTTTTTTCAAGGCCACGGCCAAGCTGCTTTTCACTGCTTGAGAGTTAACTATGACTCTGCAATGCCGGATATGACAGTACCCACTCGACACAGACATTTAATAGGATGCAGAATCTGCTTTCTCTCCAATCTGATTTTCCAAAGGCAAAAAGAAAAAAATAAGCTAACTCTTTTTGCCTGTTAAATACTTGAAATTTTAGGTGCACAGAACCCAAATAGTAACTATGGCAACGCAAGCCACTCCAATAAGACTAACACCGATTATTTCCAGCACAATAGCCTGGCTTGTGCTCAGAAAGCAGAGGTAATGTTGGCTGAAAGCAATTCCTGAATTGTTGGGGGTGGTGGGAGTCTTCCAGCAGTGGAGGCTTTATGCTTAGGTTTCTAGTTCCCGGCCTCTAGGATTCAGTGGCAAAATAAATAAATTACTGGATTGCTATCTCGCCTCTCCACACTAATAAACTGGCAGCCTCTGCATTCTCTACTTAGGTTTCTTCACTCTCCAACCACAAAGCCACTGAAATCCCAGGACTCACAGTGATAGCATTAAGAATATGGGTTATGAAAATTACAGTATCAGGCAGCATGGCCAGCTTTTAAAGAACATCCTACTGGGAGCTTCCTGAAGGCAAGGGAATGTGCAATATGCTCTGCATACAGGGCTGAGGACTTGGCCCGTGGTAGGTGAAACTCTCTCTGATCCCATTTGTTTTACAGATCGGAAAACAGACTCATGAAAATTAGACTTGACCATGGCCACTCAGAATCAGGAGATAATGTGGACTCCTGGTTAAGGCTACTGGCTATGGAGAAGAACAAAATAAGGATCCCCTCTTGGTTGTTAGACTCTGGGCAAGTCACTCAACTTCTTTGAATCTGGGTTTATTTTGGACCTAGATGTACTTACTTTTATTATTATTATTATTATTACTATTATTATGAAAAGGCAAACCTTTTAATGTTGGTGTAAGAATAAACAAAGTAATTTATGTAGTGTAATTAGCGCACAATACGCGCCCCAATTAGTAGATACTTTTGTTTGTTTGTTTGTTTGTTTGAGACAGGGTCTTGCTCTGTTGCCCAGGCTGGAGAGCAGTGGCATGATCTGGGCTCACTGCAACCTCCACCATCCGGGTTCAAGCGATTCTCATGCCTCAGTCTCCCAAGTAGTTGGGACTACAGGCATGCACCACCACGCCTGGCTAGTTTTTGTATTTTTAGTAGAGACAGGGTTTCGCTATGTTGGCCAGGCTGGTCTCAAACCTCAAGTGACCCGCCCACCTCAACCTCCCAAAGTGCTGGGACTACAGGCATGAGCCACTGTGCTCAACCTGATAATGTTATTATTATTAATGGCAAAGCCAATGACTTCTGCACAATACAGAAGGGAATTCAACTTTACCTTAATCCATAATCCTACCTCTTTCCAAACCCTGTCTTCTGACATAAACCGACCATTCAACCAGCTCAAATTTAACAATCTTTTCCACTAAGGTCATGGTTCTCAAACATTTTGATCTCAGGACTTCAACACTTAAATATTATTGAAGACTCCCAAAAAGATTTTGTTTATGAGGTTTTATCTATCAATAGTTACCAAATTAAAAATTAAAACTAAGACTTTTAAAACTACTTATTAGTTTACTTTAAGATAACAATTAACTCATTACATGTGAACATTACATATTTTATAAAATATAAGTATCTTCCAAAATTTAAGGAAATGTATATTTAATAAGAAGCATAGCATTGTTTTACATTTATGCAAATCTCTTTAATGTCTGGCTTAATAGAGGAGAGCTTTATTCTCATTTCTGCTTCTCCATTCAAGCTGTTATGATATATTTGTTTTTGTTTTTGTTTTTGTTTTCTTTTGGGACAGAGTCTTACTCTGTCGCCCAGGCTGGAGTGCAGTGGTGAGATCTCAGCTCACTGCAACCTCTGCCTCCCAGGTTCAAGCGATTCTCCTGCCTCAGCCTCCCAAGTAGCTGGGATTACAGGTGCCCACTACCATGCCTGGCTAATTTTTGTATTTTTAGTAGAGACAGGGTTTGGCCAAGCTGGTCTCGAACTCCTGACCTCAAGTGATTCGCCCACCTCAGCCTCCCAAAGTGCTGGGATTACAGGAGTGAGTCACTGTGCCCAGCCATGATATATTGTTTTGATTGAATAAGGGTATGAAGAAAATATGATCTCACACAGATAAATATAGTTGGAAAGGGAAGGAATATTGTAATAGTCTTTTCAGATAATTGTGAATTTTCTACTTTGACACTATGCCAAAATTCAGCAAGTGGTAGTTTCTTTTTTTTGTTTGTTTTGAGAAGGAGTCTCACCCTGTCACTCAGGCTGGAGTGCAATGGCAGGATCTCGGTTCACTGCAATCTCTGTCTGCCTCCTGGGTTCAAGCGATTCTCCCGCCTCAGCCTCCCAAGTAGCTGGGATTAGAGGCACCCGCCATTATACCTGGCTAGTTTTTTCTATTGTTGTAGAGACGGGGTTTCTCCATGTTGCCCAGGCTGGTCTTGAACCCCTGACCTCAGGTGATCCACCCCCCCTCGGCCTCCCAAAGTGCTGGGATTACAGGCATGAGCCACCGCACCAGGCTGGTAGTTTCTTAAAGACTAGTTGCATGTAGAATCTGAAACCATATCAGTGAACTTTTCATACTCCGTTAACATTAAAATCTATTGGCCTATCATGTACTTTGAATGGATTTTTTCTTATGCATGATTTTGTAACATCATGCATTGGATGATATTGGAAAATATTGGCTCACTGAATTATGCAGATCTTCCAAACACTGTCACATTTTATTATCCAACATCACATTCACTAACATCACCACCAATCTCATAATTTAAGTCTTTAAGTATTGGGAAGCTGTCAGGCTCAGGGCAGCAGATATTCTAATTTTCATTTGAAAGCTTGAATGGGATCTTTGGTAACAAATACTGTCAGTTGTTTTCCTTGACAGGCTCATTTTAATTATTTTTGAGAAATTTTCTGCTAAATACCCAAGCTAGAGCAATTACGGTCTTTGTTAAAAGATAATTTTTTTAAAAAAAAGAAAAAAAGGTAAAACCATGACTCTTATACTGACACAAAATGAACACATGTTAAAGTTTTTTAAAACTCATAATGAGGGAACCAGGCAGATATTTAAACCAGTTCAAAGGAGAAACCAAACAAGCACAAATTCTTAAGGAATTTTGAAATGTTAAAACGATAGTACACATGGACACAAGACTGGCTTTTTTACTGGATGGAGAAGGGCTGTCCCTCCACCAGGCAGAATTCATTTGCCTAACATTTATAGACAAGAATTATTTTGCATTGCCATCAGTTATCTACAACTTAACAGAGTTGTAAAATAGCTCCCATAGAATCAGAATCAACTAAGGATGTGCAACAAACAATGCAGTTTTCCTTCGAAGCACAAATCTTCTCTTAGAGTTGTATGTCACTCATTCTCCCGAGTTAAAAAAAAATGGTGTTTAATAAAAAAAAAAAGCTGGTAGTTGAGCTCACAACTCAACAGTCACACAAGTGCTCTTCCTGAAACAACCATCCTACTTCGGTATGCCACACAAGTGCTTTATGTGTATTTCTTATCTCATGACATAAAATACCAAAAAGATGTGTAAAAGATGTGTGCCTAAAAGTTGAGATTTAATAAATTAATAATGTGTACTGCTTTGTCAAGGACATTCTTAGGTGAAACTAGGTTTTTGTTTTGTTTTACCACGTGTGTGTGGCAAAGAATACAATGACTACTAGTAAAGTTTGGTGTCACCACCTTGCTGTCTAAGGTGCCAGAAGCTTTAGCTACCATTGCTTTTGCACCATTCGTGCGAAAGTCAACACAGTGAAATGGCAAGTAATGGTCTTAGTATTAATATAAAAATAGTTCTGGGCTGGGTGTGGTGGTACATGCCTGTAATCCCAACATTTTAGAAGGCTGATCGGATGGATTATTTGAGCTCAGGAGTTTGAGACCAGCCTGAACAACGTGATAAAATCCCATCACTACAAAAAATACAAAAATTATCTGGGCATGGTGTCATGCACCTGTAGTAGTCCCAGCTACTCGGGAGACTGACACAGGAGGATCACTTGAGCCTGAGAAGTTGAGGCTGCAGTGAGCCAAGATCACACCACTGCACTCCAGCCTGGGCAATAGAATGAGAGTCTGCCTCAAAAAAAAAAAAAAAAAAAATGGGTCTGATCTTGAGGACCTCGACAGGACCTTGGGGAACTCCAGGGGTCTGTGGCACATACTTTTAGAACCACTGCCCTAAGGTAATGCTGTTGATTAAGGAAATGACCTGAAGAAGATTAAGCAAAAGAAGCTAAGAGCCAGATATCTGCAAACTGAATAACCAGACCTCACAGGGATCACTACTTGGAAAGGGAAAAGTAATCAGTGAAAATCTAGGAACAGTGCAAGAGTTAGGGGAGTGAAGAGGACAAAATCCACTAGAAGTTTATATGCTTTCATTGTTATCACATACTGGCAATTCCCAACAAAACCAGGGCTAAAATACTTCTCCCTATGTGGGCAGACCATCCTACTGTCCAGAAGCACAGACCGAAGCACCAGGGTCCACTGACGTTAGAGTGGCAGGCTGTGTAGCGAAGAGATGGCCACCATTCTATTGTTTTAGTGATTAATGATGGGGCTCAGAACTTGCTGCTCTAAAATATGACACCTTGGCATTTGAGAAAACAGCAGAAGCAGGAAGGTCTCTCTGACCCCGCTTTTCTCTTCTAAAGCAGGCCATAAAAGAATTCTCCAACCTACCTGTGAGGAGACTCATATTTGAGAGGTATCCTCCCTATACCTGGAGGAAAAAAAATGTCCTCATCTCTGAAGACACAGGGATGCAGAAAAGAATCTGAACAAACAGGCCTTGCTAAGTTTCCCCCAGTTTATTACCATTAGATCTCACACTTACTTGTTCCACAACCATACTTGTCCGTATCTGTCCACTCTTCATCAAACCTAAGCATAAAACCAGTTGTGGTGGCATGTGCCTGTAGTCCCAACTACTCAGGAAGCTGAGGCAGGCAGATTACTTGAGCCTAGGAGTTATTCAAAGTCCAGCCTGGGCAACATAGTGACGCCCCACCTCAAAAAAAAAAAAAAAAGTTAAATGAAAAACAAACCTAAGCATTAAAATACAGAAGTTGGCCAGGTGCAATAGCTCACTCCTGTAATCCCAGCATTTTGGGAGGCTGAGGTGGGAGGATCGATTAAACTCAATCCCAAGAGACCAGCCTGGGCAATACAGTGAGATCTCTTCTCTACTAAAAACAAAGTTTAAAAATTAGCTCAGCTTAGTGACGTGCACCTGTAGTCCCAGCTGCTGGGAGGCTGAAGTGAGTAGACTGCCTGAGCCTGGGAGATCATGGCTGCAGTGAGCTGTGATCATGCCACTGCACTCCAGCCTGGGTGACAAAGCGAGACCCTATCTCAAACACACACACACACACACACACACACACACACACACACACACACACACATTTATCTGTGTCTTGGTCTTCATTTCTGAAGGCTCCTGTGTCACACAACACTTATAATGAATAGATCTGTATACTTTCTTCTCGTTTATCTGTCTTTTGTTATAGAGGCCTCAACCTTGAACCTGGTAATGGGTGAGGAAAGATTTCTTCCAGCATGCCCCCCAACACACACTATTTTAGAAATGTTAACATGGATACATACCAAAATCCAAGGTTGGCTGGGCACGGTGGCTCACACCTATAATCCCTGAACTTTGGGAGGCTGAGGTGGGAGGATCACTTGAGACCAGGAGTTCCAGACCAGCCTGGGCAACACAGCAAGACCCCATCTCTATTTTTTTTTAAATCCAAGATTGATCAGTACCTTAAAAATAACCCCATGAAAAATAAAGACTATGACTCCTAACTTTAGTCACTTTATTTATTTTGTTTTTGTCGTTGTTGTTGTTGTTGTTTTTGAGACGGAGTCTCGCTCTGTCGCCCAGGCTGGAGTGCAGTGGCGCGATCTCGGCTCACTACAAGCTTCGCCTCCCGGGTTCCCGCCATTCTCCTGCCTCAGCCTCCTGAGTAGCTGGGACTACAGGCGCCCGCCACCACACCCGGCTAATTTTTCGTATTTTTAGTAGAGACGGGGTCTCACTGTGTTAGCCAGGATGGTCTCGATCTCCTGACCTCATGATCTGCCTGCCTCAGCCTCCCAAAGTGCTGGGATTACAGGCGTGAGCCACCGCCCCTAGGCTATCTTGTGTTTTTTTAATCTTTCAGGACATCGTTATTATCTTCTAGAGGTAATACTCGTTTGCCTTGTCCACACACTGACACTCTTTTTTTTTTTTTTTTTTTTTTTGGGACAGGGTCTAGCTCTGTCACCCAGGCTGGATTGGAGTACTGCATTTATGGCTCACTGCAGCCTCGACCTCCTGGGCTCAAGCAATCTTCCTACCTCAGCCTCCTGATTAGTTGGGACTACAGGCAGGTGCCACCATGCCTGGCTAATTTTTGTAGTTTTAGTAGAGACAGGGTTTCACCATGTTGCCCAGGCTGGTCTTGAACACCTTGGCTCAAGCGATCCTCCCACCTCACCCTCGTGAACTGCTGGGATGACAGGCGTGAACCACCACACCCCAGCACATTAACACTCTTTTGATCCTCATTTCTTCTTGCATTTTAGTCCTCCTTCTGCTTAAAGTATATTCTTTAGAATTTCCCTTGGAAAGAGTCTACTGGTGACGAGTTCTCTCAGATTTTGCCTGAAAATGTTTTTCCACTTCCTGGTGAATAATATTTTTGTTGCATATATAATCCTACATTCACAGTGATTTTCCCTTAGCATATGTAAGATATTTTAGTGGTTTCTCCCATGTTCTCACTTAGAAGTGGGAGCTAAACAATGGCCACACATGAACTCACAGAGTGAAATAATAGGCAGTGGAGCCTATAAAAGGCAGGAGGGTGAGGTGCAGTAAGCGTTGAAAAACTGTGTATTGGGTACAATGTTCACTATTCGAGTGATGGGTACACTAAAAGCCCAGACTTCAACATTATACAATACATATATGCAAGAAACCTGCACTTGTACCCCCTAAATACATGAAAATTTTAATTTTTTTAAGACTCATTAGTGGTTTGTATTATTGCCATTGAGAAGACAACTGTCAGAATAATCATCGTTCTTTAGAGGTCATCTGTCTTTCACTCTGATTGCTTTAAGATCTTTTCTTTGTCTTGATGTTCTGAAGTTTCATTTGTGATGTATGTAGGTGTGAATTTTTTTTTAATCTATCTTACTTGAGATTTACTGGGCTTCCTGAATGTATGGACAGGTATCTTTCACCAGTACTGAAAAATTCTTAACCACTACCTGTTCAAATATTATCTCCACATTCTTTGTCTCCTCTTCTTATGGAATACTAATTATACATTTCAATATTCAATAAAGCAATATTGAATTGTTTCATTCTATCTTTGTTTTTTTTTTTTTTTTTTCTTTGGAGACAGAGTTTCACTTCTTGTTGCCTAGACTGGAGTGCAATAGCGCAGCCTCGGCTCACTGCAACCTCTGCCTCCCAGGTTCAAGTGATTATCCTGCCTCAGCCTCCCAAGTAGCTAGGATTACAGGCACACACCACCACACCTGGCTAATTTTCATATTTTTAGTAGAGACGGGTTTCACCATGTTAGCCAGTCTAGTCTCAAACTCCTGATCTCGGATGATCTGCCCACCTCAGCCTCCCAAAGTGCTGGGATTGCAGGCATGAGCCACCACATCCAGCCTTGTTTCATTCTATCTTCCAGAGCTCTAGATATTGTTCCAGAACTCTCCCCTAGGTTACTAATTCTCTTCTCAACTTGTCTAATTAACTGTGGAATCTATAATTTTTCATTTGTAGAAGTTATTTTTATAAAATTCACTTTGTCTTTTTTTTTTTTTTAGACAAGTTCTCACTCTGTCACCCAGGCTGGAGTACAGTGTGTGATCAGAGCTTACTGCAGCCTCCAACTCCTGGGCTCAAGTAATCCTCCTGTCTCAGCCTCCCAAGTAGTTGGGACTATAGTGCATGTCACCACACCCAGCTAATTTTTTAAATTTTTTGTAGAGACAGGGGTTCCACTATTTTGCCCAGGCTGGTCTTGAACTCCTGGGCTCAAGTGATTCTCTTACCTCAGCCTCCCAAAGTGCTGGGATTACAGGTATGAGCCACTATGCCTGGCCACACATTGTCATTTTTCCAGTTTAATTCTTTCTTTTTTTCAGATGGAGTCTCGCTCTGTCACCCAAGGTGGAGTTCAGTGGCGTGATCTTGGCTAACTGCAACCTCCACCTCCTGGATTCAAGCGATTCTCCTGCCTCAGCCTCCCAAGTAGCCGGGACTACAGGCATGCGCCATCAAGCCTGGCTAATTTTTTGTATTTTTTAGTAGAGATGGGGTTTTACCACGTTGATCATGGTAGTCTAGAACCCCTGACCTCAAGTGATCCACCCACCTCAGCCTCCCAAAGCGCTGGGATTACAGGCGTGAGCCAGCATGCCTGGCCTAGTTTACCTAGTTTAATTCTTTATTCACAATTTTATTTCTGATTTCTTTTAACATATTCGAATACTTCTTTTATATTCTGTGACTGATAATTATACCATCTGCAGTCTCCATGGATCTGATTCTGCTATCTGTTGTTTCTGCTGGCTCAATACTTGTTGCCTTGCTTCCCTGTAATTTTTCACCATGAATTGAAATCTCTTAAAACTTCATCAAAATGAATTCCTTGAGATCTGGGAAAAGACAAGTTCTTCTATGGGATATGCATTTGTTTCTGCTAGGCATCTTAAGAACACTACTAGTCTAACATCACTTTGGTTGTGTGAATTCATGTTATAGATCCTCGTAACAGTTTACTTGTAGTTACAAATTCTCAGAGATTTTTTTTGGGGGGGCCCTACAACCAGCCCCGATGTTCAAGACAGACAATTGTTTTTATCCTTTAGGTGACAGATTTATTTCCAAATCACCCTCACACTAAATTACCATTACACTTGGCTATTTAAGGACATAACTTTATGGGAGGGGTCCTATTAGACCCTTACCTTGGACAGGTTCTGGGCTTCATCTTCTGTCTCCCGTAACTGAGACAATGAAAAAAACCAAAGCTCAAAACTCACCCAGTTCAGGCTGGGAATGGTGGCTCATGCCTGTAATACCAGCACTTTGGGAGGCTGAGGCAGGCAGATCACTTGAGGTCAGGAGTTTGAGACCAGCCTGGCCAACATGGTGAAGAAACCCTGTCTCTACTAAAAATACAAAAATTAGCCGGGTGTCATGGTAAACAACTGTAGTCCCAGCTACTCAGGAGGCTGAGACAGGAGAATCGCTTGAACTCAGGAGGCAGGGGTTGCAGCGAGCTGAGATTGTGCCACTGCACTCCAGCCTGGGCGACAGAGCAAGACTCGGTCTTAAAAAAAAAACCACCATCACCCAGTTCAGCAAGTGTCTATGAAGCAAACACAAGCCAGTTTGGGGCCCTGCTTACCTTTCTTCATTTTTGGCCTCTGAGTATTTCTTCATAACTTGCTAGCTCACTAACATATTTTTAATGGTTTTAAATGTTATCCAGAATTTTTAGTTGTTTACAACAGGAGGATAAGTCAAGGTATCTTTTCTGCCATACTGCAAGAAATGAAAGTCCACATCAAAGTATGTGCTATGTAAATGATGAATGGTCTGATGTTGTTTGGTTACATAGGACAGGTGTGTGGGGGGACAGCAAGATTGGAGCTGGAGATGCACCTGAAAAGCTCAGTAGGGACTAGGCAATGAGGGGCCCTAAATGTCATTTGACATTCGAACCTTATCCAGTAGGTAATGGAGGGACTTCCAAATTCAGATCACAAGGTTCATAAAGTTTTTTATATTATTGTTTCCTTTCAAGTAGTGTTTCTCAAAGTGTGGTCCAAGCTCTACCCTCTTCAGAATCCTCTAACTCACTTATCAAAACTTGCAGATCCAAGCTATACCCCAAACCTACTGAATCAGTATCCCTAGGGAGTGAGTGTTAGAAGGGGGGAATTCTCAAGACCCACAATTTTAACAAGCTTGCAAGTAAACCTTATGCACACTAAACTCCCAGAGCCGTGAGTCAGAGCAATGCTTTCCTAACAGCTAATGAGACCACTAGCAAGATGGGAAATCATTTTTAATGAGCTAAAATAGAATGAAAACTCTCAGAGTATATATCTTGCTATAAGGATGTGTATTATTTCACAAAACTTTTGTTGTGGTGGTAGTGGTGATGGTGTGTGTGTGTACGTGTGTTCTGGGCTAAGCTATAAAATGTGTTTTATGTGCTGAGGTCAAAAAAGAGAGGCATTGCCTTGGAGGATGCCCTTTATATTCTTTTTAATCACACTTTACCGATAAATAAAATATTAAGAGGAAAAGGAGTGCAATAAAATTCCCCCCTGAATAACTCCTTCCTGTAGCATGCAGGCTCACATTGATGTGTATACATGATCAATTCATCTCGGCACTTTCTGACTCAAAGTAAAGTGATGAAAAGCATCTCAATGAACATGGTATGGTGAAAGCATGCTGCGAATTGTCACCTATTCCACAAGCGTTTTCTTATTTGCCTGAAGAGATTACAAAACCTGTGTTCCCGCTCTCATTACATCTCAGCAGCCCTGTATTTAAGGAGATAAGGTATCACAAAATCCTGGCACAACTGGCACAAAGTACCATGTGAGTCCCTTTGCTGTACAGGATTTCGTTATACTGAGCACTGCTTCCACCAACGGGTCACAGGTTGTAGCCTGGAATACATTTTATTTGGATACTTTTTTCCTTGCTCTTGTATTTGCTGCAATGGTGTATATATCTATGGTCTATTCTCCCAAAAAACAATCAATAAGCAAGGACAAATACAAATGCATCCATTCATGCATCAACACCACACACACACACACACACACACACACACACACGCACACACATTTGTTGTCTTAAATATATTTCACAAATTTCATTCACTCAGTGTCTTTATTATGTTTTCCATTTCTACATACCTCTGGCACTACTATTTACCTTTCTTCTTTAAATCGAATCAGATTTTTATATAAATAAGATTTTCATAAAAAATAGTTTATACCCTTTCAGCAAATGGAAAATTAGTTTCACTTGCCAAAAAAAAGAAGGCAACTGTAAAAATAAATGTAAGACAGAGTGAGCCAAATTATCACACTCAACTTAAGTTCTATTGCCAGCCAAAGCCCAGAAACTAAATAGAGCCTCTTCTCTTTGTCCAAAAGAAAAAGAGATGTGGCTGTTTCTCATTAAAGCCCTACTAGGATCAAACTGAGTGTTTTCCCATGATGTTAACAGAAGGCATAAGAGATTGGAAAAGGAAATAACTTTCTTGGTAGTGATTCTGTTTTGTTTTTAGGCTGAACAGATACCTCTTGGAATCACCTACTGTTGCATTCGCATCTCAGACTTTGAGAAACAATGACATAGATCTTTGGTTCTCAAACTGTAGCGTGCATCAGAATCCCCCAGAGGGCCCGTTAGAACACAGATGGCTGTGCCTCATCCTTTGAGTTTCTGACTCAGTAGGCAAAGCCCAAGAATTTGTATTTCTAACGAGTTCCCAGATGGGGCTGATGCTGTTGATTGAGACCACACGTTGAGAACCACTGCATAGATCAATCCTATACATCGTTCAAAACCCTGCTTGGGTGAGTCCTTCCTTTTCTGCCCTCCATGAAGCCTTCTCTGCCTTCTCTATCCACCTTACACTTCCAAAATAGTCACTTATTGTCCATCTCATTGATTCCTATTCTTTTCACTCAAAGCAAACATTTTATTATTCTCATTTCACAAATCCCATGCTTTGAAATGTTTTTTGTCTATCAAATAAAAGACATTTATCAAGTAATAATTAATTCATTTTCTCATGTTTTATTAATCAAAGACAACGGTAACTGCCAATCAGATCTTCCAGTCAGCATGGGGTAACTGGTGTTTCTAGCCCCGAGCAAAGAAACCTGATGTTTTCTTTTAATTAGCCTGTGCATCTAATATCTAGCAAATATGAGCTCTTTGGATTAGTCTTTTTGAAGTACTGCAAATAGCTCATAAGCACCCCTTCCTTCTCCCCCCATTACTGCTCTCTAAGACCCTTGGGAGCCTGGGAGCTCAGGTTGGGACCACCTGGTATATATCATTCATCTGGTCATTAATCTCTGATTGTCTTCTGTCATTTCTTCTATTGTTGTCCCTTAAGAGTACAATGGGGCTGCATCTGACTCTTCTTTGTAAACTGTACAGTACCTTGCTCAGGGCTTTAGATTTAGCAGCTGAAAAAAAAAAGAAAGAAAGAAAGAAAGAAAAAAGAAAATGAAAAAAAAAACCCACCCACTGCTGATTTCAAATATGTTTGACTATATCACAATTGCATCCAGGGGAGAGCAACACAATAAAAGAATATTTGCAGTAAAACAGACCTGTATTGTAAATAGGAGAGTTAAATTCCAAAGTTACCCTTTGTGGGAGGAAAATGAGTCAACAAAACAATGGCCTTTCCAGGGTTGGTAAAGAGACCTGAAAATATCCACTTGCCTGGGTAACTTCACCAGGAGATGATTCCATTTGATTGCTCTGACTGGTGCCTCCTGGAAGGCTGGTAAAGGGGAAATGTTTGAAATGAGTACAACTTAATCACAAACGGACAAACTGAGGATGTGGACTGATGGTAAGATCTTAATGACTCAGAAATATCTGTCTTCCTCGAGAATACGTGACTCTTTCTTTTTCCAAAACTCTGCTTAAAACTGCTGTCCTGATCTAATTAAACTAAAGACCTTCTGCACAACAAAAGAAACTATCAACAGAGTAAACAGACTTAAAGAATGGAAGAAAATTTTTGCAAACCATGCATCCGACAAAGGTTTAATATCCAGCATCTATAAGGAACGTAACAAATTTACAAGAAAAAACAAACAACCCCATTAAAAAGTGGGCAAAGGACATGAACAGACACTTCTCAAAAGAAGACATACATGCAGCCAACAAACATACGAAAAAAAATCTCAGCAGCATTGATCATTAGAGAAATGCAAATCAAAACCACAATGAGATATCATCTCACATCAGTCAGAATGGCTACTATTAAAAATTCAAAAAATAACAGATGCTGGAGAGGTTATGGAGAAAAAGAAACACACACTGTTGGTGGGAATGTAAATTAGCCCAACCATTGTAGAAGACAGTGTAGCAATTCCTCAAAGACCTAAAGAAAGAAACACCATTCAACCCAACAATCCCATTACCGGTTATATACCCAAAGGAATATAAATCATTCTCTTATAAATACACATGCACACATACATTTGTTGCAGCATTATTCCAATAGCAAAGACATGGAATCAACGTAAATGCCCATCAATGATAGACTGGGTAAAGAAAATGTGGTATACACCATGGAATACTATGCAGCCATAAAAAAGAATGAGATCCATACACACCATAGAATACTATGCAGCCAAAAAAAGAATGAGATCATGTCCTTTGCAGGGACATGGATGGAGCTGGAGGCCATTATCCTTAGCAAACTAGTGCAGAAACAGAAAACCAAATACTGCATGTTCTCACTTACAAGTGGGAGCTAAATGATGAGAACACATGGTCACATAGAGGGAAACAGCACACACTGGGGCCTATCAGATGGTGGATGGTGGGAGGAGGGAGAGGATCAAGAAAAATAACTAATAGGTACTAGGCTTAATACTTGAGTGATGAAATAACCATAAAACAAACTCCCATGACACACATTTACCTATGTAGCAAACCTGCACATGTATCCTGGAACTTAAAATAAAAGTAAAAAAACAAACAAACAAACAAAAAAAAACACCAATTCTTGCAAGCCATCCTTGGTGGGAATGACCACCACCCACACCTGCTTGATTCGGACCACATTTTATTCTAAATTCCCTTAGCAATATGAACTCACTGCATGTTGCATTGAAATTGCTATTGAAGCTTTCGTGTGTGTGTGTGTGTGTGTGTGTGTGTGTGTGTGTGTGTGTGTGTTTGGGAGGGCATCCTTCTCCTCTCCAAAGAAACAGCTCCCCCCACCTGTGACACAGACTTGACTATTACACAGTAATCTCTTTATTTGATGACCTGCTTATGCCAGGCATCTTCTTCCAAATGCCAAATGCCAATAAAATAAGCTATTATCTATCATCAATCTGTTAGTGTTCCTTCCTGCCCTTCGTTGATGAATGGGATGCTCCAATATTATTGCTAGCATTGCTTTGAATAGTTCCACGAAGGAAACTCCTAGGAAATCTTTTGGCTACTTGTTGACTCTGGAAAAGATGCAAAAAGTGAGGTTTGGGGTTGTTGTTTTACTTGTTACAAAGGCTTATTAGATTTAGCTAATTATACAGCTTATCAAAGTAAAAGATCTTATGGGTGCCATCTGATGGCCTTCCCCATCACTCATGCCTGATTGAATAACAGGGTTAAAATCCAAGGAGCTCTTCCTCTAATGAAGTTTCTGCTCTGGTCTGTTGCTATGGCAACTTAGGACTGTAGTACAAGATGACAGCAAATATATTAAATATTGCTGCAAATCTATTCTCTTCATTCTTTAGTGACCTCAGAACCAAAACTGTTTTACAGCATGGAAGTTTTGAAGAAGTGTTGTGCCTGCTGTTTTTCTTCCTCTCCTCAACATGAAAACCTACCATATCTCTACACTCTAGCATCGTGCCATCCAGGTAGCAGGCATGCAAAATACATTTCAGGGGAATTCGTTGTGATTGGTGGATTAACCACACACATTTATTTCTTCATCCTGAGAGCCCACTAAAATGACAGCAAAGGCATAAAAAGACATACAGACAAGGAAAATGGAAAATAATGTCACAATGGGCAAGAGATTTCCATTTTTTAGCTCTTTTTTTCTATCGTGGTAAAATACACATAACATAAATTTTACCATTTTAACCATTTTTAAGTGTACAGTTCAATGACATTAAGTATATTCATATCATTGTGCAACTATCACTACCATCCATCTCCAGAATGGAGATTTTCATCATCCCAAACTGAAACTCTGTACCCATTAAACACGAACTCCCCATTCTCCTCTTCCCCAGCCTCTGGTAACCTCTATTCCACTTTCTCTATGTATTTGACTAATCTAGACACTTCATGTAAGAGGAATCATATACATATACCCTTTTGTACCTGGCTTATTTCAATTAACATCATGTCTTCAAGGTTCATCCAACTTGCTGTATTTATCAGAATTCCTTCCTTTTGAGGCTGAATAATATTCATTGTATACTTAGAGCACATTTTCTTTATCCATTCATCCACTGATGGATGTCTGGTGCTGTTTCCACTTTTTGGTTATTGCAAAGAATGCTGCTATGAACATTAGTATCTAAATATTTGTTCAAGTTCATACTTTCAGTTCTTTTGTGTACATACCCAGAAGTCAAATTACTGGATCATGTGGTGATTTTATATCTAATTTTTTGAGGAACAATCATACTGTTTTCCATAATGGCTGTACCATTTTACATCCCCAACAGCAATGCGCAAGGGTTCCAGTTTCTCCACACACAGGCCAATGCTTATTGTTTTCTGTTTTTGATAATAGTCATCCTAATGGATGTTGGTGGTGTCTCACTGTGTCTTCAGTTTGCATTTCCCTAGGGATTAGTAATGTTGAACATCTTTTCATGTGCTTATTGGCCATTTATCCCATTCATTTCTAGAAGATGGAAAACAGATGGAGGAATGGTAGCCATCTTGGCAGAGTAAGGGAAGCCTAATGAGTCTTCTCTGACTTAGATTCTTTTTGTAGAAATGGTACATATTCATTCTTCACTGGGTCCCCAGAGGCAGTGTGGAAGCATAATAGTTAAGAGTACAGGTTCTGGATTCAGATTGCCTGAATGCTCAGCTTGGCTCTGCCACTTCTTATCAGCAGAATGAATTTGGGCAGGTTAACTCACCACCCTGCCTCAGTTTCCCCATATGTAAAATAGGAAACATAATACTACCAAATAGATTTATTGTGAGAATAACATGTGTAAAGCACTTAACATTGTGCCTAGCACACAGCACACATCCCTGAAGTATTAGTGATTATTATCATCCCCTATTATGGAACCATATCCATCAGGATATGCCACCTCTACCACCTTTAGTTTTGTTTTTGTTTTTGTTTTTTGAGACAGGGTCTTGCTCTGTCACCCAGGCTAGCGTACAGTGGTGCAATCACAGCTTACTGCAGACTCAACCTCCCAGACTCAAGTGATCCTCCTACCTCAGCCTCCAAGGTAGCTGGGACTACAGGTGTGCACCACCGCACCCAGCTAATTTCTTTATTTTTTGTAGAAACAAGGTCTCACTATGTTTCCCAGGGTGGTCTTGAACTCCTGGGTTCAAGCAAATCCCTGCTGCCTTTCACTGTCCTTCCAAAAAGATCATTATGATTGAGTTACGGGTTAACAGACACAGAACACATAACTGGAATCCAAGCCCTGTTCCTCAGGTTAGAAAGAGCTATGTCCTAAATACAAAGCTATGCAGGCCCAGTGTCCTCCTCCACCTTGCTATTTTCCTGCTTGGGGCAAAAACTAAAGACACTTGTGGGTAAGAATAATATACAGGGTAGTTAATAGCAGGAGCTTGAAGTCAGGCAAATTTGGGTTAAAGTCTGACTTCCCACCTATTATCTACATGAGGATAAACTAATTACATAATATTATAGGCTGAATTGTGTGTCTCCAAAATGCACATGTTGAAATCCTAACTCCTAGTACCTCAGAATGTGACTAAATTTGGAGACAGAGTCTTTTAACAAGATAATTAAAATAAGGTCATTCAGGTGGACCCTAATCCAACATGACCTGTTTCCTTAAAAAAAAGAGAAAATTAGGGCCAGGCACGGTGACCCACGCCTATAATCCCAGCACTTTGGGAGCCCGAGGCAGATGGATCACTTGAGGTCAGGAGTTCGAGACCAGCCTGGCCAACGTGGTGAAACCCCATCTCTACTAAAAATGCAAAAATTAGCTGGGCATTGTGGCGTGTGCCTGTAGTCCCAGCTACTCAGGAGGCTGAGGCACGAGAATCGCTAGAACCCAGGAGGCAGAGGTTGCAGTGAGCCAAGATGGCACTACTGCACTCTAGCCTGGGCAACAGAGTGAGACTCAGTCTCAAAAAAAAAAAAAGAGAAAGAGAGTATGAAAATTAGGACATAGATGTGCATTGAAGGAAGACTATGTGAAGACCAAGGAATAAGAAGGCCACCTACACGCCAAGGAGATAAGCCTCAGAAGACACCAACCCTGCTGACACCTTGATCTTGGACTTTTAGCATCCAGAATTGTGAGAAAATTAATGTCTGTTGCTTACACCACCTAGTCAGTAGTACTTACAGTTATGGCAGCCTTAGCACACTAATACACTTGACCTCAGTTTTCTGAAAGATAAAATAGGAATATATATATCTCGTGAGATAACTGTATTAAATTGTGGAGAAATGTACTTACCATAGTGCTTGGCACACAGTATGTGCTCAAGAAATGTAGGTTAGTAGGATTATTGTTTTATTATTATTACTATTAAAACATAATTACTCTGGTCTTTCCACAGTAACAGAAGGAAAAAGAGAAGCTAGCTGACTAACTCAACTAGAATTATCCATGACTTCATAATTCATCATCATGTCTTTAGTCTTGCTCTCTTCAAAACACCCTACATAATGCTGCCAGAACATTCTTCCCTATAAAAATCTGGCTGTGATAGCTAGTATCCAAAGATGGCCAAACAATTCCACCCCTCCCTGTATGCACATGCCCCTCCTTCTACCAGAAATGGATCCTATGTACCCTTTCCATAAATCTTGTAACCATTTGACCAGTACAATGCAGAGGAAATGATGTCCTGGGACTTTCAGGTTTAGGCATTAAGAAGGCCTGGCAGCTTGAGCCACCAAGGACGGGCTACTCTGCTGGAGAGAGTGGTCACAGGGAAAGACCTAGAAGGATTTAGATAGAGAGAGAAATAGCAGCCACATGAAAAAACATTAAGGCCAGGTGGCATGGCTCATGCCTGTAATCTCAGCATTTTGGGAGGCCGAGGCAGGCAGATCACTTGAGGCCAGGAGTTTGAGACCAGCCTGGCCAACATGGTGAAACCCCATCTCTACTAAAAATAGAAAAATTAGCCGGGCGTGGTGGTGGGTACCTGTAATCCTGGCTACTCGGGAGGCTGAAGTGGGAGAATCGCTTGAACCAGGGAGGCAGAAGTTGCAGTAAGCTGAGATCATGCCACTGCACTCCAGCCTGGGTGACAGAGTGAGACTCCATCTCAAAAAAAAAAAAAAAAAAAGAAAATAGATGGCTGGGCATGGTGGCTCACACCTGTAATCACAGCACTTTGGGAGGCCGAGCCGGATGGATCACGAGGTCAGGAGATCAAGATCATCCTGGCCAACACAGTGAAACCCTGTCTCTACTAAAATACAAAAAATTAGCTGGGCATGCTGGTGCATGCCTGTAGTCCCAGCTACACGGGAGTCTGAGGCAGGAGAATTGCTTGAACTCGAGAGGCGGAGACTGCAGTGAGCCAAGATCGCGCCACTGCACTCCAGCCTGGTGGCAGAGCGAGACTCCGTCCCAAAAAAAAAAAAAAAAAGAAAAGAAAAGAAAAGAAACTTCAAGATAGTAGACATCCAGCCCCAACTAGCATCCCCATCCACCATGTTACTGCCACTGCAAAAGCCAGACTAGTGGAAGAACAACCCAGCTGAGCCCCAGCCAACCCACAGAATCATGAGCTATCATAAAACGCTGGTGGTAGGCAAGTACGTTTTTGGTGGTTTATTATACAGCTAAAAATAACTGAAACACTGATCATGTTGCTGCTCTACTTAAGATCCTTGGCTCGGCCAGGTGAGGTGGCTCACGCCTGTAATCCCAGCACTTTGGGAGGCTGAGGCAGGTGGATCATCTGAGCTTAGGAGTTCGAGACCAGCCTGGCCAACATGGTGAAACCCCATCTCCACTAAAAATACAAAAATTAGCCAGGCATGGTGGCACACACCTGTAATCCCTGCTACTCAGGAGGCTGAGGCAGGAGATTGAACCTGGGAGGCGGAGGTTGCGGTGAGCCAACATCACACCAGTGCACTCTAGCCTGGGCGACAGAGTGAGACTCTATCTCAAAAACAAACAAACACCCTTAGCTCTCCATAGCCAAATTTCTCAGGGCTCACAAGGAACCTTCACAAGCTATGTGACTTTGGCATGTTACTTCATCTCTCTGCAACATTTTTCCCATATGTAAACTGAGGTAATGATAGCACCTTCCTCAAAGGATTGCCATGAAAATTAAGAGATAATGTATGAGAAATACTTGGAACAATGTCTGGCATACGCTAAGTGCTCTATATGTGTTAGCCACCATCGTCACCACCACCATCATCATCTTCATCATCACCACCATCATCACCACCACCAACAACACTATCATCAACTTGTGCTGCCTGACTCTCCAGCCCCTTTCCTTAATCTCTCCTCATGTGCACTCTGGAGTACAGTCATACTAAAATATTTTTCCCCAAAACTTCACACTTCACAACTCTTTACCTTTGTACATTCCATTTCTTCTGCCTGGAATGTCCTTTACCCACCTTGCCTGCCTGAGAAATTGCCATCTGTCCTTCTGTGACGCTTCCTCACATCTCCCCAGACAGTGAGGCATCTGCCCCTGTGCTCCTTTGGGCACCTCGCCCTTGTCTCTGTGGAGAGGCTTCCCATCTTTGCCACCTGTGTGGGCCTTGTCTCCTCAGCTAGACTCTGAATTGTTTAAGGACAGAGCCAGGGCTTGATTCATGAGCCAGCAAAGCATGGCATATACCAAGCTCTTAAGATGTGTTCCAGGAAGGGAAGGAGGAAGGAGTCTGCTTTTGGAGTAGTGGTTCTCAACAGAAGGGAGAGAGGGGAGAAATTTTGTCCCCCAGGAGATATTTCATGATGTTTGAAGACATTTTTGGTTGTCATGCAACAGAGTGGGAGAAGGAAGTGTTACTGGAAACCAGTGGGTGGTGGGTAGTGGACAAATATTGTGCTCAGCATCAGACAATGCACAGGACCGCTGCCACAACAAGGAATGATCCAACCCTAAATGTCTGGGCTATGCTGAGGTTGAGAAGTCTTGTTTTAGAGGATAATCACATGCTGGGGAGGGGAAGAAAGAGACACCTGACTGAATGCACAAGCTTAGCAACCTGGCTGCCCACTCCCACCCCTCCCAGCTCAGCACCTCTGGGAGCAGAGGGTACCAGGAAGGTATGGAAGTTAAAAAAGGGCTTAAATCTGGTCACCTTCCTTCCTCTCAATGTGATCCTCATCAAGACCCTTCCCTTGGTGAAGTTTCGTTTTTTAACTTCCTACAGCCTCTTCCGGCCCTGACTTTCTGGGATTCTGCATTTGTAGGTTGGTTCCTGTTGTTTCATTCATGGCCAAAAGATGTCAATGCTGCACAGACTCTCACATGCCAAGAGAGGACAAATCCCAGATAGACTGGCCTGAGTCACTGAGCCCTTGCATTACATCCGGGATGGCCCAGAAGTTAAGTTAACGCACATGCCTGAGATGCAGGTCCCCCGCCTGCCCAGATGGGTGGCCTTGAGGTTCAGAAGAAACAGGAAGAGGGGAAGGTGGCCCTTAAAGGCTCCATGGCTAACTTAGCTTTAATGTGTAGAGGCCTCTGTGTCAGTCAAAGCACTTTGCAGGGGAGCAGGGAGACATCTGTAAAATTCTCTCTTTTGTGCCACGTAAGAGCAGAAAGAAATCTCACTCTACAGACCATGGTTTCTGTAAGGGGTGGGTCCTGTAGAATTACAGTGAGCACGGCTGATGCCTGTGGCTCCTTTGGGAGCCTGTGTTTGTTGAGGGGCTGTGTTTGTTGTTTTTAACTGGCTTCAAGAGGAGGTAGAATATTGAGTAGTAGTAAAAAGCTTCATCTTTGGCACCAGACAGGAATGAGCGTGGGACGCACTTCTGTCATTAACTGCGTGACCTGGGATAAATGACTTAATCTTGTGTAAGCCTCAACCATGAGAGAGGAACAATAATAGTACCTACTTCACAGGGTTGATCTGCGGATTAATTGAGATCATGGAAATCACAGGTTTCGCATACTGCCTGGCATAACTGCCAATAAACGGCAGTTGTTACTCTGAAAGGATATTGTGGGGTGAGTGAATAGGCGAGGAGTATGATGAATCATCCTGAAATTCTCACCTAAACTCTTCTATCCAGGTAGGGTGCTGGTGAGTCGTCTTGCCGAGAGCTAACATTTTTATTGTGCTTATCATGTGCTTACAACCGTCCTCAGTGCCTTATGTACGTTCACCGAGTCCCCACGGTGACCCAATGAGGTAAGTATTACTATTCCCATTTTAGAGATGGGAAACTTAGTGAGCCCCCAGGGCCCACTGCTGGGTAAGGGGAGGCCAAGGGTTTCCGCGAAGGCAGTTTGACTCCAGGGGCCCTGGCCTTAGCAGTGCATACACTGCTTCTGACTGCAGCTAGAGACGAATGAGAAACGGGAGGGTGCGTCCCTGGGTATCCCCCTCACCCCTCCCCAGCCTGCCTAAACGCTTGCCCTGCTCCCAAACACTCGCTCTACTCCTAGATAGTGGAGCTTTGCGACAGCTCGGCAGAGAAGCACTTCGCTCTGCCCAGCTGCAGCCAGGCATGACATGGTGTCTGCAAGGAAGGGGCTCAGGTGGGCGTGGGGAGCTAGGTCAGGATGCCGCAGGGAGGTAAGAGGCAAATGGGATTCGTCACTGGATAAACTGGGACTCCGCCCCAGCACCACCTGGAGCCTGTGGGTGGCTCTGAGCCCAGGGACATACTCTCGCAGAGCTTTATTTCTCTCCCTCTAAAATGAGAGCTTAGACACGCTCAAAACCCCTGCTGGCTGTAGAACGCCAGGTTCTTGCAGTGAGGAAGGGCTAGCGTCTGCCGCGGGGTGGGTCTTGGCCGGATCCTATCCCGGGGGAAGAGCGCCACCTGGCGAACCGCTCTGAGAATGTCCCAGAACAGCCACTAGGAACAGTCTCCCGGGTACAAGGGGGAGAGGCTCTGCAATCCGAGCAAGGGGCTTCAGTTCTCTGAACCTCAGAATTCGAATGGGTAAAATGACACCGAAGAATGGCAACGAAGATAATACTTAAAGTACCTAATATCTCCCACCACCACCTTTTGTCACCACTTTTGAAATAGTAAATGGTTATAAACCAATGTAGATGATAAATTCTAGAAGTTATACAGCATTTGTTCTGAGCACTCTGACAAGCTGTAACACTGCCTCGATTTTTTCTTACTTATATTTTTTCCTTTACATTTGTTTGTTTGTTTGTTTGTTTGTTTTTAATTGTGGCAAGAACACGTGCCAGGCGCGGTGGCTCATGTCTGTAATCCCAGCACTTTGGGAGGCCTAGGCGGGCAGATTACTTGAGGCCAGGAGTTCAAGACCAGCCTGGCCAACATGGTAAAACCCCATCTCTACTAAAAGTACGCAAATTAGCTGGGCATGGTGGCGCATGCCTGTAGTCCCAGCTACTGAGGAGGCTGAAGCAGGAGAATTGCTTGAACCCGGGAGGTGGAGGTTGCAGCAAGCTGAGATCGCACCACTGCACTCCAGCCTGGGCGACAGAGTGAGACTCCATCTCAAAAAAAAAAAAAAAAGAACACTTAACATAAGACCTACCCTCTTAATGGATTTTCCAGTACACAATACAGCAGTATTAACTATATACTACACCTATATAGAGATCTCTAAAACTTAATCATCTTGCATACCTGAAATTTTATCCTTGTTGATTTAGCTAACACTTTTTGAGTGTTTGTGATGTGATAAGCCTTGTTCTAAGCATTTTATTTATATTAATTTATTTAATCTTCAAAATAGCCATGAGGAAGGTATAGAATGACTGCTCAAGTCACTGGCTTAATCCACAAGAGACTGCACCAATTTGAAAAGTCTACAATAATAACATTTGGAAGGCGATTTACACTTGATAAACATTACTTCATTTAATCCACACAACAGCCTGTTAAGATCAACATTATCTTCATCTTAAAATAAGGAAACTGAAGACCACTCAGTCAACACACATCTGCCTACAGTGTGCTGGGCCCTGGGGTGCACATGAACAAGGTGTTTGGGGTCCCCATGCCCTTGAGTGAGACTTGAGTAAGTACTCCTGAACTGAGTGTACAACGGGGGAAATCTAGGCACCACACAAAATCACAAGAGCTATAATAACTTCGTCTGGAAGGGGAGACGTTTCACAAACAATTCTGTCCAGGGTCGCACTGCTGCCAAGCTCTGTGCCTGCCTGTGGTACGGGACCCCATGTACGACTTACAGACCAGTTAGTCCACAACAGTAACTTCCCCTTCAGCACCTGAGCTCCTTAAGAACAGTGCCTGTGTCCTAATCACCTGCATAACCCAACACCCAGCAGAGAGCCTGGCACGTGGGGGTTGCCCATAAACACTTGCCTAATGAAAGCTCTGTTCTTCTTCATGCCCACTTGCCCTCCCTCCTTTCTTTCCCCAGACCTTCCTTTTATTCTCAGCAATCCAGAGATTAGACTTTGGCTCCTTAGCACAGTCTCCTGCCATAATTCTCAAACCCAGAGTAGTTACAAGAACGGTAGAATGAAAATGGTATCGGGGAGGGGAGTGGAACTAGTAGGTCTTAGACATTCACTCTGTGCTCAGCATTCTATCTTTAGCATCTTAAATCTAACAGCAGCCCTGGTGGGTAGGTAGTAAATGGCAGAGCTGGGATTTTACTCTGACGCCCAGGTTCACCATGTTCTGCTGCCCTTGGCTCTCTCCTCCAAGCTACAGCGAGTGGCCGGTGCTGTTGTCAGTGAGGGATAAAGCTCAAAGCCTCCCATTTGGGCTTCTCCCCCTCCGCACTAGGACCTCCCCAAAACCAGGAGTTTCTTCCAGAGGTCGTATGCTCACTCCCTGAGGGCCTGGGATGCATCTTCCCAGGGCTTCCCATTTCCAATTTTGAGTCCCTTATTCCTGAAGAAACTCCCAGGGGACAGGTATTCAGGGACAGTCCACTGGGTTGCAACAGCTAATGAAACTGACATCTGACAGATACCATTCTCCACCTGCTCACCTGGGGAATAATATCACTAAGCTCCTCCTCTGTGCTGGCCTTCTGCTAAGCCTTTCTCAACAATACCTCATTTAATCCTCACAACAACCTTCAGAGGTTGTTCCATCTCCATTATGTCAGGGTCCTGAGAACAAAGAAATGTCAGGTTGGGCCTTCCAGGAAGCTGACGCTAAGACAAAATTAGACATACAAAAGACTAATTGGAAGAAACATCTAAGAAGGATAAAGGAGTGAGGGAATAGGAGCAGGCCCAGAAAGTCTCAGACCCTGCTGCAGGTCTGCCACCAAAGAAGAGAGAAGGGGAGGAAGGATTGGGCAGGAAGAGCCTCAGGCTTCGGGACTGTAGTGTCCTCCTGGTGCTCAGTCACTGGTGAGGGCAGCTCAAGAAGAGTGTGACCTCCACGCGAACGCTGCGGTGTAACAGGGAGGGGCTGAAGCTACCCACAGCCCTCACAGGAGGTCCTCTCTTTTTTTTTTTTTTTTTTTTTAGATTTTTTTTGTTGCTGTTTTTTATTTTTATTTTTTTATTATACTTTAAGTTCTAGGGTACATGTGCACAATGTGCAGGTTTGGTACATAGGTATACATGTGCCATGTTGGTTTGCTGCACCCATCAACTTGTCATTTACATTAGATATTTCTCCTAATGCTATCCGTCCCCCAGTCTCCCACCCCCCGACAGGCCCCAGTGTGTGATGTTCCCCACCCTGTGTCCAGGTGTTCTCATTGTTCAATTCCCACCTATAAGTGAGAACATGCAGTGTTTGGTTTTCTGTCCTTGTGATAGTTTGCTGAGAATGATGGTTTCCAGTTTCATCCATGTCCCTGCAAAGGACATGAACTCATCCGTTTTTAGGGCTGCATAGTATTCCATGGTGTATATGTGCCACATTTCCTTAATCCAGTCTATCATTGATAGACATTTGGGCTGGTTCCAAGTCTTTGCTATTGTGAATAGTGCCGCAATAAACATACGTGTGCATGTGTCTTTATAGTGGCATGATTTATAATCCTTTGGGTATATACCCAGCAATGGGTTTGCTAAGTCAAATGGTATTTCCAGTTCTAGATCCTTGAGGAATCACCACACTGTCTTCCACAATGGTTGAACTAATTTACACTCCCACCAACAATGTAAAAGTGTTCCTATTTCTTCTCCACATCCTCTCCATCATCTGTTGTTTCTTGAATTTTTAATGATCTCCATTCCAAATGGCGTGAGATGGCATCTCATTGTGGTTTTGATCTGCATTTCTCTGATGACCAGTGATGACGAGCATTTTTTCATGTGTTTTTTGGCTGCATAAATGTCTTCTTTTGAGAAGCGTCTGTTCATATCCTTTGCCCACTTTTTGATGGGGTTGTTTGATTTTTTTCTGTAAATTTGTTTAAGTTCTTTGTAGACTCTGGATATTAGCCCTTTGTCAGATGGGTAGATTGCAAAAATTTTCTCCCATTCTGTAGGTTGCCTGTTCACTCTGATGGTACTTTCTTTTGCCATGCAGAAGCTCTTTAGTTTAATTAGATCCCATTTGTCTATTTTGGCTTTTGTTGCCCTTGCTTTTGGTGTTTTAGTCATTGAAGTCCTTGCCCATGCCTATGTCCTGAATGGTATTGCCTAGGTTTTCTTCTAGGGTTTTTATGGTTTTAGGTATAACATTTAAGTCTTTAATCCATCTTGAATTAATTTTTGTATAAGGTGTTAAGGAAGGGATCCAGTTTCAGCTTTCTACCTATGGCTAGCCAGTTTTCCCAGCACCATTTATTAAATAGGAAATCCCTTCCCCATTTCTTGTTTTTGTCAGGTTTGTCAAAGATCAGATGGTTGTAGATGTGTGGTGCTATTTCTGAGGAGGAGGTCCTCTCTTAAACCTGACCTGAGCAGCACAATCTCCTGGCTGCCACAAAAAAAAGTCACAAAAATGACAACCTATTATACATGTCATTCTATAAAGTATTTTTTTAACTTAGAGACTTAAGAGAGATGTTTGTTTTTCAAATACGTTCATAAGCGAGATGTTTGTTTTTCAAATATTTATGTGTAATCATTATACACGGCTCTTTACACACTTGTATGACTTTTTTTTCTTTTTTGAGATAGGGTCTTGCTCTGTTACCCAGGCTGAAGTACAGTGGTGCAATCATGGCTTACTGTAGCCTCAGCCTCCCAGGCTCAAGCAGTCCTCCTGCCACAGCCTCCCGAGTAGTTGGGACTAGAGGCACGTGCCATCACGCCTGGCTTATTTTTTGTGTTTTTAGTAGAGATGGGGTTTCACCATGTTGGCCAGGCTGGTCTTGAACTCCTGGCCTCAAGCAATCCACCCACCTCAGCCTCCCAAAGTGCTGGGATTACAGGCATGAGCCACTGTGCCCAGCCCCCAGTTAGGATCTGTCACTGCCTGCCCCACTCCAGCACCGCCAGGGCATCAAACCTCTGGAAGGAGTTTAGCCTGTGAACAGCCAGGGGTCCTGGGGGCTGGAAATGCTGATGGCATGAAATCACCTTAAGGAAGTAATGACACCAAGCCTGGTAACCGTGGTTACACACAATGTGACTGAACAATGGGAGGGAGAGCAGCCCATGAACCTACGACCCAGCTATACAGGTGAATGTTTAGTCAACCAAAATGCATACTCTATTTAAAGAGAAGATTAAAACAAGCTTTTAAAAGTCTATTACACATTACTTGAAAACCATTTATAAAAGGAGTACTATTAAAGGTCCTAAACAAAATGTATGTCCATGATGAAAGCTGCTGAGACAAAAGAAAAGAAAGCCTACACAGATGGCATCTTTGGCAAAATAGGAATAGATTCCAGACAGAGAAAGGAAAACCTCAGGGGCATATTTAAAATCAGAGAATCAAAAATTACTTAATCAGAATTGCAAAAGTTAGAAACAACCCATGTATCCATAAATGTGGGATTGAACAAATTTGCACATTCATAAAATGGGGTTTAAAAAGTTAGGCCACAGGCTGGGCGTGGCAGCTCACACCTGTAATCCCAGCACTTTGGGAGGCCAAAGCGGGCGGATCACTTAAGGTCAGGAGTTCGAGACAAGCCTGGCCAATATGGCGAAACCCCGTCTCTACTAAAAATACAAAAATTAGCTGGACGTGGTGGTGCATGCCTGTAATCCCAGCTACTTGGGAGGCTGAGGCAGGAGAATCACTTGAACCCGGGAGGCATAAGTTACAGTGAGCTGAGATCATGCCACTGCACTCCAGTTTGGTCGACAGAGCTAGACTCTGTCTCAAAAAACAGGCCACAGCACCATCCCATTTGTTGCATGTGTGCACGTATGTTCACTGAGGGACAACTGAAGCATGTTCATGAACACATCAACAGTGGTACCCTCTGGGTGGTGAACTTTCAAGAGGATTTTACACTCTTCTTTATATTGGTCTGTGTTGTTTGGGTGTTTTAAAAAGCATATAACATTTATAAAGCCAAGAAAAACAGTGTGTAAAGTTTTCACTTTGAAAAACAAAATAATCAGAAGGGCACTGAAATGACTCCCAAGGCCAAGGACAATAAAGAGCTAGAAGGAGAACTGCAGTTCAGAGAAGAGGGCCTGCCAGATCTTTTTATGAGCATTTAACAAAGGTAGCAATTATCACTGAGGGCCCATGTGATTCACTAAATCTCATTTCCTCTTGTTTACAGGGTCAGTGGTAATTCCAAAATGTGTATATAGGTGGAACTTACAGGCAGCAGTCTAGTTGGATATTCAGCTTGGGAACTTATGCTGAAGCCATGTTTGCACAGCACCTTAAATAAGACTGCAATGACACCAAGTATTTCTATAAAAGGAAGCAGAGGCTGATGGAAATGATGGGGAATTATAGTCTCCTCGGTGATTCCTTGGCTCTACCAAGGGATGAAGCTAGTCAACAGGAATGTGGTCAACATTCTTGACCTGGCCTCTCCTCCACCCCATCCCAACCCCACAGCCCATCGATCATGTACACCCTTGCCCCACTCTTTCAATGGGTTTAGAAACCAGGATCCCTGAGCCTCTCTGGATGCTTCCCAGTGAACCAGGCATCCTGATATTCACATCCTCATATGTCGTTCTCTCCCACACTGATTCTGGGCTTGGCCATATGACTTTGCTTTGGCCAATGGAACATTACCAAGTATGGTTCAAACAGAGGCTAGATAAGTGCTTCCACATTCAGGCTTGTCCCCTCAGGATGCTCCTTTTGGGGACTCACTTGCTGTGTAAGACCAGGCAAGACAACTGAATGATGAGAAACCATGTGGGGTGAGACCCAGCCCTCCTAGCATCCTGGCTGAGCACCCCATGAGGGACCTTGGGTGAGACCAGCAGAATTGCCTAGTCAAATGACAGAACTAAGAGGAACAACAGAGTGTTGTATTAAGCTACTAACTTTTGGAGTGTCTCCTTAGGCAGCAGTTAATACTGAAGTAGCCTCTGATCCCTATTTCCCTGTAACCTTCACTACCCTCTTTCCTCCTTTCCTCTATGCACTTTAGTTAACCTTGACAATAATACCCCTTCCTGCTCGGTTTGATTGCCATACCCAGGACACCTCCTTAACATTACACTGCTTTAGAGAGTAGCCTCCAACCCTGCGCTTTCAGGGAGAATCCAGGAAATTAGGATCAATGTCATTCACCTAAATTTGAAAGGAATCAAGATAAAGCCACAGGCTAGCCAGGTGTGGTGGCTCAGGGCTGTAATCCCAACACTTTGGGAGGCCAAGGCAGGAGGATCACTTGAGCCTAGGCATTCCAGACCAGCCTGGCAACATAGTGAGACCCCATCTCTACAAAAATTTGAAAATCAGACAGATGTGAGGGCACAGACCTGTAGTCCCAGCTACTCAGAAGGCTGTGGTGGGAGGACTGCTTGAACATGGGAGGTCGAGGCTGCAGGGAGCCATGATCACCACTGCACTCCAGCCTGGGTGACAGAGTGAGACCCTGTCTCAAAAAAAAGAGATAAAACCACAAGGAACTGCTAGTCCACCAACATGATCATTCACTTATTCATGCAATAAATATTTACTGAGCATCTAATAAGTACTGGGCACAAGGTGTTACAGTCATTAAGAACATCCTAGAGAGGACCCTGACATCTACTCATTGAGTCTCACCTAACAAACTGGTGGAATTAATACTCACCATAGCATGTTTGATCCCTTTCTTGTTATACAGAAAAGAAAACCGAGGACGAGAAAAGTAAGTTACTTCTCTGAGCTCATTAAGCTAATCGGTAGCAGAGCCAAGTCAGGACCAGGTTTCCTTTTCATCACAAAGAACAGGTAGAAATAAACAGACACTTCCCAGGATGAACATGGGTAAATATTGGAGTGGCCCCAAGGTCAGAGCTGTGTATAAGCACAAAGGTAGAATGTCCAATCTAGTGGATGCTTATTGGTGCTTTTCCTAGCATCCACTCCTCTCTTCTCCTGCCAACAGTATCCCTATCTGTTGTCTTCAGCCACACAGTTTGGGTAGGAATAACCCACCTCTAGCTGCAGAGGTGGATCTTGGTTACCATAAGCTCATCAGTGTATCCCATCTTTGACCACAGAGACTGGCTTAGGTGTGGGCCTGCAACCCGATCAGGGCCAATGGCACTCCAGGAGATGTTTGCCAGTGCTTCTGGGAAGAGGTGCTTCTGCATGAGCTAGTGAAAGAGACATTCCCCTCTTCACTAAGGTGTGATATAAGGTTACAAGGTCTGGAACTGCTATAACCAGTTGATACCTCAAGAAAAGAACCTGGAATCATCATGCAGGGCCAGAGAGTGAAAACCAGCTGACTGCTGAGAAGAAAGAAGGATCAAACTAGGTCTTTAGGGACATTATTTGAGAGGTCAACTCAAACCTCACCTGAAACTAGTCCTAAACCTAACTTTTCAATTATAGAAGGTGATAATTCCCTTGACTCTTTAAGCTGCTTGAATGAGGTTTTTGTTACCTGCAATCTAAAGATTCCTGAATAATATATACAGTCGGCCAGGTGCTGTGGCTCACACCTGTAATCCCAGCACTTTGGGAGGCTGAGGTGGGCAGATCACTTGAAGTCAGGAGTTTAAGACCAACCTGGCCAACATAGTGAAACCCCATCTCTACTAAAAATACAAAAATTAGCTGGGTGTGGTGGTGGGTGCCTGTAATCCCAGCTACTCGGAAGGCTGAGGTGGGAGAATCTCTTGAACCCAGGAGGTGGAGGTTGCAGTGAGCCCAGGTTGCGTCACTGCACTCCAGCCTGGGCGATAGAGCAAGACTCCAGCTCAAAAAAAAAAAAAAGATACATACACCGACACTTCCAGGTTTACAAAGGACACCTGAATTTCCAGATGGTTAATAGTTAATTGTAATAAACTCTAGGAAGATAATCGCGAAGAGGCAAGAATATGCAGAAAAGAGGCTGATACATTTCAATACACGTAAAGTGCAAGGTAACGTACTTCAGGAAAAAGTGCACACTCATAAAATACAAACTATTCAGGACAACTTGGGAAGGAAACTTTGGCATTACTGTAAAATAGAGGTCAGCCAACTTTTTCTGCAAAGAGCCAGCTAGTAAATATTTTGAGCTTTACAATCCATCAAGTCTGTCGCAACCACTCAGCTCTGCAGGTGCAGTACAAAAGCAGCCACATCAATATACCAATGAATGCGTGTGGCTGCACCCAAATACAACTGTATTTATGGACACTAAAATCTGAATTCTGTATCATTTTCACATGTCACAAAATGTTATTCTTCCTTCGACTTTTTTTCAACTATTCAAATATGTAAAAGCCCTTCTTAGAACTTACAGGCTGTATGAAAACAGGCCACAGGCTGCGTTTGGCCTGCAGACCACAGGTTGTCTTCCTCTGCTATAAAGGGTTTCCTAAAATTAATGATGCTGGGGTTGGAGGAGGTGGGGGTAGGGTCAGGGAGCACTCATGCATTGCCATTACTTACCCTGCTGTAATACTAGAAATATTTTCTGTGTCAAATCTCTGCTGATAGGATTGAACAGAAAGTAACTGTAACACTCCACTATTTCTAAAGTAATTTACATGAGTGCTAATGCATCCACTTGCCAATGCATAGAGTTCAGCTGGACTAGTAAATGAAAGTTGAGCAAATGTTATAATTTTTATATCTAATCTGCACAATCGTCTGTGCATGTGGGCCACAGGAACCACAGTTTTCTTTCATTACTCTGAAAAACTGACAATTAGCTGAGATTCAATTTTTGTTTATGTTGTTTTTTGTTGTTGTTGTTATTGTTGTTGTTTTTTGAGATGGAGTCTTGCTCTGTCGCCCAGCCTGGAGTGCAATGGTGCAATCTTGGCTCAGTGCAACCTCTGCCTCCTGGGTTCAAGTGATTCTCCCACCTCAGCCTCCCAGGTAGCTGGGACTACAGGCACCCACCACCACGCCCGGCTAATTTTTTTGTATTTTTAGTAGAGACGGAGTTTCACCATGTTGGCCAGGCTGGTCTCAAACTCCTGACCTCAAGTGATCTGCCCGCCTCGGCCACCCAAAGTGCTGGGATTACAGGCGTGAGCCACCGCACCTGGCCGAGATTCAATTTTTGACATGTGTCATGCAATGAACAGCGAATATCTCTGTCTAGCCACATGCTCAGGCCTTCTTTTGTTCATTCAACAAGCTCAAAGAGCCAGACATTGGGTAGGTCACTGGAAGCAGTCATGAACGACACAATTAGAGTCTCTGCTGTTATGAAATGAACTGATGAGCATGGGAGAGAGGTTATTTAACAGTCCATCCTCAGCTGAGTAGCCAAAGGTTCTTTTAAAATAGACAAGGCTGGGCGCAGTGATTCACACCTGTAATCCCAGCCTTTTGGGAGGCTGAGTTGGGGGGAATGCTGGAGGCTGGAAGTTGGAGACCAGCCTGGGCAACATAGCGAGACCCTGTCTCTTCAAAAAATTAAAATTTAAAAAATTAGCCAGGTGTGGTGGTGCCCACATGCAGTCCTAGCTATTAAGGAGACTGAGGCAGGGGGATCACTTGAGCCCGGGAGTTCAAGGTTACAGTGAGCTATGTTTGTGCCACTGCACTACGGCCTGGGTGACAGAGCGAGACTTTGTCTCTAAAAATAAATAAATAAAACAAAAAACAAACGTCATCTTCCTCCTCTCCTGAAAAGCCCCCATTGCTCCCCATCTACAAGGCTGGGGGTGATCTGCAATCTACCCATGTTCCCAGCCACACTCCTCTCCCAAGTGCTTACTCCACTCCTCCCAAACTGGCTTCCTTGCTCAAACACTAAGCCCCCGCCTAAGAGCCTTTGCACTTGCTGTTGCATTCACCTGGAAAGCTTTCTCCCTCCCTAGATACCCACATGGCACGTTCACTCAGCTTCTTCAAGTCTTGCTCAACTGCCACTTTCTCAATGAAGTCTTCACTTCCAAGTCCATTAAAAATTACAAGCCCTTTCCCTGTCAGTTCCTATCCTCTCTGTTTTTCCCCTTCACATTTATCTACTTTGAAAGGTAGCTCATAATTGGCCAGGCATGGTGGCCCACACCTGTAATCCCAGCACTTTGGGAGGCTGAGACAGGCAGATGACTTGAGGTCAGGAGTTCGAGACCAGCCTGGCCAACATAGCGAAACTCCATCTCTACTAAAAAATACAAAAAATCAGCCACACCTGTAATCCCAGGTACTTAAGAGACTGAGGCAGGAGAATTGCTTGAACCTGGGAGGCAGAGGTTGCAGTGAGCCAAGATTGCACCACTGCACTCCAGCCTGGGTGACAGAGCAAGACTCTATGTCTTAAAAAAAAAAAGAAAAAAGAAAATAGCTCATAATTGGCCAGTATGGTGGCTCACGCCTGTAATCCCAGCATTCTGGGAGGCCGAGATGGACAGATCACCTGAGATCAGGAGTTCGAGACCAGCCTGGCCAATAGGGCGAAACCCCATCTCTACTAAAATACAAAAATTAGCCGGGTGTGGTGGCATGCGCCTGCAGTCCCAGCTACTTGGAAGGTTGAGGTGGGAGAATCGCTTGAACCCGGAGGCAGAGGTTGCAGTGAGCCGAGATCGTGCCACTGCACTCCAGGCTAGATGACAGAGTGAGACTCCGTCTAAAAAGAAAAAGAAAATAGCTTATAATTTATTTTGTTTTTTGTATATCTCTGCCTATTAGAACATAACTCCTTCAGGGCAGAACTTTTGTCTGTCTTGTTCACTGCTGTACCACCAGTGCCTGGAATAGCACTTGATAAATAGCTATTGAATGAATGAATAAAAATACGGGACAAGAAATGTGATGATCATTAAGTAAAGGCATGTAGGAGAATACTGAGGAGAGATGTCTAATCCAGTTGTGGAAGTTAGGCAGACCACAACAGGGTGAGAAGATGTTCCAGGGCAGGTGTGGTGGCTCATGCCTGTAATTCCAACACTTTGGGAAGCCAAGCTGAGAGTATCACTTGAGCCTGGGAGTTCGAGACCAGCCTGGGCAACACAGGGAGACCCTATCTCGAAGAATAAAGAAGAGAGAAGACAGAAGGGAGACAGGAGGAAGAAGAAAGAAGAAAGAAGGAAGGAGAAGGAGAAGGGGAAGAAGAAGAAAAGAATGTTCGGGACAGAGACCCAAAGTAGACACATTCCCTGCTCTCATGGGCACACTGAGAAACAGAGCAGGGAAAAGTCCCTGCAATGAAAGAGATGTAATACTGGGTGAGTTTTTTGTCTTACTATAGCCCCCTCACAATATGTGTCCAGCCTGCCCTCCTCTCCCCACCCTGCCCTCCTCTCTCCACCCTGCCCTCCTCTCCCCAGTGCTGGAGGGCTGTGATCCCCCACCTCCAAGTCCAGTCCTGCTCTCAGCTCTCAGAACAGACTTGACCCGGGAAAGTAAGGCTGTAGGTAGCTTCAGTGCCCCTCTACAGAAACCAGCATAGGGATTCTCCTTCTCTGGGCAGAGGCCAGGGAGGGGACCTGGCACTGGAGCCCGGGTTCTGATAACCAGACTTCAGCTTCATTCTCAGTGCCTGGAGCCTCATCTTGGCAAATTCCCAGCACATTTGAACTCCAGACCAGCCTTGGCATGACCAGTGTTATCAAAAAGCCTCTTCCATTGAAAGTAACAGGAAACCCAACTAAACTGGCATAAGCACTATGAAGATTTATTGGCTCAAAAAACTATACTGGTCAGGCTGGTCTGGTAGGGCTGGCCTCACACCAGGGTTCAAATGACATCATCGGGACTATGTTTCCACCTCTCCAGTCTATCTTCAGCTGGGTTGGCTTCATTCAGCCCCAGGCTCTTCCAAGGCTCCCAACCTCTGCCAGCAGCTTAAGGCTTTCAACTGGGCTGCTGCACCTCCCACCCAACCTTTTCCCAGATTGAAGCTTGGGTGGAAAGAGGGCCCCTGCCTCTCTCCCACCAATCCCAGAAAAGTCCCACTGCATTTCACAGGCTATGGCTGGACCACAACCCCCTCCTTAAACCAATCACTCTAGCCTCCCTTCCCCATCCTGGGAAGAGGATTTGATCATTTGATTGGCCAGGTGAGGGTCATGTCTTCCAGTCCTGGAGCTGTGAGTGGAACCTCACAGAGAGCACGTGGACTGAGACAAGGAGAAAACACAAATCTGGGCTTGAAACGAAAGGAAGGGTAATGGCTGCTGGGGATGGGAGACAATAACCTCTTACGTGAAGTTTATAGTTCTAAAGCAAGACCTTGAGTAACTCAGCCAAACAGTTCAATAATAGTCCTTGATGGAAGAATGTTTTCCATCTTCTGCCACACTGTACAAAATTCAAATACATGTAGTGAAATCATATGTTTTACAGTGAAATAAAAATTAAAGATGTACAAAATATGCTTAAACCACTGAAAATGTGAGCGCCTAAATGATGATAATGATTTTTCTACAAAATTTGCTTTCAAGATTAAAAAAAAGAATGCAATGCTATTAACACACACCTTTAAAAGAAACTGCAGCATAAAATTAGGGAAGGGAAAACAGAGATGAATTACTTAAACTATATTTATTATAAAAACCCATCTCAATAGACTGCAAAGGCTGAATTCCTCTTTGGCAATGTAATTTTGCTCTGTCAAATACTTCACGAAAGTGGATCACAGGTTAGAGTCAAACAGTGCTTGGTTTTGTTGAATATTTTAATATTTTATTGTATTTATTTTTTTTGAGACAGAGTGTCCCTCTGTCACCCAGGCTGGAGTGCAGTGGCACGATCTCAGCTCATTGCAACCTCCGCCTCTTGGATTCAAGAGGTTCTTATGCCTCAGCCATCCAAGTTGCTGGGATAACAGGCACACACCACCACACCTGGCTAATTTTTGTATTTTCAGTGGAGACCGGGTTTCACCATGTTGTCCAGGCTGGTCTTGAACTGCTGGCCTCAAGAGAACCACCTGCCTTGGCCTCCCAAAGTGCTGGGATTACAGGTGTGAGCCACCACACTCAGCCTTCTTGGTTAAAAAAAAAAAAATTAATAGGCCAGGCGCGGTGGCTCACGCCTGTAATCCCAGCACTTTGGGAGGCCGAGGCGGGTGGATCCCAATGTCAGGAGATTGAGACCATCCTGGCCAACATGGTGAAACCCCGTCTCTACTAAAAATACAAAAAAATTAGCTGGGCATGGTGGCGCATGCCTTGCAGTCCCAGCTACTCGGGAGGCTGAGGCAGGAGAATGGCTTGAACCCAGGAGGCGGAGGTTGCAGTGAGCTGAGATCGCACCACTGCACTCCAGCCTGGTGACAGAGACTCCATCTCAAAAACAAAAAAAAATTAATATAGCAATCTCATATAATTTTTTAAGCTGAATTTTTAAGTTAAGCCAATATTTTTGTCCATCTGAAGGAATGCATCACATATATTGTTTAGAAATCAACTATCCAAGCAATTTCTAACATTAAAGAAATACTTGATTTGATAATTGTTCTGCCCCCTTAACTACTCCCTGCTAAGCATCTGAAGGCGGGAGAGGAGGTTAGAGGAAGGTCTGAGTTTTTTTAAAGCCTGAGAAACTGGGACTTCCCTGCATTTCAAAGCACAAAGGCCTATTATTCAAGGAAAGGGGCCAGAGAGGCAGAGAATTCAATTCTGTAGGCCACCGTGTACTTCTTCCTTTCTCCTGCCAAATCAAGGCTCACACCAATCCCAAGTGGACCGCAACAGGGCAACCCTCTGAAAAGTGAAAGCAGTCGAGGAAAAAGAAAAAGGGGCCAGCCAGCAGCCGCGTTCTTCCGAGAGCCTGGGGAGCACTCATTATATGTGAATAGAGCCAGTGAAAAGCGCCTTTGCTCTGCAGCCTTGGAGGGGCCACCAGCTAACGTAGACTCCATTCACGCTCCCATTGTAAATTCCATCTGTGTGCTATCACTTCCTGACCCAGAAACAGGGAAATATTTCGGCCGTAAATTTCCCTAGGAGCTGGCCTGGCTACAAAATCGTTCCCTGTGAAGTTCACCGGCTCCATGAAGATTTGGTAAAGGTTTTTAAGATCATGTTTGCCTGCAATTCCTTCTCATTTACTAAAGGGTCTTCTCCCCATCTCACTGTTTTCCTTCCAGAAACTAGATCCTCAATGAAACTGGGATAGCTATGCCAAAAGCTCTGGGTAAAATCAGAAGCTCTCTCCTGTCTTCAGAGTAAAAGCTTAAAATGTGTGGCTGGCCCAAAGCTAAAGCTGGTCAAGTGTCAATCAGTAAGTTGGCTATTTAAATCTAAGAATAAGTCTGAGAAACTGAGAGTGTAAGAAGAGAAAACAGAAGTGATGTAGAAGGGAGGTTCTCAAACTCTAGTATGCATCAGAAAGACCTGAGAGACTTTCCAATTCAGTCACTCCAGGACAAGGCCTGAGAATGTGCATTTCTAACAAGTGCCCTCTGATGCTGATGCTGCTGGTCCAGGGACCACACTTGAAAACCACTGATACGGGGAGTGACTCCATCAGGCCTCACACATCAAGCAAGACATTGGACATATTCAAAGGCTCAACAACATCTGGATTCAGACTCAGTAAACATATTGTGGTACCCACCTATGGATACAGGCTACATGCTTTCTACAGGTGCTGGTTATGGTTCTTAATCTACTGCACAGTTGTACACAAAATATAACATTTCAATTTCATTTTTAGCCCCTATCCGACTAGAGTGGCAAATATATAACCTCCGCTAATTTGAAATCTTCTTCCCACTTTCAGGGAATGCCTCCAGGTTCTCGGTGTTTATGGAGAATCATGGGAGGGAGAGTGGTGCATTCTGGTCCTTGCTGTTGTCTATCCATGCAGTTGTCTGTTGAAATTGTCAGACAATTTCATCACCTTGTCTGGCCCATAGGCACCAGTCCTCACTCATCACCACCGACATGTCCCTCACCTCCAGCCCAGCACCCTTTCTGGGCCACACTGGGAACCCAGAATCTACCGGCTTACTACCCAGCCATGTCCTTTCTGCTCCACAGGGCTCCACACAGAAAGCAGGGCACAGGGCCCCTCTCTCTGGGGCTGGCTGTATATCTGCTTTCATCACACCTCCTCTTTCCTCCTTCCCCCTGCTACCTACCCCGCTTCTCTGCCCAGAGCAGTGGAATGTTTGCTAGTCTGAGGGGGACTCTCTTCAACCCCCTTGCCCTCACTTATTTTGGCCACATGCAGGTGCCCTCAATAGTCCCCTGAGAACTTAAAGCTTTTGAAAATCAAGCCAGGGCCAGGTGCCGTGGCTCATACCTGTAATCCCAGCACTTTGAGAGGCTGAGGCAGAGGATCACTTGAGCCCAGGAGTTTAAGACAAGCCTCAGTAACATAGCAAGACCCCATCTGTACAAAAAAAAAAAAAATTTAAATAGCCAGGCATAGCAGCATGTGCCTGTAGTTGTAGCTACTTAGGAGGCTGAGATGGGGGGATCGCTTGAGCCTGGGAGGTCGAGGCTGCAGTGACCTGTGATCACACACCTGCACTCCAGCCTGGGTGACAGACTGAGACCGCATCTCAAGAAAAAAAAGAAAGAAAAGAAAAGAAAGAAAGAAAATCAAAGCCAGGAAGATCCTTATTTTGTTTTTTCTGATCTGCCATTTTCTTCCCTGAGTCAATAAGCACAGAATGGCTTGCCTGCTTGAGGGGACAAAACTGAATAAAGGGAGATGCTTAAAAGGGGAAAAAATACATTCATTTTAAATACATACACACACATATTAGTATTTTAGAATTATTATCTTGCAATGCCTGCATTCTCCTGTTTAATCTTCAAGGCAATCCTGTGAAGTAGATGTCATTCACTCCATTTTACAAATAAGAAAACAGGCTCAGAGAGATTAAAAAGCCTTGCCTAAAGTCACATAATGCCAAACCCAGCGATGCTGGTTCTGAATTCAAGGCTCATTCCTTTGTACCTTAGCTTGTCCTCCAAAAGAGAAAGGGACAGAGGGAGGCCTGTCAGTGCAGAAGGTATGACCCAGAATACTCATCAGGGGATGTGTGTTAGGAAATCATTTGGGCCAAGAGATACTATTAATTCAAGATGTGGACACAAGGCATAGAAATCAGTCCTCAACTGACAACTGCACAGCAGATGACAGCAAGGGCCAGAATGGGTGGTAACAGGCAGAGGAAAAAAACCAAGAGACGGGATTCAAGGAAAGTAAAAGTTAACAGGTATGTAAACACCAGGGACTAAGAAGTCAAGAGGTTCAAAGTCAAGGTCGCAGGTCAAGGAGTAATCATTTCCTGACTATGAGAGACAGGTAAGGAGTGCAGAAAATTAACTCCAAAACCAAAGCGATCTGAATCCCTCAAATTCTCACTAGATTAGGAGTCAGGAATCCAGGGAGTTATGGAAGTAAATCAAAGTATTGGCAGTCAAGAGCTAGACCTTATACTAGAAAGGGTGTGTTTGCCCTTTAGTTGTCCTCCTGGGGCAGAGACTCAGAGTGTCTGCGGTTGAGCAGGAACATGACTGTGAGAGTAAGAAGTGCAAAGCCAGGACAGGCTCAGGGGAGCAGGGAGCAGAGAAAGCCCCGAGTCAAAAGCATGTCACCGTGCACAGGGAACATCTTTTGTTTTTGTCTAGCAGCCTTCTTCTGAGAACAAAGCTGGTCTCATCCTTTTGAGGAACAAATTCCCCCAACCTAGTTCATGCCAACTGGCTGGGTCTGGATTCCCTGTCACATGGATTGGCTCAGGGGTGAGTGTGTGACCCAATGCAGGCTAATCAGTGCCAATCTTGGTGCTTTCCTGGAGCTATGGAAAAAGAGGAGACATGGCCCTCTGGGCTTGTTAACCTGGTAAGTAAACTTGGAGCTGGCATGTCCATCCGGACCATCTCCCAGGTAGAGCTTCCCTGAGAATAAAGCCAACAGAGAAGGAAGTAGGGCTAAAATATAGAGGAAAACTGATATATATGGTTTGGATCTGTGTTCCCCACCAAATCTCAATGTCAAACTGCAGTACCCAATGTTGGAGGTGGGGCCTGGTGGGAGGTGGTTGGATCATGGAGGTGGATTTCTCATGAATGGTTTAACACTATCCCCTTGGTGCTGGTTCTTGTGATAGTGAGTGAGTTATTCTGAGATCTGGCTGTTTAAAAGTGTGCAGCACCTCCCCCACCTCTCTCTCTTGCTCCTGCTCCTGCCATGTGAGACGACTCGCTCCCCCTTTGCTTTCCGCCATGATTGGAAGCTTCCTGAGGTCTCCTCAGCAGCAGAAGCTGCTATGCTTCCTGTACAGCCTGCAGAACCATGAGCCAATTAAACCTCTTTTATTTACAAATTACACAGTCTTAGGTATTTCTTTATAGCAGTGCAAGAACAGACTAATACAGAGACCGAGAGTGAGAGACTGTATCCTAACAACACTCCTTGAGGCCCTGGATCCAGTCATGACAAATTGATCACCTTGAACTTCTCAGTTAAGTAAACCAATAAATTCCCTTTTTGAGTATCTGTCACTTTCTGAAAGAGACCTTGCTAATGCACTATACATAAAAATTTACTCTGAATAATGAAAATATGTTCACATTATATATATATAGTGTGTATATACAGACAGTATATGTAATATATACATTTTTTAAAGTAGAATCTAATTACTGCCCTTTGAAAATGAGCCAGACTTAGTGACTTACTTCTAAAAAATAGAACGTGGTGGAAGTAATGCTTTGTTACTTCTACTTGCCTCTCACTCTCCTGAGATGCCAGCTTTTGGAACCAAGGTGTCATATGACAAGGAAGCCCAAGTCACATGGAGAAAACACATGTGGGTGTTCAGACAACAGCCCCAGCTAGCCCTCAGCCAACAGTCAGAATCAGCCACCAGACAAGAGAGTGGACAAGCCTTCAGAGGACTTCAGCCCCAGCCTTCAAGTCTTCCAGTGAACATGACCCCAGGCATGGTGGAACAGGGATGGCCATTCTGCTCTGCTGTCTGAATTCCTGACCCATAGAAATCATGAGTGATCATAAGTGATTTTTACTATTTTTAAGCCACTGTGTTTTGAGGTAGTTTGTTATATAGCAATAGATAACTAATACAAGGACAAAACAGTGAATGGTAATTAGCTCAAGTGCTAACTCTGACCAACCGATAGTTGTCTGGAGAAGGATGCATCAGGACTGAGTGAAAAAGAGAAGATGAAATTCAGTTAATGATGTCTGCCATGAGCATAGAAGTGGGAAGTGACAGCAGTCGGGTTTGTCATTTGTTGGTGCTGGTCTACAACCAACCACAAACCCAGATAAAAATGTTCAAAGATACTATGCAGCCACGAAAAAGAATCAGATCATGTCTTTTACGGGAACACGGATGGAGCTGGTGGCCATTATCCTCAGCAAACTAACACAGGAACAGAAAACCCAATACCTTATAAGTGGGAGCTAAATGAGGAGAACACATGGACACATAGAGGGGAATAATACCCACTGGGGCCTATCAGAGGGTGGAGGGTGAGAGGAGGGAGAGGATCAGAAAAAATTTTTGGGTACTAGGCTTAGTACCTAGGTGACAAAATAATCTGCACAACAAACCTCTGTAACACAAGCTTACCTATGTAACAAAACTGCACACATACCACTGAACCTGAAATACAACTTAAAAAATAATAATAATAATAATAATAAATGTTTAAAGAAGGAAAGGAAGAAAAAGGCAAGTAAGTAGGATAGGAGAGGAAGCACTGATCTTGGAGATAAGATACCAGGGTTCAAATCTTAGCTACTTACCAGCTATGGAAACTTAGGCTACTCATTTAGCCTCTCTGGGCCTCAGTTTCCTCAGCTGTAAAATCGTAGATTGTGGTGTGAGTTCAATTAAATGAGATAATGATACCAATGTCTGGCAGTAGGCACTCAACAAAGGGGAGTGTGGTGGGAGTTGTGGCCGAACCTCAGCAAGATTTGGGTACGTGAGATGGATTTAAGGTGGATTGGACTTTCCAAGTGCGTTAAGTGGCAGCACACAAGGCCTTCCCAAAGTGGGTTCCATGAAAGACTAGGTCTGTAGGATGTTAATAGCATGTTCTATGAAACCCTGGTGATGTGGGATCTTAATACAGGGGTCCCCAACCCCTGGGCCGTGGACTGGTGCCAGTCCCCGTGGCCTATTAGGAACAGGGCTGCACAGCAGGAGGTGAGTGGTGGGCAAGGGAGCATTACCACCTGAGCTCCACCTCCTGTTGCATCGGCGTGGCATTAGATTCTCACAGGACTGTGAACCCTATTGTGAACTGCACATGCAAGGGATGTAGGTTGCATGCTCCTTATGAGAATCCAATGCCTGATGATCTGGGGTGGAACAGCTTCATCCTGAGACCATCCCCCCATCACCCCCCACCGTCCATGGAAATTGTCTTCCACAAAACGAGTCCCTGGTACCAAAAAGGTTGGGGACTGCCATCTTAATAGATTAAAACAAGTAAAAAATTGTTTACATACACTTACCATACGGCCCAGCAATCCCATTCCTCAAGAAAGTGAAAATTTAAGTTCACACAAACACCTGTACGTGAATGTTTCTAGCAGCTCTATTCATACTCACCAAAGCCTAGAAATATCCTTCAACAGGATAAGCAAATTTTGGTATATTCACACTATGGAATATGACTCAGCAACAAAAAAGACCTAACTATTCATACATATAACACAGATATGTCCCAGAGGCATTCCCTGAGTGAAAAAAGACAGTTACAAAGGCTACATGGTGTATGATTCCATCTGTATGTCCAAAATATGACATTCTTGGAAAAAAAGAAAACTACTGTGGTGGAAAACAGATTCATAGTTGCCAGAGGTGGACAGGGAGGGGTGCTGACTATAAAGGGACAGCACAGGGAGTTTTGGGGTGGGATGAAACTGTTCTGTATCTTGACTGTGGTGATGATTACATGAATCTGTGTATGTGTGCAATTTTATGGAACTATATACCAAAAAAAGTTAATTTTACTGTGTATTACTTTTCAAAATAAAAGGAAGACTTCATGTAAATTTGGAAAATACTGTGTTAAAGTGAAATAAGAATCTTTATCACAGGACATATCAGAGCCTTGAATATACCATTTGGTATCTATGATTCTCAAAGACTGGCAGGGAATATGCAGCGTTTCTCTAATTTATTTGACAAGGAACTCTTCTTTCTCAGAACATCTCGAAGGCCTAGAGTTTTCTAGACTCACTCTGGAAGATTCAGGTCTAGTAGCAGGTATGAGCTGGTGTCTTGATCTCTGGGATCCAAGGAAAACTAAAATGGTAGGCTGTGAATCAGATACTACTTAACAATGCAGTCTCTGTGCCCTAAACAAATTCTGGGATGAGAAGGTACAGATGATAAAAAGTAATGACCAGTTCTGGTTTTCTTCTTTATTAAATTTTATGAATAATGTATCTAAGTACAAATACACACAAATGTCTCTCCCTGTGTATCTAACACACACACACACACACACACACACACACTTATTCATATATGCATACCACTGAAAAAAAGGTTTAAATTATGATAAAAGAAAAACTTCAGCGGAATTAAATTTAAAAGAGTTTGAGCAATGAACGATTTGCGAATTGGGCAGCCCCCAGAATCACAACAGATTCACAAAGACTCCAGGGGTGCCTCATGGTCAGAATAAATTTATAGACAAAAAAGGTAAAGTGACGTACAGGAATCAGAAGTGAGGTACTGAAACAGTGAGGTTGGTTACAGCTCAGAGTTTGCCTTATTTGAATGGAGTTTGAACATTCAGCAGTCTATGAGTGGTTGAAGTATGGTCACTGGGATTGGCCAACACTCAGCTATTGTTTCAGGCGCATACTACTAAGTTAGGTTTTCAATTTTGTCTGACTATTAAGCTAGGTTACAGTTCATCCACAAGGACTCAAACATAGAAATACAGAGTCCTTCTAAGGCCACATTTAGTTTGCTTTAACAATTCCCCCCTTTTGGTCATTTTCTCAATTTTGAGAGATTGACCAAAACCTCATTAATTGATAACTACTATCACTATTGTAAATGTACTTACATGGTTTTGAAACCCACTGGGAAACAGAAGAGCAGTGGGTTTTCCAAGGAAAGAATAAAGACTGAGTAGAAGCTACCTCCCTATGCTGGAACATCCTGTTTACAGGACAAAAACAAAACCTGATCTGTTCTAGGATCTATGTTTCTTTAAAGCCTTAGTTTGATTATGTCACATTTAACACGAGTGACTTCATTTTAGTTTGGTTTCGTTTGTCGGGGCCTAGTGCATGAGCTCAGTGCAAAATAATGGCCTCTCATAATTTTGTTTAGAAAAATTCCCCCTTTTGGGCTGGGTGCAGTGGCTCACGCCTGTCATCTCCAGCACTTTGAGAGGCCAAGGTGGGCAGATCACGAGGTCAGGAGATCGAGACCATCCTGGCTAACACGGTGAAACTCCGTGTCTACTAAAAATACAAAAAATTAACTGGGCGAGGTGGCAGGCACCTGTAGTCCCAGCTACTTGGGAGGCTGAGGCAGGAAAATGGCATGAACCCGGGAGGCGGAGCTTGCAGTGAGCCGAGATCGCGCCACTGCACTCCAGCCTGGGCGACAGAGCCAGACTCCATCTCAAAAAAAAAAAAATTCCCCCTTTTTGGCCAGGTTCTCACTTAGGTGAGAGTGTAACCAAAACTTAGGGCCTTAGCACCACTCTCAGTTACCGTCATTTTGGGTTTCCAGTCCCAGCATGTCATTCATAGGGTACAATGTCCTCATGGTCGCACATTTCTTTCAGTTTTTGTCATTCCACTTGAAGAGAGACTACTTGACGTTCTAGAGATGGCTGCATGCAAACATTTAAAACCTTTTAGAGAACAGAGAGCACTAAGGAGGCTATTGTTATGACTATCGGGAGGATAATACCAAGAGTTTGGAGTATGCTCCTTACCCAGGGTCCCCATAAACCAAACCACATAAAGTTAAATAGATTAAAGAATGAGCTAGATAAAGAGTCTATTCACTTGACTGAGTGGTCTTTTCATTAATCCCATAAAACTGAATTTTTATAATCTACATTTGATGTATTTCTCCATAGGCCACAAGTGTCAGCAGCTGCACATGTACTTTTCTGTTTAGTCAATTCTATTATTTAGCATAACTTTCACATAAGAATTTAAAGTCTGTTATGTATGATGGCCTTTAAAGTAGAATTTGCTGTGGAGGCTATTATGAAGGAGACATTTCTAATTATTGCCTCTTTCATCCTAAATCCTGGGAAAAGGGCCTAACAAATGATGTCCTTCTAGACGAGTGAAGGCCTCCTGGCAATATTCTCTTTAATCCATGATGTGGGTTAAGAGGTGTTTTGACTGATTATGAGGCAACGTATGTACCACTAAGGTTTCTCACCTACATTGGGCCTTCATCTTTTATCTATTAAAGTATAAAGTTATTCATGTATAAGGCTGGCTGCAAAATCATTCACAAATAAAACTATACCCTATAAGTGTACATAATAGACCCCTTTTTCATTTCTATTGTTCATAGAGGCATAAACAGAGAAAAAATATTCAAGGATAAGAATCTCATGATAGCAGAAGTCTTGATCCATTCTTGTGGGGAAAAGCTGTTCACAACAAGGATGCCATCTCCTTCTGGGGAGAAACTTTCCTGGTTAGTTTTACCTTAAGGGTTCCAATAGGTGTACAGTTCCAGGAGTGTGGAGGGACCTTTCTCAGCTGTGAGATTATGAACCCAATGTTCAAGGCTCCAAAGTTTTGCTGTGGTGTGGATGGTAAGGACAGTCTTTCTCTGATGTTCTCAGAAGATCCAATCTTTGGGTTCTAGATTGTAAAGGGATTGTTATCAGTGAACCATAAAAAGCTTTATTTACCTGGTGAAAATACACTATAGCATAATAATCTACTGTTATAACAACAGCCCTCTTGCATGGGAAAGCTTTTATACAACCAGAAAACATGCACTGAAAATGACAATTGAATGAAATCCCTTTATAAATGTTTAAATGGACCATCAGGTACTCAAATGTACCTAAAGTTTTGACTGTCTTCCCAGGTATATGGAACCAAACATTGGTTTTAAACTATTTCCACAATGTATAAGTCACCACATCAATATATTCAGTTTGGATTATTTTATCTTTTCCATGGCGAGTCATGGAATGCAGAACCTTTAATAACAAAAGCTTTAAGGACTTGGGAAGGATAAGGTGGCTGTCCTGGTTCTTCATGAGTCCATGCTTAACACTGAACTTATGTCCTCTCGAATGCCAGTTGCTTCTCCAATTTAGGTGCACAGCAGTGATAACTACTGAGTTATCACAGGTAATTTGACTTAAGACCATGGAGTTCATTTAAATTGTATATTTAAACAATTTTAGTATTGGCTGGTTTAGCATGATAATCTAGAGCTTGATTTTGAAAAATCTGTTAAAATACCAAAGGTTTAAAACATTGGATATTACAAAATAGAATCTCACGTTACCATAAGTCATTCATTTCACCAAAATGATAAGTCAAAAATTTTCTAAAGGAAGAAACATTAGTCTGATACAGAGGAGACTCAGCTCTCCAAACAAGACCCAATGAAGATAGCATGAGGCCAACTGACTCTGTCTCCTTTCTTTCCCTTCCCCGCTTTTTCTTTTGTAGTTTACTTAAAAGGTAAATAAAAACCTTTCATTATTGTTTAATATTACATAAAAATCATTTTTAAAAGAGAAAACCAAATTTTATGTTTCCATTAGTGTATTTTTAATGTTAAAGCTAGTTTTTAATAACATTTTATAATCTATTCAGTTTTAATCAGTTTTACCGTAAGGTAAGATTTTTATAAACCTCTTATAACCCTTTACAATTTTTTTCTCTGAGTAGAACAATGTTCTAAGAAAACTCTGTTGTACTTTTATTCCAATGTGCAATTTATGGAAAAAACTGAATAACACCATTTTAACTTTAGCCAACATGTTCACACACAGAATCTCTTACAATTAATGTTCTATAAACCTTCCGTAACTTGTTCAAATCTTTAGCTTTATTTAACAATCCTTTAACCCTCTAACCTAGGCAAAAATTTACATTTCCATACCTTCTTATAATCCCTTACAAATAACACATTTCATTCTCTTTACACACCTTGCATGTAAACCTATTTTTTCAGTAGTCTCAACTACATATTACAATGTTAACTCTTAGCAACTTTTACTTTTGGTGAAAATCTTGGTAAGTATAGGATTTTAATTATGCACTAGGTGTGAAGCCTAGGACCCAGACAGAAATGCAGATAAGGTCTGACTCTTTCCAGCATCTAACTCCACATGTCCCAGGCCTTACCTAGCTGTAAAGCAGGCAAGCTGTACAGTTAAAAGTCATAGTAGCATTTTATGAAGCATTTAGGAGGCCTAATTACCTTTCAGTTGTATATTTCTGGCATAAATTCCATTTCATAAATTCTTTCATGACTTACACAGACCATGTATGACATGTTTAGACTTTCTGACTTGCCCTAAATTCAAACAACCAGTCATTTTACTTCGGGACAGGAATTTACCATACAACATCCTTTTTATATAAGATCTCTTTTCTTCATAACCTTCTTTGCATAGTTACTGGGTATGGTTAATTCCATATATCCCCAGACCTTATTTAGAATTTAAGGTCTCCAAAATAAATTGAACAATTTTCAAAAGTCAAAGCAGTTTATGACCTTAAAGCATTTAAAAAACCTAATATCTGCCCTGCATAATTTAGATAAAATGTCTTTATTTTATCAATAATCTTTAAAGCTGTTTTTATTTCCCAAAGGTTACTAAAGTTACATGAACTAAAGGCATTACAGTTTTTATTTTGCTTTCAAAATACTTGATTTAAGCACTTACTTTTAAGCCAATTAATTAGAGCTCTTTTATATAAACATTACACACAACACATATATAATTACACAGACAGACAGAAGAAGATTACTACAGTAGTTGTACGATTTTTCATTTGCCACATTTTAAGTTTCTTAATTGGTTATAGGCTTTATGGTGGAGTCCTTGGAAGAGCAGGGCCAGGAAAGGGGTCTGTAGTGCCTCCTGTTTTTCCCAAGGAGTCCAGGCTGTTGGAGCTTGAATATCCACTTTTAATTAAGCTGACTTTTTAACCATAGCACTCTTTAATAAAGTCCTTTTAAAACTTCTTATTATCCAATTTTAGCCAGGCCAAACGGCTGATATTTCTGGCTTCTGAACTTTACCAAAGGTAACCTCCCAGGTGCTCAGAGAAAGGAAAATTTAAAATAGTTGCTCAGAGAAAGGAAAATTTAAAATAGTCTGTGGAAGAGAAGAGAATAGACAAGGTCATGCAGATGTTAAACCAGAAAGGACTTACTTCCCAACCAGGGACTCCAACCCCAACCACCAGTGTGAAAGGGCAGAACCTTAGCTACCGAGCTACAGCGTGGGGTAGTCTCCACTGCTCTTCCCAGAAGGAATCTAGAGTAGTTAATTTTGAACTTGCAAAGGCTTTTAACTACTCAAGATAATTTTTAGAGCTAACTATGACATAAACCCTAAAATTCCTGTTCTCTGGAAGGCGGAGACCAAGAGAAAGTACTGCCACAAGCTTACAAGGTCAAGCTCCCAAGGACATAAAACAAGATGGAGACCCCATCCAGTTTTTTTTGTTTGTTTCAGGGACCTGCAGCAGTTTGTTATGGAACAGCTTGTTGGGCCATCCTGAGCACGAGTTTATGGGGTCCTAACCCCACGTTTTATCCTAAGGTACTCCGCGACACAGAAAAATGAATTCATCGCACAAAATACATCAGCTTAAGACTAGCCTCAGAATTCTTCTTTTGCATAATCAAAACTTTACAGAGGAGAAAAACAGTGATTTTTACCATTCATTCAACCATTCGCACAGAAAGAGAGAAGCCAGAAATCTGACTGGTAAGAAATTCTTGCCCTTTTGCCGGCATGCCAGGCTTCTGGGTTTCCTTTCCCTGAGGGGCCCCAGTGACCCAGCTTGCTGCACCATCACACTGGGGGCCAAGCTGCATCATAAAGGAAAAATGATCTTTTTTTGTTCTGGCCATAGCAAAATACGTGTGATAAAACACAGACATTAGCTACTCTGCTTAGCACCCAATATCAAACCAGCAAGGCTTACATTTGCCCTCAGATGGGCCCCTCATCTTTAACCCAACCTCCGACTAGAAATTTCAACACATGGTGTCTGGGTAAGATGGTCACCCTGAATAACAGAAAAGATAGGAAAGGAAAAGAAGAAAAGAGCAAGTATTGCCTATGGCAGGGTGCGGAAGGTGAAGAGCTCAGGGAGGCCAGAGCAAGACCCATTCGTTTCAGCAACACTGAAAAGTTCAGGTGGCCACTTGTTAGCAGCAAAGGGATCTTTTCCAGCAGTCCCATCAGCTCTCAAGTTTCCCCTTTTTTGGGTGGGAGGAAAAAGCTCCCCATGTCCCACGATCCTGTACATGCCTAATCCTGTCACCCACAGCCATCAGCAAAGAGTGCAAGGCAGATTATTCCAAACAGAAGAGCAGTTGACATCCCACAGTGCCAAACCCGTTCTTAGCCAAAAGGGACTTTACCAAGAGCCCTCATTTTTAAAAGTACTTCAATGCATTATTGTTCATTTGGAATGTTCCACTGCAAGTTATCTTTAGTAAGATTTTGCCATTTCTATAAGACTTCGCTGCCTCCCAGGCCTAATGCATAAGCCAGAAGGAACTCAGTTTTCCAGAAATTAAGGATCACATTTCTACCTAAAATATTGACTTTATTCAGGTTTTCCTGAATAACTTAGCCAATGATTTTTCCTAAGTGTGCAAGAAAAATGAAACAAAGAGGCAGAACACAATAATCCCTGTGAATTTCCAAAAGCCATATTTTATAATCCCTGCAATATTACTGCTTACTACCAGTTCCTTTATGACCCAGTCAGATATGAGAGTCCTCTAACTGGATCCAAGCCAGTTAATTCCCAGATCAAATCCATCCCTGGACCCAGTCCAGTTTCTGTTGCAACTCCAAACCCAGTTTGGATCAGAAATTTGCTCAAAGAAACTTGGAGAGCTTAAAACACAAATCCGTAGAGCTCCAAAATCCGAAAGGGAGCTTAGCACCCACGATCCCCAGCCACTCTGAGAGATCAATGGACACAAACGGGTCCTGCAGGTACCTTGCGTGTTCACTCAGCACTCCTGGGCGTCACCAGAAGCTCCACTTCGGATCCCACTTCTGACATCATCTGATAAAAGAAAAACTTCAGTCAAATTAAATTTAAAGGAGTTTAATTGAGCAATGAATGATTTGTGAATCAGGCAGCCCCCAGAATCACAGCAGACCCACAGAGACTCCATGGGTAGCTTGTGGTCAGAACAAATTTATAGACAAAAAAGGTAAAGTGACGTACAGGAATCAGAAGTGAGGTACAGAAACAGTGAGATTGATTACAGCTCAGCATTTGCCTTATTTGAATGGAGTTTGAAGATTCAGCAGTCAATGAGTGGTTAAATTATGGCTGCTGGGATTGGCCAACACTCAGCTATTATTACAGACGCATACTACTAAGTTAGGTTTTTGTCTGACTATTAAACTAGGTTACAGTTCATCCAAAAGGACTCAAATATAGAAGTACAGAGTCCTTCTCAGACCATATTTAGTTTGCTTTAACAACTATAAATGGATTTCACCAAAAGATTGACAGTAACTAAATCTGGGCAGTAAGATACTGAGTAACTTGAAATTAGCTTTTTTTCTCTTTTTGCTTTTCCATATTTTCCAATTTTTCTGCAAAGAATGTGGATTGCTTATAAAACAAACACACACAAATAGCTAAGAATTTAAAATAAGAAAATTTAAAAGTAAAATTAGCTATCATTCATTTGAATACCTACCACGTGCCAGGAACTGCAAAGCACTTTCCACACATTCCCTCTCTCATTTAATCCTCACAATTTATGTAAGAGGCACTATTATTATTCCTACTTTAAAGATGAAGAGATGAAGCTTGGGGCCATATGATGGGGACTGACTTTGGAATGCAATTACATATGCATGCATGCATGCACAGAACCAGCTACCCTCATAAATACATAAAGACTCAGCTGAGCTGGCTGGCTCAGATGGCAACTATGTGAGACTCAAAACCCAGATATGACCACCCACCCCAGCCCCATATGTCCTAATAATTCTCTCCTCGATAACTAGCCACATGGTAGACTAAAAAGACTTGGCCACAAGGTTTTGGAGCTCCTTCTTTCAAGAGGTATATTCCCCATTCCTCAAATCTGAGTTGGCCTTGAGACTTGCTTTGACTGACAGAATAGGGCAGAAATGACATTGCATAAGTTGCAGAGGACTTGCAGATTTCACTCTCATATTCTCAGAACCCCTGTCCAAGACCACCATGGTGTAAACAAGCCTAAAATGAAATACCACATGGAGAGAGGCCTAGACATTCCTGTTATAACAAACGAACCCAGCCTCCAGCCAACAACCTTCCAAATGAATTAACCCATATAAGTGAGCCCAGACAAAATTAGCAGAAAAACTACCCAGAAAACCCATAAAATAGTGAAAAGTAATATACTGTTGTTAATTAAGCCACTAAGTTGTGGGATTATTTGTTATAGAGCAATAGCTAACTGATACAACTTCAATTTACAAAGTGAAAGAAGATCTCAAGTCATTGAGGTGCCTATGCTGGGCCAATGCTACGAAGAAATATTAAAGTTATTCAATGTGGTACAAGCCCTTTCATTGAGGTTATTATTATTATTATTATTTTGAGATGGAGTCTCACTCTGTCACACAGGCTGGAGTGCAGTGGTGCCATCTTGGCTCACTGCAAACTCGCCTCCCAGGTTCAAACAATTTTCATGCCTCAGCCTCCTGAATAGCTGGGATTACAGGTGTGCACCACCACACCCAACTAATTTTTGTATTTTTAGTAGGGACAGGGTTTCACCATGTTGGCCAGGCTGATCTTGAACTCCCAACCTCAAGTGATCCACCTGCCTTGGCCTTCCAAAGTGCTGGGGTTACAGGCATGAGCCACCACACCCAGCCCAGTGAGGTTATCTTGTATCTCCTCTCCTAGTTCACAGATCAAGCCCAAATTCCATGGTCAGAGAGTGATTATAGGTCTCACACTCCCTTCCAAATGGACCAAAGGTTTCTTCTTTTCAAAACACAACTATGTGCAACTGAACAGATACTGATGAGACAGTGCAGAAGATTACGCAAAAAAAAGAATGTCAAGAGAGTTTTTTTCTATATAAAAGAAAAGAATTGTTTGCATAGGAAAACGTGTGCTGAAACCAATTAATTTTTTTCCTTTGCTTTTAAAAACACATTAGGATTTTCTTCCAAGCTTTACTGACTCATAAAACATATTAACTGTGGCAGGCTGAGTTTCAATTAAAGACAGAAGGCAAGGGTCATTTACCTACAACTAAATGCTTCTTCAATAATAATAGACTCGTGAGCAACGGAACTTGCTGCAAGGAGAATATGACAATTTGTTCCCGTAGCTGTCACTTTTATTCAGACTCAAATGGCTCCACACTAGAAAATCATATTAGCTCAAAGCATGATATGGAACCCACTATACCAAGAGATGTTTCTTGCATATAGGTCATTCCTTAACAACATTCGCAACCACAATGGCAGGGGGAAAAAATACGCTAGCTTCTTGACAGAATGACTTAGCATATTTTAGTTTTATAAAAACCAGAATATTATCACAGATTAATCAAATTATTAAATTAAAATTATAGTCTACTTTTTAAAGCTTGTTATTACTCTCGGAAAGGAAGAATGCAAACAATAATAAAGCCATCAGACTCACTGGTATAAAGCTATGTAACTTGTTAAAAGCAACTACACCCAAAAAATACTGTAGTGGTGTTTAGGGTTGGATGACAAGAATTCTTTTCAAGAGAAAGTATCTCACAGGAAAAATAATTCAGATGATATCTTAGGGCTCCTTCACAGCAGGTCACTTTGCATTCCCTACTCCCTTTTAAATGCTATCAACATTACACCCACTCAGCCTTTCCTTCCTCTCCATTTCTCATATTTCTTGGTCTGTTCCCTTTGTTGATTTCAATCGCTTGGCCCCTTCTAATTCCTCCTTGTCTTGAACCTTACTCCGCTCCTTTCTGCCTTACCTGATACACAAAAAGCAAAATTGTTCCTCACATAACAGTCCTGCATTTCTCCGGTGGTGGCACAAAGAAACAATTATTTCTTCAGACAGGGTTGGGTTACCTAGCAATTTCCCATGTCTTTCTTTTCTCAAAGATTTCTCTCTTTCCCTTTCTTTCTTTCTCCCAGTCTCTCTCCCTCTCTCTCTGTAAGCATCTGATCTGCGATAAAAGAATGAGGGTACAATTTGGTAGACTTAATCATAGGCAATTTTTAAACATTTCCCTAGAGTGGTACTAGACATAACTTCTAACATATACAAGTGAAAATTAAATTCAAATCAACAATTACTGAGAGTCTCCCACCTGCTATGCCTCATGCTGGGGATAGAGGTCAACATAAGACTTGGGCTCTGCCATCAAGAAGAAAACATGGCAGAAATGGTAAAGAAATGCAAGGAATAGCAATCACCTCATAAACACCCCTTTAGCATCACCAACTGCAAAGAAATTCTCAGGATACTGAGCCTCTGTTTCCTCATATTTTAATATTTTAATATTAATATTAATATCATTTAACATGATATTAACAATAATACTTCACAGGATGATTGCTGTAAGAGTCAAACTAGAATGTGTGTGTGAATGTTGATTTATTTTGTTTTTGCAACTTCCTATGAATATATAATTATTTCAAAATAAAGTTTTTTTAAAAAAATTTAAACAAGAATGTGATTGAACGTATCTTGCAACTGTGTAATTCAATTTCAATGGTATTCAATCATCATTTATTCAGCCAGGTCCTGTGCTAGAGAGATTGGAAATAAACAGGAAATCCATGATTCCTGAAACTAGAGCACCCAAGGGCTGAGGCAGTAGAGAGACACACGAAAAATATAATACAATGTGATATGTGTTGTACTAGATATACAGAAAATGTATCCAATCTTAGATAAGAGATTAACTAATCCAACCAGGGTATGGAGGGAGGGAAAGAAGGAAAGAAACATCAATGGATACTATGGAAACAGAGTGGGTAATAACATGAGTAATCATCTCTCATTAAGGCCCTTTATGTACTAGTCACTATATTAGGCACTTTGCAGATAATATTCTCATAAACAAAGACAAGATGGAGGGTCCCCCTTCTTGAAAACATCCCACTCCATTAGTTTACAGAGTTTGGCCTTGGTGACTGCCAGGTCTAATGGCCTCAGGAGACTGACAGTCAACTACCCAAATGGAAAGAAAAAAGCACTGAACCAAAAGTGAAAAGTGATAGGATGAGAAATCGTGCTCTGCTACTACGTGGCTCTAGGAATGTCCCTTAGCCCTCTGGTTCTTAGATTCCTCATCTGCAAAATGGGGATTTAATACCAGCTGACCATGCAAGGTTGTTGGGATAACGGGTGTGGAAAAGGCTTTGAAATCTGTCCAGTGTCTTCAGGGTAAGAGCCAGGCTGGAAATGTACCTGCCTACAGGGGCCAGGGAGGTAACAAAACTGAGCAAAGCAGGCCTATGGGAACTCTGCCAATTGTATCAGTTAGCTATTCTTGCATAACAAATCATCCCACAACTTAGTGGCTTACATTAACAATGTATATTACTTTTCACTATTTTGTGGGTTTTCTCAGCAGTTTTTCTGCTGGTTTTGCCTGGGCTCACTCATATGGTCCCATTGATTTGAAAGATTGCCTGGGGGCTGGGCTCATTTGGGATAGCAGGGCCGCTAGTACTTGTTGCTAATGTTGAATGTTGCCATGTAGGAAATTGGGCTCCTTGTTGCCAGCCTATTTTTCTTGAAAAGTCAAAAGATTTGTACGTGTGAGTGAATTTATATGTGTGTATAAATCTTTGATTTTGAAATATTAACTAATTTTTTTAAATGGAAAACATCATGTGACTCTACAAAACATATCTATGGACTAGGAGATTTGGGGCTTGGGCCATCAATTAGTAACCTCCAAGTAATGTTTCCAGCTGGTCCTTACTTTTCTGTCCATTCTATTAGGTTTTCCTCAATCACAGGGAGCCATATCAGGCTCATTTGGGCTCTCTTCCTTAGTCCTGGTCCTTTTGGACAGTAGTTCTCAAAGTGAGGTTCCCCACACCAGTAGCATCAGCATCACCTCTGAATTTGTTAGAAATGCACATTATTGAGCCCCACCCCAGACCTACTGATTCTTATACTCTGTGGATGAAACTCAGGTATCGGGAAGACTTCACACTGGTTCTCAATCCTAGCTATGCACTGAAATCACCTGGAGAAGTTTATAAAATATCAATGCCAAGGTACCAGCCACAGAGATTAAGATTTAAATGGTCTGGGATGCAGCCTGGACTTTAGGATTTTTCTTCGTTTTCTTATTATTATTTTTTTTAGTCAGTCTCTTGCTTATCCAGCCTTTAGAATTTTTAAATGACTCTAATTTGCAGCCATGGGACTTCACTTGGACCTTGAAACTAGGGGAAAAAAGAAGATGGTTGAGACTCTACCTATCTCTGGGGAAAAACACTGGGGAATTAGAACATTAGGAAATAAACTCACTTTTTTCTCTATTCATTTGTAACGGAGGCTTCCCCTAGGTCTTCCTTCCTTGAACTTCAAATATACCAGTATTTTGGTCATCCCCACAAAGCACAGTGCACAGGAATGAATGTAATTCAATGCTTTTCAGAACTTGTCTTTTGGAAGCCCTCTCCCCCTCCCCCTCCCTCTCTTCTCTCTCCCTCTCCCTCTCGAGTCTCATTCTGTAACCCAGACTATAGTTCAGTGGTGTGATCATAGCTCACTGTAACCTCAAACTCCTGGAGAGAAGGATCCTCCTTCCTCAGCCTCCTGAGTAGCTGGGACTATATGCACACACCACTGTGCCTGATTAAATTTTTATTTTTTGTAGAGATGGGGTCTTGCTATATTGCACAGGTTGGTCTCAAACTCCTGGCCTCAAGTCATCATCCCACCTCAGACTCTCAAGTTGTTAGGATTACAGGCATGAGACACCATGCCTGGCTGAAGTTTATTTTCTAATTTTAAAGAAATGTTGTTGGGAGAGGGAAGGAGAAAAAGAGAGCACGATGGGTAGAATGTGAATATATAAGAAAAGGGAGGGCCACATTCTGAACAAAAGAAACAACTTGAGCAAAGCCTGGAGGTGAATTCTGCAAGGGGTATTTAGAGAGTGAGGAGACCATCTTAGCTGGGGCAGAAGATATGTGTTGAGAAATGGAAGTAAATAAACTCAGATAGGTGGAATAAGAGTCTTACTTTAAACAGCCTTGAAGAAGACAACAGAGAGTATGTTAGAGTTCTCCAGAGAAACAGAACCAATAAAATGGAGATATATCTATACATGAATGGGCTCATGTAATTATAGAGGCTGCCAATTTCTCTCTCTCTCTTTTATTTTTTAATATAGATGGAGTCTCACTATGTTGCCTAGGCTGGTCTCGAACTCCTGGCCTCAAGCAATCCTCCCACCTTTCACTCCCAAGGTGCTAGGATTACAGGCATGAGTCTGGCTGGCTGACAATTTCTAAGATCTGCAAGGTAAACTGGCAAGCTGGAGACCCAGGTGAGCCCTTGCAAAAAGGCAGGAAAAAGCTGATGTCCCAGTTCAAAGTCAGTCAGGCAGGCAAAGTTACTCTTAGCCTTTGTGTTCTACTCAGGCCTTCAACTGGTTTTATGAGGCCCACCCACATGAAAAGAGCAACATGCTTTACTCAGTCTACCAATTTAAATGCTAATATCATCTGAAAAATACCTTCACAAAAACACCCAGAATAATGTTTGACCAAATATCTGGGTAACCATGGCCTAGTCAATTTGACACACAAAATTTATCATCACAGGAAATATGGACTTATTATCTGTGGACTAGCATTTCCCAAATGCTATGATTCAAATGTCCCCTCCAAAAGTCATGTTGAAATTTAATTGCCATTTTGATGAGATTAAGAGGTAGGATGATAAACAGGTGATTAGAGAATCCCTCATGAATAGATTAATGCTGTTACTACTGGATTGGGTTCCTGATAAAAAAGGATAAGTTTGGCCCAATTTTCTCTCTGTGTCTTGCAGGCTTGCTTACCATTCCCCCTTCTGCCATGGGATAATGCAACAGGAAGGCCCTCACCAGATGCCAGTGCCATGCTCTTGGACTTTCCAGCCTCAAGAACTGTTGAGTCAAATAAATTTCAATTATTTACAAGTTACCCAGTTTGTGGTATTCTGTTACAGCAACCCAAAATAGACTAAGACACAAAATGTAGTTTATGAAGACCTAGGCCAATTAAATACTCCACCAAAAGAGGCTCTGTGAAAATACATGTCTTGGAAAACAATACATACTAAGGCATATTAACACATCAAAGTTATGAATCATCCTGCAGGAAAGAAATGGTTTATAATTTTGTCAATTCTGGCATTTGATTACAATGCCAGTTTTTACTTAACACCTATTAATCTCCCATGGAACTAAAGTTTCACATAACATACTTTGGGAAAAGCTACTCTAAGCCAGTAGAAGATAATATGGATTTGGAATGTGGAAAGGGACATGAAAACAGGATTTTAGTAAGATAAATTTGAAGTCGTGTGCAGTGATATTAAAGCAGAAACAGCCTAGAAGCTAGAGCCCTGCTAGGAAGCTACTTTAGCAATCCAGGTCTGAAGTGATAGAGGCTTGCACTTGGGGGGGAATGGGGCAGAAAAGGAAGATAATGAGCCATTTTATGGAAAAGTGCTTGCATATATAGATTCTAAATAAAAAAAGAGTAGTAGAAACCTCCACAGTTTGGAGCTTGGTAGGTGAAAGACTAAATAGCCACCAAAGGAAAGGCTGGTTCAGGGGCAAAATGTGATGTGTTCAGTTATTGATATGTTCGGTTTAGAATCATGGTAGAAAGAGGTCTGTAAGAAATATCTAGCCAATTTTGGAATTATGAGGCTTGTGTGAAGGATGTCAAAATTATAGATGAATTTGGAAATCACCAGCATTGGGATGGAAACTAAGTCATAGGATTAAACTCTTACTCTCCTTCCCATTTCCCTCAGCCAGACCAATCCCTTCTCTTTGCAAGTGGCTTCATTTTCAGAGGCATGCTTCCTCAATCAGCCTCAGGTCTTCTTGATAAGCCTCACAAAGAAGCACTTTTAATTATAGTCATTCCTGAATGCAGCTCTGCACTGAATAGTGTTAACCATGCACCATCAGCAAGAAGTTAACGAAAATAAGCCCTGGAAGGAGTTCCTTAGATATACAAGGAAAATTAACTTTGGAATGTTACCACATTTACAGAACACAAGTCAACTGTAGACAGAAATATTCTGCTCTCATTACATGCCAAACCAATGGCACGTACCCTCTACTGCAGAGCCTCAATATTATACAATCCCAAAGCTGAAGGTATCCATACACAGTAGGTTTTAGACAAATTTCATAAGCTAAAAAACGTGCATTCTTCTGGAAGCTAGTACTTACGAAAATATGTTTGTGCACTGTCAATCAATTCTGCAGGGACTTACAAAGAGTCTTCGTGTACTTAGCCCTGAAATGACCCATGGTCTTTTCCCTTCTCCACACTGGACCTCTGGAGTTGCACAGTCCCATATTTGAATCCTGTCAGCCCTATGGGCCATATGATTATGATTCTGAACCGGTTACTTAACTGCCCTGGGCCTTGGTTTTCTCACCTACAAAAATGTGATAAAAAATACCTTATTCATTTGTTTATGCATTCATACATACCTTCATTCAGCAAATACTGTTCAGCTCCCACTTACGACTATACCAAGTCTTGAGCACTCTCACAGTGGCAAAAGAAGCAGGCATGGTCCCTAAAGGCAGGGAGCTTAAATCTTACTGGGTTTTTAAAAAAATCAAATGATGTATGCAAATTACAAGGTACAGTGGTTCATGCATAAAAGGGACTCAATAAACACTAGTTCCTTTCTTTCCTATAGATCAGAGGACACAAACTCAAGTGCCTATGGTGGCCAACATAAACATGTGCAGCAGTGGCAATGTGATATGTGACTGTGGCAATGTGATATGGAGAGCTCACGACTTCATTAAAGGGTAGAGACCCAGTCAGCATCGGCTGATTGTTTCCAGAAGGGGATGCAGATTAAGTGTTCTCCCAGTCTTTAAAGAGAAGCAGGAAATATCCCTATATTTAAATGTTGACAACTAATTTCAAACCCTGGGTGGGCCAAATAAAATACACCTAACCTAGGGGCTGCCAGTTTGCAACCTCTATACAAGCTAACCCCAAGAAGGCAAGGCACTTGGATAACTCCCAGTTTTCAGTACTCTCTGGGGCATGATGCAGGAAGGCTAATGGACCCTCAGGTAAAATCCTTATTTCACTCCAGCTTGGTCTCAATCAATCAGCATAACTCTCTTCATGCTCTGCTGAAACAGGAACCTGGAGTGACAGGATCATTATCACCAGAGGAAAGAAAAATCTCACCATGGGTCATCAGCTTGCATTATAGAAATGAATATAGGGCTAGACAGGAGGAAACAATGAAAAGGGACCCCAACAGAGAGGAGTGAAGCACAAGCAGTTCAGGCACCAAATTGTGCTGATTGGATTTAAAGGTATCTACCACAGGGACGATCACAAATACACCAGAAAGATTCTGCCAGCACTTTCAGGTGATATTTCCCAAGGTGATATTCACTGCTTCTACTGCTTCCTTTGTCTCTGACTCATTCTTTCCAGTTCAATCTATTTTGTTTATAGATTTAATATCTGGCACTATTCCTCCAAAGAGCTCATGATTTCCCTCTGTGCTCTCTTCCCCCTCCTGCTTCAGAGCAGGCCAGATGGAAAACTAAATAATAAACAGTGACAGATGTAAAAAGATTTGTATTACTTTGGTTTAAGGCCCCAAATGAAGCTTCTCCAATAGACTACTAGAATGGAGCTGCCTCACCCCTTCCAGAAGAGTCTAAGCATTATTAACTCTGACATTCACCTGGCTTTATAAACCCCAGTAATTATAATTGTGCTAGAGACTCACATGCCCTCCTTTAATGTGTTTCTCTTGTCCAGCCATAGAAGGGTAACAGGATTCCATGAGTCAGAGATGACCCTGATAGACCTGAGTCATCCCAGAAGTCCATCATATGCTCTGGGAAAACCAACATCCAGTAGTTTTTTTACTTGCTGGGAAGATCTAGAAACAATAAAATGAGTACCCAGCCCCATTTCTTGATGTGTACAAGAGCCCTGTGGAAGAGATGTTGGACTCTGCCCACAATTGAGATATACAACCCTGTATGACGGACTGGGAGTTGCTCTAAGAAAAGGCTAGACTATTAGAAGAGACAATGGGGCCACTAAAAGAAAATCACCGTGAATGAAGGAGTCTGGCATCCTGGGCTGCTATAACGAAATGCCATAGACTAAGTAATTTAAGCAACAGAAATTTATTTTCTCACAATTCTAGAGGCTGGAAGTCCAAGATCAAGGAGCCAGTATGGCTGGGTTTTGGTGAGGGCCTTCTTCCTGTCTCGCAGAAAGTGTCCTCACATAACAGATTGAGACAGAAAGAGAGAATGGGAATCTTCCTCTTCTTATAAAGCCAGAGTCCTATGTGATTAGGACACCACTCTTAATACCTCATATAACCCTAATTACTTCCTAAACACCCTCGCTCCAGATAGAGTCACATAGCAGGTTAGGGCTTCGGCATATTAATTTGAGGAGGGGAGAGGAACACAATTCAGTCCATAGCAGTGGGCTAGAGAGAGCAGCACGATGTGGACACTGAAGGTTCCTAGAACAGTTGCCTGATTATCCCCCAGTCCAGTAGGATTTTCTTCCCTACCCTCCACACTCAAGTGCTCCTTTGCTCTGGGAAAGAGATGCTTAAAGCACGAAGAAAAGAATGTGTCCCTAGGGCTCAAGAGCTCAGCTATAGGAGCCTCCCCTGAAATAAATACCCAGGAGAAGGAAAATATTTCCCAGCTGCTTACAGCTGTGGAAGAATACTGGAGATCAGTATTCTGGGGGGAAAGTGTTGGGAGAAGAGGTCAGCAGCAACACAGGCTGTGCTGTGGTCCCTACCTGAGCAGGGTGCAGGTCAGCACCCAAAGGAGGCTGGCAGACAACTTGGTCAACTACTTGGGCCACTGATTGCTACATTTGTTTGTTTGTTTGTTTGCGTTATAGAGATGGGGCTTCACCATGTTGGCCAGGCTGGTCTTGAACTCCTGACCTCAAGCAATCCACCCACCTCGGCCTCCCAAAGTGTTGAGATTACAGGTGTGAGCCACCGCACCGGGCCTGGGCCACTGATTTCTAGACTGACTAGGCTTTCTGGTAGACATGGATTGAAGTATGGCTGTAAATGTCACATTTGTCTTCACCAGTCGGTAAGGCCAAGAGACATTTGTGCTACCGGCGTTCTCCTAACACCCTACAGATCACTGACTCATAGAATCATCTTATCCCAAACTGCTTGAGAATCTAGATACAGGCTTTACTAACACTTTGCTAACAACAGTAACTTTTGCCGAAGTTTCAATTAAAAGTCAAATAGGAAAGCTAAAAATCAGGCCGGGGGTGATGGCTCACACCTGTAATCCCAGCACTTCGGGAAGCCGAGGCAGGCGAATCACCTGAGGCCAGGAGTTGGAGACGAGTCTGGCCAACATGGCAAAACCCCATCTCTACTAAAAATACAAAAATTACCTGGGCGTGGTGGCGCATGCCTATAGTCCCAGCTAATCGGGAGGCTGAGGCAGAAGAATCGCTTGAACCCGGGAGGCAGAGGTTGCAGTGAGCTGAGATTGCGCCACTGTACTCCAGCCTGGGAGACAAATCAAGACTCCATCTCAAAAAAAAAAAAAGGAAAGCAAAAAATCATTTTGATTGTATTTCATGAGAATCAAAATGACTTTCACGGGAATCTGAGCTTGGTGGTACTCTACATACATGGCTGCAAATAGCCTGCACCTTGCCAAGTGTCACCGGAACTTTTCAGTACTTATATTTCTTGACTTCTCTGGCAGCTGCCATTGTTGACAATTTCTTCCCTGATATTCTCTCTTCCTTTGACTTCTTCCTCTGGTCTCTCTGACCATCTTGTTATACCATGGGTGGGCCTGATGCCAGTGAAGAGGTAGTAAGAAAAGAAAACACATCAACATGTGCCTATGGCACAGCAAGGAATAAAGTGGCCTTCAGTGCCTTTACTTAGACTCTTGAGGGCTTTCCCTACCTGAAAAACAGTGAATTGAAGATCAGATTTGAGAATGGCTTCACTCACCCTTGAACTTTGGTTACAACTCCATGAGGAGGCAGAAGAACCTCCAGAGTGTACTCATTCGCTTTTATTATTCTCATTTCCTGTGCCTGTTCTGATTACTTGCAGGTTTCACAGAAAGCTGAAATGAAAGCAACCTCGAACTTGTCCAACTGGTCATTCTTGCCAGGCTTTCAACCCAGACTAGCCCATTCTGGGCTGTCCGGGCCCACCATGCCTCTTCGATCTTCTCACTGGACTCCTTGTCCCCTGGCATCCCCTGCTCAGCTCTTAGTACATCTCCCACAAGCCCTTCAAACTGCACACATGCAAAATTAAATTTATTGTCTTCTTCCACAGTCTGATCCTCCTCTCATATTCTCCTTTTTGCTCAACTGTATGTCCATTAACGTAGCTAAACAAGCTGGAAAGCCAAAACCCCAAGTTTCTTCAAATGCGTATTTGAAGATACTTTAAGGATATGGAAGAATCATGCTGGCTCTTTGAAAGACCAATTTTATTATTGACTTGAAGGTGTGGTATGTGTTTATAGTCCTCGTAGGGCTGTTGAATATGTCTTAAATCAGCTTTTCCTTCTCCATCCACACCATGACCTTGGTTCTTACTTACATTGCCTTTTTCCCGAACTACTACAACAATCTCTCATCCAGTCTCTCTCATTCACATTCTCATAAATGCTGCCAAAGTAATCTTTTGTTTCAAGTATTTGTAAATACTTTTTTCTTTTTTATAGAAGTCATATATGTTTATTGTAGACATTTCAGAAAAATCCTTAATAGTACAAAAACACAATTACTAGTAGCATTGTATTATATATACTTCTAGCCATTTTCTATGAATAGGCATACATCTTTATATTAAAAAGATTATATTATGCATACTCTTATATGCTCTACTTTTAAATTTTTTGAGACAGGGTCTTTCTCTGTCACCCAGGCTAGAGTGCAGACACACAATAATGGCTCACTGCAGCCTTGACCTCCCAGTCTCAAGCTATCCTCCGACCTCAGCATCCCGAGGAGCAGGACTACAGCGCACAGTATCATGCCCAGCTAATTTTTGTATTTTTTGTAGGGACAGGGTTTTGCCATGTTGCCCAGGCTGGCCTCGAACTTCTAATCTGCCTAAAGTTCTAGGATTACAGGCATGAGCCACCACACACAGCCTGCCCTACTTTTAAAAATTATAATTAAAAATTAGTCTTGGGAACAATTTTTCTGTATCAGTAACACTCATTATCATTTTTATAATGAAAATAGCGTGGGCACGGTGTCTCACACCTGTAATCCCAGCACTTTGGGAGGCCAAGACGGGCAGATCACCTGAGGTCAGGAGTTGGAGACCAGCCTGGCCAACGTGGTGAAAGCCGATCTCTACTAAAAATACAAAAATTGGCTGGGCACGGTGGCTCACGCCTGTAATCCCAGAACTTTGGGAGGCCGAGGCGGGCGGATCACCTGAGGTCAGAAGTTGGAGATCAGCCTGGCCAACATGGTGAAAATCCGTCTCTACTAAAAATACAAAAATTAGCTGGGCATTGTGGTGGGTGCCTGTAATTCCAGCTATTCAGGAGGCTGAGGCAGGAGAATCGCTTGAACCTGGGAGGCAGAGGTTGCAATGAGCTGAGATCGTGCCACCGGACTCTAGCCTGGGCAACAGAGACTCCGTCTCAAAAAAAACCAAAAATAAAAACAATACAAAAATTAGCCAGGTGTGACGGCAGGCACCTATAATCCCCAGTTACTCAGAAGACTGAGGCAGGAGAATTGCTTGGAGCCGGGAGGCGGAGGTTGCAGTGAGCCGAGATCACACCACTGCACTCCAGCCTAGGTGACAAAGTCAGACTCCGTCTCAAAAACAAAAAACAAAAAAAAAGAAAGAAAGAAAACAGGAGATTTTATCCAATGGAAATAGCATCATTTGTTTAACCAACCCCCTACTACCTTTCTATATTTCCTAATATTAAAAAAATATTGGCCAAGCGTGGTGGCTCATGCCTGTAATCCCAGCACTTTGGGAGGCCTAGGCGGGTGGATCACGAGGTCAGGAAATCAAGACCATCCTGGCCAACATGGTGAAAAACCCTGTCTCTACTAAAAATACAAAAATTAGCTGGGTGTGGTGGCGTGCGCCTGTAGTCCCAGCTACTCAGGAGGCTGAGGCAGGAGAATCACTTGAACCTGGGAGACAGAGGTTGCAGTGAGCTGAGATTGCACCACTGCACTCCAGCCTGGTGACAGAGCGAGACTCCGTCTCAAAAAAAAAAAGCCAAGGAGGCTACATATTTAAGACTCTAAACCTGTTGCCAAATACTCTCCCAGAAAGGTCTTATCCAATACTTCTACCAGTAGAATGATCATTTTAATGTACAAGCCAGATTGTGACTCAAAGACTGGGAGAACTGTTGCAGGTTCAAGAACAGAAAAGCAGGCCAGGCATGATGGCTCACACATGTAATCTCAGCAATTCGGGAGGCCCAGGCAGGAAAATTGCCTGAGGCCAGGAGTTTGAGACCAGCCTGGACAAAACAGGGAGACACCTGTCCCTGCAAAAATAAAAATAAACAGCCAGGGGTGGTAGTCCCAGCTACTCTGGAGGCTGAGGTGAGGGTATTGCTTGAGCCCACCAGGAAGTGAAGGCTACAGTGAGCCATAAACACACCACTGCACTCCAGCCTGGGTAACAGAGCAAGACCCCATCTCAAAAAAAAAAGAAAAAAGAGGCCAGGTGCGGTGGCTAACGCTTGTAATCCTAGCACTTTGGGAGGCCGAGGAAGGTGGATCACTTGAGGCCAGGAGTTTAAAACCAGCCATAGCCAACATGGTGAAACCCCGTCTCTACTAAAAATGCAAAAAAATTAGCCGGGCATGGTGGCAGGCACCTGTAATCCCAGCTACCTGGGAGGCTGAGGCAGGAGAATCACTTGAACACGGGAGATGGAGGTTGCAGTAAGCCAACATTGCACCACTGCACTCCAGCCTGGGTGACAGAGCAAGACTCCAACTCAAAAAAAAAAAAAAAAAAAGAAAAGAAAAAAGAAAGAGAGAGAGAACAGAAGAGCAGAGAAGGCCCAGAAACAAGACTGTCATAGTAATCTAGGCCATAGTGCCTCCAAGCACAGTATGGCCCATTAGTCTTCTGGATGAACCAAGAAGAGATTTTTAAATCCAAGTTCTTTAATTCTTACAGCAAATGCCAGCCCAAGGACTTTCATTTTTACATATGACTTAAGTCCTTAATAGCTTCCTTTGTTCATTATTAACTGTAATTAAAATTTTATATTCACAAAAAACGTGCAGTAGTGCCAAGTATTGAAAACTTTGCTCTTCACAGAAAGTTTGGCAATGATGCAAATTTCTTACTGCACATGTGAAAACACAGGTTGCTGGAGTTTCCACAATTTTCAAGGATTTTTTTTTTTAGTATGTTAAAGTGTAATGTTGTTTTTCTATCTTTAAATTTTTTTATTTTTTATATTTTTTAGAGATTGGGTCTTGCTCTGTCACCCAGGCTGGAGTGCAGTGGTGAAATCATAGCTCACTGCACCTTGAACTCCTGGGCTCAAGTGTTCCGCCATCTCAGCCTCCCAAGTAGCTAGGACTATAGGCACTTGCCAGCATGCCAGACTTGTTTTTCTATTTTTAATCATTTTGTTCATTAAACATGCTATGATGTTGCCATTTTTGGTTGTTATTTTGTTCCTCTTTCATTTTTAATTTCACCAAATTACTCCCCACCAGAAGTGAAATGAATTTAGGGTAGGTATATCTTGGGGTCTTTTGACCCAATTAAGTGAGCATGTTCAAGAACTGATGGTCTAGATGCCTCCAAATCTCCCCACCCTGAGTCTAGGTTTGTTTCCTAGATTTACTACATTGGCTAACTCCTAAGGAGAGCTGGTAAGTTACTGACTATAAGATGATCAGATGTTTCAAGGGAGGAACAAGAATAGAGCAACTAAAAGCAATTTTTTCTTTTTTTTTTTTTTTTTTGAGACAAAGTCTCACTCTTCTCCCCTGAGGCTGAAGTGCAATGGCGCGATCCTGGCTCACTGCAACCTCTGCCTCCTGGGTTCAAGCAATTCTCCTGCCTCAGCCTCCCAAGTAGCTGGGATTACAGGCGCCTGCCACCACACCTGGCTAGTTTTTGTATTTTTAGTAGAGATGGGGTTTTACCATGTTGGCCAGGCTAGTCTCGAACTCCTTACCTCAGGTGATCCGCCCAGGCTAGTCTCGAACTCCTTACCTCAGGTGATCCGCCCACCTCGCCCTCCCAAAGTGCTGGGATTATAGGCATGAGCCACCGTGCCCAGCCAACTAAAAGCAATTTTGAGGAAAGATGACAGGGAGGCTCAAAGACTCACTCCCCTCCCAACTCTGTTGCTTTTTTTGTTTCTTTGTTTTTGAGACAGGGTATTGCTCTGCTGCCCAGGCAGGAGTGCAGTGGCGTGATCATGGCTCACTGCAACCTCAATCTTTCGGATTTAGGCGAGAGATTCAGCCTCCAAAGTTGCTGGGACCACAGGCATGCACCACCATGCCTGGCTGGTGAGTAGGCATACATCTATGTATAATTTTTTAAATGATAATTTTTTTTAATTTGTAGAGACAGGGCAACTTTCAGTTTTTCAAACACTGATCTTACATTACAGAAGAATATATGCAGGACTCTGTTAAATATCAGCAGGGCTACGAGGTCTGAGCTACCGATGAGCCTAATCTAAGCATAAACAAGGCTGTGTTGAGAACTACATTAACACTGCTCTGTGCTCGGCCCAAGCTACTCAGCCACTGACCTGCAGATTCATACTCTTTATTAGAATATGAAAGACTAGCAGAAAAGAGGAGACAGATCTTCCTATATAAGTTACTATCCAAGGAAATGGAGACATCTGTACAATTGATTCTGGTGACAGGTTCAAAGCTTCTTATTTTCCCATCTAGCCCTAGGAAGTCATGCTTTTAAAATGTATGGGATTTACCTTGACAAACAAAGCTTACAAAAGGATGTGGAAATCTGATTTCCACCAGCCCAACTTGCACTTCGACAGGGATTCTGTAATGTTACCAGCCTGAGAAAGAACTGATCTACTGAGTAATACATTTCCATTCCCGTATGGAGGAAGAGAAGAGAAAATTGGCTAAATCAGTACAACTTGATTTTGCTCACATTTCTACTGCCAAGAGTAGCATGGTTACTCACCAACAGGCACTAGAAACACCCACACACTCACAGACATGTACTGCCAGGCATTTGTTAGGCTACAACCTAATGAGCTTGCCATTTTCAATCATCTAGGCTCCTCATTATTCAGTAGCACCAAAATTGGGTTCACCGCAACAGTAGAATTTTATGTGCAGTACTAAGTCAGCTATGAATCACAAATAGTTACATTTCATCCAAGACAAAGCTCCAAAACCTTTTCTCTGCACATTCTCTGTGGTAGGTGAAATGACATCTATGAGAGTCCCTGGCAGACCACAGTAAGGGTAGCAGAGAATATGCAATGACTAAGGAAGAGAGAAAACAAGAAAGAGACAAAGAGTGAAAAGAAGAGTGGAAAGAAAAGGGAGAAAGACTAAAAGTAATCAAACATTTAAAAAGACAAATGTGCCTCCAGAATCCGCGAACCCCAGTCAGCGTCGCATCCCCAGCCCGCCACCATGGCTGCCTACAAATTGGTGTTGATCCAGCATGGCGAGAGCATGTGGAATCCGGAGAACCGCTTCAGCAGCTGGTACAACACCGACCTGAGCCCAGCGGGCCATAAGGAGGCGAAGTGTGGCAGGCAGGTGCTGTGAGAAGCCGGCTGAGTTTGACATCTGCTTCACCTCAGTGCAGAAGAGAGTGATCCAGACCCTCTGGACAGTGCTAGATGCCATTGATCAGACGTGGCTGCCAGTAGTGAGGATTGGTGCCTCAATGAGCAGCACTCTGGGGGTCTGATCGGTCTCAATAAAGCAGAAACTGCTGCAAAGCATGGTGAGGCCCAGGTGAAGATCTGGAGGCACTCCTATGATGTCCCACCACCTCTAATGGAGCCCGACCATCCTTTCTACAACATCAGTAAGGATCGCAGGTTTGCAAACCTCACTGAAGATCAGCTACCCTCCTGTGAGAGTCTGAAGGACACTATTGCCAAGGCTCTGCCCTTTTGGAATGAAGAAATAGTTCCCCAGATCAAGGAGGGGAAGCAGGTACTAATTGCAGCCCATGGCAACAGCCCCCCGGGCATTGTCAAGCATCTGGAGGGCCTCTCTGAAGAGGCTATCATGGAGCTGAACCTGCCCACTGGTATTCCCGTTGTCTATGAATTGGACAAGAACTTGAAACCCATACAGTTCCTGGGGGATGAAGAGACCATGCGTAAAGCCATGGAAGCTGTGGCTGCCCAGGGTAAGGCCAAGAAGTAAAGGCCAGCGGGCAGGCTACTGTCCCCAGGAGCACCCTCCCTGCCCATCGCGTCCCCCTGCCCCTCCCTCCTGCACATGTCACACTGACCACATCTGTAGGCATCTTGAGCTGTAGCTGCAGATGGGCACCAGTGGCTCCCATTTTCATTTTAGCCATTTTGTCTCCTGCACCCACTCCCTTCATACAATCTAGTCAGAACAGCACTTCTAGGGCAAGGCTTCTCAGCCCAAGCTGTGGAAAGCTCCTCTTGTCCAACAGAGTTTAAAGGTAGTGACCTGGGTTTTCACAAGTGCTTTGTTTACTAAGGATTTGTGGGGAGGAACCATGCCAAGCCATGACCAATGAAGCAAGACAGCCTGTTAAGCCACTGCCTGGGGGCTCTATTCATTCCAGTGGAAGATGAATATAACCTCTATGGTGATATGACAACTGTTTCTTCCCTGACCCCAGAGAAGCTGGCTCCAGAAGGTTGGGATCAATCCTGAATTTAGTTTATGTGTTACATTTATTTTATTTTTTTAAAAAGGTATAGTATATATAAATAATACAAAACAATAATCCTTCTGGGATTTCTCGTGGCAGTTGAAATAGTCCCACATGTGGTCATCAGAAAATAAGCCATTCCTCATACCAACATGGAATAAGCTCCTTGACCTCTGAGGGTTAGAAGTACTTCCTGCTGTGTGTTTTGGAATCCCTCCCCCACCTTGTTTCGTGACAATGAAATGCCTCTTGGTCTTGTCCAAGTGTGTCTCTCTCTGACTGATTTCTGAATCATGTTCTAGTTGCTTGGCCCTGACACATGGGCCCAGTGTTCATTTGAGCATAGCAGTACTAAATCCTTTTTCCTGATCTGTACAATAAAGGAGTGATCTGTAAAAAAAAAAAGACAAATGTGAATAATTTCATTTATTATAGTCCTGAGTTGCCATAGGTTATATTTATTGAGTGCCATCTACTCTATGTCAGACACTGTCCTAAGTGCTTTACGTGCACAATTTAATTCAGTCAACACATATTCACTGCACACCTTGTGTGTGCCAGGCACTTTTCTAAGCAAAGAATATTTTTGTAGAGAACAAAACAGATGAAAATCTCCTTCTTGGAGCTTACATTTCAGTAGGGAAGGTCTTATTTAATCATCACAACAAAGAAAAGAGATAGGAAAGGCAAGGAGAGAGGGAAAGGATATGTATGGACAGAAAAAGATAATTTAGGGAGGGGAATGCAAAGGAGAAGAAGGTTAGAGTAAAGCATCATCTTCAGGGCTTTGAGATGCTGGATGAAATGGATAAGTCCCTGTCCATGCCTCAGACTCTTCAACATGATGGCTAGGAGGGTCCCAGTACAATGGGTTTAGTGAAAAGTCTGAGTTGTAACTATGTTTGAAGAAATATGCTTCCACATTATTTCAAATGTAGATGGTAATTTGAGGTGCTAACAAAGTCTTTCTGAATAGACTTTCTGAATAGTCTTTCTGTTTTAATAAAGAGATCAGACACATCTGTAATAAGCAGTGTTCACTTGCACATGTAACTCTTCTTTCTTCCAGCTACTCTGGTGAAAGGGAAAAAAAATCAGTGGCCTAATGATGAGCCAGCTAGCTGGCTGAATTTCTCACCAGCACCAACCATAATATTAATAGATACCATTAACTGAGAACTTATTATTTGCTACATAACAAACTACCCCAAAACTTAGTAGTTTACCACAGTGATTTATTATTTCTTGTCATCCCGGGGGTTGGCAGGTGAGTTCTGGGCTCACCTAGGCTTGCTCATGTGACTGTAGTCAGATGGTGGGCTCTGCTAGGATGCTGGCTCCCTCATGCCTCTTTTTTCATGTGGTCTTTCAACATGCAAGAGTTCAGGCTGGGCTTCTTTACATAGAGGCAAGAGCAGTCCAAGAGAGGAAAAAAGGAGGCTCTTGCAACCTAGACTTGGAATTAGCCAGTGACACATCTGCCACATTCTAGGGGGTCAAAGTAAATCATAAACCCAGCCGAGATACCACCTTTTCTAGAAAGCAATAGTGGTACTTATAACCATGAGAAGAATTGTTGAAAAACCTTTGTAGGCAATCTACTTCATTTGCCATGTGCCAGAAATTTTACCTTATCTCAGTGAAACTTCCCAGCAATTTATGAGATAGTCACCATTGTATCCCTATTTTCCAGTCAAAGAAAATGTTCCTGAAAGGCTAAATATCCTTTTGCAAGTTGGTGGAAGATCTAGGACCAATCTTAATCGCGTTAGAGTTCCAATTCACAAGCATCCTTCAATAAGGGATCCCAATTCACAAGCATCCCTCAATAAGGTCAGTAGAGTTAGAGGGATTGAACCCCATATTCCCTCCTCCCTGAGGGAAGAAGAAGAGCCTGGAACAGTCATGTGCTGCGTAACAAAGTTTTAGTGAATGCATGGACCGCATATACAAAAGTGGTCCCATAAGATTATAATACTCTATTTTTCCTGTACCTTTTTTATGTTTAGATACACATATACTTACCATTGTGTTACAATTGCCTACAGTATCCAATACAGTAACATACTGTCAGGTTTGTAGCCTAGGAGCAACAGGCTGTATCAAACAGCCTAGGTGTTGTCAAATTATACCCCCAGTTAACAGACAAAATGGATTCTCTGTGGCTCAAAAGTAAAAACAGACCCAAGGGGCCATGGAAGGGTGAGGGAGCAGTCAAGCTCTTCGTGTCCTTAGAGAATGCTGCAAAACCTGTTTTTCTGCAACCAAGTCAAAGAAGAGTTCCTGGAAACAACGGCAGCTGGGAATTCCCCAGTTGACCACCACAAGACCACCTCCTGCCAACAGACAACCTGGAACCAGCCAATTAAGAGAGACTGGTGATTTGGGGCTTTAAGGCCATCTAATCGACACTCTGTTTCTGACTCCCCTGATTACCCTCCCCTGTCCTGCAGTTTTTGCCTTTATAATCTCTAACTTTCCACCCTGCTTAGAGCCCACTTCTGTTTTACACCTGAAGCTGCATTTCCCCAATCTGCAGATTGTTTTTTACAGAAAATAAAACTCTCCCCTTTTCCTCCACAGATGTTATGGACATTTTTTTTTTTTTTTTTTTTGAGATGGAGTCTCACTCTGTCACCCAGGCTGAAGCACAGTGGCACGATCTCAGCTCACTGCTGCCTCCACCTCCCAGCTTCAAGTGATTCTCCTGCCTCAGCCTCCTGAGTTGCTGGGATTACAGGCACGCATCACTACGCCTGGCTAATTTTTGTATTATTAGTAGAGATAGGGTTTCACCATGTTGACCAGGCTGGTCTCAAACTCCTGACCTCAGGTGATCCACCCACCTCGGCCTCCCAAAGTGCTGGGATTACTGGCGTGAGCCACCATGCCTGGCCTCATGGTCTTTTGTTAACAGTGTGTAGCTGGCTATGGGTTCACACAATGACAAAATCACCTAACAGCACATTTCTCGGATCATATCCCCTTCTTTTAGCAATGCATGTCTGTAGTTAAGAGCTCTGCAGCTGGGGTCAGGCCACCTTGGTGTGCGTTTGAATCTTGGCTCTAAGTCTCATCAACTCTGTGACTTTAGGCCAGTTAGTTAGCCTCAATTTCATCACCTGTATAACACGGCTAATAAGAATATCTACCCCCATAGACTATTATGTGATATACAGGTAAAACTCTGCCTCAACTGAGTATGTGCTCTGTAAATGCTGATTTCTGTTGTTGTTCCCTGAGTGTCCTGATTGGTTTACCATGAATCAAGCAGTACTACAGTCCCAAGGCCACAGTCTCTAGGGCTGTTGTTGATGCTGAGCCTATGTGGCTTTATCATCATTGTCCCTGCTGATCTTGCTGGTGATTCTGCTTTGCCTTTGGCACCGTGTTGCTGCTGCAGTGACCACTGCTGAGGGATCCTGTCCCTTTCTTTGCTCATTTGTTGCACTTCCTGCTTCCTGCAGCTGCCCCTTTGTGCAGGAGACCTGATGGCTATCCATGTTTACCTACAACATTCTCCCTTGTCAGTGCTCTTTTCGTTCCTCTGATATCACACAGGGAGGAGAGAATGGAAGTTTCCCAGATTCAGGACATTCGCTGTATTTGACTCCTATACTAACTCAATTTGTGTTTTCTGTGCTTTGCAAAAGCAGTGTTTCAGCAGGAGGAACCACTAGGTGGCAGGGGTGCTGCATTCCCCAGCTCATGACCTTCTTCCAGTAATCTCAGTTATAAGGATACAGTTCCTTTCCAAACGAATGAGCTGCTTTTAAATCAACTTACTTATCAACATGAAATTCAAGGAGAAGAATAAATTTCATATACATTCTCTTGAAAATTTACTGTGATGGCACTAAGTCCACCAACAAGCTCTCACAGGGGTTATGTTACTAAAGCGGTTTTATAGCCCTTGGCTTGAAAGGGCACGGGAAAAGTAAATAAGCCTCTGCTTGCTTAGAGCACAGCCAAAGCTGATTGTATTTCCCTCTAGTTGTTAACACCTGACAGGACAAAGGTCCTTCGGGTTAAAGGTTCATGGACTCCTAGGCTATTATTTCATTAATAAGATTATATTAATAGATACATCTCTTATCTCTCAATGAGGTCCCAAAAGGTTTTCTTGGGGGAGATGGAATTTCAGTAGTGTACTGAATGAAAAGCAGGTGTAGGGGCATCCTTCTTTCAATTACATCCCCACAGGAATCCAACTGGCCAAGTGGGATCTTCTTTTAACAAAATAGATTGGGGAGTACAAGGAAGGGAGGAGAGGTAAAGGCCAGGAGTGCCAATGAAACCCTTGTCTCACAGTGCGGGGGATCAAGAGATGCTGTGCATAACTGACAGAACAAGAAGATGTTTAATACTAATATATCCCTTACACTTAAAAGGTAAATTTAATGTAGAGGAACAAACTACATTGGGTTGTAGCTATAATGGCAGAAGAAGGAAGGGGGCGACAGGATGGTGGTAATGTTAATAGGCTAAACTTCAAGTACCATAACAAAGTCCGCAGATAATAGCAAAAATTGAAAAAGCAAGAAATGGCACTACAAACGTGTCTTTTAGAGCCATGAAGGTAATCACCATAGAAACGAAAAGCAGAAGTGGCTAACAGTCCTTGCCTCTCTCTGCAGGAGAGGAAGAAGGTGGGCAAGGGAGTGGCTGTGCTATCTGACTTTCTACCCAGGACCTTGTTTTACTTTAAGAATAGGCAAGGAGGCCGGGCGCGGTGGCTCATGCCTGTAATCCCAGCACTTTGGGAGGCCGAGGCGGGTGGATCACGAGGTTAGGAGATCGAAACCATCCTGGCTAACACGGTGAAACCCGGTCTCTACTAAAAAACACAAAAAAAATTAGCCGGACATGGTGGCAGGCGCCTGTACTCCCAGCTACTGAGGAGGCTGAGGCAGAAGAATGGTGTGAACCCGGGAGGCGGAGCTTGCAGTGAGCCGAGATTGCGCCACTGCACTCCAGCCGGGGTGACAGAGCGAGACTCCATCTCAAAAAAAAAAAAAAAAAAAAGAATAGGCAAGGATAGGAAGACATTAAGGTAAAAAAGATATCCAGGTTTGTGGGAACAAGCACCACTGAGCTCCTCCTCATTTGTGTCACTATATCTGATATGAATCATCACACTTAATCATATGCTTGTTTACTCTTTAGTTTAATATAACCACTACTTCCAGTTAGAAAGAAATGAGTGGCTTCAATTTCTACATGTAATGTTACCTGTCTCAAACTGGCATTTTCTAGCAAGATCCATTTTAGTCAATATTTTCCAAGGAGGTCATCTGGTTCTTTCTGATATAAACGAACATACCATTTTTCTTTGTAATAAACCAGAACCATAAAGAGCATATGTGCCCACTTGTACTTACTTTGTGACAGTTTAGCCTCGTTCTTGGCCATGCATCTGTCAGCAGGACATGGTTACTCTAAACCAGCAAATCTGCTAAGTCTGACCCTCAAACTTCCTCTCCTTTCTTTTCAAACCCAAATCTAAAACACCAGCAATGACAGCCCATCCTTCAAAACACCCCAGAATTTGACAGTTCTCACCACACCCACCCCTAATATCCTAGTTTGAGATATCATCATCTCTCACTTGGACCAATGAAATCACCTAGTAACTGCTTCCATTCCTGCTCCCTAACATTGTCCAGGCAGCAGCCAGAGTGATTGTCTGTTTGTTCGTTTGTTTTGGTCAGGCACGGTGATAATTTGTGAGACACTGACTTCTACGATGTATCCATCCCATCTCTCTTCCACCTCTATCCTGCTCACTCCTCTGCAGCCTCACTGGCCACCTGGCTATTCCTAGGCCCTGCTGAATATGCTGAGGCCTTCTGCCTGGGATGCTCCCCTCCTGGCTATCTAAATAGCTTGCTCTGTTGTTTCATTCAGGGTCTACTTTGTCACCTTATCAAAGAGGCTTTACCTGACCACCTGACATACAATAGACATATTCCTCCACCTCTCCAGCACCGTCCACCAACCACCTTGCTTAATTTTTCTCCCTAATGCTTATTACCACAGAAATGTGATGTATATATTTTCTGTATTATCTGTTTCTTCCATTAGAACACAAGTAATTTATAAAGTAAAGACATTTATTTCTCACATTTCTGGAGGCTGGAAAGTCCAATGTCAAGGTGCTGGCATCTGGTGAGGGCCTTCTTGCTATGTCACCCCACGGCAGAAGGCAGAAGGGAAAGAGAACACACATGAGAGGGAGAAGGGAGCAAAACTCATCCTTTTATCTGGAATCCACTCCTGCAATAATTAACCTACTTCCATGATAACAGCATTAATTCATTCATCTAGGTAGAGCCCTCATGATCTAATCACAGCTTAAAGATCCCACTTCTCAACACTGTTCCAATGGGGCTTAAGTTTCAAACACATGAACTTTGGTGGCACACATTCAAACCACAGTAACATACTACCGGTGAACAACATGGGATAGAGAGATATTTCCTGAACCGTGAGACCTGTTTATGGGACTTTTTTTTCTTTTTTTTTTTTTTTTTTTGAGACAGGATCTCACTGTCACCCAGGCTGGAATACCATGGCACGATCTTGGCTCACTGCAACCTCCACCTCCCAGGCTCAAGCAATCCTCCCACCTCACCCTCCTAAGTAGCTGGGACCACAGGTATGCACTATCATGGCCAGCTAATTTTTTTTTTTTTTTTTTTTTTTTTTTTTTTTGAGACAGAGTCCCGCTCTATCGCCCAGGCTGGAGTGCAGTGGCGCAAACTGGGCTCACTGAAAGTGCTGCCTCCCGGGTTCATGCCATCCTCCTGCCTCAGCCTCCTGCGTAGCTGGGACTACAGGCGCCCGCCACCACATCCGGCTAATTTTTTTGTATTTTTAGTAGAGATGGGGTTTCACCGTGTTAGCCAGGATGGTCTCGATCTCCTGACCTCGTGATCCGCCCGCCTCAGCCTCCCACAGTGCTAGGATTACAGGCGTGAGCCACCACGCTCAGCCAATTTTTGTATTTTTTGTAGAGATGAGGTTTTGCCATGTTGCCCAGGTTGGTCTCAAACTCCTGAGCTCAAGCAACCCACCTGCCTCGGCCTCCTAAAGTGCTGGGATTACAGCCATGAGCCACTGTGCCCAGCCTGGGACATGATTTTAGATAGTACAAAGATAGGCATTAAATAACACCAAATCAGGTCAAGAGAATATTTTCTTTTGATGACTTAATCTCTCTCATTATGTCAAGAAAATCTCATTATTGCTAGTTTGTCTCTAATATTTGTAATTTGTATTTTTTTATATTATTTTATTTTGGGGGGTGGGTGTGGTGGCTCATGCCTGTAATTCCAGCACTTTGCAAGGCCAAGGCAGGCAGATCACTTGAGCTCAGGAGTTCAAGACCAGCCTGGGCAACATGGCAAAACCCCATCTCTACTAAAAGTACAAAAATTAGCCAAGCATGGTGGTGTGAGCCAGAGGCTGAGGTGGGAGAGTCGCTTGAGCCTGGGAGCCAGAGGCTGCAGTGAGCTGAGATCGCACCACTGCACTCCAGCCTGGGCAACAGAGTGAGACCTCATCTCAAAATATATATACATTTTTTTTAATTGATAATGGGATCTCACTATGCTTTCTGTCTCTATATATTTGCCTATTCTGGGTATTTCATGTAAATGAAATCATGTAGGTATTTCATGTAGGTATTTCTCAACAACGAAAGACATGTGGTCTTTCGTGTCTGGCATCTTAGCATAATATTTCAAAAGTCCATCCATATTGTAGCATGCATCTGATGGTCTTAAACTCCTAGGCTCAAGTGATCCTCCCACTTCTGCCTCCCAATTAGCTGAGATTACAGGCACACACCACCATACCTGGCTTGATAATTTATCCTTAAGGAATAGAGAATGTTACTCTTCTGGGGAGTATGTAAAAGAAAAAAAAAAAAAAAGAGTATAAAATGGGCCTTACATTAGAGCCTAAGAGCCTTTGCAAGGAACAGTGTCTGACCAGAATTTAATAACTTTGCTTTGTTTTCATTGTATTTATTCTTAAGGATACTATTTATTTTCATTATTTGCCTGGTAATGTGTTAATCACATTTAAGTCTCCCAATATAAGTCTAGGAGGGAAATGATGAGTTACCCATATGACCAAAGTTTCCTTTTTCCTTTATAAAAGTTCACATAACACAAAATTCCCCATTTGAAATTTTTTTTTTTTTCTTTTTTGAGATGGAGTCTCACTCTGTCTCCCAGACTGGAATGCAGTGGCACAATCCCGGCTCATTGCAACCTCTGCTTCCCAGGTTCAAATGATTCTCCTGCCTCAGCCACTCGAGTAGCTGGGATTAGAGATGCACGCCACCACACCCAGCTAGTTTTTGTATTTTTAGTAGAGACGGGCTTTCACCATGTTGGCCAGGCTGGTCTCAAACTCTGAAATATTTTAAACTGTAAAATTCAGTGTTTCTTAGTATATTCATAACAATGTGTGACCATCTTTACTACCTAATTCCAGAACATTCTCATCACTTCCATAAGAAACTCTACCCCCTTTAGCTATCACCTGCCAACCCCCTACTTCCCCCAGCCCTAAGCAACCATTAACCTGCTTTCTGTCTCTATATATTTACCTATTTTGAATATTTCATATGAATAAAATCATGTATGCCTGTATAACACATGGTCTTTTGTGTCTGGCATCTCAGCATAGTGTTTCAAAAGTCCATCCATATTGTAGAATATATCTGTACTTTGGAAAAACTCTCAAACCATGCTTCTCCTCTGCTCTCACACCAACACAAAAACAGTCAAGACTTCTGGGACCCCAAAATATGTGGGGATTTCTCCTCATCAGCCAGCAGGCAAGCAATCAGTTCTGCAGCGGACACCAGCTGTGTGTTCTCCAACTCAATTTCAACACTATCTACCTAGACATAATGTCAGATCCTACAGGTTAAGGGTTCAGTCTCCAAGACTATCCCCACCTCAGATATCAGTTGCAAGTTTGGGTCTCCAGAACTTCTGACCAACAGGCTTTAAGTTGGGGTTTCCATGACCCCCTCTTTGGGTTCAATTGATTTGCTGGAGCGGCTCACAGAACCCAGTGTAACACATATTTTCTGGTTTATTACAAAAGATATTACAAAGGATACAGATGAAGAGATGCATAGGGCAAGGGATAGGGGAAAGGACACCCATCAGAGGGCCCTTGGCCCTCTGAAGGTTTACTGAAAAATCTACTCACAAGAAGGCAGATTAATAAAAGAAGAGGTATACAAATTTATTAAACCATGTACACAGGGAGAATCACAGAGTGATTGCCCAATATCCCAATGGGGTTCAGAAGCTTAACACCATCTTGAGGTTACAGAAAGAACACGGACTTGGATCCTGGCAAAACAGATTATGGTGGGGGGATATAAATTCTATTTAGGGGCAATAAATGGTTACTAGGGAGAATGATTGGATGGGGAACAGAAATTAATTCATTAATAGTTCTCTTTGGAACTTAAATGATCCTCAGGGACAGTCATGATCTTATAAAAGGGTCCGTTCAGGTACATTCTTGGTCTTCTTTCCTGTAATGGATAATGAGACAAGGAGGGGAGCAACTGTTCTCCTTGGAGGGTCCATACTATCTTTATGTAGATAGGGAAAAAGTCTCTTCCAACTTGATACCTAAGAGTTTTTAACTCAAAATCCTCATTATACCAGGGAGCCATATTTTGGGATAAAATTCCCTGCACTCCCTCTGACCTTTCATGAAGACTTCATTGGTTGCTCATGATTGAAGCATGGACAACCATGCTCATGATTGAGGCATGGACAACCATATCAAAAAGTGATTGGACAAAAAAATACATGCTCTAAACCCAGCAAGGTCTGTCTATTCAGATGCCTCTTGGCCTCTCTGTGCAGCATTCCTTCCTCCAGGATATGGGGTAGGGCCCTCTCTGGAATAGATGCCTTACGACCACAATCAGATTAGAGTCTTGCCAAGTAGGCAGGTGAAAGGAGGGCAAGAGAAGGTCAGAGAAAGAGATTCTGTTTACTGCAAAATGGGCTAGGAAAGTTATGAGCTAGGAACTGTGGATGAAAACCAATGTATCATATCACAGTATTCCATTCCTTTTTATGACCAAATAATATTCTACTCTATAGATATAACACACTTGTTTGTCTATTCATTAGCTGATGAACATTTGGGTTGTTTCTACTTTTTGACTAAATCAATAAGGCCGCTAGGCACATTTGTGTACAAGTTGTTGTTTTTGTTGTTTAGAGATGGGAACGCTCTCTGTTGCCCAGGCTGGAGTACAGTGGTGCAATCATAGTTCACTACAGACTCGAACTCCTGGGCCCAAGCAATCCTCCCATGTCAGCCTCTTCAGTGTCTGGTACCACAGATGAGTGCCACCACACCCAGCTACTTTCTAAATTTTTTGTAGAGACAGGTCTCCCTATGTTGTCCAGGCTGGTCTCAAACTCTTGGGCTCAAGCAATCTTCCCGCCTCTGCCTCCCAAATTGCTAGAATTACAGGCATGAGCCAGCATGCCCAGTTTGTGTACAAGTTTTTGTTTGAACACTTGTTTTCAGTCTTCTTGGGTATAAAGCTATTACAGATGTTCCTTGACTTACAATGGGATTATATCCCAATAAACCCACCATACGCAGAAAATAGTGTAAGTTAAAAATGCATTATAACCCATCAGCCCATTGTAAAGTCAAAAAATTGTAAGTCAAACCATCCTAAGTCAGAAAGCATCTGTAGTGGAATTGGTGAGTAATGTGTTCTATGTTTAATTTTTTGACGAAAGGCTAAATTGTTTTCCAATGGACGTGTATTAGTCCATTTTCACACTGCTGATAGAGACATACCCAAGACTGGGCAATTTGCAAAAGAAAGAGGTTTAATGGATTTACAGTTCCATGTGGCTACGGAGGCCTCACAATCATGGTGGAAGGTGAAAGGCACTTCTTACATGGCGGCAGCAAGAAAGAGAATGGGAGAAGCGGAAGTGGAAACCTCTTATCAAACCATCAGATCTTGTGAGACTTATTCACTACCACAAGAACAGTATGCAGGGAATCACCCCCATGATTCAATCATCTCCCACTGGGTCCCTCCCACAATATATGGGAATTATGGGAGTATACTTCAAGATGAAATTTAGGTGGAGTCACAGAGCTAAAACATACCAGGGCATATATCATTTTGTATTTTCATCAGCAATGTATAAGTGCTCCATTGCCCCACATACTCATTAGAACTTGGAACTGTTGATTTTTTGTTTTTTACTTTTAGTCATTTTGATGAGTATCCCATTGTGATTAATTTGCAATTCCCTAATGACTAATGATGTTCAGCATCTTTTCATGTGCTTATTGGCCATTTGTCCATCTTTTGGAGAAATATCTATTCAAGCCCTTTACATATTTTTCATTTTATTTTTGAGACAAGGTCTCACTCTGTCACCTGGGCTGAAGTGCAGTGATGTGATCATAACTCATTACAGCCTCAACCTCCCCAGCTCAAGCTATTCTCCTGTCTCAGCCTCCCGAGTAGCTGGGACTACAGGTGAGTGTCACCATGCCTAGCTAATTTTTGTCATTTTTTTGTAGCGACAGAGTTTTGCCATGTTGCCAGAGCTAGTCTCAAACTCTGAGCTCAAGCGAGCCACTCACCTCAGCCTCCCAAAGCGCTGGGACTACAGGCATGAACCACCACTCCCAGCCCCTTTGCACATTTATAAATTGTGTTCTTTTTGGTTTTGTTTTGTTTTAAATTCGGTTTATCTTTTTGTTGTTGGGTTCCTTTCACAATAAGTTAACTTTTGTCAACTGAAAAATAAAAATAAAATTCTATGCCCCCCAACTGACTGAACAGGCCCTCTCTTGGCCAAGGAGACCCTAGAAAAAACTTGGAAGCTGAGTTCCTACTCATGACAGGATGGGAAGTCGGACACACCTCTTTATAACCCCTCCCTCTATAATCGCCATTAGATTTTCTTTCCTAAGGGTTAAACAGAAACCAGCCCTTTTGAAAGACTCACTCCACCAGCCTGATGCTGACCCTCCCATTTGCAGTTTCAATAGAACAACCGACTAGCATTCCTTCCTGATAAGAGATCACCCACCATCCAGGGAGTGGTTCTGGCCAGTCGACAGAGGACGTGCAGTGAGGGTTTTCACATCCCCTGCTTCACCTTTTGAAGTCAAGCGGTAGAAAACTCTACCCTTGGATCATGCTAAGGCCACCATTTTTTAAACATGGGATCCACAGAGAGGCATGAAGCTCAACTGCACATGCACAAATTGCTCCTTTCATAAATATTCGTGACCCCTCTTACAGTTTATTTAACATGTATATTTGGCCACTGTGTTTAGCATAAATCCCTGTCTTATTCTTCCAACCCTGGAAGTGCCTGTTTTTGGCTTCTGACTGGAAGCTAGGCTTCCCAGTCTGTCAAAATGGCTACCATGCAGGTTCAACTCTTTTTTTTTTTTTTTTTTTTTTTTTTTGAGATGATGTCTTGCTCCCAGACTGGAGTGCAGTGGCACAATCTTGGCTCTCTGCAACCTCTGCCTCCTGGGTAAGCAACTCTTCTGCTTCATCTTCCCAAGTAGCTAGGACTACAGGTGCAGGCCACCACATCCAGCTAACTTTTGTATTTTTAGTAGAGATGGAGTTTCACCATGTTGGCCAGCCTGGCCTCAAACTCCTGACCTCAAGTGATCCACCCGCCTCAGCCTCCCAAAGTGCTGGGATTACAGGCATGAGCCACTGTGCCCGGCCAGGTTCAACCCTTTATGAGAAATAAAGTTCATCTGATTGGGCACAGTGGCTCATGCCTGTAATCCCAGCACTTTAGGAGGGCTAGACAGAAGAATCACTTGAACCCAGATGTTCGAGACCAGCTTAGGCAACATAGTGAGCCCCACTATTTCTATTTTTTTTAAACTAAAGAAAAATATGAAGTAAACAGTGCTAAAATAGTGATGGCAATACAGAAATCAGGAACTAGTGGCATGACATTTTGAGAAAGATATTTAAATAAGCTGGAGAGACTCGGTGTCTCCAGCTTTAAAACAGAAATCAGTCTCTGCCACTTCATAGGTGCTAGAACAAAAGAGACTTGTTCCAAATGAGATGACGCATGTGAAGCGCTTACCCAGTGCTCGGCAAGGGGAAGCACTCTCTAAACGTTAGCAAATACCATGGTAGGACACAAGGCCCCTGACTCTCCGCTTTCAGCTTACTGAAGATCCTCAAAACCAACAGCACACAGCTTCCAGCGCATGCTCCTTTCCCCAAGACCTTGTGGGGGAACCCGCCGCCAGCGCGGAGCCACCGTGACTCGTAGCCTGACTTCCGTTTCCGGGGGCGGCTTCCGGCGGCGTGACCTGACCGCAAGAGGCCAATGGAGTGTGGGAGCTGAAAGGGTCTTCGCTGGCGGCCGGTAACTGGCGGCGGTTGGGAACGGCCGAGTGTGGCTCTTCTGGTGTTTCAGCTTGGGGAGAGAGGGGTGGCCTTCCTCTTGCAGTTGAGGCCGGCGCCGAGCCGGACTTCAGGCGGATCTCGTGGCGGAGCCCATCTTGCTCCCTCTCCCAGGCCTTTACCCGCTCCCTAGGATTCCCGGGCCCTGTAGGTGGGAGTTGGGAGACGTGAGTTCTCTTTCATTCTGCGCCTCTCATTGGCTCTCTGACCTTGTGCGGAACGCGTCCTTTAGCTGACCTCAGCTGCATTTTTTAGAAGATGGAGATTGTATTCACAGTGACTGTCAGCTTTTTAACGGCGGGAACTGACGTAGTGTTAAACACTGTCGTGTATCGCTGGCACAGCACAAGGACATTATAGGTATTCTGTACTCAATTAAGTTATTTTGAGTCACAGACCTTTTGAAAATCTCGTGTAAGCTATGGCCCCTCCACCTCTCTAATACTTCCCCCGGCCCCCACCCCAAGCACACACAAAAGCTTATGCATAGGAAATTTGTTTTACTATTTCGGATTACTTCCAAGATCTCTCTCCTGATGCCCATCTATGGATCCCAGAGTCTGGCAAGTAGTAGGCGTTTGAACATTTGTAATCATTAGATAGTAAGTATTCAGTTAACCATTTTTATTTTTAATTTTTTCTTTTTTTTTTTTTTTTTTTTTGAGACAGGGCCTCACTGTGTCACCCAGGCTGGAGTGCAGTCCTCCCACCTCAGCCTCCCAAGTAGCTGGACTCCAGGCGCCCACCACCACGCCCAGCTATTTTTTGTGTTTTTGGTAGAGATGAGATTTTGCCATCTTACGCAGATTGGTCTCGAACTCTTGGCCTCAAGCAATCTACTCACCTCAGCTCCCTAAAGTGCTGGGATTACAGGCATGAGCCAGTGTGCCCAGCCCAGTTAATCATTTTTAAATGCATGAAATGCTATTTCACAGGAGGGAAGAAGATAGATAGCCTATTAATAAGTTTTAATTATTGGCCTAACCAGGTACTACTCTCACTTGTCTCCTAACGACTCTAGGAAAGAGGTATTACTAATTACTTAATTACATTTGAAGGTTTGGGAGAATTAATTTGCCATAAGTCATTCAACCTATGATGGTGGAGGCAAGAATTCAAACCTGTATCTATCTGAAACTCCAAAAGCCCCATATTATTATTATTATTATTATTTATTTTATTTATTTATTTATTTTTTTGAGACAGAGTCTTGTTCTGTTACCCCAGCCGGAGTGCAGTGGCATGATCTCAGCTCACTGCAATCTCCACCTCCCGGATTCAAGCAATTCTCCTCCCTCAGCCTCCCAAGTAGCTGGGATTACAGGCTCCCACCACCACACCTGGCTAATGTTTGTATTTTTAGTAGAGACGGGGTTTCACCATGTGGGCCAGGCTGGTCTTGAACTCCTGACCTCAGGCAATCTGCCCGCCTCGGCCTCCCAAAGTGCTGGGATTACAGGTGTGAGCCACCACGCCCAGCCAAGCCCTATATTCTTAACTAACCATGTTCTTAACATCTAGATGCAGAAATGGATTTGAATGTGATCTGCAGTTTCTGTCGTAGTTATGAAATGGCTTTTGTCAACATGGGTTACCCCAAAGCAAACATTGCATGCTATGGAAATACTTCTTGTCTCTTTTTCTCCCATGGTATCTGTATTGCTTCTTTAATAATAACATCATGTTTTACAGCCTGCACTCTGTGCCCATGTTTATTCAACCCTTTTTACTTTGGTGACTGTTTATCAGATGTGTTGCCTTGTTCTTCCTGCCCTCCAGAGCCCATGTTTTTAATTATAACTGAAATATGAGATGATAATATTTGGGCTTTATTTCTTTTTCTTTTAAAGGACAGTACTGCTTTTAAAGAGACAGTGTTAGGGATCTTGGAAGCACAGCCAACATGTGTGACATTGAAGAAGCCACTAACCAACTCCTAGATGTGAACCTTCATGAGAACCAGAAGTCTGTACAAGTGACAGAAAGTGACCTCGGAAGTGAATCTGAGCTTCTAGTCACTATTGGAGCCACTGTACCTACTGGCTTTGAGCAAACAGCTGCAGATGAAGTCAGAGAGAAACTTGGGTCATCATGCAAAATCAGCAGAGACCGTGGCAAGATATATTTTGTCATTTCAGTGGAAAGTCTGGCACAGGTTTGAATGGAGCAATATTTAAAATAGTTTTCTAAGTTGATCATTTTATGGTTACTTTTCATTTTATAGACCCTTCTGGAATCCTTTCTGATTTTCATTGCTCTGCCCCAAATCAGGTGATTTTAAAGTTACTGCATTTTCTATTGAGTACTGATTTGTAATTTTGACTGTAGTTTCAGTATCCCTTAGGACCAAAAGTGTTTCAGATTTTTGGAGGGGGGTGGGGGGAGTTTTGGAATATTTGCATTATACTTGCCAGTTGAGCATTTCTTTTTTTTTTCTTTTTCTTTGAGACAGAGTCTTGCTCTGTCATCAGGCTGGAGTGCAATGGCGCGATCTTGGCTCACTGCAACCTCCGCCTCCCAGGTTCAAGCAATTCTCCTGCCTCAGCCTCCCCAGTAGCTGGGACTACAGGCGCCCGCCACCGCATCTGGCTAATTTTTGTATATTTAGTAGAAACGGGGTTTCACCATCCTGGCCAGGCTGGTCTCGAACTCCTAACCCCGTGATCCACCCGCCTCGACCTCCCAAAGTGCTGGGATTACAGGCCTGAGCCACTGCGCTCGGCCTGCCAGTTGAGCATTTCTAATCTGAAAATCCGAAATGCTGCACTGAGCATTTCCTTTCAGCATTGTGTTGGGGCTCAAAAAGTTTCAGATTTTTAGATGTGGGCTGCTCAACCTGTAGTAGGATTGCTACATTTTTAGAGGTGATCTAGTATTTCTTGAGGATTGAATTCACCAGAAAGAATACTGTTCAACTTAAGAAATTCTCTAAGTATCTCAGTATTTATTTACTTCAGCATATAGCAGATGTTTAACCTTTGGTGATGAAACATAAAAGAGATTTTCCTTTTAATTTGCATCAAAAATTCTTGCTCAGAAGTAATTAGGACTCACTCAAGGTAAAAAGTGAAGGTCAGAAAACTGCAATCTCACTATCATAAAGCTGATATATCTCATTACCACATAAGCAGTGAGAGGGCAAGGATTGTTGTCTATTTTTTTTTCCACCAATATATCCCACGCTCTTAGTGTCTGGCATATAGTAGGTACCCAGAAAATATCTGTGGGATGAATTGGTAAGCAAATGTTTTCCATCCAATATTTTAGCCAATACCCTCAGCAGCTTTGTGAAGATAGGCACTATTATTATCCTCATTAATCATTAGGCTTAGGACACATAAATAATTTCCCCAGGGCCACTCAGCTAGTAATCACAGAACTGGAGCTCAAATCCCCTGCTTTTAACCATTGCAGCATACAGTGTACCCTAGAAAGTCATCGAGGAAATATGATACAGCCCACCTGAGTGGCTTCACCTTTCTCTTCTCCCACAAAAGACGTGTTGCCCACAAAACACTTCATGCTTCTCTCTTTCCATCTGCCCTTTTTCCCTTTCTCTAGGGGAAAGCTGATTAGTAACCAAAGAGATGAGAAACTAGGGAGATGGGACATTTTAAAAATACAAAATATAGTTAGTAGCTGCTTTAAAACTATCATTCCTAATTTTTTAAATACTTAATTGTTGATAGCTTGTGCTGTTCAAAAGCTTTCTCAGAAATGTGTTTCTTTTTTTTTCACCCAGGTTCATTGTCTGAGATCAGTTGATAACTTATTTGTGGTGGTTCAGGAGTTTCAAGATTACCAGTTCAAACAAACAAAGGTGAGCTATCCTAAACATGGTGGCTGATTTTTGGCTGTCTTCCACAAAGAGATTATTTCCATTTTTCATAGTCTGTGAAAGTTTAGCATTACTGTAGTCTTTGTAATAGAGAATACTGGGAGGCTTTTACAGTAAAATCTAGAGTTTTGCTGACAGTCTATCCCAAAAGATGTTTTTTGAAAATTAGTATTGAAAACCATTAAAGTTTATAAGAAAGAAGAAAACACCTTGTTTTACTTGTAAGAGATATAAACCTTAGATTTGCTTTGCTTTTACATATATTTAGTTCCAAAAGAGAATTGCTTCCAGAACATGAACCAAAGAACAAGTGACAGTTTGTGTCTTCTACAAATAACACTTCCTCACCATCCTGCTTTTGCTCTGCTTTCTTCTCTTTCTTCATTTTTTGAAATAAAGCCAAAATAACATCTAAATACTCCTTCAGTTGTTAGGACAACAGCTTTGTCTCCAATATGTATTTAGCATCTGAATCCTAAATATTCAGCTGCTGCCTAAGCTGAAGGTTGAAAATAGATTGCAGCAAGGCTTTAGGTTTTTTCCACACTGCTTTTTGGTTAGGTTTCTAGAGTTAACCGCTTAAAAACATTTTTCTATCAGTTTTACGTATCTTAGAAATAATCTTTTTAAAAACAACTGTGATACGCTACCTAATTGTCTAACTTTTATTTATTGGCAAGCATGTTGATTTCCAAAACGTTATTCAAAAACGAGTCAAAGTTGTATGAACCCTCAGCCTAGAAAACAATAAGACCAGACCTAAAAGAAGTCAGACTTAAGGGCCTGGCGTGGTGGCTCACACCTGTAATCCCAGCACTTTGGGAGGCCGAGGCGGGTGGATCATGAGGTCAGGAGATCGAGACCATCCTGGCTAACACGGTGAAACCCCGTCTCTACTAAAAATATAAAAAATTAGCCGGGCGTAGTGGTGGGCGCCTGTAGTCCCAGCTACTCAGGAGGCTGAGGCAGGAGAATGGCGTGAACCCGGGAGGCGGAGCTGGCAGTGAGCAGAGATCACACCACTGCACTCCAGCCTGGGCGACAGAGCGAGACTCCATCTCAAAAAAAAAAGTCAGACTGAAAATAGATAAAAATTGTATTAAGTAAAAATCTAACTTTTAGAAAAGCTTAAAGCAATTCTAATGAGTTCTCTTAAGTATTCAGATGATAATCATGAATTTATTAGTCCCCACCCCCCTCTTTTAAAAAATATTGAGATGGGGTCTCACTATGTTGCCCAGGCTGGTCTCAAACTTCTGGGCTCAAGTGATCCTCCCACTTAAGCCTCCCAAAGTGCTGGGATTACAGGTGTAAGCCATTGCACCTGGCCCCCATTCCCCACCTCCACCCGCGCATATTTTTTTTTTTTTTTTTTTTGAGACAGAGTCTTGCTCTGTTGCCTAGGCTGGAGTGCAGTGGCACAATCTCAGCCTACTGCAACCTCTGCCACCTGGGTTCAAGCGATTCTCCTGCCTCAGCCTCCCGAGTAGCTGGGACTATAGGCATATGCCACCATGCCCGGCTAATTTTTGTATTTTTAGTAGAGACGGGGTTTCAGCATCTTGGCCAGGCTGGTCTTGAACTCCTGACCTCGTGATCCACCTGTCTTGGCCTCTCAAAGTGCTGGGGTTACAGGCGTAAGCCACCGCGCCTGGCCTCCATCTGCCTTTTTAAAAGTATGAACAAATCTGTGATTTATATGGGTTTTTAAAGACTAGTTAATACATGTATTTGGAGCAAACTTGTAAAGACTGAATGGATATAGAGTGAAAAGTAAGTCTTTGTTCCTATATCCTCATGCTATGCAGCTCCCTCCCTGGAGGCAACAACTGTTAGCAATTTCTTGGGTATTATTCTGGAGATATTTTACGAATAAATGTATTTTATTTACACAAATGAAAGCATAGCATACATACTTTTCTGCGCTATGCTTTTTTTTCATATACAAGTTGAGTATCCCTTATCTGAAATACTCGGGACCAGAAATGTTTTGGATTTTTGTTTGTTTGTTTTTTGAAATATTCTGGGTTGGGCATGGTGGCTCACACCTGTAATCCCAGCACTTTGGGAAGCCAAAGCAGGTGAATCATGAGGTCAGGAGTTTGAGAGCAGCATGGCCAAGGTGGTGAAACACCATCTCTACTAAAAATACAAAAATTAGCCGGGTGCGGTGGCGGGCTTCTGTAATTCCAGCTACTCGGGAGGCTGAGGCAGGAGAATCACTTGAACCCGGGAGGCAGAAGTTGCAGTGAGCCGAGATCACGCCACTGCACTCTAGTCTGGGCAACAGAGCAAGACTCCGTCTCAAAAAAAAAAAAAAAAAAAAAAAAGAAAGAAATACTCTGAGGGTGGAACCTATGTATAAATAAATCCAAGATTCATTTGTTTCATATATACGTTATACGTATAGCTTGACGGTAATTTTATATGATTTTTAAAATAATTTATACATGAAACAAAGTTTGTGTACACTGAACCATCAGAAAGCAAAGGTGTCACTATCTCAGCTACCTGTGTGGCATCATGTTGGCACTTCAAAAAAATTTTAGGTTTTGGATTTTGGACTTTGAGATTAGGAATGTTCAACCTATATGTTGGAGATCCTGGCAGTATCATTGCTGGAATTGGCTGCGTATACTCCATTGTTTGGCTGTATAATAATTTAACCAGTCCCATTTTAGGGCATGAGGGTTTTTCACATTCTTTTGCTATTACAGTGGTGCAACAAATACACTATGTAAATTCTTGTACATATTCAAACTGAGTGTCATCTTTGTGTTTATCCCATTGATACTTATTGATAATGACAACTGTTTAGTCTTAGTTTTGTCATGCTCATACTTTTTGTTTTTTCTTAATTTGAAAAATCTTTACATTATGTCTTTACTTTTTTCATATGCCTGTGTTTTCTAATAGTTTGGAAGGTTTATGTGTGTGTGTTCTAGCTGTTACCTTTATAACTACAATTTGATATTATCTACCTTATCTACCATATATACACGGTATTTTTTGAATCCCTGCTAAAAGCAATGATGAAATTGGCATATTTATACTTTTTTCCTTTATTTTTCAGTTATTTTTCTTAGTGTTCACCCTTAAACTTTTAAATATACTTACATTTTATTTATCAGCTTTAACTTCTATCCTTTGACCTCTGGGTGTAAGAGATGAGGGTATCAGTATGCCCATTTACATGCCAGTTTGTAACATTTACCTTCTGCTTTATAATCACAATCCCTACACTTGTTTTCATTTTAGTGATATAATTAAATAGATTATAGGCACATTATTTGTCCTTTTGTTATAATTTGTATCTGTTGAATGGCATGAGTTCAGAAATGTTTGTCTTTCACCTTTATATTTGGCTGATAGTTTGGGTATAAAATTTGGAGTTAGGCTTTCTTTCCTTAAGAATATTGTAGTCAGTGTTCATTCTCTTTTGTAAAAGATTTATTTTTTTAGACAAGATCTTGCTCTGTTGTCTAAGCTGGAGTGCATTGGCGTGATCATAGCTCATTGGAGCCTTGACCTCCCAGGCTCAAGCAGTCCTCCCATCTCAGCTTCCTGAGTAGCTGGGACTACAGGCACGTGCCACCATGCCCAGTTAATTTTTGTATTTTTTTGTGGAGACAGAGTTTTGCCATGTTGCCCAGTCTGGTCTCAAACTCCTAAGTTCAAGTGATCCACTTGCTTCAGCTTCCTAAAGTGCTGGGATTACAGGCATGAGCCACCATATCCAGCCCAGACTTTTTTTCTTGTCATTATTTCCCAAACAATACAGTATAACAACTATTTCCATAGCATTTACATTGTATCAGGTATCATAGGTAAGATAGAGATGATTTAAGTTACTCTTGAGAGGATGTGTGTAGGTCATATGTAGACACTATACCATTTTATATGAGGGACTTTTGAGCATCTTTGGGTTTTGGTGTCTTTGGCGGTCCTGGAACCAGTGTCCCCCACGGATACCAACTGTCCATAAGCAAAGTAGAGGTTTATTTGTTTGATTATAGTGGTGAGAAATGAATGAATTTCTTTCTCTGTCCTTTACAGGAAGAAGTTCTAAAGGATTTTGAAGACTTGGCTGGAAAACTCCCATGGTCAAACCCCTTAAAAGTGTGGAAAATTAATGCCAGTTTTAAAAAGAAAAAAGCAAAGCGCAAAAAGATAAATCAGAATTCAAGTAAAGAGAAGATTAATAATGGACAAGAAGTCAAAATCGATCAGAGAAATGTTAAAAAAGAGTTCACTAGCCATGCTTTAGATTCTCATATCTTAGATTATTATGAAAATCCAGCCATCAAAGAGGATGTATCAACATTAATAGGTGATGATTTGGCATCTTGCAAAGATGAGACTGATGAAAGCTCAAAAGAAGAAACTGAGCCTCAAGTGCTGAAGTTTAGAGTCACATGCAACAGGGCAGGAGAGAAACATTGCTTTACCTCAAATGAGGCTGCAAGAGATTTTGGGGGTGCTGTTCAAGATTATTTTAAGTGGAAGGCCGACATGACCAACTTTGATGTGGAGGTAGGTATAGGCTCTGACTGTGGTGATTGAAGAATGCTGTCACAGATTTGTAGAATTTCCAGACTAACCCAATGTTATGCACAATTAAACTGAGGAAATAGTAGGGTGTGGTTAAGAAGAGCATAGGCTATGGAGACAGATTTAGATCCAAATTTTAACTCCACAACTGTATAACTTTGGACTAGATAGTCTCTGAGCCTCTGTTTCAAATGGAGCCAATAATATTATGTACCTTTAAGGTTATCCTGAAGGATAAATGAGGTACATTTAAAATATTTGGTGCAATACCTTGCATACACTAAGTGCTCCATAGATGGAAGCCATCAAGGTTGAGTTGTCTGTTTTCTTTTTCTTTTTCGAGACAGAGTCTTGCTCTGTCACCCAGGCTAGAGTGCAGTGGTACGATCTCAGCTCACTGCAGCCTCCACCTTCCTGGTTCAAGTGATTCTTGTGCTCAGCCTCCCAAGTAGCTGGGGCTACAGGCACATGCCACCACACCTGGCTAATTTTTGTATTTTTTAATAGACATGGGGTTTCACCCTGTTGGCCAGGCTGGTCTCAAACTCCTGTAGTGATCTGCCTGTCTTGGCCTCCCAAAGTGCTGGGATTATAGCTGCACCTGGCCTGATTTCTAATAGACTACTCTTTTACTATATTATATGGACTTTCATATTATAAAATTCAACCAGAATTAAAATAGTTATTTTGTTTTTGTGTGTCTTGGTTGCAGAGCTTTGCTACTGAAAAAATAAAATAAGGCTGGGCGCAGTGGCTCACGCCTGTAATCCCAGCACTTTGGGAGGGAGGCCGAGGCAGGTGGATCACTTGAGGTCAGGAATTTGAGACCAGCGTGGCCAATATGGTGAAACCCTGTCTCTACTAAAAATACAAAAATTGGCCCGTCATGATGGCACACTCCTGTGGTCCCAGCTACTGGGGAGGCTGAGGCAGGAGAATCACTTGAACCAGGGAGGTGGAGGTTGCAGTGAGCCAAGATCATGCCACTGCACTTCAGCGTGGGTGACAGAGCAAGACTCCATCTCCAAAAAAAAAAAAAGTGCATTTTTTAAACAAACCCTGACCTTCTCAAACCAGGACATCATTGCTAATACTCATCCTAGAGTCAGCTCTCCTCTTTCTTAAATTCTGCTAGATTTCCAAAGCCAGGTACCTCATTTTAGTATATTTACTTTCCTTGGTCTTAATCCTCTTTTATCTGGGTGATTGACATGTGAACCATAGGAACTAAAGTATTTAAGTCTCTGACACCTTAAAACATCTCTAGCAGCTGATATATTTACCAAAGAGTCAATTTCCGTTGCTTTTGGGACACTTGAATCTGGGGCAAGTCACTGATTCTAACTTTTTTGTGCATGTCAAATCAGGAGTCTAATTCCCCATTCCTTTTTTTCCTCATACACTGCCTTGCAAATGAATACGTGGCTCACACCTGTAATTCCAGTACTTTGGGAGGCCTTGGCAGGCAGATCGCTTGAGCCCAAGAATTTGAGACCAGCCTGGGCAAAATAGTGAGACCCTGTCTCCACTAAAAATAAAATAAATATTTTAAAAAATAAAATGAATAGGTTAACCAGAACAGTGATGTCTAAAAGTTAGCAAGGTGATTCAGAGGAGTTTCTGGAGCCGTGCTGCATTGGTTTAAATCCCAGAGGAGGCTGGGTGTGGTGACACACACCTGTAATCCCAGCACTTTGGGAGGTCAAGATTGGAGGATTGTTTCAGGCCAGGAGTTCTAGACCAGCCTAGGCGACATAGGGAGACCCTGTCTCTACAAAAAATAAAAAAAAAATTAGCTGAGTATGATGACAGACACCTATAGTCCCAGGTACTTGGGAGGCTGAAGTAAGAGATTGCTTGAGCCCAGGAAGTCCAGGCCACAGTGATCTGTGATCATGCCACTGCACTCAATCCTGGGCGACAGAGTGAGACCCTGTCTCAAAAAGGGAATTCCTGAGGAGCTGTCTTTGTGCCTCAGTATCCTCATTTATAAAGGGAATAATACCTAGCTTAGGGGATGTGAATATGAGATGAGGCCATGTATGTAAAATGTGTAGAATAGTGCTTTGCATTAGGAAGTGCTGTATGAGTATCAGCTGTGCTTCTGCTGTGGTTAAGCTCAGGAAGTCTTTCAGTGAAAGATTGGGGAACATTTTGGTTTAGTTTAGTTCACTTTTGAGACAGGGTCTCGCTGTATCACCCAGACTGGAGTGCAGTGGTGCAATCATGGCTCACTAAAGCCTTGACCTCCCAGGCTCAGGCTGTCCTCCCACCTCAGCCTCCCGAGTAGCTGGGACTGTGGGCCTGTGCCACTGCACTCAGTGTAATAAGACTTTTTATTTGAGACTTTACCAATTTTTAAAACTTTTTTGTTGAGATACACTTTGCACCCCTTAAGTACACAAATCTTAAGTTTTCAGTAAGTTTTTACTTATATACACGATGTGTAAACAGCATCCAGATAGAGATACAAACTATTTCCAGTACCTCGGGCTCCCCTTGCCCTTTCCCAGTCAGTACCCACTCAAGGCAATCACTAATCTGACTGCTACCACCAAAAATTCGTTTTGCCAATTTTTGAACTTCATATAAATGAAATCATATAGTATATAGTTTTTTTCGTTCATTTTAATATCTATTATTTTCTTTTAATTCACTATGTTTATTGGCTACAACCAGATTTCACCCCAATTTTTATAACACAAACATATTTTGAAGGCTTAGAGGTTTTTTAATATGTATTTTTTAAATGTCTTAACTTTTTAGACAGTTCTGGGCTGTGGTGCGCTATGCCAATCAGGTGTCTGCACTAAGTTTGGCATCAATATGGTGACCTCCCAGGAGTAGGGGACCAACAGGTTGCCTAAGGAGGGGTGAACCGGCCCAGGTCAGAAAAGTCTTATTACTAAGCGCAGTTTGAACAATCCTAAAACTATTTTGTCTTGTTCCACTTTGCTATAGGTTCTTTTGAACATCCATGATAATGAAGTCATTGTGGGCATTGCATTGACTGAAGAGAGTCTCCACCGAAGAAATATAACACATTTTGGACCTACAACTCTTAGATCAACTCTTGCCTATGGGATGCTCAGGTAAGAAAATGAGTTTGCCATCCAGCTTAAAGTGGCACCTTGGTTTGAATGTTCCCTTCAAAATACTGATTTGTGTGTATGTGTGTTTGAGGTACTGTGTTGGAATAGAGTGGATAAAGAATAGAATGGAAAGCTAATGATCTATTTCTTTCCCTTCTATCCAATATTGACTCCTTGTGATCTGAAAATACTGCTTAATAGGTGGCTCAGTTTTCTTTATTTCTTTTTTTGAGACAAAGTCTCACTCTGTCGCCCAGACTGGACTGCAGTGGCGAGATCTCAGCTCACTGTAACCTCTGCCTCCCGGGTTCAAGCGATTCTCCTGTCTCAGCCGAATAGCTGGGATTACAGGTGCCTGCCACCACGCCCAGATAATTTTTGTATTTTTTTAATAGAGACGACATTTCACTATGTTGGCGAGGCTGGTCTCAAATACCTGACCTCAGGTGATCCACCCGCCTCGGCCTCCCAAAGTGCTGGGATTACAGGTGTAAGCCACCGCGCCCGGTTTTCTTGATTTTAAAATGAGAGTAATAGTTTTCACCTGCCTCTTGAATGAGGTTACCACATTTCTGTTTAGCAAGGATATGTGTGTTGGGAGATAAGAGTAAATTTTGCTGTTTCATTTCTGTGCAGTGAAAAAGATGAAAGCAGAGATTTTTATGTGTATAACGTGTAAATGAACAGAAAGAGCTTTTACTTATATTTTTAAGCTTTATACTCACAGCAACTCAGGAATCATCCTAGAATTTTTTGCTTTTCAGAGTACACGACCTATCTTTCCTTCTCCTTTGCCCTTCTCTCTTTTATTGGGTGCTTCTTTCCACCACTTGAAAATGTTTATTTTCTCTAAAGCTTCTGTTTTCCAGATGGCAAAATGGATTTGATGTGAGACTTAAAGGATTATTAGTGAGGATTAAATGCTGAAGCATATGCAAAATACCTATTATATACAGTGCCTGGTATGTCCTGGTAGTTAAGTCCAGTCATGCATCACTTAATGACAGGGATACATTCTGAAAAATGTGTCATCACGCAATTTCATCATTGTGCGAACCTCATGGAGTGTACCTACACAAATCTAGATGGTGTAGCCTACTACACACCTGGGCTATGTGGTATCTCCTATTGCTCCTAGGCTACAAACCTGTACAGCATGTTATTGTACTGAATATTGTAGTCAGTTGTAACGCAGTGGTATTTGTGTATCTAAACATAGAAAGGATAGGGCAAAATATGGTATTATAATTACTGCATTCATATATTTGGTCCACCATTGATTGGAAGATTGTCATGCAGTACACGACTGTATTCCTTCTCTTCCAATCTTTTATCTTCCTAACATATTAATTCAATGACGATAATAGAAAATTGGGCCCATTTGATAAAGGAAAATCTTCTAGTCTTCATTAATTTAACAAATATGCATTATCTACTGCCAGGCATATGGTAGAAACCAGGGATACAGAGAGGGTGTTATTTTGGGTGCAAATATTTAAAACCTAAGTAATCAAGTTTAGGATAAAAAAGTGATAATTGTGCCAGAGAGGGGTTTATTGGAAAGATAAAGAGAAATCTTGGGGATTCTACAGAAAAACTGAATGTTGGTTCTCAAGAAGGGTAGGAACCACATCTTGGAAAACCACCAGAAATGTAGGCAGCCATTTTTATCTCCCCTTAGAGCCTGTGGACTCTTGTCTCTTCTCATCTACATGCTTTCTCATCTAAATTTATGTATTTCCAATTCCAAACGACCAACCCACACTGCCTAGGGCTTTTAGCTCTTTGTTCCAAATTCCTGGAAGAGAGGATCTGATGGACATTGTTTTGGTCAGATATTCACCCCTGACCATCAGGAATGGCTTGGAGTACAGGGTGCTTACCCCCTCAAGAGGGTTGCCAAGGATTCTATTGCCATGTGTTGAGGAGTAGGAGCAAGGAGATAGAGCAGGACCAATGTTACAATAAGAACCCACTATTAACCCCCAAGAATCTGTCTTGTGAGGGAGATAAATAGTTATCATACATGCGATAAGTCCCACACCAGCACATGAAAAGATTAGAAGAACAAGAGAAGGGAAGAAACCTACTGACCTGTTTCAGGGTGGGATGCTTCATAAAGAGGATAACAGTTAAGCCACTAACAGTAATGCCTCTAATCTTGAATCTGTTACCTACTAGTTTTGTGTCCCTGGGCAGGTAACTTCATGTTTCCTTGCATCAGCTTACCTTTAAAATGAGAATAATGATAATTATCTAACAGGGTCCTTACTGAGGATTCTGTGAGATAATGCATGGAAAGAGCTTAAGTCCATGCCCAGGAAATACTAAGTGCTCAAAGTAAAGCATTTTTTTTTCCTTTTTTTATTACCTAGTCCCACAGAGCAATTTTTTTATATCAAGATTAGCTTTAAATTCAGAAGGAAAGGAATACTGAATGTCTCATTGCCAGTAACCTTATATTGATGCATGTTTGACTTGAGACATTTTTGAGTCTTTTTAATGTAATACAGGTTTCTGTTGAAAACAACACTGTTGTCAAAAAGTATGCATGAGCGTGTGTGTGTGTGTGTGTGTACACATGTGTACTTTAAGATGTCTGCAAACTAAATTTCATCTGAGAGTGAAATGGGATTTTGGAAGATAGTCAAAGGAGATTTAGTTATAAGGATTTTTTTTCCCCAAGTAATGGAATATACAGTCAACATATCATTATAAATTGATTTTATTTATTTATTTATTTATTTTTGAGACGGAGTCTTGCTCTGTCACCCAGGCTGCATCTTACATGATCTTGGCTCACTGCAATCCCCGCCTTCTGGGTTCAAGCAATTCTCGAGTCTCAGCCTTTGTACTAGCTGGGATTACAGGCACCCACCACCACGCCCAGCTAATTTTTTGTATTTTTAGTGGAGACGGGGTTTCGCCATGTTGGCCAGGCTGGTCTTGAATTCCTGACCTCAAGCGATCCACCCATCTCAGCCTCCCAAAGTGCTGGGATTACAGGCGTGAGTCACCGTGCGCGGCCACAAATTGATTTCTAAAATATGTGTAGATTGGTGTTCCTTCGGGCTAGTGTGGTAGGTCCTCAATCTTAAAGCTTCAGGAATCATCAGTATAGAAGCCTCAGCTTTTGAGTGAGTCTTCACATAGGCTGTTTTCTTTTCTCTAGGCTCTGTGATCCTCTACCTTATGATATAATAGTCGATCCAATGTGTGGAACTGGGGCAATACCAATAGAGGTAATCATATTTCTTTAGCTTTTAGATAAGAGTGATACATCCAGAATATTCTAGACCTAATGGGCAAATTAGACATAATGAAATCTCCATGGTTGGATCAGTGGACCCAAGAGTTTTAAAACAATTAACAATAGAAAGTGGAACTTTTTTGTAAAGAATGTAACTACTTATTTCAAAGAGCCATGTGCCACTGGCCTAGATACATTGTTAGTGACATCTATTCACTAGATTACAGAGGAAGCTGAGAATTACAAACTGCCGATGAGTCCTCTTTGTGTAACAGACAAGCTGGTAGACTTGAATGGGAAAAGATAATTGAAGGCATAAGCATAAACTGGAGGAAGGCAATTTTCTTCTCTGTAATCCACTTAAGTTCCTAGAGGGAATAAGTATAGTTGTAAAAAGGGGAAACTTATGAACATTACTTGGATTTTTTAGGAAGTCTAACAAGCTTAATACCAAATGCTCTTAGTTTTCAAAATTACCATGATATTGAGAGGACTCATAAAAACTGTGTAAAGCAAAGCAAGAAATGGAAAGGCATTTTCTAAATGGAGAATATTTCACAGTAGATTCCCCTTGAATAATCAGTATCATCTATATGTTTTTAAAGAATTTAGAAGAGGGAGCTCCCAGTAAAATCACTGAAGTTTGTGTGAAACATAGTAGTTCTTCCATATAGTATACTGACAGCCAATTTGAATAAACTGCAGGGAGACACAGCAGATTATATGATTGGGTAGAAACTGGACAGATGAGCAAGTCCAAAGCAAGCCCACAAGGGGAGAAATAATCCAAACTGTAATTAGAAAATGGTATCTGTTCTGGGAGTTAAAATCCAAGACTGAAATCATAGAAGTCTACATGTGACTGTGTTCCGTGAAAGCTAGAGAAATTACTGTGGCTTAAAGAGACTGCACAGTAAAAACCCAGTCCTTCTTGTGGCCAAGAAGGATTCTGGGAAGAAAGCAGAGTGTTGTTTTCTAGTATGAAATCATGATATGTGTATGAAATAGCAGGTAAGGTCACCGCATGTCAAGAAATACACAACAGAGCTCCGAGTAAAAATAAAGGCCGAAAAAAATTAAAACATGAAGTTTGAGCCATTTCCATGTAAGAGTAGACATGCAGATGTCAATGTAGAAAAACCTAAGCCGATATATGATCAAAATGAATAAAATTATGAATAAATTGACAAGGTATATATAAAGATTTGTTCACCAAAGTATAAAATACTTGATCTAGAATAATTTTTTTTTTTAATTTAGAAGTGTTATGCTATAAAACCCAATTCTTTCCAATGCTGAAAATCCAAATAGGTTTAGGAAAAAAAAAAAAGAATATTTGGGAATCGGAATCACTGAGAGCCTTCCTCAAACTCTAGGTCCCCTCTACATCCCCACCCACCCAAAATTCTGGGATACTTCAACTTCCCTTTTGTTTGATGTCATCGTAGGATTGTAGACAGGGTATGTTATCACCCTCAAGTGTCTGGGCAAAAGAAAAAGTTATGAAACACTGCACTCATGGATGAGAAGTATGTTACTGTTCACAAAGGAACACAAAGGTGTTTGCTACTCACCCCTAAGCAGAGGCAGACCTTTCCCGGCTTTCGTGTCAGAAACCTTCTGTTAATCTGCATAGAACATTGTTCAGGCCTAGGGTCACGTCACCTCATTCCACAAATGACATGTGACAGCTTGGTATTTATGTTCTGCTGACAGGTTTTTTATTTATAATTACAAAATCCTTCCAGTGATATGGTGGTTACCATTCAAAAGCCTATCATACAAAGGAAATTGCATTTTACTATTATTTTTTTGACCTGGGGTCTTGCTCTGTCAGCCAGGCTGGAGTGCAGTGGTGTAATCTCAGCTCCCTGCAACCTCTGCCTCCCTGTCTTAAGCCATTCTCCCACCTCAGCCTCTCGAGTAGCTGAGACTCAGGTGCACACCATCACACCCAGCTGATTTTTGTGTTTTTGTAGAGATGGGCTTTCACCATGTTCCCAGGCTGGTCTCAAACTCCTGGGCTCAAGAAATCCTCCTGCCTCAGCTTCCCAAAGTGCTGGGATTTCAGGTGTGAGCCACCATGCCCGGCCGGAAATAGCATTTTATTTTGCAATTTTCAAATATATCAGATTATGTAAACTCCCACAACCACAAATCTCAAATATTTTCAAACCGCATTAACTTAGAATTTAGTGTGCCAGACACTGCTGGATGAGGAACTGAATAAAATACTAGACCTGACCTCAGAGAGCTCCCAGGTTAGTTGAGAGGCATAAAGGGGAAGAAATAATTAACCGTGGGACAAGTGCAGTGGCAGAGGTACGTACATACAAAGTGTTTTTGGGAGGGGCACATAAGACTGCTTGGAGAGTTAAGGTTGATGTTGAAAGGGCATGAGGTTTGAGCTGGGTCTTAAGAGATGGGTAGAGGTTCAGCAAGCAGAGAAAGAATAAGAGGGCATTTTCAGCCAGGGAAATAGCACAGTTGACAACATGCAATGTTTTGCCACTCTAGAAAAGCACTGGATTTTCTTTGTTTGTTGACAATTTAATCATATTTTACAGTTTGCTACTTTTGTTTTAACATACACTCTTATCTTTTAGGGGGCCACTGAATGGTCTGACTGTTTCCATATTGCTGGTGATAATAATCCACTGGCTGTGAATAGAGCAGCAAATAACATTGCATCTTTATTGACCAAGAGCCAAATTAAAGAAGGGTAAAAATTTAAAAGATTTCTTAGCATCTTTTAGAGTTAGAGAATCACTTTTTATATTGACTTTATGAATTAAAACTCCCAGTGCATTGTGACGTCATTGTAACCAAAATGAATATACTATGAGACTCCATTTACATTTTTAAAGTTTATTGAAAATAAGTTATATTTTTAAAATATTATTTTAGCGATAATTTCCCCACCATATGCAATTTTTCATTTGTCTTATTCATATGTCTTTTCCCCTACATATTGGAAGAATATTTTATAGACTCATTTTAATTTCACAAAATTTTAAACAGTATATTTTTACATAGGCTTCTTTTTTGCTTTGGGTACAGGGTCTCATTTTGTCACCCAGGCTGGAGTGCAGTGACATGATCATGGCTCACTGTAGCCTCAACCTACTGAGCTCAAGCAATCCTCCTGCCTTGGCCTCCCTAGTAGCTAGGAATACAGGCATGTGCCACCATGCCCAGCTAATTTTTTAAAATCTTCGTAGAGATGGGGGTCTTGCTGTTTTGTCCAGGCTGGTGTCAAACTCCTGGCCTCAAGAGATTCTGCCGCTTCAGCCTTCCAAATTGCTGGGATTAGAGACGAGTCACCACACCTGGACCATAGTCTTTAAAGTCACTACATAAATTCCATCGTATAGAAATACTGCAGTTTATATAGCCTCGCCTCTATTTTATTACTAAGTCATTGGTTATATATTTCATTGTCTCTCTGATCTAATTTTTTAGGACAGTGCTTCTCAAACATTAATGTACATGTGAATCACCTAGGAGTACTGTTAACACAGATCTGATTTAGTAGTTTGGGATGGGACCTAAGAGTCTGCATTTTCCAGGAAACTCCAGGACAATGCTGATGCTGCTGGTCTATGTATCAACATTAAATCCTTTTACGTGTATTAAGACAAGTAGTTGGAAGGCTTCAATTTTCTTAAATACTGATTTATTGTGATGAATTAATTTTGAATGGTTGTTTCATATTTATTGAGGGTTTTTTTTAATGAGCCTAGTATATGGCCAGTCTTTTTTTTTTTTAATTAAAACTGATAAACATTTAAACAAACGTACCTTTCTAGCTTCTGAATATTTTATCTTGTTTGTACCTACACTGTCTGTTCAACCCGTACTTTTTTTTTTTTTTTTTTTTTTTTTTTTTTTTTTTTTTTTTGAGACGGAGTCTCACTCTGTCGCCCAGGCTGGAGTGCAGTGGCTTGATCTCGGCTCACTGCAAGCTCCGCCTCCCGGGTTCACGCCATTCTCCTGCCTCAGCCTCCCAAGTAGCTGGGACTACAGGCACCCGCCACCATGCCCGGCTTATTTTTTTTTTGTATTTTTAGTAGAGACGGGTTTTCACCATGTTAGCCAGGATGGTCTCAATCTCCTGACCTCATGATCTGCCCACCTTGGCCTCCCAAAGTGCTGGGATTACAGGCATGAGCCACTGTGCCCGGCCTCAACCTGTACATTTCTATCCATTTTACTTTGGTTTTTAATATTTTTTGCCTTTTGTTTTGTGCAGTTATTGGTATGCGGTTATAATACATATTTTATGTGTACTTTTAAAAATTATGTAATGATTGCTTTTATTGCATTTTTTTCTTAAATTCTTCATTAAATGTCAATTAAATCCTTAATTTCTGCTGATAACCTTTGACTTATCTTCAGTTCTTAGCCTGTGCATTATTTTGTTTCTTAAACCAGTTGCTTTGCCTTAATGAGGAGGATTTAAATCCTTTGTATTTATTATTATTCATTCTGTCTTCTGTCATCTATATTTTTTATCTTAACTTTTTTCTTAGTCTTGTTTTATATAGCATGGCACATATTTTCCTTTTGGTTTTTCATCTTGAAACAATTACCTATATATTTGCCAATTTTACTATCTGTTTTTCTTTTAGGCCTCCTGTTATTACTAGTTTTACAAACTTTATTCTTCAGATACATCACCCCATTATCTATTCTTTAGTATTGTTTTTCTCCAGTGTATGTTTTATCAGCAACTTAAATTTTTGTATCATCGGTTATGTAATTTACTGCTTCAGCATTGTTTTTAAAGTTGTCTTTTGCAGTTCTCTGCATTACAATCATGTTTTCAGTTTGTTTCCCTTTTTTCTGAGACGGGGGTCTTGCTCTGTCACCCAGGCTGGAGTAAAGCGGCACAATCCTAGCTCACTGCATCTTTCAACTCCTGGACTCAAGTGATCCTCCCACCTCAGCCTCCTGAGTAGCTGGGACTATAGGTGTGTGCCATCATGCCCTGCTAACTTCTTAAAAAAGTATTTTAGAGACAAGGTCTCACAGTGTTGCTCAGCTGGTCTCAAATTCCTGGAGTCCAGTGATCCTCCCACCTCAGCCCCTGAAAGTGCTGATTATAGGCACAAGCTACCATGCCCAGCCTGACCTATTTTTTACCTTTGTGCCATTTCTTAAATTTTGAATAGGTTGATATTATCACTGATATCCTTAGCAGTTTATGTTTTGCTGTAGCAGTCTCTCTTCAGAAACAAAAATTGTTGTAATAACTTTATGCTTCACAGTATGTTGAAGCACCTTTCCTTTGTCCCCACAGCAAACCCTCCTGGGGCTTGCCCATAGATGCTGTTCAGTGGGATATCTGCAATCTGCCATTGAGAACTGGCTCTGTGGATATTATTGTAACAGATTTGCCATTTGGAAAAAGGTGAGAAATACTAGTACCTGCTTGTCTTCTAAATATGTCATTATTTTCCTTGCGTTTATTCTAAGTCAGGAAAAAAATCTTGAATTTTAGCAGACTTAGCAGAGCTGTTTTTCACTTAACAACATGATGGATTCACCCATTATGTTTCTTCCGAGAACTCAGGAATGTATTAACTACATTTGGAATCCTGACCATCATGGGAGGTTCATTTTTAAATTACCTGTAATTCACTTTCTAGCCCATTCTTGAATTATATATCCTACACAAAAAGGTGGTAGAAGACTTGGTTCTCATTCTGTTTCTCAGCATAAATGATTCTTTTTTTTTTTTTGGAGACAGAGCCCTGCTCTGTTGCCCAGGCTGGAGTGCAGTGGTATGATCTCGGCTCACTGTAACCTCTGCCTCCCGGGTTCAAGCGATTCTCCTGCCTCACCCTCCTGAGTAGCTCGGATTTCAGGCACATGCCATCATGCCCAGCTTATTTTTGTATTTTTAAAAGACAGGGTTTCACCATATTGGCCAGGCTGGTCTCAAACTCCTGACTTCAGGTGATCTGCCCGCCTCAGCCTCCCAAACTGCTGGGATTACAGGCATGAGCCACCAAAACACCTGGCCTAAATGATTTCTAATCACTTGTTTGGTTTATACAGTTTGACTGCTTATTATACTAAGAGGACAAGTCATATAACTAACACAGTTGTCTAAAAAAAATTTTTTTGATTCAGAATTCTAAGCAGTTTACTAACTCAACTTATTTCATAGACATGTAATGGCAAAGGTCTGGTTTCTAAAACTACAGCTATTTTTCATGCCTCAGGATGCATGAAACTGTTTTTGTTTCATATAGTCCTTCTATTTTGTATCTTTTGCAAGTGTTTGACTCATGAGACCTTCTATTATAGGATGGGATCCAAGAAGAGAAACTGGAACCTTTATCCAGCTTGCCTACGGGAGATGAGCCGTGTCTGCACACCTACCACAGGCCGAGCTGTACTACTTACTCAAGACACAAAATGCTTTACCAAGGTGCTATACACATTAGCTCAAAATCGCAGCCTGTGGCAACTTTGGGATCTTTTTGAGATTTGGGGATGTTTGTTTGGATAAGATTTGTTTTCTCTTCCCCTGAGGTTTCCTATCTTGGCAGTTAAGAATCCTAGTTGATGTAAAAGTAGATTGTCAACCTAATTGTTATTTTTTTTGTGTGTACACAGGCGTTATCTGGAATGCGACACGTATGGCGAAAGGTGGATACAGTCTGGGTGAACGTTGGTGGTCTTCGTGCTGCAGTTTACGTTCTGATACGTACACCTCAAGCTTTTGTTCATCCTTCAGAACAAGACGGAGAAAGAGGAACTCTTTGGCAATGCAAAGAATGAAGATGACTAATAGTACTTGTACTTCCCACCACTGGAAATGTTAGCATAAAAGAACTTGGAGAGGAAAAAAGTATTAACAAAACTGCAGTCTGCACTCTTTAAACCTGTTTAAGGCTCTTCATCCTGGTTAGCAAAAGGTGTGAATGTAATGTGATGGAATTTAAAAGTTTTATGAGACCAGGCACAGTGGCTCACGACTGTAATTCCAGCAGTTTAGGAAGCCGAAGTGTGCAGATCACCTGAGGTCCGGAGACCAGCCTGGCCAACATGGTGAAACCCTGTCTCTACTAGAAATACAAAAATTAGCCAGGTGTGGTGGCGGGCGCCTGTAATCCCAACTACTCAGGAGGCTGAGGCTAGAGAATCACTTGAACCCAGCAGGCGGAGGTTGCGGTGAGTCGAGATCACGCCATTGCACTCCAGCCTGTGCGACAAGAGCGAAACTCTGTCTCAAAAAGATTTTATAAGAAAGCAGAGCTTTTCCTTGAAGCTCTTTTGAAGTGGTAGCTTAATTAGTATTTTGTTGAAAATACTTTAAAGATGCCTAGTGAAAAGCCTACTAAAGTGCTGTGAGATTGGGGTTTAGAACATTTTATTTTCAGGCTTTATGGCCTATTTTCCATTGTGTCAAGTGCAAAACTACCCTGGCCCAAAGGAAGGGCAGAGAACATAATTACATCTTAGGCCACATTTCATTCTTTGCAGCTTTGCTAATCCAGTTGCTCAAGTTCTTTACCTCAACCTGAAGGAATGAAGCATTATTACATTTTGTGAATGGTGTTCAGCCTATAAGACGAAGTCTCACAAGACCTATAGGAAAGTTTACCATCTGCCTTAAATATTAAAATATCCATCTGTTATTCACATTAATACACAGAATGAAAATAGAGGTCTAGGAATTATCAAAGGTACTGCAAAAATACTGTATAGAACTTATTTGTAAATAGCACATACATTGATAGATGGGGTGTGGGACCAACAAACCAAATTAAAAGAAATTGTTTTTCTTTCAGTACACTAAGGTGTGTGTTTTCAAAACCAAACACAAACCTGTCAAGAGTATTTGTTGGCTAGTTTCTTAAAAGGCCAAGAGAAAAAAAATGATATATCTTTGGAAAACTTTTAATTTGGGAGTTATGTGAGTTGTTACTTTCTCCTGGATCACGATTCACATTTAATTGCTTTTCCAGTTGCAACAAGTCCTTCTTGAGAGTTTTGTGGAAAATGGTGCTTCCCTGGAACAAAGAGTAGTTGAGGTTTTTTTGTGGAACTCATCATAGTATTGTTTATTTTGGAGCCTCTGGCTGCAATCAGTATAGATTTTCAGTATCCTATTAGTATTATAATAGTACTCCTCTTAATACTTTCTGATGTCTCCATTGAGAATAAAAGGACACAATACTTTTGAAAGAAGAGTTCACATTAGCAGCACAGCCAGCAATCCTCATCTGGTTTCTCTGATCTCCTACCCCACACTTCATAATGAATGGGAAATAAGATGTTTATGAAGGTTTTATATCCTAGACTGGCCTTTTTACCACTATCAGAATTCACAGCTGCTTTGTTTATGGGCCGAACACAAAACTTTTCACCTGATGGGAGAAACCATTTAAACCTCAAATTAAGCAACCCACAGAACCAGGAAGTTCAAGGACCATGTCTGTTTTCACCACGATGTCTTTCCCCACCCCCCCACCCCCCACTCCACCCCCCACTAAGGGCAGGGTATTGTATCTGCCAGACTGGGTATTTGTTGAACAAGCGAGTATTTTCGCCTATTAGCTTAGTTTTTAAGGAAATCATTTTTTACTTGATTCATCATAGCTTTAATTCTATTACATACTACAATAAAAATTTGACAAGACTGATACAAATATGTAGTGGGCAATAGTTTGCCGTCTTCTTCCCTAGTATGGTGTTTTTCAATCTGGTGACTAGAATAGGCAGTGGGCTATAAGCAGGATTCATAAGGCCTGGAGCTGAGTTATATGTGACACTGCCACCTATTCATTGTGTGACCTTGGTTTTAACCTTCAAAGTGGGTCTCCTGGACTAAAAGAATGTGAAAAGATGGGGAAATAAATCTGTAATCTGAACATGGAATGACTTAGTTACAGACCAGACATATTGTTACTGGGAATGAAAAAGTCAATATATTTGAGGGGAAAAAAATGTAAATAAATATTGAGAAAGATTTTACAAATCTAATTAGGGGAAGATAGTTATCTCCCAATACTAGAGGGTACCAGAGTGCTTTTAAGGGGAACATTTGGTTACCCTTATTTCTTTAAAAAATGGCAGTTTAGGAAATTCTGCCCTAACTGTAGTCCCAATGTCAGATAGGACTCAGGTCTCCACTGCAAGGACCAAAATGTTAAGTTGAAGACTGAAAATGGGAAAATTTGGAAATGTCTTTGGAACCTCAAGTACATAAAAGCCTGTAAGTGCTTCATACTCATTAACAACATAGGCATAGAAAAAAGATATCCTTATTCTCAAGCATAGCCTTTTCTAATAAGTTCATGTTAGATGTCATGAAGTTTAGTGAGGAGTGAAAATCTATGAGGAAAAACATGAACCATTCTACTCTGGCAAAAGTTCAGGACAAACACCATAGGCCTGTATACCAAATTTTAAACCATGTTGAATAATGTGAAAAAAAGCATCACATTGCTTATGAAAGGCTTTCCTGTCGCCCCTTAATACTTCTGTCTCAGGCTAACATGTTTGTTAATGAGTTACAGTGGTGAAGTTAAGGAAATCTGCTTCCTGTCCTAGCATGCCCATTATCCCAGCCATACAGATTTAATACCAGGAGTCACTTTAACTCCATGAAGTCATTCAACAGGTACTTGAGTATTTACTATGTGCGTTTGTGCTAGAGTAGCCATTTCTTAAACTTTGTGGCCTCAGAGAATCCCTTCACATTCTTAAAGATTGAGGGCCCCAAATCACTTTACTAGTATCTTACCATATTAGAAAGTAAAATATTTAAATATTATAGCAACAAATGCATATTTTTAAAAAAATAGGTGCATTGTTTTACATTTTGGCAATTGTTTCCCTAAATGTCTGACTTAAATAGAAGACAACTGAATTGTTTCTTTTGCATTCAATTGGTTACAATGTTACTAGCAGTTTTCTATAATCTCACGTATTAGTCATTAGGAAAATATAGCTTCACTGAGTTATGTCAATCTCCCAAATGTTGGCCCATTTTACTGTATACTACCTAAAATATCATTGGCCGGGCACAGTGGCTTAAACCTGTAATCCTAGCACTTTGGGAGGCCAAGGTGGATCACCTGAGGTCAGGAGTTCAAGACCACCCTGGCCAACATGGTGAAACCCCATCTCTACTAAAAATACAAAAATTAGCCGGGTACAGTGGTACACACCTGTAGTCCCAGTTATGCAGGAGGCTGAGGCAGGAGAATTGCTTGAACCCAGGAGACAGAGGTTGCAGTCAGCCAGATGTCCCAAAAAAAAAAAAAAATTATTTTCAATATCACTATCTCATGAAGTATTGGGAAGCTGTCAAGTTCCTGATATTAGACACAAGTTTTCCCGAAATTCTGATTTTGACTCAACGTTTGGATTTTATCATTGAAAACAATTGCTGTCAGTTGTTAGGCTCCAAGGAAATAGCAGATAATTCAGCTTACATGAGTGCTTTTTCTTGAGACAACCATTTCAAAAAGTTATGTACTGTAGGGTTTAAGATTTAACAAAATGTCACTGCTTTCACAAGGACATTCTTGAGTGAAACTGGTTTTTTTCTTTTGTGGGGGTTCACACCACAAATGCATGGCAGTGAAAAATAACTTAGAGTTTGATGCCACTGCCACAGTTTGTGCCAAGGTGCCTGAAATTTTACTTTTACCTACTGTTGCCTTATCACCACTCTTATGTCAACATATAGTTTAGCATAAACCATGAGATTTTAAAAAGTTATTCTACACTTGCATTATTTCAGGACATGTGTTTGTTGCCAAGCTTTCACGTAAGAGTATCTTTAACTAGTTGGTGCTGATGCCTGGCAAATACAAGCCAAGTAACAAGTCCAGCCATGTTTATGCACGCATCCATTGATAACGTATTAGCACAGTCAGCCCTCCATATCCTCAGGTTCTGCATCTGCAGATTCAACCAAATGTGCTTGAAAATATTTGAGAATATTTAATACAATAGTACAAATATAAGTACACAATGTAACAACTATTTATATAGCATTCACATTGTATGAAGTATAAGAAATCTGGAAATGATTTAAAGTATATGGGAGGATGTGTGTAAGTTGTATGCAGATACAGCGCCATTTTATAAAAGGGAATTCAACATCCTTGGGTTTTGGTGTCCTTGGCAAATGGCCAGCAAGGGTGGGGGAGTGCTGTCCAGAAACCAATCCCAAAGCAAGGGACAAATATATACTTCTACAGATGAGATATTAACTCAGAATCCATGTCTGCACACACATCTTTAATGACAAGTTGCTTTATCACTCAACAGCGGCACTACTATGATCTTTTACTTACACTTCAGCCAGCAGAGACATTCAGCAGTGTGAGATTTTTTAAGTTTTTCAGCTATTGTGTATGTTTCTAGTGTATAATAAAGTAACTTATCCTTTAAGATACTTAAGTAGCTTTTCATTTCTAGCTTTAAAACCTGTTTTTTTTTTTTTCCCAGTAGTGGCATACCTGCATTAAAAAATAATGCCTTACCAAAAAAAGCACTCTGAATGATTGGTTTCAAAATGATGCCACAACATAGGTGGCACCAACACTATTCAAGATCATTCCATTCCCATCTCTAAAAAAATTTTTGGCTGGGTATGGTGGCTCACGCCTATTAACTCAACATTTTGAGAGGCCCAAAGCAAGATCACTCAGGGCTAGGAGTTGAAGACTAGCCTGAGCAACATGGCAAGATCCTGTCTCAAAATTCTTTTTAAAATTTTTTTAAAAGCCCAGGCTTGGTGGCGCATGCCTATAGTTCCAGCTACTCAGGAGGCTGAGGCAGAAGGATCTCTTGAACCCAGGAGTTTCAGGCTGTAGTTCACTATGATGGCAGCTGTGAATAGCCTGGGCAACACAGCAAGACCTCATCTCCAAAAAAAGACAAAAGAACTAAATTATTCTACTGCAGAACATGATTAGGTAAATATCTCCAAAGCAGAAAGACAGGTTTCATATTTTCGTTAGTTTGAGTCAGTCCTTCCAAATCAAATCTTGTTTTTTATTAGTATACAGATGGTATAGCCAGTAAGTAAATGAGAAGCAGTCTTTTTAAGCCGATCCATTCTTAAATGAAAAAATATATAAATATTTTAGAATAAATTTATTAAATTCTAAAGTTGTAGAATTTTTAAATTTGGATATTTTGGGAAAATATTTAAACCACTATTGCAAACAAAACAACAAAATGTACTTATGTTTATACTTAGGCACAAAGAAAACTACAGTATTTTAAAGTAACCATTACACAATATTGAGGTTGCAAAGATTACTGAAGGCATAACCTAAAAAATGAGTTGATTTCTAAAAATGGGAAAAAGGAAAAAAATAATTTCTAAAAACAAGTATGCATACCTAAACCTACCTAATGACACCTTAGAAAATTCAAGTATAGCACCATTCATTAACATCAATGAGGATGTCATCACACATCATGTAGCCTCTGCACACCGTGAGAATAAATGAAAAAGACAGGCATCTTGCTATCATGACAATAGTTTTGACCTCGCAGACCTCTCTGTGCTTACGCAACGGATAAAGCCATAAGAACTGTCCTGCCCTCAAGGAGCAACCTAAAGTAGGAAAAAAAAAACAAAATTACACAATTATTATTTACAATTGTGAGAAGAGCTCTTGACAACATTCAAATGGAGGATACAGTGTAGTAAGGGTGAGGGTATCAAGGCTTCCTTGAGAAGTGATGTTTTGAGGCCATTCTTTCTTCTCAATAACTGGTATTTGGTTCCTGAATCCTTTAACTTCCTTACCATTGTCACTCCTAAGCCAAATCTCATTACGTCATGTCTAGACTACTGTTAAGAGAACCACTTAAGTGGTCTCTGCAGCCCTCAATTTATTGGTGTTATCTATGGGAAAATTGCTCAAACTCTAAGCCTTAGTTTCCTACCCTATAAAATGGGGTTTTATATACAAGGAACATACTAAATACACAGGTATACCTCAGAAACACGGCAGGCTCAATTCCAGAGCACTACAATAAAGCGAATCTCATGAATTTGTTGGTTTCCCAGTGCATAAATTATGGTTACACTATACCATAGTCTATTAAGAAGTGTACAATAGCATTATGTATAATTGATAAATACATCACTGCTAAAAAAATGCTAACAATCTTTTTGCTGGTGGAGGGTCTTACGCCAACGTTAACGATGGCTACTGACTCATCAGGGTGGTGGTGGTTGAAGATTACGATAGCTGTGGCAATTTCTTAAAAGACAATGAAGTTTGCCACACTGACATCCTTTCACAAGACTTCTCTGTAGCATGTGATGCTGTTTGATAGCATGATAGCATTTTACCCACAGTAGAACTTTTTTTTCCTTTTCCTTTTTTTTTTTTTTTAAACGCAAGGTCTCACTCTGTCACCCAGGCTGGAGTGCAGGGGCGCCATCTCGGCTTACTGCAACCTCCTCCTCCCTGGTTCAAGAGATTCTCCTGCCTCAGCTTCCCAAGTAGCTGGGACTACAGGTGTGCACCACACCTGGCTAATTTGGTAGAGGTGGGGTTTCACCATGTTGGCAAGGCTGGTCTTGAACTCCTGACCTCAAATGATCTACCAGTCTCGGCCTCCTAAAGTACTGGGATTGCAGGTGTGAGCCACCACACCCAGCCAGTGGAACTTATTTCAAAATTGAAGTCAACTCTCTCACACCCTGGCACTGCTTTATCAACCAGGTTTCTGTAATTCCTAAATCCTTTATTGGCATTTTAACAATGTTCACAGCAACTTCACCAGTAGATTCCATCTCGAGAAACCACTTTCTTTGCTCATCCCTAAAAAGCAACTCCTCATCCATTCAAATTTGATCATGAGATTGCAGCAATTCAGTCACATCTTCAATGCTTTACTTCCAGTTCTAGTTCTCTTCCTGTTTCCACACCTGCAGTACACAAAAAGCATTCAATAACTATTACTTCATTTCTTCTACCTATGTTTCCATTAGCTTTTGCCTATAGTACGCACTAGAGTATGTTACCATTATTTGTTATAAGTAGTACCTCATTATTACACTATTCGTAAGCAATACCTCAAGGTCTAAGATTAGATTTTAAATCAAGGTCAGTAAAAATAGAAAAGGCTGTGAAGACTGTTGACTGACTTTACCAGAATCCATACACTAGAGGTGAGATTAGTTAGGTGATGAAATAACCATTCTATAAACATGATCTGAAACTCTGTTACTGTTGTCAGCAGGAAAAGCCAATGTTACATATGTTTAAAAAAGAAAAAAAAAACCCAAAACCAGAAAACAAAAGGTGACAAAGTATCAAGACAAAAGGTCACTGATGACTGATCTCTAGGAAAAGCTGGAAAGCAGGATTATTAAATGTAACCACGACTAAGATAAAAATCAGAGACAGAAAAGTCTTTGTCACCAAGAAGATATACTCCATGAGAGAGCAGAAACAATTCATCAGGTTTAACCCTGCTCTAGATAAAATAAAACTATCTGATTCAATACTCACACTTCTCTAATAATCCAATACATTATCCCATCTCAAGAAGAGAGAGTCACAGATAAGAAAAAAAAGGCTTCTTGAGAAGTATGTGCTCTAATATAAACTAATATGCCACTAAGAAAGCAACCTGCAAAGTCCAGTACCAGACTTCTGGATTTGTGACCTAACAAGGTGCTCTACAATTAACCTAACAGTCAAACCAGAGTGTTGTAAAAGAGAATTATGTAATTATGCCAAACCTCCACTCACAAAAAATATATGGAAGTAACCTAAGTTTACATTTTGCAAATCTCACACACACACTAGCCCTGACAAAAGTTTCACCAGCTTTCTCATCCAAGTACAAGCGTGTAATATACTTAATAAATTTGTCTTATAAGGGTAAGAAATAGTATGTAACTACTTGAAAAGGAGATAGGTAGCTGGTTAATTTAAACAAAAAGCCCAAGGAAGTAAGGTGCAGGAAAAGGATAACTGCAATGATTAGTACAGGAAACCCAAAGAAGAACTGAATGGTGGGATAGATGTACTCAGAGACCATGAGGCATCAGTTTCCTCTATGAATAGAATATTAGGAGATGTAGGTTAAATGGGACCCTGAAGTCTCTCCCAAAAAGCCTTGTTTATATGTTTTCTGAGCTTAACTATTACTTGAGAATCAATTTCACGTATAAACCAACAAAACTAACATTTATTGAGCTTCCAGCTCTGTGCTTAGGCACTGAAAAATCACTTTCCTTAAGGATTGCAATTAAGCAGGAGAAACACAAATAAGGTGAACTTCTCTTGTTCGAAAGAATATATTTCAACATTCCTTTTAAAAGGAAAACCTGACCTGCAAGTTTCCAAAAATATTAATTACTATTCCTCTTTGCCTCTCAAAATTCCCATTCTGTTATTTTTTAGGAGGAGGAAAAAACAGTTCATTTGAGGAAAAATTGAGGGTCACATACTATACAATTGAGAAGAGTTTCTCTGAAACTGTAATCATTTTTGGCAGGTAAATAGGCATATCCGAGTCAGCAAATGAACTTGAAGATACTGAGTTATACTGCCTGCCCTGTGGGGTTCCACCTTCCCCAAAAGAATTCAGAATTTTTGGGTGATCTGAGAATCTACATTAAGACAACTGTCTCCACACACAGGAGGCCTGAAGATCGCTGACATAAGGGTCTTTTTAAAAAGTATATTTAATGGCCTAGGGCGGTGGCTCACACCTGTAATCCCAGGACTTTGGGAAGCTTAGGGCAGGAAGATCACTTGAGCCCAGGAGTTCTAACCTGTGCAGCACAGCAAAAACCCATCTCTACAAAAAAAAAAACACAAAAAAATTAGCTGGGCATGGAAGCGTGTGCCTGTAGTTCCAGCTACTCAGGAGGCTGAGGCAGGAGGATCACTTGAGCCCAGGAAGTCAAGGCTGCGTGAGCCATGATCATGCCATTGCAATCCAGTATGTGACACTAAGACTCCGTCTCAAAAAAAAAAAAAAGATAATTAAAATGTGTAAGATACTGTATTAGCAATATAAAAAGCATTTGGTGTTAAAATGTTGGTATTATAATTCCTCAGGATAAAACTTACTTTGTGATTGTTTTCTATAACTCAAGATATGATGCTTAGAGCTCCTCCAATCAAGTGTTTCCAGGAAGTGAAAACTTGTAGGACAGAAATTTAGGCTGGGTTCATTTGTATCACACAGACCTATTCTTCATTCAAGTTCTGATATATTTAACTATGTAGCTCCTGTAACAGTTTAATGGAATCTCACCTCCCTAAAATTCATTATGCATTTTTTTTTGAAATCCAAACTCATTAACGCTTGCTTTCACTGTTGTCCAAGGCAGGCACATCTTTAAAAATGGTTTGTTGGACTTAGCTTTCAGCTAAATATATAATAAATAAAACAAAACAAGCAGTTAAATGAAATGTAATGGGCCAGAGAGCTTCAGCTTTTATTTCCTTACTGCTCAGTAAAAAGAGAAAACCATCAATGTCCACGTATTCTGTAATCCACAGAACAAGTCCGGGGCTACAGCTATACTGTCCACAGTTGCAATTCAAATTAGATAAAAAATAAAAATTCAGTTCTTTAGTCATACCAGCCACTTTTCCAATGCTCAAGATTAATAAAATGTCAAACCATAAAGACATTTACATGTCGCTCACTCCATTTACTTAAAGTTGGCTAGACATCAGAGTATACTAGGAGCTCAGGAGTACAAGACACTATTCCTTCAAAAAGCTCAGAATAGTTAAGGTAATTTAAATCAGCAATGACAACAACCCCAGAATTACTATGACCCACGCAGTACAAACTGCTCAGGAGTCAGAAGAAAACTGCTTTTTTAAAAGGGCAGTTTGGGTCATAGAACAACAGACCATGGAAGGCATGACCAAAGGGGAGATGACATTTGAATCTGCAGGATTAAAAGCAGCAAGGGTAGCATTCCAAAAAGAACCACCCCACAAAGATATATGACGTCTCTATGATTTGGGTAACTGCAATTCATTCCATGTGACTTCAGGAGAGAGGTCATATTTGTGTGTGTAGTATGTGGAAAATAGTGAAAAATGAAAAAGCTGTTAAATTGAGGAAAGTCTATCCAGGGACCTTATGCATCACATTCACGAGAACAGAATTCATCCTGTAAACCAGGGGTGTCCAATCTTTCGGCTTCCCTGGGCCACACTGCAAGAACTGTCTTGGGCCACATATAAAGGACAGCTGATGAGCAAAAAAAAAAAACAGACAACAACAACAAAAAAAACACCCCGCAAAAAAAACTCCTAAAACTTTAAGAAAGTTTACGAATTTGTGTTGGGTCGCATTCAAAGCTGTCCTGGGTCCCATGCGGCCCGCGGGTTAGACAACTTGCTGTAAACAGTACAAGCCAGTAATGGAGTTTCACCTGTCATTTTCATGCTCTATCTTCCTTTAGGACAATCATCCTAACAAGATGTAAGATGGATCAAAAGATAACACTAAAGACAGAGACAGCAATTTGGAAGCTATCACACAGGCATCTGAGATCAGTTACTAACTGGTAAGAACAGAAATGAGAGGTATTTAGAGGAAGAAAAAGGGAGATGTTGCCTAACCTCAGATCCAATTCTCTGTAAAGCAGTAGTCAAGATCACCTGGACTGTGAAGACGGTCAGGGACAGAATCCCAGCTAAGGAAAAAGGATAAAATGAAAATCAAGATAAACATTTAAGAACGTGAACTAGGGAGGAATAAAAGCACTGCTGGGTAAGAGTCAAGCCCCAGCTCAAGCCTTAATTTGTGGTGGAACCAATCTGTCTGGTTTCGCGAGACACCAGGCTACCCAAGATCAAGAGAGGGAGAAAGCTAGTGCTATGTCTGAATACTAGAGGAGCAAGTACAACAAATGGAAAATGGGATCAAGTATGAGTGAGAGTTGCTAAGATGCCTGGTAGGGATGCAAAGGGGTAGAGAGCCTGGGGAGAGAGGGTGAGGGAGGGAAGCACTGGTTTCTCAAGCAAAAGCTAAAATTTTTCTATTAAGATTTAACCTGATGCTACACTTTGGTGGTGCAGCAAGGGTCTCAAATGGTATAAAACTCAGGTGATCATGCTTTATGTCTGTCTCTAGAAAAATGCTCCAAAAATGATAAGTAGTGATAATCCGCAGTCTCGTTGCATAAAATCAGCCCCAGGTGAATGACTAAGCTCCATTTCCCTACCCCACCCTTATTACAATAACCTCGACACCAACTCTAGTCCGTGGGAAGATAAACTAATCGGAGTCGCCCCTCAAATCTTACAGCTGCTCACTCCCCTGCAGGGCAACGCCCAGGGACCAAGTTAGCCCCTTAAGCCTAGGCAAAAGAATCCCGCCCATAATCGAGAAGCGACTCGACATGGAGGCGATGACGAGATCACGCGAGGAGGAAAGGAGGGAGGGCTTCTTCCAGGCCCAGGGCGGTCCTTACAAGACGGGAGGCAGCAGAGAACTCCCATAAAGGTATTGCGGCACTCCCCTCCCCCTGCCCAGAAGGGTGCGGCCTTCTCTCCACCTCCTCCACCGCAGCTCCCTCAGGATTGCAGCTCGCGCCGGTTTTTGGAGAACAAGCGCCTCCCACCCACAAACCAGCCGGACCGACCCCCGCTCCTCCCCCACCCCCACGAGTGCCTGTAGCAGGTCGGGCTTGTCTCGCCCTTCAGGCGGTGGGAACCCGGGGCGGAGCCGCGGCCGCCGCCATCCAGAAGTCTCGGCCGGCAGCCCGCCCCCGCCTCCAGCGCGCGCTTCCTGCCACGTTGCGCAGGGGCGCGGGGCCAGACACTGCGGCGCTCGGCCTCGGGGAGGACCGTACCAACGCCCGCCTCCCCGCCACCCCCGCGCCCCGCGCAGTGGTTTCGCTCATGTGAGACTCGAGCCAGTAGCAAGGGCCCGGTCCCACAGCTTCGACAGCCAATCAGGTGTCGAAGACAAGCAGGCGGCGGGTAAACCGACTCCCCCGAAGGAAGGGGAGGGTGGGAGGACGCCCGCGCCAGAGCCGATTTCACTGACCCTCCCCTCCCGCCGCAGGAGGCCGGCCGCGCCCGCACACCCAGCATCTCTACACCCCACCTACCTACCCGCCCCACCCAGGGGGCAACGCGAGAGTCGCTAAGCGGCTGCGTACTCCCGACGGCGTAACTGACAGGAGCTTTACTCCAACCAGAATACGCCATTTGTGTTTTCACACACGGCGGGAGGAGAAACGGCCAATCGGCGACAAGAGGCTAGCCGGAAGCGCTCCTCCCTCTGCGAGAGCAATGGCTCCGTCCGGTTTCGAGCATTTTCCGCTCCCTTCTCCCTCCCCCTCCGGTTGCCGCAGGGCGGGCCTCCCTCCCGCCTGCATCCAGCCACCCCTTTCCCTCCCAACGTAACAAACATTATGTTCCCGACTTCCCACGGGAAAGGCAACCCCCGCAAGCCACCAGACGGCCCCCCTAGCCACCCATCCCCCCAGTGTACCGCACCTCCCCTCCCACCAGAGTTCCGCTCCCCTACCTAGCCGAGGCTCTCTGAGGAGCCGGAGCGCCGAAGCACAGCCTCTTCTCTAGGCGGCCCCGGCGGCTTCCGCTGATTGGCGGCGAGTGGGCCAATGGGTGCGGGGCGGTGGGCGGAGAGGCCAATGGCGCGGCGGGAGGGGGCGTGTCCCGGGTGCCCCTGGCGCCGGCGCTGGGAATCCCCGTGCGGTCAGTGGCGTTTCCGCTCGGGCAGCGGGCTGAGTGAGCTGCCGCCGCCGCCGCCGCCGCCGCCGCCGCCGCCGCTGCCGGGGGAGGGGCGGCCGCCGCCCGCCTGCGCTCAGAGACTCACGCAGCCCCAGTCCCGCCAGTCCGCCAACACAGTAGTGCCGGCCCCCCTCTTTCCCTGGCCCTGCCCCCCCTCCCCGCCTTTGGCTCGCTCCGCCTTTCTGCCCCCCACCCCCACCTCACGGGTACGGGCCATTCCCGGCCAGGAAACGCCGTGGCGCCGCGTTGGGCCTAACTCGAGTCCTGCCGCCTCCCGGGAGTGCCGTGCGCCGCAGCCCGGGCCCAGGCCCCGGCAGCGCCTGGGACAAGGTAAGGGTCCGACAGAAAAGAGACCGAACCTCACGATCGGGCCCCAGGGGAGGGAAGGGTCACCTCCTCCGTCTCCCCGCGCTCGCTCTCCTTGGGTCGTGGGCCTGGCCCTCCCCAAGCTCTTAGGAGGATGCTGCCACTTCTCACCCCCCTCGCCGCCTTGCACACACCGTTGCAACACCCCATTTTCCCAGGGAGAGAGATCCCCCTCTAATCTAGGCGACCCAACTCCCCCTTTCATGTTTTTCCTGGGTCAGGACGCTTCCCCTCCCCCAACGCCTCTTCACCCCCTTTCCTGGGAACTGCCTACTCCACGTTTACCTTTCCCTTGAGGAGAGGCCTCTTGCTGCCCTCCGCTCGAAATACACAGGCATACTTTTTTTCTCTCCCCGATCCCCCACTCCCTACCCCCGTTCTCGCGGCCTTGTGACAGACAACTCTGATCGCTCTGGGGGCCGCGATCTCCCCTCCGTAATCTTCCTGGACGCCTTCCCTCTCGTTTTCTGGCTTCCCACCTCAGATGGCTGCTTCCCAAAGGCATTACCTTCGCCACCCCCACCACACGTTCTCTGGCTCCCCGTGGCGTGTGCCACAGCGTGTCTGAGATAGCCTCGTTGAATGTGTAGGGTTCGAGCCTGGAGTTGAGCCAGATTGTGTCGTTTTACTTGCCTTGGGCGTGGAGAACGATCTTGTGAGAATATCTTCAAAGGCAGAAAAATATTCCCTTTATGAATTCTCTTTCCCTCTGCGTGTAAGTCGGGAATGTGAAGAGGAGTGTAGGAAAGAGCCCTGGTTCAAGTAGGTAAATCGCATGAGAGGGAAAGTTAAACTGTTGGGAAAGCCCCTTCTATGCTAATTGATTCTATAGAGTCCTTGCTTGTCTCACTTCTTGGGCGTCAGTGGTCTTTCTCTTGGATATGGATGCTGCAGTCAGCTCTGCTGGTCTGGGTCAGGGGTGCGTGTATGACCTGCATTTTCTGCTTTCTCATGTTACTTGTGCAATGTATTCACCGGTAACTCATTTCTTTCCCAGACCTCTGGGTTCCACTGGGCTTTGTCTATATTTAAGTTCATTTCTCCAGTTTCCTTCCTGCACATAGGTACTGAACGAATCCCCAAGTTCTGTGCTAATTACCTTCATCAGTTGACTAAACAAGTTTTTAGATGACATATTTGTGACCAAGGTCATATTTACATTTCTTTGTTGGACAGATGTTACATAGCTATACTTGTGATTGGGGAGGATCCAGCTGAGTGGAGTGTGCTGAGCTTTTTAGGAGAGTGTGTACTCCCTATTTGAAATTATTTTTTGGTTGTTAATTTTATATTATTAATGTTTTTAGGTCACAGAAAGTTCTAAGTGGTAATTTTAGATGTGTGGGATCTGAGCTAGGACTAAAGCAGAGAATACCCACGTAATCAGAGGTTTCTGGGCTCCATAGAGGACGTAGGGCTTTTTTTTTTCTATTGGATTTCTTCCAGTTTTCTCAGGATCATTAGTTCTCTTCTGTAGCCAAAAATTCTGGCCTGTTATGGGATTAGAGTCTTTAAGGTTTACTCAGACTGTCATTATGTGTAGAAAAATGAATTATGCCCTTTGGTAGGACATGACACAAGGCTCTGTTTCTAGCTGCAAATTTAAATTAGATTGTAGAGTGCTTGGGAAATTGGCTTTCAAAAGACCAAAGCTTAATCTTCACTCCTAAACTGCTGGCTTAATTAAAATGGATATTTAGAATTTGGTAAATGTTGATTTTTCTAATAAAAGGCCTTGGTTTAAAAGGGTGACCTTAGGATTGTTTCTTTCTTAAAAGCATAATTCCAGCCCTTCTGGCATGGAGCACTGGTCCAAAAAAAAAAAAAAAAAGTGTGTGTAAGGAGTGGGGGTGGGGTAAAGAGAAGGTTGTTCCTTTGGGTTGGATCACAGGGGTGAGTATACAAGGCAGCAGCAGCTGCTGGCTCTGGAGCTCTGGTTGCTACGTGAGAAGCTTGAGTAGTGCTGGCTGCTGTCTCCAGGGAAGGACAGCAGTGCAGCGTCCATTAATGCTGCTGGCTGCAGGGAGCAGCACTTAGGCGATGGCTGCTTCAGGACTAAGAAGAAACCTTGCTTTTCTGGGAATTTTCACTGCTGAGCTGGTTTGCTTTTTATTGGTGGGGAGATGGGAATTAGTAATTCATAATCTCCTACCCATTTATGGATATTGGCATCTGGAAACTGGATCATGGTTAAAGCCTTTCTTTTTTTGTTTGTTTGATTTGATTTTTGTTTTTTGGCAGATTTTTGTTTTTTATCTAGACATTTGTGCTTGGATAGGACTAAAAGTTCCATTAGAGTTTTAATTTTTCAATCAGTTTAAAAACCCAAGTAATAATTTTAAGAATCTTTCTGATAACCACAATAGGAAGAAAATAACAGGAATTTTTTCCTGCAGCTCACATATCATGCCTTCCTCCATCTCTTTAATCATAGAATCAATTCTTATTATTTTGTTATGTGTCTCCATCCTTTCGATTAGACCACATTTACCTTATAGACGATTTGCTAAACATTTTACTAAGCTTGAACTCTTAAACTCTAAAAAGGTGCCATTTTGGAGTGGTTTCTAAATAAATATTTTTAATTTGTATATTAGTAATAAACTTCTCCAGATTAGATATTTTCTTTGGAGTTTGACTTATAAGATTGATTCATTATATACATGTTGGATATAGCCTTCTGACATCACAAATATATGTCTTTGGCCATAATCCATCTGAAATGTAGGACAGACCAGAAGAAATATGCAGAAATCGAATAAGTCTAGTTCAGGATACTGAGAAGATGGCCTCTGAGCCCCTTAGGTGATCTCCCCTCCCCCACAACTCCTGAACATTAGGATGATCTCTGATTAAGCAAAACAGTCTGAGCGTGGAAAAACTTGAAGGAGAACCACCACCACCAATTATATGCAATACTGGACATATTCCTGTGTGCTGTTTTTCTTCCCCAAGACTCGTGTATCCTATACTTTTTTCTCTCAGAATTTTGATTTGTTCATTTTCGTGTAAATGTACTTAAATCTCACAAACATCTATAATTTGTAGTATCACTCTGGCATTTGTGGCAGAGAACCAAAAAGAATGGAAATGAGTTTTGTCATTCACAAATGTGGCTCACATTGTTTTCCCAGTAATAAAAGCAGACCAATGAAACAGAACCTTTAATGGATACTATTTTAGGAGGTTCCAATTCTTATTACTATCACATAGATAAGATGCAATAGCAGATAAATATGATTTCATGTATACTGGCTGTTTGACATACTTAGGGTTTAAGATAAAAATGTTTGTAGTTTTTTACTCTGTGGCTTAAGTTGCTATATAAAATAATTGCTTTTACACTCGAATTTCCTGTTGTTTGGAACCTTTTGTGCTCTTGATATTATCATTTTTTAGAGGATCATACAGGCCCTTTTCATAGAAGGATTTACTTAAGTTATACCCTTGAAAACTTTTTTATATCTTTTGATACTGTTTTGTGTCCAGGAACTGACTTTCTGAAATTATTCTGGCTTTTCTGGGGAGAATGACTATTTCATTTTTACCTTTGAATGGGGAAATAATAAAGTGCAAAGTACAGATTTGCAGATAATTACTTTTGCTTTATCCTCTCCATGTTGAAATAACTTATGAAAAATTAGGCCATAGTTAACAGCAGTCAATGACTATTGGATACATTTTATCAGAGGGGAACTGGATCATGAATAAAATAAAATTTTAAAAATAATTTTTGGCTGAACTCTGGTGATTCATCAGTTTAATTTGAAGTCAGAAGGTCTAGCAGTGAATTTTATTTATAAAAATTGTATTTCAAGTGTTGAAAACTGAAACTTCTTGACCAGTATATTTTGTTTGAGGCATCAAACTTTGCAAAATGTGCATCGTATATTTAGTGATATAACTGGTAGTCATTTGTAATTTAAAGTATTCTTTCAAAGGCACTCTTTAGAAAGTAATGTAGTGTACCCGTGATGGGCAGGGATTGGTACCATTCCTTACTGCCAAAAATTCCAAAATATGTGGCAAAATGATTGATTTATCTTGTGGGTGGGATTCTGGGAAGTTCATGAAAGGTGGAGAGAATATAGTTTCCTTCACTTGTCTATATACATTTTGTTAAATAAGTCTTAGGAAAACTGTTTTATTGTATCTTTAATTATGAATTGCGTAAAAGATACCCAGTAACTTTGGGGGGAGGTGCTGTTAGAAAGCATTACATTGGAGAGAATTCCCCTACCCTGGGACAAAATGCATTCTGTCTTTAATACTTAGCGAAGGGAACTATGGGATAAAATAAACAATGAAGGTAAGCTCAGTCTGCTTTATATGTGCCCTCACTGAGCAAGGAATTTGTAATCGCATCGTGCCTCATTCGTTTATACCATCATATTGATTTTGTTTGCTGAGTACCTGAGGGAATACCTTACTTAATGTAAGGTCACATTAAGTATGTTTGATATGAAGACAGGGAAAGGAATTTTCTGCTTCTTGGAGTAATGTCTTAGTATTTTTAAAACACTTAAGTTTTTACATCAGGCCAGTTTTGCCTGATGCTCATGTCTGTTGCTTTGGTTGGGCTGCTGCTTTCTCTTCTGTGTTCTTATGGGTTCGTTGTGGTATAAGGATTCCCACAGCTTTCATGGCAGTATGAAGTAATGAGAAGCATTGCCTTAGCCATGTTAGTTACATGTATACTTTTGGCCTATGTTATGAATCACAAAAAGCGGTAGCTATAGGAATGTATACAAAATAGATTTCTGTCTGGGGAATCAAGTTTTTGATTTGTGCTACCTAATGGAGGGGAAAATGCTGAATTTCTTGCTGCTCTGTTTGAGAAATAGATGGAAGCATGGGAGGAGCCAGAGACCTCTGCAGCAGGATTTGGTCTAAGTAGAAAAGGAAGATTTTTGTTTCAAATTGCCAGCTGCTTATGTCAGACTGACTCCCTTATTATGCCTCCAGTAGGCCTGTCAATATGGCCAAACAGCTAGATAAGTGCGGGGCAGGACAAAGGGCTCTTTGCACAGCAGGGAGGCAATGTTGGTGGGGGAGGGGCAGGAGGTAGGAAAGGCAAGAGGAGGAGGTTCTTTTCCCTGGGAGATTATTCAGTTTGGCATACAATTAAAGAAATCATTTTTAGTTCCCACTCAAGCATTGAATTTTTGCCAACCACATACTATTAACCCCAAATTTGATACATTTCAGAATATCTTGTAGGGATCCATTCTCGCCAAGGAAAAATAAAAAAATAAATAAAGCTCTGTATAGGTTAAAATAAAATAAATCCCACACTCTGCACCCTCCTAGGTGCAAGTCACCTCCCGAGGAGACCCGTTCTAGAGCTGAATTCTCATTAAGAAATGGAAAAGAATACTCTATCTGAATAAAAACACATTGTAATACAATGTGTTTATTTGGGTTGGGATTGGACCTGAACATGTAGAATAATTTGTTTCCCTTTATGAAATAGTTGCTCGTAGTTGTCTACAATTTTATTTCATTAAGATAGGTAGCACATTACAGCTTTCATGTGTTGGGTTGCCATATGTAAAATGCTAACTGAAGAAAGGCTACTTTTTAATTTCAGCCTCATCCTTAGTTCCTGGAGAACCTGATATTTCCTGGAGATTACTCCCTCCCCCACCTTTTAGTTTAGGCAACCTCTTTTGATACATTTGTGTTCAGCTCGCATACAAGTGGGATAGTTGCATCCAGTTTATTAAGACTTAGTATGAATCATAGAGTTGGAAAAGATCTGTTGGTTATCTGGTCCTTTAAACCAAAATCATAATGAAATATTTTGAAATTTGGGTCCCTATTGAAGTTTTCATTAAAATGTTAAAGGATCGGTGTTCTGAACAACATTTTTAGTTACTTTTAAAATAAATGTTTTGCGTCAGTTCTTTTTTTAAAAATAAAGAATTTCATTTATAGGCAAATTAGCTGGCAATTATTTGAATTGTGATAGGATTTCTCTTTTATGAAGGAATATATGACAAGGTTTTTCAAAATGCTTAATATATTTTAAAAGACTTTAATTTTTAGAAATAATTGGTTTGAACAGTTTTCCAAGAGCACATTTGTTGCTTGGGTTGAGGTACCACCTATATTGCAATGTTACTAAACTAGCCTTAAAGTTTTCCCTTCTGTCTATACTGCATGCAACAATAAAGGGAACTGGAATGTTAATTTCCATTTATGGATTAGCAGAGGAGATGTTTTAACCGATTAATAACCAAAAAACTGCCTTTCGTACACGTAATATTAAGCAAGCCTGACCAAGTTTTGTGTTATTTCTCTCTGTTAAAGAAAACTGGATGTGTTACTACTTAACATTATATTGTTATTTAATGGTCTTGGCAGTAATGATATAATATTTCGACCAAAAGAAATTTTGAGTAATTAATTATTATTGTAATTAGTTGGAAGTTTCTCATCAGTAAAATAGCAACAGCATTAACACAAAATCTAGTGAGCTATATTTTATATTACTACAGAAATTTAGGGTAGTCATTTCTTTCTTTATAATTTATTCACATGGATTATTTCCATAAATTTGTGGGACTAAAATAGAAGCCATCTAGTCAAGCACCAGTCTCCATACCAGACAGTTTTCTCTGCATGTGCTATGACCCACATTGCCAGTATTAAACATCCTTTACACCCTCCCCCTTCCCAGATAATTAGAAATCTCTTCAGGGTAGCTTCCATTGCTCCTATTACCTGGATCTTGCTAGAGGCTCTAAGAAGTTCCTGGTAAAAGTGAGACAGTAAGGGACCACATTTTGATTCCAAAGGTTTTGATAACTGTTAGGGCTCCCCAAACAGCTAATCTCATTTTCACCAAGACTTAGCCAGCAGAGGGCTGGAATGGAGGTGAAACACAAGCACTGTACCTCATCTTGCCTGTGCAGCTGCTCCACCTTATTTCCTGCTATTATTATCTCACAACGCCTCCTCCCATCAAAAAGAAACTAGGACAAAGGGGGAAAATTGGATGGGCTAATGTGATTTTTATTATGCTAGGTTGTGGGCTTGTTTATATGTACTTAAATACAAAGCTAATTTGCCCCATTCTTAAAAGTCTTTAGTGATAGAGATTTTGTAACTTCTGTATCTTCTACTTTCTTTCTTGATAAACCATTTCAGATTCTCAGCCTTACAGAAAGAAAGGTTTTAAGCATACTTAATTTTCGTTGGCCGTTCACAGTCATTATTACCACCAGATGCCACTGTATTATTAGCTTGAAGAAAGGTGGGCTCTCTTCTGTACATAATATCTGCAATTTGTTTTGGAAAATACTAATTTGTATAAATCTGATTTATGACTAAAATAAGGTTAAAAATTAGACCTCTATGTATGTTTACCCTATTACCTTAGTGGGGGTGAAATTAATTAGCTCTTTGAACATAAATTTTTCATGTCTTAGAGTTCTTTTTTCAAGCTGCATAATTTATGTTCTTCAAGCCATTTTTATCCCATACCACCCCCACAAAGGGGGAAATTTTATTTTTTATCATTTTTATTGTCTTTCAATGGTGAGATTTTCGCCACCCCACTCCTGAAATGTGAAGACTCAAATAAAACTGAGTAATCTAATAAGGTATATGCGTTGCTGAATGTAGTAAGATGATTGTTTCATCATTCTTAGATATTATGATCTAGTTTGAATCTGGTTTCCAGTATCATGTTAGCATATTTAATACTGTTGATATGTTAATTTTAATACATGCCCAGGTGGATCTCCTTGCTTTCTATTTGTGCCCCTTGTTTGTCGTTTTGTATGAAGGGGGTTTTTGTTGTTGGATTTTCTTCCCCATCTCTGTGTCCTGTTATGTTCTTTGGCTTATGTTTCAAAAATTCTGTTTCCTACCACCAACCTCTGTACATGCCACAACACATACAATTTGTACTTTCACAGTTTCTGTGAAGTAGGATGATCTGCAGTTAATAATCAACTGTTTGGGCATTCTTGGTATCCAAGGAAGGTTTTACTTAGAAGGAAGAACCTGGAAGGACCTGTTGGCAATTAGACTACTTCTGCGTTTATTTTACATTTTCCCTTATTAACGTAGGCTGTTGAGAGTTGACTTGTTTTATAAGAGAAACCAGATTGACAGAGAAGACCCCCAATCAGATAGAGTTATTTTAAAAATAAATGTGTTTATTATGGTAACATTTGGGGTAGAATCTAAAGGGCATATTTTTAAAAAAACTTTTAGTTCTAAAGACAAAAGAGTTTAACCTAAAACAGAACAAAGAGAAGGGCCTTTGAAGCAGTATGATTGATTATATGCTGAATGTAGCATTAGAATGTTGTATGAAAGCATAAATTTTTATTTTCTCAATTTCTATGGTACAAACTACTATGCCCATGGAAGTATGTGTTTATGCCCACAGCCTGAAATATATTCGGTGGAATGCCTTAAAAAAGAATAAATCTGGCCGGGCGCGGTGGCTCACGCCTGTAATCCCAGCTACTTGGGAGGCTGAGGCAGGAGAATGGCGTGAACCCGGGAGGCGGAGCCTGCAGTGAGCCGAGATCCCGCCACTGCACTCCAGCCTGGGCGACAGAGCGAGACTCTGTCTCAAAAAAAAAAAAAAGAATAGATCTGAGGAAAATGTAAGAGCAAGTCTAAAATTTTGAAGTCCTTTTTGAAATGCTATTTTTTCCTAGACAAATTTAGTGTTATTTGTGGCAAATAGAACTTTAATGTCGTAATTTAGTAATAGAACAAAATAAGGGTGGGTTTACATGTCCCTGCACATTTTAGGATGGAGCTAAAAATTATAATGTCTGCATACCAAATTGTTACACATTTTAATATTGGGGCTTTTATTGAAAAAGTTTACCCAATATTTAGAAACCTTTAAAAACAAAGTGACATAAAATATTCACAGATAAATCAGGTAGTCACCTTATTGGTGGCATATTATGTAAGTGTACTAAAGCCAGATATTTAGTGTTAATCCAAAAATATGAAAATTATGCTAACATCATATACAGATCTCAGAAGTTGCTGTAGCCAGCCAGGCGTGGCGGCTCACACTTGTAATCCCAGCACTTTGTGAGGCCAAGGCGGGTGGATCACCTTAGGTCAGGTGTTTGAGACCAGCCTGACCAACATGGTGAAATGCCATTTCTACTAAAAATACAAAAATTACCCGGGCATGGTGGTGCGAGCTTGTAATCCCAGCTACTTGGGAGGCTGAGGCATAAGAATTGCTTGACCCTGGGAGGCAGAGGTTGCAGTGAGCCAAGATCGTGCCACTGCATTCCAGCCTGGGAGACAGAGCAAGACTGTGTCTCAAATAAATAAAAAATAAAGAAGTTACTGTAGATGCCACTCTTACTTAAACCCTAGGCCATGTGTGGAGTCCCAGGGGAAGACATGTATTTTTAGAGAAGGAAGGCTCTAGGTAGGTGTAACCTTCCTCTTACAGTTTATCATGAACAGTTAGTATGAAAAGGAATGGCTGGAAGTTTGCAGTAGTACACCGAGCAACAAGAGAAATAAACATATCCCACTTCATGAAATGACTATGCCAGCCAAGGGAGATGAAAAACAATTTTTTTTATAGTACACCTCATTTTTTTAAAAACACTTTAATACTAGGAATATGTTTCTGTGGCAAATAGTTACCCCCAAAGGATTATGTCAAATATCTCTTGTGAAAATTAATTTTAAAATTAATCTTTTGGCTGGGTGCGGTGGCTCATGCCTGTAAACCCAACACTTTGGGATGCCAAGGTGGGCAGATCACCTGAGGTCTGGAGTTCGAGAGCAGCCTGACCAACATGGAGAAACCCCATCTCTACTGAAAATAGAAAATTAGCTGGGCGTGGTGGCGCATGCCTATAATCCCAGCTACTCGGGAGGCTGAGGCAGGAGAATCGCTCGAACCCAGGTGGCAGAAATTGCAGTGAGCTGAGATTGCGCCATTGTATTCCAGCCTGGGCAACAAGAGCAAAACTATGTCTCAAAAAAAAAAAATTAATCTTGTGTAGATAGTGACCACGTTTTACTTTCCTTGGGACAGTCCTGGTTTATACCTGCTATCCTAGCGTAATTAGTAATAGCACCCGTTTCACTCTCAAAAATGTCTCAATTTGGATCATAAATTATACGCTTACCATAATTGTAGAGGATTGTGAGACTTTTAGTCGCTACCTAGCAACCTAGTTTTTCTTGATAGAGCTCTTCTTATTCTGGAGTCTCCTGTGCTGCGATTTATCTGTTGACCTCTCTGAACCCCCATTTCCAAATGAGCAGTTTTTCGAATGTCTTTTTTCTTTTCCCATTAGGTGGTAGTAAGGGAAGGAGTAGGTATAGATTTGATTAATTTTTTAATTTTTTATTATTAAAAACTCCAATTACTACAAAATAGAAAAATACTTTGGAGTTTATTAAACTGTTAGTTTAAAAGGTTCCATTTGATCAGGATAAGGTCCATACCTTGATTGGTAAGTTTGAGTCTTTATAGATTCTGTTTTTTCCATGTAGGATTCTTGTTAAAGAAATTCATTATTTTGTGGAGTTCGTACTCTGGATTTTGAAGGTTGGATAATCATTTAACACATTCCTCTATTAAACAACCTCCCCCCACCTGTATTTCATGTAAATTACTGCTTAGATAGATTGTAAGCATATTTTATAATAGTACTGTGTATTTCCATTAAGAGTTACATAATTTCTGCTTGTCTGTGTAATGTTAAGCAGCTGTTGTTATTCATTGCCTAGATCAAACTTTGTGGTCTTAAAAATTGAAGACCTGGAAGAGCTTTTGTTTGTGTGAATTATGTCAAGATTTACCATATTAGAAACTAAAACTGAGAAAAATTTTAAGTTATTTATTAATATTAAAATAACAGTAATAAAGCCTGCTAATACAAGTAATGTGATTTTTTAATAAAAATAACATTTTTAATTTTATAAGTGTCGTTTGACATTTTTGCAAATCTCTTTAATGTCTGACTTAATAGAAGACAGCTGCTTTCTCATAACTCCTTCTGCATTTAATTTCTTGTGATAAGTTGTTTTGGTTGAAGACTGAAGAAAATCTGGCCTTGTACAGATAATTGGTTGGAAAATGGAAGACCTCATATAACCCTCTGACAGAATCTAGAGGACTTCAGGCATTCTCACACCACCCTTTTTGAGAATCACTGGCCTATATTCATGATTTACTTCATATTAGATGATATTTTCTTACTTCTTCATTTATTGTCCGGAATACTCACCCTTATTTTTATTTGGCTATACTAAGATAGTTTATATACAGAAGGTAAGATAAGCACTTGGGTTTTTTACCCCCTTATTTACTAGTTTTCAAAATAATGGGTTGGTAACTTAGCAACATCTAAAGACGTGAATGAAGTATTATTATTGTGTACTCATGGTTTTAAACATGTTTGATATGTTACAGTCTCTGGCAGTTACTATTTTTGACATTCAGGTTGTCCTACCTTTGTCTGTTGGCTACTAAATTCTTTTGATTCATTCTTAATACTTTCCTCACTTGTTTCCTTGCTTCCTACTATTACTAGATGTTCTAGGATAATTTTGTACATTTTTTGCCCCAAACCTGGAATCAGCCATTTCTGCAGAAACCTCTTCATTCTTTTAATGAAAAATGGTACTTAGAAACCACAGTATGGATGGTAGGAGTGTTCATTGCTCTTGGTTTGGGCCTTGTTTCTAGATTTTTCAATGAACAAAGTTTAAAAGTATTTTATTTCTTTTTAAAAATATCACTTGGTATTTTAAAAGCTGCATTTCAAACTCAGTGCTACATGATGTTTACGTAAACCTAATCTTTCTCCCTTTCCCCATGCCCAAAATCTCAGTTTTCACTAACACCAATGTAATTTCTCTTTGTTTTGTGCCACAATACACACACTACAGTTTTAGTGTGACAGAACAATATGATTACTGGAAAGTGGCTTTTTGTTTTGTTTTCTCATGTCTTTTTGCCCTTAGGGTATATCCCTTTAGAGATAGAGATAGTCATGCCTCACTTGATGAGGATATTTTCTGAGAAATGTGTTGTCAGGTGATTTCGTCATTGTGTGAACATCTAGAATGTACTAACATAAACCTAGATGGTACACCTAAGCTATATGGTATAGCCCATTGCTCTTAGGCTACAAATCTGTGCAGCATGTGACCACTGGATACTATACGCAGTTGTAACACAGTGGTAAGCATTTGTGTATCTGAAAATGGAAAAGATAAAGTAAACATACGGTATAAAAGATAAAAAATGGTACACCTTTGTAGGGCAGCTCCATTACAGTCTTATGGGATCATTATCATATGTGGTCCATCCTTGACTGAAATGTCGTTATGTGGCACATGACCATATATAGTCAGATTACAGTATTTTGAAATCCCCCTTAGAATAGTTCTCTATGGTTGTGCCACCAGTTTGATACACAGTGAGGTTAATTTGTTACATTTTACTTTCAGATTTTTCAGGGATTAGGTTTTGTTTTATGATTATGTAAAATACTTAAATGGTTAATAAGTGAAATTTACGAAGCTGGGTATAATCAGAAAAATTGAGCTTCTATCCTAGTGTCTTCCAGCTGGTTCTCTCCCTGTCCCTGTATGTTAGACTCAACAGAGTCATCATGAATTTTCAGAGTGATGTTTTGTCGATACTTCCCCTTTTAGCAGAAGAAGCATTTAGGTTAGTTCATTTACTAAAACTATTTCCTTCTAGATTTTTCACTAACTAATATTTTTACACTGTAGAAGAGGAATGTGGAAATTTCTGTTCTTTCTTTTTTGGAACCAGAATTTCTTGGCTTAATACAAGCAGTTTGAGATAAGAAACTTTCTCCAGTAAAAATTCTCTTTTTTTTTTTCTTTTTTTTCTTTTTTTTGAGATGGAGTCTCGCTCTGTTTCGCAGGCTGGAGTGCAGTGGCATGATCTCAGCTCACTGCAACCTAGGCGTCCCAGGTTGAAGCAATTCTCCTGTCTCAGCCTCCCAAGTAGCTGGGACTACAGGTGCCTGCCACCACGCCCAGCTAATTTTTATATTTTTAGTAGAGACAGGGTTTCACCTTGTTGTTCAGGCTGGTCTTGAACTCCTAACTTCAGGTGAGCCACCGCACCTGGCCAAAATTCTCTCTCTTGAAATGCCAGACCATGTTTGTCTCTGGGAATTTCAGGTACACTTGGGACACTGGTGCTACTTGAAGTGTAGAGAGCTCATCAGTTAACATTTCTTGAATGGTTTGCCCTTAGACCTGAAATGTATGTTATTTAGAAAGGATGTCATATATTTTTTAACTTTGTCATTTAAAATCCAAGTTATTTGATTTTATGTGTTTTAAATAAAATATTAAAACTTTAAAAGTCTTGTACCTGTTAAATGTTTTATCCTTCCTAATTACAGTATCTTAAAGTTATCACATTTCAGCAATACGTCACTTTCTAATGACTAATATAGTCTTTAAAAATACTAAATCAAGATATACCAAAGGTGAAGAAATAGTGATTAAGAATGTGAGGATTCTAGCTGTGGTTTTCTTGCTTTGGCTTTGGCCAAGATGAGTTTAATTCTTTGGTCTAATAGGAATAATACTTTTCTCCTAAACATTATGAGCATTATTTGAGTTAATGCATGAAAAGTGGTTAAAGGAACAGTGGCTGGTGCAACATAAGCATCCAGTAAATGCTGCCTTTATTTTGGAAGTGGTTATTGTTACGAGTATTTGATCAGTTCTCTAAACTCTGTCTGAACTTTACTTAGAATTAGTAATGTTCATATGCTGTAAATAACACCTGATTTTCAATACTTCATTGGTTATATGAAAAGAACCAACTGTTAACAAAGGAATAATTGGTATCTAGTTAAAATTTGAGGCCTCTGACTTCACAAGTATACCAGTGCTTACTATATAAATATAATCACATTTAAAAATTTAATAAAGAAAGTTTTAAGGAAGTAAGTCTCCTTTTCAGGATCCAGGGTCCTTTACAAACACTGGATCCTGAAATTGTATTATTTGTTGTGGCTTTAGGGTATTGTGTATGCTGACCAGAGTCACAGGTGGTTTTTTTGTTTGTTTAACACTAGAATTTTGAGATACATTTGTCTTTACATGCCCTCAAAGTAAGTTATATAACACCAGATTGTTCATTAGTTCAGGTTTGATTTTTTTGTTGTTGTTTTTTGTTTTTCTTTTTAATACTCTGGGGTTGGAGTGAGGTTGTAGAGTGCTATAAGGAATTCCTATTAGAAGATAGTATTTTAGATATGGGCATTCTAGGAAAGGACAAAATGGTACACTAAAGTTATCTTCCCTTTTCCCCCACCACCAAAAAAATAAGGAGCAAACTACAGTGCACAGTTTTGGGTTTTTTTTTTTTTTTTTTTTTTTTTTTTTTAAAGAGACAAGGTCCTACTCTGTCGCCCAGGCTAGAGTGCAGTAGCACAATCATTGTTCATTGTAACCTTGAACCACTGGGCTCAAGCAGTCCTCCCACCTCAACCTCCAGTGTAGCTAGGACTACAGGTATGTGCTACCACACCCAGCTAATTTTTTAAAAAATATCTTGTACAGGTGGGGGTCTCACTGTGTTGCCCAGGCTGGTCTTGATTGAACTCCTGGCCTCAAGTGGTCTCATACCTCAGCCTCCCAAAGCTCTGGGTTTACAGGCATAAGCCATCAGGCCCAGCCCACATTTTGTTTTTTAAACAAGTCTTTATCTTTTGGAGATACATGCTGAAATATTTATGGATGAAATGAAATGTTATCTGGGGTTTGCTTTAGATAGAGAGGAGATAATAGATGAAACAATCAACTTATTAGTTGGTCATTGTCGATACTAGATAATGAATAAATGGACTTCTTTATACCATTTTACTTTCATACTTTATTTGAAACAAGGTCTTGCTATGTTGCCCAGCTGGCCTTGAACTCCTGGCCTCAAGAGATTCTCATGCCTCAGCCTCCCAGAGCTTTGGGATTACAGGCATGAACCACCATGCCCAGCCCATAATAGAAAGTTTTAAATTTTAAAATAAAAGTATTCATAGACTTGGCTATCATGGATCCTGGTAAAGTAGACTAGTGAACATAATCAGATGTTTCAGTCTTTCCCTGTTGATACTGCTTGCCCTCTGAGCCCATTTCCTCTCCTGATCATCGCCTGCTATTTCCAATCAACAGAAAAAATAGAGTAGCCTACATATATAATGAGTTTATACTAAGAGGGAAATTTTAATATTATAAAGAAGTCTATACAGATTCTGGAGAGCATTCCTGAAGAGAAGATTGAGGAAGCAAATGGATTAATTAATGTAATAGTGTGTTCAGTGTGCAATAGGTAACATTTTATGATATGGTTGAATTTCTGAAAAGGTATCTTATAAATATCAGACCATATTTAAGGAGACTTCCACCTCTACTGATAAAATCTGCCCTTCTCTCTCCCCCTGACTTTATTGCTGCCCATCTGTAGTTTTGATCTTTTTTCTCTAGGATTCTTTGCCTAGAATTGCCATGGGCCTTCTGGATCTGGAACACGGATGAAGGAAGAGGATGAATGTTTTTCAGATGTTATCCCTTATGGGAGTAATTTGTAAATTCTAGCTTCTTCGGGTGGGGGGAGGCGGGGTGTGTGTGTGTGTGTGTGTGTGTGTGTGTGTGTGTATTATTTATTTATTTTTTTAAGTTAATTGGCCTCTTCCAGCAAAGAGTATACAGCAGAGACCTAGAAGTTTCATTTTTTGTTTGTTTTTGTTTTGTTTTGTTTTGTTTTTGAGACGGAGTCTGGCTCTGTCACCCAGGCTGGAGTGCAATGGTGTGATCTCTTCTCACTGCAACCTCTGCCTCCCGGGTTCAAGCAATTTTCCTACCTCAGCCTCCCAAGTAGCTGGGACTGCAGGCGCGCGCCACCACGCCCAGCTAATTTTTGTATTTTTAGTAGAGATGGGGTTTCACCATTTTGGCCAGGATGGTTTCCAACTCTTGACCTCGTGATCTGCCACCTTGGCCTCCCAAAGTGCTGGAATTACAGGTGTGAGCCACGGCTCCTGGCCAAGACCTAGAAGTTTTACGTCAAATTTTGTCTCTGCAGTTTTCTGAGGAATGAGTATATGTGCTCAAATAATAGCTAAGTATTAAGTCTGAAATATTCTAGAAAAACAGTCACAAAGTAGTTATGCCTAGGATGTTTTTGAATATTGGTACTAGAACAAATGGATTCCTACTAGATTTCCTTTTTACTTTCATATTCAGATGTAGGAAGAGTTGGAATTCAAAATGTGAAAAGCAGTCTTGAATCTCAGTAAATTCTTAAGAAATTCTTAATTCATTGAAGAGCCATTGGTCGTGTGTGTTTTTTGGGGAGTGTGTGTGTGTGTTGTTGTTGTTAAGAATTCGGGGATGAGTATGAGGCTATCATTGCTTCTACAAGGCAACTTAATGATAGTTTGCTGCTTGGCACAACAGGTGAAAGGGCCTTTCTAGAGCAGGGATCTTGGTTTCCCTTTTTCCCACCTAGTAGTATCATTCCATGTATTTACCAGGATATACATTGTTTAGTCCTGTCTTGGCTAAATAGGTAATGGTCCTTAAGGACATAAAATGGAAGGATATTGTGCAGAAGAATTACTAGTTCTCCGTAGTGTATTTTTTTACTGTATTCTCCTCATCAACAGATGGAAAATTTTTAAACTTAGAAGAAAAAACAAGTGTTTTTCTCCAAAAGATTGAGAACCACTGCTTTTAAGTTATTAATGGAGGTCTTCAATGGATTTGTTAAAAATCTGGAGCATGGATTTTTTTTTTTTAATTTTTTTGTTATTGGTTACTGAGTATTGGAAAAGGAAATACAGTATTCAAAAACAGTAATGTTCAGGATTTGGAACTATTTTACTCAGGAAAAAATAAGTTTATAAATAGACATTTTAATGAAAAGGAAAATAGCAAATTTATGGAAATCTGAGATAGTCTGTGTTTTGCTTCACTCTGTTTAGTGCTAGAATTCTGGACTTTGTTTGGGGTCAAACTCTGATATGACAGGAAAACTAACAGATGATTAAAAGAGACAGTAACATAAATGGGAAAGTTTAAATATGGTATATGGTTTTAATTATATTTTGTATAAGAAAGCAGTTTATACCAGTTGTATTCCTAACTAAAAAGTACTATTTTATCAGTTTCCTGGGACTAATTTATTATAAGTTAATTAATGACATGAGCATTTTGGCCCAAATACAGTTGAAATGTTCATTGAAACTGGATCAAAGATGAGCATATGTGTCAAGGCTTTAAAATCATTTTTCATATTAAGATTTCCAGAGAAAGTTTTTGTAATATATAAGTTAAATATTTTTAATGCTTTAGATGACAGGAACTGTTGAAGGTCCTGGATCTCATAACAAGCCACTAGCTAGCTGATCCAAAGACATTTGGCCCCATGGGCTTCTAGGAAGACAAATGTGCTTACCATTTCAAAGATTTTATTTTGCTCAGTAACCTACTAGACATATATTAGTGTTTGTTTGAGTTGGTCGTTGTCTTCCATTGCTGTTATTTTATTATTATTATTTTTTTAATTTTAGAGACAGGATCTCCTTGTCACCCAGGCTGGAGTGCAGTGGCACAGTCATAGCTCACTGCAGTCTCAACTCTTAATTAGGCTCAAGGGATCGGGATCCTCCCACCTCAGCCTCTTAAATAGCTTGGACTACAGGTATGCACCACCACTCCTGGCTGTCTTATTGTGTTGCCCAGGGTGGCCTCAAAACTCCTGGCCTCAAGTGATTCTCCTAAGTCAGCCTCCCAAAGCGCTAGGATACAGGTGTGAGCCACCCTGCCCAGCCCCATTGCTGTTGAACTTTTTTTTTTTTTTAAAGACAGGCTCTGGTTCTGTTGCCCAGGCTGGAGTGCAGCAGCGCAATCTCAGTTCACTGCAAGCCACCCACCGAGCTCAAGCCATCCTCCCACCTCAGCCTCCTGAGTAGCTGGGACTATAGGTGTGCACCACCATGCCTGGCTACTTTCTTTGTAATTTTTTTGTGGTTCAAATAGGAATCTTCCACGTGCATCCAAAATATTTTTGGTTTGTGACACTCAGTGTTATTATTGACTCATTTTTCCATTGGAAGGTGTGCCTCAGAGTGGGTGAGCCTTTTTGCCCTCAGTCTTCTGTCAGCACTCTAAGACTCCAAGTACTCTAAGAGATTGCTCACTAAAAATAAGAACAGCTGGCCATCTACCTCAAATGTGAGCCGTCACTTTTGTGATATAATCAGTCCTTATCTTTAGTACACAGATTTATGGAATATCACACTCACTGTCTGCCTGCTTTGGGGTGTTTCTCCTGTGTCATTCATTTTTGTATATTGGCATATAGCAAATATAGGAATGCTGTGTCGCAGCTGTGGGTCATGTATGTACTTGCAGTTAGCTCTTGCTCCCAAGAATGCAAGAAATTTATCAACAAACTCGTGTCATAAAAATAGTTTACAGTGATTTTTTTCTTAAAATATTTCAATGATTAAGACTTTTTTTAATAACCACAAGTGTATAATTGTAAAACCTAAGCATTACTCAGCAAATCTAGCAATTGTTGAATTGCATAAGCTTCTTGTTCATTGGAACTTTTGCTAAAGAATTATGACCTTTGATTTCTTATCACCATGACCTATCATTATGATAAACATGCCCCTCTTATGTATCCTTATACCCATTATAAGGATAAACAAGGGATAGCTCCACCCACCAGATGTCATAGACACAACTGGTATTTTGGGGATTTTGCTGTAGACTAATCCTGGAAGGAAGAGAGGTTATAGATAAAATAAGATTGGCCATGAATTGATTGTTGATTAAAGCTGGGTAGGGAACATTGGGTTTTCTCTGGTTTTATATTTATTTGAAGTTTTTCACCATAAAGTTTTTTTTTTTTAAGATAAAAAATAAAAGCATGAATAGTGTAAACAAAGTTTTGAAGGAGAAGGAAACAGGTTAGTAGCTAATTAACAAAAATGTTCTTGTTCCATTCAGGCACAGGAGTTTGGACTAGCCCAATAAGCATTAAGGAAACCATTATTTGTAGATTTCAGATAATGCAATGATAGTAACCAAAGTTATGCTCTAGAAGGGATAACATCATGGAAGAATATAGAGTAGATTGGAGGGTTCACACCCCAGAGGTAGTGAGACCAGTTCACTGCTATTATATAATGCTACCTTGAAATCATAGGGAGGCGACTGATGTGGTTTGCTAAAAGTCTCCAAAAATTTCAAAGGAGAATAGCTCTTCAGTCAGGTGCTAGTGCCAGCACAACAAAAAAGAGGGTTTTTTCCCTCATTTGGCCAGGGCATGGATTTGGACCATGTGGGTGTCATAATGGAGTATACCAAGTGATTTTGTTCCTATGATGAAAGTGAAGTCCATATTTTGTCTCCTGTCTTTTAGTAAATCAGTATAGATAAGTCTTTTTTTTTTTTTTCCCCCCGAGACGGAGTCTCGCTCTATCGCCCAGGCTGGAGTGCAGTGGCGTGATCTCCACTCACTGCGAGCTCCGCCTCCCGGGTTCACGCCATTCTCCTGCCTCAGCCTCCCAAGTAGCTGAGACTACAGGCGCCCACCACCATGCCCAGCTAATTTTTCGTATTTTTAGTAGAGACGGGGTTTCACCATGTTAGCCAGGATGGTCTCGATCTCCTGACCTCGTGATCCGCCCGCCTCGGCCTCCCAAAGTGCTGGGATTATAGGCGGGATCCACTGCGCCTGGCCAAGTCTTTTTTTTTTTTTAATTATTTTATTCTTTATTTTTTTCCCCACATATTCTAAAATAAGTCTCTTACAGTGTCTAGGTTTCTTTCCAAAGGTGATTAAAAATGAAGCATCATATTTTAAACTTCTGAGGCAGAACTGCTAGAACAAGAGTTTTGTTTTTTTTTTTTTTTTGAGACGGAGTCTTGCTCTGTCGCACAGGCTGGAGTGCAGTGGCGCGATCTCGGCTCACTGCAGGCTCCGCCTCCCGGGTTCACGCCATTCTCCTGCCTCAGCCTCCCGAATAGCTGGGACTACAGGCGCCTGCCACCGCTCCCGGCTAATTTTTTTTTTTTTTGTATTTTTAGTAGAGACGGAGTTTCACCGTGTTAGCCACGATGGTCTCGATCTCCTGACCTTGTGATCCTCCCGCCTCGGCTTCCCAAAGTGCTAGAACAGAGTTTTGATAATTTGTTTGAAACGAAGCACTCAAATCTTCTAGTTTATTTGCATTTGCAGTCAGACCTCTACAGATGCCAGCTAGATTACAGATGGCTAGCATAAGTTTTTTTCATTACAGAAAGAAGAAATTTAGAGCTTAGTGCGGTCTATTAAAAGAATTAAAGGTTATGTCAAAGGACAACTATAAGAAAGTACTTTGGTTCTGAATATTGCTTCAGCTAGGGTTTATTTTGAAGCTCCTAGCCCAAATTTGTAGAAATGCAACTAAGATCTAATATTTAGTGTGTAAGAACTTTACAGGACATCCAGTCAGTAGTAGTCTTAAAAGTGAATCACATAGGCTGAAGCAGGCAGATCACCTGAGCCCAGGAGTTCAAGACCACCCTGGCCAACATGGTGAAACCCCGTCTCTACTAAAAATACAATAATCAGCTGGGTGTGGTGGTGGGCACCTATAATCCCAGCTACTCAGGAGGCTGAGACAAGAGAATTGCTTGAACCCGGGAGGTGGAGGTTGCAGTGAGCTGAGATCCTGCCATTGCACTCCAGCCTGAGCAACAAGAGCGAAACTCCGTCTCAAAAAAAAAAAAATGTGAATCACATACATAAACATTGGGAATTTGCAGATAACTTTCATTTTAGGGTTTCTAGAGCGCAGTGGTGTAATCTTGGCTCACTGCAACCTCCACCTCCTGGATTCAAGCGATTCTCCTGCCTCAGCCTCCCAAGTAGCTGGGATTACAGGTGTCCACCACTATGCCTGGCTGATTTTTGTATTTTTAGTAGAGACGGGGTTTCATCATCTTGGCCAGGCTGGTCTCAAACTCCTGACCTCAGGTGATCCACCCGCCTTGGCCTCCCAAAGTGCTGGGATTGCAGGCATGAGCCACCACACCCGGCCCACTTACAGGATTTTTCTCCCCCTTCATGGTTGTATAAATGCAGTACTTGGCACATAGGCAAACCTGAACAGTTTGCAAGTTGCCTACCCTTTTCTACTTTGGATAAAATAAACCTCTTAAAATAGCACTTAACATAGTAATATATGTATATTAATAGTAGTTACTTCATGTTTGTTGAATGAATGAATGAAAAAAGTAGCAAATCTACATAATATAAATCCCAAGACAGCCAGGAATTTTATCTGGACCTAATTGTCTTACATAGCACCAATTGGTACTTAATAAAAACAAGGCTGGGCATGGCAGTATGCGTCTGTGGTCCCAGCTACTTGGGAGGCTAAGGTGAGAGGATCGCTTGAGCCCAGGAGGTTGAGGTTGCGGTGAGCTGTGATTGCACCAAAGCACTCCAACCTGAGTGACAGACCCTGTCTCAAAAATAAAAATAAAAACAATTAGTTATAACTCAGATGTTGCTATCTAAGGTAAGTAGTAATTACTATAATAAACAAGCTATATATTAACATCTTAATTTTCTTTCCTCTGAACTTTACTACTGTAGGTGTGTAGTGAACTTCATACAAGTTAATCTTTTTGTAGCTCTATTTCTTCATTTCTGTTTGTTCATCGGTTGGAGAAATTTTGCTTAAATTAATGAAAGTAAAAATACAGATATTAATGGCTCATAAATGTGCACAACCCACTTCATCTATAGTAAGTAAAAGTGGCTCCCATTTTGGGGTTTGAAAATGAAGAAGATCTGAATTCACAGAGAGGAGGCACGTGTAGAGATATGAGAAGTTCTTTTCCTACTCTACTTTGGTACATTGGTCTCTAACACATGTTCTGAGCCTCAGAACACAGTAGAACAGAACCTTCAGAAAGTGTTGAGAGTATAACTCTTTAAAGAGGTTTAGTCAGTCTAAATTATTTGAGGGCATCATCTTTATTTGGTACTTAGAAGTCTAAAATCTTCCTGATTGTTGTTAAGGTTACAAAGAGTCTGTGTATTGTTGGTTAGTTGAGCAGTAAATACCTTTTTATCATTGTTAAATGGGTTGTAAATAAAATATTTTTCTTCAGTGTTAAAATAATTTATGATCACAATATTTAGATAATAATAATAATAATTCTGTTATTTATGATATGTAGTCTTATCCTACTGCCACTCCCCTCTTCTGCTCCACATACTACTAAGTATGACTTGGTCTCTATAATACGCACTAATTATGAAGTTTTTTACGGAGAAGGAAATTCTTAATATAGACTAGGATTTTTTTTCAGTTGTCTTTTAATGGCCTTTTATTCTAGTAAACTTAGATTTCTTATAGACATCGGTTTATTGTGCCGAGCTCAGTAGCTCCTAGAGGGAGTATAAATTTAGGCAAAGGAATCAAGGAATAAACTGGTATTGTAGAAGAGATGGGAGAAAAGGAAATTTTTATTTTTGCTTTAAATTACTAAATCATGATGTTTCCTGTCTCTCAGTGCTTACCCCAATCAGTGTTTCTCTCTTTTCTTTTTTCCTTTCAGTCCCGAACCCCTAAAATTCTTTGCTTGCATTAACTTGCTTCAGATTATAAGCCTAATTTTACTGTTCCAAATACATGAACTTTTCACTGTATCTCCAAGTGCTCTTTTAGAGTTCATCTCTTTGTTTTCCAGTAACTCATATTTGTTTCTTCTTATGCTTAACACTTCTCTCTCATTTTTTTTTTTCATGTTTCTCACATTTTTTCTTTCCACATTATCTGCTGTAGCAAACTTGAAATATATGCTTTTGGAGAAGAGTAAAAACAGTGTTTAGCCATATTCAGGTTATTAGCAGCAGCTCCTCTTTCTTCACATATACTTAAAGGGACCAGAAAGTTATTTAAGCTCTTACTTGCTACAAATGCTGTTCCATGTGCTCCTATGAGTCAGCACAACAGGTATTTTTTTTTTTTTTATTGTACAGATGAGAAAACTGAGACTTTGAGACATTCTATGAATTGCCTGAGCTAGTTGGCAGCAGTGCCAGGATTCATAGAAATTTGGAGCAGGAAGACAACACAATGAAGATTTTACTTTGAGGAATTTAGGGTTCATCTATGTAAAGTGATTTTTCTGAGGTCACTAATTATGTTGTAGGCTAGAACTCAAGTCTCCTAACTCCTAATATAGTGCCTTTTTTTTCTTTTCTTTTTTTATTTTTTTAGGAGATGGGTCTCACTATGTTGCCCAGGCTGGTCTTAAACTCCTGGGCTCAAGCAATCCTCCTGCCTCAGCCTCCCAAAGTGCTAGGATTACAGGTGCAAGCCACCGCACCTGGCCTCTAAGAGTGCTTTTTCCTAGCATACTTTTCTTCTCCTAAGGTAAAAGGCTGTTTGTCATGGTACAGCTACGGTGATTTTACTTGAGATATTTGACTTTGAGATGGAGATGAAGATAAGTATATAATGCAGCTGCCACATTCATTCTCATACAAGGTAAAGTCATTCAAAAGATAAATCGAAGAACTATAGATGTATTTAAGAAGAAATTCAGCCTATATGTAACAACAAAATTTTGAATAATCAAGTTCAGAAATTGGATTTTTAAAAACTTATTAGCTACTTTAACCCTTTTGAAATATTCCCAAAAAGTGTTTTCTCTTCCTGAGTTAAATTTATTCATTTATTGACCTATTAAAGATTTTTTTAGTGCTTCAGAGCTATTCTGTATATCTGTTCATTTTCGTTATTTAGTAGTATATAGAAGTAATAGATTGGGCTGAATAGATTTATTTCAGGATATATCTTAGATATTTGTGTTTTTTCATGAATCCCAGTTTAAGGGTTATTGCTTTCAAAAGGAAGAAATTTGGTTAGTCATGACTTTTGGCTAGTTGAAGTTTAGAGAAGTGCTTTATACAGGATCTTTTATTTAGTGAGAAAAAAATAACTTTTTATAATTTTATAATACTGTGTGAAAAACCTGATACCAAAACTTCTGAAAAAGAAACCAGGCCTAGGAGATGAGGATTCTAGGGAAGATTATTAAATTGAGGATATTTTTAAGTTAGATTCTAAATTAGTAAATCGTGGCTAATAAGATGAAAATAATCTGATCCTTTAGTAAGATCTGAAGTAATATTGTTGCCCTGCAAAAAAGTGGTTGTTATCAGCATACCTTATATGTCAGCCTAAGCAAGATTAGATTTTCTCTTTTCTCTGATAGATGCCAATATTTAACATTGACTTTTATCTACTTTCAAAAATATCTATGAAATATACTTTCTGTCTCTGAATTAGAGTGTATGTATATTTGTGTTTACTTGAAATGTTATAGCTGGATGATAGATTTCAGAGCAGTTTTTATGCTTAGGGAAGCCACTGCCTCCCAAAAAGGTTTTCTTATGAGAATGAGGAAAATAAGTATAAATTTTCATATTTATGTTATTACTATTGATGTGCTTGGATAATTGTATTTATAAAAGTAAAAAATGTTCAGTATTTTATCTGAAATTTAATAATGGATATTGTACAGCCTAAGGAATTAAAAGAAAAAGGACCCTTTGAGAAAATGGCTTGTTCTTATGTATCTTAATATATACTGTGTTCACTTTATGTTTTGTCAGACACTGAAATTGAGGAAGAGAGATTTTGGCGTTCTGTTGGTTTATGGAGAGAGTTGATCAGAGATTGCTCCTTGGCTGAGTTGCTGTCTGCATAGGCTGTTAACAATTGTTTCTCTGGCAGCAGATCTTGTTCATCAGGATTGCATCATTTCTGGGAGAATGGCCAAGGTCCACAGCCTCAATACAAAGACTGTCTGAAGCATATGAGGCCTGTTCTCTTTCTGAAGCGGCACTCCTCTTCCTGCCAGTCCTCTTCACAGGATTACTGAAGCAGACTTGTTCTGAATTTCTTTCGTTGGATTGGTTGTTTATTGGACTTTTGTCTGCCAGCTGCTTCCGCCTCACCTGTCTGATGCAATTTCTTCTTCTGAAATCTGTTGGAATTGTTCATAAAACACTTTTTGTTTGTCTTCTCTGTGAGTGACCAGGGAGATCATACAGGTCTTGTGCTTTCAGCAAGTCATATAGAGAAGAGACTGTCAGAATGATGATACAGAGACTGTTGGCCATTTCTGAAACCAATTAAAAAGATGGGGTAATTAAGAAACATTTCTGGCATGTTCTATTTAACATCCTTTTCCCTAGAAACTGTATGTAAATGGCACCTCCTAAAGAGAGTACTCGGTACTACTGGAAGATACAGGCTGTGTCTGTTTCTGAATCCAAGAACTTACTAGTGTTCCTGTGGATTCTGATGGATTGTTCTGGAAATAGTTAAATTAATAATAAATTGAAACTGTGATGCATTCATTTACCCCCTACTGTACACTCACATCTATTTCGCTGTTTTCCTCCTTTCCTTTTTTTCTTTCTTATTTGCTATTGCTTCTTCCTTGATTTACTTTATTTCTTCCTTCCTTTTACTGTTACTTTGATACTTTTATTTCTCTAATTCTGGGTGTACTATTTTAAATCGTTTCTAAAAAATAGTTTATTTTCCAGTTTTTTAAAATTAGAAATCATAAAACATCAACATAAATGAAATGCATGCGTTCTAATGCTTGGTAACTGGAATCCTATGAATAGCTCTTTTCATGTTTATGATATGTTAATCTTTAAGGTGTTAATAACTCTGGCTAGCGTTAAATTTGACTTTTAGGAAAAAACACCAGAGACTTAAAGGATACTGATCATTTTCCCTTCCTTTTTGGAAGGTAGAAAATTAATTTAAGCGCCATTTTTTAAGCATGTTTCCATTTGACCGCAAATAGAACTGACTCCTTTTTATCACTCTTTTTTATAGTAGGACAAGAAACTAGATGGTGTGGAATGAAGGGAAAGAAAGGAGTAATAAATATGGACTTGTAATTTAATGGGTGATGATGGCCCCTTGTCTGGCTGGACAGTTGTCGGACATCGGGTTAAAGAAAGAACTCTGAATTTGAGAAGTGTTCAGTGAAGAAGGGAAGCACCTTTTAGGAGAGAGAAAAAGAAGGGATCCCTTGGAAAATGAGATAATTCTAATTTGAAGGAAGAGGAAAAATTAGCCAGTGACATAAGTATTTACCATTTAAGTCAAATAATTTCCTTCTCTACCATCTCGTTTCTGGCTTTATGGAAAAATAAAAAATTAAAGGGCAAAAAATTCAGTGCCGGATGGACGTAGGGTGGTAAACGAGATAGTATAGATGTAGGATGATAAACAAGACAGTATACAGAAACATAATATAGCTGTAGAATTCCATTCTGTGTGTTCATCAATGTTATTTCTTTCTGTACTAATTTTTGTCTCAACTTTTTCTAGGTCTTCAGAACTACTAGCAGATAATTTGGGGGGACTTCATATTCAGAAGTCTATATAAAGGTGACTGACCCAAGTAAATCCTTTTAATTTCTGTTTTATTTTTTGCATTTTAATGACTGCTGGAATCATGTTGTAGTAAATTGTGATTATAATTTACTTAGCAGATATTTCTGGAACTTCTCTACGTGTCAGTTATTGTTTTGGCCATTGAAACTACAGCAGTGGATAAAAATCCCTGTTCTCATAGAGTTTATATTCTGGTAGGAAAAAACAAACAAATTATAATAAGAAAATACTGCATTTAGATGATCTGTTAAATGTTCCTCGGTTAACATTTTAATAGCTACATTTTACAGAGTTACTTAGGGAAGGAACTATTCTTAGGGTAATATTTGAGAAATTTGGGATTATTAACAGAATTTGAATTAAGAAGCCTCATCATTATTAAAGCATTAGTTAGAATGAGATGGTCAAGCTAACCTATTATGGTTGCTTTCATCAGAAGAATGAAACAGTCATGTTAAACTAGACACAAGGAAAATGGAATAATTTTTATGAAATAGAAATTTATAGTTACCGACAATGTTTCTTTTTTTTTTTTTTTTTTTTTTTGAGACAGAGTATCATTCTTGTTGTCCATGTTGAAGTGCAATGGTACAGTCTTGACTCACTGCAACCTCCGGCTCCCGGGTTCAAGCGATTCTCTTGCCTCAGCCTCCCAAGTAGCTGGGATTACAGGCGTCCGCCATCGTGCCCGGCTAATTTTTTTGTATTTTTAGTAGAGACAGGGTTTCACCGTGTTAGCCAGGCTGGTCTTAAACTCCTGACCTCAGGTGATCCGCCCACCTCAGCCTCCCAAAGTGTTGGAATTACAAGCGTGAGCCACTGCACCGGGCTGACTTAATGTTTCTTAAGGATTCATCAACTATCCAAAATAGCTGGGTTGGTGTTTCATTAGTGAATGTAGCAATCATTTATTCACTCATTAAGATGTTATCTGAAGTAACTTTTCCATCTTTTCCTTTTAGTATATCTTTTAAAAATTGCTCTAGGAAAAATATCAACTATCATCTTGGGTTTATAACTTGTCTTTTATCTAGAAACTGTACTTTTTTTTTTTTTTTTTTTGGAGAAAGAGTTTCACTTTTGCTCAGGCTGGAGTGCAGTGGCCCTGTCTCAGCTCACTGCAGTCTCTGCTTCCCAGATTCAAACGATTCTCGTGCCTCAGCCTCCCAAGTAGCTGGGATCACAGGCATATGCCAACATGCCCAGCTAATTTTTGTATTTTTAGTAGAGATAGGGTTTCACCGTGAAACCATGCATTTTTTAAATGGGTGTACAGTCGTAATGGCTACAACAAAGGGTTTTTAATGATATTAAGTACGGTTTTTGGTTTAAGTCTTTTACTGAAAATATAAAACAATTCAGATTCCCTTTGCTGATCAGGGGAGGTACGGTGATAATCAGACTTTCATATGATTATCTGGTCAGACAGCTTTGGGGCTTTTCTTTTAATCTGAATTATACAGTAAGACTAATAGAAAGAGTAGTGACCAACAGCCCCCAGTATTTAACTGTCTTTTGGGTTTACTTGATGAGTGTTCTTGTTTTATCATTTACAGATTTTACTTCAATTTCCCAAAGGCTTAGAAGATGTACTGCCAAGGTCTCTGTTTGGATATACTGTTAGGGAAAGGAAACATACATGTGTAAGACTGGCCTAAAGGCAAAAAAGTTCATCAGTCCCTTTTTTTTTTTTTTTTTTTTTTTTTTTTTTTTTTTTTTTGGCAACAGGGACTCACTTTGTTGCCCAGGCTGAGTGCAGTGGCATGATCTCAGCTCACTGCAACCTCCACCTCCCAGGCTCAAGCAATCCTCCCACCTCAGCCTCTTGAGTTAGCTGGGACTACAGGTGCATGCCACCACACCAGATTTATTTTTTTTTTTTGAGATGGAGTCTCACTCTGTCGCCCAAGCTGGAGTGCAGTGGCGTGATCTCGGCTCACTGCAACCTCCACCTCCTGGGTTCAAGAGATTCTCCTGCCTCAGCCTCCTGAGTAGCTGGGATTACCAGCGTGTGCCACTACAGCTAATTTTTGTGTTTTTAGTAGAGAAGGGGTTTCACCACATTGGCCAGGCTGGTCTCGAATTCCTGACCTCAAGTGATCCACCCACCTTGGCCTCCCAAAATGCTGGGATTACAGGTGTGAGCCACCGCGCCTGGCGCACACCAGGTAAATTTTGTATTTTTAGTAGAGACAGGATCTCGCCATGTTTCCCAGGCTGGTCTCGAACTCCCAAGCTCAAGCAATCCACCTGCCTCAGCCTCCCAAAGTGCTGGGATGACAGGAATGAGCCACTTCATCTGGCCCAGTCATTTCCCAGCCCAGCTATATGTCACCTCCAATTGGGTGTAGGAACAGGCGTATTGTCATACCCAGAGGTCTCACTTCATCATCTAGGCTGGAGTGCAGTGCATGATTATGGCTCACCTCAGCCTCTACCTCCTGTGCTCAGGTGATCCTCCCACCTCAGCTCCCAAGTAGCTGGGACCACAGGCACACATCACCATGGCTGGCTGATATTTTTTTACTATTTTTGTAGAGTTGGGGTCTCACTATGTTGTCTCAGCTGGTCTCAAATTCCTGGACTCAAGTGATCCTTCCACCTTGGCCTCCTAAAGTGTTGGTATTACAGTTGTGAACCACTGCACCCAGCCCACAATTTTTTTTATTTGCATTAATATCAAAGTAAGATTGGAGCATCTCAGACCATCTACCATTTACAATTTACATTAACCGGCCAGGCACGGTGGCTCACGCCTATAGTCCTAGCACTTTGAGAGGCTGAGGTGTGAGTGGATCACCGGAGGTCAGGAGTTCAAGACCGCCTGGCCAACATAGTGAAACTTCATCTCTACTAAAAGTACAAAAATTAGCCAGACATGGTGGCAGGCGCCTGTAATCCTAACTACTTGGGAAGCTGAGGCAGGAGAATCTCTTGAAGCCAGGAGGCGGAGGTTGTAGTGAGCCAAGATTGCGCCATTACACTTCAGTCTGGGCAACAAAAGTGAAACTGTCTCAAAAAATAAAAATAAAATTTACATTAACCCCCTGGGTTGACTCAGTCGGTATCATGTACTTTTCATTCCTTTAGTTTTTTTAGTATTAATAATTGTTCTAATGTCTTATTATGAATCAGTGTATCAGTCATGACTCTCTTTGTAGTCTTTTTTGCAAAAGTCCTTGTTAACATGGGTCTTTGACATTCACATTGACTTTATTCCCCCCCAAATAAAATGCTTTTTGTTTCATCCTTTCAATGTTTTTTACACTACTGTAAAACTACTAATGTAAAGTCACACAAAGAACACTTGTTTCCCTCTGCACCATACCTCCAAATCTCTTAATCTATTTTTGCATTTTTTTATACTTCAGTAATTTCTGAGTCTTTCTGTTCCCAGCTTTCACTGGTTTATGGTCACCATGTCAAGCTATCCTCACCGCTTTTTCATACACAGTTGTTTAGTCTTTATCATGAAACTGTACTCTTCGTGATTTCGGGGGTTTTTTTGTTGTTTTTAAAAAGTAGTCAACTTTTTTAGAGCAGTTTTAGGTTCACAGGAAAATTCATCAGGAGATACAGAGATTTCCCATGCACCCTCTGCACCCACGCATGCATAGCCTCCTCCTGGTTTATATTTTTGTTCATATCTAGCAGCGTATTATTACCCCACAAATAAAGTTGCTAAGATGATTGCATCTTCTCCCAAAATTATAGTTAAGATGATTTAAAAGAAGGAAGAGAGTGTTCAATGACAAAAGAAGGCACTAAGAAACAGCTGTTTCCAATCAAGTATAAACAACAAATTGATCTCTTTTAATTTGGAAGAAATAACATTATTGACTGCTTGTGAAACTGCATTTATTTGTGGCCTAGGAAAAAAACTTAAATGAAGATCTTGAATTTTTAAAGAGTTTAGGTAAACTGGGATATTTTTAATAACCATCCTTTATCTTAAAACTTGTTTGCTATATCCTAGGCTGCCAGAAAATTTTGTTTGGGCAGTTTTAGAATGGGGAGAATGTGTTGGTTAGTGAGATAGGCAGACTCTTCCTTTCCCTTCAACTGAAAAGAAAAACAAAAGTAAACATAACTTTTTGCCCCCTACTTTGTGAAACATTAATGAAATGCATAGTAAACATGGGACACTGTGGCTGTATTTATTTTATAATTATCCCTTAAAAGCCTTATTCAAGAATGCAGAAAAATATTCAGTAACATTTAAGATAAACTTGAAGAACTATCTGATAACTAGGTATTTATTTTACTAGATATTTTCCTTTTCTGTTACAGGATTCCTCATGTCCATAACATGTTGGATGAGGCTCTGCAGCTCACCCCCACTCTCAGAGTGGTCAGTCTCCATTAATTGGACCCCGTGATTTCCAATCTCTGCTGTGTTGGACGTCATGAGCATTGCAATCCCTCTGGGAGTCACCACATCAGATACATCCTACTCAGATATGGCTGCTGGATCAGAGTAAGTGCTACTTTCTAGGTAGTAGGTACATTATCAGTCTGTGTGGAGACAGCCTTCTTATGGATAGCTAATAGGATAATATGTAGTATTTTCTTAACCAGATCCTATTCCACTGTAATTAACATTAGACCTTTCCCTTTACCCCCATTGAAGGTGGTGGAAAAAAGGAATTAGAAGGGGAAGGAAGAGTTTTCAGAGGGGTATTTCTGGGCAAATAATTAATAGAACCAAAGTTGCAAAGTAGGAATTCATTTTCATTTGTTTTAATGGGTGGAGAAAATTGGAATAAAGTAGGTGTTACTACCTGCTTCTGTAGAGTTAATGATTCTGATGGAGGGAGATAAGAAGGTGTTCTTTCCAACTGATTTTCCTTGAAGTCCTCTTCCTATGTACTTCCCATTGTTCTAGAGTAAAGGGGCCGAAACTATATGGGCAGGTTGCCTAGACCTTCTGACATCTGGGGTAGAAAACATGGAGAACAGCGTCATCTGTTTTTTTATAATATTCGTTGCCTAGAAAGAGGACCTTCAAAATCAGTGGTACCAAACTTTTTTTTCAGCTAAGAGCAGCTTTAGGAATTCAGAGTTTGTCCAAAGGCCCAATCCCTAAAATTATACTCTCAATTCTTGAAGAATGTAAATGCCAAATGACAATGAAGGTAGGCCTTCATTATACAACTTTATATATATTATTCACAGTTTTAAAATTTTTAGTCTTTTGTATCCCTTCTCTTTTAAGTTGTCCGAGATTCCCCCTGCTCACAGATTCCCCCTCTTGTCCTTTTACCTCCCTTGTACCCAATCTTCCTTGCTTACAGAAAGGAAGTGGAAGCCCCCTACCTTTCAAGACGAAGTGGCACTACACCAGGATGTGAAAGTCCAGCGAAAGAGACCCAAGGGGCCTAGGGGGCAGCACACCCCCAGAAGCCAAGTCTATTCCAGGCAGTACCAGGGATTAGGGTCTGGGCTGGAAAAATCCTGGTGTTTTGAATATGTTCAGGTCCAGTTCAGACTCTTGATCCCACAGCCACTTCTTGAGTGAGGTGGGTGTTGCTCTAATTCCCCTGTTTCTCTTGCCATTTTCACAGTCCCTGGGGATTCTTCCCCCTTCAGCAAAGCAAAGCAACTGTACCAGATTTCTGGGTTGAATGACATCCCTGATTAATAAGTGGTTTTCTTCCTTAAAACAGAATATTATTAAAGAGCATGTATATTTCTTCATAAAGCCACCTAATATAACTTACCTGTTTACTGAGTTCCTTAAAGAGGAAGACTTAAAGCTACCCTGAGAAATAGTATATAATATTCTGGGGTAGTCTAAAATGAAAAGCAGTGTTTGGGCTTATTCCCATATAAAAAGGAGAAAGGAGGGTTGGGGGTGGGGAAGGGTTGATTTTGTTTCTTCTAGAGCTTTTTTCTTCTTTTGTTTTTGTTTGTTTTGTTTTGTTTGCATGCAAAAGGTATTTAGTTATGTCAGTAACTGAGACTTACTTAACCATTTTACAACTCTTTCCCCAAATAAAGTACTTAAAACTCTCCCTGCATTAGTAGGTAGCCAGTTTGTATTGTGTTTATAGGTTTTTATAAAGTCAGCTACTAACCTGGTACTATGTAGATTGTCTAACTGTATAGATAGATAGCATTAACATTTGTGAGAAATTTCAACAAAGAGGTTAAACCAATACGTTTGGAATTGCTGGATAAAAGACCCAGAGCAGTTAATCTTACAATTGGTGTTTTCCCCAAAGTATAGACATGACTGCCCGTAAATACTGCTGGGGAGTCTAGGACTAATTCCAGAAATAAAAATACTTCTGGTCTACAAATGTGACTGCGCTGTCTCTGTTAACACCAACATATCCTAGGATTTCCTGAAACATTTTCATTCATGATCTCCAGACAGATTTGTGATACTGTGGTCATAACTAGCTACATAGTTATGCATTTCTGCAAAGGGAAAGAATGTCAGTAACTAGCTACATACCATTCTGTTAAATTATTAATGATATTTATTAATGTTTCATCATGCCTATTTCGCTGTTCTGGGCACTTTAAGATTAAACCTGGTATTAAGTGCAGCATACTCAACTAGATGTAGACTTCACTTCATAGAATTTTAAATCTGATGGCAACTATATGCAATACGCATTTATTTTTGTGTGTGTTTGTAGGAAAATTTGTAGATGTAACAAGCAAAACAAAGATTTTTCTGAATTTCCAACTCTACCATAACAGAATTTCAGGCATTTTCCAAGAAATGGCATGATAGCAGCTGGGTTGCATGTTGTACTTAGAACACTGTTGATGGAGTATATCTGTTGTGAGCCTGGTTTCTGTGTATGTGTCCAATTCAGTGATAGGAGAAGAAAGCCTGTAATTACATTTGCATAAAGTGGTTGGCTGCTAAAGAGATGTAATTCCATTATTCCAAACTTTTAATTCATATTTTAAAATATAAAAACTAGTATATATATCAAGGAATATTTTAGGAAATCTTGTAGTTACCTGTAAGTGTCTAACTGTGTATTCAATCAGTAACCAATATGGAAATTGCAGAGTTTCTTCATCAGAAGATATGAGTTTAAATTTTATATTTGGCATGCACAGCAATATATTAAATGCTGTGCTTAACTAGAAAGTATTGTGCAGTGTGATGGCCTTTTAACCTCCACAATATACATTTTATTTTTATTCCCTAGACTTGCACATGAAGTGCATATGTTCATATTTACCCGTTTGGAGATGGGTAAGATACAACCAGCATAGCTCCATCTCCATGGCCATCTTTGATTTCATGCAACTTTCCTTTTTCCTGTCCCCCTCCCACCAAAAAAAAATCCATTCCTAATAAACAGCTATCATGTTTCACTCCATGTGTTCAGTGGTACAAAACCTATATAAAATATGTACAGCTCTTTGGAATACTTGTTTATCTAGTAATGTACCTAGTAAATTAACAATGTTGTATAAATTTATTACTTTCTTTTAACTGTCCATCATAGAAACTAAATTATACCTTCATTTTATTAATGCTTGTCTGCCTTTGGTTTCATTTAGGAAACCCCACCTGTTTCCTAATACTCAGAGATGATTGCCTCTCAGTGAGCCATGTTCAGATCATCTTTTTCTCAAGAATACTGACCTGCATTCTTGATGTACCCCTCCCCCGTTCCCATCTTGCAGACACTTTTAAGTAATAAAATGCATGCACCTCACTAACAGAGAATACTTTCCTCTGTCTAAAGTTCTTCACTTAGAAATTTCCTTTGCTGTTATTAATAAGATCCTTTCTCACAGTTTTGGAGCATATAACTGGGTGAGTTGGATACATATCTCAGAATTTTCTTTGATCCCTCACTTCTCAATTGACATTGCACCACATTGAACTGCACACTTATTCCTGCTGTACTATATATTGTATATCTTTAAGCAGGAAAAAATGACTTGTTATTTCAAGCGAACAATATGCATTATTTGACTCCCTGAAAGACCCATTAATCTCTAAGTTAGAGTTATACCAATCATCGGAGTTTCTAATTTGTGAATCTGTGTTCTAATTAATATAAATTACAAATTACTATTCTATTCTGCAAAGCCATACAAACTTTATATTTTTGAATTACCCTTCAGTATTCCCTAAAACCTAACCAGGTAACAATCAGAGTTGAAGTTCTTTCTTCCCATAAACCTGATTTTTATCCTTTGCCATCAAAGCCTTTTTATTGTAAAGGCTTATATTAATTTTCTAAGTTTGAATACATGTATAATTCTACAATAATACATTGCGCTTGAATAGTTTATTTTCTACTCACAAAGGGTACAAAAAGATACTAAACCAAGCTTCTCACTAAGCCTGGTTAATAAAGGTCTCAAATAATTTTCTTTAAAGGACTGAATGTCATTCTCATTTCTGTAGTGGAAAGAGCATAGACTTTGGAGTCAGACAGACTTTGTTTCAAATCTTAGCTGTGTCAGTGTGTAACCTTGGGGAAGTCATGTAATCTCACCACCACATCTTCCCACTCTGTAAAAATGGAGTATATACCATGTTTAGTGGTTGCTGAAATTAAATGAATTAATATGTATTTAAAGCACCTAACAAATATTGGGCAGTTCACAATGGTAGCCATTACTGTTGTTATTATTTGTCAGTAGACTAACATAACTTTACAGTTTAGTTTTTATTTTGAAGTTCTATGGTATTATCATGCAGCTGATAAATAATTTTGTCCTTAATATGCTTGCATGTCATTGGTGGATGAGAAATTATTACTCTAATATTTGAAAGGTGTTGGGGGTTCATCAAGATGAGAGGTATGATAAATATAAGATGCCATTGTTTTTACCTGTACTTTCTTCAGGGTATCCTGTCTTGGTAGTGAATGGAAGAGGGCCTGGTCCCTGGGGCAGTGCAGAAGGCACTTTGATCATCTCACTCACTGCAAATGTCATGTGAGGTTTCATGGAAGTATTAAGAGATCCAATTAAGAAGAATAGTTCTGAGTCTAAACCAGCCCAGAGTGGCTTCTCTAGGGGAAACTCCCCGCTCAGCTGGTACGTTTGTGTTTGTCATTAGGGACACCTTGTATCTCAGGTGCCTGCCTTCAGACATCTGCCTGTACTGGCTTCATGTTACACACAAATCCACATTTAATAACACTCCTACTGTTATTTATAGGCTTAGTTATGTTAATAAGATTGTTTCACCGAGTTCTTTCTCTTATCCTAGTGGCTAGTGGTTGTGGAAAGAGGAGGGGTTAGAATGGGAAATGAAGTGTTAGTTTAAGGGAAGATTAGGTGTTATGCTATCATGCATTGCTTTTCGCCTTTGTGCAGCCCTGAATCTGTGGAGGCTAGTCCAGCAGTTAATGAGAAGAGCGTGTATTCCACTCATAATTATGGGACCACTCAGAGGCATGGGTGTCGAGGACTGCCTTATGCTGTGAGTATGCATTTGTTTCTCTCCAGAACAGTGATCTTCCTGGAGTGTAATCCATTCTTATACATTGTGACTTTCTTGAAATGTTTATATGCAGCATGACGAAGTTGCCCCTTTTGCACTTCCCTGACTCCAGCGGACGTCTAGCCCTGCATCATTGTTCTTGTTTTTATGTCCCAGTTGACCTTGGCATTTTGTTTTATCACTTTCCTGGTTGAAGCCAAAAAACAAAGGGTACTACTTTCTTCTTTCTTTCCATATGTACCATACTTTAGGGGAGAGAGGGGCCAGTGTTTGGACACTGTTGATTTAAAAAATCTTATTTTCAGGATCATAATTACGGAGCCCCTCCTCCTCCGACACCTCCTGCTTCTCCCCCTGTCCAGACGATCATCCCTCGTTCTGACCTGAATGGCCTGCCGTCGCCTGTAGAGGAACGCTGTGGAGACAGCCCGAACTCTGAAGGAGAAACTGTACCTACCTGGTGTCCTTGTGGTCTTTCTCAGGATGGCTTCCTTCTCAACTGTGACAAGTGCAGGTAAGATCCTGTTCCATCTAAATTTAAGTCTGGGTTGCTGGGATTAGGGTTTCTTACAAGTAGGGAAAAGCTCAAAGTATTCTTTCTTGTGTTTGTTAATGTAGATGATTCCTTAGTGCTCCTTGGCTCGAATTCTCTGCACTAGGTGAGAATTGCTGACAACAAGGAATGAGAGATTGATGTTAAAGCTATTGAATTTGATATGAAATTTAATGTCCTGGAAACATTTGGTAGGTGGGAGGGAGGGGGTAGCATATGCAGAGACACTTCGCCCATGTGTGCTATGATGTGATGCATGCTGTTGGAAGGACTACTTTAAGTTTATTTTCCCTCTTTAGGGGAATGAGCAGGGGGAAGGTTATTAGACTTCATCGGCGGAAGCAGGACAACATATCAGGTGAGCGGAAGATGGGTTAGGTCCACAATTTGACATAAAAATATTCTGTGATCTGAATGTTCATTTTAAGAACCCCTCTTGGCCAGGCGCAGTGGCTTACGCCTGTAATCTCACCACTTAGGGAGGCCAAAGCGGGCGGATCACCTGAGGTCGGGAGTTTGAGACCAGCCTGACCAACATGGAGAAACCCCATCTCTACTGAAAATCCAAAATAGCCAGGTGTGGTGGCGCATGCCTGTAATCCCAGCTACTTGGGAGGCTGAGGCAGGAGAATCGCTTGAACCCGGGAGGCGGAAGTTGCCATGAGCTGAGATTGCGCCAGTGCACTCCAGCCTGGGCAACAAGAGCAAAACTCCCTCTCAAAAAAAAAAAAAAAAAAAAAAGAACCCCTCTTACAAGTTCCCATGGTCCCCCAGCCAGCTCTTTTCACAGAAAGAGATAGAAGTCCTCTCAAGACCACTGTATAGTTCTCTCATTGTAAACGAAATGTGTTGAGAACAGTTTAGTCCTGTAGCAAAGTATTCCTTGTGAACACAAAAAATATGGATTCCTGTTTTAAAAATTAGCCAGTCTCAAATTGTTATAGATTGAGTCAGCGAAGCTTAGGGACTGAATACAAGGGGAGAAATAAATACCATGAGGAACAGGGTTTATATGCTTAATGCCAATGACATAGAATCTTGTTTTCTTAAGGAAGATGAGTATTTAACGTTGCTTTACAGATGATAAGAGTTAATAGTGGAAGTAATGGCTTACTGCATGTGGGGCACACCTAAAAGAATAAGCTACTTTTAATGTACTTTTGAGGCTATTAGTACCTGAACTATGAAATCATCATTTTTCAGGTGGGGATAGCAGTGCAACAGAAAGCTGGGATGAGGAGCTTTCTCCTTCCACTGTGTTGTATACAGCAACACAGCACACACCTACAAGCATCACCTTAACTGTTAGAAGAACCAAACCCAAGAAGCGGAAAAAGAGTCCAGAAAAGGGTCGTGCAGCACCAAAGACGAAGAAAATCAAGGTATGCAGGGTAAAAATATCTTAAATAGAAATTGTCTGAAATAGCTTAAATTTTGGAGCAAGAATGCACCAAAATTCTTTTAAGAAGTTTGATCCAGGTGTTTGAAGGGCCACTTTTGTTCTACTTGCAAAAATCAGCTAATCTGTGTTATGTACATGTAGACCAACCTCTCTTCTGCCACACCATATCATCACCACTGGCTCAAAGTTTCTTCTACTCCAGTCCCCATCCCAGGTATGAAATTCCAGCCCTACCTGGCACAATCCCGTATGTGTTGCAGCCTCAAGTCTAGGCTTCCACTATCCTTACAGTATCTCCCCACCTCTCAACCCCAAAGTACAGTCTGAAATTCTTGTCCTGGTTACATGCCTCATGTCTTTGGGTTGATTGTTTTTCCTTGTTTCAAAAAAAATAAAAATCAGGAAACATCTCTTGTATGGTCTAGGTTTCCTCAGTGTCATGGTCACTTTCCTGTATTCTCAGCTAAAATGTCTACGGGAGAAACTTCTTCTGGTTTGTGTTCTTTCTTCCCCATCACAGCAACTTTGTTGCTTCTAGGTGACTTGTTCATCCCTTGTTAAGGGGATTGGTCTTTGTTTCCTTCTTAGTTTCAAAACTGGTAAATCTGCAACTTTAAAGTTTTTTTTTATTTACTTTTTCTCTTAGTATCAGAGGTGCATATAGGATTTAAGAGATGCATGCTCTTCCCTGTTAATTACCTAGCTTCACAGTAGAAAGTATTAAAATTAGTCTCAGAGTTCATTGGCCTTGAGCTACCCCTATTCTTGGTAATAGTTTGGGGAATTCCATTGTATTTTTTACCTAGAGAAAGGGGGACAGAATAGAACACTAGTTTGTGCCTTAGTTTTAGTCTCAGATAGGTATAACTGTCATTCTTGGTACCAAGTTTTGTTTGTTCTACTTGTTTTCCTCCTTGGGATAGGCATTTCGAGAGGGATCCCGGAAGTCCTTGCGGATGAAGGTAAGGGGTAATCTTCGCTGATGCTGTGTTTTACTTCACTGTGATCTTGCATTTTGGTCAGCTTCTTTCCTGACATTGATGGTCTGGGAATCTTGGACTCTGCTTTTCATTAGTTTGTAGTTGTTGCCATTCAGTTTTCATAGAGCTTTTCTCCAAAGTAGATTTTCTTGGCCATTTTCTGAAATATTTTCCCTTTCTGTAATCAGCCTTCATTGATTGGTTTTTCATTCATTGCTTTCCTAGGGGGTAAGTGACATTTTTCCAAACAAAATGAGGCTAGTGTGTTCTGTCACTGTGATTGAACTCAACCTTAGGAGTGGAGTTTTTCTGGTAATGATACAGGATCTCTTGTGCATCTACCCTAGCACTGTGTGGGCTTTAATTGCAGGACGCTTGTATTATTGATAAGAATTACTGTTTTCTCTTAGCATATCTGTTTGGTGGAAAAAACTTAGGTAATGCTAGCATGTTTCTTAAGATATCAAATAAAAGAGTTTATGAAGTATGATTTTGTAAAGAACTTGGAGAATAGAGCAAGTATGTGGAATGGTTTAAAAGAAGTGTAAGGTGCTGGTTGATTAAAAATAGCTTGCCAAAAGGAGATTTGATTATGCTGTCTGGTATCCTCCTTTACGTGTGTGTGTGTGTGTGTGTGTGTGTGTATAAATATATATATATGAGGAAAACATGCCTCTCAAATTATTACTGGGGGCTTCAAAGCATTTAAATAGAATTAAATTCAAGTTTATGAGTATTCATATTCCTAAATGATACAAAAGCAGGATCTTTCCTATTGAGAGTTATAGGGCATAAATATTAAAATCTTTAGTAAGGCCAGGCGCAGTAGCTCACGCCTGTAATCCTAGCACTTTGGAAGACCAAGGCAAGTGGATCACCTGAGGTCAGGAATTCAAGACCAGCCTGGCCAACATGGTGAAACCCCATCTCTACTAAAAATACCAAAATTAGCCAGGCGTGGTGGCAGGCACCTGTAGTCCCAGCTGCTTGGGAGGCTGAGGCAGGAGAATCGCTTGAACCCAGGAGGCAGTGGTTGTAGTGAGCCGAGATCACGCCACTGCACTCCAGCCTGGGCAACAGAGCAAGACTCCATCTCAAAAAAAAAAAAAAATTCAGTAAGGATAAGCTTTTTAGGATTGCTTTATGTGCAGCACCAGTGTGACTGGTGTTAGCAAAGATTACAGGTAGCACTTTACCTAAAGTTTGAAGGCCCCACTTAGTATCTATCTTTAAACAGACTTGCACATACCTGTGAAAGAGTTGGGAGAGGACTCAGAGCTACAGAGCATCAGAGGCCTGGGATGTGTCTTGGAAGACAAATCAATCATGCCTTTGCTGGATCCGTCTCTTGCAAGTGGCCAAGTTTGCTTTAGCTTCCCCTTTATTTTTGTCTCATTTGCTTAGAGAGGGGCCTTTTAAATAGACTTTGGAGGCAGATAATAGCCCTAATCCTGGCTACTAAATGCTTTTCTCTTATCAAGCAACTATCATAACTTATCTCCAGAAGCTCGAAACCTTTCAAAAGCTATAAACTGGCTCTACCAGAAAACTGCACATAAACCCCATATTTTGCTTACAGTTTTGGGAGGTTGACAGCCTCACAGGTGTGTTAAAATTTAGAAAAAAAAATTACTAGTCATTTTGATTCTTTTAATTCTAAATTGAGTTATAAATTTTATGCTCAGAATTACTAGTTTAAAACTCCTCCAGTGATCCAGGTGGGAGCCATAAGAATTAGAAAAAATTATCATTTGGATTTTTAATCCCAGTGTCAAGAGCAGCTTCCCTACTGAAGACTTAATTGTAAATCAGGGTTTCTCAGTCTTGACACTGTTGACAGTTTGGACCAGATAATTCTTTGTTGTGGAAGGGACTGTTCTGTGCTTTCAAGATGTGAACAGGATCCCTGGTGTCTACCCACTAGATGCCGGTAACACTCATACACTCAGTTGAGATTATCAAAAATGTCTTCAGATATTACCAAATGTCACCTGGGTGCAAAATTTCCCTCAATTGAGAACCACTACTCTAAACCCAACTGAGGTAGAGTCTCTAATGCCTTGAAGGATGGGACAGCAGAGTAAACACACAGTGAGATTAGCGAACAATGGCTAATACTGTGACAGAGGCTTCCAGAATACAGTACACTTATCAAGTGTAAGTTTAACAATTGCCACTTAAAGCTGGGAATATTGTTTGGACACTGCCAGTCCCCCTAGTCTGTAAGCTCCATTAAGCCTAAGGTTTTGCACTATTCTTTTGCGCAACTGCTACTGATGTCAAGCAGGCGATACTCTGATTGTCAGTATGTTGGCTTTAGGTGTTTCTTTAGATCCCTTTGTTTATTGTTCAGTCTTTTGGACTCTAGTAAGAAATGTGGAGACAATAGTGTTGATTTTTTTTCTTCTATACTCCTGTTCCTTGCAGAAAGGATAGTAGACAATAATCAGTCAGCAACAGTGATGCAAAAGTGGTAAAAGAAAGTGTTATGATAAGCATCAGTGTTTTCTGTGCCATTCATAGAAAGTATATTTAATTTTATTGTACCTGTTTGCAAGTTTAATGTGGACATGGATTTTCAAGTAGCTTTGGTACTACAGTGTCTTTTCCTTCTAATCATCACTAGCATGACATCATCACTGTCAGTGTTTGTTTTGTTTTCTGATGGCACTTAAGTCTTGAACACCGTGGAGGAGAACATGTATTGGGCTTATGCTTTGTCTCTGTAGCTCAGGCACTGTCTGCCTAGGAAGCTGTTCCTGAGTTGTAGTAATCTTTTCTCAATACTGTCACCATAGAGGGCAATGGTTTTCCTAGAGGAGTATAGCAAAGTACCTCCTAGACATTTTCTATATTCTCCCTACCTACTCCTCTCCCCTCACTTCACCTCTTCAGATTATTTAGAATGTGGTAATTTAAATTGTTGAAAATAGAGTGTTAGAAAGATATACTCAAATAATAACTTTTTATATGGGTAGTAAGATTGGGATTGGATTAATGAGATTGATTGATTAAGATCACATCTAGGTTTAGAATGAACATGTATTATGAAAATAATAAGTGATACAAAAACATGCATTCTCCTGGAGAATAGTCAAAAAACCAGTTTGGGCTAACACTTAACACAGATATTCAGTGAGTATGAAAAATTTAAGCAGTGATAAATTTGAGGTCTCTACTGTTCATTTGTATGAAGATTTTCTTATGAACTTGATGTCAGTCCTTTGATTAGAAAATTGATTTTTATGACTTTAAAATGGTCATAAAATCACAGTGATGGGATGAAACTATGATCCAGATTAATTTCTTACTTTATAAATGGAGAAACTGAGCTTCCCCATTTAAAGAAGTTATTCAAGGTCTCACCTCTCATTGGTAACAAAAGCATGATAGAAACCAGATCCTCTGACTCCCAGTCCATTACTCTTTTATGCCACATCAATTGCCAAGTGATAAATTTTCTCTGGAACCCCAGCTTGTCCCACCCCCATTCCCAACCCTCTATTTATGCATGGACTTTACTAACCTCCCTGAATTTGTTTTCTACAGAATTCTCCCTCTGAAGCACAGAATTTAGATGAGAATACAACTGAGGGCTGGGAAAATCGGATAAGACTATGGACTGACCAGTATGAAGAAGCTTTCACTAATCAGTACAGTGCAGATGTACAGAACGCGCTTGAACAACACCTACATTCTAGCAAGGAATTTGTGGGCAAACCTACTATTTTAGACACTATTAATAAGACTGAATTGGCCTGTAATAACACAGTTATTGGTTCCCAAATGCAGGTAAGCACCAAAGGGTTGAGGACTCTCTAAGTAGCTGAAATTTTAAGAACCCAGGAAGAGGGTAATGGATTGGAATTACTGTTCCTTCCAAATGTACAAGGCCATGGAATAACAGATTAGCCAGGTGTTGATCATATGTAACCAAAAGTAGGTTATATTAACTGGAAACTACCTGGATACATATTTTTAAACTACCTTTATTAATAAAAAAATAGATGAATTGAGGCTGTGTGCAGTGCAGTGGCTCACTCCTATAATACAACACTTTGGCAAGAAGCCAAGGTGGAAGGATTGCTTGAGGCCAGCAGTTCAAGACCAGCCTGTACAACATAGTGAGACCCTCTCTTTACAAAAAAAAAAAATTAAAAGCCGTTGTGATGATACACACCTGTAAGTCCCAGCTACTGGGGAGGCTGAGGTGGAAGGATCACTTGAATGAATTTGAGGTTATAGTAAGCTATGATTGCACCACTGCACTCCAGCCTGAATGAAAGAGTGAGACCCTGGCTCTATTTAAAAAACAGAGAGAGAGATGACTTAGTATGGGAAATTCTATATACCCTAGGTAGGAATTATGTAATATTTATAGAAAGTTAAGCATGTTCTTTCTCATCTTTATTTTAGAGATAGAGTCACTGAAGTCTTAATCATGTATTTTTTTTTTTTTTTTAATATTTTCTTGCCGTTTCTGGGGAGGCAATTTCACTAGATGTAGCATGTCTCTTAGAAAAATTGAGCTTTCATCACATTTTAAAATTTCTCATCATTGATCTAAATAACATGTACAGATAAAACCTGAAAATATTAGCATGTTTTCCTTAATTATGAAGTAATTTGAGTGTCTACTAAGGTGTTCTTGCTGTTGTTTAATGTTATTGCTCTGGTTTTATTCAGTTACAGCTGGGAAGAGTCACTCGTGTTCAAAAGCACCGGAAGATCCTGAGGGCTGCAAGAGATTTGGCTTTGGACACTCTTATAATAGAGTATCGTGGGAAAGTCATGTTACGACAGCAATTTGAGGTCAATGGGCATTTCTTCAAAAAGTAAGAACGTCATTCATTGAGCAGTGAGGGCTAAGGTGGACCTGGTTGACCAGTGTTGTTGTAAAAATCATTCTGTTTGATAAGACGCTCTTGGGAGAAAAAAATCACAACTCAGATAAGCTCACACCTGTCTGCTATTTGTAGAGAAGTGCAAGTAAATCTTCAAATTGTTCAATGTATAAAATGGTGACACCTCCTTTCCAAGCCAAGCATTCCTTGCTTTGTGCTTGTTCTTTAATCAAAAGCAGACAAACGTGATGCTTTCCCAAGTTTAGGCGTTGCAAAAGACTGCTGCTGCTTCTCTCAGCATATGCTTCATATTTGGAGTCATGGGGTGGCCTTCTTATTTGTGTTGAGAATTACAGGAATTTTAATTGTATCCCTAGACCATACCCCTTTGTGCTCTTCTACTCAAAATTCAATGGTGTAGAGATGTGTGTGGATGCCCGTACTTTCGGTAATGATGCTCGGTTCATCAGAAGATCATGTACACCAAATGCAGAGGTAAGATATCTGTAGCAACTTCCCTTTGACTGGAACCATCAAATGACAAGCTTACTGAAGAAGCAGTGTGAAAACTTCACTCAGATAAAGGTCTGTAGATAATAGTCGTGATATTTCATCGTGGGAGGTGAAAAACAAAAGTAATGGTGCTTTTATACGACAAAATGGGCGCAAGGAAAGAGTTTTCTTTAGAGAAGGCAGAAATAGAAAAGAGCAAGTTAGCATTTGCTAAGGAGAAAAAGCTAGACTGGATAAGAAAATCAAGTGTAGTTATATTAAAGAGATTGCCATACGGTGGAAGTAGATGTTGTTAGGCCTAACTAAGCTATTTGGTTGCAGTTTTTTTAGATTTTAGTGAGTAATGTTTTATGAGAGGATCTAGACATTTCTAGAATTCATTACTCAGAGCAACCACATCAAATAAAGCAAGAAAATCCACAGAGCTTTACTTACTGGCTAAGGAATTTTAATTCTCTGGTGGAGCTGGAAACAGCTATAAGATGTGAAAGCGGCTGGGCGCAGTGGCTCATGCCTGTAATCCCAGCACTTCGGAAGGCTGAGGTGGGCAGATAACAAGGTCAGGAGTTCGAGACCAGCCTGGCCAACATGGTGAAACCCCGTCTCTACTAAAAAAAAATAGAAAACTTAGCCAGGCATTGTGGCGTGTGCCTGTATTCCCAGGTACTCAGGAGGCTGAGACAGGAGAATTGCTTGAACCCGGGAGGCAGAGGTTGCCGTGAGCCGAGATCACGCCACTCCACTCCAGCCTGAGCGACAGAGCAAGACTGTATCTCAAAAAAAAGATGTGAAAGTAGAGATTTTACCCTGATTTCTAACATCTCAAGGTTTCTCCACATATTTAAGAAAGTATTATAAATTTTCAAGCCAGTGCAGTATAATAGTTTCAGATGAAATGAAGGGGTTAAATAACAGATTACCATAACTCCTTAAATAAATAATAGATTACCATAACTCCAAATGGAGAGAAAGTATGGTTTTTTTCTCTCTTACGGAAAGTTCATGGTCTTTATGAAAAATCCAACCAGAAGCCTTTTCACACAGGTGCGACACATGATTGCAGATGGGATGATTCACCTGTGCATCTATGCTGTGTCTGCCATCACCAAGGATGCTGAGGTCACCATAGCATTTGATTATGAGTATAGTAACTGGTAAGACCTCAGAAACCTTTCCTAACAGGAATATCCATGTCTTACATATTAAGCTATTCACTCTATTTAAAGTCTGCTCTTGTTTCTTGCCTTTTCCTTTGTTTACTTAATCTTTTCATGACTAATGAATTTTCTGCCTAGAAATTGTAAAGGAAAAGACAGGCAAGATTTTTTTTAGAGATACGGATACCTTGTATGATACTGCTCACAAATTTCCTGACAGAAGTGTTTTCGCTTATGCCTTTTTAGCAAGAATAGCAAAATGGATATATATGTATGTATGAGACACTCCTGGAAATTACAATAGCATCCTGTTGTTATGCACAGAGTACTTATGTCAGGGACCATATAGAATGAGAATTTAGGCCAGGCGCAGTGGCTCACAGGCCTGTAATCTCAACACTTTGGAAGGCTGAGGCGGGCGGATCACGAGGTCAGGAGATCGAGACCATCCTGGCCAATGATGAAACCCTGTCTCTACTAAAAACACAAAAATTAGCTGGGCGTGGCGGCACACGCCTGTAGTCCCAGCCACTTGAGAGGCTGAGGCAGGAGAATCACTCGAACCTGAGAGGCTGAGGCTGCAGTAAGCCAAGATCACGCCACTGCACTCCAGCCTGGCAACAGAGGGAGACTCTGTCTTAAAAAAAAAGAGAGAGAATTTAATATGTTACCTCTACTTTTAATTTGTCAATTATACCCTTATAAAGCTAGGGGTGAGATTTAAAGATCCACCCTGTCCACAGAAACCATGTTATCTAGCTGTATATGACAGTGCAGAAAACCATAAAGGGCAATTCATAGATGAATATGTGGGATTTTTTAAAGTATATGCTTTTTGTTCTTTGGTCATTTGGGGCAAAATAGAGGTTATGTGGTAAAGTGATGTTTGGCCCAGGTATAAGGAAAAAAGATGTTCTGCTTAATTCATCAAGGAAAATAAAAAAGGTTTTAAGAAGGTTATAAAAGGTTTTAAGAAGTAGGGAATTAGTAGGTAAAAGTGAGGACATGGTAATCGTGGGCACAAGATGAGTATGGCCACATCAGACTTTATCATTGATAAACTGCCTGCTAAATAGCCAATAAACCACTGGGGGGATTGAATTTAGGGAGGGCTTTCTTTTTTTTTTCCCACTGACCATGGAGTAGAATTGGGGTTACACAAAGAAAGACAGAATATTGAAAGTGTTACGTCAGGCGCGGTGACTGACGCCTGTAATCCCAGCACTTTGGGAGGCTAAGGCTGGAGGATCACTTGAGCCCAGGAGTTCAAGACCAGCCTAGACAACATGGCAAAACCCCGTCTCTGCCGAAAATAAAAAAATTAGCTGGGCGTGTAGTCCCAGCTACTCAGGAGGCTGAGGTAGGAGGATCACTTGAGCCCAGGAAACAGAGATTACCGAGAGCTGTGATGCACCACTGCACTCCAGCCTAGATGACAGAGCGAGATTCCGTCTCCAATAAAAAGAAAAACAAAAGTATTTATAGGACTCTCTAATGTCTCTGTTTAACTTATTCAGAGACAATATCAGAGGAAGTTACTGTACTGATATTTTAAGAGGGTGAATGGATAATGTAACTGAATTTCAAGGGTACTGAGACAGGCATTTTGGTTGTTTCTTTGGAGCAGTAATTATAAAGTGGACTGTGCCTGTCACAAGGGAAACCGGAATTGTCCTATACAAAAAAGGAATCCTAATGCTACAGAACTGCCACTCCTACCACCTCCTCCAAGCCTACCCACCATTGGAGCAGAGACTAGACGTAGAAAAGCACGACGGAAAGAGCTAGAGATGGAGCAGCAGAATGAGGCTTCAGAGGAGAATAATGACCAGCAATCACAAGAAGTTCCAGAAAAAGTAACTGTATCCAGTGATCATGAGGTAATCGCCCCTGGTCAAATGATGATGCTATGGCATCAATCCTCCAAAGGAAGAGGAACCCGGGTTGCCGCATGGTTTAAGTAGGGGAGCTATAGTAACACTTAGTGCCCTTTATATCAATGTGGGTTTATTGTGTTCATACATTTCTTTCTGTTTTACAAAGTCAAAAACATCCTTTGCTGGTTTTGCACCAGAGAATAGGGGTTAGTTATCATCTGTGTTTACCATGTGGCCTCACATGAGTTAACAGTTTAAAGCACTAGAGATTGTTATAGAGAGTTTTAAGCTACCAGAATAAAACAGATTGATTTTTTCTCAGAGCTTGAGTACAGCTGAATATTGCCTCTATCTTAAAGGAAGTAGACAATCCAGAAGAAAAACCAGAAGAAGAGAAAGAAGAGGTTATAGATGACCAGGAGAACCTAGCTCATAGCAGGAGGGTGAGTACTGTCTGACATTACTTTGCTCCTTCTCATTCCTGCTACCTCCATCATGTGAACCTCTTCTGTTCTCTTGACTTTGTATCATCTCATTGATTTGACCTGAAGGTTATAATTTGGGCTTTTTCCGTAATAAAGATTTTATTATAATTTTTTTATTTATTTTTCTCTATACACACAGTAGTTTTGTAGTGATTATTATCTAGTGATGGTTTGAAGAGGTTGTTTTTTTTTTTTTTTTTTTTTTTACTAACAATCTGGTTTCCGCTGGGCGCGGTGGCTCACGCCTGTAATCCCAGCACTTTGGGAGGGCGAGGTGGGCGGATCACGAGGTCAGGAGATCGAGACCATCCTCGCTAACACGGTGAAACCTTGTCTCTACTAAAAATACAAAAAATTAGCCGGGCGCGGTGGCGGGTGCCTGTAGTCCCAGCTACTCGGGAGGCTAAGGCAGGAGAATGGCATGAACCTGGGAGGCAGAGCTTGCAGTGAGTGGAGATAGCGCCACTGCACTCCGGCCTGGGCAAAAGAGCGAGACTCCATCTCAAAAAAAAAAAAAAAAAAAAAATCTGGTTTCCGAAAAACTGGCTGGTCAGAATCAAAATGTATTATAGTTGGTTTGCTCTGAATTAGGAATTTTCTAGGTTTTTGTGAGTTCTGAAGTTTTTTTAAACCCTTTTAGTCATATGAACTAAAATTTTCTACTTTTATGCTGAAACCAATCCTGTGTGTTTATGACCCTGATTTGATGACTTTTTTTTTTTTCTTTTTGAGACCGACTCTTGCTCTGTCACCAGGCTGGAGTGCAGTGGCGCAATCTCAACTCACCACAATCTCTGCCTCCCGGGTTCAAGCAATTCCCCTTCCTTAGCCTCCCAAGTAGCTGGCATTACAAGCATGCGCCACCATGCCTGGGTAATTTTTTGTATTTTAGTAGAGACGGAGTTTCACCATGTTGGCCACGACGGTCTCAATCTCCCGACCTCATGATCTTCCCACCTCAGCCTCCCAAAGTACTGGGATTACAGGCGTGAGCCACTGCACCCATCCTGTTTTTCTTTCATATTAAAGTTTCAAAATAACTGACCCTTTTTGAAAAGTTTATGTTTGACCTTGCCTTTATTTACAACTATTCCCCACATTTAAAATGAAATATTTTATTTTTAATCTTCTGTTTTCCAAGTTATATGTGTCATCTTACTGGTAGTTAAATGAATTTCTGTAAATTTCCATTAAAAATACTTTTATAAAAGCTATCCACTCGTCCTCATTTGAAGCTTCCTTCTACACCAGTACTATCTCTTTCTAGACCAGGGAAGATAGAAAGGTAGAAGCCATCATGCATGCTTTTGAAAACTTAGAGAAAAGAAAGAAGCGGCGGGATCAGCCCTTGGAACAGAGCAACTCTGATGTAGAGATTACTACAACCACCTCAGAGACTCCTGTTGGTGAAGAGACAAAAACTGAAGCCCCTGAATCTGAAGTTAGCAACTCTGTTTCAAATGTTACCATCCCAAGCACCCCACAGAGTGTTGGTGTGAATACCCGGAGGTCTTCCCAAGCAGGGGTAAGAGTTGAAAAGACTTCAGCACTTAGACATCCTCACCTTTGCTAATGTCAATACCTAACTTTTGGAATTTTTAAAATCAGTGTTTTCAGCTTTGCTCCATATCACAATAAATAAGGCCATTAACTGTTTAACTGGAACCATTTCATTGGCCTATTTTATAAATGCTTATTAGAAATAACGCAAACATTTGTCGCTAGCCTCTTTAGCTCATTTAAGTGTATACATTTTTGTATTTAAAAATTAGATTTTAAATTAGTGTTTCTAATCCTTATATTTTTCATCAGTAGACATTCTGAATGCTTAAAGTGAATAGGAAATTAGACTGTTTGCTGATAAAACATTTCTGGTAAGCATCTGACCCTACTATTGCTACAGGATATTGCTGCAGAAAAACTAGTCCCCAAGCCACCTCCAGCAAAGCCTTCTAGGCCCCGGCCGAAGAGTCGAATTTCTCGGTACAGGACCAGTTCAGCCCAAAGACTAAAGCGTCAGAAGCAGGCCAATGCACAGCAGGCAGAATTGTCACAAGCTGCCTTGGAAGAGGGAGGAAGTAACAGTTTAGTAACTCCTACTGAAGCTGGAAGTCTAGACAGTTCAGGAGAAAACAGGCCATTAACAGGGTCTGACCCAACTGTGGTGTCAATTACTGGATCCCATGTCAACCGTGCTGCATCTAAATACCCCAAAACCAAAAAGGTAAGTCACAAATGCATCCTTTATAAGTCCAGTCTGGCAAGGGCTGTCTTAGTGAAATGAGAGGACCTATAATCCCTAGAAGAAACTAATCTCAATATTACTAGATTGAAAGTTCTAAAATGCTTTGACACAAAAGGCTGGAGTCATCCTGCTACCTGTTTCCTTATTTTTAGTCAGCTTAAATCACTGATAGCTGAAATTATTCCTCTCTTAGTGGGCGTGGAGAGGGTGAAGGAAGATATCCTTGTGTTCTAGTTGCTCAATTCATTCTTACTGCAGCTGCTGCATCTCCTCCTGTCCTAGTTTCTAGATGACGTTTGTCTTTATGAACTACACTGCTACCTCTTGATTTATAAACTAATGATCTCTTTTTTACCTTAGTATCTAGTTACAGAATGGTTGAATGACAAAGCAGAGAAGCAAGAGTGCCCTGTTGAGTGCCCTTTACGTATCACAACGGATCCAACTGTACTGGCAACGACCCTAAACATGTTACCAGGTCTTATCCATTCCCCGTTAATTTGCACCACCCCCAAACACTACATTCGCTTTGGCTCACCCTTTATCCCTGAGAGACGTCGAAGGCCCCTTCTGCCTGATGGCACATTCAGCTCCTGTAAGAAGGTATGTCTGTGTTTTTGTGTGTGTGTTGTGTTTATGTGTGTGTGCTTTATTTTTTTAAGCCTAAGATTCCTATCATCATGACATAAATAAAATGTTCTCTAGATAGCCACTCTGCCCATGTGAGTTTATAATGAGTTAGTTGTTCAGCCATAAATACTGATTCATCAAGAGTCTGTGAGACTGTGGTGGAATGAATGTACTGCATTTTTAGTGCTCAGATTTGTGACTGGTCACTGATGTCTCTTCTGAGAACCCTTGAGGTTCCTGAGTGAGAGCACACAGCAGTGGATGACTGGGTAGAGACGGATATGTTTTGTGTGTGCTCTTGTGATATGGGTTAACATGTCCATTTATGATTATTGTGTGAGATTAGGCCCTGGGTCCTCTAGAACACTGTTGCATAAATGAAAAAAATTAAATTGTTTTGAATCAATTCAACCGTTATTATCCACTATCATCACTTGAAGGAAATTAGAGGAAAAATCCTATTGTAATTGGCATAATTCCTGTTCCTTGATCAAATGACAAGTCGGACTGTTTATTCCAAGAGAATACAGAATCTACCCTAAAAGACTCTCTTTCCCTCTCTGTTTCTGCCTCTTTCTCCTCTTTCCAGTTACTTACTGTTTTTGGATCTAGTGGCAGTAGCGTTTGGTGGTGTTTTTGGAATGCTCTTTCTTAATTCCCAGAAGCCCTGCATATTTTCCAAAGGTGTCTCTTAGGAATAGATCACTCCCTCAGATCTATGATGTCGTTTTCCATGTTTCTAGAAGTATAGGACACCCTTTCATTTGGTCTTCCTTTGAGGTAGAGTCTGTTCCCTGGAACACCCTTTTCTCTTATCCTCAGATCTGGATTCAGGCTGCCTTCCTCAGTGTCTGCCATTGCCCTCCTCCACTGGCATCACGTACATGAGGATGCTGCATGTAGATTATTTGATGTGATGAAGTCTCCAACTCCAGGCAGGTCTTCCCTGACTCCTCCAAACTTAAAAGCTTTTCTCTTTCCCCAAAGAACAGAAGTTATTTCTCCGGGGGAGGGGGGCATGAAAGATGAGCCAAAGTGGTGTGGGATATGGAGGGGAGGAGGGCAATAGGAATCTGCAAAAAGGAAGGACACTACTGCTGAATGAGCAGCACATTGCAGAAAGTCTTTTCCTAATTGCACATCTTACCTAAACATTGGAATCACTCATTGGTTTGTTCGGGGAAACGCTCGTAGAATTCCTAAAGAGAAATTTGACCATTTCTAAGGATGTTAACTGTTGAAGCATCTTATCAAGCCAGGTCGTACAATCTCCTATTTTGGTCCTTTAAGGAGTGTAGGCAATTATTTATTACAGATAAGTAATGAAGTCTGAGCTGCAAATAATATGAACTAGGCTCTTGAATTGAAATTCCTTCTTGATAATTCTAATGCTGGGTTGCAGTCTTTCTGTTTCCATCTTTTCCAACTAGCAGAGACTTAACGAAAACCAAAAACGTGTCTAGGACTGTAACTTCAGATCTGGTAGAAAATGCATTTCTTTAAGCTTTTTTAACTTGGTTCTGCTTTTATACTTGTATCTATAGCACATCCTTAAATTTCTACGGGCAACAGATAGAAATTCCATTTAACACAAGTCCCTGTTATATTCTCCAAGTGTATCTGACTATCCTTAATCTCATTTATACAGGCTCTACTCAAGCACTTTTATCTATGTGTCATGGTTAGTCTTTAGGAAGAGTTTAGGCTGCATACACAGGATTATCATAACAAGACTATTTAAATAGGATCTTTAAAAACTGTTTAAGTCATTGCTTTATTGTGTGCTGTTCACATATCAAGATTCTATTTTTTAAAATACAGCTTTTTATGAGGCAAAATAAAATGAAATGGAATGTTTTAGCTAGAATAGAATTTGGCTTTATAGCAGTGAAGAAGAGTTCTTCTTCTAATATTGGTCTTCTTCTAATATCTCCTAATATTGGTTAGAAAGGACTTACCTAATGCAGAACCTAAGAACATTTTCATTATTCAACAAAATTGTAATAAAATTCTGAAAATCCCTCAGAGTATAAGTTAATCAGATAGATAAGAAAACCCTCCATGGGATTATTTAGAACAATGTATATTTCTAATAGGCTCACTGTTTCATATCTCACTAAAGAGGTAAGGGCCTGGCCTTGTAAGTTAAAAACTTACCAGTATAGGACAAATTAAAGTTGTATCTGTATAGTTGTACTCAGATTCTTATGCTATTTATTTTTATTTTTATCATTATTATTCTGCAACTTCTGAAAAGAAGAGGAGTTCAGGTATTTGACAGAACATTTTATGATATCCCTAGAGTTTCTAAATTGAATCATAGTTTTTAAGAAGCATTTTGCATTTTTTAGTTCCTCAGTTGGTATTTTAAAAACATTTATAAGTGGCCAACAAGGCTCTCAGTAGTGTTTCACCTTGTTCTCTCTAAACTCCTCTTCTAAACACAATGTGTATAGGGCATTTGGTCTCCAGACTTCTTAGAAAAACCAGTCTGACTGATAATGAAACAGTGTGCTTTGCATTGATAATTAATATTTCATTTTATACACTGGAGCATTATCTGTAAATCTCCAAACATAGCATTGAAATTTAGTTGAACCGGGACTCGGTGAAAATCTGCTCAGTGTTCAGTACTGTACTATAAGCTTTCTTCACATACATTATCTCACTTACCATGCATGAAATTGGGATCATTGTCCTAAATTTATATATCCAGAAGCTTTGTCTCAGAAATGTTTGGTAACTTGTCCAAAGTGAAGCAGCTAATAAGTGACACAGCCAGATTTCTTCTGGTGGGGGATAGTAGGGGTTCACAGGGTCTCACTGTTGTCCAGGCTGGAGTGCAGTGGCATCATCACAGGCTCACTGCAGCCTTGACCTCCTGGGCTCAAATGGTCCTCCTACCTCAACCTCTCGTGTAGCTGGGACCACAGGCACACCACCACGCCTGGCTAATATTCATATTTTTTGTAGCGACAGGGTTTTGCTGTGTTTCCTAGGCTGATCTCAAACTCCTGAGTGCAAGGAGTCTGCCCACCTTGGCCTCACATTCTGCTGGGATTACAGATACGAGCTACTGAGCCCAGCCTCACAGCCAAGTGTCAAGCCAGGGCTTCTGGACTCCAAAACCTGTATTGCTTCCTTGCTCTTTCGCCATAATAGCGAGACCTTTAAAATATTTATCCATCTTTGAGCCTCCCAGAAAACTCCTTTGCAATATATTTTAATAGAGGTTCAGAGAAGGGAGAAATGTTCTTTTGATTTTAACAACTTGCTGAGTAGGTGCATCTAAAATTAACTTATTATCCATGAGGTTAATTGTATCTTGTTAGATACAAACAAATGTCCATGTTCCTTTTTTATATGAGTCCTGAAATATTGTAAAATTATACAACAGAACCTGGAGGAGTAGGTTTGATTGTATTTGCTGTGTTTCACCTCATAGCTAACCATGGTAGCATCTTTCTTCTAGAATACTCCTGTTCTGATTTTATGTTCCCTTTTTGTAGTCATCAGATCCAGAATGTAAATTATTTTACAAGTACATCTACTAGACCCTGGAAATATTAAAAAATTACTCAGATAGGAAAGCTTAGTGACCCCAAATGAGTGTTTTCTGCTTTGAAAAGAAAAACTTAAAGGTGGCCATAACAAAAGATTTTTCACTCCTGAGCCTAATTTTTCCATTTATAAAATGAGTGCTTTGGACAAGATGACTTCTAAGTTCTCTTCTAAGCTTTAAGGCTATATGTATGGTTCTGACAATTCATCTTTACATCATTATTCTGTATCTAAGATAGTTCATTCTTCGGATTTTTTATTTTGTTTTTGTGTTTGCTTTTCAGAGACCTGGTTGTATCCTAAAATGTTTACGTGATTCAAATTACCATTGAGAGCTCTTTTTTATATCCTTGTTCACTCTTCCTTCCAAGTGTTTACAGGTTTACAGTTTCAGTTTTGCTTTCATTTGGCCAGCCACAATGACATTTGTATGATGTAAGATTTTTTTTTTTTTTTTTTTTTTTTTGGTAAAATTTTTGTGGATTGTTTCCTAGGTTTCTAAGAGGGAAAATCTATGAGAATTGCTCTCTGGTGAAGAGAGTATTTACTTACCTGTAATACATGTTCTCTAAAGGTATAAATTATAATAATTCACCTTTGCTCTTCCTATTGGGGGAGGGTCTTACTCAGAAATTGATGTTTATCAAAATTCGATCTGTCTTATGTCAGGGCAGGAGAGCCACAGAGTGGTGAGCAACCTACAACTGTATATCTTAAGAGAACACAATTACAGGTAAGAAATTTTCTGTCTTCCACAGGATACATAATCTTATTATCCTAATCTTTGCAGGTTTACTATCTGGCCTAAATTTATTTCTTGTCAGTTTATTATTCTAATCTTTACTACCAAAAACTTGTGACTGATAGGTCTTCTTTTTGACTTTTTCCCTTTTTTTTGATTTCTACTGAAGCTCATTTCGTGATTTGCATTACTCATGCATAATTTAACCAAACTACTTGTTGGAGGGGGGAGTCCCATAGGTTATTTCATTTGAAATAAACCTTTTGGAAACGCTTTTGGTACCTGTAGTGAAGAGCTATTAATCCTCATCCAAAATCTTCCAATGAATCTTTTTTATTACCTCTTCACACGTCTCTAGCACGGGGCAGACAACTTTTAAGAGATCTTTATCTTCCTTCTAGGCGCTTATTTTATATATTAGTTTTATTCTATACGATCACAGTCTCTCCTAAATAAATGTTAAGATTTCTTCCTCAGTCTTGCCATTTTACACCATCCCAAATGGTATGAAAAGTTGAATAGCAGTCATTTTTTATTGGTTTTTGTCTTTTGATGGGATCTCATTATATGTAATCCAGATTTCCTCAAGTTTTTCAGTTAAAAGGAATTGATAGGACAATGTTCCAATATGCTGAGACACAAGACAATAAAATGCTTGACTGTGTAACTGAATTAGTGTGTTGAATTGTATCACTCACCAGTTGATGTACATTTAAAACAGGTGCACTAAATAGTTTTAGATAATTATTGATAATTCTCTGGTTCTTTTCAATTATAGCGCTGGATAAAACAAGCCTTAGAAGAAGGGATGACTCAAACATCATCTGTACCCCAAGAGACTAGAACTCAGCACCTATACCAAAGCAATGAGAATAGTAGCTCTTCTAGTATCTGCAAAGACAATGCAGGTACGTATCTAAAACCTTTCTGATTATATGACCAATGATTGTTTCAGGTCTGCATAAAAAATTTAAGTATGAGTATTTCTGATACAAAAAGAAATGGCGTGTTTTCTAAATAGTTACTTTACATCTGTCTTTACAGAGGAAGAGAGAGATCTCAAGTCAGGGATCAGTTTTCCCAGGACGACAAAGAAGGACTAGACAGTGTACAGATAACAGCAGAAATGGTTATAAAAAAGGTTAGATACATTTAAAGTAGTAAGTTTAGGAAATTTATATTCATATTTATAAGATGGGGCAAGGGCAAGAAAGTGGTGGAACACTAATATTCAGGAAAGAATTAAAATTCTGAGTGATTAAGTTGGGTGGGACATGGTTGAGGGAGCAGGGGATGAATGAAATAAGTGAAAAATTATTATCAATTGATTGTTTTCAAAGGGGCTTGTATAATTAGCATACAATTTTTAAAAGAACAGCCGGGCGCTGTGGCTCGCACCTGTAATCCCAGCACTTTGGGAAGCCAAGGTGGGTGGATCACCTGAGGTCAGGAGTTCGAGACCAACGTGGCCAACATGGTGAAACCCTGTCTCTACCAAAAATGCAAAAATTAGCTGGGTGTGGTGGCAGGTGCCTGTAATCCCTCCCTAAACAGGAGGCTGAGGCAGTGGAGAATCACTTGAACCCGGGAGGTGGAGGTTACAGTGAGCCAAGATCACGCCACTGCACTCCAGCCTGGGCGACAAGAATGAAACTCCGTCTCAAAAAAAAAAAAAAAAAAAAAAAAAAAACAAATTTTTTAAGACAGCTTTAAATCTAAAGTCTTTGTGCATTTTTAAACTAGATGTCAATGAAAAATCATCTGTTCCATTGGTTTTGACAGTGACTTGCAAAGGATGTAATTGAAAGCACTTGTGATATCTTAATGTATTTTGTGACAATCTTTTTACCAGTTTCTCCTGCAAATATCAGCTTAATTGAAAAGTTCTTTGTGATTTTCATAACTTTTCTCTAAATCAGTTTTTTAAATATTAGACAATCAAAATACCAAAGTAAATTAGATGCTAAAGCAACCTTTCAGGTTGCAACAAACAGAATATTTCACATTTTCATAAAAAACCCACTTCATTGTTCCTGTTTACCAACTTGCTGAATAAATGTAATGAACTTGAATTTAATTAGATAAATTTTTAGTAGCAGATATTGCAACTAAAATCAGAACTTTTCTTAAAGTTCTTACTTCATTTGGATTTTACTTCTTTTTAGATTTTATTTCAGAAAACGTGAATTGCCTTTTTTTCTTTTTTTCTTTTTTTTTTTTTTTTTTTTTTGAAATGGAGAATCAAGCGATTCTCCCTGCCTCAGCCTCCCGAGTAACTGGGATTACAGGCGCCCGCCACCTCACCCGGCAAATTTTTATATTTTGAGTAGAGACGGGGTTTCACCATGTTGGCCAGGCTAGTCTCGAACTCCTGACCTCAGGAGATCCGCCCACCTCGGCTTCCCAAAGTGCTGGGATTACAGGCATGAGCCACCATGCCTGGCTGTGAATTGCCATTTTTTAAATTATGGATTTAGTTTATTCTTTTGTCTCTAGATTAGATTATACCTCATAAGTTACCACCTATATACCTCAGGATAATAAAATTCCAGTTATCTGAAAGATAAATTATACTGTTTATTTAAAATATTTTCTTCTAGTATTCACCAAAAATTAGGGATATTTAGTCAAATATGAATAGTATAAAGAAATCTTGGTACCAGATTTCCATTTGTATTATTTCTTTTTTAACAGCTTTTAAGGTGTTAGTAAGAATATAACTTAGCTGAAATAGACTATCATGTTTGTGTATCTATCTGGTGTGTGTGTTAATGCATGTGTATAGTTAAGGTTGGGAACAGGAGATTGCATAGCAGTTCACATCCTGACTAGCAAAGGATTATAGGAAAAGTGTCTTTGTTATCACATGCCCTGGTTGGAAGGAAATTAGGATTCCTAGTCACCAGCCTTTTTTGTTATTGTTGAGCTTCTGCCCTAGTCTAACAGTGAGAAACACTCACAGGACACACCTTGCCCTTAAAAAGCAATGTAGGAAAATATTTGATTTTAAAAATCAAGCAGCAGTCAAATGCGCAAGTTATATTGCTACAAAATTAGCATAAATTCTGAGGAATTACTTTTATTTGTTGGCTCTCTTTTGTTTTTTTCAAGAATACCAAAGAGACATTAAGAAAGGGGAAAGGATTTCTATAATAGAAAAAATCAAACAGACCTTTACTTGAAAACCAGCTGTCCCCTTTACTAACTATATGATGTTACTAGAAGTCTCTGAGGCTAGGCGTTGGTGGCTCACACCTGTAATCCCAGCACTTTGGGAGGCCAAGGTGGGCGGATCATCTGAGGTCAGGAGTTCAAGACCAGCCTGGCCAACATGGTGAAACCCTGTCTCTACTAAAAATACAAAAATTAGCTGGGCCTGGTCACGTACCTGTAATCCCAGCTATTTGGGAGGCTGAGGCAGGAGAATTGCTTGAACCTGGAGGTGGAGGTTGCAGTGAGACGAGATTGCGCCACTCCACTCCAGCCTGGGTGACGGAGGGAGATTCTGTCTTTAAAACTTAAAAAAAAAAAAAAAAACAAGTCTCTGAGCCTCATTTGTAAAATGGGAATAGCAATACCTGCTTTATAGAGCTAACATTAGAATGAATAATGTATATAAAGTTCTCAATATAGTATCAGGCCCATAAGAGTAATTATTATACGGTCATTATTCTACACAGAATACTCTTTCTTGTAGAGTATTTGTGGATTAATAAATACATTAAAGATTCTGGCTGGGTGTGATGGCTCACGCCTGTAATCCCAGCACTTTGGGAGGCTGAGGCGGGCAGATCACGAGGTGAAAAGATTGAGACCATCCTGGCCAACATGGTGAAATCCCATCTCTACTAAAAATACAAAAAAAATTAGCTGGGCATGGTGGCATGCACCTGTAGTCCCAGCTACTCAGGAGGCTGAGGCAGGAGGATTGCTTGAACCTGGGAGGCAGAAGTTGCAGTGAGCCAAGGTCACGCCACTGCACTCCAGCCTGGCAATAGAGTGAGACTCCGTCTCAAAAAGAAAGAAAGAAAGAAAGAGAGGGAGGGAAGAAAGAAAAGAGAAAAGAAAAGAAGAAAGAAATACACTAAATATTTTAAGTTCCTAAAAGCTGAAACTTTATAGAAATAAAAGTTATTATCAAAGTAGGGCAGGGGCATGATGTTCATTATTTGTAAATGATGTGGGTCTATTCTTAGAAGAGCCTAAGTAATCAGCTGAAAAACTTAGAATTAATAATAAGAGTTTAGGCCAGGCGTGGTGGCTCACGCCTGTAATCCCAGCACTTTGGGAGGCCGAGATGGGTGGATCACAAGGTCAGGAGATCGAGACCATCCTTGCTAACACAGTGAAACCCCATCTCTACTAAAAATACAAAAAATTAGCTGTGCGTGGTGGTGGGCACTTGTAGTCCCGCTACTCGGGGGGCTGAGGCAGGAAAATAGCATGAACCCAGGAGGCGGAGGTTGCAGTGAGCTGAGATCGCGCCACTGCACTCCTGCCTGGGCAATAGAGTGAGACTCTGTCTCAAAAAATATATATATATACTAATAATAATAATAAGAGTTTATTAATATCACTGGATAGAAGGATAAATATATAAAAAGTGTAAATATATTTTAAAAAATCATTTATATACCAAGAAAGTAAATGAATACCAATTTTTTTTGTTCCCAAACTTAACAAAACTAAGAAACTGCCTAGGAATAACCTTAGTTGGGTATATGGAGTAAACTGTTACTGAGAAATATTTTTAAAGTCTGAGGAAATGGAAATTTCTTTTTCTTTTTTTTTTTTTCATGAATCATACGTGAGCCTTTGATAAATTTCATGTTCATTATGGAAAGAATATATATATGTGTATATATATATTTCTTTCTCTTTCTCTCTGTCTTTATATAGTTCCCATGAAACTGCCTTGTTTTTGGAATTTGATTAAATGATTCTGAAGTCTACCTTTAAAAAAATAAGAAAAAAATTGAAAAAATAATAATGAAGTACTTTCTCTTGAGGTGTAAGACGAGCTTCTAGTATGAAGCTAATAGTTAAATTTAGTATAATATTGATGCAAGAATGGATGTATATATGGAACAAAATAGTCAGAATAGGCCTAAATATAAATGTAAAAGTTGGTAAATTGTCATGGAATTTTTAGTTAGGAGATTGAAAAAGAATTAGAATCTAGCTGGACACGGTGGCACGTGCCTGTAACTCTCAACTACTTGGGAGGCTGAGGTAGGAGGATCACTCAAGCCCAGGAGTCAAGTTCAACCTGCGCAACACAGCAAGACCTTGTCTTCAAAAGAACTACTAGGTCCTTTGCCAAAGAAAATTCTAGGCACATTCAAATATATATATTTTTTTAATTCAAACTTGGGCCTGGCATGGTGACTCTCACCTGCAATTTCCAGCTCTTTGGGATGCCAAGGCAGAAGGATCACTTGAGGCCAGGAATTTGAGACCAGCCTGGGCAGCAGAGAGAGACCCACATCTCTACAAAAAATAAAAATTAGCCAGGCATGATGGTGGGTTGCCTGTAGCCTTAAGGAGGCTGAAGTAGGAGGATGACTTGAGCCCAAGAATTTGAGGCTGCAGTGAGCTGTGATAATGCCACTGCGTTCCAGCCTGAATGACAGCAAGACATCTGTCTCTAAAAATAATAAAATAAATAATTCAAACTGTATTAACCATGTTTTTGTGTCTATACTGCCTCTGTATTAATAGAGGATTAGTACATTGGGGAAAGGATTTGCAGTAAAACTGCCGGGGAGTAATATCCCTGCTAGCAATCTGATAAAATTTATCATGTGCATTAAAAATATTCATAATCCTTAACCTAGTAGTCGTTCATTTGTTCTGCTTGGTATCTTTCCTACAGAAATAGACAAAGAAACCAAAATTTATATATAAGGTTGGTGCAAAAGTAATTGCGTTTTTGGACCATTAATTTTAAATCACTGTAACTAGACTCAGACACATCTTTATTAATCAAAATAGGAACCACTGCAATCAACACATTTTTGCCACTGAGAAATAAGTTTGTTTATTCCTGTAGCCTAAAAATCTATGCTTCAGGATTCGACAAACTCTTGGAAAATATTTTCTGCATCCTGCTGGTTGTGGAAGCACCTTCCCTGTAAAAAGTTGTCAGATGCTTGAAGTGGTACCTGGTTGGCGAGAGGTCAGGTGAACATGGCGGGTGAGACGAAACTCTGTAGTCAAATTTGTTCAGCAGCTTCAGAAGTTGAATGAATTGTTTATTAGAATAATTAATTCTTAGTTATTAACAATTGCAAAAACTATAGGTTAAAAATAATCTGAATTCCAACCCCAGGAATGGTAGAATTTGTAATTTTATCTGCTTGTGCACATACTTGTAATGGAGTATCATATACTATTTATTGAAAATCTTATTTTTGATTCATTTTATCAAATTAACTCCCTCTACCCCCAAAAACAGCGTAGTACCACTTTTGAATTAGATTTGTGATCTTACCTAGCACCTTGAATTTGTAAGAATATTAAAAGAATAGCCAGGTGTGGTGGCTCACGCCTGTAATCCCAGCACTTTGGGAGGCCGAGGCAGGCGGATCACGAGGTCAGGAGATCCAGACCATCCTGGCTAACACGGCGAAACCCCGTCTCTACTAAAAATACAACAACAACAACAAAAAAAAAAACCGGGCATAGTGGCAGGCGCCTGTAATCCCAGCTACTCGCCACTGCACTCCAGCCTGGGCGACAGCGAGACTCCATCAAAAAAAAAAAAAAAAAAGAATATTAAAAGAAGAATATACGATGACTAAGGTTCCTTCTAGGAATGTAAGGATGAGTTAATATTTGAAAATTTAATAATCGTCATTTGTTAGCAGGTCAAATGGGGGAGGAGAAGTCATAACACAGTGACTTTTATCAATTTAATGATAAAATAACATACTATGATCTTTTAATATCTAGCTGAAAAATTGCCAGTTGTCATGCATCATGAAAACTAGTTAAACATCAAAATAGGCTATCAAATTATCCCACTATTACCATTATTATTTAATATAGTCTAAGTAATTGTTAGCCAAAGTAATTACACCAACCCCCTCCCCCCCACAAAAAAAATCAACATAAGAGATATAAGTACTGGTAAAGAGGGTTAATGTGTTATCATGTACAAATACTATTATCTACCTAGAGAGTTAATTGAAAAACTGGTAGAGATTAATAGGGTAACTGGATAAAAAATAAGTATGTAAACTTTTTAAATGTTAATAACATTTAGATAACAAAGGGAGAGATACGTTTTATTCATAGTAGTAAAAAAAAAAAACTAAAGAACTCTGGAGAGTAAACTTAATTAGACATGTGGTATATATAGATGAAGAGGGACATAATATGTGAATAACAAAGATTATGCCATGTTCCTGGGTAAGAATGCTTCTCAAATTACTCCTGAATTTCATCTAACACCAATCAAAATCCTAACTTTTTTTTTTTTTTTTAATAGTATGAGCATGGTCATTGAATGACTTCTATAGTTCATTGCTAGAATAGCTAAAATATTTTGGAGAACTAGAACAGAATAACTGGAATTTCCCTAACAATTTTAATAAAAAGTATGCTGGTGTTGATTCAGTATTGGACAATAAGTGGAAAGAATAACATTCGGAAATAAACATTCAGAAGATAAGCCCAGTATATGTAAGAATCTAATAAGATAAATATATTTCAAATTAATAGGGAAATTATAGTTATTCTACATTTACAGAAGATTTTGGAAGAAGGTGCTGGCTATTTGTTATGGGGAAAGGATGGATTAATTGCTACCCCATATTTAAGTATGTTCTTTTTTCCTTTTTTGTAATGGCAGTTTGTCAGTGTGAAATAAAATGTTCTTTTTTAATTAAAATCTAAATTAAAAATTAAACATGGAGACAAAAGGAAAATAGGCTGGCATTTTTACAGTGTCAGGGTGGGTTAGCAAAGACATGATATCAGAAGCAGAAAATAAAGTGATCCGTTTGACTAAATAGAAACAAAACATATAGCAGAGACTTGTAAATAAAATTGAAGGCAATCAGTAAACTGGGAAAATACATTTGTAATTTTATTGACAAGGGGTCAACATTCTTACTATTTAAAGAGCCCTTACAGATGAAGAAAAAGACCCCAACACCTCAGTAGAATGCAGGCTGAAGAACATGAGCCAGCAGTTCTCACAGGACTAAATATAAACTACACATATATAGATATTCTTTTGATTTAATAATCCTACATGTAGCCATTTGTTCTAATAGCAAAAAATGAAAAAAAAGTTGGTTAAATTTTGATAATACTAATGTTGTGCAGTCATTAAACCTGAACTGTAGATTTCTATTCATTGTCATAAAATGTTGACCATGTATTTCTGAGTGAAAATAGTTACTGAGTAGTTTAGGTAAGGCAAGAGTCAGTGAAGCAATGTCTCGATAAAAATTTACCAGGATATTAGCATGCGTTTATTTGTGGATATGATTTTCAGGTTGTGTATGTGCTGTATAACCTTGGTAATTTTTTGAGTAAAGGTGAAAAATAATAATAATAAAAGATGGATAGATTTGACCACATAAAATTTGGAAACTATATATGCAGGAAAAAGAGAAAAAGTAGGCAAATGACTTGGCTTTCTTTGGCCTGTAAACTTCTTAAGGGCAGACATCAGGTCTCTTGTTGAATACAGTATCATAATAAGTACTCAGTAAATATATGTTGAATGAATGCCTTGTACATTGATTTGCACGTGGCAGATTTCACCTGTATCTTATAACTCCTTTCTACAACTAACTTCATCACTTAACATAATTGACTTTGATAGTTATAGTGTTGGACCTAGCAGTACAGAGATCTGTAAGATTCCATTGTTTAAGACCCTTGAAATATTAAATATATAAAAGTTATTCCGAATATAAGCCATGAATTACATGTTTGTTTCTGTTTTATACCTAGGCACTTTTTAAAAGGAGGAAAGAAAATTTAGTATCTGGAACAAAAGGAAGATGTGAATATACTTCCAATCTAGGAATATTAAAAATCCTGAGATATCAGAAAGGAAAAATATGCATCTTCAATAATTTTTTGCATTTATTCTTCCCTCTTCATCTAAACATCTCCTACCCTAGTTTAGTGCCTCATAATTCTTTGCTAACTACTGTGTTAACTCCAGATGGTTTCCCAGTTACTAGTCTCATACTGACCATTGCTTCCAGATAATCTTCCTGGCCCAAAAATTTTCCTTGAAGGCCTGGAATAAATGTCACTCCTTCCATCCACCAAGCCTTGGGGATATACTTTAACCTATTGATTAAGAATATAGATAGATGGAGCCAGGCGCGGTGGCTCACGCCTGTAATCCCAGCACTTTGGGAGGCCGAGGCGGGTGGATCACGAGGTCAAGAGATCAAGACCATCCTGGCCAACATGGTGAAACCCCGTCTCTACTAAAAATACAAAAAATTAGCCGGGTGTGGTAGCGAGCACCTGTAGTCCCAGCTACTCGGGAGGCTGAGGCAGGAGAATGGTGTGAACCTGGGAGGCGGACCTTGCAGTGAGCCGAGATCGTGCCGCTGCACTCCAGCCTAGGTGACAGAGCAAGAGTCCGTCTCAAAAAAAAAAAAAAAGAAAAAAAGAATATAGATAGATGGGGCCAGGCGTGGTGGCTCATGGCTGTAATCCCAACACTTTGGGAGGCTCAGGTGGGTGGATCACTTGAGGTCAGGAATTCAAGGCCAACATGGTGAAACCCTGTCTCTACTAAAAATACAAAAATTAAGAATGTAGATATATGGGAGCAAGAATACCTGTTTTGTCTCTCTCCACACATCAAGTTTCTCACCTTTAATATGGGGATGATAATAATAGTGCTTGATTTATAGAGTTGTTAAAATTAGATATTTCACAATAAAGCACATGGCATAGTCTGTGGTATATAATCATCATTTAGAAAATACAGCTTTTTTTTTTTTTTAACTAACACATAGCAATATGATCACCTTTCTTGATCATGCTAATACTAATGTGTTCACTTTTTTTGTTGTGTCGTTTTGTTTTGTTTTGAGACAGTCTCCTCCCTCTGTCACCCAGGCTAGAGTACAGTGGTGCAGTCTCAACTCGCTGCAACCTCTGCCTCCTGGGTTCAAGTGATTCTTGTGCCTCCACCTCCTGAGTAACTGGAACTGCAGGCATGCACCACCACTCCTGCTTAATCTTTTTTGTGTATTTAGTAGAGACAGGGTTTTGCCATATTGGCCAGGCTGGTCTCAAACTCCTGGCTTAAGTGATCTGCCTGCCTCAGCCTCCCAAAGTGCTGGGATTATAGGCATGAGCCACCACACCTGGCCCTGTTTCTATTTCTTACAAATTTTAAGCCTCTTGAAAATAGAATGTATGATGACCATTTTTCCCTTCATACCTAGTTCAGTAATCAGTAGGTATTAAATATATATACTTTTAACTGTAAATGAATAAAACTGTATTTTTATTCTGAGAATCAAGTGAGAAAGGTGCTTTGACCTAAATGGTCACTAAAATATTTAGTGTAGTGACTTGCTTTTTAAGTGGATCTAAGAAGTACAGAAAATAGGATTATTCTAGTCAAAAAGAATGTGAACCTAATTTTTTAATGGTTGGGAGAAGTTTTTGTAGAAATCATTTCATGCTTTTTAGGTAGAAAAGGGGCTAGACATGGATCAAGGAATCATATAAGAATAGAAAGAGCTTCTGAAAAGGGACACACATATATAAGAGATGGTGAAAGGAATTTGGATTTAGCATCCCAGTACCTTTAGTTGGTGATATAGCAGTTTAGTAGAGGGTAACTGTAACACAGTAACAAAGACTTTTCAGAAACTCAATGTAAAAGAAAGAACTGTAGCAGTGGCTCACGCCTGTAATCCCAACACTTGGGGCGTCTAAGGCGGGCAGATCACCTGAAGTCAGGAGTTGAAGACCAGCCTGGCAAACGTGGTGAAATGCCATCTCTACTAAAAATACAAAAATTAGCCAGGTGTAGTGGTGCATGCCTGTAATCCCAGCTACTCGGGAGGCTGAGGCAGGTGAATCACTTGAACCCGGGAGACGGAGGTTGCAGTGAGCTAAGTAAATGCCATTGCACTCCAGCCTTAGCGACAGAGCAAGGCTCTGTCTCATAAATAAATAAATGAATAAATGAAAGAATTTTATATTTTGCACTGGTAGAAATTAAATTAGAGATCAGTCACATTTGATTTACCTGGAGTTTGGGAGATAGAATGTTTTCAGAGTTATTTTAAGCATGGTAATTAAAGAGTTTCTTTGGGATTTTGGTTGGATTGGAGGAGATAACTTAATGGGATGAGGCAGAAAACAGTTAAGAGCCATTGTAGATTACAGATTAATGGCTTTACTGTAGAGCCTTAAATTAATCTGTGGTTTCAAACTCTCATCCAAGCTTTGTGTTTCACAGACTTGTTGAGCCCATTAAAGAAATGGAAGTCTCGCTATCTGATGGAGCAGAATGTCACCAAGTTACTTCGGCCTCTGTCTCCAGTCACACCACCCCCTCCCAATTCAGGCTCAAAGAGTCCCCAGCTGGCCACACCTGGCTCATCTCACCCAGGAGAAGAGGAGTGTCGAAATGGATACAGCCTCATGTTTTCACCAGTCACATCTCTTACTACTGCTAGTCGCTGCAACACTCCTCTACAGTTTGAGGTGATTTGGGTTTGGTTGCTGGGAGTGCTGGATATGAAAATCATCATTTGTACCTTCTCATTTCAAATATAATACCATTCCAAATGTTTCTTTACTATCTTTCTTCCCCATCTCAGTAAGAGAATGGGAAACCTCAGGGTCATTGTGGCCTGTTACCTGGTAGCCTCTCATCTTGGCAGCCCCTATGCTTCCCAAAATAGGCATACTGCTACCACAAATCCCATTCATGTATCTTTTGCATGCAGTCCATCAATCTCCATAAGTTTAGGTAGTAAGCATGCTAGATCTCCATCGTTATCTTTACTGTATACTTTGGTCAAAATAGGCCTCTAGCTGCCTGTAGTATCTGTTAGTAACACTAGCCTGAGAGCACAGATGATATTGATTGATTGTGTCTTCGTTTCTAGGCCTTTAAATAAGTGAAGTGTCTTTCCCAGGTTGTTTGGTATTTTCATTGTGGCCTTAGCAGAGATTTAGAAAACATTGGGGTATGGCTTATGGCGAATGTGGGTTTTTTCCACTCCAGGTTACTTTCCCTCTTTGTTATAATGTCTTAGGAATCAGAAGTAGACAAGAGGCTAGCAACATGTATTCATGAGACAAATTTATTACCTTCACTGTTGGATTAAGTTAGAAATGTCTGCCTCAGCTGTTTCAAAAAGTAATCTTGAATCACTTTAGTGTTCAGGTTTGGGTGACAGCAGGTTTCAATAGAATCCATGTATACTTTTTTAAAACACTTCATCTATTGCATGTTACTTTGATTTGTAATTAAAATGGACACTGTCTCTTTTTTCCTTCTCAGAAAAATTTGTTCTGACCACTAAACACACTCTGCTGCTCTGCCCCCTTGTTTGCACTTCTCCAGATGTGTTTTTTGAGAAAGGTGAACATTTTAACCAATCTTACGTTTCCTATTCAGCTTTTCCAAGTATGAGGATTCAGAATACTTAGCTTTTATGAGTAACTAAGAGGCAGCTAGCAACATTGAAAGCAGAACTGTATTCTTTCTTACCCTAGACCTCTACTTTTGGAGCAGACCTCTTTCTGGGTGAGGGAAAAAACCTCCTGGTTACATATCAGTTATCTAGGGAAATTACTCTTTACCAGATTATTTATGAAATTCTTTCAGCCAGATAATAAAGCAGCTGATTCAGGCCTTTCTAACTTGACTTTGTCTACTTGCAATTGACTTTGCAGTTTGCACCTAGAGCTTTATAGTAAGGTATCATGAGAGGAATTCTCCCTGGAGGGCATAAGATTATAGGAATAGAGTGTCATACTTTATCAATACAGGTTTTATTATAAATGTGGAATTATGAAAATTAGAAGGAGGCCGGGCGCAGTGGCTCACACCTATAATCCCATCACTTTGGGAGGCTGAGGCAGGCGGATCACGAGGTCAGTAGATCAAGACCATCCTGGCTAACGTGGTGAAACCCCGTCTCTACTAAAAATACAAAATATTAGCCGGGCGTGGTAGTGGGCGCCTGTAGTCCCAGCTACTCGGGAGGCTGAGGCAGGAGAATGGCGTGAACCCGGGAGGCGGAGCTTGCAGTGAGCCGAGATCGCGCCATTGCACTCCAGCCTGGGCAACAGAGCAAGACTCCGTCTCAAAAAAAAAAAAAAAAAAAAAAGAAAATCAGAAGGTAAGTCACTTTGCAAAACAAGCGGGTTCAGTACTCAGTGTGTTCCTTATCCCTTGTAGCATTTGGGATAACTATTAAACACTGCAAATATAAAGTGGTTTTGGTTTTGTTTTGTTTTGTTTTTTTTAATTGGTGATCATTTTAATAATACAGTCCATGCATAATGTTAGAATACCAGGAGGGAAGGAAAATATTAAATAGTAAAAGGTCCAAGGCATGGTTTCACTTGCAATTTAAGGAAATTTTACCTTTCTCATCAATAATAGAACAGATTTCACCACCCTGACCCATTCTAATCACCATTTTAATGGCCATACTCTTTGCTGTATTCTAGTACAGAGAGGTGGGGAGCCTTTTTTGTAGCAAAGGCTGTGACACATTGTGAAATATCAAAAAGGTGTCACGTATAAAGACCAGCTTAGGCTGGGCATGGTGGCTCACACCTGTAATCACAGTGCTTTGGAAGGCTGAGGCAGGAGGATTGCTTGAGGCCAGGGGTTTGAGACCAGCCTGGGTAACATCGTGAGACCACATTTCTGCAAAAATAAAATACAAAACTTAGCCAGGTGTAGTGGCATATACCTGTAGTCCCAGCTACTTGGGAGGCTGAAGCAGGAAGATCACTTAAGACCAGGAGTTTAAGACTGCAGTGAGCCATTATTGTGCCACTACATGCCAGCCTGGGCAACAGTGAGATCCCATCTCTAAAAATAATTTAAAGACCAGCTTAGGCCAGGTACAGTGGCACACACCTGTAATCCCAGCTACTCGGGAGGCCAAGGCAAAGGAATTGCTTGAGCCTGGGAGGTTGCAGGGAGCCAAGACTGCGCCACTGCATTCCACATTCCAGCCTGGGCAACAGAGGGAGACTCTCTCTCAAAAAAAAAAAAAAAAAAAAAAAAACAACCTTACTAGATTAGTTTGGGGAAGGATATTTTTGAGAAGGAAAAAAGCATTCAGGAAAATGGTGAGAAGTCTTAAGTGCTAAGGGGAAGAAGGTAAGAAGATAAACAGTGGAAGAGAACAAGATCTTCAGGAGGGGAAAGCATCTAGAAAGAAGAGTGGAAGCAACATTGGGAGGACAAGCTTAGTTAGCCTCTCCTTTCTACCAGAATAACCCTCCCCTCCTATTCTTGCCCTGAGAGCCATACTCCACCCGCCATTTCACACATACGTGCACCTAGATGTACACCACCCACTGTCCATGCCAAGTAAAATTCACAGCCAAAACCCTGCTTTGCTGAAGCAGCCTCATTTCCCCTACCTCAGCATGTGCCTGCCACCTAGGCCACAGTTATTCAGAGTCTACATTAGGCACCCTCTCCTTACCTCAGCCCTAGCACCCCTGAGTCATTGTCACACTACCACCTTCACTCTCTTCACGTGTTCCCATTTACATCTTTCCATTAAGCACTCACTGCTCAGTCTCTGTTATGGGACTGCTGCCTCACCTGAAAGTCCCAAGGTAAAGTCCTACCCTCTGTAGGATACAGGGACCTAAGTATACACATACATGCTTTTTCTGCTCTGTTGCCAAAAGTACAATGGATTTTACAAAATAACATTAATAGGGGTGGCTCAGGTCTAATTAGATTATGCCAAGAACCAACTCTAGCCTGTGAGCTAGGGATTCCATCAATCACATTTCCTGTAACTGTCATTCAAGAGGAACTGGCCATCTCCCTAACCATGTCAGCCCCCAGCACACTAATGTCTCCCCCTGGATAGCACTGGGAGGGCCTGAGGCATATAAGAGAATAAAGAAATGTGACAAGCAGAAGAGGCATTGGATGAAGGAACAAGGTCCATGTAAGGAGGAATAAGGGGTAGGGTGCCCCTCAATAACAAATACTGTAGGTTGCTAAACTCTCATCTAAAATACAAAGACGTATAACACTAAAATTTCACCAGTCTAACTCTTTCCTTGTATGTGCTTGAGATGTTTACTTACAGCATGAAACATTATAACCAATTTATCCTTAAATGCTTTCAGAGATACCAGGAAGCATTTTAACAAGTCATTCTGTCCATTGAGATGAGTTCTGCAGTTAAATATTTCCCCTATGCATTCTTATTCAACTTCCCCGCCCCCGAAAAAAGTTATGGCTAACATCTATGCTTGCTTTTATTTTTTGTTTTGTTTTGCTTCTTGACTTCGAGTAGATGAATAATAACAAGATGCTTTTCCCTCCTCTAGAACATATCCTCCCCTGAGAGTTCCCCTGCGCATAGGCCCGAGTCCCTGTCACCCGAGGTAGTTATCACACCATCTCAATCACACTTGGAGGCTGAGAGTGAGTGTTCATGAATGTGTTCCTGAGTGTGTGGGGAGGGCTGGGGATCTGAGTCAGTGGGGTGATGGGCTGGAGGGCGGCCACTCAGTCACAGTAAGTTGAATGAGTCTTCCTGTGTGACTGTGACTACACAGGACTGTCAATGTAGATGGAGGAAAATGAAGGTAGGAGCGTGTGTGTTTGTGTGTGTGTGTGTTGTGTGTGTGTTTGGTGGGGTTGGTTTTTGCCGTTTGGGGGAGGGGGTGGCTGGAGTTCTATTAAAGAATAGAATCTAGAAGTCAAGATGCTGATATGTGGTAGGAGCCTTGTTAAAGAAAGGCTAATAAATCAGGAAAGTTGAGTCAAAAGTTGTAAGAGCTGTTTTTTGAGTTGGGTGGTGACTTATGCCTTGTTCTAGGGTTAATCTAACAGCTCTGTAAACCAGATGTTTTGACCTTTGGTTGATAGATTGAGCAGCTTCTTCAGGAAGGGAAAGTCATTCTGTCTTTCAGCTTTCCTACATTTTCTCTGCAGCTCCTTACTGGGTGCACAAGGAAACCAAGTGAGTCCCTGGCTTTCTGTCACAGGCCACCATTCTGCAATGGTTAGGATATGGTTGCTATACAAGTGTTATCTCTTTAGGATATCAGTAGAGTGGTTTTCTCACAAACCCTACTGCTGTGGATATGTCAAACTCAGATTTTAGTGCTAGAGTTTCTATTATAAGCTTTCAGATTTAGTAACATTAACTCTGAATCTATTAATACATGGGACCTTTTTTCTCTTGAAGAGAAAGTTAGAGTCTCTCAGAAATAGTCAACTGAACTTTAACCCTATCCCCTTCCAATAAAAAATTAGGGCATAATTCAGTGACAGTCTACTAAGTTCTGAATCAGTAGTAGTTCACAGGTTAATATGAAACTGAAAAAGGTTTTATTCCACTAGTATATTAGAGATTTTCTTGGTGTTTTGACTCTAGCTTGTTAGGAAAGTAAAGCTCTCTCTCCTCAGTTGTTAAAGATTCTAAGATAACGTAATTTGAAGACTGATATGGTATGGTATCTGGTTTTCTGGTACCATTCTTTGTCGGTTAGCTGTAGTTGACCTAGTGTTGGAAGTTTGGAGGTTATGATAACCAAATAGTAGGTGGGGTTTATTTTTGGTACATTTCAGCATTTCAGAATCTGCAGTGATGAGCATTAGTGGTCTTGTGGTATGTTGACGTACATTAGAGGATAAAGAAGAATTGAGTGGCCAGAAAGTTGTATGAGAAACACAGCTTCTTTAACAGTGAAAGTGAGTGAAGAACTGGTTGGTTGATGTCTTTAATGCCATCCTCCTTTACTGAACCAGTAACTTAAGTACTTGCCTTTCCGTCTACCTTCTCCTTCCTCCACCTTTTTCCCTTCCCCCCACCTTCCATCAATATTAATTTAGAAATTGATAACCCCGGAAGCCAGTTATCTTAAGACACCAGTCTCATCTTTGTTTTGTGCATGGGGCTAAGGTAAATTCCTAATTATACCACTTGTCCCTTAGTGTAGTACAAGGTGACTCAGCAACCTGATGAAAGGCTAAGCAGGCAAAATAGTCACATTTAGCCAATTACCTAATTCTAACTTTCCCAGTATTTCCCATCCAGAAAGACTTGAAAGCAATTTTGGAAAGGCCAGGATTCTTTAGTACTCTGGCCCATGTACACTGTTGCTACGTGGGACTTTTACAGAATATAATGGCTTTATCTGCTCTACTTCCGTCCCTCTTATCTTTCCCTGTTCACCTGTGTCCCTCTCCCCTCCTTTCTGCCCTTTGACTTTTTCCTTTCTCCCCTACCCCATGTCTCCGTTGATTTTTATTCTTTCAGCTTTGTCACCGAAAAGACCTGGATTTGGCAAAAGTAGGATACCTTGACTCCAACACTAACAGCTGTGCTGATAGACCTTCCCTACTCAACTCAGGTCATTCTGACCTGGCTCCTCATCCCTCCCTCGGACCCACTTCTGAGACTGGTTTCCCAAGCAGAAGTGGAGATGGACATCAGACCCTCGTGAGAAACTCAGACCAGGCATTTCGGACAGAGTTCAACTTGATGTATGCCTACTCCCCTTTGAATGCTATGCCTCGAGCAGATGGACTGTATCGAGGATCTCCTCTAGTGGGGGATAGGAAGCCTTTACATTTGGATGGGGGATATTGTTCCCCTGCAGAAGGATTTTCCAGCAGATATGAACATGGCTTAATGAAAGACCTCTCTCGTGGATCCTTGTCACCTGGTGGTGAAAGGGCCTGTGAAGGAGTCCCATCTGCCCCCCAGAACCCACCACAGAGGAAAAAAGTAAGTGTTTCATGTTATATCGGCGAACTTTTCAAGAATGTTAACCAAGTAGTTTAGTAGATATTCATAAGTTTCTGCTATGTGTTCCGCACTACTCTCAGACAAGTGAGACATAGTCTCTGCCAAATCCAGTGAAAGACAGGCTGTTTTAGTACAACTTGGTGAATGTTGTAAATATTCAGCAAATGTAAATGCCTGTATGTGCCATATACTTGCTAGGCAATTGAGAGGTTAGAACAGTGAAAAAGAAATTTTACCTATTATTTAGTGTGTCCCAAGTTCGAGGCACTGTATTAAGCTCTTTAAATGTGTTTTATCCTCACAGTAAGCCTATAAGATAGGCAATTTTCTATTTTGCACATGAGGAAACTAAGGCAAGTTGAGTAACTTTCCCGTGGTCACACAGCTAGTAAATGGAAGGACCAGGATACTACCCAGTTTGAGAGAGAAGGCTGGAGTGAGAGGCAGCAGGTTACTGATTTAACTGAATCTCAAACAATAAGTAGGAGTCAGCCAACCAACAATTGAGGGTGAGGTATGTTACAGTAGAGGGAGTAGAACAGGTAATTAGGTGGCACTCCATTGGCCAGGCAGCAGGCATGCAGTATGGTGCAAACAGTTGGATGTTGTTGTATCAGGTGGAAGGCCGGGGGAGCCAGGAGGAAAGTGCAGAGAGTGCTGGGCTGGGCCAGGCCATAGAGAGCTTGCTAATGGGTTGGGACTCCACTTCCAAGTAATGCCTGATCAAGAAGTCACAAAGCCAAAAATATGCTTTTGTATAAGTGGTTCTCAACTAGGGGTGTTTGAGAATGAGTAGGAGTGTTTTGAATTGTCCCAGTGACTTGCATTTATTGAGCAGGGCCAGGGATGCTGAATGTCCTGTATAGGGGACAGTCCCATGTAATGGCCAAACATCTGTAGTATCCTCATTGAAATGAAACCTAGTGGTTTTTTTATATTTTCATTATAATGATATTACCAGAATTTATTAACTTCTTTCCAAAATTATTTCTAGAAAATGCATATGCAAAACTGTCTATATTTTTGTTCCATTTGGACAGAAAAATGAGAACCCTAAGGGGATAGAAGGAGGAGGAAACATTGGCAGATAATTTGGATTAAGATAATAATTGATTTCGAAGATTGTTGCGTGAACAGCATTGACTACCAGAAACAAACATGAAAACAATCTTTGGATTTCTGGTTTTATAATATTTACTATGTGCAAAAGTCATAGAAATTATGATATTTTATTTCAGAAACACTTCTGAAATTTATTGGGCACATTTAAGCATAAATTTAAGCATATGCCAAATTCTGTGCTGGATGTTAAAGATAAAAAGCCAGATAAACTTGGCCTTTGCCTTCCTAGAACTTATAGTTTAGTCAGGGAGCAATCAAGGCATGGTAATAGGTTCTACGGCCTGTGTAAGCAATGTGCCAGAACAACAAAGAGAAGGTGTACTAGGCAGGGCACGGATTATGGTGGGCAGGGTGGGATGGGAGGTCTGCTGTCAGGAAAGAATGAGCAAGCATTAGGGAGATGAAGGGGAAGTTAGGGAGAAGTTACCAAGTTGTTTTCTAGAGCTAGCTTGCTAAAATTATAAACTGGAAATAATAATTTCCTCTCTTTTTACATTAATTACATCTATGTGTAAGACAGAAACAGTAATAAATTCCTATTTATATCTTGAAAATTTGAACATATTTAAGTATCCTGGAGCATTGGGTTTTTCTTCTGTTTTGTTTTGTTTTTCCTTCTCTCTCTCCCTCTCTCTCTCCACCTACCTCTCCCCACCTCCCTCTCCTCCATCTCCTTCTCCTCTCCCTGCTTCTTTCTCTCAAACAGCTAACTCTAGGGGTTCCCAAGGAGTACAGAACAGCCATCAGTCACCTGGGAGGCTTTTTAAACTATACAAGCTTCCAATTCTCCCTTCTCTAGGTACTTCCATTGTTGCAAATAACTGTGATAGCATGCTTCTGTTACTGTGTAATGGTAACCTCACAAGTTTTTCTGAAGGCAGAAAAAAAGATGGTGGTCTAATTGGCAAACATTCTTTAGAGACTTGCCTCCTAGTTTATTATCTTCCTCTTACCAATTTCCAGCTGCCTTAAATATGTAGCTGTGCTCAGATCTCTTTCATACTCCCCAAAAAAAGTTATCAGGGTTGGTGTCTGCTTTGTTTGCGTGGCTTGGCTAGTGGTTTACTAAGGTACCATCTTTCCTTCTTTCCCTGTTGCTGGTGATCCACTAATGATATCCAGATAGAGTACCGTTTTTTGTTTGTTTGTTTTTTCCTTTCTAGGTATCCCTGCTGGAGTACCGAAAACGGAAACAAGAAGCTAAGGAAAATTCTGCTGGTGGGGGAGGTGACTCTGCACAGAGCAAAAGCAAGTCTGCAGGAGCTGGGCAAGGCAGCAGTAACTCCGTTTCCGACACTGGTGCCCATGGTGTGCAGGGATCCTCAGCCCGAACTCCATCTTCCCCTCACAAAAAATTCTCCCCATCTCATTCCTCTATGTCCCATTTGGAGGCGGTAAGCCCATCAGATTCCAGAGGCACTTCTTCATCTCACTGCAGACCTCAAGAGAATATCAGCAGTAGGTGGTAAGTTTATATTTGATGTTTTATAGTTAAATTGGGGGTGGGGGGGAGTATATATCTAAGATCATTCCCAGTTTTACCTAAAATCTATGGGAACACTTGATGGGAACATCTGAGACAGCCAGCCAACAGTACCATCTGTCCTGTTCAGCTGATTTAATAATGTCAGCTGCAACCCCCCAGCTTTGCAGAATTAAGAATTACCAACATGCCTGTGGAGCAGTGCTTTGGATGACATGTAGTTATGGATGCAGATGAGCTCTTTCATTTGGTGGGCACTAACACTGCCTTTCCTATTTCTCATTTCACATGAAAGGTGAGTCAAGAATCCAGCCAAGTTCCACATGAATTAACAACAGATGTCTCTCTTCCACACAGCTAGCATATACAGAGCAAAAAGACATTCTGAAAGGATTTGTCTGGTTTAGGGGAGACCACAAATTTAAAAATGAATAATACTGGTGGCAAATACTGAGGATCAAATGTGTGAAATAGAGAATGAAGCACAGGAGTTCAGGGATCTTGAACTGAAAAAAATAAGTCTGGGAAAGAACAGTCCTGGCTCAAATGTTTCATGTTCATTAATCTATGAAACCTTTATTAAACCAGTACTGTGTATCAGGCACATGATTTCCTAAAGGAGAAATTTTAACATTTTAAATGGGGGTTAAGGGAAGTTAACATCTTTAACCCACTTTTTCCTTGATTTCTTTTTCTTTAAAAGTGGTTGTTGTTGATGTTTCTCTTTTGTGCCTGACATAGTTGGAGGCAGAGGAAATACGTTGTTTTAAATTGGTTCTGAAGAAAGTAATGTTTAAGAGGATGTTTTAAGAAAATACACTGTGCACTGGTTAGGGCTTCATTTGTTTTGGTTAAGTCCTGTGGCTTGAACTTGCACCCTGTTGCCTTTACAGGATGGTTCCCACATCAGTAGAACGACTCCGAGAAGGAGGGAGCATCCCCAAGGTCCTCCGAAGCAGCGTGAGGGTGGCCCAAAAGGGAGAGCCCTCTCCCACATGGGAGAGTAACATCACAGAGAAAGACTCAGGTGAGCCCATGGCCTTCTGCTGCCACCACATTCAGGGACACATGAGCCGAGTCCTGTACAGTTCATGCCTAGTGCTGAGTTGAGGTGAGTCAGTTTCTGATGCAGTTGGGCTCCACCGCATGCTAGGTTCCAGCCCACTTATGCTCATTTGGGCTACCACATTTGTAAGATCTAGCATTGCTTGCTCTCTGTCTGCTCTTTTTTCCCCAAGGAATACCTTTCTGTAACTCTCATCTCTCCAAAGTCCTGGAAATCTACCTCGATGAAGGATGAAGAGAAAGAAGACGGGAATCACATCAGGCATTTAGAACATAGCCCATAATTAACCACTCATTTTGCCCTTCTGGCATGCTGCACTCACCCAATTTGTCACAAAGAGAGCAGTACGGGTTGGTGATGGCACTGGTGATTTAAATGAAAAATGGCTCTTTCTTACTTATTCTAAGAAGCCAAGTTGATTTTTTTTTATATATGTTACCTTCCAGACCCTGCAGATGGAGAAGGCCCAGAGACATTAAGCTCAGCACTCTCTAAAGGAGCAACAGTTTACAGCCCTTCCAGATACAGCTACCAGGTGAGATGAGAAATTGCTGGTCTCTAGCCATAGGAGTGTGTTCTGGGTCCCAAATTGTCCTGGTCATCCTTTGCCATTGAGATGCTGTCTTTGCATATAGTTTCAGCAGCCTTGGAAATAAGTCATCATCTGCTTGTCCTCAGGTAATAAATTATGCCAGAAGATGAATACGGTGATCAAAGACAGACATTTTACTGCCTTTGGTTTCCTAAAAAGAATACATGGTTAAAAGATGAAGAAAAAAGAATGTAGGGTATTATAAATGTTCACCAGCCATTTAAGGGACTTGTTCGCGTCCTTATTCGTTTCCTCCCAACTTTGTCTAGCTCCTGCAGTGTGATAGTCCTCGGACAGAATCACAAAGCCTCCTTCAGCAGAGTTCCTCCCCCTTCAGAGGACATCCTACACAGTCTCCAGGATACAGTTATCGAACTACTGCACTGAGACCTGGAAACCCCCCCTCTCACGGTTCTTCAGAATCATCCCTCTCTTCCACGTCCTATTCCAGCCCCGCCCACCCTGTGTCCACAGACTCGTTGGCCCCATTTACGGGGACACCAGGGTATTTTAGCAGCCAGCCACATTCTGGAAACAGCACTGGCAGCAATCTTCCAAGGAGGAGCTGCCCTTCTAGTGCTGCTAGCCCTACCCTGCAGGGACCCTCAGACTCGCCAACCTCAGATTCAGTTTCTCAGTCCAGCACAGGAACTCTGAGTTCCACCTCCTTTCCTCAGAACTCTAGGTCGTCATTGCCATCAGACTTACGGACTATCAGTCTGCCCAGTGCTGGGCAGTCAGCTGTCTACCAGGCCTCCAGGGTATCTGCGGTTTCCAATTCACAGCACTACCCACACCGTGGGAGTGGGGGTGTGCACCAGTACCGACTCCAGCCACTGCAAGGGTCAGGAGTCAAGACTCAGACGGGACTTTCCTAGGGCTTCTGGATTTGGGCAAACAGAACTGAATGAGCCCATAGCTGCTTCCTTCCAGCTGCCTCTGGAACCTAGGCCGAGCATATTGCTGAGGAACGGGGGGTACAAGGTGCCAGAGGATTGGGTCTGGTGGACAAGAAACAAGACTTGTGGTCACAATTGGCCTCTGGCCTTGGAGAAAGCTGTAAATCTTGTCTGAAGCAGAGACTATAAAGAAGTTTCTCCCTGCTGTCAAGGGTACATTGTTGACAAGCAAATGGTGTTTCGGTTAGTAACGGTTCTAAGTGCAATGAGTTGTGTTGAAGCCTCCGTCTCCCATCCTTGCCTGTAGCCCGTAGTCACTTGTGCAGTGAGGACATCTTTTTAAATTTAAAAAAAAAAAAAAAAAAAGTTTTCAAAGGAAAAAAAGTTAAAAGAGCCAATCTCAAAGCCCCAAGCCATCTGAGTACTGTTAGGGTTTTATGCACTTAAGAAAAAAGGTAGGTATGTAAATGTTCATCCTAAGACAACCATTCCAAAAGCAGGTATCTGGCCAATGTGTGTCCACCAAGAATACTGTTTATCTTTGTCTTAAGATCACCAAGAAATAGGCAAGGATAGTAAAGCTTGGAACCTGCACCAACTGGAGGGTGCCTGGCTCTTTGAAGAAAAGCTCATGGTCAGCTCTTGATTATTCGGGAGCAGATTATTTGAGTAGATTGTCTGAGCCTCCAACTGTTACCATCCTACTCCCCCTTCCCAAGCTATTTCACAGCTCAGTAACCCATGAAGTAAGTAGACAAGAAAAGGAGGAATGAGACATGATATAGGCCAATTGCATTGCTACTTACCAGCTTTTGGCAATAAATTTCATTAGGAAGGATACCGAGTGGTTTGGGAATGCTTCGAATTTTATTTTTTCTACTCCCAATTAATCAGGAGTTGATGATCCCATGAGCAGGACCGCCTCCATGATTGGGGAGCATGCACTTGTGACTGCAGGGTAAGAGTGGGAAGATAGGTTTGTGGAGTGGCACCGACAGGACTGTGATTGTGTGTGGGCCTGCCCCACATTTCTCTGGGGGATGCTTATGTGAGAGTGGGCCCAGTGAAAGAGTTACCAAGCCACCCACACCCCTAACACTGTTCTGGATGAGAGATGAGAGCAGACCGGCTTCTCCCCATCAGTGCATTGTGCCTGTTGTACACCCCTGGAGGAGCCCTGGAGCCAGCCCAGGTGGGGTACACAATCTTTTTAAATTCCATATGGTTGCCAGCTTATTTCTTTCACTTGTTTACTGTAATATCTGGCGTGTTTTTATTTATCTAATTTTGTATTCAGTTATAACCATGGTAGGGGTAGTGAATATATGACAGGTGTAATCCCTGGTGCTGCAGTGGACCTTCTTTTCTTTTGGACAAGATAATACTGTGAGTTTCCCTCCTTCCTTCCCTCTAATTTGTTTTCCTTTTTTCCCCAGCCTCTTGCATCCCCTTCTTTTCTACCCTGTCCTACAACTATCATATGCACAGTCTTCTCTCTTTGTGTGTGACTGTTACAAAATTTCACTTTTCAAAATCGAAATCAGGTGTTTGCTCAAATGAGGGGAGATTTTTTTTTTTTTTTTTTTTTTAAATGCTGAGACCTCAGCAGAGTACTTTTCTTTTTGTTGTTTCCCCCACAAACCCATCAGTCTGGGAGAGCATTGGGAGTGGAAATCATGTTGCCTGGGATGCTGGTTTCTTTGTATATTATATAAAACGTATGTAAATGTCTCTCCATTTGGGCTGGGGTTTGCATTCTCCCCTTGGCTATTTAACCAAGGGGAGAGGCCAGCGGGCAGGCGGCCCTCACCCTGCCTGGCACGTGCAGAGACCCCAGCCACTCTGTGTGGGCAGGGTGCTGTCAAGACCAGACCTCTTGGGGGGGTAGGGGCGGGGGGGTGGGGGGAACTCTTGGAAGGGAAGAAGTATCACTTCTTTCTCAAGTGGAGTGTTTACACCTTGCTGTAACATTTGAACTTTCACAAGAGATGTAATAATTTTGATAATAAAATTCTTAACCATAATAATCATAAAGTTGAGAACTTCTTTGTCCAATTTTGTGGCCCTGCCTTGCCTGGTTTTCCTAATGCCATTTTTATCTGAGGAGAATGTGCCCTTGGTGGAGTTGTTTTGCCCATGATAATGGGGCCAGGAATACTGTCTGATCTTCCTTCGCTTTTTATGATTGCAGTCAGGACAGTGTGAAGGCAAACCTGCAGCAGGGCAAGTGAACATTAAAAACTGCCTTGAACTTGAGTGGTGTTCCTGACCTTGGCCTCATTCATTCAGCAACTATTTATTGGTCTTTTTCATTCAAAAACAATGCTGGACATTGTTTTTGGTGCTGGGCTTATGGTGATTAGAATGCTGATTGGGGGTGGGCAAAGTAAGGTCTCTTCTTTCATGGAGTTTACATTCTAGTGGAGGAGAGAACTAAACTAGTATATAATTTTAAATAGTCATTGCCATGTTAATTGTTTCATAGCAGATATGTGACTAAGACAGTTGAAGGAGCCACTCTAGATTGGTTGGTCAAGAAAAGTCTCTGAGGAGTTGACATTTAAACTGAGACTTCAGTGACAAGGAGGCAGTCCTGGGACGATGTGAGTGAAATTCATTCTTGAACGTTGCAGACTCTGTGGTAGAAAAAGCTTGGTTAAGATGTAATAAATGGATGGGGCTGGGAAAGAGGATAGAAGATCCTGTAAGAGGGAGATAGGGGACAGATCATGTAGAGCAGGAGTCGGCAAACTCTTTCTATAAAGGGCCAGATAGTAAATATTTAGACTTTGCAAGCCATGTATGGTCTCTGTCATAACTATTCAGCCCTTTGGCTGGGTGCGAATCATGCCTGTAATTCCAGCACTTTGGGAGGCCCAAGAGAGCAGATCACTTGAGGTCAGAAGTTCGAGACCAGCCTGGCCAACATGGCAAAACCCTGTCTACTAAAAATACAAAAATTAACCAGGTGTGGTGGTGCGCACCTGTAATCCCAGCTACTCAGGAGGCTGAGGCAGGAGAATCTCTTGAACCTGGGAGGAGGAGGTTATAGTGAACCAAGGTCACTCCACTGCACTCCAGCCTGGGTGATGGAGCGAGACTCTGTCTCAAAAAAAAAAAAAAAAAAAAAAAAAAAAACAACTATTCAGCTCTTCCATTGCAGTGCAAAAGCAGGCATAGACAGTATGTGGCTATGTTCCAATAAAACTTTATTTACAGGAAACAAGTGGCAAGTTGGATTTGGTTTGCAGGCTGTAGTTTGCTGGTCTCTAATGTAGAACCTTGTAGGTATAATTTAAATAATCTGCATTCAGTAAGTACAGTGGAGGAGTCATTGCAGGATTTTAAGGAGAGAAGTGACATTGTCTAATTTATATTTGGTTGATTTTTAAAAATTACTCTGATTGTTTTGATCCTGTTGGTGAAGAGATGAATAGGAGCTGAGAAACTGGTGTGGAAGGTAGAGCAGTTGTTCAGGCAAGCAACAATGCAGTGGTGGCTTCTATTAAGACGGTAATGATGGGGATAAGAAGTGATTGGAGTCAGGATATGTTTTGCAAGTACACAGCAGAACTTGCCAATGGATTGAATTGGCAGTATTCTAACATTTGTTTGACAAATGTTTACTGAGTAACTAAGGTAGACTGCAGTTTGCAAAGCACATAAGGGATTCAAAGATGAAGATGCTATTTATTAGTTGAAGGAGTTTAGAAATGGAAGGCTGGGCGTGGTGGCTCATGCCTGTAATCCCAGCACTTTGGGGGGCCAAGGCAGGCGGATCACAAGATCAGGAGTTTGAGACCAGCCTGAACAACATGGTGAAACCCTGTCTCTACTAAAAATACAAAAATTAGCCGGGCGTGGTGGTGCGTGCCTGTAATCCCAGCTCCTTGGGAGGCTGGGGCAGGAGAATCGCTTGAACCCAGGAGGCAGAGGTTGCAGTGAGCCGAGATCGTGCCACTACACTCCAGCCTGGGCGACAGAGCGAGACTCCGTCTCAAAAGAAAATAGAAAGTGGAAACATAACAAAACCACTTGTTTTATTAGAAGATCCCTCCAAAATGCCCTAGGAATACCTAGGTAACCTACCACCAACCACAACCTGATTCTACCTGGGTTAGGAAGAGAATAGTGTGCATGATCTTTAGAAAGTGTTTCCATATACAGTGTCTTATTTTGACTCATAATTCTGTGAAGAAAGCAAGCCAAATGCCAGAAGTTAAAGATGAGAAATTGAGACCTAGTACAGTGTTTCAGCTATAGCACTGGGCTTCTGATAATGAATAAAACTAACTGATTTCTGCCATAATTGGAAGGTTCTGTTCCATGACCATTGGCTGAACACCTACTGTGTGCTAGGCTATATCTGAGGTGCTGAGAATATCAAGGTAAGACAGTCAACTGCCCATTCAGAGTTAACCTATTTGCTATTCTTTTCAAGTACTTACTGTGTTGCTAGGGACTTTGCTTTTGATATGGTGTAAATCAGAGGTGTCCAATCTTCTTGGCTTCCCGGGGCCACACTGGAAGAATTATTCAACATGTAAAATACACTAACAATAGCTAATGAGCTTAAAAATATATATATATTTTAAGAAAGTTATGATTGTGTTAGGCCGCATTCAAAGCCATCCTGGGCCACGTGCAGCCCGTGGTCTGTGGGTTGGACAAGCTTGGTGTAAATAGAAGCTAGACAATATTAATTAAAGAGGCCAGTGCAACAGTGGCACCTTCTATGTCACTTTACACTTTCCTGGACTCCACTTAAGTCATCAGCTACCTCATTTACATGTAACAATGTGCAAGGTAGGTATAAGTTCAGAAGATACAACTTATTCAAGATTTCTCTCTTTTAAGTGGCAGACCCAAACCAACAGTTTTGGAAATTTTGCAGTTAACCCAGAAAACAAATAGAAACAGCTAGAGATGCTGTGACACTATGACCAGAAATCACTTACCTAGCTGAAAAAGTATATGGTACCCTTTACTGTCTTAAAAACAGCAGTCTGGCCCTTTTGCCCCCCAGGTGTCAGTTTGACAGTGTAGGGTTCTCTGTTTAGCAGAGGTTACCATGAAGAAAAAAAAAAAATGCAGTTGTCCAAACGAAGCAGGCCCTTTGCTTTTAAACTGCACTGATGACAACCCGCATAATCTGCTGTGAGGCTCAGAGAAAGGAGTTGACCGAGGGTTCGTTCTGTTTTTATTTTAAGAGACAGGGTCTCACTCTGTCACCCGGGCTGGAACGCAGTGGCATAATCGTAGCTCACTGCAGCCTTAACCCTCCAGGGCTCAAGCAATTCTCCTGCACCACCACGCCCAGCTAATTATTTTTTTGTAAAGACAGGGTCTTGCCATATTGCCCAGGCTGGGCTCAAACGATCCTCCTGCCTCAGCCTCTAAAGTGCTGGGATTACAGGCATGAGCCGCCACACCTGGCCTGCCAGGGGTTCTTAAAATGGTCAGTTCTAAAGATAGATGATGGAAACAGTTTGGAGGAGAGCATAGTCATTGAAGGAGATGGTGCTCTTGTAACTTTTACCTGCTCCTGCATTAAAAAATTAACTGGCAGGGATTCTGAAATCATGGTTTTACTATTTCTCAAATTACCCGTTAAAGCACCACAAAGCAGCCATGATAGGAAACCTGGAAACCTTGGACAACTTGACAGCAAAACTAGGTATCCCCAGAAACCCCCAAACAAAAAACGGGTAGAGATAAACCACTAATAGCCACAAGACCAGCATGGTATCACCATCTGTTCTAGTGGAAGCAATGGCACATCTGATGGATCTCAGAACTTCAAAATAACAAGTACTCACTTGAGGCCGGGAGTGGTGGCTCACGCCTGTAATCCCAGCACTTTGGGAGGCCAAGGCGGGCGGATCACGAGGTCAGGAGATCAAGACCATCCTGGCTAACACGGTGAAACCCCATCTCTACTAAAAATACAAAAAATTAGCCGGGCGTGGTGGCAGGAGGCTGAGGCAGGAGAATGGCGTGAACCCGGGAGGCGGAGCTTGCAGTGAGCCAAGATTGCGCCACTGCACTCCAGCCTGGGTGACAGAGCGAGACTCTGTCTCAAAAAAAAAAAAAAAACTCACTTGAAAGCTCACCAAGCCAATTTGAGAACAGCAGCTGAAACTAGGTGGCGTTTGCAGTGAGTACAAAGGATGCTTGATTAGGCCTGAAAGGGCTGGAGTGGTCTGGACCTAAGAAACTTAATTCAAAGCCCTTACAGGACAATGCCCCACACCAAAATTCCTTGTTAGAATCCAAACTGAACAGGACATGCAAAATGAAGGAAGGGGGTGTGGAGGGATTAAATTTATTAGATTAAATGAAGTATTTTGAAAAATAAAATTATGATTATCCCATAAAATTCAGAATGTACTATCCTTACAGAAATAATATAAAGATATTAAATAACTTGTTCTTTAACTCCTGAGAGAAACAATTGTTCATAAAGTTGCAAGCATATTCTGTGTTGAATTGTTGAATTTAAATAGCTATGGTTCACACAGTCCATATTTCAATATTTCACATACACACCAAAAATGAGAATACAACCATGAAATGAAAAACTATCATAAGTCATGCCTGTTTTTTAAAAGTGCAAAATCACTAATTTCATATAAAAATGGATAACAGAAAAACGCAAGTCTTAAAAAGCTACAAGTAAAAATGAGCAGAATAACATCTATAGAGACAATCAAAGTATGCCAAAGACATGCAGGTAAAACATTAAAAAGTAACAAATGGCAGGGCATGGTGGCTCACACCTATAATCCCAGCACTTTGAGAGGCCAAGGTAGTTGGATCACTTGAGGTCAGTAGTTTGAGACCAGCTTGGCCAACATGGTGAAACCCCATCTCTACTAAAAATACAAAAATTAGCCCGGCATGGAATTAGCCAGGCATGGTGGTGCACGTCTATAATCGCAGCTATTCGGGAGGCTGGGGCATGAGAATCGTTTGAACCTGGGAGGTAGAGGTTGCAGTGAGCTGAGATCACACCACTGCACTCCAGCCTGGGCAACAGAGTGAGACCCATCTCAAAAAAAAAAATTCTTTATTTTCAAAAGTAACAAATATCTCAGGAAACCAGAAGTAGAGAGGAACTTACTCAATTAGAACATTTACAAAAACCTAGATGCTTTTCTTGATAAGGTCAGGAACAAGGCAAGGATGTCCCCTCTTATCACTCCTTTTTAATATTGTACTGGAAGTCCTAACCAATGCAATAGGACAAGAAAGGGAACTAAAAGGGGTATATATTGAGAAGGAAGAAATAAAACTTCATATTCACAGATGACATGATTGTTGATGTAGAAAATCCAAAAGAACCCTAAATAGCCCTCCAAGACCTCTGGAACTAATTAAGCAATTATAGCAAGACTATAGGATACAAGATTGTTGTGCAGAAGTTAATCACATTTCTGTATATTAGCAATGAAAAATGGAATTTGAAATTTAAAACAAAGCCAGGCATGGTAGTGCACACCTGTAGTCCCAGCTACTTGGAAGGCTGAGGTGGGAGGATCACTTGAGCCCAGGAGTTCAAGGCTGCAGTAAGCCATGATCGTACCACTGCACTCCAGCCTGGATGACAGAGCAACACTCTGATACTAAAAAATAAACACAAGACCATTTAAATTAGTGCCCAAAGGCCAGGCGCAGTGGCTCACGCCTATAATCCCAGCACTTCAAGAGGCTGAGGCAGGCAGAGCACCTGAGGTCAGGAGTTCGAGACCAGCCTGGCCAACATGGTGAAACTCCGTCTCTACTAAAAATACAAAAATTAGCCGGGCGTGGTGGAGGACGCCTGTAATCCCAACTACTCAGGAGGCCGAAGCAGGAGAATCACTTGAACCCAGCAGACAGAGATTGCAGTGAGCTGAGATCACGCCACTACACTCCAGCCTGGGCAACAGAGCGAGACTCCGTCTCAAAAATAAATAAATAAATGCATAAATAAATAAATAAATAAATAAATAAATAAAATTAAAATAAATTAGTACCCTAAAATGAAATACTTAGGTGTAATTCCAACAAGATACGTATAAGACCTGCATGACGAAAACTATAAAACTAATGAAAAAAATCAAAGATCTAAATAAATAGAGGTGTTCATGAATAGGAAGACTAGTATTGTGAAGATATCAGTTCTTCTAAACATGATCTATAAATTCAATGCAATCCCAACCCAAATACCAGCTAGTTATTTTGTAGATATCAACAAGCTGATTCTAAAGGGGGTTTGTCTGTTTTGTTTTGTTTTTTAAGGCAGGGTCTTGTGCTGTTATGTAGGCTGGAGTGCAGTGGCATGATCTTAGCTCATTGCAATCCCTACCTCCCAGGTTGAAGTGATTCTCCTGCCTCAGCCTTCTGAGTAGCTGGGATTACAGGTGTGCACCCCTATGCCCGGCTAATTTTTGTAGTTTTAGTAGAGATGGTCTCACCACATTGGCCAGGCTGGTCTCGAACTCCTGACCTCAAGTGATCTGCCTGCCTCAGCCTCCCAAATTGCTGGGATTACAGACATGAGCCACTGTGTCCGGCTAATTCTAAAGTTTTAAACTAACACTACCTCAACACATCATAAAGCTGCAGTAATCAAGACAGTGTGATATCAGCAAAAGATTAGGCAAATAGATTACTGGAACACAATAAAGAGTCCAGAAGTAGACCCACACAAATAGAATCATCTGATCTTTGGCAAAGAAGCAAAAGCAAAACGATAGAGTCCGTAATGGATGGTGCAGGAACAACCAGACATCCACGTGCTATATATATATATGTGTGTGTGTGTGTGTGTGTGTGTGTGTGTGTGTGTGTATATATATGAATCTATACACATCTTACATCCTTCATAAAAATTAAAATGGAACACAGACCTAAATGTAAAACTATTAAATTCCTAAAATAATGAACATTGGAGAAAATCCAGATAACCTTGGAATTGACTGACTTTTTAGGTACAACACCAAAAGGATGATCCATGAAAAAAGCAATTGGTAAGCTGGACTTCATTAAAGTTAAAACATCGCTCTGCAAAAGACACTGTCAAGAGATTGAGAAGATAAGCCACAGAGTAGGAGAAAAGATTTGTAAAAAACATACCTGATAAAGGACTATTCAATACAAAGAACTCTGAAAACTCAACAAAAGAAAAATAAAAACCCAATTTAAAAATGGGCAAAAGATCTAAACAGACACCTCATATACAAATGACAAGTAATTGTATGAAAAGACTCCCAACATCATAAATCATCCAGTAATTGCAGATTAGTGCTACAATGAGATACCATCATACACCTACTAGAATGGTAAATCTAAAACACTTAATGAAACCAAATGCTGACAAGGATGTGTAACAGGTACTCTTCATTCATTGTTGGTGGGAATGCAAGATGGTACAGTCACTTTGGAATACACTTCAGCAGTTTCTTTAAAAAGTAAACATACAATTTGGCTGTTGCACTCTTGCGTATTTCCCCAGAATTGAAAACAGGTCCACATAAAAACCAGCATGTGAACATTTATCACAGCTTTATTCATAATTGCAAAAACTTGGAAGCAACCAAGATGTCCTTCAGTAGGTGAATGGATAAGTAAATGGTGATACATCCAATGGAATATTATTCAGTGTTAAAAAGAAATGAGCTATCCTATACTATAATGGTGTATAAATCACTTAATATAAACTCTAGTATGAAGGTTAAAAGACAAATATTTAACTATACTACAATAATCTGTTAATGGATATACAGTATAAAAATATGTAAGTCATTACTTTAAAGATATAAATGGGAGAAAGTAAAAGTATACAGTTTTTGTATGGAAGTGATTAGCTTAAAATAGATGACTGTTTTAAGATGTTTTATGTAAGCCTCATGGTAACCACAGGGCAAAAGTCTATACTAGATACACAAAAGATAACGGGTAAGGAATCAAACCATTCCACTGTAAAAATTCATCACTTCACAAAGGAAGACAGCAAAAGGGGAAGAAGGGAACAAAAAATTTACAAAAACAGAAAACACTGAACAAAATGACAATAGTAAGTCCTTGCCTGTCAATAATTCCCTTGAATGTAAATGGACTGAATTCTCCAATCAGAAGACAGAGTGGCTAAATGGATAAAAAACAAATCCCAACTATAGGCTATCTCGCTGTCTCACTATCTCAATGAGCCATCTACCATTTTCATTGCAGTATTATTCACAGTAGTCAAGATATGAAAACAACCTAACTGTCCATCGATGGATGAATGGATAAAGAAAATGTTGGAGATGCATTATATATACAAAAATGTAAAGGTGCTCACCATCACTATCACCAATTATCAGGGGAATGCAAGCCAAAAACCACAATGAGATATCACCTCATACCTGTTAGATATGTGTGTGCATGCCTATCTATATATAGGTATATATATGCCCACACATAGTACATTATTTTATTCCACTGCACATATATATGTATTATATATATATGCACACACACAGTAACATTATTTGGCCTTTAAAGAGAAAATCTTGCCATTTGCAACAACAACATGGATGAGCCTGGAGGACATTATACTAAGTGAAACAAGCCAGACACTGAAAAACAAATACTGCATCTCACTTGTATGTGGAACCTAAAAAAGTCAGACTCATAGAAACAGAGTAGAAGAGTAATTACCACGGGTCAAGGGATGGGGATTAACAGGGATATGTTGGTCAAATAGTACAAGCTTACCGTTATGGGTGCATTCTGGAGAACCAATGTGCAGTATGGTAATTGTAGTTAATAAAATATGTTGTATACTTGAAATTTGCTGGAAGAATAGATCTTAAGTATTCTCGGCTGACCGTGATGGCTCACACCTGTAATCCCAGCATTCTGGGAGGCCAAGGTGGGCAGATCACTTGAGCTCAGGAGTTCAAGACCAGCATGGGCAACATGGCAAAATCCCCTCTCTACAAAAAATACAAAACAATGAGCTGGGCATGGTGGCATGTGCCTGTAGTCTCAGCTCCTTGGGGGGTTGAAGCAGGAGGATTTCTTGAGCCAGAGAGGTGAGGTTGCAGTGCGCTGTGATCATGCCACTGCACTCCAGCCTGGGCAACAGAGCAAGTCTCTGTCTCAAAAAATTAAAAATAAAAAGCATTCTCACCAGAAAAAAAGGTAACAATGTTAGGTGACAGATATGTAAACTTAATTGTAATCATTTCACAATTGTAATCGTTTCACAATGTATATATATGTCAAAACATCATATTGTACACCTTGATATACCGTTTTTTTGTTATCAACTGTACCTCAATAAAGCTGGAATGGGACGGAGAAATGAGCTATCAAGCCATGAAAAAAACATGGAGGAACCTAACATGCATATTACTATATGAAAGAAGCCAATCTGAAAAGGCTACATACTATATTATTCCAACTACATGACATTACGGAAAAGGCAAAGATAAGGATGCAGCAAAAAGATCAGTGCTTGCCTGAGGTTAGGGGAGAGGGAAGGATGAACAGGTAGAGCACCAATGGATTTTAGGGCAGTGAAACTGTTCGGTATGGTACTATAATGGTGGCTAAACATGCCATTATACATTTGTCAAAACTCAGAATGTACAACAAGAGTGAACCATAATGTAAACTATGGACTTTGAGTGAAAATGATATGCTAATGCAGGTTCATCAGTTGTAAAAATGTACCACTCTGGTGGGGAATATTGATGTAGGGGGAGGCTGTGGGTGTGTGGGAGGAAAGAGATATATTGGGACTCTGTACTTTCCACTAAATTTTGCTGTTAACTTAAAACTGTTCTTGGGTGGGAGCAGTGGTTCACACCTGTAATCCCAACACTTTGGGAGGCCGAGGCGGGTGGATCACCTGAGGTCTCCTGACCTTAGGTTCGAGACCAGCCTGACCAACATGGTGAAACCCTGCCTCTACTAAAAATACAAAATTAGCCAGGCGTGGTGGTGCATGCCTGTAATCCCAGCTACTTGAGAGGCTGAGGCAGGAGAATCACTTGAACCTGAGAGGCAGAGGTTGCAGTGAACCAAGATGGCGCCATTGCATTCCAGTCTGGGTGACAGAGTGAGACTTCATCTCAAAAAAAAACCAAAAAAACTGTTCGAAAAAATGAAGTCTATTTAAGGCCAGGTGCAGTAGTTCCCACCTGTAATCTCTAAACTTTGGCAGGCCAAGGCTGGAGGATCACTTGAGACCAGGAGTTCATTTTTTTTTTTTTTTTTTTTGAGATGGAATCTCACTCTGTCACCCAGGCTAGAGTGCAGTGGCACGATCTTGGCTCACTGCCAGCTCCGCCTCCCAGGTTCACACCATTCTCCTGCCTCAGCCTCCTGAGTAGCTGGGACTACAGGCACCCACCACCACGCCCGGCTAATGTTTTGTATTTTTTTTTAGTAGAGATGGAGTTTCACCATGTTAGCCAGGATGGTCTCGATCTCCTGACCTCGTGATCCACCCACCTCAGCCTCCCAAAGTGCTGGGATTACAGGCGTGAGCCACCATGCCCGGCTGAGACCAGGAGTTCAAGACCAGCCTAGGCAACATGAGACCCTGTCTCTATTTTTTTTTAATTTTAATTTAATTGTTTAAAAAGAAGGAAAAGTAAAGTCTAAAAAAAGGGACAAACAGAAGACAGGCAAAGAAGAGGCACCATATGTATAATAGGAGTTCCCAAAAAAGTAAAAGTAAGGTAACAGAACAAATATCAAAAGCTATAATTTGGCAAGGTGCAGTGGCTCATACCCTTAATACCAGCACTTTGGAAGGCCAAGGCAGATATGGATCACTTGAGATCAGGAGTTGAAGACCAGCCTGGCCAAGATGGTTGAACCCCATCTCTACCAAAAAATACAAAAATTACCTAGGCATGGTGGTGTGCACCTGTAGTCCCAGACACTCGGGAGGCTGAAGTGGGAGAATCTATTGAACCCAGGAGGCGGAGGTTGCAGTGAGCCAAGTTTGCACCACTGCAGCCTGGGTGACAGAGCAAGACCCTGTCTCAAAATAAAAATAAAAGCTATAATTTAAGGAAAGTTTCCTGAAATATTTTAAACTACAAAGTGAAAGAGCATATTGCATACCTAGTAAATTCAATCCAGAATGATAAATAATGAGATATTACAGTAAAATTGTTAGATTTTAAAAACAAAAAAATCTTAGGCAAATACACACACATATTTACACACACACAATCATGTCAATAGGAATACATTCTAGAAAGTACATCTTTAGGTGATTTCATTGCTATATGAATATCATGGAGTGCACTTACACAAATCTAGATGGTGTAGCCTACCTCACACCTAGGCTATACGGCATAGCCTATTGCTTCTAGGCTCAAACCTGTACAGCATGTTACTGTCCTGAATACTGTAGGCAATTGTAACACAATATAAGTATTTGTGTTTCTAAACATATCAAAACATGGAAGAGGTACAGTAAAAATACCGCATTATAATCTTATGGGACCACTATGCAGTCCATCATGGAGGGAAGCATGCAGTTCATGACATGTGTGGGTGTGTGTGTGTGTGTATTTGTTACTTATAAGGCAAAGAAAATTAGGCTGTATCAGACTTTTTGACAGCAACACTTAAATGGCAAAAGAGGCCAGGTGCAGTGGCTCACACCTGTAATCCCAGCACTTTGGGAGGATGAGGCGGGTGGATCACGAGGTCAGGAGTTGAAGACCAGCCTGGCCAAGATGGTGAAACCCCGTCTCTACTAAAAATACAAAAATAAGTGAATGTGGAGGCGGGCGCCTGTAATTCCAGCTACTCGGGAGGCTGAGGCAGGAGAATCGCTTGAACTTGTAGGGCGGAGTTTGCAGTGAGCCAAGATCACGCTACTGCACTCCAGCCTGGGCGACAGAGTGAGATTGCGTCTCAAAACAAAAAAAAAGGCAAAAGCTAATGGGATAATTTAAGATAAGGAAAGAGACAAGCCAAGAATTTTGTACGAACTGAACTTACTTTCCAGGGTAGTAGCCACAAATTGTCATCATTATCATGCAAAAACTTTGGGAATTTTATTTTCATGAATTCTTCCTTAGGGATCTATTGGAAACTGAGCTTCAAGGCCGGGCACGGTGGCTCACGCCTGTAATCCCAGCACTTTGGGAGGCCGAGGTGGGTGGATCACGAGGTCAGGAGTTCAAGACCAGCCTGGCCAAGATGGTGAAACCCTATCTCTACCAAACATACAAAAATTACTGAGCATGGAGGCAGGTGCCTGTAATTCCAGCTACTCGGGAGGCTGAGGCAGAGAATTTCTTGAACCTGGGAGACGGAGGTTGCCGTGAGGTGAGATCAGGCCACTACACTCCAGCCTGGGCGACAGAGCGAGACTCCATCTCAACAAAAAAAAAAAAAAAAAAAAAAAAACTGAGCTTCAAACAACAAAAAGCCTGATAGTATTACTTATATATACTTACATGCAGAATAGACTGAATGAGAGATATAAGGAGAGTATATACTACAAAATGGTTTACGTGACCTGCACAATATAGATAGAGTACAACTTTAGATAAATAAGCAGGAGAGAATGTGTTAAATAATCATACTGGCAGTAGTCTATCTGAGTGCTTTAACGTGTGATAAATAAATACAGCGTCCTTCAGAACCAATATTTCCCAGTGTTGGGGGAAAGGAGGTATAGCTGTTAAAGAAGTTTAGCCAAAACCCTAAGTATTAATATTAACTCATGAGGCATTTTACCATAGGTACAGAGAGATCCCATGTGTCTATCTATGTATCATCTATCGTGTATGTATCTTTGCCCTGTCAACTGGAAAGGCATAGAAACAGGGCTTCTTAGAGAAATGGCTGATTCCAGGTTTAGGAGAAGAAATGTCTAAGATTAGCCTGGATCATCTTGTCATACCAGTCATCAAGGATACTATCAAAGATAATTAGGGTTAGCTTTAAAGAGAATTGTGTTGCAACTTAAAGAGAATTCTCCTGACCAAAGATGGAACATTTGAGCATTAATTATGATAATACATTACAACATAATCAAATCGAACATATTTAAATCCATGAGTTCATAGTGGTACCAAAATAAAATTGTTCATTCTGAAGGATGTTAAGGAACTAACTTTGTATTTTTGAAAAATATATATATTTATATATTTTGAAAGGCCGCAGCATTTATCTTGCCTTTCCTGTTTGAGTTGTACCACTGAGTAACTACATAGCAAATGATGGTAAGTTTCTCTTTATAGAAGTATTTCCACAAGTAAATAAAGAGTGATAGAATTGGAACATCACTATTTTGCAGCTCCTAATGAATTAAAGATGTAAGCATTGAAGATTAACAGCAACTAGCAACACAAAAACAAAAACAACTCGATGTTAAGTGTCTCTTGACCAAAAAAAAAAAAGTTATTAAAATGTGAGAACATACACTCCTGAATCTGGTTAAGTATCTAGATCCAATTATCAATTTGCTGAAAATACAGAGGAGAACAGAAGAACTTACTGAACTATCCCACAAGAATGAAGCCAGCAAAATTCCAGTGGCAGAACACTACGTAACAAATGGTCTGGTTTCTTCAGCAGTAAATTGCAAAGGAGAAAAAGAGATTAAGTGGGGAAAGACATGAAGAAAAAAGAAGTGGCAACCCAGCACAGTGGCATGCACCTGTAGTGCCAGCTTCTTGGGAGGCTGAGGCCAGCCTGCCTGGGCAACATAGCAAGACCTCACCTCTAAAAAAAAAAAAATCTGGCCAGGCACGGTGGCTCACGTCTGTAATCCAACACTTTGGGAGGCTGATGGGGGTGGATCACTTGAGGTCAGGAGTTAGAGACCTGCCTGGCTAACGTGGTAAAAACCTGACTCTACTAAAAGAAAAAAAATAGCTGGGTGTGGTAGTGCATCCCTGTAATCCCAGCTACTTAGGAGGCTGAGGCGGGAGAATCACTGGAACCTGGGAGGTGGAGGTTGCAGTGAGCTGAGATCCTGCCACTGCACTCCATCCTAGGAGAAAGAGCAAGGCTCCATCTCAAAAAAAAAAAAACTAAAAAATTAAGGTTAAGCTGTATTGTTTAAAGATGCTCACTTGGGTGAAAAAATAAAAGTTGGGGAATGATTACAGTAAAAAGATAACGGTTATTCTTAGGAGGGAGGGAAGAGATGGAGTTTATAGGAAACATGAAGGGCTCTGGAGTAGCTGGCAGAGTCCCATCTCCTTGGTAGCAGTTAGAAGGGTATGTTATAATTAAGCTGTACATTTGTTTTATTCTCTGTGTGTTATGTTTAAGAAAACAAACAGAATCTGACCTGGCCACTATAAACTGGCGAACAGCTCTGCTACTAAGAGGCCGGAGGTAATTTGTTGAGCTCATGTCTGATTTATTTCTATATGCCTAGAGCCTAGCAGTACCTGACCAGGGTAAGTTATTCAATAAATGTTTTGTGGGGTGAGTACATGAGTTTGAAGAAGCCTCCAACCCATTCCCACACCCGTTTTGGCACCTCACGGAGCTTTCCAGTGCCGCTGGATGGATCTGTGTGGGCACCCCACACACTTAAGCTCTGCCTAAGTGGACTGGAAGGGAGTTTCAAACTAGGGCTCTGTTTGGAAGTGCGTCTGGTAAACTCCACCAACCTCACCCTCTGTCCCCCATCCCTTTCAACAAGAGCGTGTTCTGTGTCCTCTGGCCTCCTGACACTCTACTCCTACAAAGCAGTTCTCTTCTCCCTGTCCGTCTTTCTCTCCCAAGCTCTCTGCTGTGTATTCAGGACATCTTCGCTTTTCCTTGGCAGAAAACACTACTTCCCTCCATCTAATCTCTTGGCCCTTGCTGAATTGTGGCCTTTCCTTAGGACATTGCCTACCTTGTAGCCCATTGAAGTGGAGGCTGCTGGATCTTTTATACCTTGTTGCACAGAGGTTCTCCCTACGTTTGTCCAGACACATACATCTTGTCCCTCAGATTAAAAACTCCTCCTCTACCAATGCTCCCACCATCAGTGATTTTATCCTTTTTTTTTTTTTTTTTTTTTTTTTGAGATGGAGTCTCGCTCTGACCCCCAGCCTGGAGTACAATGGCGCAATGTCACTGCAACTTCTGCCTCCTGGGTTCCAGCAATTCTCCTGCCTCAGCCTCCTGAGTAGCTGGGATTACAGGCGTATGCCACCATGCCCAGCTGATTTTTATATTTTTAGTAGAGATGTGGTTGCCCCATGTTGGCCAGGCTGGCCTCAAACTTCTGACCCCAAGTGATCTGCCCACCTCAGCCTCCCAAAGTGCTGGGATTACAGGCGTGAGCCACCGTGCCCAGCCTATATCTCTTCATTGCTATTATCTTTTAATCTTCCAACCCCTCTCTGATTCTTAGATAACTTTGACTAGTCTGCCCCTCCACCCTAATTTCTGACATTTTCCCCACCATTTGGATGGACATCCTAACCAGGGTTCCTGTCATCTCGAAGTCTTCTTCAAGATCTACTTGGAATATTCAAATCAAACACTCAGCTCTCTACCCACAATCACCTGTCCTCCCAGCTCTTTCACAGAAACTTCAGTCCCTTGATCCTAATATATTCTCCACTTACTGACTCCATCCAGAGCTCCCCATGTTCAACACCCAGCCTAGATCTCATGGTGGATCTCAAACACTCAGGACACTCAACTCACCTTGCATCTGTTTTCTACAATCTACCTTCTCTGTGTGTACCCTCCTGTCTTCTCATGCCATGACAGATTCATGATTGTCTGTCATTCCTTTTATTTAGCCTTAGCTCCTTTAGGAACAGTTCCAAGATTTCACCACCCTTCTCAAAACCCCTCTTCTTTTTTTTTTTTTTTTTTTTTTTTTTTTTGAGACGGAGTCTTGTTCTGTCACCTAGGCTGGAGCACAGTGGTGTGATCTTGGTGATCCTGGCTCACTGCAACCTCTGCCTCCCGGGCTCAAGCGATTCTCTTGCCTTGGACTCCCTAGTTGCTGGGATTACAGGCACATGCCACCACGCCCGGCTAATTTTTGTATTTTTTGTAGAGACGGGGTTTCATCATGTTGGCCAGGCTGGTAACTCCTGACCTCAAGTGATCGGCCCACCTCAGCCTCCCTAAGTGCTGGGATTACAGGCGTGAGCCACCGCGCCCAGCCGAGCCCCCTTTTCTCTTTCAGTAAACAACCTTGTTTCCTGCTTCACTGAGAAGATGGATGCTATCGGGCAAGAACGCACTGAACTTTTGCCCTGCCCTCCACCCCGAAAGAGACGTACGTCTTTTCAGTCCCTCACCTCTTCTCCAGTGTTTCTGAATAGGATATCTCTTTTATCTTCAAGACCAACTTCCATACCCTGGGCTGCCTTACGTTCACCTCCCTGGAGACCCTGTTCCTTTAGTCATCCTCTCTTCTTTATCATTATCCTCTTACTTGCCATGACCAGTGAGCATTGGGAATGCCACATAAGTAAAGAGAGGTTCCACACCCGCTCCAGGTAATGCTGTTCCTTGCCCACTGCTGGTTCACGGAGTGTAATTGCTCCTGCCTGAATGAATTCCAGTCACTCATTTCCCCTTCTTATCCACACTTCTCTAAATAGTAATCTTCAACCCGTCGCCTCCCACTCTCTCCCTGAACAGACCTCAGTTTGGCTCTCCCCACACTCCTGAACATGCTCTTATCAAGTTTCAGGGGTGGCCTCCTTGTCCCCAAATCCAATGGACACATTTTTCAGTCTCTTATACAGGACCTCTGTGCTCGACTTGACCAGCTGACTTTCCCCTTAAACTCTACATCCTTGGTTTCTATAAAGCCACACTCATGATTCTCCTCCTGACCCCTCTCCTTTGTGGACATCTGTTCCTCTGACAGTGCTTTATCCTGCAGTGCTCTCCAGCATTCCAGAGCTCCATGCTCTCTCCACACCACACAGTCGCCCAGAGCAGGCTCCTCTATGCTTCCAGTTTCCACCACTACCTGGATACCGATGCTTCTGACCCAGATTTTTCTCTTGAGCTCCCAAATCCATATGTCAGCTGACTGCTGGACAACTCCACCAAGGCATCTCACATGCATCTTAAACTTAGCACATCTCAAACGGAACTGATCATCTTGCTCCCCTGCTATACTGGCAGATCTTTCTAGTCCCCAAGCAAAAACTTTAACCCTCTTTTTGCCAGCCTGTGTGTTATTCCCATAGTCAGTTGGTTCCCTTCTACTTCCTGAAGATGGAACTTCTTACTTCTCTTAGACCCACTGCGACCTCCTTGTTTCAGGCCAGGCTTCTGGTTTCTCTTTTACTGAAGTGGTCTCTGATATGGTTTCGCTGTTTGTCCCCACCAAACCTCATGTTGAAATGTCATCCCCAGTGTTGGCGGTGGGGCCTGGTGGGAGGTGAGTGGATCATGGGGGTGGGTCCCTCATGAATGGTTTAGTGTCATCCCCTTGGTGATGGGTGAGTTCTCGCACAGTTAATTCACACACATGAGATCTGGTTGTTTAAGAGCCTGGGACTGCCCTCTTCTCTCTGTCTTGCTCCTGCCCTTGCCGTGTGACACGCTGGCTTCCCCTAACCTTGCACCATGATTGTAAGCTTCCTGAAGCCTCACTAGAAGCAAATGCCAGCAACATGCTACCTGTACAGTTTGCAGAGCCATGCGCCAAAATAAATCTCTTTTCTTTATAAATTGCCCAGTTTGGCCAGGTGCAGTGGCTCATGCCTGCAATCCCAGCACTTTGGGAGACTGAGACAGGAAGATTGCTTGAGCCCAGGAGTTTGAGACCAGCCTGGGTAACATAACAAGACCCCGTTTCTATAAAAAATTATAATAATAAGGCCGGGAGCAGTGGCTCACGCCTATAATCCCAGCACTTTGGGAGGCCAAGGTGGGTGGATCACGAGGTCAAGAGATCGAGACCATCTTGGCCAACATGGTGAAACCCCATCTCTACTAAAAATACAAAAATTAGCTGGGCGTGGTGGTGCACGTGTGTAGTCTCAGCTACTTGGGAGGCTGAGACAGGAGAATTGCATGAACCCGGGAGACAAAGGTTGCAGTGAGCTGAGATCATGCCACTGCACTCCAGCCTGGCAACAGAGTGAGACTCCATCTCAAAAAAAAAAAGAGATAGCCAGGCATGGTGGTGCCTATGGTCCCAGCTACCTGGGAGAATGAGGTGGGAGGATTGCTTGAGCCTGGGAGTTGAGGCTACAGTGAACTGTGATCTCACCACTGCACTCCAGCCTGGGTGACAGAGCAAGACCCTGTCTCAAAAAAATAAAAATAAATTATGCAGGCCAGGTGCAGTGGCTTATGCCTGCAATCCCAGCACTTTGGGAGGCTGAGGCGGGTGGATCACTTGAGACCCGGAGTTTGAGACCAGCCTGGCCAACATGGTGAAATCCCATGTCTACTAAAAATACAAAAATTAGCCGGGTGTGGTGGTGCACACCTGTAATCTCAGCTACTCAGGAGGCTGAGGCAGGAGAATCACTTGAATCAGGGAGGCTGAGGTTGCAGTGAGCTGAGATTGTGCCACTGCACTGCAGCCTGGGCAACAGAGGGAGACTCCATCTCAAAATAAATAAATAAAACAAATGATGCAGTCTCAGGTATGGCTTTATAACAATGCAGAAATGGGCTAACAGTCTACCCCTAATCCAGCCCCCTAATGCTACCACCAGAGTGCTCTTTCTAAAATGCAAATTGAGTCATTTTTCCTTCTGCTTCAAATCCTTCAGTGGTTCCCCATTGCTCTTAAGTCCAAACTCCTGTCCATGGCCCCCAAGCTTTCTCATGGTCTGGCCCTCGCCTGTCTCTCTAGACTCATCTCTGACTCCTCCCTGCCTCGTACTTCACATTTCAAACTAAGTTGCTTTTCGTCCTCCATACACAGTTCTGCTGCCTACCTCAGTCTTTTTCCTCAAGCTGCCTTCTCTTTGACCTTCCTGACCCCTCCTGCCTAACTTCTCATCCTACAGCAAGACCTCCTCCTACGCTGCCCACGTCACCAAAAGCCATTTAAAGTATTCCTGCCTAGGATACCCACAATACCCTGCATGTGGCAAGTCATGCGTTATTTTCACATGTTCATCTCCCCAACCAGAATTATGCTTAAGACAGCATCTCTGTTTTGCTCATTTTTTTTCTAGCTTAAGTGCTTAGCATACACTAAGTGCTTAAAATGTGTTGGAAGAGGACTCCATTTCCAAGTCTTCAATGTAGCTACCTGGTACTGCGCACATTACAGCGTGCCAGATACCCTGCAGAGCAAAGTGCATATATTCCCTGGTATGTTGCTTACAGCTTCCCTTGGGGGAGTCACTATTGTTTTCTCTATTTATTCAATGGGGCTTTAGAGAGAGGCAAAGTGACTGGACTGAGCACTCTGGCTAGAGCAGATGAGGCTCTACTCTTTTCTGCCTGTATGGACTTGGACAAGTCGTGCCTGTGCTGTCAGAGGTGTGCAGAGATTACTGTATCCCTCTCTCTATTCACTCCTTTCTCCTTTGTATCAGAACCCTATTTTTTTTTTTTTTTGAGACGGAGTCTTGCTCTGTTGCCCAGGCTGGAGTGCAATGGCGCCATCCCACCTCCCTGCGACCTCCGCCTCCTGGGTTCAAGCAATTCTCCTGCCTCAGCCTCCTGAGTATCTGGGATTACAGGCACGCACCACCATGCCTGGCTAATTTTTGTATTTTTAGTAGAGACAGGGTTTTGCCATGTTGACCAGGCTGGTCTCAAACTCCTGACCTCAGGTGATCCACCCACCTCAGCCTCTGAAAATGCTGGGATTACAGGCATGAGCCACCTTGCCCGGCCAAGAACCCCAGTTTTATTTGGGCTGGCAATGCGCCGAGATAACAGACCACACTTTTTCAGCCTCCTTTACTGTTATGTGGCCCAAGTGACACAGTCCTATGGAATTTCCAGAAGTCTTCAAATGAAATGTGGACCAGGTGACTGGAGCTCCAGCAGCCCACGTTGGGCCATGAGGTGTTCTTGAGGATGTAGCCAGGATTGAAAATGGCAGTGCAGAAAGATAGGAGCCTGGGTTCTGGATAACACTGAGAGCCATATCAGCCGTGATCTACCCACCTCCAGGCTTTTTTTTTTTTTTTTTTTTTTTTTAATGTGATGGTAAAATAAACTATCTTGTTAAGCCACAGTAGTAGGGTTCTGTTAATACCAGACAAACCTGATCCATAGGGTTGGAATCTTACCCCTCTTGATCCCAGTGACTCAGAGAAGTGGCAGCCAGCGTGGGTGATAGAAAGTGTTTCTTTATTTGAATGTCATTCCACCTGCACTGAAGCTTAAACCCAGCAGCAGCAGAAGGGGTCAGGACCAAAATAAATGTTACCAAATTAGACAATGAACAGCGAGGACACACTCAGACAAAACTTACTAATGGGGTATAGACAACACCAAGCTATCCTAACAGCACACAGCACAGGCCCTCGGAGGCCTGCCCATCAGAGCTCTGCGGAAGGCTCCCTTGTTCCCTGTTCAGGAAACTCCAGTCCCACCCAAAGGTTAGCCGTGGGCCAGGCAGGGGCCTGCAGAAGTTTCTGGTGCTGGGAACATCCCAGCTTCTCCAAAGACAGGGTTTCCCTTTCTCTTTCTCAGTTCACACTGGAAGCTGGAGAAAGGTTATTCCCCGTGTGCCCAAGCAGGATGCTCAAAAGGCCAGGGACTCTCCCCACAGCCTTATCTAAAAGTTCTCATCATCTTGGCTATCAGGCCTGAAAAGGATCTTGATTCTTTGGTCCTCACCCCCTCAGGAAAGTTTTCCTTCATGGGTACCGGTCCCCAAAGACGAAAGTTTTCATAGCCCCGGTTCCCAGAAGGACTCAACTGACCAGACTGTGGGCCAGGGACTGAACCACCCCTAGGCTGTGGCTGCCGTGGCCTCTCCTGAGTCCCCAGATCAGGCAGAGAAAAGCGGGCAATGGCAGACCCCTGATCACAGTTAGGGGGGTCACAGTTAGGGGGGGACTTCTCTTGGGACCTGAAGCCGGAAGGCTCTAGGTTGGAGCCCAACAAGGCCCTCCTGGGGTCAGAAACAGGCACTGATCTCCTCTGCTTACCTCCTCCTGAAGGCTAAAGCCAGATCGCCCGACGAGAGCAGAGGCAAACCACAAAGCCCCCTTCCCATGATGTCTTTATTGCCCCAGGAGGGCCATCAGGGCCTCACCTGGGGCCCCCACTGGAGCACCTGCCACCTGCCCCATCCACACCTCTGCAGAACCCAGGGCCCCAGTCTATGGTTTGGTCCCCACTCTGACTTCTACCCCTTGCCTGTGTCACCCTGGGGTTCCCGCAGACTTCAGCCCACACAACTCTGCCTTCCTGACTCCAAACTCCCTGGTGCATCTCCCCCTGGCTCTGCCAAGATGGCAGCTGGCCAGGTGCGGTGGAATGGGAATGTTGCCAGGCTACCCCACCAGGGAACTAGCCTCCCTCCTCTCCACCCGGCGCTGACCCACTCCTAAGTCAGCTGGACCCACTACGTCCTCTGAAGTGGCTTCCTTCACTCCAGTTCTTCCCAAAAGGATGCGGCCTTGGCTGCCTGTGCCCCGGGCCTCCAGCCTCTGAAAGGTCAGTTCTATCCCCCGCACCAGGGCACAGGTTTGGTGGGTGTCCTTGGGGAACAAGGTGTGGCAAGGACACCTGGTGGCAGGCGTCCTTGGGGGAACAAGCTCTCCCCTCACCCAGTGCCCAGATAGCAACCCCCTCCCCACTGCCCCGCATCCTGGCTCCTTCATCCTCCTCTCCTTCCTCTGCATCCCATTCTTGCCCCCAACCCACATCTCCATTTACCTCTTCCCCGCTCCCGAGTCCTTTTTCCGCCTTTTCATCCATTTCCCCTCCCCCACCCCAAGCTCTCGGGCAGCCTCTCAGCTGGTCTCTCATCTCTCTCCACCTCTGCCCCGTCTCTCTCGATCTCTCCTCCTCGCGCTGTTTCTCTGTGCCTGTGCGTCCCCCTCGCTCCTTCTCCAATCATCTCTCATCTCCCTGTCTCTGCACCCCTCTTCTCCTCACCCCAGTGTCTTCTCCCATTCCCAGTCGCTTGCTGCGCCCCTCCCCTCACTCTCTCCTAACTCTGCTCTCCCCCTCCAACGCTGGGCTTGGTTTGCATCTTTGAGGAACTCCCTCCTACCCCAACTCCCTCCCACGGGGCTCCCGCATCCTCCCGCATTTAACTCGGACCCTCTGTCCCGCAGCGCCCCTACCCCAGGCCGACTGGACTGTCCGGGAAGGCGCCGGCGGGGAAGGGGAGCCCAGCGCTGGGACCAGAGCACTGCGGGGAGGCTTTGCCCGGGAGGAGTAAGTGGAGGAGTGAAGTCGGGACTTGGTAAGTTCCAGGTGGCAGGAACCCACTAGGTCCCAACATCTGATTCCGGCTAGGGTCCAGAGTGGGGAGACAGGCAGGGGACTTCTAGGGTCTTTCTTGGAAACCCTAACTCTCAGGTCCAAGTCCTGTGGAAATGAACACAAGGTTGGCAAACACATGGCGCTCAAGCGACCCTCTCCCCTCCGCCGAGGCCCGAGGCGGCTTCCCCTGGCATCCTGCAGGGCACCGCCCCTTCCCTGCAGGTCCAGGCCGCCAGGAGGGGGCGCTGGACGAAGCCGGTCTGCACCAGCAACTAGTGCTGAGGGAGCTGTCCAGGCCCCAGGGCAGGGAGGCTCCCCGGGAGAGATGGCTCTGCCGCCAGACCCACAGGGGAATGACGGGTGTTCAAAAAATACCAGGAGTCTCCCTCACCTGCTCCCTGCCAAGGGGAAGGGAGACGCCCCCACAGTGGGTGGAGGGGGGAGAAACTTCTCACCTGTCCCCCAACACACACACACACACACACGCTCACACGCGCACACACACGCACACACATTTCACCCACATACACATACACTCATGCCTCGGCTCCAAGCACTGCCCATAGGTGCAGACCCTGGGCATATCGCAAGGCGAGAGGTGGGCCAGGAGGAGGAAGAGGCTGGGACAGGGTAACAAGGCTTAGGAAGGGGGACAGGGGTACCCTGTTCAGAGATGACCTGCAAGTTCAAGTTATGCAGAAAAGTATCAAAGAGACAAGACAGTCTCTGCCCTTGGTAGACGCCTGGGGTATGGAGGGCATGAAAAGGGGCAGAAGGGGTAATGCATCCCCCAACTCCCCACCTCTGGGGTCCCCTCCACACCCCCAACCCTGACAACAGGGCCAAGAAGTCTGTGCTGTACAAAACAGGCCAGGGTCAAGGGTCCAGTCATTGGTGAGACATCCCAGCAGAGAGGAGGCCTGGGCAAAAGAGGCCAAGGTCAAGGGCTCAGTCATCAGTGAGATGTTCCAGCAGAGAGGAAGAGGAGGCCAGGCCAGCCCGGGCTGAGCAGCTTCTAAGCTCCAACTGCCGAGGCCACGTACCCCCTCCCGCTACCTCCAGAGCCTGAAAGTCTTTTCTGACTCTGGGCTGATCAGGGCCCCGGTCTGCAGCTGACAGCAGGGCCCTGTGCATCCCTCGGTGCAGCTCTCCCTCAGGGTGAGCTGGGAGCAGGCCGGAATGGAGCAGAGGAGGTCCCAGGGGAGACTGGTGGCACCTGGAGCTTTGTGGCAGATGTGGTGGAACCAACATCAGCCAAAAAAGAAAAAAAAAAAAAGTAGGAAAGAGTCCAGCCCACCCTGGAGCAGTATCTAGAATAAATTTCTTGAAGAGGCAGGGACCAGAAGAGGTGCGGATACAGCCAGGCGGCAGCCCTCCAGACTGAGGGGGCCTGGGGAGCTGGAACTACAGCTCCGCTCTCCCTGGGGATCTGCAGGGACCTCCAGGCCAGTCTAGAGAGGAGAGGAGAAGCCCAAGGGCCTACGCAGATGCAGGCTCCCTTAGGTCAAATTGAGGGAGGAGCAAGAATTAGACCCTCCCAAGGTTTGGAGGGCCTCTCCTCTCCCCCAGGCCACATCCAGGCTTTCCTCTCCTCAAAGCCTGGAGCTTGCAGGGTAGTCGGTGAGAAGTAAGTCTGAGATCAGGGTCTTCCCTCAGAGCTTGAATGGAGTGACGAGAGGGCAGAAGGCAGGACAAGCTGAGGTCAGGCCAATTACTGGGCTGTGATCCTGGCCTTTCAGGGTCCCTGTGAGTGAGCCACGGGGCAGGGAAGGACTCCCCATCCAGAGACATCACCCCCGGGCCGCAACACGGAGCTTACTGTAGAGCCCACAAAATCTAAGAGAGAGAGAGAGAGAGAGAAGGAGAGAGAATTAGAGAAAGTCAGAGGCTGCCTGGGCATTCAGGCTTTCCTTGCACATTCCCCAGGGCACAAGTGGGCAGAGGGGCCGGGCGCGGTGGCTGACGCCTGTAATCCCAGCACTTTGGGAGGCTGAGGCGGGTGGATCACTTGAGGTCAGGAGTTCAAGACCAGCCTGATCAACATGGCACAACCCTGTCTTTACCAAAAATACAAAAAATTAGCCGGGCATGGTGGTGCATGCCTGTAATTCCAGCTACTTGGGAGGCTGAGGCAGGAGAATCGCTTGAACCCAGGAGGCAGAGATTGCAGTGAGCCAAAATTGCACCACTGCACTCCAGCCTAGGCAAAAAGTGTGAAACTCCATCTCAAAAAAAAAAAAAAGGTCAGAGGGGCAGAGGGGCAGACTGCACAAGCGCTGAAATCCTAGCCTCACCTGACCAGCAGGATGGCCTTGAGCAAGCCATTTAACCTCTCTGAGCCCCGATTTTCTCATCTGCAAAATAAGGATCATAGCCTACCTCACAGGGTAATTCCGAAGGGTCAAAAAGAGACAAATAATGACAGCCAAGGACTTGGCAGTGTTTGGTCATAGAATATGCTGGAAATGGAAGCAATTTATTTATCTATTTTTTCTTTGGTTCCAGAGGTCTTCTTTAAATATATATATATATTTCTTTCTTTTTAATAGAAACTGGGTTTTGTTACATCGCCCAGACTGGTCTTGAACGTGTGGGCTCAAGCGATCCTCCTGCCTCAGCCTGTAGCTGGGACCACAGGTGCGCGCCATGGCTTTTGGCTCGGAGGTCTTTGGGTTAAAACTGAAGTGGGAGGCTCACTCATCTTGAACTCCCAGTGAGGGACGGAGACTCCCTGGACACTGAAGGGAGGAAAACTGGGGCTCCTTTACATTGATTTTTAACACTGAGTTGTTAGGGGGCTTTGGGAAGGGAGGAGAAGGACACCGAGGGGGCCCACTTCACATCAGTCACATCCCCACACCCCTTCTTGAGAAAGGCCAGATCTCAGTCTGTCTTGCACTTCTGAAAGCTGCCGCCAGAGGGCAGGCCTTGACTTCACACCAAAACCACAGTAATCCCGGGGTCTGAGGGACTGCATCAGGTATTTAGAACCTGCCTCTGAGTACAGGTTAGCAGATCAGCATCCCAGGAGAGCTCCCAAAGCCGTGCAGGAAATCTCTGGCTTCACCAGGTTGAGACAGGGGGGAAGAGCTTGGACTTTGGACTTGGACCTGGGTTCAGATTCTGCCTTCACCACTTAAGTGACTTTGGGCAAATTACTGGAGCTCTGGAGTTCTCTGAACCTGGCCTTTTTTCTTTATTGTATTTTAATGCTACTTGATATATATGAAAGTTTATATGCAATACACTAATTATAAAGCATACAATGTGCCAGGTAAGGTGGCTCACACCTGTAATCTCAGCACTTTGGGAGGCCAAGGCGGAAGGATTGCTTGAAGCCAGGAGTTCAAGACCAGCCTGGGCAACATGGGGAAACCTCGTCTCTACAAAAAATACAAAAATTAGTCAGGCGTGGTGGCGCATGCCTGTAGTCCCAGCCACTCAGGAGGCTGAGGCAGGAGAATCGCTTAAGCCCAGGAGTTTGAGGCTGCAGTGAGCTATGATTGCACCACTGCACTCCAGCCTGAGCAGCAGAGTGAGGCCCCCTCCCCCAATCTCTTAAAAAAATACAATAATCAACACTGGTGAGCTCACCATTCAATAACTATAACTCAGCCGGGTGTGCTGGCTCATGCCTGTAATCCCAACACTTTGGGAAGCTGAGGCAGGCAGATCACTTGAGGCCAGGAGTTTGAGACCAGCCTGGCCAACATGGTGAAACCCCATCTCTACTAAGAATACAACAGTTAGCTGGGTGTGGTGGCAACATGCCTGTAATCCCAGGTACTCAAGAGCAAGAGGCTGAGGCACGAGGATTACTTGAACCCAGGAGCTGGAGGCTGCAGTGAGCCGAGACCGTGCCACTGCACTCCACCCTGGGCAACTGAGCAAGACACTGTCTCAAGGAAAAAAAAAAAAAAGGACTCTAACGCTACCCATAATTTGCATATACCTCCACGCTCCAGCTCATATACTTGACTTCCTCCCCTTCCATCATAACCACAGATGACCATCATCCTACCTTTCATATTTATTATTTCTTTGCTTTTTAAAAAAATATACTGCCACAGCTGGGCACGGTGGCTCACACCTGTAATCCCAGCACTTTGGGAGGCCAAGGCAGGCGGATCACGAGGTCAGAAGATCGAGACCATCCTGGCTAACACGGTGAAACCCCATCTCCACTAAAAATACAAAAACTTAGCCGGGCGTGGTGGCGGGTGCCTGTAGTCCTAGCTACTCAGGAGGCTGAGGCAGTAGAATGGTGTGAACCCGGGAGGTGGAGCTTGCAGTGAGTGGAGATCGCGCCACTGCACTCCAGCCTGGGTGACTGAGTGAGACTCCATCTCAAAAAAAAAAAAATACTGCCACAAATACATGTGTGTTTAAACAATACATTGCTTAGTTTTGCTTACTTTCGAGCTCAATAAATATATCACTCTGTCATCTTCTGGAACTTGTTTTTTTTTTTCCCCCTCTCTCAACATTATATTACTGAGATACATCCACTGTGGTACATATAACTGAAGTGTGACATTTTCACAGCTGTGAGCTGCTCTGTGATGTGAACATGTCACGTGTATTTATCCGGCCTCCTGTCCATGGCCATTGGGCTGTTTATAGCTGTTTGCTACAGTGAAGCTGCAGCCACCAGCGCCCTTGAACGCTTCTCATGGGTTTGTACCCGAGGTGGGTTTGCTGGGTCACAGGCAAATGATCAGATCTGAGGCAGAACATCAAATCATTTAAAAGGTGGTTGTACTGTCAGGCAGGTTTCTTTTTTTCTTTTCTTTTCTTTCTTTTTTTTTTTTGAGATAGGCTCTCACTCTGTAGTCCAGGCTGGAGTGCAGTGGCACAATCACAGCTCACTGCAGCCTCAACCTTCTCAGGCTCAGGTGATCCTCCCACCTCAGCCTCCTGAGTAGCTGGGACCACAGGCACTTGCCACCACATCCAGCTAGTTTTTGTTTTTTTTTGTTTTTTTGTTTTTTTGTTTTTGAGACAGAGTCTCGCTGTCTCCCAGGCTGGAGTGCAGTGGCGCAATCTCAGCTCACTGCAAGCTCCACCTCCCGGGTTCATGCCATTCTCCTGCCTCAGCCTCCCAAGTCCGGCTAATTTTTTTGTATTTTTAGTAGAGACAGGGTTTCACCGTGTTAGCCAGGATGGTCTGGATCTTCTGACCTCAGGATCCACCCGCCTCGGCCTCCCAAAGTGCTGGGATTACAGGCGTGAGCCACCGTGCCCAGCCCAGTTTTTGTATTTTTTTAGGGAGGGGATTTCACCATGTTGACCAGGCTACTCTTGAACTCCTGGGCTCAAGCGATCTACCTGCCTTGGCTTCCCAAAGTGCTGGGATTATAGGCGTGAGCCACCACGCCCAGCCAGGGTTTCCAATTCATGCAACCCTCTTACTCCTTTTATTTGAAATTATCCTGCCTCCCAGGACCAGGCCTGGCTCCCGCCGCTGCCCCCCAGCCCACAGCACACTCGCCTTTGTTCTCCGGCTTGAGCTCCTCCTGCAGCAGGTCTGTTTGCCGGTTGCCCAGCACGAAGGCGAGGAAGGAGAGGATGAGGGCGTTGAGGATGCCGATGATGGCCAGGATGTATGCCCAGCGCACTGAACAGTCCCCCAGGGAGTACTTCCCCGTCTTGGCCCCACACATGTCCCGGATGGTCTCGGCATCCCAGCCATCAGGAAAGATCATGCAGCCCAGGACGAGGCACAGAGCTGAGGGGCAGAGCACCGGGCCCACCACCACGGTCAGGAAGGAAGAGAAAAGACCATTACTCGCTAGTGTCCGCAGTCTGGGCCCCACCCTATTGAGGGCACATCAACCCAACCACGTGCTTGTTACCCACTTCCACAGAGGGAGAAAGAGAGGGCAGGGGCAGGGAAAAGAGAGAGAGAAAGAGGTCTACGATGGGTAGCAGAAACTTTCTGGAACCCGCAATGCCCTCTCCCTTCCCCATGAGATCAACTCCTCCTCCAGGAAGCATTCTGGGAATATGAGAACATAGCCACCCACAGCCACCTCCTTCAACTTCCTCTAGCATCGGGACCAACTCCCTCTCCCATCTCTCCCATCCTCATTATTATTATTATTGTTGTCGTTGTTGTTGTTTGAGACGGAGTCTCGCTCTGTTGCCCAGGGTGGAGTGCAATGGCGTGATCTCGGCTCACTGTAACCTCCACCTCCCGGGCTCAAGCAATTCTCCTGCCTCAGCCTCCTGAGTAGCTGAGACTACAGGTGCCTCCCACCATGTCCGGCTCATTTTTGTATTTTTAGTAGAGATGAGGTTTCACCATGTTGGCCAGGCTGGTCTCGAACTCCTAACCTCAAGTGATCTGCCCACCTCAGCCTCCCAAAGTGTTGGGATTATAGGAGTGAGCCACCACACCCGCCCTCATTGTTATTTTTTAAATTCTTGTCCTTCACCCATCAAATGTTTATTGGGCACCATTTTCCTTTTATTCACGATGCTAGAATATACTTTCATTCATGCAGTTGAGCACTTTGCTAAGAGCACAGACTATGGAGTGCCAATGATAGGACTTAGCCTAGTTCTTCCCCTAACTTGGCTGTATGACCTTGGCAGATGCCGCTGAACCTGAACAGGCCTGTTTCAGTCAATACCATTGTACTTACCTCAAGGGCGATTAGGAGGATTAAATGAAGTAATGCGTGCAAAACACTTAGCACGGTGCCAGGCACTCAGGTAGCATTTATCCAGGGCCTACCATATGCCAGGCACTAGACCAGGCCTGCGGGGTGGGGAGACTTGGATTTTAGCTGCATGGAGCTTGCAATGTAGTGTGGAGAGAGGTACGTAATAGCAAAGCGATTAAGAAGGCTGGGTCTCAAATCCTGGCTCAGCTATTTTCTAGATATGCCACACTGAGCAAGTTCCTTCATCTTTAAGCCTCAGTTTCTTCATCTGTACAATGGGGATAATGATGGTATCCTCAAGTGGTTGTAAAGATTATGGAAGGCAGCAAAGTGTAAAGTGCCTGGCACAGTAAGTTCTGGGTAAATCTTAGCTGTTATCAAAACCAGTCATAATGCCAAAAGTAATAATTACACAAATAAGAAAGTAATTCGGAGAGTTGGTTTCAGGTGAGGAGGACAAAGGCAAAGAGGAAGAGAAGGGGCAGGCTCAGAAGGGCCTTGGCAATGGTTCCCTAGCTAGCATCCACCTGCTTTGGATTTAGCAACCCACCTGTCCCAATCCCCGCCCAGGTGGGCCCTTGGCCAGCACTTAGCCTAGTGGATGAGACCCAAGCCTGAGCTGATCAGCACATTGCACTCCTCTGGTAAGAGTGACTGGCTTGGAGAGTGGCACCTCCTGCGTCACAGGGCAGTCAGAACCCCCAGATTCAGCAGGCCACTGTAGAGATGGGGTCTTCCCCTCCACCAGCTCTGCATCACCGGCTTGATGGGGCCCTCGTATTGCCAGTCCTGCCAACATTTGGGTTACTGTATCTGAGACCCAAAGGTTCCAGAGGGCTCTGTTTGGAACCGTGGGGACCTTGAGCCTGCACCAGGTCCACAGGGTGCTTAGCCTGGGTTTTAGATGACAGCAATGTAAAGTGGGGGTGATGGTCAGCTCTGCCCACTGTCCACCTGGCCCATCTAGTCCCCAGGGTGGGAAGGGGCCCTTGGCTGTGCCAGCTCCCTCCCACATCTACCATGGAGGGAATGCTCCCAGGCCCCAGCCTCTTCCGGCTTCCAACGGAGTGGGCCCTCCTTCTCATCGTGGCACTGCCAGATTCCAGCCAGTCCTCCTCCTCTCCCCAACACGTGCTCCTCTTCCAGATGCAGGCTCCCCCCACAATACTATGATCGAACAGACACTGCAGCAGGGCTCCTCCCCCCACCAATGCTCCTCCTCCAAGTCAATTATCCACTCCAGTGGAACTCACCACCTAAGGGCTGGGAAAAGAGTTGCAGCCAAAGGGAATGGCAAAAGCAAAGTCCTGCGGCGGGAACAAGCTGGATGAGTTAAAGAATTAGCAACTTTGAACAGGCCAGAGCTCAGGGGAAAACCGGGGCTAGACATGCAAATCTGGGGACTCTGGGCACTTTAGGTATTTAAATCTCGAGGACTGGACATGGTGGAAACTGAAGAGAAGGCTTAGGACTGAGCCCTGGTGCTCCAGCATTAACAGGGCAGGAGGAGGAAGAGGGGCCTGCGGAGAAGGCCTGGCCGTCATCTCTCCACATAGCGCTGCACTTTGCCAGACCCTCCAGGACCCTATCTGAAAGGAAAGGAGGGTCAAACGCCAAGGAAGGCAACGGGGCAGGGGGAGGAGTGGTCTCAGCCCCAGTCCTTCCCCCGCCCTCGGAGTCCCCAGAGCCCTTTCCCAGGCGGGTGCGCTCCTGCCTCCCTATTCCCGGACTCTAAATCTCCAGCAAGAGGCAGGAGTGGGAACGAGCCCAAGAAGGGGGCAAACCCACACCGTCCCTTTGCCACCTCTCTGGTCGTCCATTCCCGTGGTGCCAGAGGCGCGGGTCCTGCAGTAGTCGGTGGCTCCCGCCAGGAGCATCCCCGTCTCCGTGGAAACCGGGCCTGCATCCCGGCGCTCCCAGCTGCGCAGCGCTGGCTCCTGCGGGCGGTCCTCCTCCCCTCCGCAACCTGAGCACTGAGGCCTCAGGGAGGTTTTCTTCCTTTTGCTTTCCGCCTGCACGTTTTTTCTGCCTCTGTCTCTCTCTTTCATTCTGTGTCTCCATTCCTTTCTCTTCCCCACCCTTTTCATCTTTCTTCGCACCCCCCTCTCTCTCTCTCTGGCTTGTCTACCTAGTGCTCAAGTCTCAGTCTGGACCCCCGCCCCTCCCGCTTTCCCCTTTATTTAGATCTTTCAGCACTTAACATTCATTCAACTCCCTCCTCCTCTCTATTTCTTTTCTCGCTTCTCTATATCTATCCCCTCCCCTTATCCTCTCTTTTTGCCTCTCACTTCATAGATCCCACAAATACAGTCCTGCATGCCCACTATGTGCCAGGCACTGTGCAGTGTGCCGGGGACAGCAGGCTGGGTGTCTGTCTTCAGGGCAGAGGCGTGTGGGAAGGAATACAGCCAACAAGTCAACACATAAATAGAAGAGTTACACATGTCAAGGTGTGCTTCAAAGGAAAAAGACTAGCAGCTGCCACCCACAATAACAGGGGTACTCAGAGATGGCTGGGGCACTCACGCTGCAGGGTTTCAGATGGTGGCTGTGGGGCCCCAGAGGCCACTCCGGGAATGGGAAATATCAGAAGTCAAACAAATGAAAAGCCAATTAGATGGGTTCCTTGCACCTAGGGGAAAGATAGAAAGGGACCAGTAGAGATAGCCTAGGCCAAGGAAGTGCCCAAGAGGGCCAACCATCAGGAGATGGAATGACTGCAGATAAGGCAGGGTTCAGTGTTCCCATTTGCTGGATGAAGAAACTGAGGCTGAGGCTTTTGTGCTCCAAGCTCGAGTCTCTTTTGGAATAATGGGCTGGCTGAAGACCCAGCTGCTGCTAGGCACATACACGGGTGCAGGATGGCACAAGCTTTCTCAGCCTCAATGCTTTTGACATTCAAGCTAGATGATTCTTCATGAGGGGCCAACCAATGCACTGTGGGATACTTAGCATCATCGGTGGCCTCTACCCACCAGATGCCAGGGGCACCACCAAACCCAGTCATACTGATTAAAAAATGTCAGTTGGGCATGGGTGGCTCATGCCTGTAGTCCCAGTACTTTGGGAGGCCGAGGTGGGAGGATCACTTGAGGCCAGGAGTTTAAGACCAGCCTGGGGCAACATGGTGAAAACACGGTGAAAAGCACAAGTACATGGTGGCATGTACTCGTAGTCCCAGCTCCTCAGGAGGCTGAGGTGGGAGGATCGCTTGAGCCGGAAGATCAAGGCTGCTGTGAGCCAAAATTGCACCATTGCACTACAGCCTAGGCATCAGAGCAAGACATGGTTTCAAAAAAAAAAAAAAAAGGCCCTAATGTAGGGGATTATCCCTGGCTGAAAACCACTGGTGTAGGGGCAGAGGCTCTAGGATGGGATATCTCTATCCAGCTACCCCATGGTCCTACTGACTTTCTCTGCTCCAAGCAGCCAGGAGGTGTTATGACAAAATTAAGATGAACAATGTTAATATTTTTAATATTGTGATACTATTGTTAAAAATAGTGTTGAGTGGCCCGGCGCGATGGCTCATGCCTGTAATCCCAGCACTCTGTGAGGCCAAGACGAGTGGATCACCTGAGGTCAGGAGTTCGAGACCAGCCTGGTCAACATGGTGAAACCCCATCTCTACTAAAAATACAAAAATTAGCTGGGCTTGGTGGCACATGCCTGTAATCCCAGCTACTCAGGAGGCTGAGGCAGGAGAATTCCTTGAACCCAGGAGGCGGAGGTTGCAGTGAGCCAAGATTGCACCACTGCACTCCACCCTGGGTGACAGAGCAAGACTCCATCTCAAAAATAAATAAATAAATAAATAAATAAATAAATAAATAAATAAGCAGTGATGAGTGCTTAACTATGTGCCAGAGTGCTAAGTTTCTGACTTTCATTATCTCATTTAATCCTATTATTAATTTAAAAAATTCAGCCTGGCATGGTGGTTCACACTTGTAATCCCAGGACTTTGGGAGGCCGAGGCAGGTGGATCACGAGGTCAGGAGTTCGAGACCATCTTGTCTAACACAGTGAAAACCCATCTCTACTAAAAATACAAAAAATTAGCCACGCGTGGTGGCGGGTGCCTGTAGTCCCAGCTACTCGGGAGGCTGAGGCAGGAGAATGGTGTGAACCCAGGAGATGGAGCTTGCAGTGAGCGGGGATCATGCCACTGCACTCCAGCCTGGGCGACAGAGCTAGACTCCATCTCAAAAAAAAAAAAAATGCCATGAGGTGGGAAAAAATACCACCCTCATTATACGAATGAGGAAACTGAGGCTCAGAGGCACCAGGTGTCTTATCCAATGTCACATAGCTTGTAAGTGGGGGAATCTGTATTCAAGCACAGATAGTTCCTTACTGCATGTTTTTCTTTGAATAAACTCACATTTTAACTTCGATGCATTTACTTGAAAAGTAAACTTAAATTACTTTCAAAGAGAAGGAAACCAGGATCATTTGCCATAAATAGAAAAACACTATAAATGTAGGTATAATGAAATCAAAACAATGTTCTTAGAATCTAGCTAGATACTTTTGCCTGCCTAGTGCTCTGAGCCTGAGGGCCGATTTCTCTTTGTTTAAAAGACCTATTAGTAAGTGTGAGAGGAGTTAAAGATGCATTAGCACCAAACTGAAACTTTCTCCTTAAAGTTATGGAAGAAATTGGAAATGGAACCATGTGCTCGCCACTGGCTGCCGGATGCATCTTGCATGTGTCTGGTGTTTGGGAAACACACCCCAATTTGTCCTGCCTCCACAGGAGGCTTGGCTGCATCCTTTACATGGCGACTGTTTTTTTTTTTTTTTTTAGACGGAATCTGGCTCTGTCGCCCAGGCTGGAGTGCAGTGGCGCAATCTCGGCTCACCGCAAGTTCCGCCTCCCAGGTTCACACCATTCGCCTTCCTCAGCCTGCCGAATAGCTGGGACTACAGGCGCCCGCCACCACACCTGGCTAATTATTTGTATTTTTAGTAGAGACGGGGTTTCAAGTGTTAGCCAGGATGGTCTCGATCTCCTGACCTCGTGATCCACCCGCCTTGGCCTCCCACAGTGCTGGGATTACAGGCGTGAGCCACCGCGCCGGCCTACATGGCAATTTTAGGTAGTCAGTTTCCCCCTCTGGGCCTCAGTTTCTTCCCCTGTGAAATGAGGATCATGACATTTGCCCAACCCATTTCGTAGAGCTTCTGTGAGAATCAAATGGGAGCTGAGAAGTGGCGCGGCAGTTTCATAAGGGTGGCGTGTGAGCAGGTCATGGTGACTCTTGGCAGAGTGGGAAAATAATCCTGAACAAAGGACTTTTTCTAGATATTCAAAAAATGTTAACAATGGCTGCCTGGGGAAGGAGGTAAGTTTATTTTTTTGCAATTTAACCATGACAGAGACAAATATCTTGCCACAATATCTATTCATCCCTTCTTCCTTAGTATTTAGAACCCTCAATTTTTAGCTAAGACCTTGACTGTAGAGAATAAAGACTGCATTTTCCAACCTCTCTTGCAGTCAGATGTGACCATATGACTAAGCAAAATACATGTAGATGTGTTCTGTGGCGTTAAGGAAACAACTTTATATAAACAGATTCATAAGGATGCTACCGGGTACTCTTTGTCCCATTTGTCTTCATCCATCTCTCCATTCAGCTGCCTGGAATGCAGATGTGATGGTCAGGAATCCAGCAGGCATCTCTGACAATAAAGATAGGGGCTATACCCCAGGAGTGGTGAGCATAAAGCAGGAAGTTTCTAATGACTTCAGGGGCTAGCATACCAGCTCTGGACTGCCTCACTCTAGGACATTTTTTTGTTTGTTTGTTTGTTTGTTTGTTTTTTGGAGACGGAGTCTCACTCAGTCGCCCAGGCTGGAGTGCAGTGGCCGCGATCTCGGCTCACTGCAAGCTCCGCCTCCTGGATTCACGCCATTCTCCTGCCTCAGCCTCCCGAGTAGCTGGGATTACAGGCGCCCGCCACTACTCCCGGCTAATTTTTTTGTATTTTTAGTAGAGACGGGGTTTCACCGTGTTAACCAGGATGGTCTCGATCTCTTGACCTCGTGATCCGCCTGTCTCGGCCTCCGAAAGTGCTGGGATTAGAGGCGTGAGCCACCGCGCCCGGCCTGGACATTTGTTTTATATAAGAGATAATAACCTTGGGTCATTTATTTTATTTTATTTTGTTTTGTTTTTGCGACAGGTCTTGCTCTGTCACTTGTTTTGTCTTGCTCTGTCACCAAGGCTGGAGTGCAGTGGTGGGATCATGGCTCACTGCGTCCTCGAACTCCTGGGTTCAGGTGCTTCTCCCACCTCAGCTTCCCAAGTAGCTGGGACCACAGGTATGTGCCACCATGCTCAGCTAATTAAAAATTATTTTGGTAAAGACAGGGTCTTGCTATGTTGCCCAGGCTGGTCTCGAACTCCTGGCCTCAAATGATCCTCCCACCTTGGCCTCCCAAATTGCTGGGATTACAGATGTAAATTATTGCACCCAGCCTTGGGTCATTAAACTGCAATTATTTTGGTTTTTCATTTCACATGCAGTCGAACCTAGTCCTAACTGGCATAATGTTGTATTCTTTTTGAATTTTGTATCATGTGTATTTATTGGGAAAAATCATTTAACTGTGCGTCACTGGGCAAGTCCCTTCACCTCTTGGTGATACCTGCTTCTCAAGGTCACAAGGTAGACTGAGTGGTCACCATCATCGACTGTAATGGTAGGACATCTCCATTGGTTTTGGGGTGTGAGGGTGGCACGTGCACTCTTGTAAATGTACTTACTCCTTGACTCAACTTTATCCTATGGCTATATCCTTGATTATACACAAAGGATGAATACAAGGGTGTTCGCTGCACCACCATCTATAACAAGGGACCAAAAACATGTCTACTAAGAGGCATCTGGCTATATAACTTACGGTGGTATCTATGCCATGGCATAGTATTAATCCATTTGATTGAATAGGGTACAGTTGTATATGTTGTCATGATCTTCTAAGATATATTAATAAATAAAAAGAAGGTTAGTAGTGGTGGCTCATGCCTGTAATCCCAGTACTTTGGGAGGATGAGGTGGGAGAAGCACTTGAGCCCAGAAGTTCAAGACCAGCATAGCAAGACTCTTGTTTCCACAAAAAAATTAAAAAATAAAGGCAGTCAAGGTACAGAATACTGTATATAGTATAATCCCATCAATTTTTAAATAGGCTTTTTTTAAGAGTAGTTTTAGGTTCACAGCAAAATTGAGTAAAATATTCAAAGATTTCCCATCCACTCCCTGACCCTACACATGCACAGCCTCCCTCACTATCGACATCCCCCACCAGGGTGGCATATTTGCTACAACAGATGAGACAACATTGACACATTATCACCCAAAGATCATAGCTCACATTAAGGATTACTCCTGGTGTTGTACGTTCTATGAGTTTTGACAAATGTGTAATGACGTTTATGTACCATTGTAGCATATCATACAGAGTATTTTCACTGCCCTAAAAAATCCTCTGTGCTCTGCCTATTCATCCCTTCCTCCTCCCAACCGTGGGCAACCACACTGATTGTTTCACTACCTCCATACTTTTGCCTTTTCCAGAATGTCATGTAATTGTAATCATACTGTATGTAGCCTTTTCAGACTTGGACTTAGTAATATGCATTTAAGGTTCCTCCATATCTCCTCATGGCTTCATAGTTCATTTCTTTTTAGTGCTCAATAATATTCTATATTCTGGATATGCCATAGTTTATTTATACATTCACCTACTGAAGAATATCTTGTTTGCTTCCAAATTTTGGCAGTTATGAATAAAGCTGATGTAAATATCTATGTGGAGGTTTTGGTGTAGACATGAGTTTTTTATTCCTTTGGGTAAATACCAAGGTGTATGATTGCTGGGTCATATAGTAAGAGTACATTTATTTTTATAAGAAACTGCCAACATGCCTTCCAAATGACTATAGCATTTTGCATTCCCACCAGCAAGGAATGAGAGTTACTGTTGCTCCACGTCCTACCAGCATTTGGTGTCAGTGTTCTGGATGTTGGCCATTCTAATAAGTATGTAGTGCTATCTCATTGTTGTTTGAAACTGTATTTCCCAGATGCATATGATGTGGAACGTCTTCTCATATGCTAACATGCCATCTGTATATCTTCCTTGGGGTGTCTGCTAAGGTCTTTTGCCCAATGTTTAATTAGGTTGTTTCTTTTCTTATTTTTGAGTTTTAAGAGTTCTTTTTTTAATTTTTTTGAGACGGAGTCTCGCTCTGTTGCCCAGGCTGAAGTTCAGGGGTGCAGTCTCAGCTCACTGCAACCTCTGCCTTTCGGGTTCAAGCAATTCTCCTGCCTCAGCTTCCCAAGTAACTGGGACTACAGGCATGCTCTACCACACCTGGCTCATTTCTGTATTTTTAGTAGAGATGGGGTTTTACCATGTTGGCCAGGCTGGTCTCGAACTTGACCACAGGTGATCTGACTGCCTCGGCCTCCCAAAGTGCTGGGATTACAGGTGTGAATTACCACATCCCGCCTCAAGAGTTATTTGTATATTTTAGATAACAGTCCTTTATCAGATATGTCTTTTTTTTTTTTTCTTTTGAGAGGGAGTCTCCCTCTGTCACCCAGGCTGGAGTGGGATGATCTCGGCTCACTGCAACCTCTACCTCCTGGGTTCAAGCAATTCTCTGCCTCAGCCTCCCATGTAGCTGGGACTACAGGCACATGCCACCAGACCTGGCTAATTTTTGTATTTTTAGTAAAGATGGGGTTTTGCCATGTTGGCCAGGCTACTCTCAAACTCCTGGCCTCAAGTGATCCACCCACCTCAGCCTCCCAAAGTGCAGGGACTATAGGCGTGAACCATGGCACCCGGCCCAGATATGTCTTTTGCAAAGATTTTCTCCCAGTATGTGGCTTGTCTTTTCATTCTCTTGACTGTGTCTCTGACAGCAGAACTTTTTAACTTTAATGAAGTCCAGCTTACCAACAATTGGGCCTTCAGTGTTGTATCTAAAAAGTCATTGCCAAACCCAAGGTAATCTAGCTTTTTTTAGCCTATATTATTTTCTATGAGTTTCACAGGTTTCACATTTATGTCTGTGAAACATTTTGAAGAGTGTAAGGTCTATGTCCATATTATTATTATTATTATCTTGCATGTGGATATTCAGTTGTTCCAGCAGCATTTGTTGGAGAGACCATCTCTTCCCCATTGTGTTGCCTTTGAGCCTTTGTCAAAGATCAACTGACTGTATTTATGTGGGTCTGTTTCTGGGCTCTCCATTCTGTCCTATCAATCAATTTGCCCGTTCTTTCACCAGTACCACACTGTCTTTTTTTTTTTCTCTTGAGACGTTGGAGTCTCACTCTGTTGCCCAGGTTAGAGTACAGTGGCACGATCTAGGCTCACTGCAACCCCTACCTCCCAGGTTCAAGCAGTTCTCCAGCCTCAGCCTCCTGAGTAGCTGAGACTACAGGCACACACCACCAAGCCTGGCTAATTTTTGTAATTTTAGTAGAGACGGGGTTTCACCATGTTGGCTAGGCTGGTCTCGAACTCCTGACCTCAGGTGATCCACCCACCTCGGCCTCTCAAAGTGCTGGGATTACAGGCGTGAGCCATTGCGCCCAGCCACACAATCTTTTTTTTTTTTTTTTTTTTTGAGATGGGAGTCTTGCTCCCAGGCTGGAGTGCAGTAGCTCAATCTTGGCTTACTTCCACCTCCACCACCTGGGTTCAAGTGATTCTCCTGCCTCAGCCTCCCGAGTAGCTGGGATTAGGGGAGCCCGCCACCACGCCGGGCTGATTTTTTATATTTTTAGTAGAGACAGGGTTTCGCCATGTTGCCCAGGTTGGTCTTGAACTCCTGACCTCAGGTGATCCGCCTGCCTCACCCTCCCAAAGTGCTGGGATTACAGGCATGAGGCACCATGCCCAGCTCACACACTTTTAATTACTATAGCTTTATAGTAAGTCTTGGTAAGTCTTGAAGTGGGGGTAGTATCAATCCTCTGATTTTGTTCTCCTTGAATATTGTATGGCTATTCTGGGTCTTTTGCCTCTCCATATAAACTTTAAAATCAGTTTGCTAATATGGACAGAATAACTTGCCAGGATTGTGATTGAGATTGCATTGAATCTAAAGATCATGTTGGCAAGAACAAACATCTTGAAAATAATGAGTCTTCCTACCCATGAACATGGTATATATTTCCCTTTATTTTAGCTCTTCTTCTATTTCTTTCACTAGAGTTTGGTATTTTTTTTCATATAAATCTTGTAAATATTTTATTAGATTTATACCTAAATATTTCATTTTGGGGGTGGTAATTAGAATAATATTGTGTTTTTCATTTCACTTTTTCCAGTCTGAGAAACAGACAGAGACCCTGTCTGTACCAAAAATGAAAAAATTTAGCCAGGTGTGGTGGCATGTTCCCAGCTACTCAGGGGGCTAAGGTGGGAAGATTGGTTGAGCCCAGGCCACAGTAAGCTATGATTGAGCCGTTACACTCCAGACAGGGCGACAGAGCTAGACTCTGTCTCAAAAAAAAAAAAAAAAAAAATCCACTTGTTCATTTCTGGTACATAGGAAAATGATTAACTTTTCTATATTGACGTTATATTCTGCAATCTTGCTATAGGAGGTTGGGTTTTTTTGTTTTTTGTTTTTTTTTTTTTGCTTGATTCTCTGGGATTTTCTACATAGATGATCATATCATCTACAAACAAAGATAGTTTTACTTCTTCCTTCCCAATCTGTATTCCTTTTATTTCCTTTTCTTTTCTTATTGCATTAAGGACTTTCAGCATGATTTCAAAAAGCAGTAGTGAGGGGACACCCTTGCCTTGTTCTTGATCTTAGTGGGAAAACATCTAGTTTCTTACCATTAAATATAATGTCTGTTGTAGGTTTTTTTGGCAACTTGAGAAAATTTCCCCCATTCCTAGTTCATTGAGAGTTTTTATTGTGAATAGGTGTTAAATTTCAACAAATGCTTTTCTTCTGTGATTACTGATAAAATCATGTGATTTTCCTTCCTTAGTCTGTTTATGTGATCGATTACATTAATTGTTTTTTAATGCTAAACCAGGTTGGCATACTTGGAATAAATCCCAATTGGTCATGGTGTACCATTCTTTTTATAGATTATTGATTTGACTTGCTAATAATTTGTTGATGATTTTGGATCTATGTTCATGAGAGATATTGGTCTATAGGTTATTTTTCCTTGTAATGTCTTTCTCTAGTTATAGTATTAGTGTAATGCTGGCCTCATAAAAATGAGTTAGGAAGTTTTCTCTCTGTTCCTATTTTCTGAAAGAGAATGTAGAGAATTCTTGTAATTTCTTCCTTTAATGTTTGGCAGAATTCACCAGTGAACCCATCAGGGCCTGGTGCTTTCTCTTTTGGAAGGTTATTGATTACTAATTCAATAGATATAGGTTTATTTATGTTGCCTATTTCTTCTTGTGTGAATTTTGGCAGATTATGTCTTTCTAGGAATTGGTCCATTTCATCTAGGTTATCAAATTTGTGTTCACAGAGTTGTTTAAAAAAGCATTTCTTTATTATCCCTTTTATGTCCACAAGATCTGTAGTGATGTTTTTTTGTTCATTTCTTTTTTTTTTTTTTTCTTTGAAACAGAGTCTCACTCTGTCACCTAGGCTGGAGTACAATGGCTCACTGCAACCTCTGCCTCTTGGGTTCAAGTGATTCTCATACCTCAGCCTCCCAAGTAGGTGGGATTACAGGCGTGCACCACCACATTGGCTAATTTTTGTTTATTTATTTATTTATTTATTTATTTAGAGACAGAGTCTCTCTCTCTGTTGCCCAAGCTGGAGTTCAGTGGCACGATGTCAGCTCACTACAACCTCTGCCTCCTGGGTTCAAGCAATTCTCGTGTCTCAGCCTCCTGAGTAGCTGGGATTACAGGCGCATGCCACCATGCCCGTCTAATTCTTTGTATTTTTAGTAGAGATGGGGCTTCTCCATGTTGCCCAGGCTGGTCTCGAACTCCTGACCTCAGGCAATCCTCCTGCCTCAGCCTCCCAAAGTGCTGGGATTACAGGCATGAGCCACCGCACCCAACCTAATTTTTGTATTTTTACTAGAGATGGGGTTTCACCATATTGGCCAGGCTGGTCTCCAACTCCTGACCTTAGGTGATCCACCCGCCTCAGCCTCCCAAATTACTGGAATTACAGGCATGAGCCACCACACCTGGCCTCTTTATTCATTTCTGATGTTACCAATTTGAGTTTCTCTCTCTCTCATAGTTAACCTGGGTAGAGGACTATTGATTTTGTTGATCTTTTCAAAAAAATAACTTTGGTTTTGTCGATTTTCTTTATTGATTTCTTGTTTTCAATTCACCTGATGCTCTAACTTTTGTTTCTCTGCTTTCTCTCTCGTTCTTTCTCTCTTTTTTTGAGACAGAATCTTACTTCATCAACAGGTTGTAGTGCAGTGGCATGATCATGGCTTACTGCAGCTTCAGACTCCTGGGCTCAAGCAATCCTTCCACCTCATCCTCCTGAGCAGCTAGGACTACAGGCATGTGCCACCATGCCTGGCTAATTTTTTTCGTTAGAGATGAGGTCTCCCTATGGTGCCCAGGTTGTTCTCAATTCCTGAGCTCAAGGAATCCTTCTGCCTCAGCCTGAGTATAAGCTGGCTAATTTTTTATTTCTTTGCAGAGAAGGGCTTCACTATATTGCCCAGGCTGGTCTTGAACTCCTGGGCTCAAGTGATCCTCCTACTTTGGCCTCCCAAAGTGCTGAGATTGTAGGTGTGAGTCACCATCCTGGTTGATTTTTATTATTTATTTTCTTCTGTTTACTTTGAATTTAATTTGCTCTTCTTTTTCTAGCTTCCTAATTTGGAAGCTTAAATGATTGAGTTTAGATCTTTCTTCTTTTCTAATATATGCATTCTATGCTATAAATTTCCCTCTGAACACTGCTATCATGTCATCCCTCAAGTTTTTGTAAGTTGTGTTTTCATTTTCATTTAATTCAAAATATTTGGCTGCATGGTAGGGCTCACAATTGTAACCCTGGCACTTTGAGAGGCTGAGGCAGAAAGTTCACTTGAGCCTAGGAATTTGACGCAAGACTGGGCAACATAGTGTGACTCCATCACTAATTTAAATAAATAAATAAGTAGAATATTTTAAAGTTTATCTTGAGGTTTTTTGTTGTTGTTGTTGTTGTTTGTTTGTTTTGAGATGGAGTCTTGCTCTGTTACCCAGGCTGGAGTGCAGTGGTGCAATCTCGGCTCACTACAACCTCTGCTTCCCGAGTTCAAGAGATTCTCCTGTCTCAGCCTCCCAAGTAGCTGGGATTACAGGCACGTGCCACCACGCCCAGCTAATTTTTGTATTTTTAGTAGAGGTGAGGTTTCACCATGCTAGCCAGGTTTGTCTTGAACTCCTGATCCGCCTGCCTCGGCCACTCAAAGTGCTGAAATTACAGGTGTGAGCCACCCTGCCCGGCCTCTATCTTGAGATTTTTTATTTGATCCATGTGTTATTGAGAAGTGTGTTGTTTAATCTCCAAGTATTTTGGTATTTTCCAGCTATCGTTCTGTTATTGATTTATATTTTAACTCCAATGTGTTCTGAAAGCAGACATTGTATAATTTCTGGTTCTTACATTTGTTAAGGTGTGTTTTTTGGTCCAGACCCTGTCTTGGTGAATGTCCCATGTGAACTTGAGAAGAATGTGTATCCTGCTGCTGTCACATGAAGTAGTTTACAGATATCCATTATATGCATTTAATTAATGGTGGTGTTGAGTTCAGCTATGTCCTTACTGATTTTTCTGCCTGGATTTTTCCATTTCTGATAGAGAGGTCTCGAAGTCTCCAACTACAAGAGTAGATGCATCTATTTCTCTTTGCACTTCTATCAGTTTGCCTCATGTATTTTGATGCTCTGTTGTTAGGCACGTGCATGTTAAGAATCATTATGTCTTATCATTTGGTAATGACTCTCTTTATCCTTGATAACTTTCTTTGCCATGAAGTTTGCTTTGTCTTAAATTAATATAGCCACTCTCATTTCCTTTTCCTTTTCTTCTTCTTCTTTTTTTTTTTTTTGACAGTGTGGCTCTGTTGCCCAGGCTGGAGTGCAGTGGTACGATCATAGCTCACTGCAGCCTTGACTTCTTGGGGTCAAGTGATCCTCCCACTTCAGCCTCCTGAGTAGCTGGAACTACTGGTGTGCACCACCATGCTTGGCTAATTTTTTTTCTACTTTTTTTTTTTTTTATTAGACGGAGTCTCACTCTGCTGCTGGGGCTGGAGTGCAGTGGCACGATCTCAGCTCACTGCAAGCTCCACCTCCAGCTTCACGCCATTCTCCTGCCTCAGCCTCCCAAGTAGTTGGGACTACAGGGGCCCGCCACCACGCCCGGCTAATTTTTTTGTACTTTTTTAGTAAAGACAGGGTTTCGCCATGTTAGCCAGGATGATCTCGATCTCCTGACTTTGTGATCTGCCTGCCTTGGCCTCCCAAAGTGCTGGGATTACAGGCATGAGCCACCACGCCCAGCCTCCACTTTTTTTTTTATTAGTATTAACATGGTATAACTTTCTCCATTCATTTACTTTTAATCAATATGTGTCTTTATATTTAAGTGGGTTTCTTAAAAGACAACATATAACTGAGTCTTTTTTTAAAATCTATTCTGATAATCTCTTTTAATTGGTGGATTTAGACCATTATATTCAAAATGATTATTGCTATAGGTGGATTAACATCTACCATATTTGTTACTATTTTATATTTGTTGACCTATCTCTTTTTTATTTTCTATTTTCCTGTCTTTTGTGGTTTTAATTGAACATTTTAAATGATTCCATTTTTCTCTCCTTTCTTAGAATATCAGTTATACTTAAAAAAATTTTTAAGTAGTTGCCCTAAAGTTTGCAATATACATTTCCAACTAATGCAAATCCATTTTCAAATAACACTATACCACTTCACAGGCAGTACAAGTACCTTATTATTATTGTTATTATTTTTTAGTAGAGAAAGGTTTTCACCATGTTGGCCAGGATGGTCTCGATCTCTTGACCTCGTGATCTGCCCGCCTTGGCCTCCCAAAGTGTTGGGATTACAGGCGTGAGCCACTGTGCCCGGCCAAGTACCTTATAATAACAGAATAATCCTATGTATGACTGTTGTCATTCATTCACTTTAAGCATAAATAAGCGTGCGTGTGTGTATGTGTATAATTGAAAACACTGTTGCTCTATTTTAAACAAACTGTTATCTGTTAGATCAATTATGCATAAGAAAAGTTTTTGGCTGGGCGTGGTGGCTCATGCCTGTAATCCCAGCACTTTGGGAGGCCAAGGCGGGCAGATCACCTAAGGTCAGGAGTTCGAGACCAGGCTGGCCAACATGATGAAGCCTTGTTTCTACTAAAAAAAGCAAAAATTAGCCAGGCATGGTGGCGCGCGCCTGTAATCCCAGCTACTCGGGAGGCTGAGAGGCAGGAGAACCGCTTGAACCCAGGAGGTGGAGGCTGCAGTGAGCCGAGATTGTGCCATTGCACTCCAGCCTGAGCAACAAGAGAGGAACTCTGTCTCAAAAAAAAAAGAAAAAGGCCAGGCATGGTGGCTCACCCCTGTAATCCCAGCACTTTGGGAGGACAAGGTGGGTGGATCACGAGGTCAGGAGATTGAGACCATCCTGGCTAACACAGTGAAACCCCGTCTCTACTAAAAATACAAAAAATTAGCCTGGCGTGGTGGTGGGTGCATGTAGTCCCAGCTACTAGGGAGGCTGAGGCAGGAGAATGGTGTGAACCAGGGAGGCGGAGCTTGCAGTGAGCCGAGATCGTGCCACTGCACTTCAGCCTGGGCAACAGAGCGAGACTCCGTCTCAAAAAAAAAAAAAAAAAAGAAAGAAAGAAAGAAAAGGAAGAAAGAAAGAAAGAGAGAGAGAGAGAGAAAGCAAGCAAGCAAGCAAGCAAGCAAGCGAGCCAGGCATGGTGGCTCATGCCTGTAATCCCAGCACTTTGGGAGGCTGAGGCGGGTAGATCACAAGGTCAAGAGTCTCTACTAAAAATACAAAAATTAGCCGGGCGTGGTGGGCATGGCTGTAGTCCCAGCTACTCGGGAGGCTGAGGCAGGAGAATCGCTTGAACCTGGGAGGCGGAGGTTGCAGTGAGTGGAGATCGCGCCACTGGACTGTAGCTTGGGAGACAGAGTGAGACTTCGTCTCAAAAAAAGAAAAAGAAAAAAAAAAAGAAAAAGAAAAAGAAAAGTCTGTTTGTTTGTTTTGAGACAGAGTCTTTATTTATTTATTTATTTATTTATTTATTTATTTATTTTGAGACAGAGTCTCACTCTGTCCGCCAGGCTGGAATGCAGTGGTGCGATTTCAGCTCACTGCAACCTCCGCCTCCCTGGCTCAAGCAATTCTCCTGCCCCAGCCTCCCGAGTAGCTGGGATTACAGGCGTGTGCCACCATGCCCAGCTAATTTTTGTATTTTTAGTATAGACGGGGTTTTACCATGTTGGCCAGGCTGATCTCGAACTCCTGACCTCAGGTAATCTACCCACCTCAGCCTCCCAAAGTGAGAAAAGTTTTTATTTTACCTTAACTTATTCCTTCTTCAATATTCTTCCCTTACTTGTATACATCTGAGCTTCTAACCTATACTGTTTCCCATTTTTTTCTCTAAAGAACTTCTTTGAACACTTCTTGCAAAGCAGGTCTACTGGTAACAAATTCTCTCAACTTTTGTTTGTCTGAGAAAGTCTTTATTTCTCCTTCACTTTTGAAAGATAATTTCAGAGAGTACACAATTCTAGGCTAGTATTTCCCCCCCCCCCAACACTTTAAATATTTCACTCCATTCTCTTCTTGCTTGCACAGTTTTTGAGTCAGATGTAATTCTTATCTTTGCTTTTCTATAGGTAAGATGTTTGTTTTTTGTTGTTTTTTGTTGGTTTGTTTCTTGTTTTCCTTCTGGCTTGTTTCAGAATTTTTTCATTATGCTTGATTTTTTCTAGTTTGAGTATATGTCTAGGTGTAGGGTTTTTTGTTTGTTTGTTTGTTTGCTTTTTTTTTTTGGCATATCCTGCATGGTGTTCTCTGAGCTTCTTGGATGTATGGTTTGGTGTCTAACAATAATTTGGGGACATTTTCAGTCATTATTATTCCAAAAGTTCTTCTGTTCCTTTCTTTTTTCTCTTTCTGTTATTCTAAATATGTAAATGTTACAACTTTTGTAGCCATCATATAGTTCTTGGATATTCAAGTTTGTTTGTTAGTTTGTTTTAGTCTTTTTCCCTTTACTTTTTGTTTTTAGAGGTTTCTACTGACATATCTTTGAATTCAGAGATTCTTTCCTCAGCCATGGCCAGTCTACTAAAAGCCCGTCAAAGGCATTCTTCCTTTCTGTTACAGTGTTTTTTATCTCTAGCATTTATTTTTGGTCCTCTCTTAGTATTTCCATCTCTCTGCTTACGTTGCCCATCTGTTCTTGCATGCTAATTTATTTGTCAGAGCCATTGCAATATTAATTATAGTTATATGTGTAAATTCCTGGTCTGATAATTCCAACATGCCTGCCATAATTGAGCCGGGTTCACATATTTGCTCTGTCTCTTCAAACTGTGTTTTTGCCTTTTAGTATCCCTTGTAATTTTTTTCTTGATAGCTGGAAATAATGTACTGGGTAAAAGAAACTGCTGTAAGTAGGCTTTTAGTGATGTGGTGGTAAGATGTGGGAAGAGGGGAAGCATTCTATAGTCCTACAAAGAGGTCTCCGTCTTTTAGTGAGCCTTTGCCCTGGACTGTTAATTTCACAAATGCTTCTAAGTTGTTGCTGTTTTTTTCTTGCCCTCCTTAGGTGGGACAGCATGGCTAGAGGCAGATGGAGTTTCCTTCCCCCAAGATCAGTTAGCCTCTCTCTGATAATCCCAGCAGGTTAGGCTCTAGTCACCTAGTTTCTCCCAAGGACAGGCCTGGCATACATCAGAATTGTTCCTTTTTCCCTGCTCTTGCCAGAACCATGAGGGGATTTTTCTTCAATATTCACCGTAAGAACTTGGTAGAGCTTCAGGAAGTAAAACTTACAAAAGTGTGGGAGCCCCCCTAATGACTGGGTCCCCTGGGAGTTTTTAATGTCTCACACTTGTCCACACAGCCTCCAGCAATTTGTCAATTACAATTCAGTTTTCCCTTGCCTGGGCATTGGTTCCCATAAAGGTTTCTGCTCATGGGTTCCTTCTGCTCCTGTAAGTTGTGATTCTCTGCACTCACCTGTCTGTCGCTCCAATTTTGGGGGCAGCAGTTTGCCCTGTGACCTTACGTCTCTCATGGATCTAGCAAGAGTGTTTATTTTTCAGTTTGTTTGGCTTTTTACTTGCTGTTAGGATGGAGTAGCAGCTTCCAAGCTTCTTACATCCCTGACCAGAAACCAGAAGTCCACTCATCTGTGTTTTTTATAAAAAGGATATGCATACTATGAAATGCATTGCAACAATGAGAAAGAATGGGTAGCACTTTAAGGACTGAAAGAGCAAGATTTCTTTGACACAACGTCATCTGAAAAAAAGCAATCATAATTTTAAAAAAAATCCAACGTGCTTATACGTTTGAAAAAATGGGAAAAAATGGGAAACATGCCAGACACTGTTTTAACTGTTTTATGTGTATTAATTCATTGTTACCTCATTTTTATATGTTATGAAACAGGCACAGAAAGGTTAAATGATGAGTCTGACCTAGCCTTCCTGGGGCCTGAGTCCATGCTCTTAACTACCTCTCTTTTTCTGACATATTGAGCAGGTAGAAAGACCATACGTAGGCATGATCCCTTTAGTTTTAAAAAAAGTAGGGGATGGTATATACATACAATGAAATATATTGAACCTTAAAAAGGAAAGAAATTCTGACACATGATACAACATGGAGGAATCCTGAAGACACTTTGCTAGGTATATAAATAAGCCAGTCATGAAAGGACAAACACTGTATGATTCCATTTATATGAGCTACCTAGAGTAATCAAATTCACAGAGACAGAAGGTGAAATGGTAGCTGCCAGGGCTCGGGGGAGGGAGGAATGCGGAGTTAGTGTTTAATGGGCACAAAGTTTCAGTTTTGCAAGATTAAAAGAGTTCTGGAGATGGATGGTGGTAATGACTGAGCAATAATGTGAATGTACTTGATGCTAGAGAATTGTGCACCAAAAGACAGTAAAAATGATAAATTTTATGTCATGTGTATTTTACCACAATAAGAAAATGCGGGAAAAAAGAATGTCCCCGTACAAATCTGACAATAGTTTGAATAACTGTCTTTATTTTGCTCACAATTGTAGTCGGCTGTGGTCTAACATCCCTCATATCATCTCCCTCCTTCAAGCATCTCTTAAAATGATGGTGAATGTAATGAGTTTAATTGCGTTCCCTCAAAAAGATATGTTCAAGTCCTAATCCCTGGTACCTGTGAATGTGATCTCATTTGGAAACAGGGTACCTGCAGATATAATTAAGACACAAGACAAAATAAGGTCATTAGGGTGGGCTCTAAGTCCAATCACTGGTGTCCTTATAGGAAGAGAAGAGAAACACACACACACGTGAAGACCAGAGATTGGAGTGATGCTGCTGTAAGTCAAGAACACAAAGGAAGGCTGACAGCCAAAAGAAGGGAGATGAGATCAGGGAAGCTTCCCTCCCAGAGTCTGCAGGGGGCATGAGGCCCTGCCCACACTTTGATATTGGACTTCTTAGCCTCCAGAACAAGAATAAATTTTTGTTGTTTTAAGAAAAAAAGAAAAAAAAAGGTTAAAATGGTAAATTTCATGTACATGTATTTCACTGAAAGGAAGGAAGGAAGAGAAGGAGGGAGGGAAGGAGACAGAAGGAAGGAAAGGAAAGGGAAGGGAGAAAGAAGTAAGCAGGGGTACACAGAAGATGACATGATATAGTTTCCTTATGGATATATATGTAAATGTGCAGAAAAAGATCAGGGAAGATAGAAATGAAGTTTATAAGAGTGGTGGCCTCTGGGTGGGGCTTGGGTGGGGACTTTAGTCTTTTTGTAATATTTCAGCTTTTTACAGAGTGGGTATATTCATATATTACTTGTGAAATTTAAAAACATAATTTTGACCAGGCATCGTGGCTCATGCCTGTAATCCCAACACTTTGGGAGGCCAAGGCAGGTGGACCACTTGAGCTCAGGAGTTTGAGACTAGCCTGGGCAACATGGCAAAACTCTGACACTACTAAAAAAAATAATAATAATACAAAAAGTTAGTGGGCATCGTGGTGCATGCCTGTAGTCTCACTTATTTGGGAGTGCTGAGGTGGGACGATTGCTTGAGCCCAGGAGTCAAAATCAGCCTGGGCAACATGGTGAAACCCCATCTCTACAAAAAATTAGTCAGGCATGGTACAAGCGCCTGTAGTCTCAGCTATTTGGAAGGCTGAGGTGGGAGGATTGCTTGAGGTCAGAAGGCAGAGGTTGCAGTGAGCCAAGATCATGCCACTGCACTGCAGCCTGGGCAACAGAGCCAGATGTTGTCTGAAAAACAAAAACAAAACCCATATACAGTAGACTAGTGTGGCGGAATAATTTTTTTAAAAACCCAGAAAACCAATAATTGTACAAATTAATTTTTCAAATACAAACACACACACACACACACACACACACACACACACACACACAGAGGCATACCCTGGGGATATTGCGAGTTTGGTTCCAGACCACCGTAATAAAACAAATATTGCAATAAAGCAAGTCACACAAATTATTTGGTTTCCCAATGCATATAAAGTCATGTTTACACTATATACTAATAGTGTGCAATAGCATATGTCTAAAAAAAACCCAATGTGTATACCTTAGTTTTAAAATACTTTATTGCTAAATTATCATCTGAGCCAGCCTTCAGCAAGTTGCAATGAAGGTTTGAGTAGCTGTAGCAATTTCTGAAAATAAGATAACAACGAAGTTTGCCACATCGATTGACTTTTCTTTCACAAAAGTTTACTCAGTAGCATATGATGCTATTTGATAGCATTTTATCTACAGAACTTCTTTCAACATTGGAATCAATCCTCTTAAATGCTACTCCTGCTTTATCAACTAAGTTTATGTAATATTTTAAATCTTTTGTGGGCATTTCAACAGTGCTCACAGCATCTTCACCAGGAGTAGATTCCATCTCAAGAAACCACTGTCTGCTCATCCATAAGAAGCAACTCCTCATCCATTCAAGTCTGATCATGAGATTGCAGCAATTCAGTCCCATCTTCAGGCTCCACTTCTAATGCTAGTTCTCTTTCTATTTTCGCCACACCTTCAGTTACTTCCTCCACTGAAGTATTCAGCTCCTCAAAGTCATCCATGAGGGCTGGAATTAACCTCTTTCAAACTCCTGTTCATGTTGACATTTTGACCTTCTCTCATGAATCACCAATGTTCCATTTATTATTATTATTATTTTTTGAGACGGAGTCTTGCTCTGTCGCCCAGGCTGTAATGCAGTGGCGCAATCTCAGCTCACTGCAACCTCTGTCTCCCGGGTTCAAGCAATTCTCCTGCCTCTACCTCCCAAGTAGCTGGGATTACAGGCGTGTGCCACCACACTGGCTAATTTTTGTATTTTTAGTAGAGATGGGGTTTCACCGTGTTAGCCAGGCTCGTCTTGAACTCCTGACCTCAGGTGATCTGCTCACCTTGACCTCCCAAAGTGCTGGGATTACAGGCATAAGCCACTGCACCCAGCCCCCCAACTTTTTTTTTTTTTTGAGATGGAATCTCACTGTGTGGCCCAGGCTGGAGTGCAGTAGCACGATCTTGGCTCACTGCAACCTCCACCTCCCGGGTTTAGGAAAATCACCAATGTTCTTTTTTTTTTTTAGATGGAGTCTCACTCTGTCACCCAGGCTGGAGTGCAGTGGCACTATCTCAGCTCACTACAACCTCTGCCTCCCAGGTTCAAGCGATTCTTCTGCCTCAGCCTCCCAAGTAGCTGGGACTACAGGTGCGTGCCACCACACCCAGCTAATTTTTGTATTTTTAGTAGAGACGGGGTTTCACCATGTTGGCCAGGCTGGTCTCGAACTCCTGATCTTGTGATCCACCCACCTTGGCCTCCCAAAGTGCTGGGATTACAGATGCGAGCCACCGCGCCCGGCCATGAATCACCAATGTTCTTAATGGCATATCTAGAGTGGTAAATTCTTTCCAGAAGGCTTTCAATTTGCATTGCCCAGATCCAACAGAGGAACAACTTATCTATGGCAGCTATAGCCTTTCAAAATGTATTTCTTAAATATTAAGACTTGAAAGTCAAAATTACTCCTTGACTCATGGGCTACAGAATGGATATTGTGTTAGCAGGCATGAAAACAGCATTAACCTCCTTGTACATCTTCCTGAGAGCGCTTGTGTGACCAGGTGCATTATAAATGAGCACTAATATTTTGAAAGGAATCTTTTATTTTATTTATTTATTTTTTTTTGAGATGGAGGCTCATTCTTTCACCCAGGCTGGAGTGCAGTGGCGTGATCTCGGCTTACTGCAACTTCTACCTCCCGGGTTCAAGCAAGTCTCTGCCTCAGGCTCCTGACAGCTGGGATTACAGGCGCCTGCCACCACACCTGGCTAATTTTTGTATTTTTAGTAGAGATGGGGTTTCACCATCTTGGCCATGCTGGTCTTGAACTCCTGACCTTCTGATCCACCCACCTCAGCCTCCCAAAGTGCTGGGATTACAGGCATGAGCCACTGTGCCTGGCTCTTTTTTTTTTTTTCCTATCCTGAGCAATAGGTCTCAACAGTGGACTTAAAATATTGAGTAAACCATGCTGTAAACACATGTGCTGTCATTCAGGCTTTTTCCATTTATAGAGCATAGGTGGAATAGAGTTAGCATAATTCTTAAGGGCCCTAGAATTTTCACGTGGTAAATGAGCACTGGCTTCAACTTAAAGTCACCAGCTGCATGGGTCCCTAATGTGAGAGTCAGCCTGTCCTTCGAAGCTTTAAAGCCAGGCATTGACTTCTCCTCTCTAGCTATAAAAGACCTAGATGGCATCTTCTTCCAACAGAAGGCTGTTTCATCTACACTGAAAATCTGTTGTTTAGTCTACCCATCTTCATCAATGACCTTAGCCAGATCTTCTAGTGACTTGCTGTAGCTTCTACATCACCACCTGCTGCTTTACTTTGCACTTTTATGCTATGGAAATGGCTTATTTTATTAAACCACATGAACCAACCTCTGCTAGCTTCCAACTTTTCTTCTGCAGCTTCCTCACCTCTCTCAATCTTCACAGAATGGAACAGAGTTAGGGCCTTGCTCTGGATTAGGCTTTGGCTTAAAGGAATGCTGTGCTGGTTTGATCTTCTATCCAGACTGCTAAAGCTTTCTCCATATCTGAAATAAGGCTGTTTTCTTTCTCATCATTCATGTGCTCACCGGAGCAGCACTTTATTTCATTCAAGAACTTTTCCTTTGCATTCACAACTTGGCCAACTTGCACAAGAGCCCTCACTTTTGGCTTATCTCAGTTTTGACACACCTTCCTCACTACTTCATCATTAACAGCTTTTGTTTTTAAATATTTATTTATTTACTTATTTTTTAGAGACAGAGTCTTACTATGTTGCCCAGGCTGGTCTTGAACTTCTGATCTCAAGAAATCCTCCTGCCTCAGCCTCCTGCAAAGTGCTGGGATAACAAGCGTGAGCCACCAGGCCCAGCCCACATTTCAATCTTTTGATTTAACGTGAGAGATGTATGATTCTTCCTTTCACTTGAACACTTAGAGGCCATAACAGGGTTATTAACTGGCCTAATTTCAAAACTGTTGTGTCTCAGGGAATAGGAAAGCCAAAGGAGGGAGAGAGACAGGGGAACAGCCAGCAGGTGTAGCAATCAAAATACGCACATTTATTTATGAAGCTTGCTGTCTTACATGGGCGCAGTTCATGGTGCCCCAAAACAATGACAATAGTAACATCAAAGATCACTGATCACAGATCACCATAAAAGATATAATCATAATAGAAAGGTTTGAGATATTGTGAAAATTTCAAAAATGTGACACAGAGCCACGAAGTGGGCACGTGCTGCAGGGAAAATAGTTCCGACAGACTTGATTGACTCAGGGTGCCACAAACCTTCAATATATTAAAAATACAATATCTGTAAAGCACAATAAAGCAAAGCACAATAAAACGAGGTATGCCTGCATATACGCTTGAGTATCTATAAGCATGTCTGGAAGGATACAGAAGCAGCTTAATGACGGTTACCTCTGAGAAGTAGCCTGGGGGAGAGAGGGAAGGAGGCAGGGAAGGAGAGCTTTTAAGAAATAAGAAACTCAGCTGGGCATGGTGGATCATGCCTGTAATCCCAGCATTTGGGAGGCCGAGGCGGGTGGATCATCTGAAATAACAATTCGAGACCAGCCTGGCCAACGTGGTGAAACCCCGTCTCTACTAAAAATACAAACATTAGCCAGGTGTGTGGTGCGCACCTGTAATCACAGCTACTTGGGAGACTGAGGCAGGAGAATTGTTTGAACCCGGGAACGGGAGGCTGCAGTGAGCCAAGATGGGCCACTGCACTCCAGCCTGGGTAACAGAGCGAGACTCCATCTCAGAAAGAAAAGAAAAGAAAAGAAAAGAAAAGACTAAAAAACTAAAGGAGAGTTCAAAGGAAGATTACTTGAGTTTAGGGAATAAAATTAGGATGAGCCTAAGAAGAGGTAAAGAATAAGAGAACATATACTTTATACTCAGGTGCTTGTTTTCTTTAAAGCTTGTGCTATCGATGTACTTTTATGTAAAGCCTTTTCATAATGCATTTTATGCTGAGCTATTGCTTTTTAGTTGTTGTGGTTTTGAGATGGAGTCTCACTCTGTCACCCAGGCTGGAGTACAGTGGCACAATCGCGGCTCACTGCAACCTCTGCCTCCCAGGTTCAAGCAATTCTTGCTCCACAGCCTCCCGAGTAGCTGGGATTACAGGTGTGCACCACTACACCCAGCTAATTTTCTAAATATTTTTAATAGAGACGGGATTTCACCATGTTGGCCAGGCTGGTCTCGAACTCCTGACCTTAGGTGATCTGCCCGCCTTGGCCTCACAAAGTGCTGGGATTACAGGCATGAGCCACCGTGCCCGGCCTTGAGTTATTGTTATTATTATTATACTTTAGAGATAAGGTCTTGCTCTGTCACCCAGGCCGGAGTACAGTGGTGTGATCATAGCTCACTGCAGCCTCAAACAACTGGTCTCAAGTGATCCTCCTGCCTCAGCCTCCCCAGTAGCTGGGACTAGAGGCACAAGCCACCACACCCAGCTAATTTTTATTTTTTTGTAGAAATGGAGTCTCACTCTCTTTCTGGGCTTGTCTCAAACTCTTGGCCTCAAGCCTCCCTCCTTGGCCTCCCAAAGTGCTGGGGTTACATGCATGAGGCACCGCGCCTGGCCTATGCTTATCTTTTTAATAGGGTTTCATTAGAACACGGTTACACCATCCTCTTTTAGGGAGGCCTTTTTTGTGTTCAGTTGCCCCTCTGTGCATGACTCAACACAGCTGCCACCTGTTATAGGGGATCAGGCTGGGTGTGCTCAGGGTCTTCTGTCCTTGAACAGACTCTCCAGAGGCCCCACTCCCTTCTCCCTTGATGTGGCCTCTCTGATCTGCCACCTACCACTTTTTCACCTGGGTCCCTGTCCCCCAGGCCCTGCAGATGGAAGTTCAGCTATAGGGAAGAAACAGGCCTCAGTGGGGGCAGAAGATTCTGCTGCTGCAGGGGCCCTGGAGGACAGTGCGGGGCTGCAGAAGCTGCCAAAGGAGCTTTCACCTGCCCACCCCACGCCACATGTCCCCTGTGTGCTAGGACCCTCCTCAGCAAGAGAAGGAAAATGTCTACAAGTTCAAAGGGGGCAGGCACTGGAAGGTGATCCAGCACCAGGTATTACAGTCTCCAAAAGCTGCTTGCTGTAGCATCTGCTGGGGCTGAACCCACTGAACCATCCCCTAGACCCAGACCCCTCTTTTCAGGCTGTCCCCAGCTGAACTGTGTAGATGAGTTCACCAAAACATATGTGCTAGAAGGTTCGTAGGAGCTTTACTCACAATCCCAAATTGGAAACAACACAAATGTCTATTAACAATGTAATGGATAAATAAATTGTGCAGTTTACTCCAACAAAATAGTATACAGCAGTGAAGACGGACAAACTGTGGTTACCTGCAACAACCTGGATGAATCTTCATGTGAAGCAAAAGTGTGATTCCATTTATATACATTTCAAAAACAGGCAAAATCAGTCTATAGGATTAAAAGTCAGGCCGGGTGCGGTGGCTCACGCCTGTAATCCCAACACTTTGCGAGGCCAAGGTGGGCGGATCACGAGGTCAGGAGATCGAGACCATCCTGGCTAACATGATGAAACCCCGTCTCTACTAAAAATACACAAAATTAGCTGGGTGTGGTGGCGGGCGCCTGTAGTCCCAGCTGCTCAGGAGGCTGAGTCGGGAGAATGGCATGAACCTGGGAAGCGGAGCTTGCAGTGAGCTGAGATTGTGCCACTGCACTCCAGCCTGGGCAACAGAGCAAGACTCTGTCTCAAAAAAAAATAAAGTCAGGATTACCTTTGGAGGAGTGACTGGAAGGGGGAATGAGGTTTATGACCTAGGTGCTTTTTTCATAGTCATGTTCACTTTGTGATTTTCTTTGGGCTGTAGATTTATGACTTTAAAAAAAAAAAGGTTGCATAGGGTCGGACACAGTGGCTCATGCCTGTAATTCCAGCACTCTGGGAGGCTGAGGCAGGTGGATTGCTGGAGTCCAGGGGTTTGAGACCAGCCTGGGCAACGTGGCGAAACCCCGTCTCTACAAAAAATACCAAAAAATTAGCCAGGCATGGTGGTGCATGCCACCATGCAGTAGTCCCCGCTATTTGGGAGGCAGGAGAATCATTTGAACCTGGGATGCAGAGGTTGCAGTGACCTGAGATTGTCCCACTGCACTCCAGCCTGGGTGACAGAGCAAGACCTTTTCTTAAAAAAAAAAAAAGTAGGGGGGTTGCATACCATGATGTGTAATAAGTAAACATTGGAAATAACTTAAATGCCCACCGATAGGTAACTGATTAGGTATAGTGCCCCTTTGCAGTAGCATTCAATAATATAATCAGTCATTAAAGAGAATGAGGAAGCTCCTTATGTGCTGGTGTGGAATGATCTCTGGATACCCTGCTAAGTGAAAGGCAAGGCTCATGGTAACAAATACTGCACAATGTTCCCATTGCAAAGAGGCAGGAAATCATATGTATGTGGGGGTATATTTTCTTGCAGGTACATAAAATATTTTCAGACATATTTATAAGACACTGACAACCTTGGCTCCTTCTAAAGAGGGGCATTGGGTAGCTGGAGGAGCAGATTTTTCTCTGATAACCTGTTGCACCTTTTGAATTTGAAGCCGGGTAAATAAATTACCGACAGAAACCATAAAGTGGGTGGGGTTTGACTGCTAGTAAATGACTATTACCAGAGATTTTCATTCACTTGGAATGAAATAATTAAAGCAGCAAAGAAAGGCAATGCAGAGGTCAAATGTAACTTATAGAAATCATGGATTAATCTCAAAAACAGAAAAATGAAACGTTTAAACCTCTTTTGACTGAGCTTGCCAATTTACAGGAATTTATCGAAGAAAATGTTCACAGATGTCCTCTAAGATTTAACTGTGAGGATGTTCATCACGTTGCTGTTTATAAAAGAAAGAGGGAGGGGAAGACGAAAAAGATGAGGAGGAAGAGTATAAGAGCAAGGGGAGGAGAAGGAGGAGAAATAATGAAGGAAGGGAGGAAAGACAAAAACTCCTACTATATCGATACAGGAATATAGCTCTTTCATACCACAGAGTACTACTCAGCTACTAAAAGTATACTGAGGAAGGTTTAATGATATATAAGAAATACTCATGATGTGTTAGGTCTCAAAAGGCTTTTAAAAATAACACACAACATAATTTCTTTTTGGGAAAAATGTTCACACAGTGACAGCAAATAGTTATATAGAATTTACCATGCCAGGCACTATAATAAGTACTTTACACATGCTAGTTCATTTAATCTCTACAACTCTATGGAATAGATACTGTTATTATCTTCTTTTTACAGATGAGGACACTGAGGTGCAAGACGTTTGAGGTTATCCAAGTTATCCAGGGTCACACAACTGGTAAGTTGCAGGATTTGGACCCAGACAGCCTGCTTCTAACCAGCACTCTATACTGTTATGAGTATAGACTATGCAGTGAAGAATGACTATTGCTGAGACACTAAGACTACGGGTGTAATTCTGCTCAAAATATATTCTCCAATTTTTCCACAAAGAACAATGATAATTTTTAAAAAGCAATAAAACTCTTAGAAAAGGTGAGATATACAAAGAATCACTGTAGCACAGAATACACAGCCAGCTGTTTGTGTCCGCTGACAGTCCCTCCTTCAATTTAGGAAGGTTTTTCCAGAAGGACCTGGCTAGGTTTGAGACTGAGGGGAGTCCAGTGAATGATTTCTGTCCACATTGGGGCCACAGCTTGCTTGCTCGCTTGCTTGCTTTCCTATATTTTTATTTTCATTATAATTTCTTTTTGAGATAGGGTCTCACTCTTGTTGCCCAGGCTGGAGTGCAGTAGCATGATCTTGGCTCACTGCAACCTCTGCCTACCAGGTTCAAGCGATTCTCCTGCCTCAGCCTCCTGAATAGCTGAGACTACAGCCACGCACCACCACGCTCAGCTAATTTTTGTATTTTTTTAGAGAGGGGGTTTCATCATGTTGCCCAGGCTGGTTTTGAACTCCTGACTTCAGGTGATCTGCCCACCTCACCCAAAGTGCTGGGATTACAAGCGTGAGCCACCAGGTCTGGCCAGGGGGGCCACAGCTTTCAAAGGGAATGGCTTCCCCAGGACACAAGGGGGCCGTGGTGACAACTGTCTCACAGGGAGATCCCCCAGGAGAAGGAAGTTCGGGAAGTGGGTTGGAGATGCCTGTCCACAGGCCCTCCCTACCAGGTCTGAGCACTCAGCTCTGTTCCTGCCCATCCAGGGCAGGGGCTTATCTTACAAGGGAGACTGAGCTTCTCCTTTTAAAATCTGAGACATCCAGGCCCAATCTTAATGCCCCTATCAGCTCCTAGGAGGTGACTCCTGTCCCATCCAACAACCTAGATGCTGAGGCCAGCCTGGGAGGTATCCTAGATCCTCCCTTTCTCTCACCTCCTACACCCAATCCATTTGCAAGGCTGACTAACTCAACCTCCAAAAAATGTCCAGCACCAGACCCCTTCTCTCCATCTCCACTGCTAGCTACCACCTTGCTCCAAGCCCCATGACCTTCCTCCCTGATTACCACAGTCACCTTCAAACTAGTTTCTCTGCTTCTACCCTTGCTCCACCATCACCTGTTCCACATTCAGCATCCAGAATGAACATTCAAAAACAAATGGTATCATGGCTGGGCACAGTGGCTCATGCCTGTAATCCTAGCACTTTGGAAGAGTGAAATGGGAGGATTGCTTGAGGCCAGGAGTTCGAGATCAGCCTGTGCAACATAGTGAGACCCTATCTCTAAAAAAAAAATTAGCAGGAGGCTGAGGCAGGAGAATGGCGTGAACCTGAGAGGCAGAGCTTGCAGTGAGCTGAGATCGCGCCACTGCATTCCAGCCTGGGTGACAGAGCGAGACTCTGTCTCAAAAAAAAAAAAAAAAATTCAGCCGGGTGTGGTAGTGCGCGCCTGCAGTCCCAGCTACTCAGGAGGCTGAGATGGGAGGATCACTTGAGCCCAGGAATTTGAGGCTACAGTGAGCTATGATCGTGCCACTGTACTGCAGCCTGGGCAACAGAGCAAGACCCTGTCTCAAAAAAAAGAAAGAAACCAGCTCTCCTACTTAACTCTCTCTTCATGGCATTCAGAATAAAATCCTGCCAACAGCTGACCGTGGCTTCCAGGCCCCAGCCTCCCTCCATTTCCTCTGGTGCCATTCAGCTTCTCGCTTGCACTCTGGCCACACTGCCCTCCTTTCTGTTCCTGAAAACGTGTCAAATTCATCCTCTCTTCCTGGGACACTCTTTCTCTAAGTCATTCAGTCTCAACTCGTGGTTCCAGACCTTGAGGGGCTCACAGTTTTGGAGGGGGGTACTGTTGGGAACACAAATAATGGCATCTGGCATCACAGATGACTTGTGGAGAGATGGAACCCCATCACTTTGTGCAGTAATTATTTGGTAACAGCATTTACTCTCATCTGCCACCCTAGGCCCAGCCTGCAAGGAGTCCACAGCCTGTTAATAACCTTGGCATCTGTCCCTCCTCAGGGTACCCCTATTGTCCTAGGCTGGCTCTGCCACATCCACCTCTAGGATTTGGTGAAAAGCCTCCCACTGCTCTCTCCATCCCTTCCAAGTCCACCTTCTCCTGCAGACATGTGGCCTTCCTCGAGCCTATCTTCCTCAGCCCCTCAATTGCTAATTTGCCTCCTCCTGCTCTGACTCCTGTCTCACAGTTAGTTTTTCTGGCTCTTCCTCCTCCGCCCGCCCCTTAAGGTTGCTGTTCCCTAGGCTGTCTCTTCTCCCTCCATACGTTCTCCTTGGGCAATTTCATCTATGCTCAGATTCATACAATGATGCCTCAAATCGCCATCCACAGCTGAGACCTTCTCCTCATCCCCAGACCTCAGTAACACTCATTGGACCTTTCCCCTTGCACATCCCATAAGAACCTCAAAATCAGTGTTTCCCAAATAGACCTTCTCTTCCTCCACCCTAGGTCTGATCTTCATCCTATGTCCTTTGTGAATGTCACTCCACAGACCCAATTATCTGTAAGAAACTTGGAGTCATTGTAACAACTGCCTTGTCCTCAAAACCAACACACCCATTGGTCTTCTAAATAGGTCTCCAATCTTTCTCCTCCTCTCCATCCGCCATCCTTGGCATCTCTCACCTGGATCGCCTTCTTCCCGGGCTCCCTCCTCCCATCAAGCCTCCAACTGGTCCATTCTCCGCAGCAGCCTCCCAAGTCATCTTTCTAAACCCACATCTGACCCTGGTCACTCCCATGCCTGAAAGTGATTGTCCATCATCTAGGAATAAGACCCGAACTCCAAAGCCACTGTCAAGGCCCTCCATAAGCCAGCCCTAACTACTTCTCCAGGCTCCTCTCCCAACTGTTCCCACTTTTCAACCCTTTCTCCCTTGTTCTAGCACAGGCCATGGAATGTTGGAAAGCTGAAGCCAAAGTGATTTGATTCCGGTCACACAACAACAAATAATAATTGCTAACGTTTATTAAGTGTTTTGTTTGTGCCATGGTGTGCACGCAAATTCACAATCAATCCTTCAACAGCGCCATGAGGCAGTTATTATTATTGTCCCCATTTTATAGGTGAGTAAACCGAGACTCAGAAATCAGGTAATATTCCTGAGAGCACTTAGTTGGTAACACCACAGTCAGAATTTAAATTCAGGTTTTCTTTCTTTTTTTTTTTTTTTAGACAGAGTCTTGCTCTGTCACCCAGGCTGGAGTGCAATGGCGCAATCTTGGCTCACTGCAACCTCCGCCTCCCTGGTTCAAGGGATTCTCCTGTCTCAGCCTCCTGAGTAGCTGGGATTACAGGCATGCACCACCACGCCCGGCTAATTTTTTGTATTTTTGGTGGAGATGGGATTTCACCACATTGGCCAGGCTGGTCTTGAACCCCTGACCTCAGGTGATCTGCCCACCTTGGCCTCTCAAAGTGCTGGGATTATAGATGTGAGCCACCACACCTGGCCCAAATTCAGGTTTTCTGACCACTAAACTGTGCTGCCTCCAAAGGAATGGGTGGCAGAGCTGAGACTTAAATCAGATATCATCATTAATTCATTCAATAGACATTAATTAAGCACCTATATGCCAGGTACAGATTCCTGATCCAGGGCACTCATAATGCATTAAATTCCTCTGGGGCTGGGCATGGTGGCTCACACCTGTAATCCAGCACTTTGGGAGGCTGAGGTGAGTGGATCACTTGAGGTCAGGAATTCCAGACCAGCCTGGTCAACATGGCAAAACTCCATCTCGACTAAAAAATACAAAAATTAGCTGGGCACGGTGGTGGGCGCCTGTAGTCCCAGCTACTTGGGAGGCTGAGGCAGGAGAATTGTTTGAACCCAGGAGGTGGAGCTTGCAATGAGCCGAGATTGCACCACTGCACCCCAGCCTGGGCAATAGAGTGAAACTTCGTCTCAAAAAAAAAAAAAAAAAAGGAATAGTTCAACCCTTGTCCTCCTGATACCTCCAATCCATCCTCTCCACCAACAACCAGATCCGATCATGTTCCCCTCAGACTTGAAACACTTCAGAGCCTTTCTAGGTATAACACTAAACCCAGCAACCATAAAAGAGGGAATTTGCTTATAGTAAAAAGAAAATAATTTCCCCATGGGGGAAAAATCCATAGACAAAGTCAAAAGATAAACTGAGAAGCAATATTTGTAACTCATCTCACACACAGAAGGCTACCTTTCTTAGTAGATAAAGAGCTCTTACAAATCAAAGTGGAAAAATGCCATTACATTGATTTTCAAAATTTAAGAAATGACAGTTTAAAAATATATATATAATATAACAATTACATATATAAAAGAGGTATTCAATCTCATTCATAATAATAGAAAGGCAAATTACCACAATAAGAGAGTGTTTTCTATCAGGGTGGAAAAAAATGAAATATTTGATAACACACTCAGTTAACAAGGACATGGAGGAACAGGTACTATCATACATCGCTGGTGGGAGTGTAACTTTGTACAACGTCTGTGAAGGACACTGTTGATAGATCTGTCAAATTGTAAATGTATATACCACTTAACCAGCAATTCCCCTTCTAGGGCTTTATCCTTATACTTACATATGTATTAGATTATTTACATATAACATTATTAACTGAAGCATTATTATAGCAAAATATTGTAAATAAATATTATTTAAATTGTGATGCACCTATAGAAAAGTTTATTACGTGGCTGTTAAGAAAAAGGTGGCTCTTTATACACTGATATGGAACTATCTCCAAGATGTATTGTTGAGTGAAAAAGCAAGCCACAGAACCAAATGTTTAGTATATTACCATTAGCAGTGGCTTGGAAATATGTCCACAAATTCTTTGATATTCCTCCCTTCAAGAGAAGGATCCTAATTCTCCTCTTCTAGAATGTGGGCTGGATTTAGGAACTTACTTCTTGTAATAGAGTGTGGCAGAAGTGATGGTGTGTGATGTCTGCTATCAGGACATAAAAGGCAGTGTGATAGCCAGAACAACCTTGAAAATGAAGAACAAAGTTGGAGGACTCACACTTTCTGATTTCAAACTGACTAGAAAGTGACAGTAATCAAGACAGCCTGGGTTGGTCATAGTGGCTCATGCCTGTCATCCCAGCAATTTGAGAGGCTAAGAGGGAGGACTGCTTGAGCTCAGGAAGTTGAGACCAGCCTGGGCAACATAGCAAGAATCTGTCTTTTCAAAAATTTAAAAAAAAAAAAAATTAATGAGGCATGGTGGTGTATGCCTGTGGTCCCAGCTACTGGGGAGGCTGAGGTGGGAGGATCAGTTGAGTAAGGCTACAGTGAGCCGTGATCACACCACTGCACTCCAGCCTGGGCGACAGAGTGGGACCCTGTCTCAAAAAAAAATAATAATAAAAAATAAGAAATGAAAATAAATTTTAAAAATAAAATAATTTTTTTTTTTGAGATGGAGTCTCACTCTGTCACCCAGGCTGGAGTGCAATGGCATGATCTCAGCTCACTGCAACCTCTGCCTCCTGGGTTCAAGCGATTCTCCTGCCTCAGCCTCCCTGAGTAGCTGGGATTACAGGTGTGTGCCAGCACACCCAGCTAATATTTTTTGTATTTTTAGTAGAGACGGGGTTTCACCATGTTGGTTAGGCTGGTCTCGAACTCCTGGCCTCATGATCCACCCACCTTGGCCTCCCAAAGTGCTGGGGTTACAGGCGTGAGCCACCGCACCCGGCAAAATAAAAATTTTTAAAAGACAGTCTGGTCTGGCATAAGGATAGACATATAGACCAATGGAATAGAATTGAGAGTCTAGAAAGCAATCTATGTATCTATAGTCAATTGACATTTGACAAGGGTACCAGAACCATTCAGTGGAAAAAGAACAACCTTGGTGCTGGGAAACTGAATAGCCACATGCAAAAGAATGATGTTGGACCCTGTATGTCACACCGTATACAAATATTAACTCAAAGTGGATCAAAGGCTGGGCACCATGGCTCGCGCCTGTAATCCCAGCACTTTGGGAGGCCAAGGCGGGTGGATCACATGAGGTCAGGAGTTTGAGACCAGCCTGGCCAACATGGTGAAAACCTGTCTCTACTAATAATGCAGAAATTAGCCAAGTGTGGTGGCGTGTGCCTGTAATCCCATCTAATAGGGAGGCCGGGGCAGGATAATCACTTGAACCTGGAGGGCAGAGGTTGCAATGAGTCGAGATCGCACCACTGCACTCCAGCGTGGGTGACAGAGCAAAATTTCGCCTCAAAGAAAAAAAAAATGGATCAAAGACCTAAATGTAAGAGCCAAAACGACAAAACCTTTAGAGGAAAACAGGGGTAAATCTTTGCAATCTTGGATTTGGCAAGCCACTTTGGGAACATCTGTCAGTTTCTCAAAATTTTAAATACAGAGTTCTCATTTGTCCAGGCAATTCTACTTCTAGGTAAGTACCCAAGAGAAATGAAGGCATGTGTCTACCTAGAAACTTGTACACAAGGCCAGGCGTGGTGACTCATGCCTGTAATCCCAGCATTTTGGGAGGCCAAGGAGGGAGGATCACCTGAGGTCGAGAGATCGAGACCAGCCTGGCCAACATGGTGAAACCCCATCTCTACTAAAACTACAAAAATTAGCCAAGTGTGGTGGCATCTGCCTGTAATCCCAGCTACTTGGGAGGCTGAGGCACAAGAATCGCTTGAACCCAGGTGGTGGAGCTTACAGTGAGCTGAGATCCCACCACTGCACTCCAGCCTGGGCACCAGAGCGAGACTCTGTCTCAAAAAGAAAAAAAAGAAATTTGTATACAAATGTTTATAGCATTCTTCATAATAGCCAAAAGGTGGAACAACCCAAATGTCCATCAGCTGATGAATGGATAAACAAAACATGGTATGCCCATTCAAGGGGATATTATTCAGCCATAAAAAGAAATGAAATATTGATATGTGCTCTAACATGAATGAACTTTGAAAATGTTATGCTAAGTGAAAAAAGTCAGTCACAAAAGACTATATAGTGCCCTGACATGGTGGCTCACACCTGTAATCCCATCACTTTGGGAGATCGAGGTGGAAGGATTGCTTGAGTTCAAGAGTTCAAGACCAGCCTGGGCAACATAGAGAGACCTCGTTTCTACCAAAGTTTTAAAAAAATTAGCCGGGCATGGTGACACGTGCCAGTAGTCCCAGCTACTTGGGAGGCTGAGATGAAAGGATCGCTTGAGCCCGAGACTGAGGCTGCAGTGAGCTATGATTGCAACACTGTACTCCAGCCTGGGTAACAGAGCAAGGCCCTATCTCAAAAAAAAAAAAAAAAAAAAGTCACATGTTATATGATCCCATTTATATGAAGTGTCTAGAATAGGCTAATACATAGAGACAGAAAATAAATTAGTGGTTGCTTAGGGCTGAGAAGGAAGGAGGGTCAGGGGTTAATGGGTGATAGCTAAAGTGCATGAGGTTTCTTTCTGAGATAATGAAAAATATCCTAAAACTGGTTGTGGTCATGGTTGCATAACTCCATGAATGTATTAAAAACCATGTAATAGTTCACTTGATATGGGTGAATTATATGACATATGAATTATATCTCAATACAACTGATACCACAAAAAGGGGGTGGGCAGTGTGGCTTCTTCCTTTTTCTCTCTCGGAGCACTCATTCTCAGGTCTCCTGCCGGCACCCACATGAATGAACTTAAAAGTGGGTCCTCGGCCGGGCATGGTGGCTCACGCCTGTAATCCCAGCACTGTGGGAGGCCGAGGTGGGCGGATCACGAGGTCAGGAGATCGAGACCATCCTGGCTAACATGGTGAAACCCCGTCTCTACTAAAAATACAAAAAATTAGCTGGGCGTGGTGGCGGGCGCCTGTAGACCTAGCTACTCGGGAGGCTGAGGAAGGAGAATCGCAGAACCCAGGAGGCGGAGCTTGCAGTGAGCCGAGATCGCACCACTGCACTCCAGCCTGGGCAACAGAATGAGATTCTGTCTCAAAACAAAAAAAAAAGAAAAAAAAAGTGGGTCCTCTAGCCCAGTTATCCTTAGGATGACTGTAGCCCCAGCTGAGGTCTTGGTTGCAACTTCATGAGAGACCCTGAGTCATAGCTACCTGCCCATCTAAGCTGCTCCCAAAGTACTCTGACTTTATAGAAACAAATATCATAAATGCTTGTTGACTCAGGCGACTACGTTTTGGGGTGATTTGTTTGTTTTTGGTTTTGGTTTTTTTTTTTTTTTTTTTGAGTCAACATCTCACTCTGTCACCCAGGCTGGAGTGCAGTGGCACAATCACGGCTCAGTGCGGCCTTGACCTCTCTGGGCTCAGGTGACCCTTCCATCTCAATCTCCTGAGTAGGTGGAATTACAGGCGTGTGCCACCATGCCCAGCTAGTTTTTGTAGAGATGGGGTTTCACCATGTTGCCCAGGCTGGTCTCAAACTCCTGGGCTCAAGTGATCAGCCCACCTCAGCCTCCCAAAGTGCTAGGATTACAGATGAGTGCCAGTGCACCCAGCCTGGGGTAATTTGTTATGCAGCTATAGATAAATAATACTCTAATTATGTAAAAACACCATTTGCATTTGCTTGCATATTTAAGAAATTTCTTGGAAAGGGTACTCAAGAAACTGGTAATGGGGGTTGTCTCTGGGAGAAACAGGTGGGGGAGAGGATGGAAAGGAGACTTATGTCTGCCTGTGTACCCTTTTTACCTTCCAAATTTTGTCTCTTGTACATGTATTACTTTTCCAAAGAGTCAAAAGTCTGGAAATAATTACAATAAAAATTAAAAAAAAAAAACCCTTTAACAATGAACTGCTGTCTACAAGTAAAGTCTGGGGTCAGGCATGGTGGCTCATGCCTGTATCCCAGTACTTTGGGAGGTCGAGGTAGGTGGATCACCCAAGGTCAGGAGTTCAAGACCAGCCTGGCCAACATGGTGAAACCCCGTCTCTACTAAAAATACAAAAATTAGCTAGGCATGGTGGTGGGCACCTGTACTCCCAGCTACTCGGGAGGCTGAAGCAGGAGAATTGCGTGAACCCGGGAGGCAGAGGTTGCAGTGAGCCGAGATCAGACCACTGCACTCCAGACCAGGCCATAGAGTGAGACTCTATCTCAAAACAAACAAACAAACAAACAAAAACAAATAAAGTCTAAACTCCTTACCATGACTTAGAAGGTCTCTACAATCCAGCTCTGGCCCACTTCCCCAGTCTCAACTCTTACCTTTCCTGGCCTAGTTGCTTAGAGTCCCCAGATACAGCTACTATTCCCACCTCCATGCCTGTGATCATCCTGTTCCTCTTTCCTACCCATCCTTTAAGACTCAGCTCAAATGTTACCCTTTTGGGAAGACTTCCCTGGCTCTCTTTAACTGTGTTGGAAGTCCCCTCCCTGCCCTCAGAATACCCTGTACATGAATCTCCCATTTCATGTATTGTACCATATTGTGATGATCTGTTTTTGTTCCTGCCTCTCCCATCAGACTATGAGCTCCCTGGGAGCAAGGATTCTTACTCAGGATTTCTAGAGGCTAGCACAGTGCCTGACACACACACACGACACGGTCAGTAAAGGGTTGATGTGAGAAACACAAGAAGAGGGGTGGGGAGAGGGAAGTGAGGCAAAAGTAAAGGGAGGGAAGGAAAGGAGAACAGAAGAGAGGAAAGAAGGTAAAACAGTGACTCAAAAGTACTAAAAAAGAGAGAGGAAGGAAGGGAGAATTGGGGGAGGAAGAAAGAAATGAGGGAGGAACAGAGGAAAGAGGGAGAGGAGGAGGGAAAGCGGAAAGAAATTCTCTCAATGTGTTTATCAGTATCACGCACATACAACAAAGACAGTGGAAGAATAAAATTCCAAATCAAATCTGAAACAAGACCCAGGGCAATGTGCTGGGCATGGTGGCTCAGGCCGGTAATTCCAGCACTTTGGGAGGCCAAGGTGGGAGGATCACTTAAGGCCAAGAGTTGAACAGTCTGGGAAACATAGTGAGACCCTGTCTCTACAAAAAATAGAATAAAGGCCAAGGTGAGCAGATCACCTGAGGTCAGGAGTTCAAGACCAGCCTGGCCAACATGGTGAAACCCCATCTCTACTAAAAAATACAAAAATTAGCTAGAAATTGTTTGAACCCAGGAGGTGGAGGTTGCAGTGAGCCAAGATCATGCCATTGCACTCCAGCCTGGGCAACAGAGTGAGACTCCATCTCAAAATAAATAAATAAATAAGATAAAATAAAATAAAATAAAATAATTAACAAGGCATGGTGGTGTGTGCCTGTAGTTCTAGCTACTGAGGGAGCTGAGGTGGGAGGATTTCTTAAGCCCGGGAGCCCAGGGTTACAGTAAGCCATGATCGCACCACTGCACTCCAGCCTGGACAACAGAGCCAGACTCAGTTTCAAATAAAAGAAAAGAAAGAAAGAAATGGAGAGAAATGTAGATGAATATTCTATGCCATAGTGATGGGAGTTCCTGGTTGAGGTTCCTAGCCCAGAGACCCTGATAATTAAGAACACACATCTGGGCCAGGTGCAGTGGCTCACACCTGTAATCCCAGTACTTTGGGAGGCCGAGGCCAGCGGATCACTTGAGGTCAGCAGTTCGAGACCAGCCTGGCCAACATGGTGAAACCCTGTCTCTACTAAAAATACAAAAAATTAGCCAGGTGTGGTGGCACGTGCCTGTAATCCCAGCTACTCAGTAGGCTGAGACAGAAGAATCGCTTGAACCCGGGAGACAGAGATTGCAGTGAGCTGAGATCGCACCACTGCACTCCAGCCTAGGTGACAGAGGGAGACTCGGTCTGAAAAAAAAAAAAAAGAAAAAGAAAAAAAGAACACACAACTGGAAGGCTGAAAGGTACTCACTTCTAGATCCCCCAAACCCCTCTACCTGCCTCCTCCCACCTCCAGGGTCCACCAGCTTCCATTCCATTCTACACATTCTATTCTCTGCTGCGGTCCAGGTACCAGGGTGGTGCCTGGCACACAATAAGCACTTAGTATTGAATGAATGTGGTCAGAACCACCTCCCTTCCATGGAATGAGGATAGGTCTGGGTACAAGTCTCACTCTGTCACCATGAACTTGTCCCTTCTCTCTGAGACTCAGACCCAGTCCTTACATCTTTAAAATGAGGGAGTTGGGGAAGTGGATTGATAAGACTCTTTCCAGCTGACAGTTTATGCCTTCTTAAGCCCTTTGGTCATCCCAGCAAGTCCAAACTCTAAGTGTCAAAGATCCCTCACAAACTGCTCTTCCCTCGGACTATGTCACAAGAGTAACAGCGACTATGTATTGAATGCTTCTCATACACCAGGACCACACTCAGCATTTTACTACCTTCATTTCCAAAGCAGGTGCAATGATAATTTCTATTTTTATAGATGGAGAAACTGAGATTCAGAGAGGCAAACCCATTTCTCCAAGGCCCACAGTTGGAAAGTGGAAGAGCAGGGATTCTAAGTCCTCTATTCTTGGTTCGTTTTGTTTTATTTTTGAGACACGGTCTGGCTCTGTTGCCCAGGCTAGAGTGCAGCGGCATGATCATGGCTCACTGCAGCCTCAACCTCCTGAGCTCAAGTAATCCTCCCACCTCAGCCTCCTGAGTAGCCGGGACCACAGGCGAGTGCCACCACATCCGGCTAATTTTTAAATTATTTGTAGAGATGGGGTCTCACTATGTTGCCCAGGCTGGTCTCAAACTCCTAGACTCAAGCAACCCTTCTGCCTCAGCCTTCGAAAATGCTGAGATTACAGGCCTGGGCCACTGTGCCTGGCCATAAGTCCTGTGGTCTTACACGACTAGCACATACTTATCCTGGCACCCCCGACCCTTAACCACACTTCACCTTGAATCTCAAACCCAGTTGGGAGTGTCCCCCGGCTAACTACACCGGGCCCACAGGTAACATTTAGTCCATGGAGATTATAGCTCTGTAATTTGTGTATTCACTTCCTGGGTTCCAGTTCAGTGATACAAACAGGTTCTAGATCTGTATTAGACTTGCGTTGAGTTTTAGCTCCACCTTTCACTAAATGTGTGACCTTGGAGCAAGTTATTTCAACAGATGAGGATTAAATGACAACGAGTGTGAAAACGTCTAGCATAGAAGCTGGCACATTGGATATTCTTAGTAAATGGGAACAACCGGGTAAAAAACGTAGCAGAGATATCCTGCCTCTCTACTTAGTTAGCAGTTGACTCTTCTGGCAAAAACATGCTGTTGCTATCCCCACAATTAATCCTCCTTTAACCAAGATCTCGGAGATTTTTGTTCTTTGTTTTGTTTTGTTTTGTTTTGTTTTCTTTTATTGAGACAGGGTCTCACTCTGTCATCCAGGCTGGAGTGCAGTGGCATGATCATGGCTCACTGCAACCTCCGCCTCCCAGGCTCAAGCGATCCTCCCGCCTCACCCTCCTGAGTAGCTGGGACTACAGGCACATGCCATCACAACTGGCTAATTTTTGTATTATTTGTAGAGACAGGGTTTCACCATGTTGCCCAGGCTTGTCTTGTACTCCTGAGCTCAAGTGATCAGCCTGCTTCAGCCTCCCAAAGTGCTGAGATTACAGGCATGAGCCACCGAGCCTGGCTGATCTCCGGTTTTAGAGTCAGACATATGGAGTTACAATTCGGGCTCCACCACTTACCAACTGTATGACCTTGGACAAATGACTTTTTCCTCTTTGAAGCTCAGCTTGATCTCACCTATACAATATGAATAATGGTACCTACTCCACAAGATTGTTGTGAGTATCAAATTATATAATGCATGTAAAATGTTAGCTATTTTTCTGTAATAATGATAACAGTCATAGCAGTATCCAACTGCTGCTGATTAAAGTCGAAATTCTTTGACCCAGCATACTGTGGCCCCCATAATTCCTTCCTCTCCTCTCCTCATGCTGCTCCCCTATGTGGATGCCACACTCAAGCCAGATGTGTCTTTCTCACCGCTGTGTCTTTGCCCATGATCTTCCTCTCCATTCAGGATGCTCTCTCATACCTCCCACCTGGTAACACCCTGCCCAGCTCAAGCCTCGCTTCCCAACTAAGCTGGCAGCCCCCTCTGCTGCTCCGGGTTTCCATGGCATTTCCAGCCCGCACATATTAGTGCTCAGACTGCCCAGGGGAAAACTTCTGTTGGCGCTTGTCTTGCCCATGCTACCCCTCTTCCAGTGCTCACACTTGATTTATCTTTGAGGGAATTGGCCTTTCTCCACTATCAGTCCATGTGTGGTTCCAGGGATAGGCATGTGGCTCGGGCCTTAGACAGAGTCACCATGATTAATTAAGAGGTGGACACTTGACCAAGCTGGGCCAATCTGGCTCAGCCCTGGAACGTTTGCTGGAATTATTCTTTTTCCACAAGCACTGCTAAGCTGAAACAATGTAAATTAGATCTACTAGTAGCCTTATTTGTCACCTTGAAGACAGAAGTGGATTTAAAATGAGCGAGCACAGAGGAACCAAGAAATGGAGAGAGACAGATTCTTCATGGCGTGATTTGAACATCTGGATCTGTCCATGCCCGAAGCCAAATACTCCTGACTTTCAAATTAAGTGAGCCGATAAACCCTAGCCTCTTTATTTTTTTCTAATTTATTTAAGCCAGCTCGAGTTGGGTTTCTGTCATTTGCCACTGAAAAACTGCTGACTAATATAGTGACGTAACTAGACAGTATGCTCCCTGAGAGCAGGAATTGCATTTTATAGACCTAAGATCCTTGGAGACAGGGATGATGTCTTATGCATCTCAGTATTACAGGACTAAGCATAGGGATGGTTATAGAGCTGGTGAAGAACAAACAAAAGAATAAATATCTTTTTGTATTTTCCCAATGCCCCCATGCTCTGCACTCAGAAGACCCTAAAATACTTGAATAAAAGTTAACAGGAACAGGCCAGGCATGGTGGCTCATGCCTGTAATCCCAGCATTTTGGGAGGCTGAGGCGGGTGGATCACCTGAGGTCAGGAGTTTGAGACTAGCCTGGCCAACATGGCGAAACCCCATCTCTACTAAAAATACAAAAAATTAGCCAGGCGTTGTGGCAGGCACCTGTGATCCCAGCTACTCAGGAGGCTGAGGCAGGAGAATCACTTGAACCCAGAAGGCGGAGCTTGCAGTGAGCCAAGATCATGCCATTGCACTCCAGCCTGGGCAACAAGAGTGAAACTCCGTCTCAAAATTTAAAAAAAAAGTTAACAGGTACAAAATCATATGAGAGGCACTTTAATTCTTATCTGACAAAAACAGAGCCCTTTGATTCTCCACAGTTCCTCTGAGGATGACTGATTTATCACTTTCTGAATGGAATGATCTTGATGAAAGAGTTGTCCCAGGATCCCCACAGGGCTGAAAGAGATACTTTATTTTTTACTTATTTTATGTTATTTTTTGCAGAGACAGGGTCTTGCTATGTTGGCCAGGCTAATCTCCAACTCCTGGCCTCAAGCAATCTTCCCACCTCAGCCTCCCAAAGTGCTGGGATTATAGGCATGAGCCACCATGCCTGGCCAAGAGATACTTTAAATCACCTTATCTACCTGCTCCCAGTCCCCTATTGTACAAATGGGAAATTGAGATTTAAACTAAAAGGCTTACTTAACACTGCATGGTGAGTCACAGACCCAAGTCAGCCAAGAACCCCCACCCCAAGACTCGTAGTCCAGTGGTCTGGCTTCTGGCCTGGTGTCACTTTATTAAGCAAAGTGAATCAGTCACTCACCCAGAGAACTCAGAAATCTCTGAACAAAATGGAATAAACTGCTCAACTCTGCCAACTGCCCCCTCAGCCCACATGGGTGGGGCAGTAATGCAAGCAAAAGTGCCCTGGGCCAGAAGTCAAGGACCCCCGGCTGTAGAACTAGCTTCCTCCCTTAACAGCTGTGTGACCTCAAGTAAGCCCTTCCCATCTCTATACTCAGTTTCCTCTCTCTAAAACAGGGGGAGGGGAAGGTGGGATTTGAAGGAGCTGATCTCTAAGGTGCCTGAAATTCTATTATTATATGGGGGTTGTTGGACAATTCATCAAATCCCCAGGATTAAACCCACACAGATTACAGAGAATTTGAAAGCCAAGAGGTCAGCAACCCATCTGCAGACTCCAAATTAAGGTTGATGAGTTGAGGATTCCAGCTTGCCTTTGCAGGAGAAATAGAATAGAAATACATAATATCACCTCCCTGGGTACCACAGAGAAGTATGGAGCCATATCCCCCATATCCTATAGTTCACCTTTCCCACCCTCTTCAAAGATCCACATCTAAATTGAGTTGGGTGAGATGAATTTGAAACAAGCCCATTAGAATGTCCACATCTGCCTTCTTCAAAATAGTCCTTTTAGGAGTTTGGGCAATTCTTCCAATGAGGCAGTAATTCCTCCCTGGATTTGTAAAAGTCCTCTTGTGGAAACAGACCAGCCTCATGACTTTGTCCTCACACCTTGGCTGTCATTCCAAGTGACAATTATCAATTTGATGACCCATCGTATTCTCTATACTTGATCTGGAGTGACTTCCAGCCATTTCCAAAAGTTACATTCCTCCTTTAAAAGATAGAGGTTTCTCCTCAATGAAGATATTCAAGTGATTACACCCCATGCTCCAAAGCTAATTCCCTGCAATGCTCTGAACAATGGAATCATCAGCAAGTGATATAATGCCTCCTCCAGGGGGTCTCTTTTGGAATGGCAGTCACTTGTTGAATGTCCTGAGGTGCTTATTTTAAAAAACCATCTCTGCTGCATGATAATCACATTTCCCCCTTCTCTTTCTCATCCCTGGAAGACTCCAAACTTTTCCCTTCACTAGCTCTCCTCCCCCACCCCTCCCATCCCCTGGCCCCACTTTCCCCAGTCCAACTCTCTTCCCTGCCAGCAATTAGGCAAAAGCCCAAGTTGCTGAGTCTTCAAAATCTATCTCTGATCGAAAGGTGGGTGGAAGTGGGGGACTCTAATGGATCCTGGAAAACTGTCTCAGCATTTCTCATTCCCAAAAAGCCCTTCTCTGGTTCTTAGGGTAAGATGACTGTCTTGGTCAAACATTTCGGAGGGTCTCAGGGACTCACTCCCATTGGGCATGGCACCAGAACTTTCTTGCATGGTGCAGGGGTGGGAGTGGGGATGGAGACCTGCCCTCCAGAGACCCATATCACCCAATGCTTTCAACCACTCACATCTCAAACAGTGGATAAGCACAATAGACAGCCTCTCCCCCTTATCACAGCATTTTAAAGGTTACAAAACACTCTTTCATTTGTCCTTTTGGAATCTTCTCCCCTGTTTTACAGATGAGGAAACCGAGCCTCAGAGAAGTAAAGTGAAACACCCAAGTTGATAGTGTCAACAAATTAAAAGTCCAAGCCAGATCTCTTGATTCACCATTTCATGCTTTTTTTCAACATAACAGAAATTGATCATACCTACAGTAACCCCTCACTCAGATAAATATTTCCCCCAAGACAGCCAACAGAGACCCTTAGAGACACTAACTTAATGCTAACCGAGCAATAAATGCAGCGTACCCATACCCAAGCATACAGACCCACCCACCCAGTCCCAAGGCTCTGTCCCCTGCCCTAAGGTGTCTCTCTGCAGCGTACCCCCTCCCCAATACCCACTGAGGGTCCGTCAGCCAAAGAGGTGAGTGTCTTAACACAGAGAAGCAGAATCTATCCGACTCCTTCAGGAAGGGGACCTGGCAGGAAGGAGCCCCGTCCCTGGCGCTTGTTCTGGGAGTTCCGTCCACCCCCTCCCCTACCTGCCAAGAGCTGCATCCAGGCGCAGATCTTGTAGACCGTAGCCGTGTTGCAGAAGAAGAAAAGCGAAAAGCAGGTGATGCAGCCGAGGATCAGCACCATGGAGAGCAGCACGAAGAAGGCGGCCGCCTTGAAGGCGCTGGACGGGATGGTGCTGAAGTCGGTGAAGGAGCCCCGGCAGGTGAGCTCGCGGCCCGCCAGCCCGCTGCCCACGCAGTAGTGGAAGAGGCCGAAGTAGCCAGGCTTGGGGGTGCTCACGCTGTCGCCCACCCAGTAGGGCTGGATGAAGACCACCACGTTGATGATGGCGAAGCAGATGGTGAAGATGGCCCACAGCACGCCGATGGCCCGCGAGTTCCGCATGTAGTGCTCGTGGTAGAGCTTGGAGGCCTCCTGCGAGGGCAGCATGGTGCCCGGAGGCGGGGCCGGCGGCGGCGGCGGCTGGCGGGGGCCGCCGGCCCGGGACGGAGCGCCGGGCTGCCGGGCGGGAGCTGGGGACGCACGCGAGAAGCGGCCCTGAGTCAAGGAACCCGCGAGGGCGGGGCCTGGGGCAGAGCTGGGGGCGTCTGGGAGCTGCTAAGGGAGAGAGGAAGGGGTCATGAGAGTGTTGAGGCCGTGTCTAGGGGGACTGGCAAAGGTCTCCTACTGGGGGGCCTAGGAGGGGGCCATGAGAAAGTTGGGGGGCGCCTAGGATGGGGATATGAGACCTGGAAGTGCGGGGGGAGGTGCTTGAAAGTGGCCATGGGGGAGTTGGGGAGGGGGTTTGAGAGCTGGTATTACGGGAGTAGGAGGGGACAAGGGGAGGTGGAATGGAGGCTGGAGACTGGTGTTGGAGGACTAGCAGAGGGGCTGAATTTAGGGAGCTCAGAAGGGAATTTGGGGACTGGTATTAAGGGGTAGAAGGAGGTCTGGTATTGGGTGTCTAGCAAGGGACTATGAGGCGGTGGTGGGCGCTTCTAGGATGGGGGAAGAGGGAATTTAAGAGGCTGGGACTGGGTGGTTGGGAAGGTAATATGGGGGCTGGGACGGGGAATGGGGGCTGGTATGAGGGTCTAAGAGGGCAAAGTGGCAGAATTAGGATACAGCTAGAGCGGGATCGGGGGCTGGGACTGCTGGACACGGGGCGAGGAAGGGGGGGCTGTCCTCAGAAGCCAGGGCTGGAGGTAGGCTGGAGGGAGCCTAGGATTGGCGGGCCAGGGTTGGAGAGAGGGGGTTTCCAGGCCAAAGGAACGAAAGACCGGGGCCGGTGAGCAGCGGGGCCCGCGAGGAGCAGGCGGTGGGCAGGGGCTGTCCCCGGGGGGCTGGGGAGCGGCCGGGCCCGAGTAGGGCCGGGGTTGGGGGGGCGGCTGCCCCGCGCCCAGGCCGGACGCGCGCGAGGCTGCGGCCGCGGGGAAAGGGTGCGGGGAGACCAACCTGGGCACGGCCGGAGGCAGCGGATCCGGGACTGGCACGGCCTAGGCGCCGCGGCTCGGCGCTCCCAGCAGCGGCTGCCTCGGCCCAGGCGGCGGCCTCTGCGCGGCCTCCATCTTGCTCGGGTTCTCCCCGGGGCGCGCTCCCGCGCCGAGGCGCGCGCTCTCGTGCACCGGCGCGGCCCGGCGGAGGCGCGCTCCCGAGCGGGCGTGCGGGACGGGGCGGGGCGGAACCGGGGAAGGGTGCTCCTGGTTCTGGCAGTTGGGGGGAAGGGTGGCCACGATACCTGGGGTCCCCCAGCCGGGGCAGCAAGCACACCTCCACAGTAGGGCCCCCGATGTAGGGGACTCCCTTCTTCCAGCCTGAGCTAAGGGGCTGTGAGGCCCCACAAAGCCTATGGGAGTGGGGAAGGAGCTGGAGGGGGTATTATTTGACAGGATTTGAACGGATCTCTTACTCCCAATTACCTCCCCTGGAACCTATCACAGTGCCTGAAGTTGCACCATTACGCTTTCAGTCCTTTGGGTCTTGGAGGCGTTGAAGGTTCCCAGAGTCTCCTAGGAAACTGCCAACACCCCTGGGAGAGGGAACCCCTTAAACTGGTAGCAGCCCACGCCTGCGATGGGGATTCGTTGGCTGCCAGGGCAAGGAGCGAGGCCTGGGGAACCAGACCCGGAGTGAGTACTAGGGGACAGGAGAGAAAGGGGCTGGGACATTTTTGGTTTCCCTCCCTACACTCTCCCCTGCCCCCAGCTCAGCGCCTGGCATGAAGTAGGCACACCATAAAGATGTGTTAAGGAAAAAGCATCAAAGGCCAGGCACAGGGTTAGGTCACAGAACACCCCAGGCGCACCCCAAGGGGGAGCCGGCGTGGTTCATTTCTTTCCCTGCTGGAAAATAGCCTTTGGCTTAGGATCTGTCAAGATGATGTGGGTTTGAACCCAGACAAACTGAGTCTAAAACTGTCTCTGTGACCTTGCACTACCACTCTGTCTAAACCTCTGTTTCCTCATCTGTAAAGTGGGCAGCTTAAGTCACACTTCACAGGCATGTAAGTGGGGTGGGGTGGCAAAAAGCAATCCATGTTAGCAGGTCTCAAATACTGGACCCCATACACGGGTCAATCTCAAAATGTGTATCTGGAGCTGGGCACAGTGTCTTGTGCCTGTCATCCCAGCTACTAGGGAGGGTAAGGTGGGGGGACCATTTGAGGCCAGGAGTTCAAGGCTGCTGTGGGCTATGATCGTGCCACTGCACTCCAGCCTGCGCTACAGAGACAGACCTCGTCTCTAAAAGAAATTTCAACAAGAAATGCAATTTTATCTGCAAAAAAAAAAAAAAAAAAAAATCATGTAAGATTGCCAACTGTCTTTTTTCCAGTGGGGAAGTCGGACTGCTCTTTTTGTTTTGAGATTATGTATTTCCTACTTGCTTCTTGCAAAAAAAAAATTCACTTCTTTTAAGAAATAGTGGTGATAGTTAACGGGAGGTTTTTTAAATGTCTTTATTTGCCAAAATAAAAAGTAGATAGCCTATTTCAATCCCAAATTTTATTAAAGTTATGGATCCATAAAATCCCACAATTTGGAGACCTGGGAACCACGTGAATTAGTCTCATTCAGCGCTTGAACATGAGGTGCTCAATAAATTTGATTTCCCCTTCCATTTGGCTTCTTGAGACGCATCTTGGCTGTTTCCTGAGAACCCTGTGATCCTGGAATCATGAGCTGCAGGGTCTGTGGAGAGTGTTTCTTTCTATACCTTCTCCCACTTTACAGATGGGGAACAGAGGTCAAAGAAGGGGGTTGACTTATCCAGAGAGGTAGATAGATCCTGCCAGTCAGACTGATCAACCTGGTTCATTAATTTATTCAATCATCCTATAAATGTGTGAGGCCCCTGTCATGTGCCAGGCACAGTTACCAGGCTAAGCACTGGGGAGAAGGTGGTCAGTAAAACAGACGTGGTCCCTGCCGGTGAGCTCTCATGGAGCTCACAGCTTCACAGGGAGATGGAAGATGCTGAGGGCAGGGAGCAGGGAGGTGGCCATCATCAAAGAGCATCTCAGAGTCCCCTCTGGGGCTGCTCCTGGTTTGGGTCCTGCCCTGAACATACCAGGTTATTCATTACTCTTTACTCCATACTCTGCTTGAATTATTGCCTTATTGTCTAGCCTGCTGAGCCAAGCTAAGCAGTCCTGGGAAAAAATCATAAAAGTCCACTTATTACTCTTCCTCAAGGCAAGAAGTGAGACTTCTTGCTAAGATGGACCCCCAGTTCCTCTGTGGTTGCTCTGCAGAGCAAAGACACCCTGTAGAGATCCACCTACCACCCACTCACTTCTGACAACAGTGCTTTTTATTTGAAGAATCTTCTTTCTCCTCACTTGATCCCTTAGTGGGTCTCTCTCTCTCTCTCTTTCTCTCTCTCTCTGTCACACACACACACACACACACACACTCCATACTTCACTCCAGAGGGGGCAAATGATCAGGCCTGGACAATGAGAATACTCCATTGTCCTGGACACAGTGACTGGTTCATGAGTGGGCCCATAACCCAAGTCAAAGAGTTGAGAATGATATCCAGCTCATGCATTGCCGTTTACAGAAAAGGGGTGTTCTCTTTCTATTGAGTGTGTTGAACTGAGGGAATTGTGAGCTGAAGCTAGTGGAGACAGAGCTTCAGCAGAGAGCTTGTCTAAGAATAAGGTCGACACAAAGGGAAGCTATGAAATGGAGAGGGAGGCCAGGCACGGTGGCTCACACCTGTAATCCCAGCAGTTCGGGAGGCCGAGGCAGGCGGATCACTTGAGATCAGGAGTTTGAGTCCAGCCTGGCCAACATGGCAAAACCCCATCTCTACTAAAAATACAAAAATTAGCTGGGCATGGTAGTGGGCACCTGTAATCCCAGCTACTTGGGAGGCTGAGGCAGGAGAATCACTTCAACCCAGGAGGCAGAGGTTGCAGTGAGCTGAGATCCCACCACTGCACTGCAGCCTGGGCAACAGAATGAGACTCCTCTCAAAAAGAAAAAGAAAGAAAAGAAAAGAAAGAAAGAGGGAGAGAGAGAGAGAAAGAAAGAAAGAGAGAGAGAGAAAGAAAGAAAGAAAGAAAGAAAGAAAGAAAGAAAGAAAGAAAGAAGAAATGGAGAGAGCATTCTGGTGACATAGTTAGAGCATCTGCATCCATCTGTGCCTGAAAATCTACTTCTGAATTGTTTTCTTAAGGTTACCCAATAAATTCAATTTTTGCTTAAGTCAGTTTGAGTTAGTTTTTAATCACTTCCAATCAAAATAACTAACCTTAATAACTTACCTACATTCCTCTGAAAGAGAGAGAGCAGGGGCATTATTTGTCTAGTATATCACTTTTGTAGAAAAGTGCCTGGGCCAAGCATGGTGGCTCACACCTGTAATCCTAGCACTTTGGGAGGCCAAGGCGGGTGGATCACCTGAGGTCAGGAGTTCAAGACCAGCCTGGCCAACATGGCGAAACCTGTCTCTACTAAAAATACAAAAATCAGCCAGGTGTGGTGGCTTGTGCCTGTAATCCCAGATACTCGGGAGTCTGAGGCAAGAGAAGTGCTTGAACATGGGGGCGGAGGTTGCAGTGAGCCGAGATTGCACCATTGCACTCCAGCCTGGGTGACAACAGTGAAACTCTGAAAAAAAAAAAAAAGAGAGAAAGAAAGAAAGAGAGAGCAAGAGAGGAAGGAAGGAAGGACGGAGAAAGAAGGAAAGAAAGAAAGAAAGAAAGAAAGAAAGAAAGAAAGAAAGAAAGAAAGAAAGAGAGAGAGGAAGAGAGAAAGAGAAAGAAAGAAAGAAAGAAAGAAAGAAAGAAAGAAAGAAAGAAAGAAAGAAAGGAAGGAAGAAAAGAAAGAAAGATGCCTTGATGGGTGAGCTACTCCTGATAGACTGAAAGTAAAAGACCAGAATTTGAAGCCCATCTCTGCCACATGTTAACTGTGTAACCTGGGAAGACGATGGTACTCTTCAGAGCCGTGTTTTCTTCATTTGTCAAATGGAGAAGAACGTAATTCCTTCCCACAGATGTTGTAAGGATTAAAAGAGATAATGGATAGGAAAAGAGCTTTGTAAACTGAAAGAGGCTATAAATGTAAGTGATTATCATTAAAGTTTAATAATAAATGACTTGTCCAAAGAGTTGAAAGAGCAGTAGTATTGGAAATGCCCTTGCTGAGCCATGAGGAGCTGGGACAGGACGTGTTCTCATTTTAAAGACTAAACTTGGAGCAGTTACGGAAAGAAAATCTGAGAGTTCTCTACAGGAAGAACATCTTATCGACCCCAGGGAGGGGCCAGACCAGAATGGAAGACTTGTGCGATTCAAATGGGGACTGTAGATCTTAAGCAAGGATGATGCTGGACTGCATTTGGATAAGAAGAGAAGCCCTGGGTACTTCCAGCCAGTATCCTGCTGAGGAATGATTTGCAACTTGCTGGTAGCTCTCACTGCATTCTAGGTCCCCTGTTCATTGCCTTACATGTATTGTCTCATTTAATCTTCACAATAACTCTGTGAGGTAGTGTTATGGCTGAATTCTGTCCCCTACAAAATTCATATGTTAAAGTCCAATTGCCCAGTACCTTAGAATGTGACTGTATTTTGAGATAGGACCTTTAAAGAGATGATGAAGATAAGAAGAGGTCATACGGGTGGGCCCTAATCCAAAATGCCTGGAATCTTTATAAAAAGAGATTAAGACATGGACAACACAGAGACCAAGGATAACTGTGCGAGGACACGGCAAGAAGGCAGCCACTTATAAGCCAAGGAAAGAAGCCTCAGAAGAAACATTTGCCAATGTTTAGACTTCTAGCCTCCAAAACTGTGAGAAAATTAATTTCTGTTGTTCAAGTCACACAGGCTGTAATATTTTGTTATGGCAGCCCTAGCAAACTAATATAGGTAGGCACTACTGTATGCCCATTTTACAGATGAGGACACTGAGGTTCTTTGATTTACCCAAAGTCACACCTCTAGCAAGTAGAAGAGCTGGGGTTCGTCCCCAAGCAATCTGCTCCAAAGCCCACATTCTTAATTGCCATGTCATATAAACCATTCTCAAGAGTGGATTCTTTTTTTTTTTTTTTTTTTTTTGAAACGCTGTCTTGCTCTGTCACCCAGGCTGCAGTGCAATGGCGTGATCTTGGCTCACTGCAAACTCTGCCTCCCGGGTTCAAGCGTTTCTCCTGCCTCAGCCTCCCAAGTAGCTGGAATTACAGGTGCGTGCTACCATGCCTAATTTTTCTATTTTTACTAGAGATGGGGGTTTCACCGTGTTGGCCAAGCTGGTCTCGAATTCCTGGCCTCAAGTGATCCACCAGCTTCAACCTCCCAAAGTGTTGGGATTACAGGCATGAACCACCAGGCCCGCCCGGCCTATGATTCAATTCTTTACAACTGCTCATTTCCTTTTTATATCCATATCATTTGGTTACAAATACATGCACTGGCATCAGACCATCTGAGTTCCATTTCTGCACCTTATTAACTGCTTTTAAGTGTCAGTTTCCTCATCTTTAAAGTGGGAATAACAATAGTAGTGTCTTCTTCCAAAAGTTTTCAAGAAGATTGAATGAGATATTGTGCATGCAAAGTGCTGAGCACTTAGAAAACATTCAAAAGCTGTTTGCCATTAATATTGTATAGCTCTCCCTCTCCCTCTCCCTCTCCCCCCCTCTCCCTCTCCCCACGGTCTCCCTCTCCCTCTCTTTCCACGGTCTCCCTCTCATGCTGAGCCGAAGCTGGACTGTACTGCTGCCATCTCGGCTCACTGCAACCTCCCTGCCTGATTCTCCTGCCTCAGCCTGCCGAGTGCCTGCGATTGCAGGCGCGTGCCGCCACGCCTGACTGGTTTTCGTATTTTTTGGTTGGAGACGGGGTTTCGCTGTGTTGGCCGGGCTGGTCTCCAGCTCCTAACCGCTAGTGATCCGCCAGCCTCGGCCTCCCGAGGTGCCGGGATTGCAGACGGAGTCTGGTTCACTCAGTGCTCAATGGTGCCCAGGCTGGAGTGCAGTGGCGTGATCTCGGCTCGCTACAACCTCCACCTCCCAGCCGCCTGCCTTGGCCTCCCAAAGTGCCGAGATTGCAGCCTCTGCCCGGCCGCCACCCTGTCTGGGAAGTGAGGAGCGTCTCTGCCTGGCCGCCCATCCTCTGGGATGTGAGGAGCCCCTCTGCCTGGCTGCCCAGTCTGGAAAGTGAGGAGCGTCTCTGCCCGGCCGCCCATCGTCTGAGATGTGGGGAGCGCCTCTGCCCCGTCACCCCGTCTGGGAAGTGAGGAGCGCCTCTGCCCGGCCGCCATCCCATCTAGGAAGTGAGGAGCACCTCTTCCCGGCCGCCATCCCATCTGGGAAGTGAGGAGCGTCTCTGCCTGGCCGCCCATCCTCTGGGACGTGAGGAGCCCCTCTGCCTGGCTGCCCAGTCTGGAAAGTGAGGAGCGTCTCTGCCCGGCCACCCATCGTCTGAGATGTGGGGAGCGCCTCTGCCCCGTCGCCCCGTCTGGGAAGTGAGGAGCGCCTCTGCCCGGCAGCCAGCCCGTCCGGGAGGGAGGTGGGGGTCAGCCCCCCGCCCGGCCAGCTGCCCCGTCTGGGAGGTGAGGGGCGCCTCTGCCCGGCCGCCCCTACTGGGAAGTGAGGAGCCCCTCTGCCCGGCCAGCCGCCCCGTCCGGGAGGTGAGAAAAAAATATATATATATTGTATAGCTAGAAAGTGGGCATTCCAGGATTGAAACCTGTGTGTGTTTTCACCCACACCTCATGCATGCATCCCTTACATCAAACTTTCCGAAGTTCCTAAGCCCCTAAGGGTAGGAATCAGAGCTATCCTAAAGTCAGATAAACAGATATTTGTATTCTAACCCTGATACCTAAGAGTTTTTGTGAGCTTGGCTTGTTGTTGTTGTTTAAAAAAAATGTATAAATTTATGGCGTACAGGCCAGGTGTGGTGGCTCACACCTGTAATCTCAGCACTTTGGGAGGCCGAGGTAGGTGGATCAATTGAGGTCAGGAGTTCAAGACCAGCCTGACCAACATGGTGAAACTCTGTCTCTACTAAAAAATTCAAAAAAAATTACCCAGGCATGGTGGTGTGCACCTGTATTCCCAGCTAATCAGGAGGCTGAGTCATGAGAATCGCTTGAATCCGGGAGGCAGAGGTTGTGGTGAGCCGAGATCACACCACTGCACTCCAGCCTGGGCAACACAGTGAGATTCTGCCTCAAAAAAAAAAAAAAAAAAAATTAAACGTATGGAGTACAAGTGCAATTTTGTTTCATGCATAGATTGTGTTGTGGTAAAGTCAGAGTTTTTAGGGTACTCCTCACCCAAATAATGTACATTGTACCCATTAAGTAATTTCTCATCATCCTCCCCCTCCCACCCCCTCGCCCTTCTGACTCTTCATTGTCTATCATTCCTCTTGTATCAGTTTATGTAAATTATCTGAACCTCATTCTTCTTACTTACAAAATTGAACCTACAACTGCTTAACCTCACATGGTAAAATACATAAGGAGCTGGTCACACAGTAGATGCTCTAGTTAACACTAGCACAGAGGATTTTATCTTCTGTAGGAGGTTAGGTCCTAAAGACAAATGCAACTGGGGAGGTGTATCATATAAATTATCCTTGAAAAATTCCTTAATTGCCCAAAAATACAATAACCAAGGTTTCATGTATATTATCCCATCTTGTACTTCATAGGTACTAAAGTTGGAGAAAACTGAGAGAGACTAAAGAAAGAAACAAGAACGTCTATTTGAGGATGTGGAAACATTCAACTATTCTGCCTTTAAAATATCATTATTCCTCTGAAAATATGGGAGAGATGGAAAATTCTAAACGATTCATATTTACCTATAGAATTTGCTCTTTATAGGTTCTTTATAAAGTCTACAAAGCATTAATACATAAAATAGATAAATTAGTGCTTGTGAAGATAAAGATAAACAGGATAGTCATCTCTCAAGGTATCAGTCTTTAAATTAAATGTGTGTATGAAACCATCAGTATATGCTGAAATGGAAAACCTGTAGGATTTGTCTATTGTTATTATGATTATTACTTTTTTTTTTTTTTGAGGCGGAGTCTCGCTCTCAGGCTCCCAGGCTGGAGTGCAGGGGCGTGATCTCAGCTCACTGCAAGCTCTGCCTCCCAGGTTCACACCATTTTCCTGCCTCAGCCTCCCAAGTAGCTGGGACTACAGGCGCCCACTCCCATGCCCGGCTAATTTTTTTGTATTTTTAGTAGAGACAGGGTTTCACCATGTTAGCCAGGATGGTCTCGATCTCCTGACCTCGTGATCCGCCCGCCTCGGCCTCCCAAAGTGCTGGGATTACAGGCATGAGCCACCGCGCCCGGCCGTTATTATTATTTTAGAGACTGGGCCTCCATATGTTGCCTAGGCTGGCCTCGAGCTCCAGGGCTAAAGAAATCCTCTTGCCTCAGCTTCCCAAATTGCTGGGATTACAGGCATGAGTCACCACGCCTGGCTGGATTTCTTCTACCCAGTACTCTCTCCTTTTTTTCTGATAATAGCCCCTCTTGCCCTCTTGGGGTCATAGCAGTAGATGTGTGTTCCAGTTCAGCTAATCATACTGCCCTGCCCCACCTGGCTTTAATACTTTGGCCTCAGGATGGACAACTGAGCCCATCCTAATCAATCAGCATCTTCCCTGGGGGAAGAGGAAAGACAGAGAGAGAGAGAGAAAGAGAGAAAGAGAGAGAGAGAGAGAGAGAGAGATGGGCTCAGTTTTTCATTCCTTAAATCATACATTGTAAAGATGCTGACTTTAGGTTGCAGATGGTCATGCCCACAATTCTGTGGCAGAGCCTGAGAGTAAGAGAATAAGGTCAACATGTGTTCAGAAGCTGGGTTGACAGATGGAAGATTTTTTTTTTTTTAATTTTTGAGACGGGGTCTTGCTGTGTTGCCCAGGCTGGTCTTGGACTCCCGGGCTCAAGCAATCCTCCCACCTCAGCCTCCTGAGAAGTTGGAACTATAGGTGCAAGCCACTGTGCCCAGCTGATGGAGAGATTCTTAATGCTGTTTGAGATACTGTGGTCAAAACTGTACCTGGCTTTCCAAAATTACCCCTGGCTTTCAATGATTTGCTTAGATCTCTCTTTTTAATTTGAAACCGCCCTTTCAAATAATGGTTTGAATTAGCTTTCTGGGTCATGTTCCTGGCAGTCCTAGCTAGTGCTGTATTTTTCTCTTTCCTCCCTCAATCCCACACATTATCTCTTTCTCTTTGACTTGGGGACCAAGTCATTTATTCCTTCAGTCACAAGCCAAGAAGAGAGCCCTCAGAAGAAACACAATTTGCCAATACTTGAACTTCTAGCCTCCAGAACTGTGAGAAAATTAATTTCTGGCCAGGCGTGGTGGCTTACGCCTATAATTCCAGCACTTTGGGAGGCTGAGGCAGGAGAATGGCGTGAACCCAGGAGGCAGAGCCTGCAGTGAGCCGAGATCGCACTACTGCACTCTAGCCTGGGCGACAGAGACACTCTGTCTCAAAAATTAAAAAAAAGAAAAAAAGAAAATAAAAAAGAAAAGAAAATTAGTTCTGTTGTGTAAAGCCACATGGTCTGTAGTTATGGCAGCCCCAGCAGACTAATACAGGTAGACACTATTTTATGCCTACATCAATAAATGTCAGTGCTACCTTATGTGTAACAGGCCCTATGCCAGGCACTGGGGACACAAAGATGAATAAGACCTAGTCCGTGCCTTTGAGGAGCATACTGTATAATAGAAGAACAAGGGAACAGATGGAGCATAGTTAGAATGTCAGAGGGTGACTCCGAGATTTTGAGCACCATTTGAATGGGCCAACTGGAGCTGAGATCTTAAATGAATCACCTAAACTTACTTTCTGAATCTCAGTTGCTTCATCTGCAAAGAGGCTATTGCAAAAAAAATACTATTTTATGGATGATTAAATAAAACAATGTGCTTTATACTTTTTTAATTTAAAAAATTTTTTGTTGAGACAGGGTACTTTTTTTTTCTTTTCTTTTGAGACAAGGTCTCGTTCTGTTGCCCAAGCTGGAGTGCAGTGGTGCGATCTTGGCTCACTGCAATCTCTGCCTCCTTGGCTCAAGTGATCCTCCCACCTCAGGCTCCTGAGTAGCTGGGACCATAGGTGCACACCACCATGCCGAGCTAAGTGCTTTATACTTTAAGAAAAAGGAAAATGTCAGGAATTAGTCATACACTAGCAAGATGCCTGCACAACTGTACCATGTCTTTACTTGTAAGCATCTGCCTCATTCGGGACTCTTGGGGTGCAGGTGACACAGACCTGATGAAAACTGACATTAGCAGAAATAGGTTCCTGCAGGATCCAGTTGCTCACGTGATAGGGTTGTGAAATTATTCTCTTCCCATGGATCCTGCTTTCCTGTCCATGGTTCTCTGCTTGCTCAGGCAAGATCCTCCCAAGCCATGGCAATAGGGCTTTGCTAGCATCGTGGTCAGAGAATGTTGGCTGTGTGATATTCATATTTCGGAATTTGTGAGTATCCCTTTGAGGCCTAGTATATGGTCTATCCTCACAAATGTTCCTTGTGTGCTTCAAAATAATGTGAGCCAGGCCCAGTGGCTCATACCTATAATCTCAACACTTTGGGAGGCCAAGGCTGTAGCATCACTTGAGGCCAGGAGTTTGAAACCAGCCTGAGCAACATAGTGAGACCTCATCTCTACAAAGAAAAGAAAAGAAAAGAAAAAAGAAAAAAAATGATTTGGGCACAGTGGCTCCCACCTGTAGTCCCAGCTACTTGGGAGGCTGAGACAGGAGGATCACTTGAGCCCAGAAGTTTGAGGCTGCAATGAGCTGTGATCGAGCCAACTACACTCTAACCCAGGTGACAGAGTGAGACCCTATCTAAATAAATACATAAAAGTAAAATAAAACAAAATAATGTGCATTCTCTGTTAATGGAAGAAAGTTTTTTGTATGTCTATTAGCTCAAGCCTGTTAATTTGTTGTTTACATTTTGTAGATCATTACTAATTTTTTTGTCTGCTTGATCCATCAGTTTCTAAGAAAGATGTATTAAGATCTCCCATTATGATTGACTGGACAATAGAGAATTGATATGAAGGAATTTTATGGGGTTATGGTAATGTCCTATATCTTAACAAGGATTTAGGTTATGTGGGCATATACATTTGTCAAAACTTAGCAAATATGTACATAATATTTGTGCATTTCACTTTCTATAAAATTTATTTCAAAAGAAAAAATTGCAATCAGATATTCAACTTTGTTAGTGAAGCCTAAAGGAGAAGAGTTCTGATTCTTCAATTTACTTTGAAATGCATAAAAAATAAAATGAATTAATACATAGAAAGATGAAGAGATGAAGAGATATGTGATAAAGATATGGCAAAATGTTATTGGTAGAATTTAGGCAATGAGTACATGGCTGTACACTGTAAGATTCTTTCTTATTTAACTTATTTTTTCTTTTTTTTCACTTTTTCTTTTACACTGTAAAATTATTTCAACTTCCGATATATTTGAAATTTTTCATTTTAAAATGTTGGGGAAAAAAATCTCCCATTGTGATTGCTGATTTTCCAGTTTCTCCAGTGAGTCTATCAAATTTTGCTACATATGTTTAGACTAAGTTGTTAGCTTCAAAATAGGATTATTTTGGCTAGTATTTCTCCGGTGTATATTCCTTCACCTTTAACCTTTCTGTGTCATGTGTTTTTGACATGCTTTTTGTAAAAATGAAATAGAGAAATCCAATATAAAAGTCTCTGTCTTATAATAGGTAAAATTAATCTGTTTACATTTATTGTGATTATCGATCAATTGAAATTTATTTCTACCATCTGATTTTGTGTTTTACATTTACTATGTTTTTTCTATGCATTTTTCCCACCTTTTCAGCCTTCATTTCATTGTTCACATTTTCTTTATTCTTGGTTTTCCATCTGCTTGTTTGGAAATCTGTAATTTATACCTTGTGGGACCTTTCCCCATTTAGCATTTTTCTCCTGGTTTTCAAGACCAGAGCTTTACACAAACTGCCTATCTTTCAACACAATGTTTTTTGACCAATATTTATATGACAAAATTTTATACTTATGTCCCCAAAACTCAGTAAAACATTTTAAACAAAACTCAGTGCATGAAATATCTTTTTTTTTTTTTTTGAGACAGAGTCTTGCTCTGTTGCCCAGGCTGGAGTGCAGTGGCGCGATCTCGGCTTACTGCAAGCTCCACCTCCCAGGTTCATGCCATTCTCCTGCCTCAGCCTCCCGAGTAGCTGGGACTACAGGCGCCCGCCACCACACCTGGCTAATTTTTTTTTTGTTTTTGTATTTTTAGTAGAGACGGGGTTTCACCATGTTAGCCAGGATGGTCTCGATCTCCTGACCTCGTGATCCGCCCGCCTTGGCCTCCCAAAATGCTGGGATTACAGGCATGAGCCACCGCGCCCGGCCAACATATCTTAAGATACATTCCAACTACTATTGGTAGAATATCAGAATCAAGTATTCTTTGAAAAGGGTTCCCGGGCCAGGCAACGTGGCTCATACCTGTAATCGCAGCATTTTGGGAGGCCAAGGCAGGAGAGTCACTTGAGTCCAGGAATTCGAGATTGCAGCGAGCTATGATTGAGCCACTGCACTCCAGTCTGAGTGACAGAGGGCGACTCCCTCTATAAAAATTTTTTTTAAAAAGCATTCTCCCAAGTCAACAAAGAGGGTATGAACCTCAGTCACTGTTGATACTAAGAGAGTCATCGCAATATCATGTTATTGCATATAAAGCAATTGTTCGCTAACAGCTGTATTATTCATTTGGGATTGGGAAACAATGATTTTTGGTTTTGATTTGTGTGTGCATGGTAAAATATACATAACATAAAATTTACCCTTTTAACCATTATTAAATATACAATTCATTAGCATTAAGTACATTCACAATGTTGAGTGACCATCACCACTGTTCATTTCCAAAATGTTTTTATCCTAAGCAGAAACTGTGTACTCATTAAAAAATAACTTCCTATTTCCCTCTCCCTCAGCCCCAGATAACCTCTATTCTACTTTTTCTCTATGAATTTGCCTATTCCAAGCCCCTCATGTTGGTGGAATCATAGAGTATTTGTCCTTTTGTATCTGGCTTATTCACTTAGCATAATTTCTTCAGGGTTCATCCCTTTGTAGCGTGTATTAGAATTTCATTCTTGTTAAGGCTGAATGATATTCTATTGTATGTATATACCACATTTTGCCTATCCTCATCCATTGATGGACATTTGTGTTGTTTCCACCTTTTGGCTATTGTGAATAACACTGTTATGAACACTGGTGTACAAATATTTGTTTGAGTTCCTGCTTTCAATTATTTTAGGTATATACCTAGAAATTAAATGCTGGATTATATGGTAATTTTATGTTTAACTTTTTGAGGAACTGCAAAATTGTTTTCCACAGTAGCTGCCACATTTTACATTCCTACCAGCAATGTACAAGTTTCTCCATGTCTTTGTCAACACTTGTTATTTTCCAGTTTTTTACTTGTTTGTTTTTTACAATAGGCATCAATTTGGTATGAAGTGGTATTTCATTGTGGTTTTGATTTTCCTAATAACTAGAGATGTACATCTTTTCATGTATTTATTGACCATTTGTATGCCTTCTTTGGAGAAATGTCTCTTCTCAGCCGGGCTCGGTGGCTCACGCCTGTAATCCCAACACTTTGGGAGGCCGAGGTGGGTGGATCACTTGAGGTCAGGAGTTTGAGGCCAGCCTGGCCAACATGGCAAAACCCTGTCTCAACTAAAAATACAAAAATTAGCCAGGCATGGTGACAGGCACCTGTAATCCCAGCTAATCAGGAGGCTGAGGTAGGAGAATTGCTTGAACCTGGGAGACAGAGGTTGCAGTGAGCTGAGGTTGCACCCAGCCTGGGTGACAAAGGGAGACTCCTTCTCAAAAAAAAAAAAAAAAAGTCTAAGAAACGTCTATTCTCATTCTTTTCCCTTCATTCTCTTAATAGTGTCCTTCGATACACAAATATTTTTAATTTTGAATGAAGTATAATTTATCTGCTTTTTCTTTTGTTGTCTGTGCTTTTGGTGTTGTATCCAAGAAATCATTGCCAAATCCAGTTGTCATAATACTTTTCCCCTTATCTTTTCTTGTAAGAGTTTTATACTTTTAGCTCTTACATTTAAATCTATGATCCATATAAATTAATTTTTGTACATGGTATAAGGTAAGGGTCCAACTTCATTCTTTTCCAAATGGATATCCAGGTTTCCCAGCACCATGAATGAAAAGACTGTCATTTCCTTAATGAATGGTCTTGGCTCTCTTGTCGAAAACCAACTGACCATATCCATGAGGGTTTATTTCTGGAATCTACTTTTTTTTTTTTTTTTGGATGGAATCTCACTCTGTTACCCAGGCTGAAGTGCAGTGGTGCAATCTCGGCTCAATGCAACATCCGCCTCCCGGGTTCAAGCAATTCTCGTGCCTTGGCCTCCCAAGTAGCTGGGACCACAGGTGCTGCCACCACACCCAGCTAATTTAAAATAATGGGGACTAGGCTTCTGCCTGTTGTATGTTTTCACACAAAACTTCTGATTTCTAACACAGATTACTGATGTTAAGCAAGAGATATCTGTATTGTATTTCTACACCTTATTAGTTAGCCTTACATTTTACTTATTTTACTTTTTAAAAAATTCTTTGTAGAGACCAAGCCTTGCCTTTGTTGCCCAAGCTAGTCTTAAATTCCTCAAGCGATCCTCCCATCTCAGCCTGCCAAAGCACTGGGATTACAGGTGTGAGCCACTCTGCCTGGCCTTTACCCTTACCCTTATTTACTTTACCCTTAAAGTAAATCAAGGTCTCTATACTCCTCCTGCACAGAAATGGATCTTAGAATATTTTAACTTAGAATCGTACTCTTCTATTTTCATTGTTATTGTTGCCTATGCATTTTTAGTTCCATCTTCTATTTAAAGTCCCCCAAAGTGTAACTTTTTAAAGTCAGGTTCATTGAGGTATAATTTATGCAGAGAAAAATTCACCCTTTTCAGTACTGACAAGCTGAACCATCACCAAATGGCTCAGTATTACCACCAGTATAAACCACTACCAAAATTAAGATACAGAAGAGGTCCATCATCCCCCAAATTTCCTGCTGTCCCTTTCTTGTTGGCTACTCACCCTACCTAAAGCCCTGGGCAACCGTTTGCTTCTTTTCTATCCCTGTGGGTTTTGCCTTTTCAACAATGGCACATAAATAGAATCATACAACATGTACCCTCTTGAATCTGGCTTCTTTCACTTGGCATAACACATTTGTAATTCAACCATGTTGTTGGTATCAGTAGTTGGTCTCTTTTAATTGCTGAATAGTAATTCATTGTATGGATGAACCACAGTTTGCTTGTCCATTCACCATCTGAGGGAGACACTTGGGGGTATTTGGGTTGTTTCCAGCTTTTGACAAGTATAAATAAAGCTACTGTAAACCCTCTATAGGTTTTTGTAAAAATGTAAGTTGTCATTTCTCTGGGGTAAATACCCAGGAGTGAGATTGCTGAGTCATGTGGTAAGCATATATTTAACTTTAGGAGAAACTGCCAAATAGTTTTCCAGAGTGGTTGTGCCATTTTGCATTCCCACCAACAATGTATAAGTGTTCCAGTTGCTCCACATCCTCACTGGGACTCGGTCTTTAAAAAAAATAAATAAATACCTCTCCCGCTCCCGCTCCCGCTCCCGCTCCCCACGGTCTCCCTCTCCCTCTCTTTCCACGGTCTCCCTCTGATGCCGAGCTGAAGCTGGACTGTACTGGGGCCATCTCGGCTCACTGCAACCTCCCTGCCTGATTCTCCTGCCTCAGCCTGCCGAGTGCCTGGTTTTCGTATTTTTTTGGTGGAGACGGGGTTTCGCTGTGTTGGCCGGGCTGGTCTCCAGCTCCTAACCGCGAGTGATCCGCCAGCCTCGGCCTCCTGAGGTGCCGGGATTGCAGACGGAGTCTGGTTCACTCAGTGCTCAATGGTGCCCAGGCTGGAGTGCAGTGGCGTGATCTCGGCTCGCTACAACCTCCACCTCCCAGCCGCCTGCCTTGGCCTCCCAAAGTGCTGAGATTGCAGCCTCTGCCCGGCCGCCACCCCGTCTGGGAAGTGAGGAGAGTCTCTGCCTGGCCGCCCATCGTCTGGGATGTGAGGAGCCTCTCTGCCTGGCTGCCCAGTCTAGAAAGTGAGGAGCGCCTCTTCCCGGCCGCCATCCCGTCTAGGAATTGAGGAGCATCTCTGCCCGGCCGCCCATCGTCTGAGATGTGGGGAGCGCCTCTGCCCGGCCGCCCCGTCTGGGATGTGAGGAGCGTCTCTGCCCAGCCGCCCCGTCTGAGAAGTGAGGAGCCCCTCTGCCCCGCAGCCGCCCCGTCCGGGAGGGAGGTGGGGGGCCCCTCTGCCCGGCCGCCCCTTCTGGGAAGTGAGGAGCCCCTCTGCCCGGCCGCCACCCCATCTGGGAGGTGTACCCAACAGCTCATTGAGAATGGGCCATGATGACGATGGCAGTTTTGTGGAATAGAAAAGGGGGAAATGTGGTGAAAAGATAGAGAAATCAGATTGTTGCTGTGTCTGTGTAGAAAGAAGTAGACATAGGAGACTCCATTTTGTTCTGTACTAAGAAAAATTCTTCTGCCTTGGGATGCTGTTGATCTATGACCTTACCCCCAACCCGGTGCTCTCTGAAACATGTGCTGTGTCCACTCAGGGTTAAATGGATTAAGGGCGGTGCAAGATGTGCTTTGTTAAACAGATGCTTGAAGGCAGCATGCTTGTTAAGAATCATCACCACTCCCTAATCTCAAGTACCCAGGGACACAAACACTGAGGAAGGCCGCAGGGTCCTCTGCCTAGGAAAACCAGAGACCTTTGTTCACTTGTTTATCTGCTGACCTTCCCTCCACTATTGTCCTATGACCCTGCCAAATCCCCCTATGCGAGAAACACCCAAGAATGATCAATAAAAAAAATGAATAAATAAATAAATAAATAAATAAATAAACTGGAGTCATTTGAGTGGGTCTCTCCCTCAGGTTTTAATTTGCATTTCCCTGATGACTAATGATGCTGAGTCTCTTTTCAAGTGTTTATTTGCTTCGTTGGTGAAGTGTCTGTTCAAATTTTTTGCTCATTTCATATTGGTTTCTTGGTTATCTTATTGTGAAGTTTTAAGAGTTCTTTGTATATTATGGACACACGTCCTTTATCAGATATGTGCACAGGAGCAAAGGGCAAACTCTTCATTCTCTGAAGGTTCACTGAAAATCAACTGACAAAAGACAGATTAATAGGAGGAAAGGCATACAAATTTATTAACATGCAGGGGGTTAAGGAGAATCCCAGTTTTGGCACTGTGAGCCGGTTACCAAAGCCATTCTGCTCTTCTGGGGGTCATAGTCAAGGAAGCCTAGGACCTAACAAGCCAGCAGAAGGGTAAGAAATTCTTTTTTTTTTTTTTTTTTTTTTGAGACAGAGTCTTGCTCTGTTACCCAGGCTGGAGTGCAGCAGCATGATCTCGGCTCCCTGCAGCCTCTGCCTCCCGGGTTCAAGAGATTCTCATGCCTCAGCCTCCCGAGTACCTGGGACTATAGGCATATGCCACCATGCCCAGCTAATTTTTGTATTTTTAGTAGAGACAGAGTTTCAGCATCTTGGCCAGGCTGGTCTTGAACTCCTGACCTTGGGTGATCCATCTGCCTCAGACTCCCAAAGTGGGAAGGGATTACAGGCGTGAGCCACCACTCCTGGCCTCAAACACCATTCTTAACTGTCAGTGGCAACAACAGTATTCCAGTATCTTAGCCCATTCCCAGGAGTAAATTTCTTGGGGATCACGGAGAATGCTTTTTCTCTGCCCTCTCCAGGAACATCTCTTGCTTAAATGGTAAAAACTTATTCTAAATCTGGAAAGTTATCTCCTGGGCTTTCCATGAAGAGGCTTATTGGATCAAGCTGCTATCGGACCAAGTACAGTATTGGAAATTTTAATTGTCAGTATCTAAAAGATGCATCATTTAAATTAAAAAGGCTCTTATATTTGAAAAGGATTTTAGGGTCTCTCATTCTAAACAATTGCCTGATTTTTACTCACGGAAAGATCTATTTGAAAAAAAAAAGACACATAATAGTGTCATAGCTAGCCTTAGAAATTCTCTTGACAAAATTAAAGTTAAAATCTTTTAAATACTCAAGTACCTCTTTTGGATTCCCTTACAGGATTTATTTTTTTTAAAAAGTGCTTCATCCTGTAGTCTAGTGTTTAGGATATCTATGCTTTCACCACTGCAATCTGGAATCAATTCCTGGTCAGGAAAACAATTCTTTGGAAATGTAAGTTATTTAACTCAGGAGAAGAAACATTTATTAAAAAATTGGTTTGATATGTGTGTGACTTTTGACTTCGGGGGATATTCATATGTTATTGATACTTTTCCCTTCCATAGACAGCTTTGGATTTCCTGTCTTCTTCTCTCTGTCTGCACATAGGGCTTTTGGGTCCTTATGTGCAGATGGTCAGATGAGAAGCTAAGACTCTAGGAAATATGGCTGGATAAAAATATGGGTGGTACCCGGTGGCTTAAGCCTGTAATCCCAGCACTTTGGGAGGCCAAGGCAGATGGATCACGAGGTCGGGAGATTGAGACCATCCTGGCTAACACAGTGAAACCCCGTCTCTACTAAAAATACAAAAAATTAGCTGGGTGTGGTGGCAGTCCCCTGTAGTCCCAGCTACTCAGGAGGCTGAGGCAGGAGAATGGCGTGAACCCAGGAGGTGGAGCCTGCAGTTAGCTGAGATTGCACTGCATTCTAGCCTTGGCAATGGAGCGAGACTCCGTTTCAAAAAAAAAAAAAAAAAATACATGGGTTGTACCCCATTTGCAGGTAGTGAAACTTTCCTTTCTTTGAGCTGTTTTTTGAGGTGATTCTGGAATTTGTGAGGACTGCTTTGCACCTCTTGGGAGATGTCTTATGTGTCCTTGATTAAGTCATAACCTTAGTTAAGGCTTATTGGTTTTGGTGAGTCATTTGGAAAATACCTTTGGATTGAGAAAACTTCAGAAGCCAGGAATATTGGCTGTTTGTCCTGGCTAAAATCTGATAATATGAGACTTGAAAGGATTTTTTAAAGAGCTCTACAGTCAGAAGTCAGCTTAATTAAAAGCTGATATTCTTGGATGGGCGCGGTGGCTCACGCCTGTAATCCCAGCACTTTGGGAGGCCGAGGCAGGTAGATCACAAGGTCAGGGGTTCAAGACCAGCCTGGCCAAGATGGTGAAACCCCTTCTCTACTAAAAATACAAAAAAATTATCCAGGCGTGGTGGCAGGCACCTGTAATCCCAGCTACTTGAGAGGCTGAGGCAGAGAATTGCTTGAACCTGGGAGGCAGAGGTTGCAGTGAGCCAAGATCATGCCACTGCCCTCCAGCCTGGGTGACAGAGCAAGACTCCATCTCGAAAAAAAAAAGCTAATATTCAGCCTACAATTTTGTAGGGGGAAAGACCTTTCTGCTTTTTCTCTTGTGGATCTTGTTTGTGGGAATTTTTTTCAGTTGACTGAAGCCTCTTTTTAATTACAGGTTTTGTCTCTCTGTTTGCTTCCTTTCTTGTTGGCATGATTTTTGCGAGAGAATTGTAAAATTTCATTGGCCTTTTGGAAAGCTAAACATATCTCCAAACTGGCTCCTTTAAGACTTAATCTTCCATTCCTATTCACTTCTACTCCACCTTCCTTTTTGCCACCTTAGATTCCACAGGAAGATACCTAGAGGAGACTTCTAGCAACTCTAAGACCCCTTGAGGAATACAATCAAGGTGTCACTGACCTCTTTTTGGGTGCCCTGTCTTCCTCACGGAGCCCCAAGAGTCATGGGCAGATTCCTCCCAGGTCTAAAGCTCTGCACTCTTTTGCATTGAGTACCCTTATTATAGTCAACAGGTTCCTAAGCCCACTGTACAGTAACAGACGAATTACACAGAGACAGCAGGGTCTGCAGCAGAGAAAGAGTTTAATAATCACAGGGCGTTGAACAAGGAGATAGAAAGAAACCCTCAAATCCATCTCCCCAAGGTGTTCTGGGCTGAAATGTTTAAGGGGATTGTGGAGGATGAGGGGGCCAGAAAATTGGGGTCATTGATTGGTCAGAACAAGAAGGATGAAATCATGAGGACGTGGAAACTGAATTCTTTGGTGAGTCAGCTCCTCATAGGGTCCTTCAGATGTGCTGGCATTAGTGAGGTCCTTCAGACCAGGTGAGTCAGTAGTTTCATCAGTATGCAGGACCTGAAGGAATATCTCAAAGGTAAAACTTAATGTTTCATAATGTTCAAGTTGTTATCTATAGAAGAGTTAGAGGGAACCATAATCTAGGGTCTATGTGATGTTAGGACAATAGGCACCAAACACCTATGACGAAGCAGGTCAGAGAGCAAGCTGACCTAACGATTAATGCTGAGAGTGCTGCGAGCCTGGTTTAGTTTCATTTCCGCCCCCCTCTCTTCCTCCCGGATTAATTTTATAAAGCTTATAAGGACAGTTTCAGTCTCCCTGGGCTTGATCACCTCTGAATCCTGAGGTGACAGCTAATATGGCGATATCAGTCAAAGACCACTCCAGCTTCTTCCTGTTGGCAAGAGGTGTAGCTGGGGTAAGAGTCAGTATTAGAGTAATGAAACTGCCTGAGAGTAAACCCTAAGTACTTACAAGTTGCAGGTCAGGAATTTCGAGGGAGCAGCATGCACACATTAGTGCACCTGTCTACCATCTTAGCATAACATTTAATGGTACACCAGACCATAAGATAAATTATAAGTCCTATTGTCAGAAATGCAAGCCCAAATTTCAAAAGTCCTTATAAAACGGACTGAAAACCTTGAAGTATCCATGTGAAAAGCTCAGAGAACCAGTCAGACATAGCATCTGTAGTAGGAGCGTGTTGTAGCCAGATAGCTTGTTGGATGATCTTTTCTATTCAGGTCTCTGTTTCACCCAAAGTATCCATATAGCTGCAACAAGTAGCTCTAAGCACAGACCCCTCCCTGTTTGGCCAAAAGGAAATAAAGCACAGCCCAATTATCAAGAACTACCTGAGCAAGGGAATTTTGAGATTTGTGTTGTGTTTTAAGGTTTTTAGTTGTCTCTTTTGTAATGGTCTCTATGGTAGCAGATAAGTTTTTGATCGTATCCCTGTTAGCATAGACTCCATAATTAGAAACGATGACACCCAAAAGACTGCCATCAGGAGCCCCGATATCTACCCAGCAGGTTTTTTGTTTTGTTTTGTTTTTTGTTTTTGCTTTTTTGAGACAGAGTCTCACTCCATCGCCCAGGCTGGAGAGCAGTGGCATGATCATAGCTCACTGCGACTTCGACTTCCTGGGGTCAAGCAATCCTTCCATCTCAGCCTCCCAAGTAGCTGGGACTACAGGTTCATGGCACCATGCCTAGCTAATTTTTAAATTTTTTTAAGAGATGAGGTCTTCCTATGTTGCCCAGGCTGGTCTCAACCCCGTGGGCTCAAGTGATCCTTCCTCCTCAGCCTCCCAAAGTGCTGGGATTACAGGTGTTAGCGACTGCACCCAGCCTCTCTTTAACTTATGGGATAAAGGACAGAATCTTTCACAGGTAGGATGGATTGAAAAGGGAGTCACCAAATGTCCTAGCAAATAGAAGCCTTTGATATGTAAGCTATCAAGACATCAGTGGGCCCATCCCAACAGTGGAGGGTCTGATCCTATGCCACAAACAAATATGTACCCTGGGTGCACATAAGTGACACCCCCAATGGTGCATTCATTGATGGACTTACTCATGGGGAGCATTGACAAGATGGATTGAGCCATGGGTCTTTTTTTTAAATAAGCTCCCCAGAATCCACTTATGTAGTACCCCAGCTATAGATACTGCTGGCCCAGCAGGGACAGGTTTTTAACTTGATTTCTCATGTATTGGCTACATTTATCTACTCAGTAAGTCATGGACCTGGGAGGACCTGTGCTGTAGAATGATTTTTTAATTATGATAGGCTGAGACAAGTTGTAAAAAGGGGTAGGAATTTCCTGGTGTACAATCAACTGGACCCAGAAGGTGAACATGGACAGTGGTTGGTCCAGATATGTAGTAGCATTTGGGACATCTGAAAAGTCAGTGACGGGTAGCACTAATGAAAAATGTTTACATTGAATGGTCTTGGGGTCCAACAATCTGATAGGTTTCCTCCCGTAGCAACACTCTTAGACAGTTTAACTACAGTATTGTGCTATCCTAAAAATTGCAATAATGAAAATAGGAACAAAAGGACGACTGGAGTTTAAAGAGTAAGGGAGGGCATTTTACAAATTCAGGACTGTCTAAATAAAAGGGACGCAAGGAACTACTTTAATATGGCACAGGATTTTGAAAATACATATAATTCTGGCCAGGCGCAGTGGCTCATGCCTGTAATCCCAGCACTTTGGGAGGCCGAGGTGGGTGGATCACCTAAGGTCAGGAGTTCGATACCAGCCTGACCAACATGGCAAAATCCCATCTCTACTAAAAATACAAAATGTAGCTGGGTGTGGTGGCGAGTGCCTGTAACCCCAGCTGCTTGGGAGGCTGAAGCAGGAGAATCGCTTGAACTCGGGAGGCAGAGGTTTCAGTGAGCCAAGATCATGCCACTGCACTCCAGCCTAGGCGACAGAGCAAGACTCCGTCTCCAAAAAAAGAAAAAAGAAGGAAAAAAGAAAATACATATAATTCCAGGAATAGCAATGACCAAAGCAACTATGAACCCCCTGGGCTCTTGTGATCCTTCCTCCTCCTTAACATGGATTAAGCATCTAATAAGGTAGAAAACAGTAGGAGGGACCGGGCACCGTGGCTCATCCCTGTAATGCCAGCACTTTAGGAGACTGAGGCAGGTAGATCACCTGAGGTCAGGAATTTGAGACCGGCTTGGCCAACATGGAGAAACCCCATCTCTACTAAAGATACAAAAATTAGCCAGGTGTGGTAGCGCATGCCTGTACTCACGAGGCTGAGGCATGAGAATCTCTTGAACCCAGGAGGCAGAGTTTGCAGTGAGCAGAGATCATGCCACTGCACTCCAGCCTGGGTGACAGAGCAAGACTGTCTCAAAAAAAAAAAAAAAAAGAAAAGAAAACAGTAGAAGGATATCCCACCTTTTTGCATAAAGCAACAGCAATAATGAATTATGGTCAAAAGGACACGAATTTTTATTTAATTCTGTTAAAACAGTTACTTATCTAGTTTTTTCTTAAAGAAGTATTTAAGGTTGCTCAAAGGCTCACTTGTCCATTCAGGCAGGGTCAAGATGGGCTCTGGAGTTGAAATGGCCTCCTGATGTTTTTTGCTAGGCTAAAAGTCTGGTAGGACTGGTTTTATACGGCTATGGAGAAACCAAGACCTTGTTCCTGAAAATCTAATAGAAGAAGGGTCATCAGTAGTACTTCATATGGCCCCTTCCATTGGGGTTTCAGCTGGTCATTAGAATGCAGATTCTTTGGGGTTTGGAGTAGTCTCCAAGTCAAATGCAATGTAAAGGAATGTCTGTTGGAAACCACAACCTGCTGGAAGTAAACTCATGAATAGTAATTAAAGCCAGACCTAAGGATTGTACATATTTAATAATATCTAATTCTTGGCCAGGCATGGTGGCTCACTCCTGTAATGCCAGCACTTTAGGTGGCCAAGATGCAGTGGATTACTTGAGTCCAGGAGTTCAGGACCAGCCTGGGCAACATAGGGTTAACCCCTATCTCCGTAGAAAATACAAAAAGTTAGCTGGGAGTGGTGGCACACGCCTGTAGTCCCAGCTACTTGGGTGACTGAGGTGGAAGGATCACTTAGGCTGGGAGGTCAAGGCTACAGTGAGCCATGATCACGCCACTGCACGCCAGCCTGGGGGACAGAGTGAGACCCAGTCTCAAATAAATAAATAAATATAATATCTAATTTTTATATGGATATAATGGGGATCTTTTAGTTTAGAAGGCAGACAGAGAATTGGTCTCCCATATAAGATTTCAGAAGTCCTTGACTTAAGCCCACTTCTACAGGCTACTTTTACTGTGAGTAAGGCAATAGGCAAAGCTTTATCCCAGGTCAGGTTAATTTCCTGACAAATTTTAGCTAATGTTCTTTTTATAGTATGTTTTTTTTTTCTTTTTTTGAGACGCAGGCTTGCTCTGTCACCCAGGCTGGAGTGCAATGGCGCAATCTCAGCTCAGTGTAAGCTCCGCCTCCTGGGTTCAAGCAATTCTCCTGCCTCAGCCTCCTGAGTAGCTGGGATTACAGGTGCGCAACACGCCCGGCTAATTTTTGTATTTTTAGTAGAGACAGGGTTTCACCATGTTTGCCAGGCTGGTCTCGAATTCCTGACCTCGTGATCCACCTGCCTCGGTCTCCCAAAGTGCTGGGATTACAGGCGTGAGCCACTGCGCCGGGCCAACTATGGTTCTTTTTACAGTATTTATCTTTTCAGTTTTTTCCAGTAGACTGTGGTCTACAGGCCATATGGAGATTCCAGGTTATGCCGAGGGCCTGGGACACATCCTCTGTAACTTGGCTGCACCATTGTCACAAAGGGTGCACCATTGTCACTCTGAATGCAGACGGGCAATCTGAACCGCAGGATGATTTCCTTTAACAGAGCCTTAACAACTTTAGATGTCCATTCGGTCTTGCCGTAATATGCTTCAACTCGTCCTGAAAAAGTATTTATGAAAACAAGCAAATATTTAAAATGTCTTGCTGCCCTCAGCATCATGGTGAAGTCAATTTGCCAGTCCCCCATTGGCCCTTCACCTCTTGCTTGAACCCCTAATAGTGGGGGGTGGAGGACCAGTCTTAGGATCATTTTTGGTGCAGAGAAGCCATTTTTCTATTACATTTTTCTTTTTTAAAAAAATCTGTGGGCCGGGCACGGTGGCTCAAGCCTGTAATCCCAGCACTTTGGGAGGCCAAGACGAGCAGATCACGAGGTCAGGAGTTTGAGACCAGCCTGGCCAACATGGTGAAACCCCGTCTCTACTAAAAATACAAAAAATTAGCCGGGCCTGGTGGCACAAGCCTGTAATCCCAGCTACTCGGGAGGCTGAGGCAGGAGAATCGCTTGAACCCCGGAGGCAGAGGTTGCAGTGAGCAGAGATTGCACCATTGCACTCCGGCCCAGGCGACAGTGCAAGACACCATCTCAAAAAAAAAATGTATTCGTTATTACCAAGTAGCAATCTATTACCTTTTGGATAGTCCTCTTTAATTATGGCCCAATGATGTAATTTTGGATCCATTGGAGAGCGACATCTCTGCCATAGTACGTGGTGTCATGTACATGTTTGATAACATCTATCATAAGATGTTTAGGTGCCAGGATTTTTTTCTTCTTTATTATAGATTCATCTGTCCTGGGTTTTTTGACTGAGGTCAAAGCCTCAATTAAGTGTTATTTTTAAATCTTCTGACTGTTTAAGGGATTCTATGATGAGGTCTGTTTCAGATACTAATGGCATTAGCAGAACTTTTGGGGTATTTTTTTAATGCCATTTCCCTAGCAGCCTGGTCTGCTCAAATATTGCCTTTTACCAAGTGTGGTAGCTCATGCCTATAATTCCAGCACTGTGGGAGGCCAAGACGGAAGGATTGCTTGAGCTCAGGAGTTTGAGACTAGCCTGGGCAACATAGTGAGACCTTATCTCTACAAAAAAAGTTTTAATTAGCTAGGCACAGTGGCACATGCCTGTGGTCCCAGCTACTCAGGAGGCTGAGAGAGGAGGATCACTTGGGGCCAGGAAGTTGAGGCTGCAGTGAGCTATGACTGCACCACTGCACTCCAGCCTGGAGGAGAGTGTGAGATTCTGTCTCAGAAAAAAAAAAATTACCTTTTGCCTCCAAGTTATCTGTCCATTGGTGTCCAGGGCAATGTATTATAGCTATTTCTTTGGGCTCTAAGACCAATGTTACTAATAGTAAGGCTAGGATTTCTATAGAATGTTTCATTTGTTCATTACCAGAGGTTAAGAGTCCCCCTTTCTCTCCAGATGGCCTTGTAAGCGTGAACAAAAGAAAAGGAAAATCTGGAATCTGTATAAATGGTTATCCAGGAGTCTTTACCTAGTTGGAATGTCCCAGATAGGGCTATGAGTTCTGCCTTTTGTGCCAATGTACCAGAAGGGAGTGCCTCTGCTTCCAGAATCTGTCAGAGTGTTACCACGGCATGCCCAGCTTTCCGTTGTCTTTGATCTATAAAGCTGCTCCCCTCAGTGAACACTTTTAAGTCTGGATCTGCCATGGGGATATTAGCCAAGCCTGGTCAGCTAGAGTAAACTTGTTCAGTAACTTGTAAGCATTCGTGTACAGGGTCAGCTGTGCTTTGAGGAAGCAAGGTGGCAGGTTTTAGAGTGGAGACTGCTTTCAAAGCTACATTTTGGCAATCTAGGAGGATGTCCTGATGTCTACCTAATCTTCCAGAACTCAATCAGTACCCCCCTTTCTGTTCTAATAGAGAGAGCACACAGTGAGGGGTGTGCACTGTGGTAGGTTGTCCCAAAGTGAACTTTTCTGCCTCCTGGAGAAGGCCGCAGGTGGCAGCAACTGCTTGGAGGCAAAAGGGCCAACCCCTTGTGACAATGTCTAGCTGTTTTGAAAAGTGGGCTGCAGGTCTCATGCTTGCCAGGTCTTGGGTTAGCACCCCTTGAGCCATCCCTTGTCTCCCACGCAGGAACAAACTGACTAGCTTTCTTATATCTGAAAGTCCCAAGGCTGGAGCTGTTAATAACCTTTCTTTAATGGTCAGAAAGGCTTTTTGACAATCCCCAGTCCATTTTAGGGGCTTGATATCTATTCATTTTAAAGATTTATATAGAAGTTTGGCTGTAAGTCGAAAATTACTAATCCAAATGCAGCAAAACCCAGCCAAACCCAAAAACCCTTGCAGCTTCTGCTGTGTGGTGGGTCTGGACACCCTGGCAAGAGCTTCCCTCTGGTTCAGGAGCATATTTATTTGACTGAGGGCTGTGAGATCTATGCCTCTTTCCTGGATACACTGTATCCCTATTCTGCCAGGAAATTTGAAGTCAGTATAGTATTCTGGTCAGAGCCTGTCACAGCGGTACTGGCTACTAATATGCCACTGACATATTATAACAAAGTCTTGCCTTTTAGTTGGAGGTCCTGGTGGACTTTGGCAAGTATTTCCCTAAAGATAGCTGGAGAGTATTTGAAACCCTGAGGGAGCACTGTCCAACAGTACTGTAGTTGGGCTTTGGTATCTGGGTCTTCCCATTCAAAATAGTAAACATGATGTTTATTAGTTAAAGTGCTCCAGATATTTGGGAAAATCTGCAAAAGGTGGATGGGCCTTTAGGAATGTCTTCAGCCTGGGTGGCAGAGCGAGACTCTGTCTCAAAAAAAAAAAAAAAAAAGAAAGAAACAGAGAAAGAAAGTCTCTACAAATTGAGATGACATTAAATTGTGTGGGGCTTCTGAATTATTGTTCATGTACTGTCTGAAGGCCTTGAAAATCCACTCTAAGAACTCTGAGGGGATCTCATTAGGTTTCTGTCTAACTTCCTAGACCTGATTGAGGCTTCTTTGCTTGGACACTCCCTTGCAGAGACCAGCCAAAGTGCAATCCTGGTAGTGTTCAAACTTATGTCTATCTCCAGTGTTTATATTTCATCCTGGGTCAATGGTGGGCACTGCAACTTGAGGAACTGCTCGTATGGGTTGCCAGAAAAGTCTGCATGCATTTGATCAGCTTTCTCCTTGCCTTTATTTAAAACCATTCTCCACTCCTCTGAAATTAATACAGTGCTGAGCAAATTTTGGATGTCTGCCCAGATGGGGTTGTGGGTAGCTAACATAGAGGAGAACAGATTTTCCATCCACTTTGGATCTTCCTAATAGGTGGGCTTATTTTTCTAGTTAAACAAGTCAGAGATGGAAAATGGAGAGTGGACCCAGCAAATCCCATAGGTTGGCCTGTGGCAGCATTAACGCTTCCTCTGGGTAGTTGGCATAAGAGCAATTGCCCTCCCAGAGCCAAATGGCACCCTAACGAATTGAGTTCCCTGTCAGGTATGAGAAGGAGAGACCATTCCTGTTGCCCCTGACTCCTTACTTCTCAGGGTGAGAACTCCAGCTCAGAGGCCAGCAGAGCAGCTGCAGCTCCCCTTTAAGGTGCTGGGGGAGCCATAGGCTCACTTAGTGGAACCACCAAAACATAAACACCTTTTTGTTGGGGGTCAGTCAAAACAGGCCTTTTCCCTTGTTGAACCATGATTTTGCATTTCTTTTGCATTGATGTGTTTTGCCAAAGCTGCATACAACATTGTACATAGGGGATCTCATCTCATTTCCCTTCCTGTTTCAGAACAAGTCTAGCTGCAGGAGAGTATTATAATTAAGGGAGCCATTTGATGGTCACTATTTTCCTGAATCCAGCAAGTGTTGGGGCCAGGCTGAAGTATAAATGAAAATTATTTTTTTTGCTTCATGGAATCATAGACAAAGCATCTTAATTTTACAGGATACAGCCCACCGGGGTGCTTGAGGAAACCAAATTAACATTTCCAACTCCAGCTGAGATGATGCACATACACCAAAATACAGACACTAATCGCTCTGCTCCGTGCCCAAGTTTGACCTGGCAAAGCTCAAAATTGCCCCTGTTGGCCCTTGGTGCCTTTGATTCACTCAAGGTGGAGAGGACTAATTTTCAACCAGGAGTGCAGCAGACGGTCTCTGGGAAAGGTGGAAAAGTGGCCAGTCACACTGAGTTAGGCCTGCTGAGATTTCATTAGCAATTCCTTCAGGGTTCACTGATTGCAACTAGCCAGACAAACAAAGAGTTTCCTGAGTTAGGGCTGCTGAGCTTCCACTAGTATTTCCTCCAGGGGATCCCTTCCACAAACATAAACATATATAACAGGACAAAGACAAACAAGAAGGCCTTCCAAAATAAAGTTTCAAATTTTAGAAATCAAGAGTATTTTTCCCTAGCCATGCCTTTTATTCAATTTCCAATTTAGGAGAAATTCCTTCAAACAAGGCCTTTCCTATTACTAGAGAGGTTCAACACAACTTCCAAAGAGGTCATAAGACCTCCAAGGAGGACAGCAAATCAGGAGACGGGAAAAGTGGTGCCAGTTGCACAGAGAAAAGTTACCAAAGACATCTTTCAAAACCAAAAACCAGGCCGGGCATGGTGGCTCACGCCTGTAATCCCAGCACTTTGGGAGGCCGAGGCGGGTGGATCACAAGGTCAGGAGATCGAGACCATCCTGGCTAACACAGTGAAACCCCGTCCCTACTAAAAATACAAAAAAATTAGCCGGGCGTGGCGGCGTGCGCCTGTAGTCCCAGCTACTCAGGAGGCTGAGACAGAAGAATTGGTGTGAACCCGGGAGGCGGAGCTTGCAGTGAGCCAAGATCGTGCCACTGCACTCTAGCCTGGGTGACAGAGCAAGACTCCGTCTCAAAAAAACAAAACAAACAGAAAAAAAACCGTTCATTTGCTGCAAGAAATTTGTGCACCACAGGTTGACACTGCCCTTTCAACATGCAAGGCACTGGAGACAGCCCTTCATTCAGTGAAACTGAACGGCCACTTGGGCTTGTCTCTGGTTCCAAACCAATAACGAGGGGTCACCAAGGTGCAGGCCCACAAGGGGCTCCTGGCTGGATTGCCAACATTTGTTATAGGACCAACTGGTTTGTATCCCCACTGTGCAATAACATACCAATTACTGTGAGACAGCAGGATTTGCAGCAGAGAAAGTTTCATAATCACAGCACACCAAGTGAGGACACAAGAGGAGACCCTCAAATCCATCTCACCAAGGAGTTCTGGGCTGGGGCTTTTAAGGGGATCGTGGAAGGTAAAGGGTTGGAAAATTGGGGTTGTTGGTTGATCGGGGCAAGGGAGAGGAAATCACCAGGATGTGGAAACTGCATTCTTTCATGAGTTAGCTCCTTGTGGGGTCCTTCAGACCAGCTGGCATCCATGGAGTCCTTCAGATCAGCTTGAGTCGGTAGGATCTTTCAGACCAGCTGAGCCAGTAGTTTCATCAGTAAGCAGGATCTTAAGGAATGTCTCAAAGGTAAAACTTAATGTTTCATAGTGTTCAAGTTGTTACCTGTAAACAGTTGAGAGGAACTATTAGGGTTGACATGATTCTAGCTCAACTACACAACTACCAGGAAGAAGGTCAGAGAGCAAAGTGACCTAATGATTAATGCTGAGTGTGCTGCAAGCTTGACTTATTTTCCTTTCTCCCTCTTCCTTCTTCCCTGGCTAATTTTATAAGGTTTATAAGGATGGTTTCACTCTCATCTATTTGGCTTTCTGGGTGTGGACCTACAGGAAAAAAAAAAACAGATACAATATTAATATAAGTACAGAGTTTATTTGGAGCAAGTCTGAGGATTGCAACTCCAAGTACCCTGAATCTATGCTCCAATCAGCAGCAGTTACAAGTGGATGTTAAAGGGAAAAAGAAGAGGCAGTTCCTAAGTCATTTATCAAGAATTTACATGAAGGCCAGGCCAGGTGGCTCACACCTGTAATCCCAGCCCTTTGGGAGGAGGCCAAGGCGGGTGGATCACTTGAGGTCAGGAGTTCAAGATCAGTCTGGCCAACATGGTGAAACCCATCTCTACTAAAAATACAAAAAATTAGCTGGGCGTGGTGGCATGTGCCTGTAATCCTAGGTACTCGGGAGGCTGAGGCAGGAGAATTGCTGGAACCCAGGAGGCGGAGGTTGCAGTGAGCCGAGATCCTGCCACTGCACTCCAGTCTGGGAGACAGAGCAACACTCCGTCTCAAAAAAAAAAAAAAAAAAAAAAGAATTTACGTGAAAATAACTGAAGCCATTGATTTGCTATACATTGTTCATTGTACTAAAAATTCCAGGAACATGAAGATAATAGGTAAGACACCTAGTCAGGAACAAAATGACTGTAAATAATTACATGGGTGCAGAGGGCATGACTGAAGTCCCTTACTCATATCTCTCCGGGACTAATAAATTTTGCATACCTCACATAGCTCAAAGTACTCTGTGCTATTTTTCTTTTCTCAGAGGGTACCAGGGATTACTTTGTACTGTGAGAGAACTTGACTTTTTAAAAATTTCAATAGCTTTAGGAGTACAAGTGGTTTTTGGTTACATCAATGAATTGTATAGTGATGAAGTCTGAGATTTTAGCACACCTGTCACCTAAGTAATGTACATTGTACCCAATATGTATTTTGTTTGTTTGTTTGTTTGTTTGTTTGTTTGTTTTGAGACAGAGTTTCGCTCTTGTTGCCCAGGCTGGAGTGCAATGGCCCGATTTCAGCTCACTGCAATCCACCTCCCGGGTTCAAGCAATTCTCCTGCCTCAGCCTCCTGAGTAGCTGGGATTACAGGCATGTGCCACCATGACCGGTTAATTTTGTATTTTTAGTAGAGATAGGGTTTCTCCATGTTGGTCAGGCTGGTCTTGAACTCCTGACCTCAGGTGATCCGCCTGCCTCAGCCTCCCAAAGTGCTGGGATTACAGGCGTGAGCCACCGTGCCCGGCCCAATATGTAGTTTTTAATCACACATCCACCTCTCAGCCTCCCCCTTCTGAGTATGCAGTGTCCACTATACCCCTCTGTATGCTTTTGTGTACCCATAGTTTAGCTTTCACTTATAAGTGAGGACATACAGTATTTGGTTTTCCATTCTTCAGTTAATTCACTTAGAATAATGGCCTCCAGCTCCATCCAGGTTTCTGCAAAATACATTATTTCCTTTTTATTTTTATTATTTTTTTGAGACAGTCTCACTCTGTCACCAGGCTGTGGTGCGATCTTGGCTCATTGCAACCTCTGTCTCTAGGGGTTCAAGTAATTCTCCTGCCTCAGCCTCTCCAGTAGTTGGGATTACCGACATGCGCCACCACACCTGGTTAATTTTTGCATTTTTAGTAGAGACGGGGTTTCACCATGTTGGCCAGGCTGGTCTCAAACTCCTGGCCTCATGTGATTTGCCTGCCTTGGCCTCTCAAAGTGCTGGGATTACAGGCATGAGCCACCACGCCTGGCCAAAGTGCTGGTGTTTTTTGGCTTAATGACTTTTTTCCTTTGGGAAATACCTAGTATTCGGATTGCTGGATTGAATGGTAAACCTACTTTTCATTCTCTGAGAATAAGCACTGCAGGTGCAGTGGCTCATGCCTGTAATCCCAGCACTTTGGGAGGCCGACGCAGGCGGATCACTTGAGGTCAGGAGTTTGAGACCAGCCTGGCCAACATGGTGAAATCCCATCTCTACTAAAAAAATACAAAAATCAGCCAGGCATGGGGGTGGGCGCGTGTATCCCAGCTACTTGGGAGGCTGAGGCAGGAGAATTGCTTGAACCGGGGAGGCAGAGGTTGCAGTGAGCTGAAAACATGCCACTGCACTCCAGCCTGGGCAACAGAGCAAGACTCCATCTCAAAAAAAGAAAAAGAGAGAGAGAATTATTGGGAAATCTCCATACTTTTTTCCACAGAGGTTGTACTAATTTACATTCCCACCAATAGTGTATAAATGTTTCCTTTTCACCACATCCATGCCAATATCTATTGTTTTCTGACTTTTTAGTAATGACCATTCTGGCTGGGGTAACATGGTATCTCATGATGGTTTTAATTTACATTTCCCTGATGATTAGTGGTGTTGAGCATTTTTTCATATTTGTTGGCCATTTGTATATTTTCTTTTGAGAAATGTCTATTCAAGTCATTTGCCACATTTGATGGGATTATTCGTCCTTTTCTTGCTGATTTGCTTGAGTTCCTTGTAGATTCTGGATATTAGTTCTTTGCTGGATGTATAGTTTGAAAATATTTTCTCCCATCCTATGGGTTGTCTGTTTACTCTGATGATTATTTATTTTGCTGCACAGAAGTGTCTAATTAGGTCCCATTTATTTATATATTTATTTATTTAAGATGGAGTCTAACTCACTCTGTTGCCCAGGTTTGAGTGCAATGGTGCAATCTCAGCTCACTGTAACCTCCACCTCCTGGGTTCAAGCGATTATACTGGCTCAGCCTCCCGAGTAGCTGGGACTACAGGTGCATGCCACCATGCCCAGCTAATTTTTGTATTTTTAGTAGAGACAGGGTTTCACCATGTTTGCCAGGTTGGTCTTGAACTCCTGTCCTCAACTGATCAGCCTGCCTTGGCCTCCCAAAGTGCTGGGAGTACAGGCGTGAGCCACCGTGCCCAGCCCCCATTTATTTACATTTGTTTTTGCTGCATTTGCTTTCAGGGTCTTATTTATAAGTTATTTGCCTAGACCAAAGTCCAGAAGAATTTTTCCTACATTTTCTTTTAGAACTTTTATGGTTTCACGTTTTAGATTTAAGTCTTTAATCCATCTCGAGTTGATTTTTGTATATAATGAGAGATAGGGGTCTAGTTTCATTCTTCTACAGGTGTCTATCCAGTTTTTTCAGCACCATTTATTAAGCGGTGTATCCTTTCCCCCAGTTTATGTTTTTGTATGCTTTGTCAAAGATCAGTTAGTTGTGAGTATTTGGCTTTATTTCTGGGTTCCTTCCTGTTCTGTTCTATTGGTCTATGTATCTACTTTTATATCAATATCATGCTGTTTTGGTTACTATAGCCTTGTAGTATAAGTTGAACTCAGGTTATGTGATGCCTCCAGATCTGTTTTTTTGCTTAGGATTGCTTTGGTTATTTGGGCTCTTTTTCAGTTCCACATAAAATTTAGGATTTTTTTTTCCAATTTTGTGAAAAGCAATGTTGGTAGTTTGATAGGAATTGCATTGAACATATAGGTTGCTTTGGGCCGTATGATCATTTTCATGATACTGATTCTCCCAATCCATGAGCGTGAGATGTATTTCTTTTTATTTTATTTTATTTCAATTCTTTTTTTTTTTTTTTTTTTTTTTTGAGACGGAGTCTCGCCCTGTCACCCAGGCTGGAGTGCAGTGGCATGATCTTGGCTCACTGCAAGCTCCGCCTCCCAGGTTCACGACATTCTCCTGCCTCAGCCTCCGGAGTAGCTGGGACTACAGGTGCCCACCACCACGCCCCGCTAATTTTTTGTATTTTTTAATAGAGACGGGGTTTCACCGTGTTAGCGAGGATGGTCTCGAACTCCTGACGTCGTGATCCGCCCGCCTCGGCCTCCCAGAGTGCTGGGATTACAGTCGTGAGCCACAGCACCCAGCCTTCAATTCTTTTTTTTAAAGATCGGGTCTTGCTATGTTGACCAAGCTGGTCTCGAACTCCTGTCCTCAAGCAATCCTCCCATCATGGACTCCTGAAGTGCAGGGATTACAGGCATATCAAGTGACCATCAGATGATGGACAGGTGATTGTTAAACTCTCTCTCTAAAATAATAATTGGTTGCGACCAGTGCCAAGGAAAGGCAGTCTCCCAATAGATTAAAAACATGTGGGGCCAGGCACAGTGGCTTGTGCCTATAATCCCATCATTTTGGGAGGCCGAGGTGGGCAGATCACCTGAGGTCAGGAGTTCGAGACCAGCCTGACCAACATGGCAAAACCCCATCTCTACTAAAAGTACAAAATTAGCCGGGCATTGTGTACTTGCCTGTAATCCCAGCTACTTGGAAGGCTGAGGCAGGAGAATCACTTGAACCCAGGAGGCAGAGGTTGCAGTGAGCCAAGATTGCACCATTGCAGTCCAGCCTGGGCATCAAGAGCGGAACTCTGTGAAAGAAAGAAGGAAAGGAATCAATCAGTTGATTTCAGTGAGCATTCAGAAAGCAAAGGGGAAGTTTTCCCTTTGCCTTATATGTGTTTTGCAAATATTTTGTCCAAATTTGTGGCTCATCTTTTCACTCTATTTTTTTTTTTTTTTTTTTTTGAGATGGAGTCTCACTTTCACCCAGGCCGGGGTGCAGTGGCTCAGTCTTGGCTCACAGCAAGCTCCGCCTCCTGGGTTCACGCCATTCTCCTGCCTCAGCCTCCCGAGTAGCTGGGACTACAGGCTCCCGCCACCATGCCCGGCTAATTTTTTTGTATTTTTAGTAGAAATGGGGTTTCACCGTGTTAGCCAGGATGGTCTCGATCTCCTGACCTCGTGATCCGCCTGCCTTGGCCTCCCAAAGTGCTGGGATTACAGGCATGAGCCACCGCGCCCAGCCCTTTTCACTCTATTAACAGTGTCTTTTGAAGAGTGAAAGTTCTTATTTTTGATAAAGTCCAATTTATCATTTTTTGTTTCTTTCTTTCTCTGTTTTTTTTTTTTTTTTTGGTTTTTTTTTTTTTTTTTTGAGATAGGATCTCACTCTGTCACCCAGGCTAGAGTGCAGTGGCTCAACCATAGCTCACTGCAGCATTGACTTCCTGGGCTCAGGTGATTCTCCCACTTCAGCTTCCCAAGTAGCTGGGACTGGTGTGTGCCACCATGCCCAGCTAATTTTTTGTATATTTTTTAAAGAGACAGGGTTTTGCCATGTTGCCCAGGCTGGTGTCGAACTCCTCGGCTGAAGCAATCTGCCTGCCTCAGCCACCCAAAGTGTTGGGATTACAGTTGTGAGCCACTGCACCCAGCCCATTTTTTCTTTTGTTATATTTTTAATATAATAGCCAAGAATTTTTTGCTTGACCTAGATGACAAAGCTTTTTCTTTATGTTTTCCTTCAGAAGTTTTATAGGTTTACCCTTTACATGTAAATCTATTATCTATTTTGAGTTAATTTCTGTTTGTGATGAAAGGTTAGGATCAAGGGTCAATTAATGTGCATAGATATCTGATTATTCTAGCACCCTTTGTTGAAAAACGATCCTTTTTCCATGGAATAGCCTTTGCATCTTTGTCAAAAATCACATTGAGATACCTCTTCACAACTATTAGTGGATAACATAAAAAAGACAGATAATACCAACTGTTAGTAAGGATGTGGAGAAATCAGAACCTTCGTATATTGCTGGTGAGAATGTAAAATGAAGTTGCTGCCCTGAAAAACAATTTGGGCTAGGCATGATGGCTCACACCTGTAATCCCAGCACTTTGGAAGGCTGAGGCAGGCAGATTGCTTGAGTCCAGGAGTTCGAGACCAGCCTGGGCAACATGGCAAAACTCCTTCTCTACAAAAAAATACAAAAAATTATCCAGCCATGCCTACATGCCTGTAGTCCCAGCTACTTGAGAGGTTGAGGTAGGAGGATTGCTTGAGCCTGGGGGACAGAGGTTGCAGTGAGTCAAGATCACACCACTATACTCCAGCCTGGGTGACAGAACGTGATGTTGTGTCAAAAAAAAAAAAAAAAGAAAAAAGAAAAAAAAGAAAAGAAAAGAAAAAGAAATGAAAAACAATTTGGAAAATTTGGAAGTTTCTAAAAATGTTAAACATAATGTTACAACATTGAGAGAAGAGAGGCAGACTCTCTCATATTGTTTTATATTGATTTATACTCAGAAAAGGAAAGAAAAGTGACACAAAAGGCAGGTAGCCCGGCGCCTAGGAACCAGACCCGAAACCAAGGAACCAGACCCAAAACCAGGCCTGGGCCTGCCTGACCTAAGCCTGGTAGTTAAAATTCCACCCCTGACCTAGCAACTGATGTTATCTATAGATTCCAGATGTTGTATGGAAGGACATTGTGAAACCTCCCTTTCTGTTCTGTTTCACTCTGACCACCAGTGCTTGCAGCCCCTGTCACATACCCCCTGGCTTGCTCAATCAATCACGACCCTCTCACGCGGACCCCCTCAGAGTTGTGAGCCCTTAAAAGGGACAGAAATTGGGCACCTGACAAGCTCGGATTTTAAGACGTTAGTCTGCCAATGCTTCCAGCTGATTAAAGCCACTTCCTTCACTATCTCGGTGTCTGTGGGGTTTTGTCCACGGCTCGTCCTGCTACAACATGACCCAGCAATTCTACTCCTGGCATATTGGAACAGTGGTTAGGCCACAACCTCAGATCTGGAGCACAGGAAAGCAATAAGAAGCAGAAGTCATTGTTCCTGGGAAGCCCTCAAAAGCCAGCAGATGACAGAGATAGATTCTCTGATTGGTTCTAACTTAACCATTTGGAGTTTTGAACACCCTGAGCACACAAAATTCAACTTAATTTGGAGACAACTGAATGCCTATTCTCTTGGGGGTTGCCTGAAGAGAAATAAAAACATATCTTTGCACAAACTTATGTATGGGTGGTCATAACATTATTCATGATAGCCAAAAAGTGGAAACAACACAAATGTTCATTGTAGGAGAATGAAACTGCCTTTGCAAAAACCATAACTGAGAAAACTATTACAGCAAAAGAGATCCACCTAACTCACTCCATCTTGCTTCTAACCTCCAAACTGTCCTTGTTCATTCCTGGGCATAGGCCAAACTATCTTTGGGAGAAACTTAGTTTATAGTTTAGCTTTCAAACAAAGACCATAACAGCCCTTTCCCAAAACAAACCTCCTTCCTGCCTGGGGACTAGACTGCCTTTGCAAGACTAACAAATTTGCCATAAGATTAGAAATTATGGCTCTCCCTCCCCCTCCCCCTCCCCCTCCCCCTCTCCCTCTCCCCTCTTTCCACGGTCTCCCTCTGATGCCCAGCCGAAGCTGGACTGTACTGCTGCCATCTCGGCTCACCCAACCTCCCTGCCTGATTCTCCTGCCTCAGCCTGCCAAGTGCCTGCAATTGCAGGCGCGCGCCGCCACGCCTGACTGGTTTTCGTATTTTTTGGTTGGAGACGGGGTTTCGCTGTGTTGGCCGGGCTGGTCTCCAGCTCCTAACCGCGAGTGATCCACCAGCCTCGGCCTCCCGAGGTGCCGGGATTGCAGACGGAGTCTCGTTCACTCAGTACTCAATGTTGCCCAGGCTGGAGTGCAGTGGCGTGATCTCAGCTCCGCTACAACCTCCATCTCCCAGCCGCCTGCCTTGGCCTCCCAAAGTGCCGAGATTGCAGCCTCTGCCCGGCCGCCACCCCGTCTGGGAAGTGAGGAGCGTCTCTGCCTGGCCGCCTATCCTCTGGGATGTGAGGAGCCCCTCTGCCCGGCTGCCCAGTCTGGAAAGTGAGGAGCGTCTCTGCCCGGCCGCCCATCGTCTGAGATGTGGGGAGCGCCTCTGCCCCGTCGCCCCGTCTGGGATGTGAGGAGCGCCTCTGCCTGGCTGCCCAGTCTGGAAAGTGAGGAGCGTCTCTGCCCGGCCACCATCCCATCTAGGAAGTGAGAAGCGTCTCTGCCCAGCCACCCCGTCTGAGAAGTGAGGAGCCCCTCCGCCCGGCAGCCGCCCTGTCTGAGAAGTGAGGAGCCCCTCCGCCCAGCAGCCACCCCATCTGGGAAGTGAGGAGCGTCTCCGCCCGGCAGCCACCACGTCCGGGAGGGAGGTGGGGGTCAGCCCCCGCCTGGCCAGCCGCCCCGTCCGGGAGGTGAGGGGCGCCTCTGCCCGGCCGCCCCTACTGGGAAGTGAGGAGCCCCTCTGCCCGGCCACCACCCCGTCTGGGAGGTGTACCCAACAGCTCATTGAGAACGGGCCATGACGACAATGGCAGTTTTGTGGAATAGAAAGGGGGGAAAGGTGGGGAAAAGATTGAGAAATCGGATGGTTGCCGTGTCTGTGTAGAAAGAGGTAGACATGGGAGACTTTTCATTTTGTTCTGTACTAAGAAAAATTCTTCTGCCTTGGGAAAAAAAAAAGAAAAAGAAAAATACAGTTAGAACTTGTAAAATGTTGGGGGTGAAGGGTGGAGGAAATGTACATGAAAAAGATGGAAAAAGAGTTGGTAATTGTTGAAGCTGAGTGATGGGTATATAGGGCTCATTATGCTGTTCTCCCTACTTTTGAGTATGTTTGAAACTTCCATAATAAAAAGTTATTTGTAAACCTAAAAAAAAAAAAAAAAAAAAGATTAGAAATTATGGTTTTGGAGTCATGCGGCTGGAGGCTGCAAGATTCTGACCCTCCCCAAATTGCTCCTGGGGATGACATCACTATTGTAAAACCTAAGATCAGTGCTTGAGATATTTTGCAGACCCTACACTGGGTGGATCAGCTGGCACCACCCAGATAAACTGGCTCATCTGGTCATGTGGCCCCCACCCAGGAACAGACTCAGCACAAGAGAACAGTTTTGACTCCCTACGATTTCATCTCTGACTTGACCAATCAGCACTCCCGGCTCACTGCCCCCCTACCCACAAAATTATTCTTAAAAATTCTGATCCTGGCTGAGTGCAATGGCTCACACCTGTAATCTTAGCACTTCGGGAGGCTGAGGCAGGTGGATCGCTTGAGCTCACAAGTTCGAAACCAGCCTGGGCAACAAGGAGAAACCCTGTCTCTACCAAAAATACAAAAATTAGCTGGTGGTGCATGACTGTAATCCCAGCTACTCGGGAGGATAGGGTGGGAGGATGGTTTAAGCCCAGGAGACAGAGGTTACAGTGAGCCAAGATTGCTCCACTGCACTCCAGCTTGGGCAATAAAACCAGACCTTGTATCAAAAAAAAAAAAAGAAAAAAAAAGAAACTATTAAAAAATTTAAAAAGATATTAAAATTCTGATCTGCAAATTTTCAGGGAGACTGATTTGAGTAATATAAAACTCCATTCTCCTGTACAGCCAGCCCTGTGTGAATTACTCTTCCTCTATTGCAATTGCCTTGTCTTGACAAATAAGCTATGTCTAAGCAGCAGGCAAGGTGAACCCATTGGGTGGTTACAAGAGGGGAAAATGGCTTCCCTTTACCCTGCTCTGTTCTTTGGCTAGGCTACAAATTCAGTTGACATACGACAGATTAATAAAAGAAAAGGTATACAAATTTATTACATGCCAAAGGGCATCCCATGAAAGAAAAGTGAATACGCGATAACCCAGGGTGATCTAGAAGCTAATATACCCTCTTCCTAGAGGAGAGGTCAAAGGGAATGTAGGCAATTTAGGGAGTAGGAGTAGTAAATGAATTTTGGGAAGATGAATGGGCCCTCAGAAGAACAGGTGATAATCTGGGTGGGATAGAGAGAAGACAGAGCTCTAGTCTCTCCTCCTGATACGGAGTTAATCTTCATGACTTTTGAGTTCCTTTTGGAGGATCCATCTTTAGGCAAATAAGGGGGAATTCAGAGAAAGCCTCTGCCTGAATCTGCCGTTCCACAAGTACCCTCGGTTCAAAGTAATCAGCATCCCAAAACATCATGTTTCGCTATGGCATTTCCTGCTCTCAGGTAATAAAAATTGTCTCTGAGCAGCCCTCTTCCTGATACAGATACTTTTACTAGTATAGGCTTCCTCTATAGATGCAAATTTCTTGTACAAAAGGACAGCTTTTTAGAGCTGCTCCTGTCTGCAGTTTCTCAGAATAACCAGCTTGAAATATGCCAAGGAAGTATATTTTGGGGCAGCATATTCTGGTCTCCTACAGTCATATTTTGAGGTGGGGTATCCTGAGCTCCAACACCTCAACTGCTGACTAGATACCTAAAATGTAGTATAGCCATACAATGAAATATTATTTCATAATAAAAAGGAATTAAATATTGATACATGCTACAATGTGGATAAACCTTGAAAACATTATGCTAAGTAGAAGAAGCCAGTCACAAAAGACCACATATTGTATAATTCCATTCATATAAAATGTCTAGATTAGGCAAATATATACAGATAGAAAGTAGATTAGTGATTTCCTAGGGTTGAGGGAACAGGAGAGTGAGTAGACTGCTAATGGATATGGGGTTTCTTTTTGAAGAATTGAAATGTTCTAAACTTACATTTTGATGATGGTTGTACAACTCTGTGAACATAATAAAAGCACTGAAATGTACACTTTAAATGGGTGAATTTTTATAATATGTGAATTATATCTCAATAAAAATGTTTTCAAAAATCAATTGGTGGGCCGGCTTGGTGGCTCGCGCCTGTGATCCCAGTACTTTGGAAGGCCAAGGCAGGTGGATCAACTGAGGTCAGGAGTTCGAGACCAGCCTGACCAACATGGTGAAACCCCGTCTCTATTAAAAATACAAAAAATGAGCCAGGCGTGGTGGCGCACACCTGTAATCCCAGCTACTTGGGAGGCTGAGGCAGGAGAATCGCTTGAACCCAGGAGGCAGAGGTTGCAGTGAGCTGAGATCGCACCACTGCACTCCAGCCTGGGTGACAGAGCAAGACTCTGTCTCAAAAGAAAAAGAAATTAATTGGTATTTGTGTGTGGATCATTCTCTGGACTCTGTTTTGTTCCACTGATGTATGTGTCCATCCTTTTGCCAATATTACTTTACCCTGATTATCTATCTTTGTAGTAAGACTTGAAATCAGGTACTATGAGTCCTCCAACTTTGTTTGTTTGTTTGTTTTTGTTGTTTGTTTGTTTTTAGCTCACTTCAGTCTCTAACTCTTGGGCTCAAGCAATTCTCTCACCTCAGCCTCTCTAGTAGCTAGGGCCACAGGTGTGCACTATCACACCCAGCTAATTTTCTTTTGTTTTCCTCACTGCAATCTCCACCTCCCAGGTTCAAGCGATTCTCCTGCCTCAGCCTCCTGAGTAGCTGGGACTACAGGTGCATACCACCACATCTGGCTAATTTTTTGTATTTTTAGTAGAGACAGAGTTTCTCTGTGTTGGCCAGGATGGTCTCGATCTCCTGACATTGTGATCTGCCCGCCTTGGCCTCCCAAAGTGCTGGGATTACAGGCGTGAGCCACCGCACCCAGCCTCCAGCTAATTTGAAAAATGTTTTTCTGGAGATGGGGTGTCTCTATGTTACCCAGGCTGGTCTTGAACTCCTGGCCACAAGTGATGCATCTTGGCTCCCAAAGTGCTCAGATTACAGGCATGAGCCACCGCACCTAGACTTCTTCTTCTTTTTCAAAATTGTTTTGACCATTCTAGTTCCTTTTCTTTTCCACGTAATTCTTAGAATCAGCTTGTAGACTACCAAAATATTGCTAGAACTTTAAAACCAATTGCACTGAATGTACAGATCAATTTAAGACACCTTAATAATATTGAGTCTTCTTATCCATGAACATGATATATCTTGTCGTTTGTTTTAGTCTCCTTTGATTTTTCTCATCAGGGTTTTGTAGTTTTCTGTGTAAATCTGCTGCACACATTTTGTTAGATTTATACCTATTTCACATCTTTTGGTGTTATCATAAAGGATACTTTTTTTTTTAAACAAAGTTTCACTCTGTCACCCAGGCTGGAGTGCAATGGCACTGAGACAGCCAGATGGGAAGGGGTCCCCAGAGAAACTTCAACCAGCCTGTGCACTGGGAGGAGTGCACATTGGGATGGAGACACAGAAGTTCCTGCTGTTTGCAGTGGGGAGGAGCCTGGCCCCTCCTTTACCTGGGTGGAACCTGCAATTCAATCCATGAGGCAGGAAGCACATACTAACAGTACTTTCACTCTGCTGAGAGTCCCTGTTTCCCTCTGTTTCCCATTTGGCCCAATAAATCCCATTTTTCTCATTCTTCAAATTGTCTGCAAGCCTAGATTCTCATGGCCATGTGACAAGGACTCCATCTTTAGCTGAACTAAGGAAAAGCCCAGCAACAGCACCATCACAGCTCACTGCAGCCTCAACCTCCTGGGGCTCAAGTGGTCCTCCCAGCTAAGCCTCCAAGTAGCTAGGACTACAGGCATGCACCACCACACCCAGATATTTTTTGTATTTTTTTCTGTAGAGACTGAGTTTTCCCATGTTGCCCAGGCTGGTCTTGAACTCCTAGGGTCAAGCAATCCACCCACCTCAGCCTCCCAAAGTGCCAGGATTACAGGCATGAGCCACTGCAACTGGCAATGGTACTTTACATTTCAATGGTACTTCACATTACAATGGTTTTTTTGTTTGTTTGTTTTTTGTTTTTGTTTTTGTTTTTGAGACAGAGTCTCGCTCTGTTGCCCAGGCTGGAGTGCAGTGGCACACTCCACCTCCCGGGTTCATGCCATTCTCCTGCCTCAGCCTCCCGAATAGCTGGGACTACAGGCGCCCGCCACCATGTCCGGCTAATTTTTTGTATTTTTAGTAGAGATGGGGTTCACCGTGTTAGCCAGGATGGTCTCGATCTCCCGACCTCGTGATCCACCCACCTCGGCCTCCCAAAATGCTGGGATTGGGATTACAGGCGTGAGCCACTGCGCCTGGCCACAATGATTTTTACATTTCTTCGTCTTTTTTTTTTTTTTTTTTTGAGACAGAGTCTTGCTCTGTTGCCCAGGCTGGAGTGCAGTGGCACGATCTCGGCTCACTGCGATCTCTGCTCACTGTGACTTCCACCTCCCAGGTTCAAGTGATTCTCCTGCCTCAGCCTCCCGAGTAGCTGGAACTACAGGCTCACGCCACTATACCCAGCTAATTTTTTTGTATGTTTAGTAGAGACAAGGTTTCACCATGTTGGCCAGGCTGGTCTCGAACTCCCAACCTCATGATCCACCCACCTCGGCCTCCCAAAGTGCTAGGACTACAGGCATGAGCCACCATACCCAGACGGTTTTTAACATTTCAAGTTCCAACTTTCTTTTTCTTTTCTTTTTTTTTTTTTTTTTTTTTTTGAGACAGTCTCACTCTGTTGCCCAGGCTGGAGTGCAGTGGCGTGACCTCAGCTCACTGCAAACTCTGCTTCCCAGGTTCACACCATTCTCCTGCCTCAGCCTCCCTAGTAGCTGGGACTACAGGCGCCCACCACCACGCCCAGCTAATTTTTTTGTATTTTTAGTAGAGACAGGGTTTCACCATGTTAGCCAAGATGGTCTCCATCTCCTGACCTCATGATCTGCCTGTCTTGGCCTCCCAAAGTGCTGGGATTGCAGGCGTGAGCCACCACTCCTTGCCCCAATTTTCACTGTACAGAATTAAAATTGGTTTTTTATTGACCACATATCCTGTGACCTTGCTAAGTTGCTTATTACTTATAGTAGGACATTTTTGTAGATTCTTTGAGATTTTCTATATAGACGATTATGTAATCTGTTAGTATAGTTTTATTTCTTCCTTTTCAATCTATATGCTTTTTTATAATCTTAATGTAATGTTCCATTACAATGTTGAATAGGAGTGACAAGGACAGATATCCTTACCTTGTTCTCTTTCTCAGTGGAAAAGCACTGAGTCTCTTACCATTAAATATGATATTAGATGTAGGTATTTTACTGATATCAATTATCAGGTTGAGGATATTCTCTTCTGTTACTAGTATACTGACAGTTTTTATCATAAATGATGTTAGACTTCCTTTTCTTTTCTTTTTCTTTTTTAGACGGAGTCTCGCTCCGTCACCAGGCTGGAGTGCAGTGGCGCAATCTCGGCTCACTGCAACCTCCACCTCCCGGGTTCAAGTGATTCTCCTGCCTCAGCCTCCTGAGTAGCTGGGATTACAGGTGCTCGCCACCATACCTGGCTATTTTTTTTTTGTATTTTTAGTAGAGACGGGGTTTCACCAAGTTGGCCAGTATGGTCTCGATCTCTTGACCTCGTGATCCACCCACCTCAGCCTCCCGAAGTGCTGGGATTACAGGTGTGAGCCACTGCGCCTGACCTAGACTTTCTTTTCAAATGCCTTTCTTGTGGGTGCATTTTTTGAGATCATCATATGGTTTTGTAACAGCCCAAGAGGTTCTTCTTGCCCACTGCCCAGAAAAGCCAATGCACTGAGAACAGCAGGTTTTGCAGCAAAGAACATGTTTAATTGCAAGGCCAGCCAAGCGAGAAGATGAGACAATTCTCAAATCTGCCTCCCAGAGAATGCGGAGGCTAGGGTTTTAAGGATAGTTTGGCAGGCAGGGAGCTAGGGAATGGGAAATACTGATTGGTTTGGTCAGGGATGAAACCACAGGGTTATCAAAACTGTCTCTGTGCCTCTGTCAGTTCCTGGGTGGGGGTCACAAGTCTGGGTGGCATCAGTTGTTCCACCAGAATGCAATGCCTGAAAAATATCACAAATACCAATGTTAGGTTTTACAATAGTGATGTTACCTATAGGGGCAACTAGAGAAATTATAAATCTCGTGACCACTAGCTGTATGAATTCTGAGCAGTAAGCAAATTAGAAAACAATGGCTAGTTATTATTAAACTCTGCATAGGTCGTCGCAGAATTCAGGACCCACCTATAATTCTAATCTTATGGCCTTTCATAAGTTTTACAAAGGCAATGTCAGTACCCAAACAAGGAGAGGGTAATTTGGGAAGGGACTGCTATCATCCTTGCTTTAAGGTTAAATTATTAACTAAATTCCTCCCAGGAGTTCCTGCCCAGGAATTGGCAAGGGCAGTTAGCTTATGAGTTTACAAGGAAGTTGGAGCCTGCTATATTAAATTTCTCTGTGTCTTTTTGGGAAAGGGCTATTACCAATTTTGTTTCAGAGTCAAATCATGAACTGAATTCCTTCCCAAAGTTAGTTTGGCATCCACCCAAGAATGTACAAGGACAGCTTGAAGGTCAGAAGCAAGATGGAGTCAGTTAGATCTGATCTCTTTCACTGCCATAATTTCCTCAGTTATAATTTTTGCAAAGGCGGTTTTGTAACCGCCCAAGGGGTTGACCTGACCTTGCCCGCTGCCTAGACAGAGCAGATTCGTCAAGACAGGGCAATTGCAATAGAGAAAGACTAATTCACTCAGAGCCGGCTGTGTGGGAGACCAGAGTTTTATTATTACTCAAATCAGCCTCTCTGAGCATTTGAGCATTCAGGGAGCAGAATTTTTAAGGATAACTTGGTGGAAGAGGGGAAGCCAATCAGGAGTGCTGATTGGTCAGAGATGAAATCATAGGGAGTAGAAGCCGTCTTCTTACGCAGTCAGTTACTGGGTTGGGGAGGAGGGGCACGAGATCAGATGAGCCAGTTCATTGATCTGGGTGGGGCCAGCTGATCCATCATGTGCAGGCTCTGCAAAATCAAGCACTGATCTTAGGAGCAGTTCAGGGAGGGTCAGAATCTTATAACCTCCAGCTGCATGACCCTTAAACCATAATTTCCAATCTTGTGGCTACTGTTAGTCCTACAAAGGCAATATAGTCTCCAGGCGAGAAGGAGGTCTGCTTTGGGAAAAGGCTGTTACCATCTTTGTTTAAACTACAAACTATAAACTTAAGTTTCTCCTGGGCAGGCGCGGTGGCTCACGCCTGTAATCTCAGCACTTTGGGAGGCCGAGGCGGGCGGATCACGAGGTCAGGAGATCCAGACCATGGTGAAATCCCGTCTCTACTAGAAACACAAAAAATTAGCCGGGCTTGGTGGCGGGCGCCTGTAGTCCCAGCTACTCTAGTCTCCTGCCTCGGGAGGCTGAGGCAGGAGAATGGCGTAAACCCGGGAGGCGGAGCTTGCAGTGAGCCGAGATCGCGCCACTGCACTCCAGCCTGGGCGACAGAGCGAGCAACGATCCGTCTCAAAAAAAAAAAAAAAAAAAAGTTTCTCCCAAAGTTAGTTCAGCCTACGTCCAGGAATGAACACGGACAGCTTGGAGGTTAGCAGCAAGATGGAGTCAGTTAAGTTAGATCTCTTTCACTGTCTCAGTCATAATTTTGCAAAGGTGGTTTCAGTTTCAATGATATTTTGTTGTAGCAGCAGGAACAAGTTAAGAATTATTATCCTCTTTATTATTGGTCTCAAAATCCCAGGCTCAAGCAATCCTCCCACCTGGGGCCTCCCAAAGTGTTGGGACTACAGGTGTGAGCCACTGCAGGGCCTACGGTTCTTATATATTGCTAAATTCACTTTGTGATATGAAGGATATTGGTTAATAAAGGATATATTGTTCTATAGGTTCTCTCTCCACCCACCTTGTAATGTCTTAGACTGGCTTTAGCATCAGGGTAAGTCAAATATAAATTAAAATGAGTTGGGAAGTATCCCTCCTCCTTCATGTTCTGGGAGAGTTGGTGTAGGATTGAGATTATTTCTTCTCTAAATATGTGAATCAGGGCTTCTGTTGGGGCCGGGGGGCGGGGGCGCTGGGGCGCTGGGCGGTGGAATGAAGGTCACGTGCCCGACGGGCGCCAGCTGGCTAGATGCCTGGCAAGGAGGCGGCGGCGTGCTCCACTGCCCGCCCGACCTGCCTGCCCTTCGCCGCCCGAGAGTGCGCGGCGCGCTCAACGTCACCTTCGACTCGGTGGCGCCACGGCGGGCCCGGGGCAAAGCGCCGGGCTGCGGCAGAAGGGCGGCAGCGGCGGCGGCCGCGATGGATCTAGGCTAGGGCAGTCGCCACCCGCCCAAGCTGCGAGCCCCATACTCGACTCCTGCTCGCCTGCCTGCCAGCCTGCCCGTGGCCCGCGGGTCTCCTTCCTCAAAGGGGGACCTTCTACTCAGAATATCCCGAGTGCTGCGTGGAAGTAAAACTATTCCACAAGATCGACAGTGGGAGAGCCGGCCTGGCACATTGGCTCAGACCTGTAATCTCAGCACTTTGAGAGGCCGAGGCGGGCGGATCACCTGAGGTCAGAGGTCGAGACCAGCCTGGCCAACGTGGTGAAACCCCCTCTCTACTAAAACTACAAAAATTAGCCGGGCGTGGTGGAGGGTGCCTGTAATCCCAGCTACTCAGGAGGCTGAGGCAGAAGAATCGCTTCAACCCTGGAGGCGCGGGTTGCAGTGAGCCGAGATTGCACCATTGCGCTCCAGCCTGGATGAGAGAGCCAGACTCAGTCTCAAAAAAAAAGGAAGTAGGAGAGCCGGCCCAGCGCGTTGGCTCACGCCTGTGATCCCAGCACTTTGGGAGGCTGAGGAGGGAGGATAGCTTGAGCCCAGGAGTTTGAAACCAACCCGGGCAACATAGAGAGATCCTGTCTCTACAAAAAATAGAAAATTTAGCCAGGTGTGGTAGAGTGCGCTGGTGGGCCCAGCTACTCGGGAGGTTGAAACGGGGACATCACTTGAGCCCAGGGGTTCAAGGCTGCAGGAAGCCATGATCGGGCCACTGCACTCCAGCCTGGGCAACAGAGTGAGACATTGTCTCAAAAAAGAAGGAAAGAAGTGACCCTCATCAGCCAGTCTGGAAAACCAGTGCTGTACATCAGCTATGGGCCAGCTTATGACCAGGGTGGCCCAGTTGAAATTTTCCCTCCCTCTACTTTGGCAGGGTCAACCATGCATCCAAGGGAGAGTTCCTCCCCAACCTGCATATCACAGGTCTCCAGGCCAACCTCCAAGACCCAAAGGACCCATCTTCACTACAAATGGATCCCCATGGAAGACAGCCATATGGCTGACACTAACTCCCACTTTCAAGAATAGACAGGCCGGGCACCATGGCTCATGCCTATAATCCCAGCAGTTTGGGAGTCCGAGCCGGGCTGATCACTTGAGGTCAAGAGTTCGAGACCAGCCTGGCCAAGTAGTGAAACCTCATCTCTACAAAAGTACAAAAATTAGCCAGCTGTGGTGGTGAGTGCCTGTAATCCCAGCTACTGGGGAGGCTGAGGCACAAGAATCACTTGAACCCGGGAGGCAGAGACTGCAATCACGGCACTGCACTCCAGCCTGGGGAACAAGAGTAAAACTCCGTCTCAAAAAAAAAAAAAAAAAAAAAAAAAAAAAAAAAAAAAAAATATATATATATATATATATATATATGCAATGGACTTCATTGGCTGTGTCAGGGGAAAAGGAGGCAAGGTCCTGGTCCACTGTGAGGCTGGAATCTCCCATTCACCCACCAGCTGCAAGTCTTCCCCCATGAAGACCAGACAGCTCTGCCTGAAGGAGACCTTCAATTACATCAAGCAGAGGAGGAGCATGATCTGGTCCAATTTTGGCTTCATGGACCAGCTCCTACAGAAGGAATCTGAGATCCCACCCTCCACGCCCACCCCCAGCCTCCCTCTTGCCAAGCGAGGCAGCAGGCTCTTCACTGAAGGTCATTTGCAGATACTGAGCCCAGGCCTGCAGGATGCCTACTGCACATTCCCTTCCCCGGTGCTGGCACTGGTGCCCACCCACCGGACAGTCTAAGAGTTCAGCAGGATCCCTGTGGCCACAGCCACATCCTGCTAAAACTGGGATGGAGGAACCAGCCCAACCCCAAGAGCAACTGTGACTTTTGTTTCTAAGACTCGTGGACACTTCATCCCAGTGCAATACTGAAGACCTCACTCTGTCACACTGCCCCAGTGAGATAGTGAGTGCTCACCAGGCTTGCAAATGAACTTCAGGCTGACCTCAGGGTAGGTTCTCAAAACACCAAAGGAGGGCCAAGCCATTATGGGAGCACAGCATGTGCTGACTACTGTGCATCCAGACCCCCTGCCCTCTCAGGACTGCCCAGTCCTTGCACCTCAAAGTTCGCCTTTTCATTTAAAGCGTAAGGCAATAAATACCCTGCAGCAGCATGGGAGAAATAAGTTGCTGGACAAGGAGAAAAGGCAGTTGGGAAACCAATTCATTTGGAAGGAAGCACAATTTCCACCTTCTTTTCTGAACTTTGGCAGTCTCACTGTCTGTCTCTGTTGCTTCAGGGCATAAGCTGATCACCATGTAGCCAGGAAGGTAACCCTGCAGGGTTTGTAGGGGCATGATATATGCACTGATTTAAACCCTGACATGTTTTTAAGATTCTTTCTTGGGTCCAATGGAGGCAGTTGGTTAAAGTAGCAAGGCGTTGGCTTTCCTGGGTTTCTTTTTCATCATGGGTTATTCCCTGACCTTTGAGTTTGGCATGATTCTTTATTTATTTATTTATTTATTTTGAGACGGAGTTTCGCTCTTGTTGCCCAGGCTGGAGTGCAATGGTGCAATCTCGGCTCACCACAACCTCCACCTCCCGGGTTCAAGCGATTCTCCCAGCCTCTCGAGTAGCTGGGACTACAGGCATGCACCACCAAGCCCACTAATTTTGTATTTTTAGTAGAGACGGGGATTCTCCATGTTGGTCAGGCTGGTTTCAAACTCCCAACCTCAGGTGATCCGCCCGCCTCGGCCTCCCAAAGTGCTGGGATTACAGGCATGAGCCACCATGCCCGGCCTGGCATGATTCTTATTCATACTTTACAACACGTCTCATTACACCTCTTCTCTTCTCTTTACCCCTTTTCTCAAATGAAGCAACTCTTTGGGAAAAGTGTTTTTCAGATCATAAACAAAAAACTTATACCTTTCAGGCGGCGGCAGTGGGTGCCAGGAGGGAGGGGGTACCTGCTGTGTGTTCTAGGTCAGTGGTGTTGAACACAATGGTTTCCTCAGCTTGCTGTCCTATATGCTTGGTCTCTTACTACAGTTGTTTCCCTCCCTGACCCTGAGGGTTGTCTTCAAACTACTCATTTCTGGGATTTGTAGATTTTGCAATGTGGTACTACTTTTTTTTTTTTGTCTGTGGGTTATTTCTGCAGGGGAAAAGGCAATAATTTTCTAAAACCCATATGAATGTGAGGAAAAGAAGTATGTGACTGGTTGTTGGTTTTTTTTTTTATGGTGCAAAAAAATAGTAAAAGGAAATAAACAAATATCTGAACCAATTTAGCAGTGAAGCTATCTAGCCCTGCAGTTTATTTTGTTTGAATTTTTTTTTTTTTGAGATGGATTCTCGCTCTGTCCCCCAGGCTGGAGTGCAGTGGCGCAATCTCGGCTCACTGCAAGCTCCGCCTCCCGGGTTCATGCCATTCTCCTGCCTCAGCCTCCCGAATAGCTAGGACTACAGGCGCCTGCCACCACGCCCACCTAATTTTTTCTATTTTTAGTAGAAATGGAGTTTCACCGTGTTAGCCAGGATGGTCTCGATCTCCTGACCTCGTGATCTGCCCACTTTGGCCTCCCAAAGTGCTGGGATTACAGGCGTGAGCCACCACGCCCAACCCTATTTAGTTAGAATTTTTAAAACTAGAAATCCAATTTCTGGCTGGGCACAGTAACTTATGCCTGTAATACAAGCACTTTGGGAGGCTGAGGCAGGTGGATCACTTGAGCCCAGTAATTCAAGATCAGCCTGGGCAACATGGGGAAAGCCCATCTCTACAAAAAACACAAAAATTAGCCAGGTATGATGGCACATGCCTGTAATCCCAGCTACTCAGGAGGCTGAGGTGGGAGGATCATCTCAGCCCAGGGAGGTTGAGACTGCAGTAAGCCTCTGCACTCCAGCCTGGGAGACAGAGTGAGACCTCCATCTCAACAACAAAAAATCCAATTTCTTTTACAGATATTGGACAATTCAGGTTATCTCTTCTTAAATGAGCTTGGCAGTTTGTGTCTTTTAAGGAATTTGTCTGCTTTATCTAAGTTGTCAAGTTTACAGCCATATGTTTCTTGGTAATATTCCCTTATTTTCCTTTTAATGCTTTTAGGATGTGTAGGGGTGTCCCCTTTTTGGTTCTTTATCTTTTAAAAAATTTAGATTATATCACATAGCAAAATCAACAATTTAAAGTGTACAATTCAGGGGTATTCAGCATGTAATCGCCCAATGATTTCTTCCTGCCTGCTGCACAGACAAAACCAATTCACTGAGACCCTGGTATTGCAGTAGAGAAAGAGATTAATTAATGCAAGACAGCTGAGCAAAAGGACTAAAGTTATCACTCAAATCAGTCTTCCAGAGAACTCAGAAGCTAGGATTTTTATGGATAATTTGGCAGGCGGGGGCTAGGGAATGGGTGCTGCTGACTGGTTGGGGATAAAATCATAGGGATGTGGAAAACAGTCCCCATGTGCTGAGTCTGCCTCTGGTGGGTGGGTCCATAGGACCAACTGAGTCATGAGTCACAGGTCTAGATGGGGTCAGTTAGTTGCCAGAATATAAAAATCTGAAAAACATCTCAAAAGACCAATCTTAGGTTCTATAATAGTGATGTTATCTATAAGCACAACTGGGGAAGTCACAAATCCTGTGAGGCTAGACGTGAGATGGAGTTAGCCATGCTAGGCTTCTCTCACTGTCATAGTCATTGCACATGCAATTTCAATCACATACAAAATGTGCAACCACCACCTAAATCTAGTTCCAAAGTATTTTCATCACCACCCTCCCAAAAACCCATACCTATTAAACAGTCAATCCTCATTTCTTTCTCCCCCCAGGATTAGCAACTTAAAAATTTTCTTTCTGTTTCTATGGATTTACGTATTCTAGATATTTCTTATAAATTATGTCATACAACTTATGGCATTTGTGTCTGCTCACTGAAGCCTAAACCTCCCAGGGCCAAGCGATCCTCCCACCTCAGCCTCCTGAGTAGCTTGGACTACAGGCATGTACCACCATGCCTGCCTAGCTAATTTTTATAATTTTTAGTAGTGACAAGCTCTCACTATGTTGCCAGGGCTGAATTCTATAAGTTAAAATGTATTTTTTTCAGGGATGGGGTCTTGCTATGTTGGCCAGGCTGGTCTCAAACTCCTGGGCTCAAGCGATCCTCCTGCCATGGCCTTCCAAAGCACTGGTATTACAGACATGAGCCACCACACCTGGCTAGATTTACAAAATATTTATTAATTTTTTATTCTCATATTCTACTCATCACTTGGGTTTAAATTTTCTTCTTTCTTAATTTTGAAGTATGTCTTTCAGCAAGGACCTTTAAATAGTTAACCCTCTTGGCTTCTTCTCCTCCCTCATTCTTTTTATTCTTTCCTTCTAGAGCTCCTATTATATGCATAATGGACCTTCTTATTCAGTTCTTCACATCTCCTAACTACTAACTCTGTTCTATATCTCTCTAGGCTACATTCTAGATAATTCGTTCAGACCCATCTTCAAATTGATTATTGTTTCCTTTACCTATAGTTCTTAAAATTTATTTTTAAATATAGAGATGGGGCCAGGAGCAGTGGCTCATGCCGGTAATCCCAGCATTTTGGGAGGCCGAGACAGGCAGATCACCTGAGGTCAGGAGTTAGACCAGGCTGGCCGACATGGTGAGACCCTGTCTCTACTAAAAATACCAAAAAAAATGCTGAGCGCAGTGGCTCACGCCTGTAATCCCAGTACTTTGGGAGGCTGAGGCAGGTGGATCACCTGAGGTTGGGAGTTTGAGACCAGCCCAACCAACATGGAGAAACCCCATCTCTACTAAAAATGCAAAATTAGCTGTGTGTGGTGGTGCATGCCTGTAATCCCAACTACTCGGGAGCCTGAGACAGGAGAATCGCTTGAACCCAGGAGGCAGAGGTCGCAGTGAGCCGAGATCATGCCATTGCACTCCAGCCTGGGCAACAAGAGCGAAACTCCGTCTTTAAAAAAAAAAAAGAAAAAACAATTGGCCAGATATGGTGGTATATGCCTGTAATCCCAGCTACTCGGGAGACTAAGGCAGGAGAATCACTTGAACCCAGGAGGCAGAGATTGCAGTGAGCCGAGATCTTGCCACTGCACTCCAACCTGGGCAACAGAGTGAGACGCCATCTCAAAAAATAAATAAATACATACATACATACATAAAATAAAAATAGAGATGAGATCTCACTCTGTGGCCCAGGCTAGTCTCAAAATCATGGGCGCAAGTGATTCTCCCACCTCAGCCTCCCAAAGTGCTGGGATTACAGGCGTGAGCCACCATGCTTGGCCTTCATCAGCTACATTTAGTCTGTATAACTCATTCGGTGAACTTTTGTTTTCATTGTTCTATTGACTTTTTTTTTTGAGACAAGAGTTTCGCTCTGTCACCCAGGCTGCAGTACAATGGTGCAATCTCAGCTCACTACAACCTCCCCCTCCCAGATTCAAGCCATTCTCCTGCCTCAGCCTCCCAAATATCTGGAATTACAGGCATGTGCTACCATGCCCGATTAATTTTTGTATTTTTAGTAGAGACAGGGTTTCAACATGTCAGCAAGGCTGGTCTCAAACTCCTGACCTCAGGTGACCCACCCGCCTCAGCCTCCCAAAGTGCTGGGATTACAGGCATGCACCACCATGTCCGGGTATGTTAATTATTTTATTTATTTATTTTATTATAAAGACGGGGTCTCACTGTGTTGCCCAGTCTGGAGTGCAGTGGCTATTCACAGACACAATCATAACACACTGTTGCCTCAAACTCCTGGGCTCCAGTGATCCTCCTCCCTCAGCCTCCTGAGTGGCTGGGACTACAAGTGTACAGCATCATGCCTAGGTCAATGAAATTTTACTTCAGTGATTACATTTTTTCACTTGTAGAATTTCTACAGTTGACCTTTGAACAAGACAAATTTGAACTGTGTGAGTCCACTTATATGTGGATTTTCTTCTGCCTCTGCCACTTCTGAGACATCAAGACCAATCCTTCTTCTTCCTCCTCCTCCTTAGCCTTCTCAATAAAAAAACAACAAGGATGAGGCTGGGTGCGGTGGCTCACGCCTGTAATCTCAGCACTTTGGGAGGCCGAGGCGGGCAGATCACGAGGTCAGGAGATCTAGACCATCCTGGCTAACACAGCTAAACCCCTTCTCTACTAAAAATACGAAGAATTAGCAGGGCATGTTGGCAGCTGCCTGTAATCCCAGTTACTCGGGAGGCTGAGGCAGGAGAATGGCTTTAACCTGGGAGGCGGAGCTTGCAGTGAGCCGAGATGGCGCCACTGCACTCCAGCCTGGGGGACAGAGCGAGACTCTGTCTCAAAAAAAAAAAAAGGATGAAGATCTTTATGATGATTGTATTAGTCCGTTTTCACACTGCTGGTAAAGACATAGCCAGGACTGAGTTATTTATTTATTTAGAGATGGGGTATCACTCTGTTGCCCAGGCTGGAGTGCAGTGGCAGGATCTCGGTTCACTGCAACCTCTGCCTCTGGGGTTCAAGAAATTCTCTGCCTCAGCCTCCTGAGTAGTTGGGATTACAGGCGCCTGCCTCCATGCTCGGCTAATTTTTGTATTTTTAGTAGACACGAGGTTTCACCATCTTGGCCAGGCTGGTCTTGAACTCCTGACCTCGTGATCCACCCGCCTCAGCCTCCCAAAGTGCTGGGATTATGGGTGTGAGCCACCGCGCCCAGCCAGGACTGGGGTAATTTATAAAGAAAAAGAGGTTTAGGCCAGGCGCAGTGGCTCACGCCTGTAATCCCAGCACTTTGGGAGGCCAAGGCAGGTAGATCACGAGGTCAGGAGTTCAAGACTAGCCTGGCCAACATAGTGAAACCCTATCTCTACCAAAAATACAAAAATTAGCAGCGTGTGGTGGCATGCACCTGTAGTCCCAGCTACTCGGGAGGCTGAGGTGGGAGAATCACTTGAACCCAGGAGGTTGCAGTGAGCCGAGACCACGCCATTGCACTCCAGCCTGGGTGACAGAGTGAGACTCTGTCTCAAAAAAAAAAAAAAAAAAAAAAAAGGCCGGGCATGGTGGCTGACGCTTGTAATCTCAGCACTTTGGGAGGCTAAGGTGGGCGGATCATGAGGTCAGGAGTTCAAGACCAGCCTGGCCAACACAGTGAATCCCTGCCTCTACTAAAAATACAAAAAAAAAAAAAATAGCTGGGCATGGTTGTGGGCGCCTGTAATCCCAGCTACTCGGGAGGCTAAACCAGGAATCGCTTGAAGCCAGGAGGTGGAGGTTGCAGTGAGCCGAGATTGTGCCACTGCACTCCAGCCTGGGCGACAGAGCTAGACTCCATCTCAAAAAAAAAAAAAAGAAAATAAAAGAAAAAGAGGTTTAATAGACTCACAGTTCCATGTGGCTGGGGAGGCCTCACAATCATGGCAGAAGGCGAAAGGCATGTCTTACATGGCGGCAGACAAGAGAGAATGAGAGCCAAGCTAAAGGAGTTTCCCCTTATAAAATCATCAGATCCTGTGAGACGTATTCACTACCATGAGAACAGTATGGGGGAAACTGACCCCATGATTCAATTATCTCCCACCGGGTCCCTCCCACAACACGTGGGAATTATGGGAGCTACAATTCAACATGAGATTTGGGTGGGGGCACAGCCAAACCATATCAATGATCCACTTCCACTTAATGAATAGTAAATATATTTTCTCTTCCTTATGATTTTCTTAATAACATTTTCTCTTCTCTAGCTTACTTTATTGTAAGAATACAGTACATAATAAGCATAACAGCCTGGGCACAGTGGCTCATGCCTATAATCCCAGTGCTTTGGAAAGCTGAGATGGGAGATTCGCTTGAGGCCAGGAGTTTAAGACCAGCCTGGACAACATAGTGAGACCCCCCATCTCTACAAAAGACTTTTAAAAATAATTCGCTGGGCATGGTGGTGTGCACCTGTAGTCGTAGCTACTCAGGAGGCTGGTGCAGGAGGGTCTATTAAGCTCAGGAGTTCAAGGCTGCAGAGAACTATGATGATGTCACTACACTCTAGCCTGGGTGACAGAGTGAGGCCCTGTCTCTTAAAAAAAAAAAAAAAGTTATAGGCAGATTTTTGACTGTGTTGCTATGTCAATGCCCCAACCCCTGCACTGTTCGTGGGTTAACTGTATTTGGTTGTCTCTCCCACCTGTTTTTCTTTCATGTCATTCTGTTTTAGCCCATGATTTCTATGTCTTCTTTAGCTCTTAATTTAATTTTTTTTTTTTTTTCGAGACAGAGCCTTGCTCTTGTCACCCAGGCTGGAGTACAGTGGCAAAATCTTGGCTCACTGCAACCTCCGCCTCCCAGGTTCAAACGATTCTCCTGCCTCAGCCTCCCGAGTAGCTGGGACTACAGGTGCCTGCCAACACGCCCGGCTAATTTTTTGTATTTTTAGTAGAGACAGGATTTCACCATGTTGGCTAGGCTGGTCTCCAACTCCTGACCTTACGTGATCCACCTGCCTCAGCCTCCCAAAGTGCTGGGATTATAGGTGTGAGCCAGCACGCCTGACCTCCTTTAGCTCTTTGAACATTCTAAACATATTTATAAAGCCTCTCTCAGATTTTAAATTTCTAGTTGTTGGGATAAAAATGTGCTCATCTGTGACATTTGTAGAATGTCCCCAATAATCATTCCTTTCCTTGTGTGCTTAATAATTTTGACTGTAAGATTATCTTCAGCAAAGCCTCCTTCCCACAGGAATCTATGTGCCCTGGATTATAGAAATATTCTGCAGAGATATTTCACAATTTATCTATCAGGACCTGATGGGTATCACCAATTCTAGAACATCTTTTAAGATTATTTCTTCACTTGGGATGCTTATCCTAATGTGGGGTAATGGATTCTGACTGTCCTTGTATCTGTACGTGTAGCAAAGATTTAGGATTCTCAGGTTAACTTTGTGACTCAATCATGACCTCAAGGACCCAAGAACTTTCCATCTTTCACTCTGCAGTCTACCTGCAATATTCTTCATCGTGGTCACAAGATGGCTGTGGCAGATATGGCCAACCTGAGGGAAAAGGAGGGGGGCATTTCTTCCCATGTATCTCTTTTATTACTGAGGGAAACTTTTCCCAGAAGTCCCTTTGCAAACTTTCCGTGAGGTCTCAATGGCCAGAATGGGGGAAGCTGCCTACATCCCCTCCAGATGGGATCCCAAGAGGTGCTGGGAAAGTGAGTCCTGGCATTTTCCCATCTCTATAGAGGGGGTGAGCCCTCCCAGTGTAAAGAAAGGACAGGTAGGAGGTGGAAATGACTTTGCAAGTAACATTTGTAATATTTCCAAACATTTTTGTGAGTATAAACCTAAAGAAAGGATATTTTGTCACCAATTCAGTCCACCATACTGACTGAAATTCAGTATTAGATTTTTTTTTCTTTTCTTAGAGACAGGGTGTCACCCAGACTGAAGTGCAGTGGGCCATCATAGCTCACTGCGGCCTTCGACTCCTGGGCTCAAGTGATCCTCCCACCTCAGCCTCCTTAGTAGCTGAGACTACAGGTGCACACCACCACACCCTGCTAATTTTATTTATTTATTTTGTAGAGACAAGGTCTTGCTATGTTGCCCAGGCTGGTCTGTAACTTCTGGCCTCAAGCGATCCTCCCACCTCAACCTCTCAAAGCACTGGTATTGCAGGAGTGAGCCACTGTGCCCACCCAGTATTACCTTTGTAATTAAAATAAAACAGGACTGTTTTTTTTTTTTTTTTTTTGAGACGGAGTCTCGCTCTGTCACCCAGGCTGGAGTGCAGTGGTGCAATCTCGGCTCACTGCAAGCTCTGTCTCCCGGGTTCAAGCAATTCTCCTGCCTCAGACTCCCGAGTAGCTGGGACTACAGGTGCCTGCCACCACGCCCAGCTAATTGTTTTTTTGTATTTTTAGTAGAGACGGGGTTTCACCGTGTTAGCCAGGATGGCCTCGATCTCCTGACCTCATGATCCTCCCGCCTCGGCCTCCCAAAGTGCTGGGATTACAGGCATGAGCCACCACGCCCGGCCTCATTTATTTTTAACAAATCTGTCTCAAGAATCCCTGCCTTTCTAACTAACATTCCAGGCATTACCTCTAGCAAGAAACCCAACCTATTTAGAAAGCCTAACTCTTTTTGTCATTTTGTGCCAGAAGGAAAGAACAAAATAACATTTGTGTGGGGGGGGGGGATGGGGGGTGTTTTGTTTTGAAACAGAGTCTTACTCTGTCACCCAGGATGGAGTGCAATGGCGTGCTCTCAGCTCACTGCAACCTCTGCCTCCCGGGTTCAAGAGATTCTTCCACCTCAGCCTCCCGACTCGCTGGAATTATAGGCACCTGCCACTACGCCCGGCTAATTTTTGTATTTTTAGTAGAGACAAGGTTTCACCATAATGGCCAGACTGGTCTCAAACTCCTTACCTCAGATGATCCGCCTGCCTTGGCCTCTCAAAGTGCTGCGATCACAAGTGTGAGCCAGCACGCCAGGCTGAAACATCTGTTTTTGCCTGCCTCATGTTGGGTCTTTACAATGCATTGTTGCCTTTAGTCCTTTCACTGACCCAGTGAAATAGATGCTGATTTAGTCTGGATATTTGTCCCTACCCAAATCTCATGTTGAATTGTAATCCTCAATCCTGGAGGTGGGGCCTGGTGGGAGGTGTTTGGATCATGGAGGCACATGCATCATGGGTTGGTGCTGTCTTCATAATAGTGACCAGATAAAGATCTGGTCATTTAAAAGTGGGTGGCACCCCCCCCTGCCCCCAACACACTCTCTCTCTCTCTCTATCTCTCCTGCTTTTACCATGTGACGTGCCTGCTCCCCCTTTGCCTTCTCCATGATTGTAAGCTTCCTGAGGCTTCCCTAGAAGCTAAGCAGGTACCAGCACCTGCTTCCTATAAAGCCTGCAGAACTGTGAGCCAAGTAAACCTCTTTTCTTTATAGATTACCAGTCTCAGGTATTTATAGCAATGCAAGAATGGCCTGATACAGATGCCAAGGTCCCCATTTTACAGATGAGGAAACTGAAGCTCAGAGAATAGAAGTGCCTTGTTCAAGGTCACACAGCCTAGAAGCCCAGCACTTCCAGGTCTGCCTGACTCTAAAGTCCCTGCTCTTTTCTTTGAGCCATTCTGCCTCCATTCTCCTCATCCCAGTTATTTGTAAGGATTGGACTTGAGGATCAGGAAAGTAATTTTCTGGGCATCAACTGGGCCTAAAACATCCATCTTGAGGTCAGAAATTATCAGAGTGGAGCTTGTTATTAAGTAGTACACCAGACAGTCCCTTGATTAGCAATACAAATGAAATTCCAGCAGACTGTCTCTGGGGATGCCATTTAGCAATATTAACTTGAGAACATAAATCAATCTGGCTGGAGAGTTAATTCCCTCCCTGATTCAGGAAGCTGTCCTGAGAGAGATATCCACTGGGGAACTCAGCCTCCTACTCCACATTTGCTGTGGATGAGATTTCAGAAGAACCATCCATTCCTATATGACTCAAACTGCTCTTCCTGGGAAGTCTACCCACTGGATTTGTTGTGTGCCTTGCCTGCAGGACTATGAACAAGGAACTCCCTAACCTTGTGCAATGCTCCCTTCCAGGCCCTACATAGTGCGAATAGTGCGCATAGAGGCACTGCATACGTGCTTGCTTAATTAGTCGATTGATTAACAAACCGTTGACAACGCCAGCATTCAGTTGCTCCCAAATTATGTTGAAATGTGTGTGTTTACTGTGTTGAAATCTCCCAATGGTAGGATTAGTACTCATGAGGAAAACATGCCTCAATGACACCTGCTGGTCTTTGAGGGTTTCCCAGGAGCAGTGACTTCTGCTACATACGGCCTTCCTGTACCCCAGATCTGAGGTTGTGGACTAATCGCTGCTCCTTACACTAGACTCTGGGCTGCCTTCCTTCCTTCCAGCCTTTGCCTGGTACTCCTACATGGCAGTACCTCCTTAGAACAAGGAGAGAGGGACCCTTGCTCTTGGCTCCTGCTCTAGAGGGCTCCATATCTCACAAACACATATGTGAAATTTATGTAAAGCCACTTCTGTCATTTGTGATCTGGTGCTCAGCACTGGCACCATTCAACCCATAACCCTAAATATCCACTCTCAGGACCAACCCCATTCAGGCCCCAGGGAAATGCTTATCTACATCTCTAAAGACAAGGTTGGGGATGGTGGCTCACACCTGTAATCCTGGTACTTTGGGAGATCGAGGCAGGCAGATGGCTTGAGCCCAGGAGTTTGAGACCAGCCTGGGCAACATGGTGAATCCCCATCTCTACGAAAATACAAAAACTAGCCAGGTGTGGTGGTGCACACATGTAGTCCCAGCTACGAGGGGGGCTGAGGTGGGGGGCTTGCTTGAGTCCAGGAGGTTGATGTCCCAGCAAGCCATGATTGTGCCACTACACTCCAGACTGGGGAACAGAGTGAGACCCTGTCTCTAAAAAACAACAACAAAAAAAAAAAAAAAAGAAAGAAAGAAAGAAAAGGAAAAGATGACTGCATTCAAATGCCTTTCAGTTGGTTGTGCCATTGCTTACATTCAAGACAGACACTGTTTTAGGGTATGGGGAGGATTTGAGTGGTGGAATCACTTGGATAAGAGAGAAGACATATGAATTAAAAATTTGCCAAATCCATCCCTTCAGAAAGAATAAACGCAATAAGTTTATTTCTTTCCAACTTTCATTTTTAGGTTCAAGGGGTACAGGTGCACATTTGTTACACAAGTAAATTGCATGTCACAGCGGTTTGGTGTACAGGTAATTTTGTCACCCAGGTAATCAGCATAATAATATCCATTGGTAATTTTTCAATCCTCACCCTCCTCCCACCCTCCACCCTCAAATAGGCCCCAATATCTATTGTTCTCTTATTTTTTCTTTTTTCTTTTCTTTTTATTTTATTTATTTATTTTTTTGAGACGAAGTCTCACTCTGTCACCCAGGCTGGAGTGCAACCTCCGCATCCCGGGTTTCAGCAATTCTCCTGCCTCAGCCTCCCGAGTAGCTGAGACTACAGGTGCAGGCCACCATGCCTGGCTAATTTTTTTGTATTTTTAGTAGAGATGGGGGTTTCACCATGTTGGCCAGGCTGGTCTCAAACTCCTGGCCTCAGGTGATCCACCCACCTCAGTCTCCCAAAGTGCTGGGATTACAGGTGTGAGCCACCATGCCCAGCCTGTTGTTCTCTTCTTTGTGACCATGTGTGCTCAGTGTAAGTGCGGACATGTGGTATTTGGTTTTCTGTTCTTCGAGTAGACTCTTGCACAATGAAGCATTTTCCCCAGTTGTGTCAGAAGTACAATTCTCACTGCTCTCTATATTCCAATTTGTGGTTCCAGAAGTACTCACAAATTAGCTCTATACTCACAAGCATTACACATGGTAACTGAGGAATATTTTGCAATATTGAGAATGTTATTACTCTTAACTTTGCGTACCAGTTCGTCTAGATATAATGTGAGTGAAACGTGATACCGGTTATTTACATTGGCAGCTAGATGGGCACTGGCATTGCAAGTATAATTGCAAATGGTTTTAGGTTTCTAAAACTATTTAGCTGGGTGCAGTGGTGCATGCCCATAGTCCCAGCTACTCACAGGAGGCTGAGGCGAGAGGATCCCCTGAATCCAGGACTTAGAAGCAGCAGTGTGCTATGATTGTGCCTATAAATAGCCACTGCACTCCAGACTGAGCAATTTAGTGAGATTCCGTTCTCTAAAAAAAGAGAAAGGAAGGCCAGGTGCAGTAACTCATGCTTGTAATCCCAGCTCTTTGGGAGGCCAAGGCAGGAGGATCGCTTGGGGCCAGGAGTTTGAGGCCAGCCTCAGCAACACAGAGAGACCCTATCTCTACAAAAAAATTAAAAATTAGCTGAATGTGGTGGCATGTACCTGTGGTCTCAGCTACTTGGGAGGCTGAGGCAGGAGGATCTCTTGAGTCGACGAGTTTGAGGCTGCAGCGAACTGTGTTTGTACCACTGCACCCCAGCCTGGGTGACAGAGCAAGACCCTGTCTCAAAAGCAAAAAGAAAAAGCACTAATGATATTTAATTAAACTTTCAAAAAATAAATTCAGATTTGTTTTTTAAACTTTAATTTTGAAATTTAACATTCATTTATTATAATTCTATTTGCCTTTTAATTTTAATAATTTTGCATATTTTAAGTTGTTTTTGTAGCCCAGCTAATTTTGCATATTTTAGAAGAGAAATAACTTTTGGGAAAACAAATAAACAACTTTTAAATTTTAATATTTCACATTTACTTTAATTACACTTAATGAAAATAGATTCACATTTTACGTACTTTAAATATAATTTTTAACTCTATGATCATTACTGTCAATAGGACACAAATTAGGTGAATAACTTGACTTAACATAATAATGTTTCTGACAAGATAGCAAGAAAAATAAATTTAATAGAATAAATACTCAATTATTTATACATTATGTATCATTTTAATCTTCGAAAATGACAACTCTATGAACAAAACCCTGAGACAGACAATTCACAATAATTAACTTCAGTCATCTTTAAGACTGTGTTGACTTTCAGTCATATAAAACTGTGGCTTGGGCCGGGCGTGGTGGCTCATGCCTGCAATCCCAGCACTTTGGGAGACTGAGGCAGGCAGATCACTTGAGAGCAGGAGTTCAAGACCAGCCTGGCCAACGTAGTGAAACCGCATCTCTACTAAAACTATGAAAAATTAGCTGGGTGTGATGGTGTGTGCCTGTAATCCCAGCTACTCAGGAGGCTAAGGCAGGAGAATCGCTTGAACCCGGGAGGCAGAGGTTGCATTGAGCCAAGTTCGTGCCATTGCACTCCAGCGCAGGCAACTGAGTGAGACCCTTCCTCAAACAAAAACAAAAACAAAAACAACTGTGGCTTTTTAGAACCTGTGGAAAAAAGGAAAAAAAAAAAACTGTGGCTTGGTTCTTCTCATTCTGGTCTCTTCAGCTCTGCCTCAGGGCCTTTTCTCCTGCGTTTCGCTACTCCAAGGCTCTTTGCAGATCTTCAAAGAGCTATTCCTTCTCCTCATTCAGGTTTCAGCTCAAAAGTTGCCTCCTCAGAAAGGTTTTGCTTTTTCCTTCCCACATGTAGCTCTTACTGGGTGCCTGGATCCGTAACCAGTACTCCAGATCTGTTCAACCATTTCTTCCTTCCCAGGGCCCTTGGAAGCAGGTACTTTTTAGCACGGAAGAAGCAAGTAACTGGAGGACATTACGCTAAGTGAAATAAGCCAAGCACAGAAAGACAAATATCCTCCGTGCCCCAGTCATGGGCACATGACTGACCCTGTCTTATTTCCTCATTTTGTTGATCACTCTCTGAAATTATCTTGTTCATAGTGTGTTTCCTTGTATAGCTCCAAGAAAATGTGGGTTTTCTCTTCCTTGTTTGCCACAATACCAGCAGAGCCAAGAAAGGGCCTGGCACCCAGTGGGAGCTTGTAAATATTTTTTAAATACGTTAATAAACCATTACGTTAAGCCTTAAAAAGCAAAAGCTCCAATCATCAAGGTTTGTTTTTAACCTCAACTTATTATTTAAAAATGTATTCTGAAGTATTAATAGGTGAAATTATATGAAGCCTAAGATATGCTTTAAAATACTCTATATTTTTTTTTAAAGTGTGGGGATAGAGGAAATAAGACTGACAAAATATTGATCATTATTAAGGCTGGGTGATAGATCCAATAGTCATTTTACTATTCTCTTTACTTTTGTATATGTTCAAAATTTCCTCCATAAAAACTTTTTTTAAGCCAGTTAATTGTCCTTGGGACAAGATAAACCCCAGCCTTCAGATTGCAGTGACTTGGTTGCTCTCTTGAAGTAGGAAAAAGGGAAAAAAGAAAACTAGAAAAAGCCAATTTCTAGTGTCACAGGTGCACATAGGAGTTACAAAGGAGGCAGTAATTAAACCCCCAAAGGAAGAAAATACGGTTCTACAGGCAAGATGACAATGGAGAGGGGTTCTGATGGATGCATAGGAGTTCGTGCATTAAGCACAATAAAGGCATTCTAGTCAAAGGACACCAGTCTATCCAAAGGCACAAAAATTGAAAGTGCCTGGCATACTGATTAAATTAGGATATTTTCAACTGAACTGGATTAAACAGTAAAGACAATTTAGTAGATCTCATAACAAGATAAGGAGAGGTAGATGGTGTCCAGACTGGTTAAGTTAGCAACTCTGTGATACCATTAAGGACTCAGGTTCTCTTCATGTCTTTACTCTGTCCACTGCCACATGTCTTAGCTGTCCTCATGGTTGTAAGATACCTCCTTCAATTCCATGTGTGATAACTTCCAAATGAAGAAGAAATGGCATCTTTTTCTACCAACAAGGAAACCTTTCTCAGAAGCCCCCAGCAGACTTCCCCTTGTGTTCCATTGGCCAGGAGTGTGTTATCTGCCCATGCCTGAGTCATAATTGAGGGAATCAAACCACCATGACTAGTTTGGAATGATCTTTATCCACTCCTTGGTGCTGGGCCCAGCGCCTGCCTCCTAGGAAGCACATGGCCTCTCCAAAGGTTAGCAGGCCCATGTTGGAAAGAGCCTTGATGGTAGGCTAAGGAGTCTTCATCCAAAAACAGGTGGTGGAGTGCTCTTTTTAAAGAGGCTGTGATTTGATGTGATCTGCTTTTCAGAAAGAACACTCTGGTGCCTGAGTAGAAGATGGCTTGGGAAGGGGGAGTCAGCTATGGAGTTAGAAAGAGCACAGAGGAGGGGACTGCAGTTTTCCAGGAGAGAGAAGATGGGCCTAATGTCTTCCATCTTCCCCCGCAGATCCACTCTCCACCCTCCCCTGCTACTCTCTGCAGCCCTTGGAGACTGACCTCCATGGTCCTCATTAAAGACTTCCATGCCCTCTGCCTTCCAGTGGTGTTCAGTCGAAGGTAAGAACTGAGAGGGGAGTGGAGGGAGGAATGAGATTAAGGTGGGGGTATCTATCTCCCCAGTTTCCTCCCCAGGTCACCTTGAGCTGGCTGGGTCTTGACCCATCAAGGCTTCCTCTCTACATGACTCACATAACTGTTCACTGCATGCCCTTAGCTATGGGAATGGTAACAGTGATAGTGGCAGAAGGGTGACAGATTCTTAGGTAGATAGGGGCGGGTCCCTGGTGAAACCCAAACTTCAAGCCAAAGAGAGTTTAAAGCCTGAAAACCAACCTACAAGTCTCTGATAAATCCACGAACTGAATTGAGAAACTCTCTTCCCGTTTGGTGCACTTTCCCCTCATTGTCCCCATCCTTCACCCATTTTATATATACCTACTCTTCCCTAATTGGTTTTTTACACTGTCATGCCCATCTTTGAGTGGTGCCTTTTTTTTAGTCTTTTTTGCATACTCACAACCCAATCAGCACACACCCCCCCAATTCTGAGCCCATAAAAACCCCAGACTCAGCCACACTTTGGGACTATTCACCTTTGGGTGGGGGACTACTCACTTTTGGGTAGGGGCTGCCCACTTTGGGTCCCCTCTCTGCTGAGAGCTGTGTCATTGCTCAATAAAATTCATCTCCATCTTACTCACCCTCCAGTTGTCAGCATAACCTCATTCTTCTTGGATGCAGGACAAGAACCTGGGACCCACCAAATGCAAGTACAAAAAGAGTTGTAACACTGTAGCTCTCTGCCTTCTGCTGGTGCCGGAAGGCCACCTCACATGATGGGAAGCAGAAGCAGTGCTGGGTCAGCCCAGGAGCTGCAGTCCAGTGTGGGTCGGTGGGACTGAACGAGCTGTAACACAAATGGGCTCAGACATGCTCTGTCCCCAACCTCATGCGCTGTGCTGCAGGTGGTAGGAAGGAGAGAAGAGCCAGGACCCTTCTGGGGCCCCAGACCTTGGGGTTTCCCCAAGCCAGAGCTGTAACTTGCTGTAACAGCCTCTTTGGGGTTCCACAGTTGCTGGCATCACCAAAGCTTTCGGGTGCCACTGTGTTCCCCTCATCCAAATACTGATGCCCAAGGCAGAAGCAGGGTCATGGGACACCCAGTCCAGCTGCAGGCTAAGCACAGATCCCACAGTGAGTGCGGGATCCAGGCTGGGGTGCAAGTCAAGTGCAGCCCACAAAGCTGAGTGGGCGGGGTGCCTCCCACCCGTGTAGAAGTGTCGCTGGCTGCAGAGGTCTCTGGCTGGCAAAGCAGCACCAAAAAAAATCCTGCGTCAACTGCTTCTGTCACTAGTCACAGGCATCACACTTCTGTTTTCCCTACACCTGACTCACACCTTTGTAGCTAGTCCCCTTATCAGGTTTTCTTCCATTCATTCAAATTATTATTATTATTATTATTATTATTATTATTATTATTATTTGAGACAGAGTCTCGCTCTGTCGCTAGGCTGGAGTGCAGTGGTGCAATCTCGGCTCACTGCAACCTCTGCCTTCCGGCTTCAAGTGATTCTCCTGCCTCAGCCTCGCGAGTAGCTGGGACTATAGGCACACGCCACCATGACAAGCTAATTTTTGTATTTTTAGTAGAGACGGGGTTTCACCATGTTGGCCAGGATGGTCTCGATCTCTTGACCTCGTAATCCACCCACCTCAGCCTCCCAAAGTGCTGGGATTACAGGTGTGAGGCACTGCACCCAGCCCATTCATCCAAATTTAAACATGCTGTCCACTTCCTACAGGGACTTTGGCTGATACATGTGACCAAGGCATATGGAGTCAGGGGAGTCTTAACCTGCAGAGCAGGAGAGGGGACTCCTTGGCCATTTGCTTCCTTATCGTAGGGGCAGACAGACTCCACAAGCTGCCACCAGAAGAGCACGGCACTGCTAGCTCAAGATGTTCCATCCCCAGGAAATAACCTAAGTTATAAAAGGCAGGTGCAAAAGCATGACGTACCCTTCTGTCTCCTTTTTTCTCTGTGTTGTTAGAATTTTTGTTTGTGGCTGGGCACGGTGGCTCATGCCTGTAATCCCAGTAGTTTGGGAGGCTGAGGGGGGCAGATAACTTGAGTCCAGAAGTTTGAGACCAGCCTGGGTAACATGGTGAAACGCCATCTCTACCAAAAAATACAAAAAATTATCCAGGCATGGTGGTGCATGCCTGTAGTCCTAGCTACTTTGGAGGCTTAGGCATGAGAATTGCATGAACCCAGGAGGTGGAGGTTGCAGTGAGCCAAGATCATGCCACCACACTCCAGCCTGGGCAACAGAGCAAGACTCTGTCTCAAAAAAAAAAGAAAAATTTGTTTGGTCGCGTCTTCATAACATTTCGTTAGAAAATAGAAGGAGTTTACAGCTCAGTGCCCCAAAGGAGAAAGGAAAGTCAGAACTAAACACCATCCTTGTCAGTCCTCTTGGGTTATAAGAGGAAGTGAACATGTCAAATGGGAGAAGCATCCACAGAGTGCAATGAGGATAAACTTTTGTGCTGTCAACCTAAAGGAAAAAAAGCAAAATCAGTATAAGTAGAAAGGTTATTTGGGTCAAGTTTGAGGGCTGTAACCTGGAAGCGTAGATTCACGCTGCCCTGAACATTCACTCTGATTAGCAGCAGTTACAAGTAGGCATTGCTTTTTTGTTTGTTTGTTTGTTTGTTTGTTTGTTTGAGATGGAGTCTCACTCTGTTGCCCAGGCTGGAGTGCAGTGGCGTGATCTCAGCTCACTGCAATCTCCGCCTCCCAGATTCAAGTGATTCTCCTGCCTCAGCCTTCCAGGTAACTAGTACCTGGGATTACAGACACGTGCCACCACACCTGGCTAATTTTCGTATTTTCAGGTAGAGATGGGGTTTCACCATGTTGGCCAGGCTGGTCTCGAACGCCTGACCTCAAGTGATCAACCCACCTCGACCTCCCAAAGTGCTGGGATTACAGGTGTCAGCCACCATGCTGGGCCTACAAGTAGGTGTTTGAAGGAAAAGAGGGTCAGTTCCTAAGTTGTTTACCAATAATTTACATTAAAATGACAAACTGGCCAGGTGCGGTGGCTCACGCCTGTAATCCCAGTACTTTGGGAGGCTGAGGCAGGCGGATCACGAGGTCAGGAGATCGAGACCATCCTGGCTAACACGGTGAAACCCCGTCTCTACTAAAAAAAATACAAAAAAAATTAGCCAGGCATGGTGGCGGGCGCCTGTAGTCCCAGCTACTTGGGAGGCTGAGGCAGGAGAATGGCATGAACCCGGGTGGCGGAGCTTGCAGTGAGCCGAGATCGCGCCACTGCACTCCAGCCTGGGCAACAGAGCGAGACTCCGTCTCAAAAAAACAAAACAAAACAAAACATTAAAATGACAAACTTTTTTTTAAAGACAGGGTCTTGCTCTGTTGCCTAGGCTGGAGTGCAGTGATGCAATCACGGCTCACTGCAGCCTTGATTTCCTGGGCTCAAGCAATCCTCCCATCTCAGCCTTCTGAGTAGCTGGGATTACAGGTGAGTGCCACCACGCCCAGCTAATTTTTTGTATTTTTTGTAGAGACGTGGTTTCACCATGTTGCCTGGGCTGGTCTCAAACTCTTGGCCTCAAGCAATCCTCCCGCTTCAGCTTCCAAAGTGCAGAGATTACAGGTGTGAGCCACCGGGGCCAGCCAACATAAACTATCCACTGCCTATTCCTTGTTCTTTGTATCTCAAACCTCAGGAATATGAATGAAGATAATGCACGAGGCAGCTGCTCAGGAACAGAATGCCTTTAAACAACTGCCCCCGGGCATTAGTGAGAGGAAGGGAGGAGGGGAGGATCCCGGCTGAAGTCCAGTACTCAGGTCTCTCTGGGCCTGATGAATGTTGCAAACCTCATAAAGCTCAAACCAGCCTGAGCTGTTTTTCTTTTCTCAGTTGAATTGTGTCCTCCCCCAACTTCCCAAAAAAAGATATATTAAAGAGCCTGAACCTGCAATGTGACCTTATTTGGTAATAGGGTCTTTACAGAGATAATCAAGTTAAAATGAGATTATTACATAGGTCCTTATGAATGCATTCTGAATTCGACTGAATTCAGAATGCATGGTCTCAGAAGCAAAACAAAAAAAAACAAACAGAAATTTGGATACGGGGCAGACACATAGAAGGAAGACAGCTATGATGTGAAGAAGGGATTGGAGCAAAGCACTCACAAGCTAAGGAATCCCAAGATTCCCAGCAAACCACCTGAAGCCAGGGAGAGGCAAGAAAGGATCCTCTCCCTACAGTTACAGAGGGAGCATGGCCCTGCCAACACCTTGATTTTGAACTTCTAGGCTCCAGAATTTTGAGACAAATAAATTTCTGTTGTTCTGAGCCTCTCAGTTTGCAAGACTTTGTTATGGCAGCCCTCACAAATGAATACATCTCCTGAAAAGATGGGAGAGTGTCAGGTTCAGCTCAGACTGTAAGATGACTCACAGAGCAGACCTCACCAAATGGACAGCTGAGACTCCAGTAGGGGTGACATCTGGTTATTACATAATGGTGATCCTGAGTAGAAGATAAAGACTATATAGCGGCTGGGCACAATGGCTCATGCCTGTAGTCCCAGCACTTTGGGAGGCTGAGGCAGGAGGATCACTTGAGGTCAGGAGTTTGAGATCAGTCCGAATAACATAGTAAGACCCTGTTTCCACACAAAGAAAAGGTTTTTTTAAAATTAGCTGGGCATGGTGGCGCATGCCTGTAGTCCAAATACTCAGTAAGCTGAGGCAGGAGTATCACTTGAGCCCAGGAGTTCAAGAATAGCCTGGGCAACATAGTGAGATCTTGTCTCTAAAAAACAAAACAAGAACATATAGTTACAAACCCTCCTTTTATTATTTTTCTTTCAACTTATTGGGAAAACAATATCTATCATCCAGCTTAAACAACCATCAATATTTCACTATACTTGTTTCATCTAACACTCCCTATGCCTCTCCCCCACTTTTTCTTGGCTAGAGTATTTTAAAATAAATCCCAGACAGTATATCTTTTCACTCCTCCCCACAAAACCTAAGGCTGCATCTTTAAAATAAGAACATTTGATAAACAACTATTATTTAGCAGTCTAGCAAAATTAAATTCCTTAATGTCATTCATAAAACCTAGTCCATATTCTAATGCCCCTGAGATAGTAGAAAGTATATTTCTATAGTTAGTTTGTTCAAATCAGAATTTAAATAGGTCTTATTATATTAGGTTGTTCTACCATTGAAGCATATTTTAAGTCCCTTTCAATTTAAAGTATAGCCTCCTCCTTTTTTTTTTTTTCTTTTTTTGAGACAGTCTCACTCTGTCACCCACACCAGAGTGCAGTGGCACAATCTCAGCTCACTACAGCCCCCACCTCCTGGGTTCAAGCGATTCTTCTCTCTCAGCCTCCTGAGTAGCTGGGACTACAGGTGCATGCCATCATGCCCAGCTAATTTTTGTATTATTAGTAGAGACAGGGTTTTGCCATGTTGGCCAGGCTGGTCTCGAACTCCTGACCTCAAGTCATCTACCTGCCTCGACCTCCCAAAGTGCTAGAATTATAGGCATGAACCACCACAACCAGCCCTGCCTCCTCTTTTTTATCTTGTCATTGATTTGTTGAAGAAATGAGATCAGTTGTCTGGTAAAATGTCCTACTCTCTAGAGGATTTGGCTGGCTGTTTCCTCACGGTGTCATTTAACTTGTTCCTCTATCCCCATATTTCTGTGGTATGAAAGAAATATCTGAAGTCTTAATTAAATTGAGATTTAATTTTTAAAAGACTGTTTAATAGGTGGTACTATGAATTCTATTGCATTGTGTCAGGAGGTGTACAGTATCTGGTGTCTATTTCTTTGCATTCTGAACTTTCTAACAGTGAATGATAATTGCCTGCACAATACCCATTCTCCTACAGTATCTACTTTTCAGGAATAGAACTACAATTTTATTTTGGGAAGCAAAATGCCTGAAAAAGGTCTGTATTTGACTGGTCTCAAATTCCTGATCTCAAGCTATCTGCAACATCAGCCTCCTAAAGTACTGGGATTACAGGCTTGAGCCACCACTCCTAACAGAAACATCCCTCTTCTATCTCTTGCAATACTTCTTGTGTTAATATAACCACATCAGCTTCCTTTTGGTTAGTATCTACATGGTGTATCTTTACCTAAACTTTTATTTTCAACTTTTCAGTGTATATATTTAGAATGTGCTCTTATAAACAGTGTATCATTTATTTTCTGGGCTAATTTCCCTCTTCTGTCTCCACTTTCTGATTTCCATCACCATAGAACAATTTTGTCTGTCTTTGAGTTTCATATAAATGGAGACACACAGTAAGTACTCATTAGGCCTTCTTCTTTCATTAACGTAATGGGTTCTTTTAAAAATGTGGATGAGTGTATCAGTAGCTCATTCTTTTTGATTGTTAGGTGATATTAAATTGTATGCATATACCATGATTTGTTTGTTTACCCATTCTCCTTTTGATGAACATTTGGGTTATTTCCCATTTGGGGCTTTTTAAAAATTTTATTTATTTTTTTCTTTTTCTTTTCCCATTTGGGGCTTTTTAAATAAAGTTGCCATAAACATTTTTGTATACATCATTGTGTGGATGTGGACATATACTTTCTCTTTTTTTTTTTTTTTTTTTTATTTTGAGATGGAGTCTCGCTCTGTCACCCAGGCTAAAGTGCAGTGGTGCAATCTTGGTCTACTGCAACCTCTGCCTCCCAGGTTCAAGCGATTCTCCTGCCTCAGCCTCCCAAGTAGCTGAGATTACAAGTGCACACCACCACGCCTGGCTAATTTTTGTATTTTTAAGAGATGGGTTTTCACCATGCTGGCCAGGCTGGTCTGGAACTCCTGACCTCAGGTGATCTGCCTGCCTCGGCCTCCTAAATTGCTGGGATTACAGGTGTGAGCCACCACACCCAGCCTTCATTTCTCTTGTATAAATATCTAGGAACAAAATTGCTGAGTCACAGGGTAGATGTTCATTTAATGTTATAAACAGTTCTCCAAAGGTATTGTTAACATCCTCCAGCAGCGTGTGAGAGTTCCAGTTGTTGTACTTCCTTGGCAACATTTAGTATTGCCTTTTTAATTTTAACCATTCTAGTAATTGTGAAGTGTTATTTCATTGTGGTTTTATTTTGCCAAGTAGTCCCAGCCAATTAACAAAAAGTTTTTTTTGTAGAGAAGGAAGATCTCGCTTTGTTGCCCAGGCTGGTCTCAAACTCCTGGGCTCAAGCAATCCTGCTGATGCAGGAAAAGTGAGCCCCAAAGTCAGGCTTAGCCCGCAGGGCTCTTGGCTTCTCTGGGGCGAGCCAGTGCTAGGGTAGAAGAAAACAGCTTTATCGAAGCAGCAGTGTTGCAACTTGGGCAGTGTTGTAGCTCCACAACGGCTCCTGCAGAGCAGGGCTACCCCATAGGCCGTGTGCTGGAAGCAGAAGCTCAGGGAAGTTCTGTGGTAACATTCATACCTATTTTCAATTACATAGAAAATAAGGGGAAGTTTATGCAGAAATTTCTAGCGAAGGGATAGTAACTTTGGGGTAATCAGGTCATTGCTATGGAAAGGGGCAGTAACTCCCAGGTGTTGCCATGGCAATGGTAAACTGACATGGCACACTGGTAGGCATGTCTTTTGGAAAGCCGCTTCCATCCTGTCCCTGTTTTAGGTGTCCTCAAATTGGTCCGGTGTCCAAGTCCCCACCTTTGGAGTGGAGTCCTGCCTCCTACCTCACTCCTTCCTCAGCCTCTGGAATACCTGGGACCACAGGCATGCACCACCACACCCAGCTAATTTTTAAATTTTTTGTAGAGATGGAGTCTCATTTTGTTGCCCAGCTGATCTCAAACTCCTGGACTCAAGCAATTCTCCCACCTTAACCTCCCAAAGTGCTAGGGATTATAGGCGTGAGCCACCATGCCCAGCTTTTATATATATATATATATATATATATATATATATATATATATATATATATAATTTTTTTTTTGAGATAATGTCTCACTCTGCCAACAGGCTGGAGTGCAGTGGCCCAATCTTGGCTCACTGCAACCTCCACCTCCTGGGTTGAAGCGATTCTCTGGCCTCAACCTCCCCTGTAGCTGGGATTACAGGTGCACACCACCACACCCAGCTAATTTTTGTATTTTTAGTGGAGACAGGGTTTCACCATCTTGGCCAGGCTGGTCTCAAACTCCCGGCCTCAAGTGATCTGCCTGCCTCGGCCTCCCAAAGTGCTGGGATTACAGGTGTGAGCCACCATGCCCAGCCTAATATTTGTTTCTTTTCCTCCACATTACTTATCCATTCTTACACTCTTCATTCCTTTTTGTAGTTGCATGCTTCCTATCAGTTTCCTTCAGCCTGGACAACCCCTGTAAATAATTCTTATGGTTCAAGACTGCGGGTAACTAATTCTCTCGGGTTTGTTTTGGGCAAAAAACATCTTTGTCTTCTTCTTCTTTTTTTTTTTTTTTTTTTTTGAGATGGAGTCTCACTCTGTCGCCCAGGCTGTAATCTCAACACTCTGGGAGGCTAAGGTGGGCAGATTGCTTGAGCCCAGGAGTTTGAGACCAGCCATGACAACATGACAAAAACCTGTCTCTACGAAAAAAAAAAAAAAAAAAATTAGCCGGGCACCGTGGTGTGCGCCTTTAGTCCCAGCTACTTGGGAGGCTGAGGCAGGAGAATCGCTTGATCCCGGGAAGCAGAAATTACAGTAAGCCGAGATAGCACCATTGCACTCCAGCCTGGGAGACGGGAGTGAAACCCTGTCTCAAAAAACAAAAAAGGATTGAGGCATAGTATTCCTATATAAAAGTGAACAAATCTTAAGTGTACATCTTGATTATTTTCTCATAGGTATATAACTATGTAATCACCACCAAAATCAAGTTATAAAACATTTCCAGCACCCCAAAGTTTCTCTTGTAGCCTTTCTGAACCAATCACCCCTTACTCCAGAGAAAATTCCTATTCTGATTTCTCTTTTTTTTTTTTTTTTTTTGGTGGGGGAGACAGAGTCTGGCTCTACCACACAGGCTGGAGTACAGTGGCGGGATCTCGGCTCACTGCAACCTCCACCTCCTGGGTGCCAGCGATTCTCATATCTGAGCCTCCTGAGGAGCTGAGATTACAGGTGCCTGCCACCACATCCGGGTTAATTTTTGTATTTTTAGTAGAGACAGTGTTTCACCATGTTGGCCGGGCTGGTCTCGAACTCTTGACCTCAGATGGTCCACCAGGCTCGCCCTCCCAAAATGCTGGGATTACAGGCATAAGCCACCACGCCCAGCCCCTATTCTCATCTTTAACAACATAAATGAATTTGTTTTTTAATAACATCTTTATTAAATTCAAGTAATGTGCTATAATTTATATATTTTGTATATACTTGCGTGTTATAATTCACCTATCTAAAGTACATAATTCAAAAGTCTTTAGTATTTTCACAGAGTTGTGCAACCATTGCCACAATTTTAGAACATTTTCATTACCCTCTCCCAAAACATTCACAACACAGTCACATCCCCTGTATTCTATTAGTTACACAGGCCAATTCTGATGCAATATGGGAGAGCACTACACGAGCACGTGAGCACCCTGGAACTCTGGCACAATCCTAGGTAAAAGGCAATGGAGAGGGGAGGTCCTGAGTTGAAAGAGGTTTCATTTCATCTGTGTCATTGAACAGGAGCTTTTAGTAGAAATTTTATTTACTGATTTCTTTGAGAATGAAGATCTTGATACATTGCAAAATAAGAACCATTTACTTATAGCAGAACTTGCTGAGAAGGAATCAAAACTGAATGCAGTGTTTTTTTGTTTTTTGTTTTTTAGAGGGAGTCTCACTCTGTCGCCCACACTGGAGTGCAGCAGCACAATCTCAGTTGACTGCAACCTCCACTTCCCGGGTTCAAGCGAGTCTCCTGCCTCGGCCTCCCAAGTAGCTGGGATTACAGGTGTGAACCACCGCGCCCGGTTAATTTTTGTATTTTTAGTAGAGGCGGGGTTTTGCCATGTTGGCCAGGCTGGTCTCAAACTCCTGACCTCAAGTGATCTGTCCGCCTCAGCCTCCCAAAGTGCTAAGATTACAGGCATGAGCCACCGCGCCGGACCAAATGCTGTTTTTTTGGGGGTTTTTTTGTTTGTTTTTTTAAGACGGAGTCTTGCCTTGTTGCCCAGGCTGGAGTCCAGTGGCACGATCTTGGCTTACCGCAACCTCCACCTCCTGGGTTCAAGCGATTCTCCTGCCTCAGCCTCCTGAGTAGCTGGGACTATAGGTATGCGCCACCACGCCTGGCTAATTTTGTATTTTTACTAGAGACGGGGTGTTTCCACGTTGGTCAGGCTGGTCTTGAACTCCCAACCTCAGGTGATCCGCCTGCCTAGGCCTCCCAAAGTGCTGGGATTACAGGCGTGAGTCACCATGCCCGACGAATGCTGTGATTTTTAACAGCTGTTTCCAACCCTTTGCTACTCAAAATGTGATCTGCAAACCAGGAGCCATGGCATCATCTGGGAATTTATAAGAAATGAAGCTCAGGCCGGCACAGTGGCTCATGCCTGTAATCCCAGCATTTTGGGAGCCCAAGGCAGGCGGATTGCTTGAGTCCAGGGGTTGGAGACCAGCCTGGGCAACATAGGGAGACCCCGTCTCTACAAAAAAAAAACACAAAAAGTTAGCTGGTCATGGTGGCATGTGCTTGTAGTCCCAGCTACTTGGGTAGCTGAGGTGGGAGGATCACTTGAGCCCAGAAAGTCAAGGTTACCGTGAGCTGTGATCGCGCTACTGCGCTCCAGCCTGGGTGACACAGGGAGACCCTGTCTGAAAAACACACACACACAAAATGCAGTTCAGGTCCCACCCCAGAACTTCTAAATCAAAATCTATATTTTAGCAAGATTCTTACAGGTGATTCCTGCACATTCAAGTTTGACAATTACTGGTGTAGCGAAAGCCAAAGCTGACTGTGGGCTGTGAAGCCGAGACGGGAGGATTGCTTGAGCATGAGTTTGAGATCACCATGGGCAACATAATAGGTCCCTGTCTCCGCAAAATAAGTAACTAAATAAATACATGAACTTTGGCTAAGAGAAAAACAATTCCACTTCATTCTTCACAAAAAGGAAAAAACAAAAGACACATAGAAAAAAAAGAAGAAAAGAATTCCATATAGATCATCATAGACCTAAATATAAATCAAATGACACTAAATTTTTCTAAGAGAAAAGCTTAGGAAAATACAAAACCTTGGGGTAGGCAAAGATTTCTTAATCTTGACACATAAAGTGCGGACCATAAAAGAAAAAATATGTCATTACAGGTAAAAAGACAAAAAGAAAAAACTAAACCAAAATAAAAGAAAAAAGAAAAAATAGTGGATAAATTGGACTACATTAAAACTAAGTACTGCGTTTCTCAAAGGGCACATTAGGAGGGTGAAAAGATAAGTCAGGATGAGTGGAGATATTTACCGTATATATATCTCACCACCATGTACCCATCCAGTGGGTTCACCTTGCCCGCTGCCTAGACAGCCCATTTATCAACACAGGGAAATTACAATAGAGAAAGAGTAATTCACACAGAATTGGCTGTGTGGAAGACCAGAATTTTATTATTACTCAAATCAGTCTCCCCGAGCATTCGGGGATCAGAGTTTTTAAGGACAGCTTGGTGGGTGGGGGGAAGCCAGTGAGCCGAGAGTGCTGACTGATCAGGTCAGAGATGAAATCATAGGGAGTCGAAGCTGTCTTGTTGTTCTGAGTAAGTTCCTGGGTGGGGGCCACAAGATCAGATGAGCCAGTTTATTGATCTGGGTGGTGCCAGGTGATCCACTGAGTGCAGGGTCTGCAAAATATCTCAAGCATTGATCTTAGTTTTTACAATAGTGATGTCATCCCCAGGAGCAATTTGGGGAGGTTTAGAATCTTGTAGCCTTCAGCCGCATAACTCCTAAACCATTATTTCTAATCTTGTGGCTAATTTGTTAGTCCTGCAAAGGCAGTCTAGTCCCCAGACAGGAAGGGGGTTTGTTTTGGGAAAGGGCTGTCTTATCATCTTTGTTTGAAAACTAAACTATAAACTAAGTTCCTCCCAAAGGTAGTCTGGCCTACATCCAGGAGTGAGCAAGGACAGCTTGGTGGTTAGAAGCAAGATGGAGTTGGTTAGAGGTCAGATCTCTTTCACTTGTCTCAATTACAATTTTGCAATGGTGGTTTCAATCCCTCCCTTTGGGTTTTATAACATGTTAATCTTAAGGAGTTGGCTAATGAAGATGGAAAAAGGGTGAAGCTTGCTCTAACTTCTTCCTGCTGATCAGGGCGTAGTGGGGTAGGTGTTGACCCCAAGGTGAAAGGAGTGGAACCTCTTTGTAACTGAGTGTACTCATGCAGTACTGGCTGGGGTTCCAAGGCTGGCATGGCAAAGGCGTTAGCATTGTCATCTATACTTGTGGTAACATATTTAAGGCAACAACGTACTATAATGGTAAATAATGAGTACTACGGTAAGGAGGGCAATTCCCAGATTTAAAAGTAAAGATTTGAAAGTATTAGATTGGGGACTTGCAGGCCACAAAGAATCTAGGATTTAGTCCAAACTTCAGAAAAAAACTCAAGAACAACTAACAACAGGTGCACTATAGTTTTTCTTTTGAAGCATAATTTTTCACTCTCCAGTCCCCATTTTTATTAAAAACAAATCATGATAGAACTGATTTGTTTATAAAATAAACTTTAGTCTTACTGTACTTGGCCTGATTATTTGCATAAAGTGCAGCAAGAATAGTTATTTTTCACGTAGGTTTTTTAAATTGGTTTTGATGGAACTCTGTTCCATAAGGAATCTCAGATAAAACATTTTTTTTTTTTTGAGACAGAGTCTTGCTCTGTCACCCAGGCTGCAGTGCAGTGGCACGATCTCAGCTCACTGCAAGCTCCGCCTCCCAGGTTCACACCGTTCTCCTGCCTCAGCCTCCTGAGTAGCTGGGACTACAGGCGCCCGCCACCACACCTGGCTAATGTTTTGTATTTTTAGTAGAGACGGTGTTTCACCGTGTTAGCCAAGATGGTCTCAATCTCCTGACCTCGTGATCCGCCTGCCTCGGCCTCCCAAAGTGCTGGGATTACAGGCGTGAGCCATCTCACTAGGCCGATAAAACATTTTTAAAGCCAATCCCAGGCCGGGCATGGTGGCTCATGCCTGTAATCTCAGCAATTTGGGAGGCTAAGGCGGGCAGATCACCTGAAGTCAGGAGTTGGGGACCAGCGTGGCCAACATGGTGAAACCCCATCTCTACTAAAAATCCAAAAACAATGTTTTTTTTTTTTGGTGGCACATGCCTGTAATCCCAGCTATTTGAGAGGCCAAGGTATGAGAATCGTTTGAACCCAGGAGGTGGGAGTTGCAGTGACCCAAGATCGTGCCACTGCACTCCAGCCTGAGCAACAGAGCAAGACTCCATCTCAAAAAATAAATAAAATAAAATAAAATAAAATAAAGCCTATCCCAGCCATGGGTTTGTACCCTAAATACCTGTGAGTTGGGTAAGTTCCTGTCCTCTTGAGGTCCCAAGATAACTCGGTGTTCCTGGGCCTGTTAGAAAGTGACATTCTTTACTTACCACCAGTCAGGAACCTTGTACAGGGACTGTGTAGACAAGGTGAGGCCAGATTTCCCAAGGGGTTTTTGTTGGCTCTTTAAGTCAACTTTGATTTGTTAAAGAAAGCATGACATTCAAGTCAAAGCCTGGGTAGAACAACCAGTTTCCCCAATTGTGTCCTGTTACAAAAGAAAACAGATGCTTTTTTTTCTTTGAGACGCAGTTTTTGCTCTTGTTGCCCAGGCTGGAGTGCAATGGCGCGACCTCGGCTCACCGCAACCTCCGCCTCCCGGGTTCAAGCGATTCTCCTGCCTCAGCCTCCTGAGAAGCTGGGATTATAGGCATACGCCTCCACACCAAGCTAATTTTGTATTTTTAGTAGAGACGGGATTTCTTCATGTTGGTCAGGCTGGTCTTGAACTCCTGACCTCAGGTGATCCGCCCGCCTCAGCCTCCCAAAGTGCTAGGATTATAGGCGTGAGCCACCGTGCCCAGCAGAAAACAGATTCTTATTGCACTTACGCAAATAACTATAATGCCATAAATTGAGAATACTCAGTTTCCAAATTCTGGAAAAATCAGGTAGAGAGAAACAAATATGCTCCAAATTTTGTTCATAGGAGTATATTTTACTCACTTGTTAAAAGTTTCAAATAGCTCTGAAGAAATAAGTTCTCTTGACTCTGAAAACAAAAGGATTAGCAATATTTAACACATCAGCTCTCCATGAGAGTCCTAGAACTTTCGTTTTTTCCTGTATTCCAATAGCACAATTTTTGTTTTGCATTGTCTTGTTTTGTTTTGTTTGAGCCGGAGTCTTGCTCTGTCACCCAGGATGGAGTGCAGTGGCACGATCTCAGTTCACTGCAACCTCCACCTCCCAGGTTTAAGCAATTCTCCTCCCTCAGCTTCCCAAGTAGCTAGGATTACAGGCGTGCGCCACCATGCCTGGCTAATTTTTTTTTTTTTTTTCGGTATTTTTCGTAGAGATGGAATTTTACCAAGTTGGCCAGGCTGCTCTGTAACTCCTGACCTCAGGTGATCCACCTGCCTCAGCCACCCAAAGTGCTGGGATGACAGGTATGAGCCACTGCGCTAAGCCCAAAAGCACAATTTTTTTTCTTTTTCTTTTCTTTTTTTTTTTTTTTTTTTTGAGATGGAGTCTCGCCCTGTAGCCCAGGCTGGAGTGCAGTAGCGTGATCTCTGCTCACTGCAACCTTCGCTTCCCGGGTTCAAGCGATTCTCCCGCCTCAGCCTCCTGAGTAGCTGGAACTACAGGCGAGTGCCACCAACACCTAGCTATTTTTTTGTATTTTTAGTAGAGACAATGTTTCACCATGTTGGGATGGTCTGGATCTCCTGACCTGGTGATCCGCCCACCTCGGCTTCCCAGGGTGCTGGGATTACAGGCGTTGAGCCACCATACCCGGCCCAATAGCACTGCAAGCTCCGCCTCCCGGCTTCACGCCATTCTCCTGCCTCAGCCTCTCAAGTAGCTGGGACTACAGGCACCCGCCACCACGCCTGGCTAATTTTTTTGTATTTTTAGTAGAGATGGGATTTCACCGCCCAATAGCACAATTTTTAAAGTTATCATAGACCTGCACTCGGAATCCTATATCTGATTATAAACTGCCTTTTGAAAAGGATCAAAGCAAGACAAAATGTCTGTGGATGACAAGTCTTTTTTTTATTTTTTTGAGACAAAGTCTTGCTCTCGTCACCCAAGCTGGAGTGCAGTGGCGCGATCTCGGCTCACTGCAACCTCCGCCCCCCAGGTTCAAGCGATTCTCCTGCCTCAGCCTCCTGAGTAGCTGGGACTGCAGGCGCCTGCCACCACGCCCGGCTTATTTTTGTATTTTTAATAGAGACGGGGTTTCACCATGTTGCCCATGCTGGTCTCGAACTGCTGACCTCAGGTGATCCGCCTGCCTCAGCCTCCCAAAGTGCTGGGATTACTGAAAGCTACAATTCACTCGGAGTTTTCGTTACTTCTGTGGCATACAACAATTTTACATTAACAATTATAATTATTAATAACATACTCTAAATCATATCAGAATTATAGAAGTTTCTCATAATTTTGGAACACATACTGATAACATATTTATACAAATAAAACCCAAAGAAAGCCATATACCATATCATATTTGACAATGCTGCCTGTATGATTTTTACGCTAAATAAGCCAAACGTAATTTTTTGGACTTCAGGGGACCTAATGTCTGAAGGATTAAATAGGTCAGAAAATGACATACTATATATTTGATTTTGGAAAGTTTTTCAAATATGGAAAGTTTGAAACACTGGATATCACAAAGTAGAATCACACATTATTTATTTATCCAAAGTGGTAAGTCAAAAAAATTTTTTTGCGGGGCGCAGTGGCTCATGCCTGTAGTCCCAGCACTTTGGGAGGCCAAGACGGGCAGATCACGAGGTCAGGAGATCGAGACTATCCTGGCTAACATGGTGAAACCCCGTCTCTACTAAAAATACAAAAAATTAGCCGGGTGTGGTGCCGGGTGCCTGTAGTCCCAGCTACTCAGGAGGCTGAGGCACAAGAATGGCGTGAAGCCGGGAGGCAGAGGTTGCAGTGAGCCGAGATCACGCCACTGCACTCCAGCCTGGGCGACAGAGCAAGACTCTATCGCAAAAAAAAAAAAAAAAAAAAAAAAAAAAAAAAATTTAAGGCAAAAACTTTAGTCTGATAGAAGAGACTTAGTCCAGCCCGGCCAACATGGTGAAACCACGTCTTTACTAAAAATACAAAAATTAGCCAGGTGTGGAGGAATCACTTGAACCTGGAAGGCAGAGGTTGCAGTGAGCCCAGACCATGCATGGCACTCCAGCCTGGGTGCAGGGTGAGACTCCTCCTCAAAAAAAAAAAAGAGACTTAGCTTTCCAAACAAGACCCAATGAAGATAGCATGAGGCCAACTGAATCTGTCTCTTTTCTCTACCCCCTTTTTTCCCTGCCATTTACCCAAAGGGGTGAACAAAAAACATTTCATGATCTTTTTTTTTTTTTTTGAGACTCAGTCTCACTCCGTTGCCCAGGCTGGAGTACAATGACGCAATCTTGACTCACCACAACCTCCATCTCCCAGGTTCAAACGATTCTCCTACCTCAGCCTCCTGAGTAGCTGGGACTACAGGCGCCCGCCACCACGCCCGGCTAATTTTTGTATTTTTAGTAGAGTTGGGGTTTCACCATGTTGGCCAGGCTGGCCTCGAACTCCTGACCTCAGGTGATCCACCTGCCTTGTCCTCCCAAAGTGCCGGAATTACAGGCTTGAGTCATGGGGCCTGGCCCATTATCTTTTAATATTACATAAAAATCTTTTTCAAAAGAGAAAACCAAATTTATGTTTGCATTACTGCATCTTCAATGCCAAGGCTAGTTTTTTTTGTTTTTGTTTTTGTTTTTGTTTTTTGAGACAGTCTCGCTGTGTCTCCCAGGCTGGAGTGCAGTGGCGCGATCTCAGCTCACTGCAAGCTCCGCCTCCCGGGTTCACACCATTCTGCTGCCTCAGCCTCCCGAGTAGCTGGGACTACAGGTGCCCACCACCACGCCCGGCTAATTTTTTGTATATTTAGTAGAAACGGGGTTTCACCGTGTTAGCCAGGATGGTCTCGATCTCCTGACCTCGTGATCCACCTGCCTCGGCCTCCCAAAGTGCTGGGATCACAGGTTTAAGCCACCACGCCTGGCAAGGCTAGTTTTTAAATAAAATTTTATAAATCTATCCAGTTTTAATTAGTTTGACAATAAGGTAAGATTTTCATGAACTTTTTAGAACTGTTCACAATTTTCTGTTAAACAGCAGATCAATTTTCTAAGAAAACCCTGTTATTTGAACACATGGGCCCAGATTCTGGCCCCGCATTAGTGTGCTTTTATTTTATCTTCAATCTAGGGCAAAAAAAAAAAAAAAAAATCCCCTTCAAATCTTAGCCAACTTGTTTACACCCACAGAACCTTCTTTTTGTCCCATTACTCTTTTAGGTTAAGACAATATTTAAAACCCTCTGAAGTAGACAAAATTACATTCCCTTTAACAAAAGCCATATTCCCATGCCTTCTCATACTCTTTTACCAGAAACACATTCTACTTTCCCTACATGCCTTGTATGTAAAACTGTTTCTCCAGTAGTCTCGATTACATATTACAATGTTAACTCTTAGCAACTTTTATTTTGGTGAAAAACCTGATAAATAAGCAATTTTAATTATGTCCTAGGCGTAGAGCCTAGGACATCAGACAGAAGTACAGATAAGGTCTGGCTGGCCCTTTGCAGCATAGCTAGGGGCATGGCTCTCCACATGTCCCCAGGCCTTATCTAGAATCTAATGCTCCAAAGTAGGTAAATTAAACAATTTTCGCAGCAATGTTCTTTTTTTTGTTGTTATTTTTTTCTTTGAGATAGAGTCTCGCTCTTTCGCTCAGGCTGGAGTGCAGTGGCGCGATCTCGGCTCACTGCAACCTCCACCTCCTGGGTTCAGGCAATTCTCCTGCCTCAGCCTCCCGAGTAGCTGGGATTACAGACATGCACCACAATGCCTGGATAATTTTTGTATTTTTTAATTTTTATTTATTTATTTATTTACTTATTTTTTTGAGACGGAGTCTCGCTCTGTCGCCCAGGCTGGAGTGCAGTGGTGCAATCTCGGCTCACTGCAAGCTCTGCCTCCCGGCTGCATGCCATTCTCCTGCCTCAGCCTCCCAAGTAGCTGGGACTACAGGTGCCTGCCACCACGCCCTGCTAATTTTTGTATTTTCAGTAGAGACGGGGTTTCACTGTGTTAGCCAGGATGGTCTCGATCTCCTGACCTCGTGATCCGCCCATCTCAGTCTCCCAAAGTGCTGGGATTACAGGCATGAGCCACCGCACCCGGTCAATTTTTGTATTTTTAGTAGAGACGGAGTTGTGCCATGTTGGCCAGGCTGGACTTGAACGCCTAGACTTAGGTGTTTCGCCCGCCTCGGCCTCCCAAAGTGGTGGGATTACAGGTGTGAGCCACCATGCCCAGCAATTGAGCAATTTTCAAAAGTCAAAGAAATAGTTTATGACCTTAAAGCATTTAGCAAATCTCATATCTGGCCTTAATCTAGGCCAAATGTCTGAAATTTGAAGACATTTTTATTTTACAAATAATCTTGAAAACTGTCTTTATTTCTAAAAGACTGCTAAAGTAACGTGAACAAAAAGGCATTAAAGTTTCTATTTTTCTGGCCGGGCACGGTGGCTCATGCCTGTAATCACAGCACTTTGGGAGGCTGAGGCTGGTGGATCACCTGATGTCAGGAGTTCGAGACCAACCTGGCTAATATGGTAAAACCCCATCTCTACTAAAAATACAAATATTAGCTGGGCATGGTGGCGGGCACCTGTAATCCCAGCTACTCGGGAGGCTGAGGCAGGAGAATCACTGGAACCCGGGAGGTGGAGGTTGCAGTGAGCCAAGGTCATGCCATTGCACTCCAGCCTGGGTGACAGAACGAGACTCCATCTCAAAAAATATAAAAATAAATAAATAAATACACAGATGGACAGAAAATTCAGCACTTGTAAGATTTTTCCTTTGCCAGTTTCTTAACTGGATTACTGACTTCGGGGTGGAGCCCTTGGAGGAACAGGGCCAGGAAAGCATTCAGTTTCTAGGACCTAATAAGCAGGCACAGCTGGAAGGCAAACACAGATCCCAAAAATTCAGGGTATATACTGGATCCTGGATCCCCAAAAGGAGGGAAATACTATAAGAGAAGACAGTGCAGTGCTTCTGCTGAGCATTTCATTGCAAAACAACCCATAGTAAATTAGCCCATTTTGTAATCAGCCCATCCCTTGTGGGAGTCTCATCTCTCAGTGCAGGTTGGGGATGTTTCCCTATCTTTTAGTGGCCAAGAGTGTGCTTCCCTAATTGAAACATCAGAACGGAACATCCCCCGTAAGTGCCATTAGCCATCCTCAGAAGTATATTTCCTACCTAGTTATTACACACCAAGTTTCTTTCATAATGCAAAGTAATTTCTGATACCCACAAAAGCCAAAACCATGAGCTAATGCAATGCAAAACAGAACAGAGCCTTAGATTTTGAGAAGGATCTATTCTCTTTTAATGTCTGGGGTTCTGTGAGGAAATCTGAGGTTTTTCCCAGAATGGGATCTGTGGTGCCTCCTCTGCTTTTCCCCAGGAGACCCAGGCTGTTAGAATTTATCTTAAGTTCTCTCATGTGGGCATCAAGAGTGACAAAAAGACAAAATGGAGAACAATTCAGTCTCCTGAGAAGAAAAAAACTGTTTTTCAGAAAAACATGATTCAAGAAGAGGAAAAAGATAAATTCCTTTTAAATACATATGGCTTGGTTATCCATTTTTAATTAAGCTGGTTTTAACCACAGAGCTATTTTTTCTAAAAAAAAAAAAATCCTTTTCAATATCTTATTACCAGGGTACCCAATATTTCTGGCTTTTGAATTCTACCACAGGTAACTTCCCACATGAAATTAATAAGTTTTAACTAAGATTATAACTTAACCATGGATGCATAAGGTGTCTCAAAGAGATGGTAAGCCTCTTTCTTTCTTTCTCTTTCTTTCTTTCTTCCTTCCTTCCTCCCTCCCTTCCTTTCTTTCCTTTCTTTCTCTCTTTCTCTCTCTCTCTTTCCTTTCTTTCTCTGTCTCTCTCCTTTCTTTCTCTCTCTATCTCTTTCCTTTCTTTCTCTCTCTCTCTCTCAAGGGTAGTTTGGAGAAAGGAAAATCCAAAACAGAAAATCAGAAGCTATCCATGGAGTTTTAAAAAAAAAATCCTCAATAAATGGCAAAGTTACACAAATAACAAACCAGAAAGGAATCATTCTGGAAGCCAAGAATTGAACCCAGGCCATCATTGTCAAAAGACAAAGCCTTAGCTACTGACCTACATAACATCGAGCAGTTTCTATTATTCTTCCCAGAAGAAGTCTACAGCAGCCAATTTCAAGCTTGGAAAGAGCTTTAGCTGCTCAAGTTAATTTTTTTTTTTTTTTTTTGAGACAGAATCTCTGCCGCCCAGGCTGGAGTGCAGTGGTTCGGTCTCTGCTTACTGCAACCTCCGCCTCTCGGTTCAAGGGATTCTTCTGCCTCAGCCTCCCGAGTAGCTGGGATTACAAGTGCCCACCACCATGTCTAGCAGGGTTTCACTATGTTGGCCAGGCTGGTCTCGAACTCCTGAGCTCAGGTAATCCGACTGCCCCGGCCTCCCAGAGTGCTGGGATTACAGGCATGGGCCACTGTGCCCAGCCTGCTCAAGATAATTTTTAGAGCTATGACGTGAACCCCAAATTTTCCTGTGCTCTGGATGGTGGAAACCAAGAGAACCACAGGGTCACAAGGTTAAGCACTTTTTTTTTTTGGAGATGAAAGTATCCCCACATGGTCACAAGGTTAAGCTCTTTTTTTTTTTTTTTTTTTGGAGACAGAGTCTTACTCTGTTGCCCAGGCTGGAGTGCAGTGGCACGATGTCAGCTCACTGCGACCTCCACCTCCTGGGTTCAAGCGATTCTGGTGCCTCAGCCTCCCGAGTAGCTGGGATTACAGGCGCCTGCCACCATCCCTGGGTAATTTTTGTAGTTTTAGTAGAGACAGGGTTTCACCATGTTGGCCAGGCTGGTCTCAAACTCCTGACCTCAGGTGATCCACCTGCCTGGGCCTCCCAAAGTGCTAGGGTTACAGGCGTGAGCCACCACGCCCAGCCTAAGGTTAAGCTCTTAATGACATAAAACAAGAAAGAGAAATTTCATCTGGTATTGGTTTCAGGGACCCCCAGCAAAGTTTGTAACTGACGAGCCTGCTGGGGTGGCTTGAAAAGTAGGCTTATAGGGATCCTAAGCTCACATTCTATCCTGTGATACCCCTCTCTCCATTACAGAAAGACACATTCTTAGTACAAACTGCACCAGATTTGCTACAGCCTGACTAGTCTCACAAATCCTTTATTTTTCTATTAGTTAAACCCTTGCAGAGGAGACAAATAACGAAGTTTATCGTTTACACACATAGAGAGAGAGAGAGAGAGAGAGAGAGAGAGAGAGAGACCAGAAACTTGGCTGCTAAGAATTATTACCGTTTTTGCTGGCATACCAACTTTCCGGGTCCCCTTTCTCTGCTGCAGCTTCCAGAAGAACGAAGCGGCTTTTGATGACCCTCTTCACTATGCCATAGCTGGTGGGGGGGCCAAGCCCTGTTACAAAAGAAAATCATCCTTTTCTGCTTTATTGAACCATAGGCAAAAGATTCGCCATTTTGCAAGATGTCCAACAGGCTGCACGGGAAACCAAATTAATATTTTCCATCCCAGCAAAATATACATAATACAACAGACACTAGTCACCTCTTTCAGCACCCAATATCATCCTGGCAAAATTCAAACTTTCTCCTGTTGGTCCCTATTGTTTTTGATCCACTCCTGGTGGGGAGGGATGAGCTCCGAAAGGTAATTCACAATGGGTGATCTCTGGGCAAGGTGAAGAGTGGATAGTCACACTGAGACAGGCCTGTTGAGCTTTCTCCAGGGCTCAATGAATGTTAACAGACTAATAGGAGGGTTCTCTGAGTTAGGCCTGCTGGACTTCCGTCAGCCACTCCTTCTGAGATGCCCTCCACACATACAAACACACACATAAAGACGAGACAGGCAGAAGGCCTTCCAAATCAGATCCCTAACCAAGAACTCCAAGAGTATCCCTTCCAAACTATTCTCCTATTCTCCATCTGAGAAATCTCCCCAAAGTCTTCCTGATTGAGAAGTCTCCCGAACCAAGTCTCTTCCTACTAGTTAGGAAGAGCCAACTGAAACCCCCACTAGGAGCCAAACCAAGACAGACACCCCACAATGGGGCAACAGACAAACTGAGACCCCTGAGGGAGCCAAACTGAGACAGACTGTCTGTGGTGGAGCTATTAGACAAACAAGACACCCTGCAATGGGACTACAGACACACCATGATGAGGCTACAGACAGACACCTTGTGATAGGGCTACAGTTATGGAACGTCTCCCCAGGACTGTTTCTCCATTGCAATTAAATCCATGTAGGCCGGGCATGGTGGCTCACGCCTGTAATCCCAGCACTTTGGGAGGCCGAGATGGGCGGATCACGAGGTCAGGAGATCGAGGCCATCCTGGCTAACACGGTGAAACCCCGTCTCTACTAAAAAATACAAAAAAAATTAGCTGGGCGTGGTGGCGGGCGCCTGTAGTCCCGGGTACTCAGGAGGCTGAGGCAGGAGAATGGCGTGAACCTGGAGTCAAGGCGGAGCTTGCAATAAGCCAAGATCACGCCACTGCACTCTAGCCTGGGCCACAGTACAAGACTCTGTCTCAAAAAAAAAAAAAAAATTCCATGCATATTGGGTTGTCAGTGCCCCACAAGTGGAGAGAGTACCAGAGTCAACCCCTAGTCCAAGAGAACTAGGTGGCCCCTTTGGGTGGCCTCTGGATCCATCGCTGGAGAGGGGGCTACTGAACCACAGGCAGGTAGTCACAAGGGCAATCTCAGACAAGTCCCCAAATTTGTAACTGTCCAATGGGTTCACCTTGCCTGCTGCCTAGATGGAACTGATTTATCAAGATAGGGGATCCGGGTGCAGTGGTTCATGCCTGTAATCCCAGCACTTTGGGAGGCTGAGGCAGGCAAATCACCTGAGGTCGGAAGTTCGAGACCAGCCTAACCAACATGGAGAAACCCTGTCTCTACTAAAAATACAAAATTAGCCGGGCGTGGTGGCAAATGCCTGTAATCCCAGCTACTCGGGAGGCTGAGGCGGGAGAATAGCTTGAACCCAGGAGGCGGAGGTTGTGGTGAGCCAAGATCGCGCCATTGCACACCAGCCTGGGCAACAACAGTGAAACTCCGTAGGCTGGGCGCACTGGCTCACACCTGTGATCCCAGCACTTTGGGAGGCCGAGGTGGGCGGATCACGAGGTCAGGAGATCGAGACCATCCTGGCTAACATGGTGAAACCCCGTCTCTACTAAAAATACAAAAAAAAATTAGCCAGGTGTGGTGGCAGGCACCTGTAGTCCCAACTACTCGGGAGGCTGAGGCAGGAGAATGGCGTGAACCCGGGAGGCGGAGCTTGCAGTGAGCGGGGATCGCGCCACTGCACTCCAGCCTGGGCGGCAGAGCGAGACTCCGTCTCAAAAAAAAAAAAAAAAAAAAAGAGTGAAACTCCGCCTCAAGAAAAAAAAAAGGGAACTGCGGAAAGAATAATTCACACAGAGGCTGCTGTGCGGGAGAACATAGTTTTATTATTACTCAAATCAGCTCCCTAAGCATTCTGGGATCAGAGTGTTTAAGGACAACTTGGTAGGTGGGGAAAACCAGTGAGCCAGGAGCGCTGATTGGTCAGGTCAGAGATGAACTCATAGGGAGTCTTCTTGTGCTGAGTAATTTCCTGGGTGGGGGCCACAAGGTCAGATAAGCTAGTTTATCGATCTGGGTGGTACCAGCTGATCCATCAAGTGCAGGGTCTGCAAAGTATCTCAAACACTGGTCTTAGGTTTACAATAGTGATATCCCCAGGAGCAATTTGGGGAAGGTCAGAGTCTTGTAGCCTCCAGCTGCATCACTCCTAAACCATAACTTCTAATCTTAGGGCTAATTTATTAAGTCCTACAATGGCAGTCTAGTCCCCAGGCAAGAAGGGGGTTTGTTTCAGGAAAGGGCTGTTATCATCTTTGTTTTAAACTATAAACTATAAACTAAGTTCCTCCCAAAGTTAGTTCAGCCTATGCCCAGGAGTGAATAAGGCCAGCTTAGAGGTTAAAAGCAAGATGGGGGGCAAGGACTTCATGACTAAAACACCAAAAGCAATGGCAGCAAAAGCCAACATAGACAAATGGGATCTAATTAAACTAAAGAGCTTCTCCACAGCAAAATAAACTATCATCAGAGTGAACAGGCAACCTAGAGAATGGGAGAAAAGTTGTGCAATCTATCCATCTGACAAAGGGCTAATATCCAGAATCTACAAAGAACTTAAACAAATTTACAAGAAAAAAACAAACAACCCCATCAAAAAGTGGGCAAAGGAGATGAACAGACACTTCTCAAAAGAAAACATTTATGCAGCCAACAGACATGAAAAAATGCTCATCATCACTGGCCATCAGAGAAATGCAAATTGAAACCACCATGAGATACCATCTCACGTCAGTTAGAATGGCGGTCATTAAAAAGTCAGGAAACAACGGATGCTGGAGAGAATGTGGAGAAATAGGAATGCTTTTACACTGTTGGTGGGAGTGTAAATTAGTTCAACCACTGTAGAAGACAGTGTGGCGATCCCTCAAGGATCTAGAACTAGAAATACCATTTGACCCAGCAATCACATTACTGGGTATATACCCAAAGGATTATAAATCATGCTACTATGAAGACACATGCACATGTATGTTTATTAAGGCACTATTCACAATAGCAAAGACTTGGAACCAACCCAAATGTCCATCAATAATAGACTGGATAAAGAAAATGTGGCACATATACACCATTAAATTCTATGCAGCCATTAAAAAGGATGAGTTAATGTTCTTTGCAGGGACATGGATGAAGCTGGAAACCATCATTTTCAGCAAAATATCACAAGGACAGAAAACCAACACTGCATGTTCTCACTCATAAGTGGGAGCTGAACAATGAGAACACATGGACACAGGAAGGGGAACATCACACACTGGGGCCTGTTGTGGGGTGGGTGGCTGGGAAAGGGATAGCATTAGGAGAAATACCTAATGTAAATGACGAGTTGATGGGTGCAGCAAAACAACATGGCACTTGTATACCTATGTAACAAACCTGCATGTTGTGCACATGTACCCTAGATCTTAGAGTGTAATAATAAAAAAATTAAAAAAAAAAAAAAAGAAGCAAGATGGAGTTGGTTAGGTCAAATCTCTTTCACTGTCTGTTACAATTTTGTAACGGCGATTTCAAAAGAACTCATGTCCAGAATATTCAAACCTCTTCTATAAATTTGTAATAAAAATACAGACAACCCACTAGAAAAATGGGCAAAAGATGTTAACAAGCACTACCCAAGAGCATATTCAAATGAGCAATAAATATGCGAAAAGGTGATCAACTTCATTAATCAGGGAAATGCAAATTAAAACCAAAATTAGCTACGCTTAAAGAAGCTAGACACAGAATACACAGGGTATAATTCCATTTATAGGAAGGCTAGTGACAGAAAATAAATCAGTTGTTGCCTGGGGCTGGGGGTAGGGGTGGAAAGGACTGAGATGGGACTCAAGGGAACTTTCTGGAGGTGATATATATGTTCAACATCTTAATTACACTGGTGATTTTATAATTTGGCAATGCCCATCAAAATGTACAATTAAAGAGGATTAATTTTATTCTATGTACTCATACCTCAATAAAATTGATTTTTTAAAAGCACAATAGAGCTGGGCACATAGTCTAAAAGCACAAGTAGAGCAGTGGCTCATACTTGTAACCCTAGCACTTTGGGAGGCTGAGGTGGGAGGTTCACTTGAGCCCAGGAGTTCAAGATCAGACTGGGCAACATAGCAAGACCTTGTCTCTACAGATAATTAAAAAATTAGTTGGGTGCGGTGGCACATGTCTGTGGTTCCAGCTACTCAGGAAGCTCAGGTGGGAGAATTGCTTGGGCCCAGGGGTGAAGGCTGCAGTGAGCCGTGATCAAACCACTGCACTCCAGCCTGGGGGAGAGAGCAAGCCCCTGTCTCAACAACAACAACAACAACAACAACAACAACAACGAAAGCACAATAAGATACCACTACATTCTTCCAAAGTATAAACTAGTATGAGGAAAAAAACAAAAGAAATACCAGTACATTCTCACCAGAAAAACTAAAATAAAAAAAAGTATTGACAAGGATGCAGAGCAACTGGAACTCTGCTGACTTGCAGGAGGCAATGTAAATGTCACGGGAAAACTCTTAGAAAGTTACACTTTGACCATTGTCAAAAGACAGAATTGCAACTTAAACATCTTAATTGGCTTTATTTTTATTTTATTTTATTATTTTTTTTGAGTTGGAGTCTCCTTCTGTCACCCAGACCGGAGTGCAGTGGCATGATCTCTGCTCACTGCAACCTCTGCCTCCTGGGTTCAAGTGATTCTCCTGCCTCAGCCTCCCGAGTAGCTGGGATTACAGGCATTCGCCACCATGCCCGGCTAATTTTTTTTTGAGACAAAGTCTCGCTCTTGTCCCCCAGGCTGGAGTGCAATGGCGTGATCTCAGCTCACTGCAACCTCTGCCTCCCAGGTTCAAGGGATTTTCCTGCCTCGGTCCCACAGGTAGCTGGGATTACAGGTGCCTGCCACCACGCCCAGCTAATATTTATATTTTTAGTAGAGACGGGGTTTCACCATGTTGGGCAGGCTGGTCTAGAACTCCTGACCTCAGGTGATCCAACCATCTTGGCCTCCCAAAGTGCTGGGATTACAGGCGTGAGCCACTGCGCCCGGCCTAATTTTGTATTTTTAGTAGAGATGGGGTTTCTCCACATCGGTCAGGCTGGTCTTGAACTCCCGACCTCAGGTGATCCGCCCGCATCCGCCTCCCTAAGTGCTGGGATTACGGGTGTGAGCCATTGCGTTTATAAACAGATAAGGGCTGAAGAAAGCACAAACAACACAAAGTGGATTGGTCATTTCTTTTTTTTTTTTTTTTTTGAGACGGAGTCTTGCTTTGTCACCCACGCTGGAGTGCAGTGGCGCCATCCTAGCTCACTGCAAGCTCCACCTCCGGGGTTCACGCCATTCTCCTGCCTCCGCCTTCCGAGTAGCTGGGACTACAGGCGCCCGCCACCACACCCAGCTGTTTTTTTGTATTTTTTTTTTTTTAGTAGAGATGGTGTTTCACCATGTTAGCCAGGATGGTCTTGATCTCCTGACCTCGTGATCCGCCCGCCTCGGCCTTCCAAAGTGCTGGGATTACAAGCGTGAGCCACCACGCCCGGCCGGATTGGTCATTTCAAAGTAACTTTCCCTGTAGGGCAGGAACAAGGAAACAGAACAATAGAAAAATAACGGATTGGGCCAGACGCCGTGGCTCATGCCTGTAATCCTACCACTTTGGGAGGCTGAGGTGGGTGGATCATCTGAGGTCAGGAGTTTGAGACCAGTCTGGTCAACATGGCGAAACCCCGTCTCTGCTAAAAATACAAAAAAATTAGCCGGGTGTGTTGGCGCACACCTGTAATCCCAGCTACTCTGGAAACTGAGACAGGAGAATTGCTCGAACCCGGGAGGTAGAGGTTACAGTGAGCCGAGATGGCACCACTGCACCACTGCACTCCAGCCTGGGTGACAGAACAGCGGGAACTCGTCTCAAAAAAAAAGAAGAAGAAGAAGAAGAAAAATAATGGATTGATTAACATCAGGTTACTTTTGTTGTAAGGATTAAGGGCAGAGGAAAGTTCATTATCATGCTTATTGAAAGTGGCCTGTTTGGGGAATATCTATTATCTCTCTGGATTTCTCTGAAGGTCAGATAATTTAGTTTCAGCTTGGTAAGATGTAAGTTTAGTAGGAATTACTCCATTTTGGTTCTTAGTCTTGTTTGTTAGGATCTAGTGCGGGTGCTTTGTCCAAAATAATGGCCTATAATTTTTTTCTTTTTTTTTTTTTTTTTTAAGGCAGAGTCTCAAGAGTCTCGCTCTGTCACCCAGACTGGAGTACAGTTTCATGATCACAGCTCATTGCAGCCTCAACCTCCCTGGCTCAAGGGATCCTCTCCCACCTCAGCCTCCCAAGTAGCCTCTCAATGTGCGCCACCACACCTGGTTGATTTTCTTGTAGAGATGGGGGTCTCACCGTGTTGCCCAGGCTCGTCTCGAACTCCTGGGCTCAGGTAATCAGTTTACCTTGGCCTTCCAAAGTGCTGGGATTACAGGCATGAGCCACCATGCCCGGCCTGTAATTTTTCTTTAACACCATATAATCCAGTCATTTCATTCCTTGGTGTTTAAGACAAATGCGTATATAGATTTGTCAGAAAATATCTAGTAGGCCAGGAGTAGTGGCTCAAACCTGTAATCCCAGCACTTTGGGTGGCAGACGTGGGAGGATTGCTTGAGCCCAGGAGTTTGAGACTCGCCTGGACAACATGGTGAGACTCGGTATCTACAAAAAAATTTAAAAAGTAGCTGGGTGTGGTGGCACATGCCTGTAGTCACAGCTACTTGGGAGGCTGAGGCAGGAGGATTGCTTGAGGCCAGTAGTTGGAGGCTGCAGTGAGCCACGATCATGCCACTGTACTCCAGCTTAGGCAACAAGAGTGAAACCGTTTCTAAAAAAAAAAAAAAAAAAAAAATTAAATTAAATTAAAAACCAATCTACCGTATTAAAACTCTAGAAGCCAGGATAGTGATTAACTGGGGGTGGGAGGAGTTGGGGGGGCAGGGTGGTGGGTGGTTGTTGGTGAGTGGGTAGTGACTGAAAGTGGTCAGGAGGAGGGTTCCGGGGCGCTGGTGTACATATCATACTTCTATTAAAAGTTTAACAAAAACGAATTACTTTCATTCAGACTGGGTATTAGACCACATTAAGGAATATTGTTAATTTTCTTAGGCATGTTAATAGCCTTATATTTTTTATGTATTTTTTTTTTGAAGTACAAATCTGTTGTGATAAATGCTTAAGTATTCACAGCTGAAATAATGTGATGTCTGGGATTTGCTTTAAAATAATTCCCTGGATGGGAAGGGACTGCTTAAACAGGATAGATAAGCAGATGTTGATTATTGTTCAAAACCAGTTAATGGGTACATGAGGGTTCATTATACTATTGTCTCCACTTTTGCGAATGTCTGAAATATTCTAATAATAATAATAATGAGAGGCTTCTCATCACAGAATTTCAAGGCAGTCGCTTCACCTCCCTGACTCCCAGTTTCTACCTCAATAAAATAGGGCTGATGATATAATGCACTGTACTCACAGGGATGTTGTGAGCAGCAGGGGGAGAAAGGGTTTTATGAAATGTTGTGTTTTTGTTTTTGTTTTAGAGACGGAGTCTCATTCTGTCACCCAGGCTGGAGTGCAGTGGCGCGATCTCGGCTCACTCTCCGCCTCCCGGGTTCAAGCAATTCTCCTGCCTCAGCCTCCCGAGTAGCTGGGATTACAGGCACCTGCCACCACGCGCGGCTAATTTTTGTATTTTTAGTAGAGACGGGGTTTCACTGCGTTGATCAGGCTGGTCTCGAATGCCTCACTTCATAATCCGCCTGCCTCGGCCTACCAAAGTGCTGGGATTACAGGCGTGAGACACCGCGGCCGGCTGAAATGTTTTAATATTGGTAACCACTGCCATTATGGTTTCTAGTACTAATTTGTTGCCTCCAAGCGTTCTCTCCTCCTCGCCCTGTAATTTTTTTTTTTTCTTAAGACAGAGTATTGCTCTGTCACCCAGGCTGGAGTGTAGTGGTTCGATTTCGGCTCATTGCAACCTCAGCCTCATGGGTTCAAGCGATTCTCCTGCCTCAGCCTCCCAAGTAGTTGGGATTACAGGTGGGTGTCACCATGCCCGGCTAATTTTTTTATTTTTAGTAGAGATGCGGTTTCACCATTTTGGCAGCCTGGTCTCGAACTCTTGGCCTCAAGTGATCCGCCCGCCTCGGCCCCCCAAAGTGCTGGGATGACAGGTGTGAGCCACCACGCTCGGCTTCCCTGTAATTGTTGATTCCACTTTTCCTCTGGTTCTTTTCAATGGTTCCTTCCTGCTACCCCCCTCCCCCGGCAGCCCAATGGTTGAGCCCGGCTTCCCCGGGGGAAACCCCTTGGGGCGGATCACGCGGTATCAGCCAGTGGCCTCCCTGGTGGATAGAAGGATCGCTCTGCGCCGGGGGCGGGCCAGTAATCGTAGGCGGGGCGCGGGTCCAGAGCTCCGATTGGCCAGAGTCGGAGTAAACATCCGGCGGGACGGGGCGGGGCCGGAAGTGGAAGTGGAAGTAGAAGGCGGTGGCTGAGGCGGTTCCGGAGGTTCTAGTGTCGGAGTTGGGTGCAGGCAGGTGCCATGGGCCCGCTTGAGGCACACTGAGGGGACGCGGGGCTGGGCCATGGCCGGCGCTCGGGCCGCCGCCGCCGCTGCCTCGGCGGGGTCCTCGGCCTCTTCAGGCAACCAGCCGCCTCAGGAGCTGGGGCTTGGGGAGCTGCTGGAGGAGTTCTCCCGGACTCAGTACCGGGCCAAGGATGGCAGCGGGACCGGCGGCTCTAAGGTGAGATTGGAGGTGCGATGAGCTGGGGAAGGCTCCTAACTTGGGAAGTTACAGAGGAAAGGCTGAGGCCAGGGGTCAGAAAAAGGTAGGAGTGGTACCTCGCCGCTGAGGAAGAGGAGAGAGAGAGAGGAGTTCTCCAGGGTCTGTATCCGGAGTATAAGAGTCGGTCTTGACAACCATAAAAGGAGGAACTGGGGTCAGAATGAGCCCAGCAAAGAGGTCCTTCTTGTTTGAGAAGGGGTCTGGAGGTGAGAGATCAAGCTGAGGGGCCAGGTTCAAAGATCAGAGAGGAGGACCTAAGGAAGGTCTATTCCCTGCTTCAGGTGCCGTAGGATGAGTTGTGTCAGGGAAAAAGCCCCAAGAAAAAGCTAAGAAAAATAGGGAGACGATTCCTCGGGGTCAGAGGTCAGAATGGAGCCAGGAGGTGAACCCAGTGTGCTGCCCCCTTATAAGGTCTCAGCATGACTTAGGCCCATCCCTTTCCTTCCCCTATAGAGCAGGAAGACAACCCACACTCCCTTTCAGTTCCTTTATCTAAAGCAGGTCTCCGTTCCTCTTTTTGCTCCCTTTGGGATTTCCACCCAGTCGTCTTATCGCCAGACCTGGAGGGCTTCCTGTCAGCTCAGGCCATCCCCACCCTAAGCACTGGCTGGCAGTGCGGTGGGAATCTTGCCGACCCTGCCATCTCATTCCCCCACGTGGTTTTGGCAGCTTTAGCACCAAGTTTTCCAGTGGAATTCTGTTCCATCCTGCACCACAGAACTCTGATTTGACCTCAGAGATTACCGTGAGTTGCTATTCTGTAGTTGGCATCTTGTAGTCTCTGAAGTAACCCAGGGAAGACTTCAGTAAGGATTGGACTTCCTCACTCTCCAAATGGCCAAGTAATTTTTCCAAGTATAGTCTGGGGACCACCTGTTTAATGATCATCTGGGGTACTTTTAAAATTTGTGCTTATGGGATACTTTGTGAAAACAGAGATTCCTTAGTCCCACCCAGTCCTACCAAGTCAGAATTTCTGGGGGTGGGATCCTGGAATTTGCTTTTTTTTTTTTTTTCTTTTGAGAAGGAGTCTCGCTTTGTCGCCTAGGCTGGAGTGCAGTGGCGCAATCTCAGCTTACTGCATCCTCCGCCTCCCCAGTTCAAGCAATTCTCCCTGCCTCAACTTCCCAAGTAGCTGGGATTACAGGACCCCACCACCACGCCCAGCTAATTATTGTAGTTTTTAGTAGAGATGGAGTTTCCCCAGGTTGGCCAGGCTGGTCTTGAACTCCTGAGCTCAGGTGATCCGCCTACCTCAGCCTCCCAAAGTGCTGGGATACAGGCGTGAGCCACCGCGCCTGGCTTTTTTGTTTGTTTGTTTTTGTTTTTTGTGTTGAGACAGGGTCTCGCTCTGCTGCCCAGGCTGGATTGCAGTGGTGCAACCATGACTTACTGCAGCCTCGAAATCCTGGGTTTGAGCGATCCTCCCACTTAAGCCTGCCAAGCACCTGGGACCACAGGTACACACCACCATGCCTGGCTAATTTTTCTTTATTTTCCTAGAGACATGGTCTCGCTATATTGCCCTGGCTGGTCTCAAACTCCTAAGCTCAAGCAATCCTCCCACCTCAGCCCCCCAAAATGCTGGGATTACAGGCGTGAGCCGCCACACCTGGCCAGTAAGGGTCTTTTGAGTGGCTGTAGGTCATTGGTTTTTCTGGACCCCTCTTCCAACTTACATGACCCTGAAGATTAGGGTTAGCATAAGTTACACCTCATATTGGCTGCGGCTGGCCTTAATTATCTCTCCAGGCCTTCTGATCTCCTGCAAACTTAGATGTATATATATTTATATGTATTTATAACAATTCAGGCAGAACAGGGAGTTAGATCTGTAACTGAACAATCGATTGAGATAACTCACTACCTTTGGACTAACTTCTTGCAAACTTTTTTTTTCAGAAGGAGTCTCCCTCTGTCACCCAGGCTGGAGTGCAGTGGTGCGATCTTGGCTCGCTGCAACTTCCACCTCCTGGATTCAAGCGATCCTCCTGCTTCAGCCTCCCTAGTAGCTGGGACTACAGGCATGCACCATCATGCCTGGCTAATTTTTTTTTTTTTTTTTGAGATGGCGTCTCACTCTGTCGCCCAGGCTGGAATGCAATGGCGTGATCTCGGCTCACTGCAACCTCCGCCTCCTGGGTTCAAGCGATTCTCCTGCTTCAGCCTCCCCAGTAGGTGGGAGTACAGGCGCCCGCCACCATGCCCAGCTAATTTTTATATTTTTAATAGAGATGGGGTTTCACCATGTTGGCCAGGATTATCTCAATCTCTTGAACTCGTGATCTGCCCGCCTTGGCCTCCCAAACTGCTGGGATTACAGGCATGAGCCACTGCACCCAGCCTAATTTTTGTATTTTTAGTAGAGAAAGGGTTTCACCTGTTGGCCAGGCTGGTCTCAAGCTCCTGATCAGAAGTGATCTGCCCTCCTCGGTGCCTCCCAAAGTGCTGGGATTATAGGCGTGAGCCACCATGCCTGGCCCTCTTGCAAACTTCTTGATGTTACAGTTCTTATGCCTTTTTTCTGTTGTGTTTTTCTCTGAACTGTGATCAAAATAAGTAATTTTAGGGGGAGCTGTTTCTTCTATTTCACCAGCAAGTTGTGTATAAAGAGACTTTGCAGCTTTTACTGGTTGCATGGAATAGAGCTTGTAGGTACTAGTCTATGGCTAAAGAATGGGGAAGAGGGCCAGTACACTGGCTCACGCGTGTAATCCTAGCACTTTGGGAGGCCAAGGCAGGTAGACTGCTTCAGCCCAGGAGTTCGAGAGCAGCCTGGAAACATGAACCCCATCTCTATTAAAAATTTTTTGTTGGCTGGGCGTGGTGGCTCACCCAGGAGGCAGAGGTTGCAGTGAGCAGAGATCACACCATTGCACTCTAGCCTGGGTGACAGAGCAAGACTCTTTCTCAAAAAAAAAAAAAAGGAATGGGGAAGAGGCCAGGCATGGTGGCTCACACCTGGGAGGCTGAGGCGGGCGGATCACTTGAGATCAGGAGTTCAAGACCAGCCTGGCCAGCATGGTGAAACCCCATCTCTACTAAAAATATGAAAATTAGCCAAATATGCTCACTTGAACCCAGGAGGCTGAGGTTGCAGTGAGCTGAGATCGTGCCACTGCACTCCAGCTTGGATGACAGAGTGAGACTGTGTCTTTTAAAAAAATAAAGGCCGGGTGCCGTGGCTCACGCCTGTAATCCCAGCACTTGGGGAGGCCGAGGTGGGCGGGTCACCTGAGGTCAGGAGTTTGAAACTAGCCTGGCCAACATGGTGAAACCCCTGTCTCTACTAAAAATAGAAAAATTAGTCAGGCGTGGTTCTACGCACCTGTAATCCCAGCTACTCGGGGTGAGACAGGAGAATCGCTTGAACCCCGGACGCGGAGGCTGCAGTGAGCTGAGATTGCCCCACTGCACTGCAGCCTGGGCGACAGAGCGAGACTCCGTCTCAAAAAATAAATAAGAGAATGGGGAAGCTGACCAATGAAGGTAGTGGATTAGTGGCAGTTTCAGTAACCTGGACCAAGAGTTCTTATGTTTTATGGGTTGTAGACCTCTTTGAATCTAATGAAAGCTGTAATCGTCTCCCCCAAATGCTCAATACCCACAATTTCAGATTCATTGTTAGGGGTTTAAGAATCCTTCCTGAAGTATACAATATATGGGTTAATGGACTACACGTAGGACCTGTGGCCTAGCATCACATCTTCCCAGCACAGAATAATTATCACCCAGGTACATGTCTTTCCCAGTGACCTCTTAGGCCATGGACCTCCTAATTCTCACCCTCAGAACCCCAGAATTCTCTTTGTGTTCTGGTCTCCTTCTCTGTGCAGGTTGAGCGCATTGAGAAGAGATGTCTGGAGCTGTTTGGCCGAGACTACTGTTTCAGCGTGATTCCAAACACGAATGGGGATATCTGTGGCCACTATCCCCGGCACATCGTGTTCCTGGAGTATGAGAGTTCTGAGAAGGAGAAAGACACGTGAGCATCATGTGACCGTAGTGTACATGTCTGGGGAGTCCGTGGCAGCTAATCCCTGTGGCCAGGAAGTCTGTAGCTGGGCAGGGCAGAATCACTTTCCCCAGGTGTTAATCCTTATTGGCATTTTTATTTACTTCAAGGTTGGACAAGTCAGACTGGCAAGGTGGCATGGCATAGAATGAGGGGTTGGGAGTAACAGCCCTTGATTGCTGTTTCACTTCCACCCTAGAGCTCATTGTCCTAAGATAGCTGACTTCACACTTCACTTCTCTGAATATCAGTGTCCCTTTTTTAGAGAGTGTGAGTGGGAGGTACACTGTGTAAAGACAGGCTTACCAGCGTTTACCGTATGTAGCACTTGAGAGCCTAAGGTCTAGAGTCAGACTGCTAGAGTCAGACTGTCTAGAGTTCACATCCTGGATTCCCCTGTTGCTGGCTGTGTAACTGATGCTGGGCAAGTTACTTAACTGCTTTGTCCTTAGTTTTCTTATTGGTAATTCTCTACCTCATGTTAATTAGTCCTTTTAAGGACTAACTAAAATTTTAGAAAGTGGTAGTGCAGTCCAGATGATAAATGGGGCTGATAAAAGCCTGACATGTACGTTGTAAGAATTAGAAATAAAAGCTACCATTTATGGTGGGCCTACCAAGACCTGAGTACCTTATGTGGGTTAACAGTTTATACCAGAGCAGACACAGAATGCTTGGTGCAGGTTGTGGCCTGTAGGTAGTCAGTAAATGGTATAGTTATTTGATACTGATAAGTAATCACAGCATGAGGCTCTAGGAAGTGGTATATGTTGATCTCAAAGTTTGCTCTCCTAATCTCCCTACTTCCTGCTGATTTTAAGGGAATTTCAGGAGCCGTTGTCAGCACTATCTGTGAAATCCTGGCCCCGTGGGTGAAATGTTGTGAGGAGTACCGCAGCAGTCATGCTGCATAGTGCAGTAGCCCCTTGCTACTCAAAGCAGGGCTAGCAGTGCATTCAATAACTTGTTAGAAACGCAGAAGCTCATGCTCCAGAGCCACTGAGCCAGAATCACAGCAGAACAGGGTGTCCAGGTGATTCGAATGCACTACCAGGTTTGAGAAGTGCTGCCGTAGGCCAACTGGGGAAATGGTTAATTCTGCCTTGTGTTTATGTGCCTGGGAAGAACTGGAATTGGAAGGATGAGCAGGAGTTTCCCTGAAAATGTCCTTAGGGATCAACTCATATAGGATCTTGATCATCAGGCCAGGGAGTGTGAACCTGTGGGTTGTGTGTGGGTATCAGTGGTTTTATTGTGCTAGGAACCCCTAAGCACTTACTAAGATTATGGATTCTCGGCCTGGCCTAGTGGCTCATGCCTGTAATCCCAGCCTCCTTTGGGTGGATCACCTGAGGTCAGGAGTTTGAGACCAGCCTGGCCAACATGGTGAAACCCCATCCCTACTAAAATTACAAAAACTAGCTGGGCGTGGTGGTGGGCTCCTGTAATCCCAGCTACTCGGGTGGCTGAGGCAGGAGAATCGCTTGAACCCAGGAGGTGGAGGTTGCAGTGAGCCGAGATTGCACCACTGCACTCCAGCCTGGGCAACAGAGCAAGAGCAAGACTCTATCTCAAAAAAAAGATGACAGATTCTAGAACCTCTCCTGGGCCTTCTGGAATCAGAATTTCCAGTCTACATTCTGTGAGAGCTCCCTTGATGTCTTTTTTTTTTTTTTTTTTTTGAGACAGAGTGCTCTGTCACCCAGGCTGGAGTGCAGTGGCACGATCTTGGCTCACTGCAACCTCTGCCTCCCGGGTTCAAGCAATTCTCCTGCCTCAGCCTCCTGAGTAGCTGGGATTACAGGCGCCCGCCACCACGCCCAGCTACTTTTTTTGTATTTTTAGTAGAGACAGGGTTTCACCACGTTGGTCAGGCTGGTCTCGAACCCCTGACCTCATGATCCAGCCGCCTCGGCCTCCCTAAGTGCTGGGATTATAGGTGTGAGCCAGCACACCCGGCCTCTTGATGTCTTAAATACACTATAGCTTGAGAACCGCTGCTGCAGGCCATGGGGAGCCAGAGAAGGTTTACAGCAGAGGAACAATCCAGTAGGAGGAGTTTAAGCACTAAGCCTTAGTTTCCTCATCTGTAAAGTGGGGATGTCTATAAGAGTGCCCATCTTGGCCGGGCGTGCTGGCTCACACCTGTAATCCCAGCACTTTGAGAGTCCAAGATCATGAGGTCAGGAGATTGAGACCATCCTGGCCAACATGGTGAAACCCCGTATCTACTAAATATACAAAAATTAGCTGGGTGTGGTGGCGCACGCCTGTAATCCCAGCTACTCGGGAGGCTGAGGCAGGAGAATCACTTGAACCCAGGAGGCGGAGACTGCACTGAGCCAAGATCGAACCACTGCATTCCAGCCTGGCGACAGGGTGAGACTCCATCTCAAAAAAATAAAAAAAAAAGAGTGCCCATTTCACAAGGTTGTAGTGGGGTTCTCCAAGAAAAGAGTGTTAAGGGCTCTTGTAAATAGATCACAGAAACAGTATTACATCCTCAGTTATATAACCTAAGAACTTGGGATCGCCAAGCCTAAAGAATTGGGGTTTGTTATGGCCCTGTTATTTATGGTTCTTAGCTCTTCCTTAATTCCTCCTTCCAGAATTAGGTAAGCTTAGTTTCTTTTTTTTTTTAAGACAGAATCTTGCTCTGTTGCCCAGGCTGGAGTGCAGTGGTGCCATCTTGGCTCACTGTAACCTCTGCCTCCCAGGCTCTAGCGATCCTTGTGCATCAGCCTCCCAAGTAGCTGGAATTACAGGTGTGTGGCACCACACCTGGCTAGTTCTTGAATTTTAGTAGAGATGGGTTTTGCCATGATGGCCAGGCTAGTCTCAACTCCTGGGCTCAAACAATCCGCCTGCCATGGCCTCCCAAAGTGCTGGATTACAGGTGTGAGCCACCGCGCCCAGCTGGGTAAACTTAGTTTCCGTAAATCTTTAAGCTAAAGTTTCTGAACAAGAGGGTTTTGTTTTGTTTTGTTTTCTTTGTTTTTGCCTTGCCATTCTCTTCGTTCCCCTTCTTCCTACCCTCTTTGGTGCTGGCTGGCTGGTGGTTTTACCTCTGTGCCCTGATGATGACATTCTGATATTAAGCTCAGCTGTAATCAAGGTGGGTTTTTTTGTTTTTGTTTTTGTTTTTAATTAAGACGGGGTCTGGAATGCAGTGGCACAATCATGGCTTGCTGCGGCCTTGATCCCCTGGGCTCAAGTGATTCTCCCACCTCAGCCTCCCAAGTAGCTGGGAATATGGGCACATACCACCACTCCCAGCTGATTTTTTTTAATTTTTAGTAGAGACCAGGTCTCGCTGCATTGCCCAGGTGGGTCTCCTGAGCTCAACAGATTTCCTCACCTCGGCCTTTCAAAGTGTTGGGATTAGAGGTGAGAGCCACCGCACCCAACAGAGTGGTTCTTTTCTATGTTGATTTTATGAGTGAATCAACTGGGGATCTTTCTACAATGCAGAGATTCAGAAGACCTGAGGTGGGCCTGCGATTTGGCATATTCTAACAAGCTCTCAGGTAATACCAAATGTTACCCTTCAGTAACATAATAGTACATTGAGAAACGTAGTGGTGGTTGCCTTGTAAAAGCTTTTCCTGGAAGGAAACAAGTTTAGTGTTGATCCCTTAAAGAGACTGAAACTAGTATTTGTTGAGTACCTCTGTTTGGCAGGTGTTGAGGTTTTACTTGCTAGCTTAAGCCCTACAACTATTCAGTGAAGAAGACAGTATCACCACTCTTTTTTTTTTTCAATTTGATATGGAGTCTTGCTGTGTCGCTGAGGCTGGAGTGCAGTGGCGCAAGTGATCTTGGCTCACTGCAACCTCTGCCGCTCAGGTTCAAGTGATTCTCCTGCCTCAGCCTCCCTAGTAGCTGGGATTACAGGCGCGTGCCACCATGCCCGGCCAATTTTTGTATTTTTAGTAAAGACGGGGTTTCAACATCTTGGCCAGGCTGGTCTTGAACTCCTGACCTCGTGATCCACTGGTCTCGGCCTCCCAAAGTGCTGGGATTACAGGTATGAGCCACCGCGCCTGGCCCTCACCACTCTTTTATAGATGAAGTTGAAGCCCAGAGAAGTAATTTGCCTTTGCCGAAGATCACAGAGGTAGTAAGCAGAGTGGGGTTAAAAGCTGTATTTCCTGACTCTGTACCTGTCTGCCTTATCTTTCACCACCACGGCTCTCCCACCTTGTCTAGCAGAACCTCACAGTTAGGCCAAGGCCACTGTGGAACATGATTAACCTTAGAGGAGCTTGTTGGAGTTTGTTTTTACTTTTCACTCCTTGCAAGGCCTTAAAGTGTTACTGAAGTGATGTTGAGTGGGTGATGCCTGCTTGTTGAAAGGGGGGACTTCGGGTATGTTTGGGTGGGAAGAAATAGCATTTTTTGCTTTTTTACTGTCTGGCTTGGCTGTTACTATGATGCTGAATTAAACTGAATAGACTGAATAAAAAATAGACTGAATTAAACAGGGTAGAATTGGATTTAAGCAATGTTTTGGTCCTGTTAAGGAACCTCTCCAATTTGGTTCATCATCTGGGAATAGAAGCCTGGACAGGGATCTCTGAATAGCTAAGACATGTTTGTCAACAGTGTTCGTTCAGCTGCTGCTGTGTAGTAGACCTCAGGGATCAAGTTGGAAGCCAGATAGATGAAGTCCTTACCAGTAGGTCTAGTGGGAAACAGAGTCCAATAAAGAAGCAATAATTGTTAATAAAAGCTGGAATTAGGGGAAGTACAGGTGAGGCCCTGCCGGATAGTGGTTAAAACCATGGGCCCAGTGGCTACCCACAGGGTTTAGAATCTCAGCTACCCTGTTTACCTGTTCTGTGACTTTGGGCTAGAGATTTCATCTCATTAAACTACCTCATCTGTAAAATTGGGTAAGTGAGGACTGAGTGAGATAATGTGGGTGTAAGCTCTACTTTGTGCCTCTTATCTATTAAATAGTAGCAGCAGTAACATTTATCTCAGGAAGTTGTGGGGTACATTATAGGAACAAGCCACCCAGTTTGGTAAGTGTGGTGCCTGTCTGGGAAAGCTTCCTATTGGAAATATGTGATAACAGCATTTTCTTCTGTATTTGAAAATAGTTTGGCTGGGCATGGTGGCTCACGCCTATAATCCTAGTTACTTGGGAGGCCGAGATGGGCGTTTCGCTTGAACCCAGGAGTTTGAGACTGAATTAAACTGAATAGACTGAATAAAAAACAGACTGAATTAAACAGTCTGGGCAACATGGTGACACCTTGTCACTACAAAAAATACAAAGCATTAGCCAAGCATCGTGGCATGTGCCTGTAGTCCCAGCTACCTGGGAGTCTGAGGTGGGAGGATCACCTGAGCCCAGGAGGTCAGCTGCAGTGAACCATGGCGCCACTGCACTGCAGCCTGGGCAACAGAGGAAGACCTTGTTGGGAAAAAAACAACAAAATCTCACTACCTGGTAACATCTTGCCAGAAATTTCAGTGCATACATTACAAATGTAAATACAGAAGCCTACATTCATCCCTTCGAATGTGAGTATTATGTGCCAGACACAGCTCAGTGCTTAGCACTGCAATAAAAGAATCCTAAGGACAAGAGATAATAAAAACAGGAAAAAGTGAGAGAACAGAAACTGAATTGGTTCTTTTTTTTTTTTTTTTTAAGACGGAGTCTCATTCTGTTGCCCAGGCTGGAGTGCAGTGGCGTGATCTCTGCTCACCGCAACCTCCGCCTCCTGGGTTCAAGCAATTCTCCTGCCTCAGCCTCCCGAGTAGCTGGGATTAGAGGCGCGTGCTGCCACGCCTGTCTAATTTTTGTAGTTTTAGTATAGACGGGGTTTCACCATGTTGGCCAGGCTGGTCTTTACCTCCTGACCTCAGGTGATCTGCCGCCTGAGCCTCCCCAAGTGTGGGATTACAGGCATGAGCCACTGTGCCTGGCCAGAAACTGAATTGGAGCTTGATGTAGGGGAACCGGTAAAGGAACCACTGGCCGACCTAACAAGAAAAGGTGGGTCATTACATTAAAAGATCCTCCCTAGAGGAAAATGCTGATGTGTCCTCCACCAGGGGTGTTTTGTTTGTTTGTTTTTAACAGAAGTTTAGCCTGAGAAATCCACCTTGGTTTTGAGGCTACAACTCAACCTGGGAAAATCAGATGTAGGCATTTAGGGTTCAGAGGGCTGGTATGAGCTAAGTGAGAGTCGGTTGCAGCAGATGGTGCTGACCAGATATGTGACATCGGCCACGGGCCAAGTAAGTGGGAGGAAGGCCACTGTGGCAGTACTAAAGGTGCTCGGTTTTATATTCTTGTGGAGTCTAGTTAGGCAATTAATTGGTACCAAGGTGCCTTTTGATTTCATAGAGAAACTGGGTGAGGGGAAGGCAGCACACTCTGGTTCTCTGTGAGCTTGTGTGCCTAGGGCTGCCTGGTGGGTTGCTGCCACCCTACGGGCACTTTGCTTTTTTTTTTTTCCCCCAGACGGAGTCTCGCCCTTCGCCCAGGCTGGAGTGCAATGGCGTGATGTTGGCTCACTGCAAACTCTGCCTCCCGGGTTCAAGCAGTTCTCCTGCCTCAGCCTCCTGAGTAGCTGGGATTACAGGCACGCGCCACCACGCCAGGCTAATTTTTTTGTATTTTTAGTAGAGATGGGGTTTCACCATGTTGGCCAGGCTGGTTTTGAACTCCCAACCTCAAGTGATCTGCCCACCTTGGCCTCCCAAAGTGCTAGGATTACAGGTGTGAGCCACCACGCCTGGCCCCTAGATATATTTTAACTAAGAATTCGCAGTATTTTAAAGACTGTGTTTTTATTAACCCTAACAGCATCCAGATACATTTAAAGAGGTACCACAAGTATGTGGGAGTCACTGATTTCTTCCTTCTGGGATAATATTTGGGTGCATGTGTACAAGAGGAGCTGTACGCAGATTCCTAGAAGGATTAGGATGTGGAAGCAATTAAATTCCCTCTAGGAGTTGGTCTGAAAGCTCAACACTTTTAAGGAAGGAACATGAGTATTTTTCCTTCCTTCTACTTGGTTACTCTGTGTAGCTGGGAAAGCTTCCTGCTCTAACTTTCCTGCCTCCTGTTTCTGTTGCTACCAGAAGCTCTGACTGGCTGGGGTGAGCTTTGCTAAAGGTTGGTAGGTGAGTTTATGAGAGCGGACCCTTATTTTAGGGAAGCGTGATTTGATATGGGTATGACTTGCTGGAGCTAACTTCTAAACCTCACTCTCAAGTTCTAGAAGCTCACTTACCAAGCCCAGTGCATTAACTACTACACGTCCCTGTGTCACACATGGCTTCTCTTATGCCTCCTTTGCTCTGTGCGCTGTTGGCCATATGGACTGTGAAAGCAGAGGCCTAGAGCCATGTGGACCAAGAAACGTCATCTCATTCTGCCCTCTAAAACAGCACTCCCCAACCTTTTTGGCACCAGGGACTGGTTTCATGGAAAACAATTTTTCCACGGCAGGGTGGAGAAAATGGTTTCAGATGAAACTGTTCCACCTCAGATCATGAGGCATTAGATTCTCTGCAACCCCAGTCCCTCACATGCGGAGTTCACAATAGGGTTCGAGCTCCTATGAGAATATAATGCCGCCACTGATGATCTGACAGGAGGTGGAAGTCAGACGGTAATGCTCACTTGCCTGCTGCTCACCTCCTGGTTCCTAATGGGGCATGGACTCGTACTGATCTGGGGCTCAGGGCCTGGGGACTGCTTGCTCTAAAAGATCACAAAAATACATATTCAGAGTTATGCAAAAAATAGATAGTCACAAAAATGGTCCTGTGATTTCCAGAGAGGGTCCCTAGGGCACCAGGTCTTATCCTGGGAGTTAAAAATTGGACACCCTAGACATAATATCCAGTTTTCTGTGTATATTTCTGAATTTTGTATATGTCTTCAGTTTAGCTCACTTTTTTTTTATCTTAAAGGTTCAGAAATCAGAGTGATTTAAGTTTTAATACCTATAATTAGCACTTTTTTTTTTTCCTGAAAAACTTAATATATCTCATGCCTGTGATCCCGGCACTTTGGGAGGCCGAGGTGGGCGGATCGCCTGAGGTCAGGAGTTTGAGGCCAGCCTGGCCAACGTGGTGAAACCCCGTCTCTACCAAAAATAAAAAAATTACCCAGGTGTGGTGGCTCACACCTGTAGTCACAGCATACTCGGGAGGCTGAGACAGGAGAATTGCTTGAACCCGGGAGGCAGAGGCTGTGGTGAGCCAAGATTGCGCCACTGCACTCTAGCCTGGGCAACAACAGTGAAACTCCGTCTCAAAAAAATAGATAGATAGACAGACAGATGATAGATGATATAAAATTTAGGAATGACATTTAATTTCAAGCAAGCATTATGTACACAGATCTAGTATGGGGGTCTGTGTGAATAAACACATATACACAAAGTGCCCACTTCAAAGTCAGCTTGACCTGCTTCTCTTGCCTGTGTGTTAGGTTTGAGAGTACCGTACAGGTGAGCAAGTTGCAAGACCTCATCCACCGCAGCAAGATGGCCCGGTGCAGAGGACGGTTTGTCTGCCCAGTAATCCTGTTCAAGGGCAAGGTAAGGCCCATACCATAGCTTCATGCTCCACGACTCTCTTCTGGGGTAGCTGACTTACTGCAAAGTATAGGGTCTTTTTTTCCCTCAACATTAGTAGCCAAGCATTGGGTGGTTACTGGGTGTTGTGGGAAGCAGTCCAGAGAAACAGACCAATTCTGACTGAAGGATGGTTCTAGGTAGAGAAGGGATGGTCACACCAGCATACCCCACCCCGTGTTCCAGAGCCAGACTGCCTAGGTTCAGATCCTGACTCTTATTTCCTGCCTATGCAGAGCCTCCTTTTCCTCTCCTATAAATTAAGAATAATAATCACCTATTTCAAAGGTTTGTGGATTAGATTAAATCAAATGAGTTCCTATATTGTTTTTCCATTCTTTCAATTATATAATTCACCAAGTATTTATTGTATATTATGTGCCAGACACTGCTTCAGGCCTTAAAATACATCACCATGTAAAGCAGACAAAAATCTTTATTGTCATGGAGCTTATATTCTAAGGACTTTTGTTAATTTAATTTGGCTCCCCAGTTTGGTTTCATTTTTATCTATCTTTTGGTGTACGGGATGTGCCCATTTCATTGCAGATGAAACAGAGGCTGAGAGTGACTAAGTAACTTCCCTAAGTAGAGGGTACACATCAGGGCAGAGGATGGAGGGGATTGAATGAAGACGGCTGAACGCTGAGCAGGGAGGTGGCTCTGTGTTTGCTAGGAGAGCCATTGTGACGTTTGAGCGGGGAAATTCCGAATGCAAGTAGCAACGGTGCGAAAATTGGTCCAAGAAGAGTGGACTGACATACAGAGAGCCTCAGAGGGGAAGGGAGCGGAATTCAGTCTATTCATTCCTTTAGCTGGTATCTGAGTGTCTCAGTGGTCAAGGGCAGGGCAATGGGGAGAGTCTGACTGTTGTCTCAGTCCCTGGTGTGCCTTTTTTGTAAATTGGGAAAGAGGAGGAAGGAAGGGAGACTCTGCCAAAAGCTTTCTTCTTCAGATCAGTTTTAGGGAAAAGTATGTATGGAAGTTAGGTCCTAGAAATTGATCTTCTTAAAGCTGTTGCCACTTTGGAAAGTTTTCATGTTCCCGAAAGTTATTGCAACTTTTTTTTTTTTGAGATGGAGTCTCTCTCTTTTTTTTTTTTTTTTTTTTTTTTTTGAGGCAGCAGACATCTTGCTCTGCTGCCCAGGCTGGAGTGCAGTGGTGCGATCTCAGCTCACTGCAAGCTCCGCCTCCCGGGTTCACGCCATTCTCCTGCCTTAGCCTCCCGAGTAGCTGGGACTACAGGCACCCGCCACCACGCCCGGCTAATTTTTTGCATTTTCAGTAGAGACGGGGCTTCACCGTGTTAGCCAGGATTGTCTCGATCTCCTGACCTTGTGATCCTCCTGCCTCGGCCTCCCAAAGTGTTGGGATTACAGGCGTGAGCCACCGCGCACGGCCTGGAGTCTCTTCTGTTGCCAGGCTGGAGTGCAGTGGCCCAAGCTTGGCTCACTGCAACCTCCACCTCCCGGGTTCAAGCAATTCTCCTGCCTCAGCCTCCCGAGTAGCTGGGATTACAGGAGCATGTCACCACACCCAGCTAATTTTTGTATTTTTAGTAGAGACGGGGTTTCGCCATGGTGGCCAGGCTGCTCTCAAACTGCTGACCTCAGGTAATCCGCCCGCCTCAGCCTCCCAAAGTGCTGGGACTACAGGCGTGAGCCACCACGCCTGGCCTGCAACTTCATTTGAAAGAGTACCACCCTGTGCAGCACAGCGCTTGTCATTAGAGGTTGCACGGGAGATACTCCAACCAGTGTTTCCATAGAATAGCAGTTTAAGGACATGCTTGCGAAAAGCATTATCTGTCAAATAAGAATTCGAAATACTGCATACTAGATTCTTCAAATAGATTGATAAATGTATGTTCATATAGTTAAGGCTCTGAGAAGTCCTGTAGCAGAGAGGCCTGTGTTAGGTCAGACATGTGGCTCACGGTAGGCACTGAGGAACTAGTATGATGGTGGCAGCATTATTACCAACAATACTTTAGGGACACCAACCTCTACCAGGTTGAGGAAGAGAGAGAGTTGTGTTAAGAAATGCTTGCTTCCACTGTGTTAAGAAATGCTTGCTTCCACAACCTAAATGTCCATCAACAGATGAATGGATAAAGAAAATATGGTACATGTATGCAATGGAGTACCATTCAGCCATGAAAAATAATGAGATCCTGTCATTTGTATCAGCATGGATAGAACTGGAGGTCATTATGTTAAGTGAAATAAGCCAGGCACAAAAAGACAAACTTCACATGTTCTCACTTATTTGAAAGCTAAAAAAATTAAAACAATTGAACTCATGAAGATAGAGAGTAGAGTTATGGTTACCAGAGACTAGGAAAGGGTTCTGACAGGAACAAGGGGGAGGAGTGGGGATGGTTAATGGGTGCAAAAATATAGTTAGAATGAGTAAGATCTAGTATTTGATAGTACAACAGGGTGACTGCAGTCAACAATAATTTATTGTACATTTAAAAATAAGTGTATAATTGGATTGTTTGTAACATAGAGGATAAATGCTTGAGGTGATGGATACCGCATTTACCCTGATGTGATTGTTATGCGTGGTATGCCTGTATCAAAATATCGGCCGGGCACGATGGCTCATGCCTGTAATCCCAGCACTTTGGGAGGCCAAGGCAGGCAGATCGTGAGGTCAGGAGTTCGAGACCAGCCTAGCCAACATAGTGAAACCCCGTCTCTAATAAAAATACAAAAATTAGCCAGGCAAGGTGGCAGGCGCCTATAATCCCAGCTACTCCGGAGGCTGAGGCAGGAGAATTGCTTGAACCCAGGAGGCAGAAGTTGCAGTGAGCCGAGATCGTGCCATTGCACTCCAGCCTGGGCGACAGTGTGAGACTGTCTCAAAAAAAAAAAAAAAAAAAAGTCTCACGTACCCCATAAGTAAATACATGTACCCACAAAAGTTTTTAAAACTTAAATTCTTCCAGCGGAAACAGAAAATCAAATACCGCATGTTCTCATTCATAAGTGGGAGCTAAATAGCGGGTACGCATGGTCATAAAGGTGGAAACAATAGACGTCAGGGACTTCAAAAAGGGGAGAGAGGAAGAGGAGGAGGAGGCAAGGGTTGAAGAATACCTGTTGGGTCCTATGTTCACCATTTGGGTGATGAGTTAAATAGAAGTCTAAACCCCGCTTACACAATATATCCATGTAACAAACTTGCACAGGTACCCCTGAATCTAATGTTTAAGAAAAAAGAAATGCTTGCGTTCTGCTTCCTTCAAAACTCAGTTCAGCATGGTTGGTGCAACTGAGGAACTAAGGTTATATTTTACTTCATTTCATTTTAATTTTTTTTTTTTTTTTTTGAGACAGAGTCTCGCTGTCGCCCAGGTTGGAGTGCAGTGGCGCGATCTCAGCTCACTGCAAGCTCCGCCTCCCGGGTTCATGCCATTCTCCTGCGTCAGCCTCCCGAGTAGCTGGGACTACAGGTGCCTGCCACCATGCCCGGCTAATTGTTTGTATTTTTTAGTAGACAGGATTTCACGGTGTTAGCCAGGATGGTCTCGATCTCCTGACCTCGTGATCCGCCCGTCTCGGCCTCCCAAAGTGCTGGTATTACAGGCGTGACCCACCGTGCCCGGCCCATTTCAACTTAATTTTTAAGGCTTGAAGCAATGTAAAAGTTTGTTGTTGTTAAAAACAACTTTGAAATGAGTCCACGTTTCCCTTAAAATGCCCAAAGTTTGTTGGTTTTTTTTTTTTTTTTTTTTGAGACAGTCTCTCTCCGTTGCCCAAGCTGGAGTGCAGTGGTGCCATCTTGGCTCACTGTAACCTCTGCCTCCCAGGCTCTAGCGATTCTTGTGCCTCAGCCTCCCAACTAGCTGGGATTATAGGCACGTGCCTCCACACCTGGCTAATTTTGTCTTTTTAGTAGAGACTGAGTTTCACCATTTTGGCCAAGCTGGTGTCAGACTCCTGGCTTCAAGTGATCTGCCCACTCTGGCCTCCCAAAGTGCTGGGATTACAGGCGTGAGCCACCACACCTGGCCAATGCCCAAAGTTTCACATCCTACTTAAGATATGCTTTAAGTGTAAAATACACATCAAATTTTGAAGATTTAATAGAAAAAATGTAAAATATTCATTTTAAAAGTGATTACATGTTGACATAATGTCTTGGATATGATGGGTTAAGTAAAGTATATTAAATAATTTTTCAAAACTCAGTTCAAGCATTGAACAGTAAGTTCTCATACCATTTTCTCCCCAAACACTTGAGTCTGGCTTTTAGACCATTGAAACTGGAACAATTCATCTTTCTTTTTGTTTAAGAGGTGGGGAGCAGAGGTCAGAGGTTACTAAATTAGAAAATTATACAGAGTGCTTTTCCACGGACCGTATTAGAGGCCATTCCTAACTAGGTAAATGGAGAGCATTCAGGGTAGATCTTGCGTTTTCAGTCAGGAGCCAGCTTAAAGGGCAGAGATGATGGGTTATGAGTCAGAACCATGAGGCAAAGGAACAGGTGTCTATCAAGAGGGGTCAGCCCTCCCACAGGGGCCTTCCTGAAGAGGCTGGTTCCCCACTTGGGGACTTGGCCAACTTGTTTTTCTCCATCTGACTCGGGTTTTGCTGGCCTAGGTCTGGCTGCCTCAATTACTAAAAAGACAAGGTCAATAGAAGGGATGTGGAAGAATAATTGGGAACAGAAAAAGGGTCTCAGAACTCAACAGCCAAAAAGAAGGCAGCTATCTGCTCTGAAAGATTTAACAGAAATAATGCAAAGGAGAGTGAGGTCAGCTGCCAGCAGCTTAGATGAAGCGGGGAGAGTGGATATGATACAAATGCCAGTGGAACAGGCAGCCACACACCCTGCCAACGTCTTGGAGTCTTAGAGGTCCTCAGCCCTTTCCTGTGGAAGCATCCACTTTACTCCTCACTGCTTGACTGACTTCTTAAAGCAAGGGCTTTTAACGGGGTCTGGGAATGGGTTCATCAGTGGACTTGAGAGAGTCCAGAAATCCCTGGAAATGTAAGTAGATTATGATGTGTACATATTTTTTTTTTCAGGAGATAGTTCATACTTTTTTATCAGATTTTCAAATTGCTTTTAGACCCACAGAAAGTTAAGTGGCCCCCACTGGAGTACATCCTACTTAAGCCAGCAGGAATGCCAGCCCTTGGTAGGCTTCCTCAGTAGGCTTCCAGGACAGCCTCTCCACAAACCAGCTCTTGCCCCAGCACCAATAATGCCCCTCATTCTGTCCCAGGTTATATCCAGGTAGCTTTTCTATTGCTGTCCCCACGTCCCCACCCCTTGTCTGCTGCTACCTCAGATAGAGCCAGAAAGTGACCTAGTCGTTCCCACGCACAACTCTTTGCTGTAGCAGCAAAACTTTCCTTCCCATTATCTTACAGGTAGAGATGGAGAAGCCTTCAGATGGTACTTGGCAATCTTCCAGGGATCCACTTTCCATTTGCACATTGTGTTACCCATTCAGCAGTGAGCTTCACTCCCTGTCTGTCACCTCACAACTTCGCCATTTCCCATTGTAGTGTAACAGGGTCATGTTCTCCTAGCCTTTAGCTAAATTCTGGGCTGGTTTGCCTTCCCATCACCAGGTATCTCCTCCCATTCCCCCCACCCAACTAGATTTCAGCAAACACTATTTATTTTAAACAAGTAACCTTACAATTAGATATTGAGGTTTGTGCCAGTTGCCCGTTTCTAGAATTCTCTTAACAGTGATCCCTTCAGTGATGAGGAAAAGAAGCCTCTAAAACATTTCTCACTCACCCCTTGCCCCCGCTAGAAAGGTTGTTCCTGTCTACACTGAACAGTTCCAAATCACAGTAAGCACATAGAGGTCAGTGGGTTTGGATCAAATCCCAGCTCACCCCTCATTATATGACCTTACACATCACTTAACCTCCCTTAGCCTGTTTTTCTTTTCTTCATCTGTGTAACAGCAACAATGCATGCCACCTGCCACATATCCCTCATGGGCTTGTTGTAAAATTCAGTGAGAAGATGATGGGTTTTTCAGTACCATGTCCAGCACGTGGTACACATGCAACAACCACCCAATCTGATCCGATCCTGTTGGTAACACTGGCGCCTCTTGTTTGGGAGTGAGACTCCCTCAGTAGAGGTTGTGGATTAAGTACTAGGGATCTTCTGACTGATTGTGGCAGCCTTGATGCTGATAAAACTTTGGGGAGTGCTCCTGGGCCCGTTATGCTGGCCTGGAAGAGTCAGAGGAGTCCCACATGTTCCTTCAACTGTGCATGCTTCAGAAAACCATCTGACCGTGAAAATGATGTTTCTCTCCCAGCACATTTGCAGGTCGGCCACACTGGCTGGATGGGGAGAGCTGTATGGACGCTCAGGCTACAACTATTTTTTCTCAGGTGAATGTTGAACAGCATCCTCTGATGTAGAATGAGAACCCAGTCATAGAGAATAGCTACCCGGGCCGGGCGCCATGCCTCACGCCTGTAATCTCAACACTTTGGGAGGCCAAGGCGAGCGGATCCCGAGGTCAGGAGTTCGAGACCATCCTGGCTAACACGGTGAAACCCCATCTCTACTAAAAAATACCAAAAATTTGCCGGGTGTGGTGATGCACACCTGTAGTCCCAGCTACTCAGGAGGCTGAGGCAGGAGAATCGCTTGAACCCGGGAGATGGAGGTTGCAGTGAGCCGAGATCACGCCACTGCACTCCAGCCTGGGCAACAGAGTGAGACTCCGTCTCAAAAAAAAAAAAAAAAGAATAGCCACCCATGACCACAATAGTATAGGTAGGGGGTCTGAGTGAGCTGGGTGGAGATCAGGGGCCTTCCTTTGATCAGGGACCAGGAGACAAACAGGAGTTCACCTTAGAGGTGAAGACTACCAGGCATATGGGGGCATACTGTGTCCTTAGGAGTAGAGCCATGTAGTCCCAGCCCACCCTTGGCACTATGGGGAAGGAGGCTGGTGAGGAGGCCCCTGTGTGGAGCCCTGGGTCACCAGCCTCAGTACTGACAGATAGGTTTCTCTGGCAGGGGGTGCAGATGATGCCTGGGCAGATGTGGAGGACGTCACGGAGGAGGACTGTGCTCTTCGGTCAGTGCTGGGTTGCTGTGGTCAGGGGCTTGTGTTGGGGATGGGGTGTCTGGCCAGAGATGGCCATGTTCATATTGTCCGTGGGTATTTGTCACTGGTTCAGGTGAGTGGATTGGCTTCTTCCTCTTCTGTCTGCCAAGTCTGTGCCCCTGAAATATGGCTGTTGAAGTCCACTGGGTAGCAGCCAAATACCTGAGCAGTCTGTCCCCATCTTGACTGCACACCTGGATTCACAGAGAACATCCCACTCTTGGGGTTCCTGGTACTGCAGGCCCGAGATAGGGCCCAGACATCTATATTTGTTTTAAAGCCCCACAGAGTTGCCAGTTTGCAGCTATGATGCTGATTACCAACCTGCCAGATCTCACCCAGTACAGCTGGTACTGAGGCACAGGGCAAGGGCTACAGTCCATACATAGGAGACATGAGGTCTAGCCTGGAAGGCACATTTGGAGACCAGATGTGTCACAGCTGCATGATTGGTACTACACATAAGAAGAGCTTGGTACAGAACAGGAGTTTGAGTCCCTATAAAAGGAGGAAATGGGCTGGTTCACACTCTTGCTATCCGCTTTCCAAATGTTTTTAGAAAACAATACTACAGGATATTTTAGAAAAGCTCCTTTGCATGGTCTGTACCACATGGAAAGTCTTTAACTGGTGTCAAGCATCTCTGGAATGCACACAAGCACCCTAGTTAAGATCAGCTTCCCAAATCATAGTTCAGTTCATGAAAGGGCATCTTGCTATGCCCAGGTTCTGCCTGTTAGCTCTGAAAGCAGCGGCTCTGGCTTGTGCTCAAGAATGTTTGGCTCTTCTCCCTAGATCAGGTGACCTCTGCCCAGCCAGGTCACCATCTTCAGCATACACTGTTCTTAGCAAGGAAACTGCTGGGGACAACAAAGCAGTGTGGATTAAAAAATAAAAAAGTAATGGCGACTGTTTATGCTTTCTACTTCTGCCTGTATCTGCAGGGCTGATCAAAAGGCAGCAGTGAGATAGAAAAATTTTATCTTTCTCTTTGCTTCATCGGCCTGCTAGGTAGAGGGAATTTACTTGCTAGTATTTCATAATCAGTTGATAAAATAGCTCTAAAAACTTTATCTGTACAAGTATTTCAGACTGCTACATTATGAGCAAGTCATGTGGCTAAAAATGATCATAAATGGGGGAAAAGGAGGGGGTGGAAGGGGATCAATTCTAATGGAAACGGAAAGATTCTATCAGCCACCAGCCTGCTGCATTTTAGAACGCTGAGATTATTTTGAGTCTTCTGGCTTAATGTCAAGCAATGCCAGAAAGTCCTTTTCCATTTCCACCTGCAAATTTCTCTTCTTTGAAATACATCCCAGAGATTGGGGTAGTCTCTTAGAAAGTCACCTTCCCTGCAACCTCGCTGAAATCAGTTGTCCTGTTTGGCACCCATGCGTCCACCTAGCACACGCCCCAGCTTCTGGAGAAGAGTGACATCCATACTTCCCTGAATGAGTGCCCACCCCCAAGCTCCTGTGAGTGAACATGCCATGTAACTTCTCCCTCTGGCTCTTTATTTCAGAAGTGGTGACACGCATCTTTTTGATAAGGTCAGAGGCTATGACATCAAGCTGCTTCGATACCTGTCAGTCAAATACATCTGTGACCTGATGGTGGAGAACAAGAAGGTGAAGTTTGGCATGAAGTAAGTACAGGCGCCCACTACAAAATGAGCAGAGGCAGTGTGTACAGATTTGCAGGGCTGGCGTTAGTATGTAGCTGTCACTGCGTGCTGGCCTTCTTACAAAGGGCTTTCTGTACATTATCTCACTGTATCTTCAGACAGCCCTGCAAAATAGGTACCAGTGTCCCCCTCTTACAGACACTGAAGCACAGAGAGATGAAGTAGCTTGCTCAGGTTGTATGTTAGTGACTGAGGCAGCCATCAGTCTCTACCCAGTGCTCTGCTGCCACCTTCTCTTACATATCTCTGTATTTTTTTTTTCCAGCTCCATGTTCTATGCCATGTGTGGCAGATTAGAATCTCTTAATTTTTTTAATTTATTTTTCATAGTGACAGAGTCTTTGTTGCCTAAAGTGGTCTCAAACATGTGGCCCTAAGCAGTCCTCCTGCCTCAGCTTCCCAAAGTGCTGGGATTACAAGAATGAGCCCACTGTGCCTGGTCCTAGAATTTCTTTTAAAATTGAACAAAAAAATCAGCATATATTCAAATTTTACTTCAGTGACTGCTGTCATATAAAAATAACACATATGGACCAAATTCAAATATAAGAAGTCAAAACTAAAAAATAGAGCCTGGGTTAGTGATGAGACTTCAGGAACTTTTTCCAAAATTTTGTTTTTTAAATGATTTTTAAATGTTTTTAAATGATCCTAAAAGGTGGTCTTAGAAAATAAGGCATACTGAGGCTAACGTTAGAGCTCACCTATCTTCAGATCTGAATATTGCCTTATTCCTCCCATCCTTTATCTGTCAGAGTCCCCAGTGTTTATTTTCAGATGCTGTTTGTTCACCCTGTTCAGAAGTGGGCTCAGTGACTATTAGAGAAGACAGGAGAGCAGAAAAAAAGGGTTCCCATAGGATCATATTATTTGGCTCTCATCTCATTCCTGGGTCAGAGTGGCTACACTGTGTGCATTTTGGGGTCAGGTGGAAGGTTGTTTTCCACCTTTAGGCTCTGATTGAGGCTTGCTGTAGTATTAGAGGGGGAGTAACTTCCCTTGGTTGATATGTTGGAATAGGGGCAGAGAAGGTAGAGTTCTTTTTTTGACATGGAGCCTCACCCTGTCACCCTGGCTGGAGTGCAGTGGCACAATCTTGGCTCACTGCAACCATCTGCCTCCTGGGTTCAAGCAATTCTCCTGCTTCAGCCTCCTGAGTAGCTGGGATTACAGGAGCGCGCTGCCACACCCCACTAGTTTTTTATATTTTTGATAGAGACAATGTTTCACCATGTTGTCCAGGCTGGTCTTGACGGGGTTTCTCCATGTTGGGAACATGACCTCCAGCCGATGCACCCAGCTGAAGTTATAGTTCTTAATTGTACAAAGTAGGCACTGCTGAAGGGAATTATTAACAATGAAGAATAGTTTTTTTTAGCAGAAGCTTCATTTGTGATTATAACCCTTATTTGGGGAATGGTGTGTGTTTGTGTGTGTGTTGCGACACTGTAACACATTGTATCCTTGTCTTGTAGTGTAACCTCCTCTGAGAAGGTGGACAAAGCCCAGCGCTATGCCGACTTCACTCTCCTCTCCATCCCGTATCCAGGTAGGGGGCTCTCTTCTAGTGGCAGGCATCCTAGGACTGGGGACCTTGGGGGCCATGAGCAAGCCCTCTCTACTTAGTTACACTGGCGCCCTGGGAGCTTTCCTGGAGGGTTTGTGTCAGGCAGTGTAGGACATTTTGGTTCCCAGTCACAGGCCACACTAAGCATAGGATAGTGTCCTGGGGAAGGGGCTTTCCACTCAAGGGGTTTAGGGATTTTGTACTGTCACTGGTCCTAGCCACAGCCTTGAGTGAAGTACTTCACCCCTCCAAGCCTCAAGTTTTCTCAGGAGCTTGGAACGATTTAGCTCAGTTTTGATTTATATGAAAGTGGTCTGTGCATGAAAATACTGTTTAAGTGTAAAATGACATTATTAGTACTCTGTGTGAGCAACTACACTTGCTGCTGTAGCCTGAGTGGATGTCACCCTTTGGGTGCATGTCTTGAAGTGATTGAGTTATTTATGGAAATTGCCCCAGGCAAGGCTATTCTGGTGGTAGAAGAACACATAATTGCTATGTTCCCAGTAACTGGACAGTGGCCACACCATGTTGCAAAGCACATTGGTATCCACAAAGCTGCATTTGTTCCTGGCACATAAAAGTGTGTGCAACCTGTGGCCAGGGCTGTATTCTCTGCACTGGATATTAAAGCTGTTGGTCTAGTGTGTAGCATTCAAGTTTTCTGGCAATACCTGCCTGTTTAGTAAGGGAGGCCAAGGACCTCTAACATCAGTGCAAGATGTTGTCAGCAGACAACAGGGAGTAAATACTCTTTCTCCTTAAAACCTCTCTCCTATTTCTCAGCACCAGCATCTGCCTTCAGTGTTGTGTTGGACCTTATCTCCTCAATATTGGGGCCACATAGCCATGAGCAAGGGCAGGCAGGTTCATCTAGTGCCTTGTGGGAGGGGTGTCCTCATCATGTGCAAGCTGGGGGCAGGAATCCCAGCCCTAGCACTGTGTCTCCTTGAACAAGTCCTATAACCCTTCTGAGCATCAGTTCCCTCCTTAATAAAATGAAGATAATGGTGCTTATTTAAGAGTGAAGTGCCAGACCCCTCCATAACAGGTGTCCTGTAAATAACAGGCCTAATGATGAGTAGTTGGGAAAGCTTCAGGGAACCTCCTTTTCCCTAAAAGCAAGTTTGCGCTGATGCAGATGATGATGATGGTGGTGATGATGTTGATGATGGTGATGATGATGATGATGATAATGATGCTGGAGTGAGCTTGGCAGTATCAGACCCACACTGATGGGTGTATCCTACCTAAGGGGGTCCACACTGGAACCACTGGGTAACTCCATAGCTGGTTTTCAGACATAGTTTCCAGCTCCCAGGAGATGCTTCGGGGGTTCCACAGACTGAACTCTGCAGGTTTGCACTGCCTGAGGAACCAGGCATCACTTCGTTTAAATTTAGGTTCCAAGTAGGACTTGGTTTGGAAAAAATAGTTTTGCTAGAAGTATAAATAACATTGCTCCAAAATAGTAGCACAGTGTCCTTTCTGCTGTAGTTTGGCAACTTGTTACAGGACTCCCAAAATGTTATCACCCTTTGACCCAGGTATTTTTCTAATAATTGGTCATTAGGCTGTAATTCAGCCACTTGGTGTTGAGGACGTTCATCATGATGTCTATTTGTAATAGCAAAACAAGAAATGTTTTCACTAATCAGAATAATGATTGAATGATGGCACATCCCTCAGTAGAATGAAATATTGTATAGTCATAGAAGAATCGAAAATGGGCTGGGCATGGTGGCTCACGCCTTTAATCTCAGCACTTTGGGAGGCCTAGGCAGTAAGATTGCTTGAGCCCAGGAGTTCAAGACCAGCCTGGGAAACAGCGACACTCTGTCTCTACCAAAAATAAAAAATAGAAAATGCTTACACTTTTTGACATGGAAAACGTCACAGAGCTTAAGATAGGCAGGATACAGAATCACATAGTATACTCTCAACTAAGTAAAGGAAAATGTGCTTATAAAAAAGGCTTAAAAGGAAGTGTGCCAAAATGTTAAGATGCCTGAATGCTTTCCCCAAAGCTTTTTTTGTTATAAAAGGCATCAAAAGCCGAGTGCAGTGGCTCACGCATATAATCCCAGCACTTTGGGAGGCTGAGGCAGGCAGATCACCTGAGGTAGGGAGTTCAAGACCAGCCTGACCAACATGGAGAAACCCTATCTCTACTAAAAATACAAAATTAGCCGGGCGCGGTGGCGCATGCCTGTAATCCCAGTTATTCGGGAGGCCGAGGCAGGAGAATCGCTTGAACCCAGGAGGCGGAGGTTGCAGTGAGCCAAGATTGTGCCATTGCACTCCAGTCTGGGCAACAAGAGGGAAACTCCGTCTCAAAACAAAAATAAAAACAAAAACAAATAAAAGGCATCAAAAGAGACCAAAATTTGTATGTACTGTATCTGACAGTGTATGTGTGTTAGGGAGGGTAATGAGGATCAATAAAAATAAAAAAGCTGGAGATGGGATGAGACACCATTGCACACCCAAATAAGGGGGACAGGAGAATCACTTTTTATTTGATAGACTTGTGTTCTTGTGGGTTTTTTTACATAACTTCTATTACTTTATAATAAGAAAAAGAAATAAAATTACTATTACCCAAACCAAGTCACGAGCTGCACTTTGATGCTATTTAAGGAATCTCAGTTGAGCCCTGTGATGACTTTGAGGCTCATACAGGTACTCAGTAGTCTCAGTTCTAGATGTGTCACACTATCTTGGGCCCTTGGAAATGAGAAGTATTCTGGGATCGTTTCTTTCAGCACACCAAAATAGATGGTCCCAAATTCTGCAGCACAAATCTAATTTGTTTCCTCCTTGAGTGAATGGCACTTCTCATCCTGCTTTTGGTCCCTCTCCTCTTGCCTGACAGTGGTTCCGAAGCCTATTCAGGTAATGAACATTAGGCATTTGCCCTGAGTAGAGTCTATTTTAATTCTGTTTCTCACAAAAACTGCTTCTGCATCATAGGCGGGTCTGAGCTCAGCCTGAGGCCTGCAGTGTTGATTTGAGCAGCTAGAGTTGGGAAAACAGCACTTCACAAGAGCTCTGAGGGATAATTGCTGTCTCTTCTAAACCTGGGCTCATAACTCAGGGCCTCTGTCTGAGATCTATAATTCTTCTTTCTCCCAGTGAGGCTCCCAAGAATAGGCTAAAGTGTTATGGCTGAAGATTGTTTCCAGACTTCTCGAGGCCTGGGGATTAGAGTGCAGGGTGTGTATGGAATGAAAGCCACTTCTGGAAAACATGGGCTGGGTCTCCAGGGAAGCTTTCCTATCTTCCCTGAGGTGGCCTCAGACAGGAACTTGGCCCAAGAGTTGCTGCGACATTCCATGTGAATCTTCTTTGTGGCTACTTCCCCTGAATTTGGACGATTGTTTTCTTGCCTCTGGGACCTCACCAGACTTGGAGGTGTGGCCAAAGCCATGTGCCGTCTGAAGTTTGTGTAGAGGCCCTGATTGAGGTGCTGAGAATAACTGCAAGCTAGCCAAGTGCCTTCTCCCACCATATTTCTTGAAGCCACCAGGAGCTCCTTGGAGGACCAGATGCTCTCTGTGCTATAGTCAGACTCAGCAGGGGCAGGCCACAGCCCGGGGGGCAAGACGCATTCTCTCTGACCAAGGCAGCCAACTCCAAGCGCAGAGCAAAGTAGTTGACTTCACGCTGTGGGCTGGCACTGTGGGCTCTTGTTGCAGTGGCAGCGTGATGACAATAGTGTGCTGCCATTTGAGTGTCACTTGGACCAGTGCAGTGCTAGGTGTTTTATATGTATTATGTCATCCTTAAACAGCCATTTTACAAATGACAAAATCAAGGCTTAGAGACATTAAACAACTTGTTCAGCGTTACAGTGTTAAGTAAAAAGCTGAGATTTTAAGCTGGGAATGTTGCCAAAGCCCTATTCTCTCCAGTGTTTCTCTCTGTTCCTGAGGGCTTGTCCTGGTGGAGTTACTTATGATTTTTCCACCAAAGAATATAGAAAAGTGCCTCTTTGCTTGCTTTGTTGGGCATGGCAGTGTCTCTTGAGCACCGGGTTTTAGGCACTGTCCGTGGGCCTTTCCAGTATGTTAGGATGTTCAGTCTTCACTAAAAGCCTGCAAGGCTAGCATTATTTGCCCCCATTTTAGAGAAGAGGAAGAGTGATCCTCTGCAGCTAGGCTGCAGTGGCTCACGTTGTGAGTCATGCCTTTGTTTACTGGGATTGGCACTACAGAGACCTGTAGGACAAAGGGACTTGCAATGTGGGGGAAGTGACTGGTGACCAGTGAGCATAGATGGAGAAAGTTACAAAGAGGCTGAGAGCAGGCAGTGCCTCGTGGAAAAGGCATGCAGCCAGGAAACCAGAGGGGCTCTAGAGGCTCGCCCCTGGCTTTTGCCCACCCGTGTCAGCCTTGGCCTCACTGAAGCCACTAGCTTGGAGAAGTGTGAGTTGGCGGCCCCCTCTCCACAGCACTCAGGGACCTGGGTCTGGCCAGGGCTGTCTCAGAAGACTTTGGGCTGGGAAGGGAGATGTCATAACTCTGCCCTTCTTTTCCAGGCTGTGAATTTTTCAAGGAATATAAAGATCGGGATTACATGGCAGAAGGGCTCATATTTAACTGGAAGCAGGTATGAGCAATAACATACATCAAATTGGATCTATGTCTCTTTGTAAAGGGAGGCCAAGGAGAACAACAAGCAGTCTTTGGGGAAAACAACAAGCAGTCTTTGGGGAAAATAACTCCCCTTTCCTCCCTGATTGTTTCTGTCTTCCTCTCCCTCTTCTCCTTGTATATACTTGTTAAATTTTCATCATTATACTTTCCTCCCCCCTTTATTTCTCTTTTGTTTAAGGGAATTTTTCAGAAACAAGATAGGAAAAGCCCTTCCCTTCTGTACTCTCTGTGTGAAAGCTGGGGGCAGCATTCTTTGCCTTCCCCAGCCTGTAGGGGCAGGCTATGGGAAACCTGCCGGAAGCTGAACACATATTGATCTTGCATGTTTCAGCAACAGACATCAAATGTCCGACTGAAAAACTCCTACTCAGCTATACTGATCTGGTCACATTGATTTTTAAGCTGTCACTCCCAGGTAGCACAGGTATCTGGCCCAGAGAAGGCAAGCACTGCCTGTGGTAGTCACAGCCTCAGGACTGCAAGCTTCCCCATCACCTAAGCCTCCTCTGGTGGCCAACCCACATCTCACAGGAGTCTTTCTGTCCCCAGGACTACGTTGATGCCCCATTGAGCATCCCCGACTTCCTGACTCACTCTCTGAACATTGACTGGAGCCAGTATCAGGTGAGGGGCCTGACTCAAGCATTGAGGGCAGGATAAGGGAGTGGTGACCAAGGAGACTCTTGATGCCTGCCCCACAAGGCCCTCGTGTGTTTGCCTGATGGGCTGGCTTGTGCACTCAGATGCCTTTGGCCCTCTGTCCTCTCAGAAAGGAGGAATTGTGTGTCCGTTCAACTATCTCCTGATTTGCTCATGTCCCAGAAAATCAAAGCTTTCTGAACGTGACTCATTCAAAGATTTGCATCCACCAGGGGGTTCTGTTTCCAGAGGACCTCATAGAGTCTGCTATTCCAGATCTGGGCTTTAGTTACTTTTACATTTTTCCTTTTAAATGTGTGTTCAGCCAGAGGAAGTACAGAGCTGCCTGACCTCATTTGATTATAGAAACATTAAAATTACTTCCACCATGCTCTTCTCCGTCATTGCACACCATGGAAGGGGCCTCTAGTCTTACTGGAAACATCTCTCTACCCTTAGCCCACACAGTCTGAAGGCTGCCAGCAGCTTTGCTTGCCACTTGCTTCAGACAGAACAAGTAGTTTTGTTTTTCTGCGACCTTTCCCATGTCCTGTTCCTCTGCCTGGCTGCCACCTCTCAGCTTCCTCTTGTCTGGCTGACATACTGCCCTTCAGGCTTTGGCTCGAGTGTCTGCTTCAGGAAGACTTCCCTGATCTGCCTCTTCCTTATCCCTGGCGAGTTGGATGCCTGCATCTATATTCCCATTAACCCCCTGGGCACATCCATCATGGAATTTTCCACTGAGCTGTAGTCACTGATTTAGAGATCTGCTTCCCTGAAATCCTGGAGGACAGGGACCCACAGCTTGTGTGTCCCAGCACAGAAACAGGCACAGAGCCTAGAACTTGAAAGACTGAGCCAGTGAGCAACAGAAAACATTCTGCCTCCCTGCTAGTTTCCCCTGTCCCCAGGTCTGGACAGCTCCCACCCAGCCTTGAGATCTCTCTTTCTTTGAAAGGCTGACCCATCTATGTTAAGCAACTGGGTGCTCCTAGATCACCAATGTCAGTACCCTGTTGTCCTGATAGCAGCAAGGTCCATCTTGTTTTCTCTATATATATCCAGACCCTAATCACAAGGTTTATGCTCACAGCAACTGTTTGAGTGTATGAAGTAGGGTGATGTCAGAGTTCCCCAATGCAGGTGTTTGCAAGAGAGGGAGCACTGGGGAGGAAAGCAGACCAGTTGTTTGTTATGGTCTGGAAGCCTGGAGAAGGAACAGGTTTGGGGTACCTGTGCTGTGGTCTCATGTCCCAGGCTGTGCCTAGACAGACTGAGTAGATAAAAGAACCGGCAGGCTTCCTTCTTTATGTGCTGCATGCAGAGGTCAAGTAGACTCTGCCCCAAGCCACCCTCTTTCTGGTCCCTTCCGGCACCATTTTTTCTCCTTATGCAGGTACAAACTGGATCTGATGAACTACTCAGCAAATGAGATGTGACAGTTCCAGGCACTGGTCCCAAGGATGTTTGCCTCTTTAGGAAGGGGTCCTGTGCGTGTGAGGAGGTACTCTGCTTAGTAGATGCAGGCCCTAGATCTAGGTCCCAGCTTGCCTGGCCCTTCCTGCAAGGCTCTGTGGCCTTGAACAGATGACCTCACTTCCCCCTGAAAATGGTGTTGGCAGTACCTATTTCAGAGTTGTGCCAGGCTCAAATATGATCACTGCTTGAAAGGGACTCCTGAACTGAAATACCAGACAGATTGTAATGATAATTATGAAGAGGCTGCTAGCTAGCTAATTCAGGGAAGTGAACACTGAAACTTCCAGGCGTGAAGGCAGCAGGGCTGGAGTGTAGCAGGCAGGCAGGCGCCTCCCAAGAGGCCACCTCTTCAGTGTTGCTCAACCTGTTTTGTCTCACTGGGGCTCCTAGCATGCTCTTCCTTGGCTGGGTGTGGGCTCTGCCTTTTCTGCCCGCAAAGCCCTGGGGTGCCGGTACCCTGTTCCTTTTCACCATCTCCCCAGGTGATCTCATCCATCGTCCACACCATGAGCCCACAGCCAGGCCTCTCTGATCCATACCTGCATCACCTTTCACACATGTCCCTTCAGGCGGCCCCTCAGACTCAAGCTGTCCAGAGTAGAGTTGGCCATGGCCCACCATTTACCCAGATGCTCACACCTGAAACTCGAGTTCTTTGCTCCCACCACATCCATCACCAGCTCCCATCGGTTCTCTAGTCTCTGCCCCTAGTGCAACTGCAATCCTTCTTGCCCTCGTCTCCTGTGCAGTGCCTAGCTCAGGCCACCACTGTCTCAGTGCATCTCACAGCTGAACCTGGGGCCTCACTGAGGAGTAACTAGAAATGAAGTGCTCAGATAGCAAGCACTGAAATGATAGAGCAGGGCCATCACTGTCACCCCTGCCTTAAAACCTACCACTGACTTCCCATTTTCCTCAGAATACAATGCAAGAACTTGTACATGGCCTACCCAGCTCCATGCAGTCTGGTCTTGCCTGTTCTTGTGACCAGCTGATCTTCCTGCAGCCCATGGCCGGGCACGGTGGCTCATGCCTGTAATCCCAGCACTTTAGGAGGCCAAGGCGGGCAGATCACGAGGGCAGGAGATCGAGACCATCGTGGCTAACACAGTGAAACCCAATCTCTACTAAAAAATTAGCCGGGCGTGGTGGCGGGCGCCTGTAGTGCCAGCTACTCGGGAGACTGAGGCAGGAGAATGGCGTGAACCCGGGAGGCGGAGCTTGCGGTGAGCTGAGATCGCGCCACTACACTCCAGCCTGGGCGACAGAGCGAGACTCCGTCTCAAAAAAACAAACAAACAAACAAACAAAAGAAGGCAGCCCTCTCCAGGTTCGCACGTGCTGTTTTCTCTGCCAGAAACACGTGTCTCCTTTCTCTGTTGCTTATGCTGTCTCATGTCATCACCTCTGAGAAGCCTTCTCTGATGTCCCTACAGATCAGGCTTGGCTCTCCAGTCATATGGTTACACAGCATCCTAGAGGTCCCCTTTTAGTTGCACACCTGCAGTGGTTAACTTTGTCTTCCCTCTCCCGTGACTCCATGATTGTTGAGGTCATATTCACCCTTGTGTGCCTGGTGCCAGGCCCTTCAGGAGGCATGCAGTGTGAGGCTTACTGAATGAATGAATGAGTGAATGAATGAATGATAGGAGCAGTTGTGGCAGGACACATGTGTCTTGCTGCCCTCCATGTAACCGAATTGAATTCCGTAGAGGTATGCCCCTTCTTTCTGTGTCCTAAGACCCCTCCCTGGGGCTGCTGTCCCTCAGGCACTCAGCATTGCCCCAGCTATGAAGAAGCAGCAAGGAACATTCTGCAATGACCTCCTAGTCCCTGAACACTAAGCCTTAGAGATGCCAAAACAGCCTCTGCCCTCATGGGGATTAGACTAGGAAAAGAGGCAACAACGTAACCATCACCTACATTACAGTTTTTACCAGTGGTCACAGAAACCCCAAAGAGAAGATAATTGGTCTGGGCCTTTGAAGGATGAGTAGGAGTTTACCAACCAGCAGAAAGAGTACTCTAGGCATAGAAACATAAGCAGAGGCATGGCATTTAGCTCAGCTCCCAGAGACTTTTTCATGAAGCACGTAGGATGAGAGAGTCAGGCACGAGCCTTGTTTGTTTGTTTGTTTGTTTGTTTTTTAGCATATCTCCTCGGTCATCACTTTGAGCAGTTCCCTCAGACTTCTGCTTCTTACTCTGGTGTTATAGGAAGAGTACCTACAGTGATTAAGAATGTGGACTTTGGAGTCTGGCAGGGCTGGATTTATCCCTCAGCTCAGCCGTGTGACCTTGGCCCTCTACCAGCCCAGCCCTCCCCAGCCTGTAGTTCCTGCCCCAGCCTTGGGAACTTGCTGCCCCTCCCTGATGGTCAGCATCTCCTCCAGACAGCCGTCATGGTGGCTGGCATTCCGCAGCTCTCTTGTCCTCGGCAGGGCCTGCCCTCCCCGGCTGCTGCAGTCTTCCCCTAGCCCACCTGACGCTCACTGGGCTTGGTACAGTGCAGCTCTTACCTCCCTCTCCTGCTTTTCCTTGCCCTGTGAGAATCACTGCTCCATTGGCAATGGTGTGTCTGACACGTTGAGCCAGATGAGTTGAGAGACCCCTTGTGCAGCTACTGATAATGACTTTATTAGCACAGCACTACAGCGCCTGTCTCTGTAGTCACTAAAAGTGGGTCAGAACTCTCCAGGGGCGTGGGAGGGTCAGGTAAATGAGGCTGTTTTAAATTCCTGGGAAAGCCACTCCAATTACAGGTGCCGTGTTCCCCCTCCCCCTGGGAAGTGCTGTTTTGCTGGCATGCGTCACCCTCTCTGCACAGCCCCAGAACACTGCTAAGCAATTGTATCTTAAGAGAACAGAGACTGCCCCAGCTAGGGAAAAGGGTGCCGCAAAACTGGGTCAGGCCCTTCCATGGAGTTCCAGGTTCTGAGTGGGCTGTTTCTTAGAGGGTCTGGACTAGACCTTGCACTTGGGCTAGAACAGAGGTTCTCATCTCTTTAAAGCTTTTGCTTAATTTTCCATCTCCCACCTCATGGGCCTCCTTTTTTAAAAGACTTTCCCTGCCAGACAGACTCCATTTATTATTCATCAAAAGATAGTATGCAGTAAATAGCACTAAAAAGCAAATGAAGCATGTTTGAAAAGGTTGATGTTTTAGTTTCTGTGATGTGATGGCATATGAAGGAATGAATCTTTATGTGGCCATTTGGAGACATTGGCTACAGCCTCAGGGCTCTTCGTTTACCTTTACTGGCTTCCTGGACAGCCACACCAGGAGCCCAGCACTTAGAGGACCCTAATGTGGGCAGGGGGCTCTGGGTCACCCTGGCCTCAGCATCCGTTTCTGTTCCTCACTCTCACATTGGGTCAGAGCCCCCCCCCCGCCCCCGCCCCCCGAGTAGGGGGTCCACAGGCTGAGTGGTGGAGGGAGAGGTGGTAGGAGCTGCTGGAGATGGAATACGAATGTCCCAGATTATCTGGGATTCAAAACCTATGGTCTGTAACCAAGGACCTTGTGTAGTTGTTGCCCCAGAATAACTCTTGGCATTTTATTTTTTAAATACTTTAAATTCTAAATCTGAGTTAATGTCCATTTCTTCTCACTTTTCTCCAACAGTGTTGGGATCTGGTGCAACAAACACAAAACTACCTGAAGCTGCTGCTTTCCTTAGTTAACAGTGATGGTGAGTCTGTCTCCTCCAGAGCCCTCGAGCCACTGCACCCTTGGGGAGTTCCCAGTTCATTCTGCCTCAACTGTATGTTTGTTGGAGTTGCACACCTTACTTTTGTGCTGTGGGAGAGGAATTTGGGGAGTTCCTAGAATCCCAGAGGCTGGGTGGGATTTGTCCATTGGTGGCTTTATTCCATGTCCTCAAAATCCTAGAAAACAAAATTAAGAACTCCTTACCATCTATGCCGTGCACAGGGTATTTTCACACTGTCTCAGCATTGCACAACAGCATTGTGTGTGGGGCCAGGATGGGCCTCTCATTCAGAAAGATGAGGCATGAGATGAGAGAATCAATCCGGGCTGCTCAGTGGATGCACACAGCCTGTAGAGGCCCTGTTCTCCAGAGTCCTCCACCCAGTTTGGCTGTTTTGATTGGATGGGCCTGGCTTGCTCAATGTCTCTAGGGCAGACGGACTCTAAATCCCTGGTAGCAATCAGGACTTCTGTAGGAGTTGCACTTGCTCAAACAAGTGGAAATGCATTGGCTTATGGAACCAAGAAGGCCCAAGAACAGAGCCAGGTGAACATCATAAAGAATCTTTCTCTGTTTCTCAAAACCACTGTCTTGGCCTCATGGCTGGCAGCCATTCCAGACCTGTCTCCCGCCATCTTAGCTCCCCCAGGGGAGACTACCTCAGTCTCTGGAGTTCCAGTAAAGGTCTGAGCTTATGCTCATTGGCCCAGTTTGGGTTAAGTGCCCATCCTTGAACTAGTCGCTGGAGGGAGATTTGCCACAAAGTCGCATGCCAGCCCCTGGAGCCAGGCACTGGTTCTCTAGCTGCGGGCATTAGCACCCCTCAAAGCACTTCTGGAAACGTGTGTCTGGCATGTTAGGTGCTGCAGAAACTAGAGGGTGGGGAAGGTAGTACTAGCATGTGGTTAGAGTTGGCCAGGGATAGTCAGTGTCCTGCAATTCATGCAGCCCTGCACACTGAAAAATTGCCCACTCCCGCTACCCCCCAAAAAAATACTTGTCGTGCCCTCTGAGAAACTGGGTAGGGATGTCATCCCTGCCTAAATGACCTGGGCAAAGTGGACTGTGTAGGCTGCACTGTGTCCCCAGAAGTACACTGAGAACTATAGTCAGAAGGAAGAAAGGAAGCTACAAAGCCAGACGCCTGCCACTCACCCCTTTCTGGGACTAGGCTGGAGAAGAGCCATGGGGAGGCCACTGGGGAAGACAGAAGCTGGTGGGGCCTGGCTCCCTCCACCAGGCCAAGCTGGTGGTACTTCCTGCTCATCGGCCCATGTCTGGTTCTCTCCTGGGCATCCTCTCCTGCGGTTCCTGAGTAGATGACAGCGGGCTGCTGGTACACTGTATCTCAGGCTGGGATCGGACCCCCCTCTTCATCTCCCTCCTGCGCCTTTCCTTGTGGGCTGTGAGTATGAATCGGCCCCTACCAAGCTCTGCTCTTTGGGTGTGTTAGGATTGTCTCCAGACAGAGGGTGGAGCAGGGGATGCCATCGCTCAGAGCAGATGTGTTTAACCCTGTCCTTCCGGGTGTTCTTCAGCCTGCGTTGTCACTGGGTCTGGTTATGGTTCAGCTCCTGGGGATGAGAAGAGGGCTCTGTCACATCTCCTGTGGTCTCTTCCAGGATGGGCTCATCCACACGTCCCTGAAGCCCACTGAGATCCTCTACCTCACTGTGGCCTATGACTGGTTCCTCTTCGGGTAAGCCTTTGCAGGAGTTGGGTTTTGGGGCCTTAGTAACAGTTTCTATATGTGAGTTGTGTGGTGGCTCCCTTGACAGGGGCTGGAGGTAAGGATAATTCCACCCCTCGAGAAGGACCGAAGCTGCTGATCAGGCCCCACCTGCCACGCTGGTGCCAGTGACACAGTCTGTGTCTGGTGACCCTGTCCTCTTGGCCTTGTCATCTTGGTGCTGCTGACTTTGCCTCTCTACCCTCCTTTTTTCAGGCACATGTTGGTAGATCGGCTCAGCAAAGGGGAGGAGGTGAGTATACCACCTACGACTTGTGGGCACAGCTCAGCACTGAAAGAGGGGCAGTGGGTAGCCTGTCTGAGTTCCACGTGTTAGGGGCAGCTCCTTGCCCCAGGTGTGCAGGGATGTGGCCCCCTGTCATCTCCTCCTGAGGCAGCGTGGCAGGACAGGCACCAGCACAGTAGCTCTGTGTTCTGGGCCTCGCGGGCCTGTGCTGTGGAGAGGATACAAGCCCACACGTCGGGGTGAGCAGTTACATGACAGCCTTGGCTGCCTGTGATCTTCCCTCTCACAGGCCACTTGTTCTCTCTGCTCAGCTCTGGAACCCCATCCTCTAAGGCCTTTCTGTGCCCCTCGTCTCTGCAACTAAAATGCAGCAGCACTTCTCTTCCCCACCCTCCCGTCACACCCTTCAGCCACTTTTCAATGTCAGGGTGCCCGGCAGCAGGGTCCTGCCCCTGATGGTTGCCTCCAGGTCCCCTTTCCTCTGGACCTGCTCTTCCTTCCTCTTCCAATGTGCTCAGCACTCTCTCCCCCATGCCTGTCGCCTTTTCTGCGCCCCCATCCTGTCGGCCACTCTCCGCAGGCCTTACCTGTTAGTGCCTGTTTTCCTTGCAATGCAGGTCTGGAGTCGGCCCTGAGTGTGTTCCCTAGTTGGCCCCCTTACTGCCTGGGTGACCTTGGGTGGTCTGCTTCACCTTGAGTCTCCTGGTGTCAAGCGTGAGAGAATGAGTCCAGGTGCCCAGCATGGAAGCTGTCCCACGGTGTCAGCTCCTTCTCTTTGGCCCCCACTCCCCCATTTTCCCAAAGTGTGTTTCTCATCTTTCTCACCCTCATGGGGCTGCTTCCTTCCTGGGCATCTTATCTCGCACCTCCTCCTTTTGTTCCTCCGTCTCAGCTGCTCCTCTCCTCTTCCAAATCTCTTCTTCTGAACACTTATCGCGTCTGCCAGGGCTGTAGAGCTCTAAGCCTACTCCTCAGAGGCCTCCGTGAACTCCCTCAGAGGCGGTGACTTTGGTATTGAAATCAGTGCTTCAAGAAGCCTTTTTGTAGCCTCTCATTTTGGGACTTTCCCGGAGCTCTGGGACATTCTACCCTCCCTGTAGTCTCCCTCCCCGACAAAGCAGACCAGATCTGCCTGCAGAGGGTGGGGCTGAACCAAGTAGTGTCTGAGTTTGAGCCCTTGGCATCTCTCCATGTAGACAAGAGGCTCTCCTCAGCTGCAGGTTCATCTTCAGGACCTTTCTGTTACCCCCCCCAGACAATCCAGACACTGATGCGTCCAAAGCAAAAAACCCCAGGCCTATTAGTTAAACACGATTGTGTCGTCTCCCCACCTCACCTTGGAGGTTCGGGGAACATATTAGCATATTAGCATATTAAAGACTACAAAGTCTGTAGTGAAAACACCTGTTTAATCTTAAGTAACACAACATTTTCATACTGACCCGACCTGGGCAGCCCTCTCCTTGTGGGGGGCAGCTCCTTGCCTGGGCACACAGAGATAAGAAACTGACAGGGCTCGTGGGATGCCAAGTAGGGATTTCTCTGAGAGAGGGGCTCATGGGCCAGGCCTTTGGGAATCACCACAGAAATGGAAGCCTGGTGTGTGCTTCCTGGAGGCCCCTGGGCGAGGCACTGGCTGGAAGGGAGAAGATAATTTGCTCATGGAGGTGGGGGTGTGGCTGGGGTCAGGAGCCTCCTGCCTGTGCCCACCTCAAGCTTAAGACCTGACCCTCACAGCTCCTCAGCAAGGGAGGCTCTAGGCCAGACAGTGGCTGCCCACACCCGCAGTTCTGAACCAGTATTTTGGGATGCCTCCCCTAAAAAATGTGATTCCTTTCCTTTCCATTATGTTCCTGCTTTGTCCATTATTCTCCCTGCGCCCAAGTCATCTCTCCCGCAGCTATCCTTCCCTGTTAGCATCTCTCCCTGGGAATCTTAGAAGAGGGGAGAGGGTGCCATTTCACTTTATCCTTTTTAACCACTTGAGAACACACATGTTGAATTTAATGATGGTTTGAAAAATCACTGGCCTGGCTGGGCACGGTGGTTGACGCCTGTAATCCCAGCACTTGGGGAGGCTGAGGCGGGCGGGTCATGAGGTCAGGATATTGAGACCATCCTGGCTAACACGGTGAAACCCTGTCTCTAATAAAAATGCGAACAATGAGCTGGGCATGGTGGCGGGCACCTGTAGTCCCAGCTACTCGGGAGGCTGAGGCAGGAGAGTGGCTTGAACCCAGGAGGCTGAGCTTGCAGTGAGCCGAGATCACGCCATTGCACTCCAGCCTGGGTGACAGAGCGAGACTCTGTCTCAAATAAAAAAAAAAAAAATAGCTGGCTTAACCCTGGCAGTCCCAGGAAGGAAATCCCTTCCTGCCTTGCCCCGGCCCACATGCATCTGCCAGGCCCTTCCAAGGCCTCTGTACCACCCACACCATTTATGGACCAGAACACCCACACAGTCCCACAGCAGGGCCGCTCTCCAGCAGGGGCCTTGACCTGAGTGGCTGGCCGCCCTCCCCTGGGAGTTCTGCTGCCTTGGTTCTTCTCATTGTGCGCTGCTCTTTGGTCTCCTTTAGATTTTCTTCTTCTGCTTCAATTTTTTGAAGCATATTACCTCCGAGGAGTTCTCTGCTCTGAAGACCCAGAGGTAAGTGGAGGCCTGCACGTGTCATGCTGGGCCAGGGCGCTCTGAGAAGGGCTGCTCCCTGGGAGGCAAGAGGCTGACCACCTCATTCCCGCCCTGCCTCCCTGCTTGTTGGGCTGGTGCTCCCTCCTGCCTTCGCTCTGAGGCCAGGGTAGGGGTCCCTGCTGAAGGCCACTGGTGAAGAGGCTCTTCTGCAGGGAAGGCCATGTGGGGGTCAACTTGGAGTCACACTAGCAGACAGGCTTTGGGACAGACGAGTGGTCTCTCATGACCAAGAAAACAGGTGTGTTGCTGCAGGGAGAAGCCAGCCCAGGAGTAGGAGGACTCTTAACTCCCAGTGTGCCCAAGCTGACTCTTGTCCTCCATGGCCTACAGCAGGAAGTGTGGCTGAACACTGCAGCCCCCTACAAAAGGGCAGAAGTCTGCTTCCGGCCTGGGAAATGCAAGAGTCTTGGCTGGCAACTGCCTTAGGACCCCTGTAAGAGTTGGGGTCTTGCCTGAGTTGGTTTGCCTTCCTAATCCGAGCTACAAGCATGTTGGGCCACACTTGAACGCTCAGGGCACAAGCTGATGAGGAGGATGCAGACCTTGCTGCCCTCAGAAATCTTCACCTGTGTGTTGGACAGAGCCTTGCAGCGTGGGTCCCAGAAGTGGCCCTGGTGTCTTATAACACTCCCTAGGCTAGGACCCGTCTCCACAAGTTGCCAGTGAATTGAGCTGCTTTCCAGGACAGGCAGGATTGGGAACGGGGGACACAATAAGACCCCAGATAGATCTGGAATTTACTGCTCCGGCTTCCATTTCTAGGAGGAAGAGTTTGCCAGCCCGGGATGGAGGCTTCACCCTGGAAGACATCTGCATGCTGAGTGAGTCCTGGGCCCCAACAGACTTCCCTTCCTCCATACATCTTCCCGTGTACAGATCAGGCAGGAACTGTTTGTGCTAAGAGGTTTTTTGTTTTTTTTTTTTTCTTCCCAGTTATGTGGTATAGAAAAGGTGGGGGACCAGTAGTGGGAGAAGGTAACACGCTGACTGATGGCACTGGCTTCTTTTAGGACGAAAGGACCGTGGCAGCACCACCAGCCTTGGCAGCGACTTCTCCCTGGTCATGGAGAGTTCCCCAGGAGCCACTGGGAGCTTCACCTATGAGGCCGTGGAGCTGGTCCCAGCAGGAGCGCCAACTCAGGCAGCTTGGTAAGGGGCCAGACTTGGACCAAGGTCACTCACAGCTGTGGCCCGGGGCCATCAGCACCAGGGAGCCAGGCTGGAGCCCCAAGAACAAAGCAGGCCCCCAAGAGAAGAGCTGAGAGGATAGCTCCGTGCTCCTGCTGTCTCTACTGGGCCTCAGAAGTCAGCCATCTGGTTGGTGAAGGGCACTGCCTGTGGTGGCCCAGGAACATAAAGGGCTAGGGCTCCCTGTGGGACAGAGAAGCAGCTGGGCAGGGTAGGGCAGGGGTCTGGGGAGGCTGGTATTGGAGGAGCTCCATTTTATCATTTGTCGGGGAGATAGGGGGCCATTTTGGAAAAAGAAAACCAAAAGGTAGGTGTAAGTTGATGGGGAATTGGGAACTTGAGGGTCAGCTCCTTTGAGAATCTCATGAAATTGAGACCCTGATGACTTTCACCCTGGACAGATGGCTCAAGATGTTGCATAACAAAGTCCTGAGTGGTGGCTTATATTTATAATCCCAGCACTTTGGGAGGCCAAGGCAGGAGGATCACTTGAGCCCAGGAGTTTGAGATCAGTCTGGGCAGCATAATGAGACCCCGTCTTTTAGAGGGGGAAAAAAGATTTTGCATAACATATGGAGGTGGGCAGTGACTGAAGAGTGAGGAATCATTTTCTAGCACATACTTCAAGACCAGTAGGCTGGTGTGATTTGGATGCCACAGGCCCTCCATAAAGACCCAGCCCTGCTGCCCATGGCCCTGAGCTGGAGAGAGTGCTAATGTTTGCCAACTCATGTGATGTTTTCCCAGTGGAAGTAAAGCCTAGGCCTGAAATTCAGTGAGGGTGGGCAGAGGGCTTTGCCTGCAGTGGCCCCCGGCTCACAGCCCTGCTCCTTCCACTGCAGGAGGAAGAGCCACTCATCCTCTCCACAGAGTGTCCTCTGGAACCGGCCACAACCCTCAGAGGACCGCTTGCCTTCCCAGCAGGGGCTGGCGGAAGCCAGGTCTTCCAGCTCCTCTTCCTCAAACCATTCTGATAACTTTTTCAGGATGGGTAGCAGTCCCCTGGAGGTCCCCAAACCCAGGTGAGGAGCTCCAAAGCCCTTGCTGTTGGAAGTGCCTAGCTTTCCCCCTTAATAAGACTGGAGGGTCGGGGGCCAGCACCTGAGCTAGGGTCTCAAGATGGGGTTCCTAAGCTTGCAGGCCCAGTATTTGGAGGATGGGTTAGTGTTTGGTAATAAAGCAAGGGCTGATTTGTAGAGTGGTTTGAGACTCCTTCCTCGAACCCTAGCATAATGCAGGGGAACCCAGAAGTGCCGTGGCTGTTATGTGATAGGTGGGGAATAGGGACTGCCTCCACTTGTTACCTTTGGCAGATCCCAGCCTCCTAGGCGCACCTCCCATTGTGATTGAAGAGATAGATCTAGATTCTGAGTCCCTTCTGGCTCCCACATCTAAAGTCTGAATTGGTGGGGCAGTGAGAACAGTGTTAGGGAGCTGAGCTACATGTGTGTGGCTGGGACAAACGATGGTGACTGCACACCTGGAAAGGGAGCAGCTCAGCCAGGATGGCCATGCCAGGGCCGTGGCTGAAGGGCGCTGCAGGAATGGTGCCTCCTGGGTGAGTTTAAAGCTGAGCACAGGCCAGAGGCTAGGATTGAGGGCTGGTCTGGCACTTGGGGAAAGCATTTCCTACCACTTTCATACTCCCATCGAAAGAATCCTGTGAATTGCTTTGTGTTCTAAAGTTTTGAGAATGTCTAGCCTTTCTGGAGTGAATAAAGCAGCGTGGGACTTCAGGCCCTTAGTGAATTCCAGGGAAAAAGGGGCATTTAGAAGAATGGGCATGAGCTTTGGCATCCATCCCAGGTTCAAGTCAAGCTCTGCCACATGTCCATGTGATTTTCAGACTCAGTTTAGTCCTTGGTAGTAATAGGTCTGTTAAGAAGAAAAACATTCTGAAACTTCTGGAACCTTCCTCCCATCACCCCTCTATGGTTTTTCCCTCTGGGCAAAAACAGGCAATGAAGGAAGTTGGGGAAGAACATCCTCTGCACATAGGCAGAGCAGATAAGCGGGAGGCAAGTGGGCGTTCCAGACTGCACTGCCCACAGGGGCCCCATGTGCTCACCCCTGCGTGAACTCTTCAGCTCAGAACACTGCCTGAGTGCTGGAGCTGAGCCTGTGAAACCACCGCCACACGCCGTCTGGCCCCATGGGAGGTGTGGTGGAAGTGGTGGGGCAGAGATGGGGCCAGACAGACAAGCCCATGTGCCGGTGCCCCGTCCCATCCTGTGTGTGCATGCCTGCTGCCGCACCACCCTTGTCTGTGCCCAGCTGTCCTCAGGGCCACTCTGAGGCTGCAGTGGCACTGTTTGACCCTCACTGTTCTAGGCTGTGGCTCTAGGTCATGGTTCCTGCCCCCTTTTCTGCCTGTCCAGCATTGCTGAACAACTAGGGAGGAAACCAGAGGTTCCTCTTGTCCTCTGGGTCCTGCCTCAGTCTTAACTGCCCAGAATGCAGTGAGCTCCCAAGCTGAGGCAGCACCCCATCACCCGTTACCACACCCTGGCTCTCCATCTCCTGCCTGCCAAAAGATCCCACTTTCCAATCCTGTGATAGTGTCCCTCAGTCTCACAGGTGACTTTCTGCTTGCAGGGCGTGTCTCAGGCTCTTGTAGCCAGTCCAGGATGGCCACCAAGGCCCCCTCTTGGGAGGCTGAGGAGAATTGGGGTTGTCCTCCTGACCTCAGAGCCCTGCACATGGGGGCTTGGCCAAGCTTGGGATAGCTGGACCAAGATGGGTGCAAGGCTTTGAAAGGTGTGGGGTGGGCAGCTGTGAGGTGTTTGATCTTTCCGCTGGTCTGTTTGGGGGATGCCTGTCTGGAGCCAGACTTCTTCTGACTTGGATGCCTGTTGGTCAGAGGTTTTGAAAGTCTAGATTACTCAGATTTGGAGCATTCTAATTATGTATTTCCATTACCATTAAAATTAATTTAGTCTCTTATCTTAAAGTGCCTAAGGGATCCTGTCATTACCCTCCCTGCTTCTTAGGTAACAATAGCCTGTGAGGTCTTTAATGTGGTAGGAGAAGCTGTTTGGAAAGAAACCTTTTAGTGAAGCTGTCTGTGACAGCCAAAATTCTCCTAATGTGAATTCTTTGGGTTTTTATACACTCCAAATTCTACAGGCATCTCTCTTTTAAAGCAGGATTCCCCCATGGAATGAATCTGTGAAGCTTTGTTCAAAGTTAAGTAGTAGGTATGAATCAGGTTGGGAAGAAAGTTCTGTGGGGTGCCAATTCTTACTAACCCCGAGCCCACAGCCCTTACTGGCAAGCCCAGTGGTTTTTAATCATTGTTAGCTGTTGTTGCTGCAGCAGCTTCTGATTAAGTTGCATTTCTGGACCATTGTTAAATCTCTCATCAGCGACAGGGTTGAGGGCTGGGACAGGCCAGGACCAATGCTCTGAGCTCACATGCCTCCCCCAGCTCTGGTTAGCAGGTCGCTCCACCTTGCATGGCCTCGGCCTCGGCCTCTGCTCTGGAGTCATGCATCCTTTAGGAGTAGGGAGGTTGCTAGCACAGGATTGTCCATGCCCAAGGAGGGTTGGTGCCACCACTGAGCCCAGCTTGAAGCCAGGCTACCTGAAGAGCAGGTGAAGTTTGCGGAGGGATGCCCAGCAGCCTGGTTGAATAGCTGAGTAGCAACACAGGGACCAACCTCTGCTGCCCAGTTAGCTACTCTTCCCCCAGCCACCACCACCTGCTAACTGCTCTTTGAGCAACGAGCTCTGTCTTAGGCTGTCTGCTTGTGGGTGGGAGCAGGGTAAGTTTAGATTAGGTGACAGCCAGGTCCCCTCAGAGCCCAGGATTCTATATCTTAGCTCAAGTATTAACTCTGTGTGACTTCATGACATGTCACTTGATGACTTTGGGTTTCCATTTTCTTATCTGTGTAATCAGAGGCTTAGGTAACGCCAAGGTCCTTCCTAGCTGTATACCTTCAAACCTTCTGTATCAGCCTTGTCAGATGTTTTCAAATGCAAGTAACAGAAAACACATTTCAAACTGACCGAAACAATAAAGGAAACACATTTACAGTCAGCCCTCCATATCTGTCGTTTCCACATCCATGATCAGCCAACCAGATTGAAAACATTCAAGATAACATAAACAATAGAAAGTAATACAGATGTGAACATGCAGTGTAACAACCATGTACAGAGCACTGACACTGTATCAGATAATCGAGATGATTTAAAGCATATGGGAGGATGTGCATAGGTTATATGCAAATACAAGTGACTCTTGAACAATGCAGGGATTAGGGCTGTCCCCTACACATGCAGTTGAAATCTGGGTATAACTCTGACTCCCCAAAAGCTACAGATAGCCTGCTGTTGACTAGAAGCCTTACCAATAACATAAAGTCAGTTAACACATGTTTTGTATATCTGTTATATACTGTATTTTTAGGTAAGCTAGAGAAAAATAAAATGTTAAGAAAATCATAAGGAAGGGAACCTATATTTCCTGTGTGTTCAGTAGAAGTGGATCATAATAAAGGTCTTCATGCTGAGGAAAAAATAGAGGGAGGGGCTGTCTTGCTGTGTAGGGCAGCAGAGGCAGGAGATAATCTGCATATGAGTGGACCTGTGCAGTTCATGCGTGTGTTCAAGGATCAGCTGTGCTACTACATTTTATGTAAGGGACTTGAGCATCCAAGGACTTGGTATTGGTGGGGTGGTAAGTGGGTGGCAATCCTGGAACCAATTCCCTGCAACAAAAAGGAATAATAAGGAACAACTGTATATGGAAAAGCCTAGTGGAAAATCAGTCTTCAGGTGCAGCCTGATCAAGGTTCCAGCTCTATTTCCCCGTAGTTTGTTCCCATTGCCTCCTGCATGTTAGCTTTGTTCTCTGGCCAGCTTCCCTGATGGTGGCAAAATGGCTGACAGCACCTCCCAGGATGACACGCTGCTTCCTTTCTCACATCCAGGGTCAGATGAGAGCCTCTTTTTTCAGTTATAGGTAGAAGCTGTGTGCTTTACTCCCGTTGGAGGTTACGTGGTGGTCCATGAACCAATTTCTGAGTCACCCACCCCTTATCAGGAAGAAAGATGAGTATATTATCAGCAAGGGCTTTGGTCAGACCTGGGTTTCCGTCGTAGCTTTGCAGTCCTAGCTGTCTGACTTGGAAAAATCACTTCCTTTCTGAGCTCAGTTATTTTATCCTGTTTTTAAAGGGGGAAAAATGATTCAGGCCCCCCTCCCGTAAGTTTGGGTTAAAATGAAATAATGGGTTGGGCATGGTGGCTCATGTCTGTAATCCAGCACTTTGGGAGGCCAAGGTCAGAGAATCGTTTGAACCCAGGAATTCAAGACTAGGCTGAGCACCATAGTGAGACCTTGCCAATACAAAAGATAGATTAGATAGATAGATTGGATGGATGGATGGATGGATGGATGGATTGGGATGGACTGGGATGGACTGGGATGGATGGAGTAAATACTCATAGTAGATACCTTTTCACGAATGCTCAGTAAACTGTAGCTGTGGTTAAGGACTTGGCCTTAGTCATTTGTCCGAGAGCCTGTAGGCTCTGTCATGGCACTAGGCAGCTGCGTAAAAGGCCAGGCCTCCATCCCGACCTGTGTATTCTTGCCTGGGTTGAGCCAGCTCGGTTTGTGTGAGTATTCTTGTACCCCCTTCCAGAAAGGACTAGCTAAAAGACACCTGCTCTGAGTTGGCCATCAGCAGGGCATCGGGGGAGTTGGGAGCCGGTAGGAACTGCAGCTCTGGGTGCTGTGAAGAGGGCCCTGAGCCGCATCCAACTAAGGAAGTGAAATGTTGCTGAGCTCCCACCCTCCTAGGCAGAGGTCTGAGCCGCTGGGATGTGGACAGGTGACCTCTGAAGCGTTGTTCAGCTCCGCCACCATCCAGTTTGAGGGTTGCTTGGTCCCATGTTCTCTCCAGTCCTGTAGTGGGAGAGCAGAGGGGGTGGAGCTTGGATCCCTCTGTTTGCTGCTCAGGGCAAAAGACTTTGGGCTCTTGTTGAAGCTGGTTAAGTTACCTGTGTTCTTAGACTGACTGGAAGGCTTTTCCTCCCTTCTCAGTATGTGGGCACAGGTCCTTACTCCCGGTGACATGATGCACTGTAGGTGTCCCCTGCAGCCAGCTAATCCATGGTGGTATTTGTGAACACCTTCCTGCTTAGCATGGCCCTTTGCTCTCAACCCCAGGAGCTGAATGGTCACTTTGTAGCCCTTCCTTTGACAAAGGCCTCACGTAGGAAGACTCCTTTGTAGCCAGTGTGCTCACTCTTGAAAAATCCCAGAGTCTGCAGAAGATGGCTGCTTGCTGAGAGATGCTTCTGTCCCCTGGGATCACACACCCTGCTGCTGTCTGTGCTGCCTAATCCATCCGACAGCTGCTGCAAGTGCGGTTCTTGGCCGGTGTTACCTACTGAGACATGGGGGAAGTAAAGGGAAGTGACAAGCCCAGGGGACCTGGAATCCTTGAGGGGAGCCAGTCAGTAACTCCATCCCATTGGTCATGTTTCCCTTGCCAGTGTTACTCTTTGGCTCTTGGGGAGTGGTTTTGGGGCCTGAGAAACTTCCCCATGCTCCCAGCCCCAGCTGTGCCTCAACCTAGTCAGCATCCCTTCCATTCCCTCAACATTCTGGTTTTTAGCTGTTGTTTTCCCACAAGCTGCTAGAACTGGAAAAGATTCTACCCTGCAGCTTGAACAATAGACGAGATTTGTGGAGCTAGGATGCATCTCAGGGTTGTGCCGGCTGAAGGCCTGGTGTGACCTGGAGGGGGCACAGGGCAGGCTGCTCCTGGGGAGCTGTCTCTTTGATTTACAGACTGCCTGAGCCCAAGTTTCTCCATCTAGAAACAAGGAAGCCCTGCTCTGTCGGGCCCTAGGGGCTTCCGTCAGGTGACAGACCATATCCCGTTCTCATCCCTAATGCTGCCATCACGCACCTTCTAGAGTTTAGCAGGAATGATGAATGTGACAAGTCTGTATGTTGTAGGGGGTTCCGATTTATGGCAGCCTTAACATAGAAAACCATCTGTTTTCCCTGGTCCCAAGGTGGTTCTGTTTCAGGACAAATGTGTAATCATTCTTGGTTTTAAAAATCTCTTCTCAGCCGGGCGCACTGGCTCACGCCTGTAATCCCAGCACTTTGGGAGGCTGAGGCAGGCGGATCACCAGAGATCAGGAGTTCAAGACCAGCCTGGCCAACATGGTGAAACCCTATCTCTACTAAAAATAGACACAAAAAAATTAGCCGGGCATGGTGGCGGGCGTCTGTAATCCCAGCTACTTGGGATTACAGTTGGGAGGCTGAGGAGAATTGCTTGAACCCAGGAGGCAGAGGTTGCAGTGAGCTGAGATCACGCCACTGCACTCCAGCCTGGGCGACAAGAGCAGGGAAAAACAAAAACAGAAACCTCTTCTCACACTGTCTAGCTGTGATACCTCAAGCAGGTGTCTTCACCTGTCTTACAGATGGGGATGGTTAAGGATTGCCAGAGTTGCAGTGCCTGGCTGGCTGCACTCCAGTGGCAGCTGCTTGGGGATAAGACTAGCACGGTGACCAGTCGGGCTGTCACCTCAGACTAGGAGCCCTTGACATCAGCCAGCTGGGGGAGCCAAGGGCAGTGAACATTTTTCTCCACCCCCAATCCCTGCTCTTCATTCCTGTTTCTGGATCCCTACTGGAGTACCTCCTGCTGTTTTTGGATGAAAGAATAAAGGGTCAAGCATCAAAGATGATGTCCTGGGGACTGGGACCTGGGGTAGCAGGTGGAAGGGCCTTGTTTGATGTCTCCCTATTGCCTCCCCGACCCACACTGGCTGGACTACTGCCCAGGACAGAAGAGGGGGGTTGGCTGTGAGTGGGGAGGAGGTGGAAGCGGTAGATTCCCAGCACAACCTTCTTCCTCCCACCCCCAAAACCTCCATCTGAAGAAGGCCTGAGGAAGCTGTCAGGCTGCCTGCCTGATTCATCCCTTCCCTCTGGGCATAGCCACTGAGTCTGCTGGGCTGATGCTTCTGAATACAAACTATGGCACCTGGAAGGCACTGCAGAGAAAGGGGGGACCTCAGGGCTCCCATTCCATCACTCTTGAGTCTAGGTCATACCCTCCACAATCCCCAAGAGGCCCGTACTGTCTCTTCTGATGGGACTCCTGGGTTCTGTGTTGCCCACCCTGCAAATCTGCATGCCAGCAAGTATGGGTGACCCGGCTGGCTGCTGGGTCACCTTCATTTGGGTGCTAGCCTTGCTGCCTTCCTTTGGTGCTGTTGAGATTGTCCTTGCCGTGTTCACTCCCAGCGCAGGCATGCCCTGGCCCCAGGCTGTGGCTCCGATTCACTCTTACTGCCATGCTTTGTTCTCATTTTTTGCTTCCACAGTAAGTCTGCACAAAATACTGTCCTCACAGCTGAGCTTACCTGGTGATCTATTCTTTTTTCTCGGTCACTACTTGTCCAGCTTTTTTTTTTAGACTTTTGGAGACAGTGATTGACAACAGAACCTAGCAGCCAGGGCTGCGCTAGTCCCCTAGCCCCCTCCAGAGCCTGTGTCAGGCATATGACTGACTGCATCCTCTCCCCTCTCTCTCCTCTCTGCCCCAGATCAGTGGACCATCCCCTGCCCGGATCCTCTCTCTCCACAGACTATGGCAGCTGGCAGATGGTAACGGGCTGTGGCAGTATTCAGGAGCGGGCTGTCCTGCACACAGACTCCTCTCTCCCTTTCAGCTTCCCGGATGAGCTCCCTAACAGTTGTCTGTAAGTGTCTTGCTTGAGAAGGCAGGATGCTCCCCTGCCCATGGGAAAAGCTGGTGAGCAGTCAGGAGTGCTGGGTAGGAATGAGGCTGGCGCTCAGGAGCTGGCCTGGCCTCCTGCCCTCCCCTCTCTCAGCTGCTGGACCCGAGGTATGAAGGAGGCCTGTGGCTGGTCAGGAAGTGCACTGGTTTGTGTGTTCACTCTGCAGCCTCTAAAACCCATCCACTGGTGTCTCAGGTGCACCCAAAGGGAAAGCTGCTGGACTGTAACTATAGAAGATTCTATTTCTGTATAAGCCTTTGCCTGACATGAGAATCGTTTGAAGGCAGAACAGTGGGATAGTGAAGGTAGGTGTATGGTGGAGGCCAGAGCCAGAGTGGTGCTGGGTTAGCCCGAAGCTTTGCTCCTGAGCAGAACCTAGGGTTACTTGCTGTCTCTACCCGCCTTGTCTTCTGTTTTTGCCTCTGGGCAGGAATAAGAATTGGATGGGGATTCTAGATCCCACACCTACAAAACCCTGAGTTTCCAGCCCTTAACAGTGTGTCCACCTGACTGGAGCAGCTGCCTCTGGGGAAACCACCTGCCCCTGGCCTGTTCTGCCGCTTCATGGATGTCAGGCAGGAGAAAGCCTCTGGTGGCCAGGGGAGCAAGCCCTGCTCCTCAGCTGTGGTGCCTGAGGGCCTCTCAGCAAGCCTTCCATACCATGGGCTGGATGAATGGCACATGCTGGGGCCTTACCACCAGCACCGCAATCCAGCTCATCCCCCCACCCCTGTTGGCAGGTGGGAGGCAGGGTGCCTTGGGGAGTTGGGAAGGGAAAGGGGGCCCTGGATCCTAGCTGAGGGCAGTCAGGAGCCAGTCAGACCTTGAAATTCCAGGATGGCACAGGTCCTGGCTCTGCAGCTGTGAAGTCATCAAAGAGCTTCTGAGGTCACTGTGCCTGGCACAGCCTCCTCTGCAGCCAGCCCCTAGGCTAGAAACAAGATCTTAGATGTTCGAAGGCTTAAAAAAAAAAAAATTGCAGGCCGGGCATGGTGGCTCACGCCTGTAGTCCCAGCACTTAGGGAGGCCGAGGCGGGCGGATCACCTAAGGTTGGGAGTTCGAGACCAACCTGACCAACATGGAGAAACCCCGTCTCTACTAAAAATACAAAATTAGCTGGGCGAGGTGGTGAATGCCTATTAGTAATCCCAGCTACTCGGGAGGCTGAGGCAGGAGAATCGTTTGAACCTGGGAAGCGGAGGTTGCCGTGAGTCGAGATCATGCCATTGCACTCCAGCCTGGGCAACAAGAGCGAAACTCTCTCAAAAAAAAAAAAAAAAAATTGCACCTTTCTGTAAAGACTTCCTACTCCAGCCCCATTTGCCCAAGAGCCATCTCTGAAGGAAGCACAGATATCCCTGCTTGATAGCACTCCTCACTTACCTGGGGTTAGCCACTGAAACAGGCAACTCCAGCCCCAGATCACCCACCCTAGAACCTACAATTTAGGCCCCAGGCAGCACTCTAAGCTGCTAGCCAAGCCTTTAGTTCTGGGAGGTTCTCAGAGGAGGGCTGGATTCCGTATGATCTGAAGGCCTGCAAGACTGTGGGATGTGGTCAGAGTTGATTCCTGTGAAGCCGTGCAGCATGTGGGTTCAGCACTTGGGCTTTGTTATCAGAAAAACTTAAGGCCAAATCCTAGCTGCTCTATTCACCAGCTGTATCTTCAAGTGTCAGCCTTGCCTTTTCTGAGCCTGTTAGCTCATCTCTCAAGAAGGAATGGCACTGTAGTACCTCCCTTGCCTGGTGTGTGTCCTTAAATGGGTCACATAACCTCTCCTCTTTTCTCATCTCTCAGTAGGTGGTGGTCTCTGTCCCTTTCACCTCTCAGAAATGGGCAGCCATGTCAGGGGGGTGGGGCAGGGCAGTGAGAATGCTCATGTATGGATCTTTGGATGTTCCCTGTGAGTGTAAACTCTTGGTCTGTTTCTCCCTCGTATGCTATAAGGAGAAGCTAAGGCAAGCATGCATGGCCTTTGGCCTGTGTGAAATTAGAAAGTAAAAAGATCTCAGGCCATGCTTCTTCCCCAGTTGCCAGGAGAGACTTCAGGATTGTTGATGGTAGTACAGGAATCCAGTCTCAGCTCCATGTTCTTAGTGCTGCTGCAGGAGTGATTTGACTTTTCTTTGCCCCAGAGCCTACTGCTTCCATCTCTCACATTTCACTCCCACCGATCTGCTTTCCCTAGAGTCCTGTCTATCTCCCCCCATACTTACCTCAGGACTGTCATTTATCCTCAGACATCCCTCTGCTCCCACAAGCCCTGGGTACAAGTCATTGAGCCGTTGGGATTGGGTTCACTTCAGCTGCCTCTGACAGATTTCCAGGGAGGGACTGTCCAGGGATTGGTTTCTTGAGGGCAGATTTGGAGCAAGATTAGTAGGCATGGATGGTCTTAGTATTTAGGTGTATGGGAATGTGAGGGCTCTTCTCATGTAAGTCTGTGACCCCTAGAGAGGGCCCTCCAGGGACCCATTGGGGGAACACTATGTGAGTACCTGAACTTTGAGTCCAGAGTCCATGGGCCTCTTCTATTAAAGGCCCTTGGGGATGTCACACAGCCTCATGTGGAGTCATGCTTTGATAAGCCTGAGTTGTGCGCACTTGTTTCCCTTCTTGACTTGTAATTTCAGGGTAAGGAAAGAAGAGGGGCTTTCATCTGTGATCAGAGCCTACAGAGGCCAAGAGAGGAATGGGGAATAGAATCAGAACACAGATCTTTCTGGAAAAGCCAGCACCCTTTCAGCTGTTTACCTGGAAACCACAGTGACTGAAGGTGTAGCTAAAGCCCTAGAGGTTTCCAGTGGGGAACCCTGGCTTCAACCCAGCAGACAGTGGGTTCTTCCAGGGCAATAGCTTCCTCCTAAGATGCGTCATGTCTAGGCCTCAAGGCTGGGGCCTTTTTTTTCTTTTCTTTTTTTTTTTTTTTTAGACACAGTCTCACTCTGTTGCCCAGGCTGGAGTGCAGTGGTGCAGTCTGGCTCACTGTGACCTCTGCCTCCCGGGATCAAGTGATTCTCCTGCCTTCAGCCTCCCAAGTAGCTGGGATTACAGGCATATGCCACCATGTCCAGTGAATTTTTATATTTTCAGTAGAGACAGGGTTTTGCCATGTTGGCCAAGCTAGTCTCGAACTCCTGACCTGCCTCGGCCTCCCAAAGTGCTGGGATTACAGCCAAGGCTGAGGACTTTCAACAGCTGCAGCGTGCTGCCAGATTTCAGGGGCCTCCTTACTGTTAGGTATAAGACTTCATGCCTCAGCTTGCTCTTCCTGAGGAGTGGAAGCAGAGAGCTGCTGGGGCAAATTCCCTCCTGCTTAGCTACCCTCCTTCCCAGTGATCGCAAAGATAGTTATTTTCACAACAGGTCAGGTCAGGCCAGGCACAGTTGCTCACGCCTGTAATCCCAGTACTGTGGGACGCCAAGGCAGGCGGATCAGTTGAGTCCAGGAGTTTGAGACCAGCCTGGGCAACATGGTAAAACCCTATCATGGTGGCATGTGCCTGTAGTCCCAGCTACTTGAGGGGCTGAGGTGGGAGGATGGCTTGAGGCTACAGTGAGCGCTGATTGTGTCACTGCATTCCAGCCTGGGCAATAGAGTGAGACCTTGTCTCAAGAAAAAAAAAAAAAAGGTTAGTGTCCCAGTAAAAGCTCCTGCTCTAGGTGGGAACAGTAGCCTGAGGGCTTAGAGGAATGGTTTAAGGGAAAACAGGGCCAGATATTTGGGGCCTGAACCACAAGGATAGCATGGCCGTAGGACAGACACTGGCCTTGTACAGTCAGAAGAAGCACAAGGACAGGTGGTATGGAGGGAGGGAGGATGAGGATACTGGGTCCTGTCCCAGGGTAATGTCTTTGTTCTTTCTCTTGACCTCCCCATAGGCTTGCAGCCCTGAGTGATCGAGAGACTCGGCTGCAGGAGGTGCGCTCAGCCTTCTTGGCTGCGTACAGCAGCACAGTGGGGCTTCGGGCAGTAGCCCCCAGTCCTTCCGGTGCCATCGGGGGCCTGCTGGAGCAATTTGCCCGTGGTGTTGGACTCCGGAGCATCAGCAGCAATGCCTTGTGAAGAAGCCAGCCCATGACATTTTCCTGCTCCTCTCTCAGCTGAGCCCTTAGCAGAGAATCAAAGCCATGCCTGGCCGAAGGGGTACTTCCAGGTCAGGGGAAATTTCAGTCCCCCATCTCCATCATGAACATGGCAGCCCCAAAGCTGAGCAAGGCCAAAGACAGGGTTTTCCAACCCCCAGCCTCTTGACTGGTGACCACCACCCCTTCTTGTCACTGTCTCCCACCCACCCCATCTTTGCTGGGATTCCCATCAACTCTCAGAACTGTGTGGGGTTTCCCTGGGGCCTTGTGGAAGCCATGACTTCACAAAGACCCTACCTGTCAGTTCTTGTTTCTGGGGAGGAGGGATCACCTGCACTGAGAATGAGGCAGTTTGACACAGATCACAAAATAAAATCAAAGTCTTTTTGAATAGCCACTCTTGTGTCATCATTTGGTTATTGTCTTTGTGGAGCTACTAGGAAGGTTCTCATTGTCCTTCCTTGTGCTGGACAAGGGGTTTTTATGTGGAGGGCAGGTGAAACAGGAAGAGAACTGGCGACAGGTATACCTCTCCACTCATGAGCCATGGTAGTCCCTGCAGTGGGGACAACACTCAAGACTGTTGAGAGTAGTGGTTCTCGGGCCTAAGCAGGTCCTAGTCACCTAGAGAGCCTGATGAGCTGTGCACATTCCCAGGGCTGCCTGAGCTTTAGCCTTAGGGTTGCTAAGGAAGTTGCCTGGGAATTAGGAGCTGGAGGATCTTCATTTTTTTCAGATTTTTTGAGATGGAGTCTCACTGTTACCCAAGCTGGAGTGCAATGGCACAATCTTGGCTCACTGCAACCCCTGCCTCCTGGGTTCAAGCGATCCTCCTGCCTCAGTCTCCTGAGTAGCTACGTGAACGTGCCACCATCCCCAGCTAATTTTTGTATTTAGTAGAGATGGGGTTTCACCATGTTGGCCAGGCCAGTCTCAAACTCCTGAGCTCAAGTGATCTGCCTGCCTTGGCCTCCTAAAGTGCTGGGATTACAGGCATGAGCCACCGTACCTGACCAGGATCTTCATCTTTAACAAGTTCTGTAGGCAGCAGGGTCCTGGTACGGGTGACCTGCATCCCCTACCTTGAGCCCTGCCTATGGAGGAAGGACTGGCTTCTGAAGCTTTGGAGATAGCAATTGGTGTGCATGTGTGGTGGGTGAGAGCCTGGCTGACCACCACCCTCTTCTACAGTGTAACCTACAGTAGATTGCGTCATGAGAGTGTGTCCGCATCTGTAACGCCATGAAAGTCGTGAGGGTTAAAGGCATGGGCAGACAGCTTTGCACGGTGCTCAACAGCCACCATTTACTGTCATCATTGTGAATACCCAGAGGACAAATCATAAATACCAGTGAATGTTTACTGAGCACTTGCTGTGTGCTAAGTGTTTTCCTTGGGTTATCTCAGTAAAATTTTACAGCACCTAAAGTAGCTGCTGTTAAAGGCCTTTCTGACGGCCTTTCACGGTTGAGCCACAGAGATGTTGAGTAACTTGTCCAAGGTCACACAGCTACTAAGAGATGTACTTTTCCTATTCAGAGACCTAGGCAGGCTGGGAGTGGGAAAAGACAGAAACACTAAGGGAGTGGCTCAGTAAGAGGCAACAATTCCAGTGCCCACCAGGTGCCCCAAATGTTTCAGCATCATGGACAACTCTAGGGGGCTTGGGTTTCCACCCCAGAGACTTGCGCAGGGCAGACTCTACCAAGGTGTGGGTTGGAGTTGGGAGTCGGGGTGAGGTTCCCCGCTGGCTCCAGGCTGCTCCAATGGGGCGGGGGCCGCCCGCAGGGCCGGGCGGGGCTGTGCTGCCATCTGGAGCCGCTGCCGCCGGCGGCCACTGTCAGGGCGCGAGCGGCTGGAGCGCACGCAGGGCTGGAGCGAGTGCAGCCGCCGCCGCCGCCGACACCGCGGCACATGGGCCGGCCCCGCCGCTGCCGTCGCCCCTAGCCCCAGCAGCCCTGGTCTCGCAGCCTCCTGCGGCTCTGGTCGCCCGACCAGCCATGTCTCTCGGCGGAGCCTCCGAGCGCAGCGTCCCGGCCACCAAGATTGAAATTACCGTGTCCTGCCGGTGAGCGGGCCGCGCTGGGGAGGGCTTAGGCACTGGCACTGCCCCAGCCCCAGCCAGCCGCGGGGCTCAGCCTGGGCAGGGGCTAGACCCCCGGGGAGAGGCGAAATTGGCTGGAAAATCACAGCTGATGACAGGGCGAGTAGCTGGTGGGATCGAGAAGCGGGGGGTCTTGGGCAGCCCCACCCCGAAAAAAGGGCTCAGCCTGCGGGTTCAGGGGGTGGGTCGCAGATATCCGGTAGGAGCTCGGCCCCAGGAGGACAAAGTTCTGGGGCGAGCCCTCTTTCCTGGGCCCTTGGAGACAGTGTGGGTGCGTTCGCGTCCAGTCCGCAGAGCCATGGTTCCTGGACAGCGATTTCCGGTGCTGTCCAGAGTGCTGACAGAGCGGACCCCGGCTGGGGGTAGCCATGGGGGACAGAGGTTCGATGCGGGCCCCATGCCTCTCCTCAGTGCCCGGCTCAGAGCCGACTCGAGGCGGGCGGACTCCAGGATGATCCACTCTGTCTGTCTGTTGCTTTTCTCTAGGAACCTGCTAGACCTTGATACCTTCTCCAAGTCCGACCCCAGTAGGCGGCTCCAGGACCGGGAGGGGGAACTTGGGGTCTGGGCGCGACTCAGGGGCGGGTGGAGTCGGGGCCAGGGGTGGGAGCCGACCTGACGTCCTTCCCTCCCCGCCCCCACCTGCAGTGGTGGTGCTTTACACGCAGAGCCGGGCCAGCCAGGAGTGGCGGGAGGTGAGTCCCAGAGCCCCCTCCCGGCCCAGGGCGTCGCCCGGGAATTCCCCTGCCCGTCTGCACGTCCCACGCTGACCCTCCACCCCCCTACCCAGTTCGGACGGACCGAGGTGATTGATAACACGCTGAACCCAGACTTCGTGCGCAAATTCGTCCTCGACTATTTCTTTGAGGAAAAGCAAAATCTGCGCTTCGATGTGTGAGGCCCCGCCTGGAATTCTGGCTTGGCCCGCCCCCGACCTGGATCCGCCCGGAATTCTGGCTGGCCCCACCCCCGCCTCGCCTCCGGCCTGGTTCTTCTCGCAGGCCTCCCTCCCATTCTGAATGGCCCCCTCTAGCCTGAGCCCTGCCCTTTTATGAGATGCGGTCCAGTTCCGTCCCCCGCTCTGGCCCCGCCCACAACTCTGCTCCTATCGCAGCTCCACCTCAGGCCCGACCCCTTCCACACAACCCTGCCCCCAGCAGCCCCTGACTTGGCCTCGGCCCAGGCTTGACCGTCTGACTACTCAGCCCACCCTGACTCCTCCCCAAAAGGAGACCAAAGCTGAATTCGGGTCCACGGCCGCCCATCCCTCCACCCAAAATTTTCACCAAGACTCGGTGCCCGACCCCTTTCCACCCTCTCCCCCACCCAGCCCCACCCCACACCGGTTCCACTCTTTTCCCAGGTACAACGTGGACTCCAAAACCAACATCTCCAAACCGGTGAGCAAACGTTTCCTCGAGGGTTGGCGGAGCGCACAGGAGGCACTTAGATGTGTTCAACGACTCTCAGAACTCCTCCCAACCCTCGACCCAGACCCCATCTTCTTCAGGCCCCCAACCCACCCTCCTGGTCCCTCTCCTCCTGCCTGAGTGTCCTGCCTGTGCCCCCTACTCACTGTTCCTCTTCCTTCTTGGCTGCCACTGCTGGGACCTGCAGAAGGTGAGGCTGAATGGGGCTGGGCAGAGGTTGGGGGTGGGGGTGGTATTGTGGAGAACAGGCTTGGACTGATGACCCACTACAAGGCAGAGATTGCTCGCAGACCCCTTCTTTCACACCCCCTCCATTAAAGCCCATGTAGGGCCGTGGCTCTTGCACCACTCATTCGCCTGGGAACTGCCCTGGTCCTGTGCAGGAGCATCACTGGGGCTAGGCTGGGACTCAGCACTCAAGAGCTTCTGGTCTTGCTGACTCCTTGTCCTGCATAGGATTTCCTGGGACAAGCGTTCCTGGCCCTGGGAGAGGTGATTGGAGGCCAGGGCAGCCGAGTAGAGCGAACCCTCACGTAAGCTGAATAGGAAGGGGTGTGGGAGTGGGGTGGGGGCTTCCAAATTCTCCCTCCCAAGGATGCCGCTGACTGATAGAAGTGGAGGCTGGGGTTGCCCCTGGTCAGGAGCCTGCCCCGGCTCCCATCACCCTCGTAGAAAAGTCCAATTTCCAGTGCTCTGCCCGAGTCAGTATCAGGCCTGATATGTCTTTTCTTTTCTTTTTTTTTTTTCTCTCTCTCTCTCTGTTTCTCTCTCTCTCTCCTCACTCTTTTTCTAAGTCTGATTCAGCCTTTAAGGTCCACTTCCAAGCCCCTCTCCACAGGGAAGCTCCCCCGGACTAAGTCAAATCCTCAGGAATTACCATTACATCCACTCACTAAATATGCATTAGCATGTTTTATATCCCACACCCTGTTCTAGGCACCAGGGCTTCATTCATTCCACAAACACTATGTATACATACCCTATGTCAGCCACTGTTAAAGGGGATTAGCTTGCAATGGTGAACAAAACAAAGGTTCTTGTCCTCAGGGGGCTGATACTCTAGTTGTGTGGGGAGGACAGTACAAAATAGACATAAGTAAATTACATAATAGATTAGACAATATTAAGTGCTATGGGGAAAGAGACGAAGTAGAGCAGAATCAACGGAACTGGAAATAATGGGTGAGTGGGAGGTGCAGGATTCAACAGTGCGGTTGAGCAGGCCTCACGGACAGGTAACTTTGGAGCAACAACCTGAGGGAGGTAAGGTACAGACATGTGGAGGAAGAATGTTCCAGGCAGAGGAGACTGCCAGTGCAAAAGCCTGGTGCATTCAAAGAACAGCAAGGAGGCCAGCAAGACTGGAGCCAGGTGACTGGGAGGCAGGAGGAAGTGAGGTTGAAGAGCTAACAGGGCCTTGCAGCGGACTTCCACCTTTCCTCTGAAACGGGAGTCACTGGAGGGTTCTGAGCGGAGGAGTGACATGACATGGCGGCTTACAAAAGATGGTGCTAGCTGTGGGGTTAAGAATAAACCTTGGGGGCCAGGCGCGGTGGCTCACACCTGTAATCCCAGCACTTTGGGAGGCTGAGGCAGGCGGATCACGAGGTCAGGAGATCGAGACCATCCTGGCTAACACGGTGAAACCCTGTCTCTACTAAAAATACAAAAACTTAGCTAGGCATGGTGGTGGGTGCCTGTAGTCCCAGCTGCTTGGGAGGCTGAGGGAGGAGAATGGCGTGAACCTGGGAGGTGGAGCTTGCAGTGAGCTGAGATTGTGCCACTGCACTCCAGCCTGGGCAACAGAGCGAGATTCTGTCTCAAAAAAAAAAAAAAAAAAAAAAAGAATAAACCTTGGGTGGCCAAAGGTAGAAGCAGAGAGCCAATGAGAAGACTCTGACAGTAATCCAGGATGCTACCAGTGAAGGAGGGGAGAAGTGGTCAGATTCAGGATATATTTTAAAGGTGGAGCTAACAGGTTCCTGACAGATTGAATATGAATGTGAGAGGAAAAGAGGAGTTGAGGACAACACCAAGATCTTTGGCTTGAACAACAGGAAAGATGGAATTGACACAAACTGAGATAGTAGGGAAAAAAACAAAGGAAAGCCAGGCATGGTGGTGTGCACTTGTAGTCCCAGCTACTTGGGAGGCTGAGGTGGGAGGATCACTTGAGCCCAGGAGTTTAAACTCCTGGGCTCAAGCCTGGGTGACACCCCAAGCTGGGTGACAGAGTGAGACTGTCTGTGGACAAAAAAGACAAAAAAAAAAAAAAAAACGTGAAGGAGAAGCAAGTTGGAGGAGGAATTCAATCAAGAGTTCAATCTGACATGTTGAATTTTATGTTTTATAAACATATAAAATGTTAGACATCCAAGTGGAGGTATCAAATGAGTCTTGGATGTTGGTTTTGTTGTTGTTTTTTCAAGACAGGCTCTCACTCTGTAGCCCAGGCTGGAGCGCGATGGTGCAATGGTAGCTCACTGCAGCCTCCAGTTCCTGGGCTCAAGGAATACTCCCACTTAAACCTTCCAAGAAGCCAGGTAGCTGGAACTACAAGTGGATGCCAGCAGCCCCAGCTAATTTTTAAATTATTTTTTGTAGAAACAGGGGGCCTCATTGTGTTTTTCAGGCTGGTCTTGAACTCCTGACATCAAGTAGTCCTCCTGCCTTGGCCTCCCAAAGTGCTGGGATTATAGGCATGAGCCACTGAGCCCGGCCTTAGATGTTAACTTTAAAGCCATGCTATTAGATGAGATCACCAAAGGAGGGGAGGAAGGACGGGAGAAAAAGAGAGAAAGAGGGAGACGAGAGAGAGAGAACCAAAGGCCAAGGCTCCACAAATTGGACCTAGAAAAGAAGACTGAGAAGGAGCAATTAATGAAGTAGGAGAAGAACCAAGAGAGGGTGATGTCATGGAAGCAAAGAGAAGGGTTATCAAGAAGGAGAGAGTTACCAACCACATCAAATGCTGCTACAGCTCAAATAAGATGAAGATTGGGAATTGGCCATTGCATTTAGCAAGATGAAAATCCCTGTTGACTCTTAAGCACAGTTTTGAAGGAGAGGTGGAGGTGAAGACAATGGAAGAGCGGGAAAGGAGTCAAGGAATCTTTTTTTTGAGACGGAGTCTCGCTCTGTCACCCAGCTGGAGTGCAGTGGGGAGATCTCGGCTCACTGCAAGCTCCGCCTCCCGGGTTCACGCCATTCTCCTGCCTCAGCCTCCGGAGTAGCTGGGACTACAGGCACCCGCCACCATGCCCGGCTAATTTTTTTTGTATTTTTAGTAGAGATGGGGTTTCACCGTGTTAGCCAGGTTGGTCTCGATCTCCTGACCTCATGATCCGCCCGCCTCGGCCTCCCAAAGTACTGGGATTACAGGCGTGAGCCACCGCACCCGGCCCAAGTCAAGGAAACTTTCAAGGAGTTTTACAGCAAAGGGGAGAAAAGAAAAGATGTGTGACCAGGGGCGGTGGTTCACACCTGTAATCCCAGCACTTTGGGAGGCCGAGGTGGGTGGCTCACTTGAGGTCCAGAGTTCCAGACCAGCCTGGCCAAAATAGTGAAATCCCATCTCTACTAAAAATACAAAAAACTTAGCTGGGAGTGGTGGCGCACGCTTGTAATCCCAGCTACTCAGAAGGCTGAGGCAGTAAAATCGCCTGAACCCGGGAGGCGGAGGTTGCAGTGAGCCGAGATCACGCTACTGCACTCCAGCCTGGGCAACAGAGGGAGACTCCATCTCAAAAAAAAAAAAACAAAGAAAAAAGAAAGAAAAGAAAAGAAAAAGAGATGTGGCTGAAGCAGGAAGAGAGGTCAAGAATAAGTTTATAATTTTTTTTTTTTTTTTTGAGACAGAGTCTCACTCTGTCGCCCAGGCTGGAGTGCAGTGGTGTGGTGTGATCTTGGCCCACTGCAACCTCTGCTGCCCGGGTTCAAGCGATTCTCCTGCCTCAGCCTCCCGAGTAGCTTGGATTACAGGCGCCTGCCACCGCGCCCAGCCAATTTTTGTAGTTTTTAGTAGAGACGGGGTTTCGCCACCGTGGCCAGGCTGGTCTTGAACGCCTTACCTCGTGATCCACCCACCTTGGCCTCCCAAAGTGCTGGGATTACAGACGTGAGCTGCCACGCCTAGCCAAGTTTATAATTTTTTAACATAAGGCTGGGTGAGGTGGCTCACACCTGTAATCCGAGCACTTTAGGAGGCCGAGGCCTCCTAAAGGTGGAGGCAGGTGTATCACCTGAGGTCAGGAGTTCAAGACCAGCCTGGCCAACATGGCGAAACTCTGTCTCTACTAAAAATACAAAAATTAACTGGGCATGGTGGAGCGTGCCTGTAATCCCAGCTACTAGGGAGGATGAGGCAGGAGAATCACTTGAACCCAGGTGGCAAAGGTTGCAGTGAGCCGAGATCACACCATTGCACTCCAGCCTGGGCGACAAAGCAAGACTCCATCTCAAAAAAAAAAAAAAAAGAAAAAAAAAATTTAACATGAGATAAATTATACTACATTGGCCGGGCATAGTGTAATCCCAGCTACTCTGGAGGCTGAGGTGAGAGAATCACTTGAGCCCAGTTCAGGATCAGCCTGGGCAACATAGTGAGACTCCATCTCTACAAAAAAAAAGGGAAAATTATACTACATTTACATATTGATGGGAATGACCAAGTAGAAACTGAAAACTTGATGTAATAAAAAGAGGTGAGCATTACTGAAGTGATGTTCTCGTGCAGACAAGACAGTATGAAATATAGTACACAGTGGAGGGATAAATAGGCACAAAGACACTTCATTTATAGCAACTGTAGGAGTCACACTTGTGTGGGTGAAGATACTGGTGGCAAGGTAGGTGTGGTGGTGGGTGGACATTCTCTTCTGGTTGCTTCAATTTTGTTCAGTGAGTAGGAAACAAGGTCATTGGCTGAGAATGAGGATGGGGGAGGAGGCTTTAGGGGTTGAGGAGAAAGAAGGAGTGAAACTGCCATCTACCAGAACTGGAGAGTGAAGGGCCTTGGGATGTACAGTATGACTCTGAGGTAGCAATAAGGACCCTCTTGAAGTCTGCATCATGCATTTGAAATGAGACAAGTTCGCATAATTGTGTTTTTGTCTGGCCATGTTCAGTTTCACAGGTGCAGTGTGGGTTAGGCAGAGTGAGGCTTAACTAGAGCTGTGGTTCTGCCAAGTAAATATATCGAAAGTGAGAGAAAAGATTGGGCCAGTGGCTCACGCCTGTAATCAAAGCACTTTGGGAGGCTGAGGCAGGAGGATCTCTTGAGGCCAGGAGTTCAAGACCAGTCTGGGTAACATAGCCAGACCTTGTCTCTAAAAAAGTAAAAATTTTAAAATTAGCCAGGTGTAGTGTGTGCACTTGTAGTCTCGGCTACTTGAGAGGCTGATGTGGGAGGATCTCTTGAGTCCAGGAATTTGAGGCTGCAGTGAGCTATGATTGTGCCACTGTACTCCAGCCTGGGTAATAGTGAGACCCCAACTCTTAAAAAAAAGTGAGAGAAGGGAAAAAAGAGACAGGATGCAAGGGAATGATTATTATAATCACTGACTGGAATTCACACTGGATGGATGAGGTGGTAAGGGAGAACATCAAAGAGGCAAAGAACAGTGAGGAGGCAACAGGATCAACAATTTGTTGGTCCTGGATGTGCAAGCGAATTATTTATTTATTTTTTTGAGACAGAGTCTTACTCTGTCACCCAGGCTGGAGTGCAAGGGCTTGATCTCAGCTCACTGCAAACTCTGCTTCCCGGGTTCAAGCGATTCTCCTCCCTCAGCCTCCCGAGTAGCTGGCATTACAGGCGCCCGCCACCACGCCCAGCTAATTTTTTCTTTTTTTTTTTTGCAGTTTTAGAAGAGATGGGGTTTCACCATGTTGGTCAGGCTGGTCTCGAGCTCCCGACCTCAGGTGATCCGCCCGCCTAGGCCTCCCAAAGTGCTGGGATTATAGGCGTGAGCCATCGCGCCCAGCCGTAGGCGAATAGAACCTATTCTCATCACACTCCCTCTTTGCAAAGCACAAAGAGTCAAAGATCAAAGGAGCCAAAGAAATAGTTCAACTCTCATTCTAAGGATAGGGAAAATCACATAGCAAGTTAGAGCCAGGACTGGAACCCAGGACCCTCCTGACCTAGTTTTCTCTCTGCCACATTTTGGATCCCTTTGGGAATCAGGGTTCACAGGCCCCTATCAACAAGGTCTCTTACTGCTGGGGATGGGGGTTCTCGTATGCACCATTCAAGCACATGGAAGTGTTCCTTCTAGGGTCAGGAAAGGATAAAGTTTCCCTTGTCTTTTAAATCTCCCTCTCCATGGTCTTCAGAAAGCACATCAGCTTTGACCTAACAAGCTAGCCCTTTTGTCCCTGGGTCTGGACAGAAATTCTTCTCCCTCATTCAGTATCACTACAATCCACTCTACTTACCTATTGGCATTGACATTCCACCTACCCCCGCCCCCAAAGCTCCCTGCGGGCAGTCTAGCAGAGCCGGAGAGAGCCAGTTGCCCAATTCATATCTATCACAGCACCCAGCATATAGTAAGAACCAGAGTCAGCTTTGAAGACTACAACCAGCTCATATCTATAAGGCTTACGAGTTGCTTTTCCTTCCATGCACTCATTCAGATCTGTTCACAGCCCTGACAAGTCATCATGATTCCCATTTCATAGAGAAAAAGACTAAGGCCGAGGAAGGGTAAATAACTTGCCCAGGGTCACACAGCTTAACAATCATAAAATCCACTGGCTCTAAATCCCATGTCTTTCTCATGCTACTGTTGTGAGATGTTCACCTAAGCTGTTCTAACCCCTTTTCACCAGACTGCAGACCCCACCCAGTCAAAGTGAGGCCCTTCCTCACCAGAAGGCACTCAAGACACAAGGGACTGTCAGTAAATGGCAAACTGAATCCCCTGGCCCACCTAACCCCAGACTGGCCACTCAATCCTTGTTGCCTACCCTCCCTCCTCTCACTAAGAGGCTTTTTCTGCTTCCAGGGGTGTACCAGGCAAGAAGTGTGGGACCATATTGCTGACTGCAGAAGAGCTTAGCAATTGTCGGGTCAGTAAGGGCCACATGCTAGACCCAGGAGCTCCCTTCTCTCCCCGTAAACCCTTTAATGGACTGTCTGAAGGCTATGGACAATTGGGGTGCCACCAGCCCAACTTCATCCATCCCTAGGACATTGCCACCATGCAGCTGTGTGCAAACAAGCTGGACAAGAAGGACTTCTTTGGGAAATCAGACCCCTTCCTTGTGTTCTACAGGAGCAATGAGGATGGCACGTGAGTCACTGCCATCAGGGCTGTTAGGCTGGGGTGGGCCATGTGCTTAACAAGTGGGGGAATCTCAGGAATCTCTGAGAGCATCTGGATTCAGTCCTACCCCGGGCACGAGATAAATTATACCAATTCTTCCCACTCCCCTCCAGGTTCACCATCTGCCACAAGACAGAGGTTGTGAAAAACACGCTGAATCCTGTGTGGCAGCCCTTCAGCATCCCTGTGCGGGCTCTGTGCAATGGAGACTATGACAGGTTGGCTCCAGCATAAGCTGGGGAGTAAGGAGCCAAGGACATGCCAGTGTGGTTCCTGGGCCCAAGAATGATAGTAGAAGTATCATAATAGCGTTGGAGGGTCCTGCTCAGTGAGACAGAGTTTGGGGCATGAGGTTGGGTGGATGGACAGGCAGATGGATAGCCACACAGATGGATAGGTGGACTATCCAGGGATGGATCGACTGATGGATGGAATGGTAGGTGGATGGGTAGATGAAAAGGCAGATGAACAAATGAATAAGCAGATACATGGATGGATCGTTGGATGGGTAAACTGGTGAATGGTTGGATATGTATGTGGATGGATATATGAGTGAATTGATGGGTGGGTAGAGGGGCAGATAAATGAATGGACAGCAGAAGAATGGATAATTGGACTGATGGGTGGGTTTGTGGATATACAGGTGATGGGTGATTAACGGATGAATGAGCTGATGGATGGGTGGGTGATAAATTGGTAAATGAGAGTTTGATGGATGACTGGGGAGGCAGGAGGATGAATAGAAAAGCAGGTGGAATACAAAAAGATAGGTAGAGTGACAAGTGGATTGATGGTTGGATAGATGAATAGATGGCAAATGGATGAACGGATGGATTTGTAGGTGAATTAGTTGATGGATGGGTATAAATTAGATGGATAGGCCAACCAAATGAATGAGTAAATGGGTAGTATAAAGACAGATGGTAGGGGCCGGGCGCGGTGGCTCACACATGTAATCCCAGCACTTTGGGAGGCCGAGACGGGCAGATCACGAGGTCAGGAGATCGAGACCATCCTGGCTAACACGGTGAAACCCCATCTCTACTAAAAATACAAAAAAAATTAGCCGGGCGTGGTGGTGGGCGCCTGTAGTTCCAGCTACTCAGGAGGCTGAGGCAGGAGAATGGCATGAACCTGGGAAGTGGAGCTTACAGTGAGCCGAGATCACGCCACTGCACTCCAGCCTGGGCGACAGAGCAAGACTCCGTCTCAATAAATAAATAAATAAATAAATAATAAAGATAGGTGGTAGGTGGAAGGGTGGAAGAATGGATGGGCACATAGATGAGTAGATGAATGGTTATGCTGATGAATGGATAACCAGATGGATAGATGTTATATAGTTGGTAGACAGACAGACAGATGGATGCTTGCATGCCTCAGTGAGTCAGTGAATGGCTAGATGTATAGTTAGGTGGCTAAAGAGATGAACTGATAGGTAATTGGACTGGCAAATATATGGGTAAATAGGTAGCTAGATGGATAGACGGATGGTTGGATGGGCTGATATACTGATAGGTAGACATATGGAATGATTTAGGCATGACAGTTAAGAACAAAGTCTTTGGAATCAGGATGCCTGGGTTTAAATCTCAGTTCAGTCATTTACTAGCTATGAGATCTTAGCCAAATTACTTTTTTTTTTTTGTATCTCAATTTCCTTATCCCAAAATAATAATAATAGTAATTACTTTATATAGGGTGATTGTTAAGTTAAATGAGACAATCTGTGAATGTGCTGAGAAAAATGCCTGGAATACAATAAGGCTCAAAGTGGTAAAAAAAAAAAAAAAAAAAAAAAAAAAAACCAACCAAACAAACAAAAAAAGTATTAGTGGTACTAACCAGAGTAGTATTAATAGGGGTAGGTGGTTGGGTACAGGCACAGACTGATGAATGAATAGACAGGATGGGAGGCAGGTTGAAAGATGAACAACTTAATGGGAAGACAGATGGGTGGATGGGGAGATGATATGTGTGTGGTTAAGTGTATGAGGGTGTCTCTGGGATTTATCATACACACCTAGGGTATGTTTATCTCCTACATTTCAGAACGGTGAAGATTGATGTGTACGACTGGGACCGGGATGGAAGGTAGAACTGCCCCACATGGTCCCTTCTCCTGTACTTGACCCAAGCAGTTCTCAATAATATGTTGTACATTCACTGAGAACCCCAAAGTAGCTTTAGGAGCCAGGAAAGGTGATGATAAACACCAGTGTCTTGGGTACAACTGATCCCCCCAATTGTCTCTCTGGACACTGTCTCTTCCCGTTTTTCCCCTATGTTTGGCCTCCCTTATGGCCCCAGCACTAGGCTGCCCTGCAGCCTAAGTAGGGGCTTAGGATAGGAGGAATAAAAGACTGGGTTCAGCTCTGGTTCCAAACCAGCAGCACCTGCTGCTTAGCCACGCCCACCTCATTGCAGCCACGATTTCATTGGTGAGTTCACCACCAGCTACCGGGAGCTGAGCAAGGCCCAGAACCAGTTCACAGTATATGAGGTGAGCATTCCAGCCCTGCCCAGGTCACCCAGGCCCTCCATCCCAGTGTGCTCAGTCTGGACCTCCCTTCCTTTGTTTCTCATCATCACTGTTACCTCCTCCCCTTAGGTTCTTAACCCTCGGAAGAAATGTAAGAAGAAGAAATATGTCAACTCAGGAACTGTGAGTGCTCCCTAGAGCCGTGGCCCTCCCTGGATCCTTCCGTGTCTGTCCCCATTGACACAGCATGGCAAATATCGAGGGCAGGGCAAGACAGTGGGCACAGATTACTTGGAATAGTAATATTGGGCACAAGGAGCACCACTTAAGTTTTTCTTTGTTTTTTTTCTCACTCAGGAAATTTTTCTGACTTCACTCTTTTGCAGAATAAAAGAAAAAAACCTAAGTTGTATTTCCCAATTTAATATACTTTTGGAAATCCAACGATGTTTCTGACAGCTTCCCCTTTTCCCCTGTCAGAAGTTGAACAGGGTGGGACTGACTGGGGGAGCGGGTGGAATCATGTGCCTCCCATCACGTGCCTCTTTCCAAGCCCCTATGGGCCTCACTTCCTTCTGCCACCCCAACTGCCTTTTCCAAAGTGCCAGGGCTGCCTATTCTGTCCCACAGGTGACGCTGCTCTCCTTCTCTGTGGACTCTGAATTCACTTTTGTTGATTACATCAAGGGAGGGTGAGTCACAGGCCAAGCTCTGGGCTGAAAGCCCGGCAATAAATTACTCCCAGTTCTGAGCCCCAGGTTTCTTATTTATGAATGGTCAGGGCCCAGTGAGACCATGGAGATAAACTTTAAAACACTTGGCCAACTATAAAGTGCTCTGTAAAATGCAAAATACTGCTCTTCTTAGTTCCCTTCATGGGGCTGCTTTTCATTCTTAGCTTTCGACTCCTCCTGGGAAGATGGCTCCCAGACCAGTGGTCTTCACTGGTGGCCCCAGTAACCTAATTGGGGCACAAATAAAGTTATAGTCAGGCAAGAGGGAGAGGTAGAAGAGAGGGCACAACCAAGCAGACTATAGGGGACATTCTGTTTGGTTTGGTGGAGGCAGGCAGACCTGGGAAAGGTAACTTTGCTTCTCTGAACTTCACTTTTCTCCTATGTAAAATGAGGATTTTTTTTTTTTTGAGATGGCGTTTCACTCTTGTTGCCCAGGCTGAAGTGCAATGGTGCGATCTTGGCTCACTGCAACCTCCGCCTCCCAGGTTCAAGCAATTCTCCTGCCTCAGCCTCCCAAGTAGCTGGGATTACAGGCATGCGCCACCACGCCCGGCTAATTTTTTGTATTTTTAGTAGAGATGCGGTTTCCCCATGTTGGTCAGGCTGGTCTCAAACTCCCGACCTCAGGTGATCCACCCTCCTCAGCCTCCCAAAGTGCTGATTACAGGCGTGAGCCACGGCGCCCAGCCAAATGGGGATATTAATCACTACTTCAGGGCTATAGTAAGGGTTAAATTAAATGACATATAATACACCTGCCACACAGTAGGCATTTAATTCTGTTACCTAAAGTGTAGTCCATGAGCCAGCAGCATCAGCATTACTTGGGAGTTTGTTAGGCTCTACCCAGACCATCTGGATCAGAATCTGCATTTTAACATGAGCCCCACGTGATCCATATGCACATTACTGTTTGAGAAATAGTGATGTAATAATCATTAGTTCCTCACTTCTCAATTCATCTGCTTCCCCAACAGGACACAGCTGAACTTCACAGTAGCCATTGACTTCACGGCTTCCAATGGTGAGACACGGATGAGTGAAAAAGTCGGAGGTGGGAAGGCACTTCTAAGGGAGTCATTAGGAGTTGGCCTGGATTCCTACCTAGAGATAAGAGTTTACCTACCCAAGAAGCCCAAACTTAGGCAAAACCCAGCCAGGAAAATAGAGTGCAGAAAAATAGATGGGTAGATGGATCATAGAGGGTTGAAAGGATATATAGCTCAACAGGTGGATGAGTAGGCTGATGGATGAGAGAGAAAGGGGGTATAAGGAGAGATGGAGAGGTGAACAGGTGGTGAGTCATGAATGGATGCATAGATCCATGAACAAATGGAGTGGGTACATGGGTTGGTGAGTATAATAGGTTAGACAAGTAGATGCATCGATGGGTATGTGGGTGGACAAATGGACTAAAGTTTAAGTTGGGGAAATAACAAGTAATTAGGGGAAATGCATGAGTGGATAGATCCATATGAGAATAGACAAGGGAATGAATGGAATGGAGAGGGCTGGCTAGCCGGATGGATAAAATAATACTGTTGTATAGATGGGTGGAAAATGAAGAAAAATGGCAAGTAGACAAGTGGGTGGATGGATGGATGGATGGATGGACTGATGGATGGATGAGTGGGTAAGTGGATAGCTGCATAAGAGAATGGAGAGATTGGTGGATAAAGATGTATAAGTAGACTGAAAGATAGATGTATGGCTAGGTAGATGGGTGGATGGATGTGTGGGTAGGTAGGTAAATGGATGAATAGATATAGGGATGGGTGGGTGGATAGATGGATAAATGAACAAATGGATGATTGGGTAAAATAAGGAGGGAGGACATGGGTAGAGGGCAGATAAATGGATATAGGTGGATGAATGCACACAAAGATAAGCAGGTGAACAGATGGATGATCCAGATGATCATGAGGCTGGGGTTCCTGTGTCCCTACAGGGAATCCTCTGCAGCCTACCTCCCTGCACTACATGAGTCCCTACCAGCTCAGCGCCTATGCCATGGCCCTCAAGGCAGTGGGAGAGATCATCCAGGACTATGACAGTGATAAGCTCTTCCCAGCTTATGGCTTTGGGGCCAAGCTGCCCCCAGAGGGACGGATCTCCCACCAGTTCCCCCTGGTATGGTATTGGCCAGAGCTTACCCTCCGTGCCCTGGCATCTGGTTCACCCAAGTTGATGATTTTGTTCTGTTTACATTACTTCAAAGGGCATGTAGAGGAACAGGAAGCTATGAGAGGATAGCAGAGCAGGGAGGGGAGCAGGGCTGGGTTTGGAGGGGAGCATGAAAGGGACTGATGGAAAAAGGAAGGAGTGAGCTGGAATCAGAGCACTCCTGCATGTACCCTGCATGGGCTCAGCCTGGCAGGGCATATTCTTTGACAGAACAACAATGATGAGGACCCCAACTGTGCGGGCATCGAGGGTGTGCTGGAGAGCTATTTCCAGAGCCTGCGCACAGTGCAGCTCTATGGGCCCACCTACTTTGCTCCTGTCATCAACCAAGTGGCCAGGTAAGGGAACTGGGTGGAAGCTGGGGGAAATGAGGGGACCCACATAAGGGATTGACCCCCCAAGGATAGTCAGGAGCACTCTAAGTAATTTAGGATGATTTGAAGTAAACAGGAGAGGCCAGGCATGGTGGCTCATACCTGTAATCCCAACACTTTGGGAGACTGAGGCAGGAGGATCACTTGAGCCTAGGAGTTCAAGACCAACTTAGGCAATTTAGTGAGACCCCATCTCTTTTTTTTTTTTTTTTTTTTTGAGACAGAGTCTTGCTCTGTTGCCATGCTGGAGTGCAGTGGCATGGTCTCGGCTCACTGCAACCTCCGCCTCCCAGATTCAAGCAATTCTCCTGCCTCAGCCTCCCAAATAGCAGGGATTACTGGCGCATGCCACCACACTTGGCTCGTTTTTGTGTTTTTAGTAGAGACGGGGTTTCACCATGTTGGCCAGGCTGGTCTTGAACTCCCAACCTCAAGTGATCCACCTGCCTCAGCCTCCCAAAGTGCTGGGATTACAAGCATATGCCACCATGCCTGGCTCATTTTTTTAAATTAAATATTTAAATTAAAAAAATTAAAGTATACAGGACGATGTGTATAGGTTATATGCAAATACTACACCATTTTATATGACGGACTTGAATATCTGAGGAGTTTGGTATCCACAGGAGTCTTGGAACCAATCCCCCGTGGATACTGAGGGATGACTGTACCTTATTATGCGGCACAAAGGGTGTCAGCAAATTACCCTAACCCCACTGCCTGAGAATGACAAGCTGGGGCTTGAGTTTGGGTAAGAGAGAGAAGAGCCTACAGCACTGTGGTGAAGGCGTACGTTTTAGCATCAGATCTGAGTGGGATCCTTCCTCCACCATTCACTAACCATCTGACCTTAAGCAACTTCGCCTCTTTAAGCATCCATTTCATCCCTGTAAGGTGGTGTCATAATGGATGACAATAGCAGCTTCCTTATAGAGTTATTGCAAGGTTAAAATTAGATAATAGTGTAACAAGTATTAGCACAGTGTCTGGCCCATGGTACATGCTCCATAAATGATAAGTTAAAAACTAGATGAGTGACTGTCCAAATTTTCAGAATAAAACTATACAAAGCAGGCCAGGTGTGGTGGCTCACACCTGTAATCCCAGCACTTTGGGAGGCCGAGGTGGGTGAATCATGAGGTCAGGAGTTCAAGACCAGCCTGGCCAAGATGGTGAAACCCCGTCTCTACTGAAAATACAAAAATTAGCCAGGCGTGGTGGTGGGCACCTGTAATCCCAGCTACTTGGGAGGCTGAGGCAGAGAATTGCTTGAACCTGGGAGGCAGAGGGTGCAGTGAGCCGAGATCACACCACTGCACTCCAACCTGGGCGACAGAGCAAGACTCTGTCTCAAAAAAATATATATATATACATATATATATATATGCACACACACACACAAACCAAAGAAAACCCAGATCATACATCAAATGGCTTAAAAAACCAGAGGGTATTAAAATAAACTTAAAACGAATTTATGAAATGACAGAACTAAAATCAAACATATGTCAATAAACATAAATAAGCTCTGTTTGACCTTAAAAAAGAAAAAGATTATTTGATTGAACAAAAAATAAGCAAACCCCACTTTATAGTAAACAGAAGAAACCCAGCTAACACAAAGCCCCTCAGAAAGCTCAGAAGTAAAAAGATTAAACAAAAAGGGAATAAAAGTGAAAGGATTTCAGTGAGATTTATATGTCCATAGACTTTTTCCCCTAGCGAAGATTTGTTTTTTTTTTAACTTTCCTTTTAAGTTCAGGGGTACATGTGCAGGTTTGTTACATAACAAACTTGAGACATGTGACACATGGGGGTTTGTTGTACAGATTATTTCATCACTCAGGTATTAATTCTAGTAGATTTATTTTCTAATTTGCAGTAATGATAATAGATTCTTTAATCATAACCGTAGAAAGTTTCAATAGAGAAATGAAGAAATCACCCTGAATACTGCCCATGGAATGTGGATGTATATACAGTTCTTTTCCTTATGTATCCATAATTATAGTCAAATTATTATACATATAACATTTCACTACTGATTTTTTTTTCACTAATACTGGAACCTGAGCATGTTTTTGTTGTTATTAAGCTGACTTCTTAAATATTATCTTATGCAACTACACTAATTCAAAATTTATTCATTCATTTAGTAAACATTCAGTAAAGGGGCAATGCACCATTGAGTGTGGTGTCCGGAGCCAGACTAGCCAAGTTAACACTCTGGTTCTATCACTCACTAGCTGTGGCTTTGGTCAAGATTCTTAACCTCTCTGCGCCTTATTCCTCATTTGTAAAATGAGGAAAGTAACAATGTCTACTTCATAGGGTTGTTGTGAGGACTAACTAATTAATATATGTCAAGCACCTAGAACAGTGCCTGCCACATCATAAATACTATAGGTGTTCGCTATTACTGTTACTATTATTATCATTATTACTATCCAAAAGGCATCTGCTGTGTGCTCAGTTCTCTGCTGGGGCACTGAAGATTCACAGATGAATCAGATCTAGTCCCTCCCCTTGGGAGCTCCCGCCTTGGTGCAGGAGACAGAAATATAAATAAATCATTACCTTCTGTAGACCAGAGCTTCCCAGACTTTTCTAGCAAGTCGCCTGTCAGCAAAGGCAAGCGACAGCGTCCCTCTGGGGGAATCTGGGGGCATAGCTGAAAGCAGTCAGGCTGAAAATGTCTTTGAAGTTTCCGTATTTCATCTTAAAAATTCATGCAAATTTTATATTCTTCTCACATTGCATCCCTGTTTAATTTAGAGAAAAAAGGTGTTTTAAGTACTTATAGTCTTATGTACTTATAGTCATCTAGCTTTATCCAGCAGATCATGCAGTGAGAACCCACTTAGAGGAGCAGACAGCCCATCTTGGTGGGTGGAGCAGTATCCTAGAGGGAGGGGGTAGGGCATAGGCTCCAGTACCATAAAGGGGACTGCTCAGCTGGGTCTAGAGGACGAGGTAGACTTTATGAGAGAAACAGAAGCAGAGTAGGCCTGGTAGAAGGAATGGCATATGAAAAACAGAGGCATGAAGGGGCAAGTTCATGAAACAGTGAAGAGTTTAATATGACTAGAGTGCGCACTGTGTACAGAGGACTATCCAGATAATGGACTGGGGATAGAGAGTGAGAGAATCAAGAGCTCCAGCTTCAGGCTCAGCTGGTCAGGCATGGGCTTGGACCCCAGCTTCATAACCCCTTGGGGATGTTACTTAATGTCTCTAAGCTTCAGGTTCCTCATTTTAAACATAGGAACTGTTTTTTGTTTTTAGTTTTTTTTTTTTTGAGATGGAGTCTTACTCTGTCACCCAGGCTGGAGTGCAGTGGCACGATCTCAGCTCACTGCAACCTCTGCCCCTGGGTTCAAGCAGTTCTCCTGCCTCAGCCTCATGAGCAGCTGGGATTACAGGTGCGCACCACCATGCCCGGCTAATTTTTGTATTCTAGAAGAGACGGAATTTCGCCATGTTGGCCAGGCTGGTCTCGAACTCCTGACCTCAGGTGATCCACCCCCCCCCGCCACCCGGCCTCCCAAAGTGCTGGGATTACAGGCATGAGCCACTGTCCCCGGCCATAAAAATAGGAACTTTTAAAGCGCCTACCTTATAGAATGGCGGTGAGGATTAAATTAGATCATGTATGTCAAGTGTACATCTGTGATTTTGATGATCACAATGGACTCTGCTGTTTCCCACTCTACAGCCAAGTGAGGCATAGACTGGCCTCCTCTGGCCACTCACCCATTTTCTCAGCTAACTTCCAGATAAAAACAGCCTTGAGAATGCAAGGCATCTACAGAGAACCAAAGATGTACCTCCTGTGCCCCCAAACCCTTCCATGATGCCCATTGTCTTCTACAGTTCTTTTTTTTTTTTAAGAGACAGGTTCTCACTGTGTCACTCAGGCTGGAGTGTAGTGGTACCATTACAGCTCACAGCAGCTTTGAACTCCTGGGCTCAAGCGATCCTCCCTCCCACCTCAGCCTTCCAAGTAGCTAAGACCACAGGTGCATGTCACCACGCCAGGCTAATTTTATTATTTTTTCGTAGAGACAGGGTCTCGCTATGTTGCCCAGCTTGTCTCAAACTCCTAGGCTCAAGGGATCCTCTGATCTCAGCCTCCCAAAGCATTGGGATCTTAGATGTGAGCCACCAGGTCCAGCCTCTCCGCTGTAGTTCTACATGTAACTCCTCGTGGTTTGCACTTGCCATTCTCTTTCTCTGGAACACTTTTCCCTTTACCTTCCCACCACCATCACCACCTGGCTAAACCCAACCCATTTTTCAGGTACTTAGGTTAGATGTTACATCCTCAAAGCCCTAACCTCAATACACTTTAGTAGTTTAATCCTCTCTCTCCCCAAGGACAATATCCTATTCTGCTCCATGCTCAGCACCCAGCGTGGTGCCTGATACACAGTAGGTATGCAATTGCTATTTATGAAATGAGTAAGTGACAGGAAAAGGTACCAAGCCAGGTCTCTGAGGAGGCTGGGGCCAGAACTCAGGAAGTGGGTAGGGGATGTAAAGGAGAATCATGGCTGGCCACAGTGGCTCATGCCTGTAATCCCAGCACTTTGGGAGGCCGAGGCGGGCGGATCACTTGAGGTCAGGAGTTCAAGACCAGCATGGACAACATGGTGAAACCCCGTCTCTACTAGCAATATAAAAATTAGCCGGGCATGGTGGTGGGCGCCTGTAATCCCAGCTATTCAGGAGACTGAGGCAGGAGAATCCCTTGAACCCAGGAGGCAGAGGTTGCAGTGAGCTGAGATTGTGCCATTGCACTCCAGCCTGGGCAACAGAGCGAGACTCTGTCTCAAAAAAAAAAAGAAAAAAACCAGGATCATGACCCACTCCCACTCTGGGCCCTGGGCAAACTGAGCCAAAATTATTTTATTTTATTATTTTACTTTTATTTTTATTTCAGTTGGGGTCTTACTCTGTCTCCCAGACTGGAGTGCAGTGGTGCCATCATGGCTCACTGGGCTCATGCAATCCTCCTGACTCAGCCTCCTGAGTAGCTGAGAGTATAGGCACGCGCCACCAAGCCCAGCTAATTTTAAATTTTTTCGTAGAGACCAGGTCTCACTATGTTGCCCACGCTGTTCTCAAACTCTTGGCCTCAAGTGATCCTCCTGCCTCAGCCTCCCAAAGTGCTTGGATTACAGGCGTGAGCCACCCCACCTGTCCCCAAAGCTATTTTATAATTCTACACCCTCTCCATGCCTTTCCTCACATTTTGAGATCAGGTTTCAATACAGTACTGTCCAATAGCACTTTCTGCAATGATGGAAAAGTTCTGTATCTGTGCAGGCCAATATGGTACTCACCAACCACATGTGGATATGGGGCACTTGAAAGTAGCTAGGGTGGCCAAGGAACTGAATGTTTAACTCTATTTAATTAATTTAAATTTCAATAGCCAAGGCTACCTTATTGGACAGCCACAGCTCCATCCTTTCCAGTCCGCACAGGACTGGAGACTGGAAGTCAAGAGACCAGGGTCTCCCACTACCTTTGTGCCCTCTCTAGGTCTTTTTTTTTTTTTTTTTGAATATGCAAAATAAAGGGACTGGACTCAATGACTTCTGAAGTCCTTTTCAGGTGGAAAAAAAATCTTGGCTTCAAAGACTAGTGAGAGAAGGAAAAGGAGCTCTGGAAGCAGCTGTTAGATTGGCAGGGGGAGGACTGCATGGGGCCCAGCAGCCCAGGCGATGAGATGTGGCTGGCAGAGGGGAGAAGGGAGAGAGAAGAAATGTGGGGGAGAAGGAAGCAAGGAAGCCTTCAGCCTTTGCTCTCGCTCATATATAAACATCAAAATCTTGCCAGGGGTTGATAAATCCCTGAGCGGTCTAAGCTCTGTGCTTCTTCAGCCACGTGGCCCACTCTGCTTCCCTCAATTTCTGACCTCCACACAGGGGAGTTGTTCTTTAGTCCCACTATAGCGCCTTTTTCCTTGCTGTTCCCCCTTCCTAGAAAGATCCTCCTCTTTCATTTAGCCTTTCTATCCTCAAACATCACTTCCTTAAAGAAACCTTCACTTACCTGCTGGGTCACATCAGGATCCTATCTATCTATCTATCTATCTATCTATCTATCTATCTATCTATCTATCTATCTGAGACGGAGTCTCGCTCTTGTCACCCAGGCTGGAATGCAGTGGTGTGATCTCGGCTCACTGCAACCTCTGCCTGCTGGGTTCAAGCGGTTCTCCTGCCTCAGCCTCCCGAGTAGCTGGGATTACAGGCACCCACCACCACGCCTGGCTAGTTTTTGTATTTTTCATAGAGACAGGGTTTCACCATATTGGCCAGGCTGGTCTCCAACCCCTGGCCTCAAGTGATCCGCCCACCTCGGCCTCCCAAAGTGCTGGGATTACAGGCATGAACCACTGCACCTGGCCAGGATCCCCTCTGGTACCGTCATAGCAGTGTCCCTTCCATCACAGCACTCATCACAGTGGTGATTTTACACTATTTTTGTGTGATTCCTGGATTAATGTCTGCCTCACTCCAGAGGGCTGGGATGGATTTATTTTTTCTCCTCATGTATCTCCAGTGTCTACCATAGTAAGTGCTCAATAAATATTACTGAAGGCAGACCAGGCACGGTGGCTCATGCCTGTGCTCCCAGCACTTTGAGAGGCTGAGGCAGGCGAATCACTTGAGGTCAGGAGTTTGAGACCAGCCTGGCCAACATGGTGAAACCTCATCTCTACTAAAAATATAAAAAGTAGCCAGGTGTGGTGGCTCACACCCGTAGTCCCAGCTACTCAGGAGGCTGAGGCAGGAGGATCACCTGAGCCCGGGAGGTGGAGGTTGCAGTGAGCCGAGATCACACCACTGCACTCCAGCCTGGGCAACAGGGTAAGACTCTGTCTCAAAAACAAAACAAAACAAAAAATGTGTGTGTATGGATATATATATATATGTGTATATATATGTGTATATGTATGTGTATACATGTGTATATATATGTATATACATGTATGTGTATATATGTGTATATATGTATATATATGTGTATATATATATACATATATGTGTATATATGTGTATATATGTGTATATGTATATATTTCATATATATGTATATATGTGTGTGTATATATATGGATATATACACATATATATATGCAGGCAGTGGCAGGCTGCCAGGTCTGGGGAAGGAGCATGGGTTTCAGAAGCCCCAGTTCCTGCCCACTGCCCACACACTGGCTGTGGAAGCTCTGGGGGTAAGGTGTTCCCTTGGCCTGTCTGGCTTTCAGCTGGATTCTCATTTGGCCTCTCATCCAGGGCTGCAGCCAAGATCTCTGATGGCTCCCAGTACTATGTTCTGCTCATCATCACTGATGGGGTCATCTCTGACATGACGCAGACCAAGGAGGCCATCGTCAGCGTGAGTCTGAGGAGGAGGGCTTGGCAGGGAGGAGTAATGTCAATACTGTGAAGGGGCTGAGATTTTATCCTACTTGCAAGCTAACAAGTTAGCCTGCCAGTTTCATGGATGCTGGCAGAAGACACAAGACTCTTGGATTAGAGATAGAGGACTTTGATTTCCAGCAAAAGCAGTAGCTGGAGTATTAGCATTTGCTTGAATTCTCTAAGTCCCAGTTCCCACTGGATGATGTGAAGAGGGACAGATGATGCTTGCAGCCACTGTGGGTTGCGTTACAGAAGAGGAACCCTGAGCTTAGGGAACTTGAGTCTTTTATAATGGACAGTAAGCATGCTTGCCTTTTGTTCCAAAGGTCTCCAGGGAGACCTTTTTTTAAAACTATATTGGACAGTATGCAAATATGCCCTCTGCTCTAGAGGAAAATACTATATCTTTCAAGGCTGCTTGATATAGAAACATCCTTGAAAAAGTAGTCTGGGGCAGAGAAAATCAAGGTGCCTCTGCTTACAAGATGTGCAGAACCATGACACACATACACAGAGAACTGTCTCCCAACAGTCACCTCCCTAGTGATGCCTGCTTGCCCCAACAGTTCACCCTCTTTCCCCTACAGGCCTCCTCATTGCCCATGTCTATCATTATCGTCGGTGTAGGACCAGCCATGTTTGAGGGTGAGTAGGAAGGGGTGTCCCTGAGTGGGACTAAGAACTAAGGAGAAAAGTGGGAGGGGGTCGGGTACTTGGGCCTGCCTCACAGATGACACAAGGTAGACACCCCCGTGTGAAGCCTTGGTCAAGTCACAGACCTTCTCTGAACCTGTTTCCTTATCAGAACCAAGGCTGATGATACTAATACTTCCCTCTGGGGTTCCTGGGAGGATGGACTGCCTGGGAGGCATAATAATAGTAATAATAACTCCATAACGAAGACTGATATTTGTAGGACTTGATCACAAGCATTAGGCATTCTCCTGATGACTCCAAAGGGGAGCTCAAAGGGAGGGGGCAGCATGGGGTGGGGCTGGAGAGGCCAATCAGCTGAGGGGTGTGTCTTTTCTGCAGCAATGGAAGAGTTGGACGGTGATGATGTGCGCGTGTCCTCTAGGGGACGCTACGCAGAGCGGGACATCGTTCAGGTAGACCTGACGTGGGAGAGGCTGTGGAGCTGAGAGGCACAGTGAGAAGAGGCTAAGTTGGGAGCCACTTTCACTTACTGCCTTCTCAGTCTCCTACTTTTTTCCCCCGTCACTCTTTCATCCTTTCTCATTCATTGAATACATCCTTTTTGACAAACAGGAAGGTTGCTGCAGCCTTGGCACATCCGTGGTGTAGGTCGGGAGGTCCCCAAGGCCCCTGCCCTCTAGTGGAGACAACCAACAATAAATAATCACACAAAGAAATATCTCATTAGATTGTGATAAGTACTCCAGAGGAATAGCAAATGCCACTGTGAGAGCCTGTAACAGGGACCTAACATAGGTACAGTAGTCAGGAAAGGGTTCTTTAGCTTGCCAAGACCTAAGGGAGGGGATAAGCATTACAGGGAGAGGAGCAGCATGTGAGAAGGCTCTGAGGCCCAGAAGAACTGGCCCGATCCACGAAAAAGCAGAAGCTAGGGTAGCAGGATCACACTGAGTGTGAGGAGGGAGGCAAAATTTGGGGGTATGTTAGAATTGGAAAGCTCTTGAAGGATTTTACATAGAGGAGTGAGATGGCATTTTAAAAGGATCTCTCTAGCTGCTGCATGGTGGGTGGACAGTAACAGGGCAAGAGAAAAGGCAGGTAGACTCATTAGTGAGGAAGCCTTTGAAGTAGTAGAGGGGAGGCGATAAAGATCTGGCTAGAAGCAGTGGGGAGGGAGAGAAAGTGGCAGGTTCAAAAGATATTTAAGAAGAAAATTTTACAAGACTTGATGATTAGATGATGACAGGGAGTGAGGAGGGCTTCAAGGATGACTCAGTATTCTAGCTTAAGCAACTGGGTGAGTGACATCCCATTTGCTGGGAAGGGGAAAGCTAGAGGAGGAGATTTGGCAGAAAGAGCTAGAATTCAGTTGTGAACACACTGGGTTCGAAGTATCTGTGACAATTGAATGGAGTGGTAATATGGGCAACTAAATATGTGGTTCTAGACCTTAAAAAGAGGTCAGGGATGGGCCCAAGCATGGCGGCTCATGCCTATAATCCCAACACTTTGGTAGGCCAAGGCAGGAGGGCCTCTTGAGACCAGGAGTTTGAGACCAGCCTGGACAACATAGCAAGACCTGATCTCTGCTACATTAAAAAAATAAAGGCCGGGCGCGGTGGCTCACGCTTGTAATCCCAGCACTTTGGGAGGCTGAGGCGGGCGGATTGCCTGAGGTCAGGAGTTCGAAACCAGCCTGACCAACATGGAGAAACCCCGTCTCTACTAAAAATATAAAATTAGCCGGGTGTGGTGGTGCATGTCTGTAATCCCAGCTACTTGGGAGGCTGAGGCAGGAGAATCACTTGAACCCGGGAGGCAGAGATTGCAGTGAGCCGAGATCGCACCATTGCTCTCCAGCCTGGGCAACAAGAGTGAAACTCTGTCTCAAAAGAAAAAAATAAAATAAATAAAAATAAAACATAATTTTTTGAAAAGAGGTCATGGATGGATATATACATTTGGCAGTCATTAGAAACAGATTTTCTTTTGTTTTTTTTCTCCCTTATCAGCCCCTCTCCCCCCACATCTCATTTCTTCTCCTCTCCCTAAGTCCCTCTCCTAGGCCTCTCTCTCTTCCCAGCCCCTTCTCACAGACTCCTCCTCCTTCTTGCCCCAGCTCCATCTCTCTGACCTCCTCCTGTTCTCAGGATCCCTTCTCTCTGGTCCCTGCCCCTTGTCTCCCCTGCTCCCTCCTTTCCAGTCTCCCTCCCCACCTCCTGGCCTGCTCTACTTCCTTCCAGGGAACAATTTTTAAAGTCATGGAAGTGTATGAAATCATCCAGGAAGAGAGCTGAGAGAGAGAAGGGACCAGGTTTAGAGAGCAGATAGACCCAGAGGAATGGTGGTGGGAGGGGGGAGCTTCAAGAAAGGTAAGCAAGAAGCCAGAAGAGTGTGGTATCAAGAGTGGGACGTGTCCAGAAGAATTATGGTCAAATGTAATGGAAAGCTAAAGAGAAGTCAAGCAAGATGAGGACTAAAAATTACTGTTCACTGGACTGATTTAGCAACACAGGGCCACTGACGACATCAGCAAAAGCAGTTTCAATGGCCTGTGTGAAGCCAAACTGGAGTGGGTTGAGGGTGAATAAAAGGTGGAAAAAAAAGTGGGTGGAGAGAAAGCAAATGTAGAAAACTGTTCAAGATGTGGAGAGGGAGATACTGTGATAGTTGGAAAGAGATGCTGGGGATCAAAAAAGAAGCCTCCCTGCTGCACCCCCATGCCCTCTCTCCTGGTCATGGCTTATCTCTTCTTGTCTGTGCCTGACCCAGTTCGTCCCATTCCGAGACTATGTTGACCGGTCGGGGAACCAGGTGTTGAGCATGGCCCGACTGGCCAAGGATGTGCTGGCCGAGATCCCGGAGCAGCTGCTGTCCTATATGCGCACCAGAGACATCCAGCCTCGGCCCCCACCCCCTGCCAACCCCAGCCCGATCCCAGCTCCAGAGCAGCCCTGAGGATTCCACATATCCAATGCCTCACAGTCTGCAAGCCTGCTCACCCACTGCTTCTGCTTTAAGCCAGAGGCACCTGGAACCCTGGACTTCACTGGGAGGGCCAACTTGGAGGATCAGTGCTGGCTGACAAGCCCTCCGCCTCCTTGCCTGCAGAGGGCCTGGCACTATCACCACCTCTCTGCCTTCATGCCAATAATAAAGCTGATCTTTATTCCACCTCTGTCTCATGCATGTTGGCGAAGGAAGACTATGGGACCCAACGACTGGGGCCACATCAAGAGGGAGGGAACCAGGATGGCTTCAGTTAGATTCATCCCCATCCTAACACGTTCATCCAATCACTTCTTCATACATTCTTCAAAGACCTTAATAAGTGAAACTTTGTATGTTTTTCCTCAGGAGAGAGGCCCATAGTTGTTTTTTTTCTTTTTTCCATAAAATCCGAATCCTACACACGACCCATAGTTCTCAGCAGATTCTCAAACGAATTCCTGACCACTAAAGGAGATAACTTAGTATAACTCTGCTTTGATCCATCTATTCTGAATTATTTTAATAAGGATAATAACAGCTAATATTTTCTTTGAACATTCACTACATGTCAAACCGTGTGCTAGGTGATTTACAAGCATCATCTCATTTAATTCTCACAACAACTCTGAGAACAGGTACTATATATTATTCCCACTTTACCCATAAGGAAACTGAGGCTCTGAGAAGATGAGTCATTTAAGATAATTCATCAGTTTGACTTCAGATCCCAAGATCTTAATCAGCAAACCTCTTCCTGGCATGTCGATTTTATTGGGATGGTTTTTAGAAAACATACATTTTATTGGGTCAAATGCAAAGTTTGCATTAAGAAGATAGAAGCTTTCAGATGCTTTGGGCTTTGTCCCAGAACCCTGGAAGACCTTTCACGCTCCTCTTTGATGACAAAACTGGAGAAGTATTGTTTAAGGATGTCTCCCCCTGCCATGCAAGTTCTCTGAAACCCTCAAGAACTAACAACAGAGTTTTCGAGCTCTGTTTTACAAATAAGGAACTTAAAGAACTGAACTTGCCCACGTTCACATTGCTAGGAGGTGACCCACTCACATTAAATCAGCTGTTTTGGCACCATGTTCCAATCAGCAACCCGCAGCACATCCCTGCCAACCCACAGATTTCCCACCGCTTTACCAGACAAGCCCTTTCACACCCACCGGCCCCAAACCAGCCCCTTCTCTCAGACCCATACCTTTTCTCTAGCACCTCTCCTTTACTTTTCCCAAGTTTCTTCCCTTTCCTTCAGTCACGCCCCGTTATCCCTAATCGGTCCTGCCCTTTCCCCACAGCTCCGCCCCTGCCTTACCAAGCCCCGCCTGCTCCCTTCAGCGTCGCATCGCTTTTTCCAACTTTGTTCTTTATTTCTAGTCCAGCTCCACTTTCCAGGCTCATCCAAAGCTCCGCCCTTTCTCTCGCGAGTACTCTTCTTCTGTTTAGCCCCACTTTTTACCCCGCTATTCTAACAGGCCCCCGCTGTGCGGTAGCCCCGCCCCCTCCCACAAGCCCCGCCCCACAGACCGGTCTAGTCTCCAGCCCCGCCCCGGTCCTACCCATAACTACCGGTCCCTTAGGCTCCAGCCCGCATCCCTCTTGCTCCCGGCCCTGCCCCCAGCCCCGCCCCGTGACTCTGGCCCCGCCTCACCGCCTTCCTCCGAGACCAAGGCCAGGTCCCTCCCGCAGCCGCGGCGCCAGCAGGAGGCAGGGAGCGGATAGGGAGGAGGCAGAGGGGGAGGGGAGAAGGGCGGGCTCCTCACGCCCAGCCCCGCGCTCACCGTCCGTGGTTGCAGATTCGCCACAAACCGCCCGACGACCCCAGATCCCGAGTACGGTGACTTCAGTCTCCAGAAACTCCACTCTAAGATGGGAGAGCTAGAGAAGCCCTGTGGGGTGTCCAGGGTCCTTTCTGAATCCCGGAGCACGGTCTTTCGAGCCTCAGCGGGCGGGCGGGGATCCGTGGCGAAAGTGCAGCTCAGTAGCGCCGCGGCGCCACGTTTACCCTGCGCAGACGCCGTCGCCGCCGCTGCTGCCGCCGCCGCTGCCACAGCCTTTGCCGCCACGGTCTCCGCCGCCGCTGTCCTCGCGCTGCCTCTGGGAGCCTCCATTGTTCCAGCAGCGCCCGGTCCCGAGACCGGGCATCTTGGGGGCTCGCGAAACGGGCGGCGGCCGACGGAGTTGAGACCCCAGGGCGCCGGCGGGACCAGGAGCGGCAGGGGTCAGCTCAGGAATCCCGGGGAGCCGGGACCAAAGCGTGGGGCGGCAGGGGGCCGGGGTGGCGAGGTCTACGGTCTCCGGAGTTGGGGCTCCCCCTTCCCGGCCCGACTTTCCCCGCCGACCTCCCCAAGTGGGGTCGGAGCCCCGGCGGGCGCCCCCGGCGATGAGCCCGGACTCGAGGTGGCCGGTGAGTGCGGGCCTGGGACCAGGGCGGGAGTGGCCGGCAGGGAAGGGGTAGGCTACGTTCGTGGGACGCGCACTGAGCCGCGTGGCCCGGGAACCTCTCTGGCAACTCCAGTTGGGAGAACTGACAGTGCATTGCTTCCCAGCAGGCATCCTGGGGCAACAGTGTATCTTTCGGGGCTGCCCGGGCTAGTGGCAGGCGGGGAGCCTTGTTTCACTTGTTACACTTCCACAAAGGGGAAACGCCGCCGCATCCGGAGAGTGGGCTGCGGGCACTGCCGGGGCCCAGCCCTATCCCTCCGGCCCCCGCCCCTTACTTCCTCCAGCCCCCTGAGCTTCAGGGGCAGATGCAGCCGCCATTCTCCTTGGGCCCTCCCCACGGGCTTTCTGGTCTAAGTTCTCGTCTCCCTCGCCTGTGCCTCTGCTGCCGGGTTCCAAGGGGAGATTGCTGATTCGCTGTGCTACTTTGGGAACCATTCACCCGGGACCCAGCTTGGAAAGAGGAGAGCTTGTTTGTGCTTCGGTTGGTTTATGTTTAAAGACACAGCCGCAGGTAGGAAATAGAAGAGTTGCAGTTGGACGTGTAGCGTTACTGATGTGAAAATCAGGAGCCGTTGACAGTGGAGCTGGAGCAGCCCACTTGCCTGGTTAAGGCACAGGTGGAGAGGCCAAGAGGGGTTATTTTGTCAGGGAGCTCATGATAGCCCTGCCTGGCTGGGATGGTGCCAAGCCCCTAGCTGAATGGTTGAACTCAACTAGGCCGAGAGAAATTGGGGCAGTCTCTGACCAAGCTGGGCTTCCTGAGGCCTGGTGCCATCTGCTGTCTACACTCACCCAGGAATGTTGGGGAGCGGGGAGGGAGGGCCCCTGCGGACCAGCATGGAGCTGAGCATGCCTAGATTGTCGCGTTCGTGTTTGTACCCTTAGGGCCTGGCACTTGGTAGTCACTCAGTTGATGTGTGAGTGGGTGAACAGCTCAAATGTAATACAAGCTGCTGTCACTGACTAAATGACCTCAGTTTTCACTTTGTTTCACAGTACATCTCCTACCCAGTACCAGGGCCAGGCTCCCCATAAAGACCTCAAAAGTAAATGAATTCTTTCTGTGATCCAGTGATTTCTGCAGGAGTCCAACGCTAAAGCATTAGCCACCCACCCATTCAGCTTTCTACATGGCCTTCATCCCATCTGAGCTCTCAGTCTGGTGATCCCCTCATTCAGCTATTCGTTCAACAGGTCATTCATTCGTTCGCCAAAAACTGAATGTCCAGTGCATGCTAGGTACTGGGGATACAGAGGTGGATAGGCTCTGGTACCCTTGCTACACAGCTCCCAGTCCAGGGGGGAGACAACTTTCAGTATGTCAAGTGCTGTGGTAGAGGTGAGAATGGAATGCTGTGGAAACAGCTCCCCATGGGAGAGTCAGAGAAGTTGTGTCAGAAGTGACATTTGAGCTGGTTTTTTGAAGAATGAGTAGGAGCCCACCAATCAGAAAGTATGGAGGGCATTCCAAATAGGGATCATTTTGCAGGAATGAGAGGTTATAACATTCAGGGAATGGCAAGATCCCCTGTGTAGACAAAAACAGCTGTAACTTGTAAAAAGAAAGGAGGACTAGGGCCAGTCAGTGAAAGGAGCTCTTTGAATGGCATCATAGAGAATTTGGAATATTATCTTGAAGGAACTGGGAGCATCAGGAGGCTTTTAATGAAGAGAGTGTCATGATCATTACTACCTGGTAGAAAGATCATTCTCCTACATGATGTGAGATTGGGCTAAAGAAGTTGAGACATAGGGCAGGATAACCAGGCAAGAGGTGATGAGGGCCCAGATATGGGCTATGGTGGAGGAGATGGCATTTGGAGACACTGTAGAGGTAGGCTGGCCAGAATCTGGTGACTCCAAGTGAGGGGGAGGGCTAGAAAGACTGGGGTCTCTGGTGCAAATGGCCAGGAACTCATCCCCAGCCTTATGTTAACTGATCTGTGTATTCTAGATGTGACAGCATGGGGGTGGACTTTGATGTGAAGACTTTCTGCCACAACTTGCGGGCGACTAAGCCACCATACGAGTGCCCGGTGGAGACCTGCCGAAAGGTCTACAAGAGTTACAGTGGTATTGAGTACCACCTGTACCACTATGACCACGACAACCCACCACCCCCACAACAAACTCCACTCCGCAAGCACAAGAAAAAGGGGCGCCAGTCACGCCCAGCCAACAAGCAGTCACCCAGCCCCTCAGAGGTCTCACAGTCACCAGGCCGTGAGGTGATGAGCTATGCACAGGCCCAGCGCATGGTGGAGGTGGACTTGCATGGCCGCGTCCACCGCATCAGCATCTTTGACAACCTGGATGTGGTGTCAGAGGATGAGGAAGCCCCCGAGGAGGCCCCTGAGAATGGCAGCAACAAGGAGAACACTGAGACACCAGCTGCTACTCCCAAGTCAGGCAAACATAAGAACAAGGAGAAGCGCAAGGACTCCAACCATCACCACCACCACAATGTTTCTGCGAGCACCACTCCCAAGCTGCCAGAGGTGGTCTATCGGGAGCTGGAACAGGACACCCCTGATGCCCCACCCCGGCCAACTTCCTATTACCGGTAAGGCCACCTCTACCTTGCAGCTCTGGAAAACTGGTCAAGCAGGGCTCACTAGCCAGAGAGAGGTGAGAGGCACAGATAGAAGAGTGACAGGAATAAAGAATAGTGAAAGAACACTGATTTTGCCAGGGCAGTGAGTGGAATGGTACGCCACTAATGCACTTACTCTACAGTGCCACACGCTACTCCTTTATTTTATTCTCAAAACTCTCAGGTAGGTATTTTTCTCATTTCACAGATGAGGAAACTATGGTCAAGAAAGGGTGCCAGATTTATCCTTTTTTTTTTTTTTTTTTTTTTTGAGACAGGGCCTGGCTCTGTCACCCTGCCTGGAGTGCAGTTGGCTCACCCCAACTTCCTCCTTCCGTGCTTAAGTGATCCTCCCACTCAGCCTCCTGAGTAGCTGCAACTACAGGCACATGCCACCATGCCCAGCTAGTTTTTAAAATTTTTTGTAGAGATGGGGTTTCACCATGTTGCCTAGGCTAGTCTTGAATTCCTGGACTCAAGTGATCCACCCACCTCAGCCTCCCAAAGTGCTGGGATTACAGGCGTGAGCCACTGTGCCTGGCCAGACTTATCTGAAATCACATGCCAGTAGATAGCTGAACTGGGATTCAAACTCAGGTCCCTCTGACTCCATAGCTGTACTGTTTCCACTGTGGCAAAACATCCTGTTTCTGATTCCTGGTCCTCTCCATTTCCTTATGCATGACCTTGGGAAATGCATCCAAATTAACGTGTGTTTTAAGGACCCCATCTGCAGAGCAGATACGGTATTTCTCTGTCTCCCAAAAGGTAGAAGACTAGGATCACTGATTTCATAAGGTACTAAAAGCACTTTGTAAATCTGCAGAGGTAATTCTCCCACTATTTGTTCTGTTATTGTCATCTGTCCTTTAACATGTTTAAGCAGTATTTTATACTTAAACAATATTTAATACTCCTCCAGTGGCCCTTTTATTTTTGTCATTTAATTGTTTCTTTAACATGAGGTAAAAGATGAAGGGATATGGGGGGCAGTGTGGTGCTGAAACTACATGGAGAAATCCTGGCTGAAGGATGGCACTAAAACCAAGTGTAAAACCTCTCTGAAAGTTGGCATCCAAGGCAAAAAAGGCATTCTGATGAGTTAATTTGCCAAGAGTGTAAGTTTGTTTTCAGCTACTTAGAAGGCCTGGTCTCTGAGGAGGATTTGTCATAAAAGCTTTTATATGAAAAGCATTTTTTACCAAAAGTGCAGTCCACATGATGTTAAACCTCCATTTTTTTTTTTTTTTTTTTTTTTTTGAGACGGAGTCTCGCTCTGTCACCCAGGCTGGAGTGCAGTGGCGTGATCTCGGCTCACTGCGACCTCCACTGGGTTCAAGCAATTCTCACGCCTCAGCCTCCCGAGTAGCTGGGATTACAGGCACGTGCCACCACACCCAGCTAATTTTTGAGTTTTTAGTAGAGATGGGGTTTCACCATGTTGGCCAGGATGGTCTCGATCTCCTGACCTCATGATCCACCCGCCTCAGCCTCCCAAAGTGCTGGGATGACAGGCATGAGCCACCGCGCCCGGCCTAAATCTCAGTTCTTTAAAAGCAAATCTGGAAACAAGCAATATGGCCTGTAGCACTTTCTTCTCTCCACTGTTTGAGTTTAAGCCCATCTCCCACTTCCTCTCCCATTCTTTCATCTTTTCAGTCCAACTCCACTTCCTTCTGGCTTTCCACAGTCTTTCTCTTTTCTGTTCACACTGACTGCCCTACCCACCTCTGCCCTACTCCAAACACACAGACCCCTCTTTGGACTTCCCCTCCCTCCCAATGGCCCTTGAGCTCTCTCTGCTCTAACAGGCAGCCCAGCCCAGCTCATTCAGCTGCTTTTCTTCCTCCCTCCACTTAGACTGACTCTTTCTTTCTGGGGATCAGATATGTTCTTCAGGGGAGCAGTTCTCAGCAGGTACACTGCAAACAACTGAGATGTGTATTGCATGGAATTTGTTACCACTGTTGGTAAAACTGCCCAAGTTTTGGAAACGATTTACTTTTTATATAAATTGAGAAGATTTGAGGTCATCTCTCTAATAGCATCACTTTCTCTTGCTTGCATTCTAATATGCTTCCTTGAGGGGGAGAGAGAGGGTGGCATGTCAGCTGGTGTGCCAGGAATTATACGTGACATGCAGCCTACCTTATCTGTACTGCAGCCTGTAATCTGGGTGCCTGTGGGAGTGTGTTATGCACCATCACATAATGTCACGTGTGTCATGGCAGAGAAAAGGGTGAGAATTGGTGCTGAAGAGAGCTGGTGCCAAGGCCTGGAAGAAGCCAGATGGTTCACACCATCCATGAGTCATACCCTTGTTCAAAGATAGGGAGGTTGCAGTCACCTTGGGGAAGAGGTAAAAGGCTAAAAAGGAAGAAGCTGCTTCCTACAATGTTTCAGTCTCTCTCCTCCCTTCCACCCCCAAAATGCCTTTCAAATGAACAGTGATGAGTGCCTGTATCTGTATGGCGAATCAGACACAATCCCCACTTCTATCGTGTAGTGGAGGAGTTAGACACATACACAGCTATAATGCTAGGAAGGTGGGTAAAGGCCATACAAAAACTAATAAGTTAACATTTATTGAGTGCTTGCTGCACACCAGGCACTGTCCTAAGCACTTTACCTGCATTAACTCATTTAATGCTCAGAATAGCTATGTGAAATAGGTTCAGATTATTAGCATCACCACTTTACAGATGAACAAACAAGGCTCAGGGAGCTTAGCTCACTTGCCCTCTGTTAGACAGCACCCAGGCAGTGTGGCTCCAGAGCCTGTGTGTGCTGGCCCACTCTAGCAGCCAAAGTTCCATTTCCCACATAAGAGGAGAAACGAGCTAATGTTTTTCTAGGGCCTGCTGTGTGCCACTTGACTTAGCTCATTCATTTTTCAAAACAACTTTTTAATAAAAAGATAAATGTACATATTTGCACACGTCTGTATGTGGTCACACATGACTTAGTGGTTAGGTGGCATTTTACACCAAGGTGCTCACACTTCCTTCCATGGGCCTGCTGGGGGTTGCTGGAGCCTGATGGGGTAGTAGGCACTGGGCAAGGTAGTATATAAATAAATGTAAAGGCCAAGAGTTTGTGGCCTATTCATTTTTATAATTCCATATAACCCTGACAGTTTCTTTGTGAGTGGGTAGTATTATCCTCGTTCTGTCATCAGTAAAACTGAGGTTTAGTACAGCAGTGATGTCCTAAAAGTCATAAAATGGCAGAGGCAGGATTTAAATCTGGTTTGCTTAGAAGCCAAAGCCCCATCCCTTCCTTTGTACCCTGTAGTTTACAGTGCCAGAGTCTAGGCCACCTATAGCATGCCAGGCAAGGAGCACCTTCTCTGTGTGACAAGCACCGAGAGCAGCCCTCAATTCCAGGCCTGTTGGCATAGTAAGTGATACAGGTTGGACATTAAGAGCACTGGGCTGGAGGTTGAATGCCTCTGCCTCTGCCACTCCCTTGTTATGTGACCTATCTATGTTTTGATTAACTTCTCAAAGCTTAAGTTTTCTTATCTGCAAAATGAGGACAACAAGAACACTAACTCTATGGCTGTGGTAAGAATAAATGTAATAGTTAAGCACAATGCCTGGCTCATAGGAAATCCTCAGTAAACCTTAGCTATTATAATTGTTATCTCCCAAGGCTATCCAGTGAACAAACATAGCACCTAGAGTTTGACGGAGCCTTGAGCTGATGCTGACACTAGCTGAGAGAAGATCCATGGCAGCTCTAGTCGAGGCCCTGCCCACCAGTGCTAAAACAACTTATATGTAATTTGTCAATGACATCCAATGACCTTCCTTCTTCCCCGATTCTTCGTACCATCATCTGGACCACTCTAAGGGGTACTAGCTGCCCCACCTTCCTCCTTTTAGAGGAGGCTGGCTGAGCCTCTGCAACCCCAAGAAGATGGTGTCACATATAGCAGCTAGGACATGAGCTTTGCAGTGGCAGACCTGGGTTCACATCCCAGCTCCACCACTTTCTCACAAGTGAGCTGGGGCCAGGTGATTAACCTTCCAAGCCTTAGGTTTCCTTTTCAGCAAAATAGAAACGATGATAGTACCTATAATATCTGGAGTTAAGGTGAGGATGAAATGAGACAACACATCTGAAGGGCATAGGCACAGAGTAAGTGCTCAATGGCAAATGACCCATCATCTTTAAGGGAGGGAAATCTCAACCATGTGATGCTGAGTTCCCTGTTTGTACCGTAGGTACATCGAGAAGTCTGCAGAGGAGCTGGACGAGGAAGTAGAGTATGACATGGACGAGGAGGACTACATCTGGCTGGATATCATGAATGAGCGTCGGAAGACAGAGGGTGTAAGTCCCATCCCGCAGGAGATCTTTGAGTACCTAATGGACCGACTGGAGAAGGAGTCGTACTTTGAGAGTCATAATAAAGGCGACCCTAATGCGCTAGTGGACGAGGATGCTGTTTGCTGTATCTGCAATGATGGTGAGTGCCAGAACAGCAATGTCATCCTCTTCTGTGACATGTGCAACCTGGCCGTGCACCAGGAGTGCTACGGTGTCCCCTATATCCCTGAGGGCCAGTGGCTGTGCCGCCGTTGCCTGCAGTCACCCTCTCGTGCTGTGGATTGTGCCCTGTGCCCCAACAAGGGCGGTGCCTTCAAGCAGACAGATGACGGGCGCTGGGCCCATGTGGTGTGTGCCTTGTGGATCCCTGAGGTCTGCTTCGCCAACACGGTCTTCCTAGAGCCTATTGACAGCATTGAGCACATCCCACCAGCTCGCTGGAAGCTCACCTGCTACATTTGCAAACAACGGGGCTCAGGGGCCTGCATCCAGTGCCACAAGGCCAACTGTTACACAGCTTTCCATGTGACATGCGCCCAGCAGGCTGGCCTTTACATGAAGATGGAGCCTGTGCGGGAGACAGGCGCCAACGGCACCTCTTTCAGTGTCCGCAAGACAGCCTACTGCGACATCCACACGCCTCCAGGTTCAGCACGCCGACTGCCTGCCCTGTCCCACAGCGAGGGTGAGGAGGATGAAGATGAGGAGGAGGATGAGGGTAAGGGCTGGAGCTCAGAGAAAGTCAAGAAGGCCAAGGCCAAGTCCCGGATCAAAATGAAGAAGGCACGGAAGATCCTGGCAGAGAAGCGGGCAGCAGCACCTGTGGTGTCAGTGCCCTGCATCCCACCACACAGGTATGTGGGGAGCCGGTGGACAGGCAGATGAGGGAGAAAGGAGCCTCCAGGAGAGGAGCTGGCAGCCTCCTGAGTGGAATGGCAGGGCTGGGCTATCTTCCCAGGAGCTGCATAGAAGTTAAAAAGAACATATTTTCAAAACAGATAGTTGTCTTTAGCAGGTCACCTGACTTTCACATTAAGAGCCAGAAATGTCAGCTTTTATCTGGCATAGCTAACAGGCGTTTTGGAACTGCCCTTCATTTTGATGGTGTGGTTTGTTAAGTTGGGATGGAAGAGGATGGAACTGCCACTGGCAGCAATGGAAAAAATGGTCTGAATATGAAGAAACAAATAGAATGAAAAGCGGGGAAGGGGAAGCTCAAGAAGTTGTGAAGTGGTTACTGCTGCTCATTTGGGCTGTGATGGCCAGGGATTTTTTTAGTTCTCTTGTGCCGTTTATTTGATTTACTATATATTTCTGCTGTACAGTTGTACTTCATTTTAAAACCTTCAAAGGCTCAGTCTCAGTGGGGCTCCCAGGGTCAAATAGTACTCTGGGCTGCAGTGACTAGAGCAGTCTTAGGGGCAGAAGTCCCTGATTGCTGGTGTACAGGGTTAGGGATCTGGTTTAGTGCTGGGAGCTTGGTTTCCTGTCTGCCACGGTACCACTGATGGCACCACTCTTTCTTCCTTGCCTTAAGTCCAGAGTCCCAGGCCTTTTGGACAAGAGATCCTCTCCCTTCATCCCCATTCAGGAACTTTCACTGGCCAGAGACCCTTGCTCTGCTTAAGAGAATCAGGGCCCAACAAGTTTTACTCTTTGTTTCCTGCCTCCCAGGCTTAGTAAAATCACCAACCGCCTGACCATCCAAAGGAAGAGCCAGTTCATGCAGAGGCTGCACAGCTACTGGACACTGAAGCGGCAGTCACGGAATGGGGTCCCATTGCTACGTCGCCTGCAGACACACCTGCAATCTCAGAGGAACTGTGACCAAGTTGGGGTACTGTGTCCAGTTCCCTGTGGGCTCTGGGAACTAGCGCCAGGGGGACGAAAACCAAAATTTGCAACTGTAGTTTCCAGTGTCAGAGGGCTTAGACTCTTTCCTCCTTTAAGCTAGCCCTCAAACCAGGATCAGCATGGAATGTTCAATGAAAAGATGTTGTTCCTATGTGTTTATGTATTCATTCAACAAACACATACCAAGCATTTATTCTGCCAGGCCTTGGGGACACACAGATTGAGGCACTACCAATAAATTACTGTGCTCCCTCTTTTGGCTTGACCTGAGTTTCCTGGGCTCTCTTCTCCCTGTTGACCTTTCCTCTGGCTTTCTAATCATCCTCTGATCTTCGTTTTGCCTCTACAGAGAGATTCTGAGGATAAGAACTGGGCCCTTAAAGAACAGCTCAAGTCCTGGCAGCGGCTCCGGCATGACTTGGAGCGAGCTCGGCTGCTCGTGGAATTGATCCGCAAGCGGGAAAAACTCAAAAGGGAGACGGTGAGTGCTCCTGGGCCAGCCCTATTTTATAAAAGAAAAAACAAAAAATTAGCCAGGCATGGTGGCAGGCGCCTGTAGTCCCAGCTACTCGGGAGGCTGAGGCAGGAGAATGGCGTGAACCTGGGAGGAGGGGTTTGCAGTGAGCCAAGATCGTGCCACTGTACTCCAGCCTGGGCGACAGAGCGAGACTCCGTCTCAAAAAAAAAAAAAAAAAAAAGACCCAGGAGAAGGAATAGCGTGTGTACCCCAGCCAGATAGCAGCAGGGCTGACGCTGGAGTCAGGTCTCCTGGTGCTCGGTGTGCTTTTAGTTCTGCTGGAAGCAGAATGTCACAGGAGCGTATGAACAGAATCCTCAGTTATGTGACATAGGTAGCTGGTGCTGGTAGTTCAAGAAAGGGGGAAGCCAGAATTGTTGGTGCAAGTTTCCCTGGGTGGAGCCTCATAGAAGGTAGACCTGTATGAGTACACCCAGCTGTGAGGGTGGGAAAGAAGGCGGGTTCCCAGGCCAGCTGGGACCATATCCTCAGACCTCTTTGCCACTGAACTGGCCGAGGCCTGGCTGATCAGGCCTTTTTCTATGTTAGATCAAGGTTCAGCAGATTGCCATGGAGATGCAGCTGACTCCTTTCCTCATCCTCCTTCGCAAAACCTTGGAGCAGCTCCAAGAGAAGGACACAGGCAACATCTTCAGCGAGCCGGTCCCTCTGTCTGAGGTAACCGAATTGGACGAAGTAAGAATCCCTTCCCCTCACTCCACCTTCTCTCTGTTCCTCTCCCAGTTGGACCCCTGCTGCAGGTCTGGGCCAGGACTAGATGGGGACCTTGAAGAGAGGGGCTGGTGGCTCTGGGGCAGGATGAACTGGAGCCACATGTATCACCTGGACTCTGTCTTGTCCCTGTCACACCCCAAGGGCCCAGAATGGGAGGCAGTCTGCACTCCTTCCCCAGAGGCAGGGACTGAGTCTGCCAAATGAATAATCCCAGGGCAGGAAGACACTTTCGGGGTGCTGAACCCTAGAACGGAGACTTTAGAAGGCTCAGCACCTAAAGAACCAGCTCTGAAGCCCTAGGTCCTGACTGGCAGACTCTTCTCTCTAAAAGGTATAAAATGAGAGGCCTGAGGCAGCAGCCTCCTTATAAGTTACTGTTAAGTAAAAAGAGCTGTAGGAATGCAAGGTGGTGTTTATTTTCAGAGGAGTCCCCAAGCCATTTTCTTACTAAAGCCTCATATAGTCTAGAAAGTATATTTGGCTCTACTTTCATCATTTTCCAGGAGAGGAAAAGTAGGCCCAGAGAGGTTAAGAGACTTGCCAAAGTCACACAGCTTGTGACTGGTAAAGTCAGGACCAGAATCCAGCTTTCCTTTCCCCTGTGCTATATGCCTGCCTCTAACTGTGGTGGGAGGAGGTTGCTGGATGTGTTTCAGGGGGGCTTGTTAGGAGCAGGGTTCGGGGCAATAAGGAGGATATCTCCACTTAAAACAAACCTGCCCTGCCCTTCCAGGTACCTGACTACCTAGACCACATCAAAAAGCCCATGGACTTTTTCACCATGAAGCAGAACTTGGAGGCTTACCGCTACCTGAATTTTGATGATTTTGAGGAGGACTTCAACCTCATCGTCAGCAACTGCCTCAAGTATAACGCCAAGGACACCATCTTCTACCGGGCAGCAGTGCGGCTTCGTGAGCAGGGTGGTGCTGTGCTCCGCCAGGCCCGGCGCCAGGCAGAAAAAATGGGCATTGACTTTGAGACGGGCATGCATATCCCCCACAGCCTGGCTGGAGATGAGGCCACACACCACACTGAAGATGGTGGGTGATATATCACACACACATATAAGAGGCCAATGCCGGGGATGGACAGCTTTCCAAAAGTCCCCTCCTGGGAGCAGGCAGTGTAGGCAGAAAGCAGCTAGGCTGAGCAGTGGCAAGCTATCCCCAGGAATGCTCCCCAAGAAGCCAGACTGGGTGAATGGATAGCAGTGCCCGCCATTCCACATCTTGGTGCTGCTATTTTACAGCTGTTCCTGGTGAGAAGCCCAGGGGGGATGAGTGGGTTTCTTGCTGCCTGCCCAGGTTCAAGGGGCCCTGAGGGCTGCCCTGAGTCTGACCTTTCCCCTCCAACCCTACCCCTAGCAGCCGAGGAAGAGCGGCTGGTCTTGCTGGAGAACCAGAAGCACCTGCCAGTGGAAGAACAGCTAAAGCTGCTTCTGGAGCGGCTGGACGAAGTGAATGCCAGCAAGCAGAGTGTGGGCCGCTCACGGCGTGCAAAGATGATCAAGAAAGAGATGACGGCACTGCGGCGGAAGCTTGCCCATCAGCGAGAGACGGGACGTGATGGCCCTGAGCGGCATGGCCCCTCGAGCCGGGGTAGTCTGACACCCCACCCGGCAGCCTGTGACAAGGATGGGCAGACAGATAGTGCGGCAGAGGAGAGCAGCAGCCAGGAGACAAGCAAAGGTCTGAATCCCATGGCAAGGTGGACCCCAAAGCAAGTCAGACTTTGGCTCTGCAGCACACACTCAACCCCTGCCATTCCCCAGGCAGAGGTCCCTCCTACACAGCTAGCTGTACTTTCTCCCTCATTCCCCAATCAGGGGCCTCTTAGCTGCCTCTCTGGCTATTTGTATAAGAGTTAATCTTCCAAATTCCAAGCCCCTAAAATGATCTCCCCAACGTTAGCTGGAGTAATGGTCCTATATGCCCAGGGCATGACCCTGGATATCTACCCTTCTCAAATCAGGCCCCTCACCAACTCTCCTTCTTTCTTTCTCTGCTCCAGGCCTGGGTCCCAACATGTCCTCAACCCCCGCACATGAGGTGGGCAGGAGAACCTCAGTTCTGTTCTCCAAAAAGAACCCGAAGACAGCTGGACCGCCCAAGAGGCCGGGCCGGCCCCCCAAAAACCGGGAGAGCCAGATGACCCCCAGCCACGGAGGCAGTCCTGTGGGGCCCCCCCAGCTCCCCATCATGAGTTCCCTGCGTCAGCGCAAGCGGGGTAGGAGCCCCCGGCCCAGTTCGAGCTCAGACAGCGACAGTGATAAGTCCACAGAAGACCCCCCAATGGGTGAGCCTTACCATCACCCAGCCCCCCAAGAGAGTGAGCAAAGCTGCCATTCTTCCCAGCATACTCCCAGTTACCCCTTTATTTGCCCATAAAAGAGCGAGCTAGAAGGGTCCTTAGGAATCCTTTAACTCCACTCACTCATCTTACAGTTGGGAAAACTGAGGCCCAGAGACACTACGACCCAGCTAAAGTCCCATCCAGGGCCCCCTGCCTCCATTGTATCACTTTACCTTTTCTCTTCTCACCTTCCTTGGGGATCTCCTGCCCTTTAAGCCATTTGTGTCCTAAAGCCAGTAACTGCCGAGGGAAGCAAGGGGTGGAGCAGGGCTGTGGCCAACTGTGGTAGACACTGCCCAGAGCTAGCTCTGCTGGCCAAGGTTGGAGGAATTTTCCAGCACAGAAGGGGAACCCAAGCTCCAAGTCCCTCTTACCTCCATGTCATCTCTGATCTACATCTTCCTGACCGGTTCCTTCCCTCCTCCCCTTCCCTTCAACCAAGACTTACCAGCCAATGGCTTCAGCGGTGGAAACCAACCAGTGAAGAAGAGTTTCTTGGTATACCGTAATGACTGCAGCCTTCCCCGGAGCAGCTCAGACTCTGAGTCCAGCAGCAGTAGCAGTAGCAGCGCTGCTTCAGACCGGACCAGGTACCAGCCCTCCAGATCGAGGCCAACCTCAGGGGATGCCCTTCCAGGGCTCTTGGGCCTGTGTAGGTTTCCCTGTTGGAAGTGGGGTGGCAGCCATCTCAGTCTAGATTAAGATGGCTCAAACTCAAGGTTCTCTGCTAAATAAATAAATCAGTGTTACCATTAATAGAACAGAGAGAACCATCCTGGATTAAGGTGATGATTAGAGTATGCACTCCTGCCGCCACTGCTCAGGCTAACCCACCTCTGTTAGGTCATCAGCCTAGCCCCTGTGGGTGTTTGAATTTGAAATTCCTCATATAGCCTCTGCTTTCCAAAAGTCTCAGACCCTGCGGGCTTTAAGAGCTGAGGGCACATACCATGCTGTTCCCCATTCTTCCCCTCCTTTGAGCTGAGCTCCCATTGTCTTGTCCACAGCACAACGCCCTCAAAACAAGGCCGGGGCAAACCCTCCTTCTCTCGGGGCACTTTCCCAGAGGACAGCAGTGAGGATACCTCAGGCACTGAGAATGAGGCCTACTCCGTGGGCACTGGCCGCGGCGTGGGCCACAGCAGTAAGTTCCCTTGCCCAAGGCCAGGGATGCTGGGGACCCAGTGTCAGGGTCTCGCCAGCCCCCCAGCTGCTGATCCACCCCCTCTCCCCCATTCCTGTGAAGTGGTAAGGAAGAGTCTGGGCCGGGGAGCTGGCTGGCTGTCAGAGGATGAGGACTCCCCGCTGGATGCTCTGGACCTCGTGTGGGCCAAATGCCGAGGCTATCCATCATACCCAGCTCTGGTATGCTTGCTTCTGTTACACTTCTTGCTTTCCAATCCCAGAATACAGATTCACAGTTAGCAGACTTTTCCTACTCCCTGCTGAGCTGTGGGGCACAGAGTTTCTTGGTAAGGTAGACTGGTGGGCAGATACAGCTTGAGTACCACTTAGAGGCTCCCACTCAGTTTCTCCATCTCTCCCTTTTGCTTCTCTTTGCTCCTTGGGCTCTGAAATAATTTAGCATGGAAAGAAGCTGAGGGTCAGCATTGCAGTTCTAGTAGCATGATACCCTCTCTGTCCCCACTTCAGACATACTCTCTAAGTTCTTGAGGAGGAAAAGCCTTGGGAGGACATGGACTGAACCAAACTGGGCTCTTATTATATCCTCAGATCATTGATCCAAAGATGCCCCGAGAAGGTATGTTCCACCATGGGGTTCCCATCCCTGTGCCCCCACTGGAGGTGCTGAAACTTGGGGAGCAGATGACCCAGGAAGCCCGAGAGCATCTCTACCTCGTCCTCTTCTTTGACAACAAACGAACCTGGTAAGGAGGGGAGCATTTGGTGTGACTCACAGCCACAGATGCAGCCCTGTGTGGTATGGGGGCAGACTGCCAGGAAACTCCAGCAACAGGCAGACTGGGCTATCACAAGTCAGTGGGGGAGGGACTTAGAACAGTTTTTTGAGCGAAAGGGTTGTGTCGACCATGTGTCTGAGAGGCTGAGTGGGCACTAGTGGACACAGCTATAGCTAGAAACCAAAGGACCATCAGAGACTTATGACAAATATAGAGGTGGCTCCCACCCAGACTCAGATGGCTTCTAGACTTAGTTTTCCCACCTCTGCCTCCACAGTGACAAAATGAGGATAAAGCAGGCATAAACATTCAGGCTCTGAATCCCTGTTCTGTCACATTTACACATGTAGTCTTTTTGTTAATTGTCTGCAGAGGATATTCAATGTCAGTAAAGTCTGCCTAGAGCCTATGGCACAGGGTAGCTATTTCTGGTGAGGTCAGGGTGCCTCCTTTTTGTACCCATAAATACCCTGTGATTACCCTCCCGCCGCCACCACACAGTATAACTGTTGACTGGGCTCTTTCATCTCTAGACCATGAACAGTCCTTTGAGGGCAGGGACCATCACAGAGTCTGGCCAGAGTGGGTGCTTGGGTGGTGTGTTTGAGTGAATAGAGGAGGAAGGCTGGTCCTTGTTCTCCCTGAGATGATTTATTTGATCTTCACCTTATCCTATAGGCAGTGGCTGCCCAGGACCAAGCTGGTTCCTCTGGGTGTGAACCAGGACCTAGACAAGGAGAAGATGCTGGAGGGCCGCAAGTCCAACATCCGCAAGTCAGTACAGATCGCCTACCACAGGGCTCTGCAGCACCGCAGCAAGGTGCAAGGCGAGCAGAGCAGTGAGACCAGCGATAGTGATTGATACTGCTCAACACAGCCCAACCTATAGTGCCCTGTGACTTCTCTCCTCCCCTTTGCTCACTGTCCTGGAGTGGCACCGGCCTCTGCACTGACTCATTTCTGGTCTTGGGGCCAGTCTCAGGGGAAGCTGGGTGGGGGAGGTCCCTCCTGCCCTAAGTGCAGCTGGACTGTACAGAACACTCCAAGGGCCAATGGCAGTTCAGCGCAAGGAGAGGGAGGGCCCACAGGTCAGAAAAAGCTCCAGAGACCTCACAGCATTGTAGGGCGGGGTGGTGGGCCAAAGTTAGGACACTGCGTAAAACAGGCCATCCCACCACCTCTACCTGCTCATGCCAGGAGAATCCATAACTGCCTAGAGGCCTGGGGCCCCTACCGGTCGTGAGGTGAGTGGGCATCTGTCCAGCCTGGAAGAGGGGCACTAGGTGACTCCCTCCCCTGCTGTTGTAAATACTGTAATTATCGGAGAATTTAAATTATTCTCATTTGTAACTGCGTTTCCGGGTCGCGCCAGAGTCATTTGGTACTAAAAAAAAAAAAAAAAAAGACTGGGGGCTGTCCCCATTTCCCTTCTCTTTCCCATAGATTCCCCCACCTTTCAAACTGGTTTGTATTTATTTCAAAGGAAGAAAATATATTGATTCTTAGAAAATAAACTGTCAATTTAGAATTCTTTGTTCTTGCCCCCTGCCAGGGCAAAGGGGATACAAAGGGAGGTTCTGTGCCCCAGGGATGATACATAATTGGGCCCAAGTGGTTGCTGACTGCTGTGCATGCTACATTTCATAAGACACAGCAAAGAGAGCCCCTGTTGCCCATGCATGGAGTGAGTGGCAGGCCCTGTGTTGAGCACCTTTAGACATTCAGCTTTGCGTAATCCTTGCAATAACTATAGGGTAGTTTAATAATAGACTGGTTATCTCCACAAAGATGCTGAAGTTTCAAAAAATTATCTTGCCTAAGTTCCTACAACTAGGAAGGTGCAGAGCTAGAATTGGAACCCAGGTCTGTTTGCAAACCTGGCTCTTCAACCAGTATGCTGAACTGCCAGGGGAAGAGTCAACTATCGATTCCTACTTGGCCCTTAGAGGCCTCAAGTCCTTTGCCAGTGGCATGGCCCAAGTGTTTCAGCATCAATACAGCTGAGACCTTCCCCACTGCTTAACCGGAGACAGAGCTGGGATGGAGACGGTTGCTCTTTGCTCACCCCCAACCTCAGCACCTTCTTTCCAGACTCCACCGACATTTATTGAAGGAATGCCTTCCAAGTGCTAGGCGCCTGTGGGATGGCATGCCTACAGATAGGAACAGTCACAGGAAGAAGGGGCGGCCCAGGCCTTGCAGCCACTGAGGACTGGCACTGAGACAATGATGGCACTGGTCTGATGTTGATTCCATGCTGACGGTACACTCCGCTAGGTCTCTGGCTGGGACACAAGGGTCAATCCGCTGCAGATGTTGCTCTTCAAGAATTTGCAGTCTGGGCGGGGTGCGGTGGCTCACGCCTGTAATCCCAACACTTTAAGAGGCCGAGGCGGCTGGATCACGAGGTCAAGAGATCGAGACCATGCTAGCCAACATGGTGAAACCCCATCTCTACTAAAAATACAAAAATTAGCTGGGCGTGGTGGCGCGCACCTGTAGTCCCAGCTACTCGGGAGGCTGAGGCAGGAGAATCGCTTGAACCCGGGAGGCGGAGCTTGCAGTGAGCCGAGATCGCGCCATCACACTCCAGCCTAGGCGACAGAGTGAGACTCCGTCTCAAAGAAAAAAAACTTGCAGCCTGATAGTTAAGATACAGCAACCCCAAATCCCTATGCTAAAAGGTGAGAATGGCCCAGATAAAGGTCATGTCTCCTAGCTCCCTGCTTTTTCATGCCATCCTCCAGAAGGGAAGAAATTAAATAATCCATCCTCCTACTCCAGGCGACTAGAAGGCAGGCTGCCTCAGGGCCACACACTGGGACTTGGACTCAACCTGATGGGCTTCTGGGCCCAGCCCCAGACAAACCCCCGGCAAACGTCCCATTCCGAGGAAAGCATGAGCAGATGGAGTATGGAAGAAATGCCCAAGACGGCAGGCAGCAGCTGTGGCGGCCGGCGGGACGACAATCCGAGGAGAGGCCTCTGATGTCCTGAGGTCTCAGAGGACGCCTAAAGGCCTTGAATGGGACAAGCTTAGCGGGCGGGCGCAGAAGAGAATAATACTCTGGAGACACTTCCCGAGGGCTCTGGGGCCGGAGCTGTGTTCGCTCCGGTTCTTGGTGAAGACAGGGTTCGTGGGAGGCGGCCCAAGGAGGGCGAACGCCTAAGACTGCAAAGGCTCGGGGGAGAACGGCTCTCGGAGAACGGGCTGGGGAAGGACGTGGCTCTGAAGACGGACAGCCCTGAGGAACCGCGGGGCGCCCAGATGGAACTCGTTAGCGCCCCGAGTGCAGACAATCCCGGAGGGGGAAAGGCGAGCAGCTGGCAGAGAGCCCAGTGCCGGCCAACCGCGCGAGCGCCTCAGAACGGCCCGCCCACCCTGATTTCTCATTGGCGCCTCCTACCTCCTCCTCGGATTGGCTACCTCTAGGTGAAATGAGCGGTGGTTGAGCCCTACTTCCGGTGGTGCTGTGGTCTGCCCCTGGAGAACCCAGAAGAACACAGCTGTGCGCGCCCACAGGCTCTGGGGGCGGGAGAAGATAAGTCGCAAGGAGGGGGCGGGACCTACACCTCAGGAAAGCCGGAGAATTGGGGCACGAAGCGGGGCTTTGATGACCCGCAAAGGGCGAGGCATGCAGGAGGTGGAGGAATTAAGTGAAACAGGGAAGGTTGTTAAACAGCACCGTGTGGGCGAGGCCTTAAGGGTCGTGGTCCTTGTCTGGGCGGGGTCTTTGGGCGTCGACGAGGCCTGGTTCTGGGTAGGCGGGGCTACTACGGGGCGGTGCCTGCTGTGGAAATGCCTGCCCGCGCGCTTCTGCCCAGGCGCATGGGGCATCGTACTCTAGCCTCCACTCCTGCCCTGTGGGCCTCCATCCCGTGCCCTCGCTCTGAGCTGCGCCTGGACCTGGTTCTGCCTTCTGGACAATCTTTCCGGTGAGTGACTGAGCCTGAGAAGCCTGTCCCCTCGGACTGGCTCCTGCCGCCTCAACACTGCCTGGCATGGGGTACAAAGGAATTTGGGGGATGATGGAAGAAACCCGGGGTACAAAAGAGGAAACAAGCACGGGTAGCCAACCTGTTACCTTTAATATGTCTGTACAGTGATAATTGTAAGGATCCAGCGGTATAACCGATGCAGAAGATAATAGCACTTGTTTTTCTTTTTTTGAGACAGGGTCTCGCTCTGTTGCCCAGGTAGGAATGCAGAGAGGCCCATTCCAGCCTCGACCCCCCGGGCGCAGCCTCCCGAGTAGCTGGGACTACAGGTGTGCGCCATGCCCGGTTAAATTTTTGTATTTTTTGTAGAGGTGAGGTTTCGCCATGTTGCTCAGACTGGAAGATAGCACTGTTACTTGTATTAGTTTCGTACATGGAGCTATTGTAGGATAGGAGGGACCCCAAAGGGTGCAAGAAAGGAAATTGAGTGCCAGGGTTGTCATGTGCCTTGGGCTCAGGTGGAGGGAGCAAAGTCCTGCACACTGGAGTGGTGTACTAGCGGATCAAGTATGGACACTGACTCAGACTGAGGAGCAGCTCCACTGCACTGTGTACCGAGGAGACAAGAGCCAGGCTAGCAGGCCCACACCAGACGAGCTGGAGGCCGTGCGCAAGTACTTCCAGCTAGATGTTACCCTGGCTCAACTGTATCACCACTGGGGTTCCGTGGACTCCCACTTCCAAGAGGTGGCTCAGAAATTCCAAGGTGAGTACAGGACCTGGGCTGGGGTTAGGGTTCTTGGACATAAGTCACTTCTCTATGACTCAGTTTTGCCACCTGTAAAATGGGGATTATATCTACTTCATAGGCTTTTATGAGGATTTAAGGAACTAATACATGTAAAGTGCTTAGAATAATGCCAGGCACATAGTAAGTATTATTACCATTATTATTATCCTGCTAATCACCATAGTGAAGTGACAAGGATTTTGAGCCCATTCCTGGTTGTGTGACCTAGGGCAAGTGATTTCATTCATTCTGTAAATATATACAAAGCATCTGCTGTGTGACCGGGGATACACCAGTGAACAAAACAGACCCAAATGCCAGTCCTCATGGAGCTTACATTGTGGCCTCTTTATCTGTGGAATGGGATGGTAACTCAGCCCTCACAAGATGCTATGAGGAATGAGAGGTCTGGTGTTGCTTTCTCTAACGGTGCTGACTCTCATTCTCCTGGGATCCTCCTGGAGTTTTGGTACCTAGGATCTGACCTGTGGGTGGGAAGAGGCCACACCCAACAGCAGGTACCTCTCCTACCCCCTGCATTTCTGGTCTCCAGGTGTGCGACTGCTGCGACAAGACCCCATCGAATGCCTTTTCTCTTTTATCTGTTCCTCCAACAACAACATCGCCCGCATCACTGGCATGGTGGAGCGGCTGTGCCAGGCTTTTGGACCTCGGCTCATCCAGCTTGATGATGTCACCTACCATGGCTTCCCCAGCCTGCAGGCCCTGGCTGGTGAGTAGGTGGGTCCCCTGCCCCCAGGCCTTCCATCAGCTTTCAAGATCTGTTCATTTCTCCCCTGGTTACCTTCTCAAGGCTTCCTGCCTTCCCAAACACTTCCCCTATCCAGAACCGCCCTGCCTGGTCTGATCAACTCCAGTTACTCATCCTCCCTATGCATCCCTAAAATGTCAGCACCTCACTGGTCTGTGCTTTTTGCCCAATGGGTTCAATGCCTAATCAGAAAAATATCTGTATACAATGTACAGTAGTTTGGGGTTAAGAGCATGCATTCTGGGGACAGACCCATGCCTGGTTCTGAACCCCAACTCTCACTTGGGCACATTATTTAGCATCTCTGTACTAAAGTTTCTTCATCTGTGAAGTAGAATAATAATAGCACCTACCTATGCTATTATTGGAGTTGTCATGAGGGTTGAAGAAAGGAATATACATACTGCACCTAGCACAGTGTTTGGCACACAGGAAGTATATGTAAAATTCAAGCTGGTATCAGCCAGGCGCAGTGGCTCACACCTGGCTAACACAGTGAAACCCCGTCTCCAGCCTGGGCAACAGAGCGAGACTCTGTCTCAAAAAAAAAAAAAAAAAAAAAAATTCAAGCTGGTATCATTGTAGTGAATGGGATAGTTTTGTATCTAAGAACACGTGTGTTCTTCACAGTAGCCCTGTAAGGCAAATGTTTTACAGAGGCAAGTGTATCGATTGGCAGATGTGAGAACCAAGCTAGGACAAGTGCTTGGGAACTGCATAGCAAAGAGACAGACTGCCTCAAAACAGGAGAATGTTTTTGGTGCTTAGAAACCCATTCCTGGCCGGGCGTGGTGGCTCACGCCTGTAATCCCAACACTTTGGGAGGTCGAGGCAGGCAGATCATCTGAGGTCAGGAGTTCAAGACCAGCCTGGCCAACATGGTGAAACCCCATCTCTACTAAAAATACGAAAATTAGTCAGGCGTGATGGCAGGCACCTGTCCCAGCTACTCCGGAGGGTGAGGCAGGAGAATTGCTTGAACCCGGGAGCAGGAGGCTCCAGTGAACCAAGATCAGACCACAGCACTCCAGCCTGGGTTACAGAGCGAGACTCCATCTCAAAACAAACAAAAAGAAACCTGGGTCAGGCACGGTGGCTCACACCTGTAATCCCAACACTTTGGGAGGCTGAGGCAGGTGGATCACCTGAGGTCGGGAGTTTGAGACCAGACTGGCCAACCTGGTGAAACCCGCTCTCTGCTAAAAATTAGCTGGGCGTGGTGGCAGGTACCTGTAATCCCAGCTACTCAGGAGGCTGAGGCGGGAGAATCATTTGAACCTGGGAAGCAGAGGTTGCAGTGAGCTGAGATCATGCCATTGCACTCCAGCCTGGGCGACAGGGCGACAGGGCGAGACTCCGTCTCAAAAAAAAAAAAAAAACCTGGCCGGGCGTGGTGGCTCACACCCGTAATCCCAGCATTTTGGGAGGCCGAGGCGGGTGGATCACGAGGTCAGGAGATCAAGACCATCCTGCCTAATACGGTGAAACCCCGTCTCTACTAAAAATACAAAAAAAATTAGCCGGGTGTGGTGGTGGGCGCCTGTAGTCCCAGCTACTTGGGAGGCTGAGGCAGGAGAATGGCGTGAACCCGGGAGGCGAAGCTTGCAGTGAGCCGAGATCGTGCCACTGCACTCCAGCCTGGGCGACAGAGTGAGACTCTGTCTCAACAAAAAAAAAAAGAAACCTGTTCTTGAGTCTCAGCTCCTGGCTTAGTTAGTCATAAGGCCTCAAGAAAGTCATTCACCTCTTCCGGCTTCTCTTAGCTTGTTTGTAGAATGGGAATAACAGTTTCTATCTAGAAGGGCTTTGGGAGTGAATAAAGCAATCATGAGGCAGTGTAGTGTAATGGGTTAAGAGCACGGCGTTAGCCAGGTGGGGTAGCTCATGCTGGTAATTTCAGCACTTTTGGGAGCCCAAGGTGGGAGGATGGCTTGAGCCCAGGAGTTTGAGACCAGCCTGGGCAACATAGTGAGACCTCATCTCTACAAAAAATAAACAAAATTAGCCAGGCATGGTGACACAAGCCTGTAGTCTCAGCTACTCAGGAGGCTGAGGTGGGAGGATCGCTTGAGCCTTAGGAGGTCAAGGCTGTAGTGAACTGAGATTGTGCCACTGCATTCCAGCCTGGGTGACAGAGCAAGACCCTGTGTCAAAAAAAGAAAAAGCACAGGTCTTGGTGTCCCAGACCTAGGTGCAAGATCTTATCTCCCCCATGTCCTTTCTTAAGTAAGTTAACCTCTTCTAAGCCCTCATTTTCTCCACATGTAAAATGGGAAAACAGCAGTACTGTCAGTGGGGTTCTTGGGAAAAGTAAGCATGATAATATATCTGAAGCATGTTGCCTAGCACTTGATCATAGAAGCTGTTGCTATATTGTGGTTATTTTTTTAGATCATGAGTGTGAACACTCTTTCGGAAAGGTTAAGGAACTCAGTTGGGGAGCTCCTCAAGGGAAGCAAGTCCTCAGTCCCTGGACTAGACTTGGGCTCCGGGGCCAATTCATAGCAGGTGCTCAGAAAACATGTGTAGAGGGACAGGACCCAGGCCTAACCCTTTCCCTTGCACATAAAAGTGTCCACTATCCCATAGAGGGTGGGGAGGTAGGAGGGGAACTTAGGAAAAGCACTCTTGTGAGGTAGAGAGCTCACTTACTAGCCTAAGGACAGGAAGAACTTGAAGATGCCTGATGCTTGCCCTCCTCCTCACTCCCCGCAGGGCCAGAGGTGGAGGCTCATCTCAGGAAGCTGGGCCTGGGCTATCGTGCCCGTTACGTGAGTGCCAGTGCCCGAGCCATCCTGGAAGAACAGGGCGGGCTAGCCTGGCTGCAGCAGCTACGAGAGTCCTCATATGAGGAGGCCCACAAGGCCCTCTGCATCCTGCCTGGAGTGGGCACCAAGGTGAGGCCCCAGGGGGTAGGAGCTGCCCTCTCTACTGACACTAAGAGGAGAGCAGGAAATGAGCCAAGCCTGGGAGCTGGGTGGAGGCTTGGCTTCCGGAGGCAGAGCAGGAAGGAGAAAGGATATAAGTAGATGTTTTATGAGAGAAAAAAGCAGAGTGCAGAAAGAGTAGAAAGGATATAGCCCTTTGAATGAATTTCTAGAAAGACCATTTGTTCAGATGCAACACATATATGCTGCTATATATATGCAGCAATTTCCAGAAGGAAATTGCAGGAAACTAAATAATAGTTTCCTTGGGGGAGACAAATGGGAAGATATTTCTTCTTTTCGGTTTTTTGTTTGTTTGTTTGTTTTGGTAGAAATAGGCTCTTAACAATGTTGCCTAGGCTGGTCTTAAACTCTTGCCCTCAAGCAGTGTTCCTGCTTTGCCCTCCCAAAGTGCTGGAATTACAGGGATGAGCCACTGCTCCCGGCCACATTTTGTTCCTTTCGTAAAATGACATGTACTGACAAAACTTTTTGCTTGATGTCAATAGGGTTAACTGGCAATAAGATGACTGGAAATTAGGCATTTGTCTTTTTTTTTTTTTTTTTGAGGTGGAGTCTTGCTTTGTTGCCAGGCTGGAGTGCAGTGGTGCAATCTCGGCTCACTGCAACCTCCGCCTCCCGGCTTCAAGCTATTCTCCTGCCTCAGCCTCCAGATTAGCTGGGATTACAGGCATGCGCCACCACACCCAGCTAATTTTTGTATTTTTAGTAGAGATGGGGTTTCACCATGTTGGGCCAGGATGGTCTCAATCTGACCTCGAGATCCACCTGCCTCAGCCTCCCAAAGTGCTGGGATTACAGGCGTGAGCCACTGCACCCAGCCTTTTTTTTTCTTTATACTTCTCTGTAGTTTAAAAAATGAATTTTTGCTTAAAGATTTTTTTTTGATGGGCTTTGGACTACAGCCTAACATTAAATCTTGGTTCTGCCTATTCTCAGCCATGTGACTTTGGCCAGGTCACTTCACCTTTCAAAGCCTCAGTTTTCTTGTCTGTAAAGTGGGTGTGGTAATACCTTCTTCCCAGGTTATGATAACCTGGCCCACATAGGTGTTCAGCTAGTAGCACCTCTTATTACAGCAATTTCAGTGTATTCATAGGCCGCGCATGGTGGCTCACGCCTGTAATCCCAGCACTTTGGGAGGCCAAGGTGGACAGATCACTTGAGGTCAGGAGTTCGAGACCAGGCTGGCCAACATGGTGAAACCCCATCTCTACTAAAAACACAAAAATTAGCCACACGTGGTGGCACATGCCTGTAATCCCAGCTACTTGGGAGGCTGAGGTAGGAGAATTGCTTGAACCTGGGAGAGCCAGGATTGCACCAGTGCACTCCAGCCTAGGCAACAGAGCGAGACTCCATCTCAAAAACAAACAAAAAAAAAGTGTATTCATAGATAGTATCTGTTGATTGAGAATATAGAACAACAGTAACCCCAGAGTGAAGGAGAAAGCAGCCGGCTTTGGGGCTATAAGCAAGATGCTGGCCACATGCTGCCCTTCTTCCACAAGGGCTCATTCTGTGTCTGTCAAAGGTGGCTGACTGCATCTGCCTGATGGCCCTAGACAAGCCCCAGGCTGTGCCCGTGGATGTCCATATGTGGCACATTGCCCAACGTGACTACAGCTGGCACCCTACCACGTCCCAGGCGAAGGGACCGAGCCCCCAGACCAACAAGGAACTGGGTGAGGAAAGTGGGCTGCAGGGGCTGGCAGTGGGCTGGGATGGTAGAAACTTCTCTCTCTCTTAGTCACCTCTCCCTCAGACCCTACTTCTGTTGATGGGTCACAGAAGGGGTCAGATAACTTAGTCTCATCACTTCTGATTTAGGAAACTTTTTCCGGAGCCTGTGGGGACCTTATGCTGGCTGGGCCCAAGCGGTGAGTGTACCTAGGTGTCCTCCCTAGGTTTCCTCTCCTCCAGCCCAGACCCAGTGGACTCTTCCACCACCGCCCCAGGTGGCCCTAAAGGACTCTCCAGCCACCCCTGTCCCAACCCCAGTGGATTCTCATTGCCTTCGGCCCTGTTCCCCAAGGACTCTTCCACCTCCCAACACTGTCACTAGTCTCACCAGCCCTGACCCCAGTGTACCCTCCTCCCCACACAGACTCCACCCTCCTACAGGTGCTGTTCAGTGCCGACCTGCGCCAATCCCGCCATGCTCAGGAGCCACCAGCAAAGCGCAGAAAGGGTTCCAAAGGGCCGGAAGGCTAGATGGGGCACCCTGGACAAAGAAATTCCCCAAGCACCTTCCCCTCCATTCCCCACTTCTCTCTCCCCATCCCCACCCAGTCTCATGTTGGGGAGGGGCCTCCCTGTGACTACCTCAAAGGCCAGGCACCCCCAAATCAAGCAGTCAGTTTGCACAACAAGATGGGGTGGGGGATATTGAGGGAGACAGCGCTAAGGATGGTTTTATCTTCCCTTTATTACAAGAAGGAACAATAAAATAGAAACATTTGTATGGAAAATGCAGTGAGGAGTGGTAGGGAAGCAGGTGAGGAGGGGACAGGGCAGAGAAACTCCCGGTTCAGGGAGGGAAGGGGAGCAGGCTGCCCCCAAGCCCTCCCACGCAGAGGATCATGACCCGAGGTCCAGGGCCCTAGAGCTGGTGGGGCAGTGTGGGGGACAGTTCTGTGCCCGGCTCCACGCAGCAGTCTCGACAGCAACAGCCAGCTGCCGGCCCTGCATGGGAAGACAGAACAGAGGTGGCCGCAGGGGCAGGCCCTCCACTCCAGCCCGGGTGCACCTTTGTGGACCACCCATGCCCTTCTGCAGAGCCCGCTCCTCACCCCCAGCCACTGGTGTCAGCAGCTCCCCATGGCTCGCCGTCTGCCCCTGCCCCTCCTGGCTGGTGCCCAGCTGCAGTTTCCTCATGTGCCGCACCACAGCCGTGGCATTGAAGGCTTGCTGGCATTGAAGGCATTGAAGGGAGAGGGGAGAAAGGACTTTTGAGAGAGTCAAGTCATGGGGCAGGGGCGCAGTGGGATTCTTGCAATTGTTCTGTTATTTTCATTCAGGAGTTATTTTATTAATTCCCCTAAAGCCCCCCAAAAACCTCTACAAGGCTTTATTATATATTTACACACACACACGCACATATGTTAGATGTATGTGTATCTATATATATAAATAGAAACATAACTATAATTCATATTAATATGTAATAGCAAACACTATAGCACTGTATGTCAGGCACTGTTCTAAGCACTTTACGTAGTAATTCATTTAATCTTCATGAAAGTCTTTGAGGTAGGTACTATTATCATTTTCAAAGGAGGAAACTGAGGCACAGAAAGCTGAAGTAACTTGCTCAGGTGTGTCTCTATTCAATATCTCCACCTAGGTGTCCCACACACCCCTCAAATTCACCATGTCTAAAACTAAAACCATCCCCCCAAAACATGTTTCTGTCCCTGTGATAACCATCTCAGTCATGGTACCACCACCATCCATTCTGTTCCCAGCCACAGTCTTGGGCCAGCCCTTGACATCTCTTTCCCCCAACATCCATTGCATCGTCATGTCTTGTCAGTTTCACCTCCTAAATGACTCCTGGATCAACCACTGTTCTCTGCCCCCTGTTGCTGCTACTGTGGTTCCAAACCCTTACCATCTCCTGCCTGTATCTCTGCCACAGCCTCCTAATGCGTCACCCAGTCTTTACTCCATGCCATTCTCTGCATCCTGAGAGCTCTTTCTTTTTTTTTTGAGGTGGAGTCTCACTTTGTTGCCCAGGCTGGAGTGCAGTGGCGCGATCTCAGCTCACTGCAACCCCCATCTCCGAGGTTCAAGTAATTCTCCTGCCTCAGCTTCCCAAGTAGCTGGGATTACAGGCACGCACCACCATGTGTGGCTAATTCTTTTATTTTTAGTAGAGACAGGGTTTTGCCATGTTGGCCAGGATGGTCTTGAACTCCTGACCTCAGGTGATCCAACCACCTCGGCCTCCCAAAGTGCTGGGATTACAGGCGTGAGCCACCATGCCTGGCCCTGAGAGCCCTTTCTATGCAGCAAATACTTGCCTAAGATTCTTCTGGGGCTCCTCAGTGCCCTCAGGATCAAGTTGGTGCTCCTCTGTGGCATATGAGGCCCTAAGAGGCCTGGCCCCTTACCTGCTTCTCTAAATTGGGCTCCTGCCTCTCAGTCCCCTCAGCCCCTCCAGTCTGGCCAGGCTTAGCACTTGCACTTCCCGGAATGGCTATAGACATTATTCCGCTATGCCTCACTAATTCCTACTTAACTGACAGCTCTGTCAGGTCATCACCACTTTTATGACCTTTCTCGGACCCCATAGGCTGGATCAGATGCCTCCTGAAGAATTACAGACTTCTTCCTCTAGACTTGGAGGTGAGGGACCCTCTCTGGAATAGAGAAGGTGTTGGGAGTGTTTGTTGAATGAAAGAGTGAATGAATGAAGTCCTTCAGTAAGGATCCCTAAGCAGTTACTGTGTGCCCAGTGTGATGCCAGGTGCTGTGCAAGCTGAGCCTGGGTAGGGATGGGGAGGAGTCCTGGGGAGGCTGGGACCAGAACTAGGGATATGGACTCACCTTCCACTTGCTCTTGGCAAAGTTCTTCTTGATCTGCTCACTCACCGACTGGTGGATATTCTTATCTAGAGCTGTATCTCCTGCAATCCTAGGATGGGGTTATGTGGTGGGTTGCCTATGAGGGCAGAAGCAGACCTGAGGGCCCCAAATCCCGCCCCAGCTCACAGGTTGTGTGAATTCTCACCATGGGTGCTGCAAGGCCTGCTCACAGGTGAATCTTTTCTCTGGGTCCTTCTCCATCAAGTGCCGGATGAAATCTTTGGCTAAACCCCCAAGACAAAAGCAAAGATAATGACAGCATGGTACTGCCTGTGTACTCCCCAAGAGCATACCCACTCCCTCAGGTCTGGCCTGGCATCAAGACAAAGAGGCCAAATCAGTCCATGCCCCACCCCACCCAACCTATGCTCTTCTTCAGGCCCTCCCACCCCGTGCCTTCCAGCTCTTTCCTTTCTCTCTTAAGAAAAACATATGGCCGGGCACAGTGGCTCATGTCTGTAATCCCAGCACTTTGGGAGGCCAATGCAGGTGGATCACGAGGTCAGGAGTTCAAGACCAGCCTGGCCAAGATGGTGAAACCTTGTTTCTACTAAAAATACAAAAAAAATTAGCCGGGCATGGTGGTGGGCGCCTGTAATCCCAGCTACTTGGGAGGCTGAGGCAGAGAATTGCTCGAACCCGGGAGACAGAGGTTGCAGTGAGCCGAGATTGTGCCACTGCACTCCAGCCTGGGCAACAGAGCGAGACTGCGTCTCAAAAAAGAAAGAAAAAAAAAAAAAAGTTGTTCTTGACTAATCTCAGTGCATTCACACTGATGATAAACGATAGTAGCTTCACAGGTTTGCTTCTTAATAGGGGGCACAAAAGGAGGATGAAAATGTTTATGGTGGTGTTTTAGACATTAGGGTGTCAATAGGGGAGAGGTATTTTCAAATAGACTATGTTTGAAGATTGAACAAATGAATGCCTAGTTTCTCACTCTGGGAGCCAAGCAGAAGGAAGTACCCAAGCAGAAGGAAGAAGGGGTAGGGTGTCTGGTCTCGAAGACAGCTCTTTGTGTGGTGCTGGAAAATCCGACAGAAGGAAGGCAGGAGGGAGACCGCCCCCAAAGCAGGTGAGGGAGGAACCAGAGGCAGGGCCCAGGGGAAAAAAGCAAAGCCCCAAATACCAGAGTCAGAGATGTCGTCCCAGTAAGGAGAGTCAAACTCGTACTCGGCCTTCAAAATCTGTTCAAAGAGTTTGGCATCATTCTCGTCATAGAAGGGAGGGTAACCGCAGAGCCTGGGCAGGGAGAAACTCATCCTCATTTCCACTTTCGGGTGCCGTTGGCTCCGGGGTGGAGCACTGGGGCAGTCTCAGGGGTCAGGCAGGAGCCATGGAAGGAGTTCCCCCTTTATAAACTCTACCAGCCCTGCCTGCTCACTCCTGTTCTAGCTACATTATCCTTTCTGTTCCTTGTATGTGCCGCCATCTTGCCCTCCTCAGGGCCTTTGCACTTGCCATTGCTTCTGCCTATGCCACTCTTTCCCCACACCTCCAATGTCTGGCTCCCTCACCACTCGGTCATCACCTCCACAGCGAGCCCTTCCCTGACCTCCCTACTGAAATGGCATCACCCCGTCTCCCTATTCCTGCTTGGTTTTTCTCCACAGTATTTATTTTTATCACCTGACGTCAGTTTGTAGATTTATTTACTTGTTGATTGTCTGTCTTCCCTACTAGAAAGAAAGTCAGCTCCCTGAGGGCAGGCACTTTGTCTGGTTTGTGCTGTGCTAAATTTACCCCAGTGCTTGCTTGGCACAGTGCTTGAAACATAGTATCTATTGAATGAAGTAATACTGGTAATTGATTGGTGGAAGGAAGGGAGGGAGGGAAGGAAGGGAGGGCAGAGGGAGAGCAGAGGAAGGAAGAGAGGAAAGTAGGCGAGAGGACAACTCTGGAGCCACAGCCTACCATGGCCAAGCCCCACTTACAAGATGTAGGCGATGACACCTATGGACCAGCAATCCACAGCCTTGCTGTAGGGCTTCTGGGCCAGGACTTCAGGGGCTGTGGAGGGAAGAGGACGTGGTGGTGACAAATCTCTGCCCTTCAACTCCTGGTTCCCCCCACCATCACAGCCCCAGCCCAGGGCCCTCCGCACCCACGTATCCCGGAGTTCCACAGGCGGTGGAGAGCACACTGCCCGGGTCCTCCATCTTGGAGAGGCCAAAGTCGGAGATCATGATTTTGGAGTCTTCATCCAGGCTGTAGTACAGCAGATTCTCTGGCTTGAAGGGCAGGAGGGAAGAGAAGGGGCAATCAGAGATGGTTAGAGGCTGGTAGAACCTTCTGCCGCTCCAAGCACCTTCTGAGAAATAATGGATCCCCAAAAGCCACTGTGGCTTCATGGCTGTCATAAGAAAATCAAGGAAGCTCTCAAGAAGGCCAAAAATTCCAGGAAGGACAAGGCTCAAGAGGGTGTGGGGGGGAACTGTCTCTAAACCTCAGGTGTGCACTGTAAAGCCCTAAAGGAATGTTTGAATGCCTATTTTATGCCAGACCCTGGATTAGTGCTTGATTTAATGCCATCCTCACTGCTTCCCTGCTAGGCCAGTCTGTATAATCTCACCTAACAGATGAGGAAACTGATGCCTTTGGAGGCAAAGTGACTCACCCAAGAACCCACAGTTAGGCAGTAGCAGAGCCAGAATTCAAAACCAGGCATGTCACACCCCAAGTGCCCTTCTCCTAGAACGGATTGAGATGTACTGCTAAATGTGAGCCCCGTCGCTATTTCCGAGGAGTAGGATTTCGGGGATTTCTGGCTTTTTTCTTTATGTTTTGCTGTCCCATCCAAGTTTTCTACAGAAGGGGAATAGGATTTTTTGTTTTTATTTTATTTTTTTTGACATGGAGTCTCGCTCTGTCGTCCAGGCTCGCTCTGTCGCCCAGGCTGGCGTGCAATGGCACAATCTCAGCTTGCTGCAACCTCTGCCTCCCGGGTCCAAGTGATTCGCCTGCCTCAGCCTCCCTAGTAGCTGGGATTACAGGCATCTGCCACCACGCCGGGCTAATTTTTGTATTTTTGGTAGAGACAGGGTTTTGCCAAGCTGGTCTCGAACTGACCTCAGGTGATCCACCCGTCTCTGCCTCCTAAAGTGCTGGGATTACAGGCGTGAGCCATCCTGTCTGGCCAGATTTTTTTTTTTTTAATCAGAAAAAGACAAAATGTTGTTTGGATAAAATGCCACACAATTCACTCGTGTTCCTTTGAGTATCTGGACTAGAATGGGAGGAGGCAGTTTAAAGGTTACAAGATCCACTTTGTAGATGGAAATCCAAGGCTCAGTGAGGGGGTGAAAGTTGCCCAAGGTCAGACAGTTTGGGGTTTGCAAAGGCCCCACCCCTGGGTACCCTAGCTCACCACACCCCCTTGAGCCCCACCTTGAGATCCCGGTGTACAATGCCCAGGTCATGCAGGTATTTCACAGCATCCAGCACCTGGAAGATGAGGCGGCTGGCGTCCCGCTCCGTGTAGAAGCCTTTTTCCACAATACGGTCAAAGAGCTCCCCACCCGACACCCTGCAGCAGGGGATAGGGCAGTCTGGCAAAGAGGGTTGGGACAGCTGGGAGAGGTGTGGGGGCAGGGCAGAGGTTGGGCCACTCACAGCTGCATGATGAGGTAGAGGTGGCCCCCACTCTCATAGATGTCATCCAGGGCTACAATGTTGGGGTGCTTGATCCTGAAAGGAGAAATGAGGTGGTTTAGCCAGGCATGGCGGTGTGCACCTGTAGTCCAAGCTACTTGGGAACTTGGGAGGCTGAGGCAGGAGGATCACTTGGCCCCAGCAGTTCAAAGCTGCAGTCTGTTATGATTGCACCTGTGACTAGCCACTGCACTCCAGCCTGGGCAACAGAGTAAGACCCTGTCTCAAAAAAAAAAAAAAAAAAACAGCGGTTTAGAGCTCAGGACAGCTCAGCCACCCCCAACCCCCGACCACTGCCTACATACCTGGGTAGGACAAACCAAGGATCTCGTCCCCAAAGGGAAAAGCTAGCTTACCATGGTTTATTACCATTTTTTGGAAGGTGAGAGAGCAGAGGGATAAACACTGGGCTCTGGCATACACAGACCTGGGTCCAAATCCTGCCCGTCACATGCTATTTGGGTGCAGATCTTTTCACCAGTGAGCCACTGCACCCAGCCTGATACATACCTCTTAAGAGTTTTCTGGCTAGGCACAGAGACTCACACCTGTAATCCCAGCACTTTGGGAGGCCAAGGCAGGCGGATCACTTGAGGTCAGGAGTTCGAGACCAGCCTGGCCAACATGGCGAAAACCCATCTCTACTAAAAATACAAAAATTAGCCAGGCATGGTGGCACATGCCTGTAATCCCAGCTATCTGTGAGGCTGAGGCAGGAGAATTGCTTAAACCTGGGAAACGGAGGTTGCAGTGAGTCGAGATCATGCCATTACACTCCAGCCTGGGCAACAAGAGCAAAACTCCATCTCAAAAAAAATATATATATATAGTTTTCTGTGTTTACATGTTTGTCAGCCTCCCCCACCAGACATAAGCTCCCCGAATCCAGAGGCTTTGTCTTGCTTGCCACTGTTCCTCCAGCACCTGGTACAGGGTAGGTGCTAGATTTAATGTAACCTCTCTGAACCTCAGTTTCTTCATCTATAAAATGAAGCCAATGGTAGTACTTCCCTCAAAGAGTTGGAGTGAGGATCATGTGAGATAATGCAGGTAAGGTGCTTGGCACAGTGCCTGGCACACGGTAAATACTCATAAGTGAAACAATAATGGTAATTGATTTTTTTTTTCTTTTTTTGAGACGGAGTTTTACTCTTGTTGCTCAGGCTGGAGTGTTGCCCAGGCTGGAGTGCAATGGCATGATCTTGGCTCATCACAATTTCTGCCTCCTGGGTTCAAGTGATTCTTCTTTCTCAGCCTCTCAAGTAGCTGGGATTACAGGCATGCGCCACCATGTCCAGCTAATTTTGTATTTTTAGTAGAGACGGAGTTTCTCCATGTTGGTCAGGCTGGTTTGGAACTCCCCACCTCAGGTGATCTGCCCACTTCAGCCTCTCAAAGTGCTGGGATTACAGGCGTGAGCCACTGCGCCTGGCGTTTTTGTTTTTTTTTTGTTTTTTTTTTTTTTTTTGAGATGGAGTTTTGCTCTTGTTGCCTAGGCTGGAGTGTAATGCACGGTGTGATCTCGGCTCACCGCAACCTCCACCTCTCGGGTTTAAGCAATTCTCCTGCCTCAGCCTCCCAAGTAGCTGGGATTACAGGCATGTGCCACCACGCCTGGCTAATTTTGTATTTTTAGTAGAGACAGGGTTTCTCCGTGTTGGTCAGGCGATAATTGATCTTGATGATGAGGAAGGCTCAGCTCTGCCACAAACTTGCCATGTGACTGTATACAAATCCCTGTCCTCTCTGGGTCTTATTAGAAATGCTCTGCCAGGAGTTGGGTGTGGTGGCTCATGCCTAGCACTTTGGGAGGCCGAGGCGGGTGGATCACCTGAGGTCAGGAGTTCGAGACCAGCCTGGCCAACATGGCGAAACCCCATCTCTACTAAAAATACAAAAATTAGCCGGGCGTGGTGGCAGGTGCCTGTAATCCCAGCTACTAGGGAGGCTGAAGCAAGAGAATTGCTTGAACCCAAGAGGCAGAGGTTGCAGTGAGCCAAGATTGCGTCACTGCACTCCAGCCGGGGCAACAGAGTGAGACTCCATCTCAAAAAAAAAAAAAAAATTATCTGCCCAGGGTGGTTGGAAGCTCAGGGGAGAGATTGGAAGTGATTCTCTGTAAGTTTTCCAGTGAGGACAGGAGGTTTCATATCAGCATGAGCAATTCATAGACCAGTTGGTTGTGGATTTAGTCTGGGGGTCAGCAGACAGTCATTTTTAAACTTGCTGAGTGGTTTTAATATGTGAGGGGAACTTGAGGTAGGTCCAGAGACAACACCAACTGAGATATGTGGGTCCAAGCCATGTTCAGGATGGATCTTTACACCTGATTGAACAGTTAAACCCCTGTGACTAAGCACTGGCACCTCCATCACATCTGTCATGTTAGGCCAGGCACTTGAAATAAAGGACTTCTGATGTTCCCCACAACCCTGCCAAGTGGAAATTGTGATCCCCATTTTATAAAGGGGCAATTTAAGGCTTAGAGAGTTTAAATGATTTGTCCAAAGCAGGAAAGGAGGAGGATGGGAGGGCCAAGGCAGGGTCAGCTTGGGGCAGGGAAAGGCTGTGGCCCACGCACTTGTGCAGGACAGCAATCTCATTCTCCATGCTGCCTTCCTTGCCCTCCAGGGCCTCCTTGGCAATGCATTTGATGGCCACCAGCTTCTGCGTCCTCTTATCTTCTGCCAGGATCACCTCCGAGAAGGCCCCCCTATCGGGAGAGGGGATTCACAAGGTGAAGAACTGGAACCCCAGCTTCCCTCCAGCCTCTCCTCCATTCCCTATGGGTTCTGTGACCACTGCTGGACCAAGGACGTGGATGACCCTCCCCTAGTCACTCATCCATCCCCTGGCTCCAGAGATGGTCACATGACCCAGGCCTGGCCAGTCAAAGTAGTCTCTCCCCTGGCCACAGTAATTGGTCATGTGATGCAAGCCAGCTTACTAGCACTTTGAGAATGAGTCTCCTGTTGAGCTGGTAGGATGTAAGCCTGGAGCTAATGGCGATCATCTTTGCCACCACCTGGGGAGAGCCTGCTTGGGAATGAAATTAACACAAAGGAAGTCCAACCTGAGAAATGGCCAAATATATTTCCTGATAACATTATGTGGCCCTCTGGATCCAGCCATGCCTGAGGTCTACCCCTGGGCTTTTGGATTATGTGTACAGTTGGTTCATCCCTTTTTCTGCTAATTCGAGTCATGGCTAATTTAACACCCTTTAGAACCTTAAAGAACCATCAGCATCACCCGGGAACTTTTTTAGAAATGCAAAATCTCTACTGCTTTGGATCCTGGGTCAAAAAAAAGAAAAAAAAAAGAAATGCAAAACTTTAGGCCCTGCCCCAGATTTACTAAATCAATCTGCAGTTTAACAAAATCCTCAGGTGATTTGTATGCTCATTGAACTTTAAGAAGCAGTGTTTTAGAACAGGTTCTTAAAAAGGAACAAATAAACTCATTTAACTAAAGTTAACTGATTAAAGAGGATTTGCTAGGGTATTCTTTCCACATCTGTTTGCTTTCTCTGGGAGAATAAGAAGTCATAAGTCAAAGAAAAGCATCTCTCGTGGTGAAATTTCAATCCTCAGGGATAATTAGTTACTGTAGTAACCTCATCACTGGTTTCCAGTCTTGTCCCTCTCCAATTTACCCTCCAAGCTGTGGCCAGAGTGACTATCCTGAATTGCACACCTGCCAAAAAGTCTTAAGTGTCTCCCGGTGGCCTATGGGACAATATCCAGCCTCCCTGGCCTGGCTTCCAAAACCCTACACAAACTGTCCCACTTTCATCTCCAGCCCCTTTTTCCACTCTCCCCCCAGCCTGTGATTTTAAGCTCCATCACACTCTACCTCTCTCCACATAGAACCATGCCTCTAAGCCTTTGTTTATGCTATTCCTTCTGCCTGGAATGTCCTTCTTCCTCTCTGACAAGTGCACACCTACCCATCCTTCAGTCCCCAGCTCTAATGCCCCATTCTCCAGGAAGTTTTCCCCCAGGCAGAAGGCACAGCTCTCTCTGGGCTCCACAAAGCCCTCAATCCCAACCTTAATTGGAGCACAGCACACACCCTGTTGTCATTTTCTGTAGGTCTGTCTCTTGCACATGTCTGGGATCAACTTGAAGGGCAGAGACCAGGTTTGAGTTATTTCTGCATTCCCAGCACCAAGAACAGAGCCATCTCCAGCCTCAGTTCCCAAACCTAGGCTAGAACACTTAGCTCTTGGCAGCAAGTTAAATGGACTGACTGGCACCTTCATTCTCTCGACTTCTTTCTCTTCAAGAACCCAGGGCTATTGGGAGAGCAGCCCGTGTCCCACCCACTGTCATCCAGAAGTGAAAAGCTGGGGACAGTTTAGGCCCTAGATAGTGCTGCCACAGGGCCTGGGCTGTGGGAAACAGGAAGCATTAATTGACCAGAGGAAGCCCCACCCTGGACTCAGCCTCCCTCAGCCATCCAGCACCCAATCCTGCCCTGGACTCACGTGCCCAGAACATCTCGGAAGTCGTAGATGTCTCTAATGTCCTCCGCCTGCTTCCACCTGGGGCCTTCCACTGCCCCCAGCATGGCCCACTGCCCCCCGACCACAGCCAGGGCTCCTGTAAGGAGAATGGAAGGAGGAGACTCAGCAGAGCCCAGCCCTCTGTCTGGGAATTTACTGCAGGCCCCATTCAGTCATTCAACCTGCATTTATTCATCCTTGATTCATCCATTTGACAAAATCATTCAACAAACATTCATTTGTTTATTCAACATTCAGCAAATTCTCATGCCTAGAGAAAAACCTTTCACAGTGGCAGCAAAATTCTTTATTTAACAAAGTCATGCATTCATTCATTCATTTATTCTAGTTCTCTTCCCAGTTTTCCCCCTATCCAAATCCAAGCACCTAGGGAAACCCTGACTTCTGGCAGTACAACAGATAAACCCCCAGAGCAGCTGGTAGAAGCCTGGAGGATCCCCCTGTCCCCAGAACCAGTGATGTCCCCGCCCCACCCTGGGGATTGCTGGGGTGTCTCCTTTCCCTCCTCCTTCCCCCGACTCCCCGGCCTCTCCGAAATCAGGTTTCCAGCAGCCTGGGCTTCCAGCAACATCTCAGCCACATTTTTAAATAGCTCTTTCTGCACTGTTACCACAGCAACAACAGCCACAGCTGGAGCTCCCCAGACCTCTCCCTCCTGACTCCCCATCTGGGTCCCGGGAGCATGAGAAATGGTCCTGCTCACTCTGTCCCTTCCTGGCCCCATCTAACCCTATCCAGCCTGGCCCTTCCTCTGCTGAGGTCTGTCTCATCCAGCAGGAGAGGGTGGGAGTTCTCTCCCATTTATCAGATGAAGAATGGGGAGACTGAGGTTGGAGTTAGGTAGAGGCTGGCTCCAGAGGCCCTAATGACACCTGGCCTGGGGCCCCCAGCTAAGCTTGCTGAGGGCAAAGGCCATCGAATGGCCTTGGCTGGTACTTCCAATATGAAGCCAGAATGGGCCCCATTCAGAGAACACAGCCTCCCAACCCATCCACAGATGAGGCCAAAACAGAGCCCAGCATGCTTTGTGACCTCAGGGAGAGCACTTTCCTTCTCTCTTTTTCTCTAAGGGAGAATGAGGAGAAGGTGCCCTGACTAGGGCCTCTGGTGTGAGATTCCACTCCTGGAACAGGACCTTTTTCCCAGGGGACCCTGCCCACCCATCCAGGGGCAGAATCTTCTAGGAAAGGAGACTCGAGTGTAAGCTCTAGAGGCAGAGTCTGAAACCCACATGGAGGCCTACCAAATACAACCCTCACAGATCCACACACATCCCTGTAGCAGACATGCCACACCAAGCCCCCTCCACAGCCCTGAACTCAAACACCTGCCTCCCAGATCCAGTACGCCTTGTATCCACATCCCGTGACACCTGATCATACATGTACTCCCAGACATCAGCACACATGTCCACACCACACAGTGCCCCAGACAGCCCTGCACCCGAACACCTGCCTGTCCATCCAAACATCCCTCACCCAGCTCCCTCTTACACCCCAAAACACACATCCACCCGCACCCACACAAGATGACACCCAGACACACACACACACACCCTCATATACCAGACGTACCCTACACCCTCCAGCTCCTCTACCCCATCCCCTGGAAGCTCCTGTATTCCAAACCAAACCCCAAGTCCTTACACACCTAACTCCAAACATCCTCAGTACACAATTGTACACCCCCTCCTAACTCTGACTTAAGACCCTGAGAGCCAAATACCAGCACACAAAACACGTGGACACCCCTCTGGAACAAAAAACACACAGATTCCCAGATCCTCCACCCATGTCTGACCCACACGCCTGTCCTAAGACAGTACACTCCGCAAGCCCCCCCACCCCATGGATACCTCCAAATGCCCACGCCCTTCCAGTCAGGCCCAGCTGAAGGCGCTCACACAGGCCCCCTTCTCTATTACCCACTCAGTGTCCCATAGGCCCGCCTGGCACCTGCTGGGCCTGGGACAGAGGTGGAGAAAGGCCCAGCCCTGCCCCTCAGGGTCCAGCCCGCCCGGGAGAGTGCCCAGTGGCCACTCCTTGGGAAAGGATACCCAGAGGCTAGGGGCTCCCACCGCCCCCACGCAGCGCCCAGGGGTGCAGGGATGGGGGGCCCGGCTGTACCTGCGGCTGCCCCGCCGCGGGGCTGGCTGGGAGGCCCGCGGTGGTTGGCGCCGAGCTGTGGCCGCGGTCCTCACCGCTGCGTGCCTGGGCCACCCGCCCGCGCTCTTGCTGGAGCTGGGGCTCGGCTCGGCTCGGCGGCTCTCTCCGCCCGCCTGCGGCTCTGATGTCAGTGGAGGTGGAGCCTGCGGCGGAGGGACCCGGGATTGGGAGGCGAGGCACCGCTCCAAGGCTGGGGAAGGGGCACGGGTGGAGGCCATCTCCCTGCTTCTGGTCAGAGATCTCCTGCTGGACGCTTCCCGCCCTTGGTCTTAAGCGGGGTCCATTTCACAGAGGGGACAACTGAGGCCCGGAGAGATGATTTTCAAATCAGCGGGTGGTCGGAAGCAAAGCAGGATTCGAACCCCGTCTGTCTGAAGCTAGAGGCCGGCCAAACTCACCCTGTGGCCTGGTGGATTTTCTTTCAGACCAGTTCTGCGACCTCCCTTAGGGCTCTGTCTCCCTTCTCCGTGCCCTGAAGGGAAACAGGCCCTGGAACTGCACGGGAGTCTGGTGGGGGATGGGGGAGTGAGGGAGTGGGGAAGGACCGGGCAAGACTAGGCAATGAAGAGAGTGGAGGTGGTCGCAGGGTGTGGGCCCCACTTGACAGGTGGGAAGACTGAGGCCCCGGTTCCTCTGCAAGATGGAGCTGAGGCTTCAGCCCCAGACACTTGCTCCTCAGAGCGGGTGGTGGTGCCTAGAGGTATTGGGGGCAGAGGGAATTGGGGAGGAGGAAGTTAAATCGGGATCCTGAAGGAAACAGGCCAAAAAGGACCGAGGTGTCACGTGACTGGCGGGGCTCCAGAGTTTGATGGCTGGGGTCCAGGTTAGGGGAGAGAGCCTGCAACTAGGACGGCAGGCAAGAGGCCAAAGGTCGGTTTGCTCAAGGCCTTCCTTGGGAAGAAATTTGGTGCCGAGTGGAAAGAGGGGGCGGGGGGAGCAACTCGCAGGAATTGGGGATGGGGCTGAACTGGGGGCAGCCGGAGGAGGCACGTTGCTTGGGACCCCACTCCACCTCCAAGGGCCTCCAAGTGCCACTCCCTACTCCTGAATTCTTGCATGTTCCAGCTGGTGATGGGGAGAGAACAGTGCTTATGCCCAGCTCATTTCCTTTTTCTCTTTCTTTCTTTCTTTTTTCTTTCTTTCTCTTCTTCTTTTTTTCTTTTTCTTTTTTTTTTAAGACAGGGTCTTGCTCTGTCACCCAGGCTGGAGTGCAATGGCATGATCACGGCCCACTGCAGCCTCAAACTCCTGGGCTCAAGTCATCTTCCTACCTCAGCCTCCCATGTAGATGGGACTACAGGTGCGTGCCACCACACCTGGCTTTTTTATTTTTTGTAGAGATGGGGATCTCACTATATTGCCCAGGCTGGTCTCAAACTCCTGGGCTCAAGCAATCCTCCCCAATCAGCTTCCCAAGGTTCTGGAATTACAGGCATGAGCCACTGCACCTGGCCAATTTATTATGCCCATCTTACAGATGAGAGAGGAAGATAGCTGAGGTTCCTGGAAAGGCTTTGGAGTCTAACTGATCCTGGTCATGCTTTACCTCTCCGAACCTCAGTTTCTTACTCGGGAACATGGGAATATTGAAGATTGACTCAGAGTTCTGAGAATTCTATGATATAATGATATGAAGTGCCTAGAACACTATTCAAAACATGAGAGCTAGACTCAGTGTAAACTGAGACTCAGAGAGAGGACTTGATTTGGCCAGGGATGAGGGGTTAAGGGATCCATCTTCCAAATCTCAGTATCTCAGACTCCTTAGTTCATGGAAAAATACATTTCCTGCTCAGGGCTGAGCCCCCACTCTCCCCTATACCCACCAAGCACACCCACTGAGCTAGGGGTTCTTTTACCACAAATTCCTGTTCATCTTGATGACAACACCCCCTGGGTGATAAGATGACCTCTGTCCTTTCGAGGACTTGTACAACTTCTTTTTTTTTTTTTTTTTTTTTTTTTTGAGACAGTCTCCCTCTGTTGCCCAGGCTGGAGTGCAATGGTGCCATCTCGCCTCACTGCAACCTCCGCCTCCTGGGTTCAAGCAATTCTCCTGCCTCAGCCTCCCAAGTATCTGGGACTACAGGCGTGAACCAACACGCCCAACTAATTTTTGTATTTTTAGTAGAGATGGGGGTTTCACCATGTTGGTCAGGCTGGTCTCGAACTCCTGACCTCAGGTGATCCACCTGCCTCAGCCTCCCAAAGTGCTGGAATTACAGGCATGAGCTACCGCGCCCAGCTGACTTGTACAGCTTCTATGGTGTGCTTTACATTTTTCCTGCTTTTGAGCATTTCTGAGAGGCCTCGTGTTTTCTTTTCTTTAACAAACACATTATCTTTACTTTCTTAGTATTTCTATTGAACAAGTGATACATGGTCATTGCAGGAAAATTCCATAATGTATTGAAAACACACACAGACTAACTGATGAGATTCTTTCGCTTCCCAAGTGACAGAATGCCAACCTAAACCAGCTTCATCCAAGAGGAATCTATAGTTCACAATAGCTGGCACAAGATTGCAGGAAAAACACCAGAGATTAGGGGCTTGGAGACTGGAACTGGAGATGTAGTACTCATAGGATTTGCTTTCTCTGTCTTCCCTCCTCTCTCCTTGTCTTGATTTTTCTTCACACGTTGGCCTCTTTTTCTCTCCAGAGTGAACTTCTAGTTGGCAGGAAACATGGAGTGAGGCAGCCCCAGCTTTCCAATTAAACACAGTGGAAGGAAAGCATCCTCCCAATTTCCTATCTCATTCTCAGGGAAGGACTCTGGCTCTGCTTGAGTGATAGAGTGACATGTTCACCCCTTGGCCTCCAAAACTGTTGCCAGGAGAATTAGGGTGCTATATTGAGCAAGTGTACTGTAATGGGCAGCCATAAGGAATGGAAGAGGTATCTTGTCCAAAGGAATTAGGGGTGCGAGGGAGGCAAGAATAACACAACACTCTCAGCCGGGCCCCCACCAACCAGAGACAACCAGTGTTCACATTTTTAGTACAATTCTTCCAGATTTTTTGGATGCGTATACATATACATCCTTCTGCAGCCCCCAGTCCCGATGAGCACATTTCAAAGTACTAATCAAAAAGTGAGTGAAGGGCCAGGCGTGGGGAGGCCAAGGTGGGCAGATCATCTGAGGTCAGGAGTTTAAGACCAGCCTGGCCAACGTGGTGAAACCCTGTCTCTACTAAAAATACAAAAATTAGCTGGGTGTGGTGGCATGCACCTGTATCCCCAGCCACTTGGGACGCTGAGGCAGGAGAATTGCTTGAACCCAGGAGATGGAAGTTGCAGTGAGCTGAGATTGCACCATTGTACTCCAGCCTGGGTGACACGGCAAGACTACATCTCAAAAAAAAAAAAAAAAAGTGGCTGGGTGCGGTGGCTAACGCCTATAATTCCAGCACCTTGGGAGGCTGAGGCGGGTGGATCATGAGGTCAGGAGATCGAGACCATCCTGGCTAACATGGTGAAACCCTGTTATCTTTTGTATTTCTACTAAAGATACAAAAAATTAGCCAGGCGTGGTGGCGGGCGCCTGTAGTCCCAGCTAATCAGGAGGCTGAGGCAGGAGAATGGCGTGGACCCGGGAGGCAGAGCTTGCAGTGAGCAGAGACCACGCGCCACTGCACTCCAGCCTGGGCGACAGAGCGAGACTCCGTCTCAAAAATAAATAAATGAATAATAATTTAAAAAAAGGTGAGTCAAGGAAAGTCAAATGTTCTCAGGGAAAAGGGGGATGATCTTTTCTTCTTTTTTTTTTTTTTGAATGGCTAAACAGTGCAGACATCTCCATCAATTCTTTTATTTATTTATTTATTTATTATTTTTTTGAGACAGGGCCTCACTCTGTCACCCAGGCTGTGGTGCAGCGGCGCCATCATGGCTCACTGCAGCCTTGACTTCCCAGGCTGGAGTGATCATCCCACCTCAGCCTCCGGAGTAGCTGGGGCTGCAGGTGTGTACCACCATACCTGGCTAATTTTTTTTAGTTTTTTATTTTTTGTAGATATCGGGTCTCTACTCCCTCTGTTGCCCAGACTTCTCTGGAACTCTGGAATCAAGTGATCCTCCTGCTTGGGTCTCCCAGAGTGCCGGGATTATAGGCGTGAGCCAGTATGGCTGGCCTCCATGAATTCTTGAACCTGACAGAAAAGAAGCTATTGAAAGAGTGAGTAGTTAACTAAGATTAGAGAAAATGGAAGAAATAACAAGGAAAAGATGGACAGGTTTATTTTTTAAAATTCTTTGGCTGGGCGTGGTGACTCACTCCTGAATCCCAGCACTTTGGGAGGCCAAGGCAGAAGGATCACCTGAGGTCAGGAGTTCAAGACCAGCCTGGGCAACATAGTGAAACCCCATCTCTACTAAAAATACAAAAATTAGCCAGGTGTGGTGGCGCATGCCTGTAGTCCCAGCTACTCGGGAGGCTGATGCAGGAGAATCACTTGAACCTGGTAGGCGGAGACTGCATTGAGCTGAGATTGCACCATTGCACTCCAGCCAGAATGACAGAGCCAGACTCTGTCTCAAAAAAAAAAAAAAAAAAAACAAAACTTTAACTTTTGTTACTTTTTTTTAACTTTTTTTCAAAAAGTGAAAACCCTACTCTACTCCGAAATGGTAGCCAAAAATGAAAGGCAAACTTCAGACTGGGGAAATGTTTTGTAGACAATGGCTTAATATATTTATTATATAAACAGCACACAGGATTGATAACAAACAGTAAGAACCTAATAAATGGTCAAAGGATACAGATAAAACACAGTAAACACAGGACATTTTGTATCTCACTAGTGATACAAAAAAGTACAAAATAGAAGGTCATTTGCAGCCTTTCAAATTTGAAGTTTAAAAAGCTGGTAACACTGAAGGCTGATGTTGATGTGAGGAATGAGTAGTCCTACATTCTGGTGGGAAAATGATTTGCTAAAGATCCTTTGGAAAGCAATTTGGCAATATGCATCAAAGGCTTAAATAATGTCGAGGCCTTTTGATTCAGGGACTCCTCTTCTGGCAATCAATTTCAGAGAAGTAATCCTAAATTAGGACAAGGCTATATGCTCCAAGATGTTTGAGTAATTTTTTTTTTTTTTTTGGCTGGGCTCATGCCTATAATCCCAGCACTTTGGGAGGCCGAGGCAGGAGGATCACTTGAGCCCAGGAGTTCTCACCAACATGGTGAGACCCTGTCTCTACTAAAAATACAAAAATTAGCTGGGCGTGGTGGCACACGCCTGTAACCCCAGCTACTCGGGAGGTTGAGGCAGGAGAATCACTTGAACCTGGGAGGCTGAGGTTGCAGTGATTTAGATTATGCCACTGCACTCCAGCCTGGGCAACAGAGCAAGACCCTGTCTCAAAAAAAAACCCCAAAAAAACAAAAAACAATATGCCCTGAGCTTTTGATTAAAGGTTTTGATAAGAAATCACCATGTGAAACTTAATTTCCATTTGCTATCAAATGTATGGAGAGTATTTTCAATGTATGATTCCAGTTTCCACATGAGATATTACTGAAACAGATTTTGGAGGACATCTACCAGTCTGCCACATTCCACATCTCACTTGTATTTCTTTGCACCAACTTCACCCTCACTCCCTCTCATTAGTCCAGCCTCTATGCTGCTCTGAGAGTGCTTTCTGCTCACAAACCACCAGTGGCTCCCTGTTACTTCAGAATGTGATTCTCAAACTTTAATATGCACCAGGAATCACCTAGAAGGCATGTTATATATAATGTAAGGCTATGCCCCATACCCAGAGGTTTTTTTTTTTTTTTGAGACAGTCTCACTCTGTCGCCCAGGCTTGAGTGCAGTGGTGTGATCTCTGCTCACTGTAACCTCCACCTTCCAGGTTCAAGCAATTCTCCTGCCTCAGCCTCCCAAGTAGCTGGGATTACAGGTGCGTGCCACCATGCCTGGCTACGTTTTGTATTTTTAGTAGAGACAGGGTTTCACCATATTGGCCAGGCTGGTCTTGAACTCCTGACCTCAGATGATCCGCCTTCCTTGGCCTCCCAAAGTGCTGGGATTACAGGTGTGAGCCACGGCGCCTGACTATACACCCAGAGCTGTTGATTCAGTAGGTCTGTGGCCTGAGAATTTGCATTTTTATCAATTTCCTAAGTGATGCTGTTGCTGGCAGTCCAGGGACCACACTTGGAGCACCATTGTCTAGAGAATAAAGTCCATGCTCCTTAATCTGCCATTCAAACCCTTGCCCAGCCTGGTCTTCAACCTACTTTCTAGCTTCATCTCTTATCCTTTCCTTTCCCCTCCACACACCCAGGGCTCCAGTCACACTGCAGTTCTTACTTCTCTCTAAGCAGGCCAGCTGTTCACACCTCTGTGCCTTGCTCCTTTTGTCTGGAATGTTATCTTCTGCCCAGCAATTTTCTTTCCACATCCTCCCTGAAGCCTTTCCTGACCCTCTAAGCTGTTGTTAAGTCTTTCTCTGCCCCAGGTCCCTGCCAACTTTGCACAGTCTTCTTTTTTCTTTTTTCTTTTCTTTTTTTTTTTTTTTTTTTGAGATGAAGTCTCGCTCTGTTACCCAGGCTGGAGTGCAGTGGCGCGATCTCGGCTCACTGCAAGCTCCGCCTCCCGGGTTCACGCCATGCTCCTGCCTCAGCCTCCTGAGTAGCTGGGACTACAGGTGCCCGCCACCACGCCCGGCTAATTTGTTGTATTTTTAGTAGCGAAGGGGTTTCACCATGTTAGCCAGGATAGTCTCGATCTCCTGACCTCGTGATCCGCCCGCCTCGGCCTCCCAAAGTGCTGGGATTACAGGCGTGAGCCACCGTGCCCGGCCTGCAGTCTTCTTATTGCTCTTGCGGCCTAGTGTTTTGATTGTCTGTCTAGTGTGTCCCCATTTCTGGAGCCTTAGTCACCTCCATAGCTCTCAGCCATGGTGACAGGGTCACTGAATGAGGGAACAAAAGTATAATGAAGAAGTGGAGGTGTGTGGATGGAGTGAATAAGTGAATAGGGTAATTAGGTAGGTGAAGAGAAGAAATGGGGAGTTTATTGATACCTAAACGAGTGAGTTACAGTCCACTGGACTTGGTTCTTTCCATTGAGTCCTGAGCCCCAGGCCAAGAAATAAATTTACTCCCCGACCACATTTCCACAAAGCTCCTGCCATCACTTTCTTTTCAGCAGGAGCCAACTGGGACCCAGAGCACTTGGTGCCCAGAGTACTCAGGAGCAGACAGGGGCTGGGGACCCACTGTGGGTCAGAGCTCACCCTCCCCGTTCTCACTCACCCTGGTGTTGCTGAAAGTCAGCTGTAAGGCATTTGGAACTCTGGGGAGACCATGATGTGCAAGACAGATGCTTTCTAGGGCCAAGACACAAAAGGCTTTGCCTCCAAACTAGTGATAAGGAATCAGAATTGTTTTGAATTAAATTTGGAGACTTGAGGTACTGGAACTAATCCGCCCTCCTCATGACAACCCAGCTTCCTCCACACTCATAAAGGAGGCATCTTTTGGCTCCAGCAGACACTGATATGATTGTAAGAACTCTGCCAGGGATGGTGCTACCTGGGGGCAGCAACTATTCCTGCATCAAGGCTGCATGGCCTCAGCAAGGCACAGCATCTCTTTGAGTCTCTGTGTCATCTGCAGGCTGGAATATTACTCTCCTTGGAGGTGCATGGTAAGCATCAGATAGGAGGGGTGGGTAAAGGGCCTGGCACAGTGCCAGGCAGATAGTAGGTATGCAACAGAGAACAGCTAGAGTGCTCATGACTGATCCTTGAAAGTTAAGTTTCTTCTCTGGTGAACCAGGCCCAGTCGGTCTTCTAGGGTTCTTCTTTCTATTTATATCTGTCTTCCTTCTTTCACAATTCCATCCAATTTTGGGATGTCAGCTCTCATCCCACCTCCTCCACAAAACTGTCTCTGTTCTTGGAACTCTCTACCAACAACGCCCACCATACTTATGGTGTGGCCCAGTGAACATGGAAGTGAGTGGTTAAGAGGAGGGGGGTCTTCAAGCAGAGCTGCCATATATGGCTGCACAGGTTGGGCACTGCCCAAGTATAGGGAGTACCATTCACATACACTGTAATGGGAGTGGGGCCCCAGTGAGTTGTAATGAAGAGGCTCTCTCTGTAAGCCAAATGGCCTGAGTTTGAATGTTGGCTCAACCACTCAATTGCTTGACAAAGCAAGGTATGTAACCTCCTAAGCCTCAGTTTCCTCATCTGTAAATGGGATGTTATTATGGGGTAGCTGATACCTACCCCATAATATTAGGTAGTTGAATGAGTTCAGAACAATGCCTGGTGCATACTAACATTTACTGAGCCCTTCATTGCATTATCATTATGATTAGAGTTGGTTTCTCATCATTGCATGTGTGGGTGTCTTTTCTCTCTGAGAAGGCTGTGAGCAACCTGGGGACAATGAGTCACTGAGAAATTGCAGCAGCTTGGCCCAGCACCTAGTGGGAGGCAGGGCCTCATGCTGTCCTCTCTCTCAGGATCCTACTTCATCTTTCTTTTTGCCAAAATTCACTTGTAATAGGCCTTTTTTAGTTACAAATCACAAAACTCTAAAGCAAACTAGTTTAAGCCAAAAGAAGCCTTTGTGGGCTGATATATGTGGGAAGTCTAAGGGAGGATCCGGTGGCTTCAAGAATAGCTGGATGCAGCACTTCTCCATCTCCTGGCTCTGCTTTTCTGAGCTGGCTTTATTCTCAAGCAGGTTTTTCCCCATGGGAGGAGAGCAGGTCACTGGGGTAGACTGAGTTTATAGTCTATGGCTTATGGTCCAACAAGAAGTGGAACTCTCCTCTCAGCATCCACAGAGCAATCTTATGGAGGGCCTCGAGTGACCCAGCTTGGGTTACATGCCTGCTTCTGGGACTAATCATTGTGGCTAGAGGGATTGGCACTTGACTGGCCAAGCTGGGGTCATGTGTGCACCCTAGTTTGGCAGTTGGACAAGAACCATGTGTGATGGGGAAGGAACATTTCTCCAACAGAGAGGTGCTGGGTATACGAGAATGTTGGCCATGTTCGCCCTCCTTCTTTATGGCTCAGTTCATAGGTCACTTCCTTAGGGAATCTTACCCTCCCTTCTCTCCTGCGTGGACCTCAACCTTCCCACAGTAAATTGCAAATTATTCCCTGATTCTCTCAGACCAGTCTGGGAACAACTTGAGGCAGGTACCAGAGCATATTTATTCATCTGTGTCCCTTAGGCCAAGCTTCCTGCCCCAGCTGTGGAAGAGACGTTGTCGGTGGTCTATCTAGCACTCACTTCCCTGTTTCCTACTCAGATCTTGTTGGGTTTTACTCTCTCTCCACCACCTTGATGGAGTAGCAAACTCCACTCTGACTGGCATAAAGCCATTACAGTCTCCTTTGCCACAGTGACTGAGGAATGGGCATGTGAGACTGAGTTTGGGCCACTGAAACATGATGGTATCTGGGAAAAGGCTTCTTGCTTCTGTAGATGGGCCATGGAAGCCCGCTGGCTCCGGCTCCCTCCTGTGCTGGATGTAAATGAGGAAGCATCTGGCCCCAACTGCTCCACTGCCACACTACAGCCAGAGAAGGACTCACCTTAGGCAGAGGTCGACACTGTGGAGGGCAGTGTGGTGACCCCTAAGAAACCTGGACCCTTGGGGGAGGGGGGAGGGAAAGCATTAGGAGATATACCTAATGTAAATGACGAGTTAATGGGTGCAGCACACCAACATGGCACATGTATACATATGTAACAAACCTGCACGTTGTACACATGTACCCTAGAACTTAAATTAAAAAAAAAAGAAACCTGGACCCTTGATGACCCTGAAGAATTGCTAGATTGGCTAACCGTGAAGGCCACTCTGTCCCAGGACTGCCCATCCTGCAGCCAACACATTTCCTTACTGTGAATCCACTTTGAGCTGGGGGGGCATTGTTACGTGCAGCCACAAGTATCCTCAGAAAGAGGTACTCAGAAAGTTCTCCCTGACTGAATGCCATGGGTTAGTGGCCATGGGCTGAGAGCCACCAAGCATACCCCCCACAAACCTTACCACCCACACTGGTTCCTTCCTCCCCACTGTAACAGACATTCAAAGACTGGATGCTTTTTTTGAAAAACCACAGCAGTCACTTTATTCTTAAGTTTGCACTTTACAAAACCACAAGGGAGAAGTCCTTGAAGGGGAGACAGGGGTAGGGGATTAGGGAGTGGGGGATGGTAAAGAGGGGAAGAGGAAGACCCAGAAACGAAGTCCCCTCCAACCCCATCTCGGGGACCAAGCAGAGACTAGGCCTCAGGCTAGCCCAGCAGGGCTTCCTGTGTCCTGGTTGTACAGAGCTAGGCCAAAAGACCTCAGGGGAAGGGCCACGGCCCTCTAGAGACTGCCGCCATTTGAGGGACAGCCACAGGCCAATGTTTCCTGTGCCCAAAGAAGGAAGTGGGCCTCCCTTCCCCTCCCCTAGGCCAGATAATCAGCCTGAGGCAGGGGTGAGGGCTACCCATCCAGCAGCTTCAGGATGCTCTCACGCTCCTTCAGAGTCTTCCAGGCCTGGTCCTTTTCTTTCTTGGTGGGAGTCCGCTTCTTCTGCCGGGCAGCCATGATCTTGCGAAAGGCGTCCATGACCTCGTTGTCAGCCATGCGCACCCGCTGCCTCAGCTCCTGCCGGCTCACCTCCTCCTTTGCCAGCCTGTGGGGACCAGCCAGCCAGGTGCCAGGGTCAGCCCACCTCCAGAGAACAACCCCTCCCTCTTCAAGACCGAGCCTACCCACCAGCCCAGGCTGGCATGCCTGTGGATTGTGTCATACAGTCGTGACCAAAAAGCAGTTACTGACCTACACTTACATGGCACTATCTTAAGCTCCTGAAAAATATTAACTCATGTTGATCACGGGGGAGGCTGTGCACATGTGGGGACAGGGAGATACGGGAATTCTCTGTACCTTTCTCTCAATTTTGTTGTGAACTTAAAACTGCTCTAGAAGAATAAAGTCTTGGCTGCACATGGGGGTTCACATCTGCAGTCCCAGCACTTTGGGAGCCCAAGGCAGAAGGATCACTTGAGCCCAGGAGTTCGAGACCAGTCTGAGCAACATAGTGAGACTGTCTCTACAAAAAATTTAAAAAATTAGCTGGGTGTGGTAGTGCACACCTGTAGTCCCAACTCCAAGGGAGCTGAGGATTGCTTGAGGCCAGGAGTTCAAGGTTACAGTGAACTATGATCATGCCACTACACTCCAGTCTGGGCAACAGAGCGTGACTGTGTCTTCAAAAAAAAAAAGGTCTTAAAAATATACACAGTAGGCTGGGCAAAGTAGCTCATGCCTGTAATCCCAGCGCTTTGGGAGATGGAGGCAGGAAGATCACTTGAAGCCAGGAGTTGAGACCAACCTCGGCAACAGAGTAAGACCCTGTCTCTAAAATATATATATATATACATACACACACACAAACACACACACACAGGCACACCCACTCTCTCTCTCTGTCTTTCAGTTAATCCTAACAACCCTGCAAAATATGTACTATTATTCATATGTTACCCGTGAGGAAAATGAGGCTCAAAGATGATCCCAGGATCCCACAGTTAGTGAGGGGGAGATCTGGAGCAGGCTGGGGCCAAACTCTTGTTTTTAAACACTGTTGTTTCAGGTGTTCCGGTGCCAGCAGAAGGCCTGCTTACGTCGGCATCTGCATTCCAGAGCCCCCTAAGGTCTAGGCAGCCTGAGGCTGACAGGAGGTGGGTGAGACACCAGATCAATCTCTCTGAACAGGGTCTGATTTATACATTTCATCGATGGTGGAGCTGGAAGGTCACTTAGTGATTGAGTCCAGCCTGCCAGTTTTCCAGAAGGGGAAGGAGATGCTCAGGTCAGGGGCTGCTTAAGGCCTTGCAGCTGCTCTGCAGCAGGGTAAGGGCTGTGCTCTGGTTTCCTGAGAGCTGCAAGCCATTTCTTCATTGCCCATTACTTCTTTTTTTTTTTTTTTTTTTTTTTTTGAGACAGGTCTCACTCTGTCACCCAGGCTGGAGTACAGTGGCCTGATCAAGCTCACTGCAGCCTCTACCTCCCAGGATCAAGCAATCCTCCCACATCAGCCTCCTGAGTAGGACTATAGGCATGTGCCACCATGCCTAGCTGATTTTTAAAAATTTTTAGTAGAGAAGGGGGTCTGACTACATTGCCCAGGCTAGTTTCGAACTCCTGAGCTCAAACAAGCCTCCCACCTCAGTCTCCCAAAGTGCTGGGATTACAGGCATGAGCCACCAGGCCCAGCTAGGGCCCACTACTTCTGTAACTGCACATGCCTGCTTTTCTCTCTCTTCCTCTCTCTCCCTCTGCTTCCCTCAGTGCCTCTTCCATCTGTGTTTTCTTCTTCTCACCTTTCAGAGAAAACAAACTATTATAGAAAGAGGCTTTGATTCAACCACAGGTTCAAGTCTCAGCTTGCTGTTTATTGACTGTGTGACCTTCAGCAGAGCATTTCGCTTCACTGGGCCTTTATTTCCTCATCTGGTAAACAACGAAAATAGCTCCTCCCTCCTGGGTTGTTGTCAAGACACTTGAGAGAGTGTACATAAAGCCCCTGACACACAGTAGGCCCTCAGCATACATTAGTCACTCTTATCCTTAAATACCCTGGCAGCTTGTCAGCAACTACCTCTCCTTTTAATGGCACTTATCTTTACTGATCATCTGCTAGTAATCTGCAAGTCCCTTGCTCTGCCTCTCTTGCTGGCCCCCAGCACAATATCTAAGAGACAGTAAGAATGGCCAAATGATTAGCCTGGCATGGTAGTGCATGCCTGTAATCCCAACTACTCAGGAGGCTGAGGCAGGAGAACTGCCTGAACCCGGGAGGCGGAGGTTGCAGTGAGCCGAGATCATGGCACTGCACTCCAGCCTGGGCAACAGAGTGAGACACCGTCTCAAAAAAAAAAAAAAAAGGCCAAATGAATGAATGTGCCCTGTCCTGTCAGGGCTCTATGAAGTTAAGACACAGCACTTGTCTGTGAGAAGCAAAGAGACTTGTTCGGGTTGCTTCCCTATCTCTTTACCTAAAGGGTAGCTATTCCACAGTCTTCCTCAAGATGTCACCTATACCCTCGTGATCAATGCAGAACAAGATGGATGGGAGTTGACATCAAATGAATGGCAGGCACTGTGATGGATTCCCAAAAGAACATGTCCTAAAACACTGGTCAATTTCTTGTGATGAGCAAATAAAAATCACAGATCTCCAACAAAATGTTAACAGTTAATTAGTCTAGGTGGAGAATATACTGATGTTTATTGTATGATTCTTTCAGATTTTCTGTGTGTATCAAATTTTTAATAACAAAACTTTGGGGATAAAAAGAAAAGAAGCATGAAAAGACAAAAAATAAATCACACAACAATGTGAATATGGGTAACACTACTAAACTGTACACTTAAAAATGGTTAAGAAGCGTAAATTTTTTTTCTTTTTTTTTTTGAGATGCAGTTTCACTCTTGTTGCCCAGGCTGGAATGCAATGGTGCAGTCTCAGCTCACTGCAACCTCCGCCTCCCAGGTTCAACTGATTCTCCTGCCTCAGCCTCCCATGGAGATACATTTTATATTATGCCTTTACCATAATTAAAAAACCAAACTAGGCCAGGCGCAGTGGCTCACGCCTGTAATCCCGGCACTTTGGGAGGCCGAGGCGGGTGGATCACGAGGTCAGGAGATCGAGACCATCCTGGCTAACACGGTGAAACCCCGTCTCTACTAAAAATACAAAAAAATTAGCTGGGCGTGGTGGTGGGTGCCTGTAGTATCAGCTACTCAGGAGGCTGAGGCAGGAGAATGGCATGAACCTGGGAGGCGGAGCTTGCAGTGAGCCGAGATCATGCCACTGCACTCCAGCCTGGGTGACAGTGCGAGACTCCCTCTCAAAAAAAAACAAAACAAAAACAAATCAAATCAATCGGTCAGTCACAGATGCCTGAGCCCCACTCTGTGGAATCAGAATTTGTTTGGGACATACCCGGTGGACTGGCCACTGCTGTTTTTTTCGAGGCTCTCCAGGTGATTTAGAGGCCAGCCAGGATTGGAAAGCCTGTTGTAAAACCCCTGAAAGGTGACTAGCCGTGGCCACAGCCTCCAAGGCCACCCCCGGGACTGTGCATCCTGCTAACGCTCACCTCAGCAGGTCGTGCTTCTTGGTGCGGTTGTGGGCACTAAGTGCCTTCAGCTCAGCCTGCCGTTTGCGAAGCTCAGCAAGGACCTCATCCTCGGAGTCCTCTGCGGGGCGGTCCTCAGACTCCAAAAGGCCCTGGGCAATTAGCTCCTCCTTGATGCGGCTCTCCAGGGACTTAGTATGCGGCACACTGCAGCGGGAGGCAGGCCCGTCAGACTCAAGAGCCAGCTTGGAGAAGGGCCCACCTTGGAGGTTCCCAGGGCTTCCCAAGGTCAGTGAAAACCTGCCTTTCCCTTTGGGCACCCCCTCTGTATCTATCCAGATACAAAGGGAGGGACAGACACATCTGGTCTGGTTTTTAAAACAAGCAACGTATGTATCTACTATTCAAAAAATATGGAAAAACCCATAATGCCAACAACCCAGAGAGAATTACTATTATTTTGTTATATATTATTATATATATTCCAGATTTTGTTATATATTATTCCTAATCTTTTGCTACATATTAGTCCAGGTTTTTTCCCTTATGTGCACATATTTAAATATATTGTAAGTAAGCCAGGCATGGTGGCTCACACCTGTAATCCCAGCACTTTGGAAGGCCGAGGTGGGAGGATCACCTGAGGTCAGGAGTTCAAGACCAGCCCGGCCAAGATGGTGAAACCCCGTCTCTACTAAAAATACAAAAATGAGCCATACATGGTGGCAGGCGCCTGTAATCACAGCTACTTGGTGGCTGAGGCAGGAGAATCGCTTGAACCTGGGAGGCGGAGGTTGCAGTGAGCCAAGATTGCGCCATTGCGCTCCAACCTAAACGACAAGAGCGAGACTCCATCTCAAAAAAAAAAAAAGAAAAAGAAAAAAAGAAATATATTTTAAGTAAAAATAGTATTATACCATCCATACTGGGCTACAACTAATATTTTCTCCACTTGTCACTCTATAATTTACATCTTTTCATGTCATTTAACTATATTTCTCTATACTTGCAGCTATATGATTAATAGCCCCAAGTTATTTCATCATATGGAGTTATGCCAATTTAGCCAACCATTCCCCTTCAGCAGGACATTTGGGTTATTTATGGTATGAACAGTTCTGTGCTGAACAACCCTGCACTCAGTCTGTGCATGCAGACACGCTGGGTCATCACTCACACTTGAGACTGCTATTAGGCTTCACCTAACTGCCCCCAGCCTCTTACTGATGAGGACTTCCCCAGGTTGAGATGGAGAGAAGCCAACAGAAGCGGGGGCCAGACTGTGGGTTGTGGATAGGACACCACTCACCTGAAGGGCTTGTTCTGATTGCGAGGGGAGGTGCTTGCCCCGTCAGCCCCTGATTCTTTCCCAGACATGTCAGGAATAGGAGAATCCTCCATAGGGGAAATAATATTTTCCTAGAAGACCACAAAAATGAGTGGAAGGAAAAATAGCTGTTCCACTTTCCTGCTCCTTTCTGACCTACACTGACAGTCTTCAAACACCAGAAATATCCTTTTATCTTTCCCATCCCACCTACCGTGGGAAGCCTTCCCATACCAATCCCAAATTGCTTTGATCATTCTAGAAATCCCTTTTATTTTCGTACTGATGTGAAGAAAAAGGAACACAGAAGAGAAATGATTAACACTCAATGATGGTAATGAACAGCTAAGGTTTGTGAAGCGTCTGCAACGCACCAGGCAGTGTGCTAGGCCTGCTGTGGCGGAGATGCTAGCTGTCCGAATGCCATACTCTTCTTTCCTCCACGGCAGCTAGGCAATGCCTGTCCAGTTGTACTTCCCAGGCTCTCTTGCAGGCGGGTATGGTCATGTGACAAGTTCTCTCCAGGGGAAAGTGATCAGAAGAGATAAGAGCCATAGCTAGGCATGGGCCAAAAAGTTTCCTTCACACACTCCTCCTTGTTTTGTTTTGTTTTTTTTTTTTGAGATGGAGTCTCACTTTGTCACCCAGGCTGTGGAGTGCAGTGGCACAATTTCGGCTTACTGCAAGCTCCGCCTCCTGGGTTCATGCCATTCTCCTGCCTCAGCCTCCCAAGTAGTTGGGACTACAGGCGCCTGCCACTATGCCCGGCTAATTTTTTTGTATTTTTAGTAGAGACGGGGTTTCATCATGTTAGCCAGGATGGTCTCGATCTCCTGACCTTGTGATCCGCCCGCCTCAGCCTCCCAAAGTGCTGGGATTACAGGCGTGAGCCACCGCGCCCGGCCTCCTTGCTCTTATTCTGTGGGACTGGAGTGACAATTACGCCCAGAGTGACCTTGTGCAGACTGCAAGGCCACCGTCAGCTGGGGTCCCTGTCTGATGATATGAGATAGAGACCTGCCCCTTCCCCTACCTTAGATAACCTGCAACATGTACCCAGACTGTTCCATGAGATAAACTCTTGTGTTTGAGCCAGAATAGAAAACTGAGTCTCAATGAGGTGAAAGAGTGTGAGGGTGTGTCTAAGGTCAACCAGCAGGTATAAAGACAGGGCCCCTGAAGCTAGGGTTTGAATCCTGGTGTGTGAGACCTCAAGTGAACAGTTCCCTTTTCTGAGCCTCAATCTTCTTATCTGTAACACAGCGTTAACCACTGTCCTGGCCTCCAGTGGGAGGATGTGTATAAAGCCCCTCCAACAGATGCTTAGCAAAAGTAATTGTGGAGTAAGGCTACCTTTGGGGAAAGTTGGAGAAAAACAGGGGCATGAGAGGGGCTTCTAGGATATAGTAATGTTTCATTTTGTAATCTCCAGGCTGGTAATACAAGCTCATTTGTGAAAACTGTACATTTATGATCTGTGCACTTTTCTATTAGGTGCACAAGTTATATATTATTCCCAATCTTTTGCTATATATTAGTCCAGGTTTTTACTTTTGCACCAACCTATTTTTGCACCAACCTAATAAATGTATGATAAATTCCGATAAAAAATAAGCATAACACATTAAAACACAAAGTAAATATGGTTCCTCTTTTGGGTTAGGCTGCTCACCTCCACCAGGGCCTGCAGGAGGCGCTGCGTCAGGGCACCAAAGGGGCATCCATCTTCCGGCTGTTCATGCTGGGCCTCAGACTTCTTCAGCAGGGCATCCACATCTAAGCGGGCACAGGAAAGGAGGGGAGGTGGGCTGAAGTTCTGGAATTCAAGTCCTGACCTGGGGTTGGCAGGGAGGTGAGAGGCCTACCTTTAGTGTCCAGTTCGGTCAGTGGCCCCATGAGGCCTTTCTTCTTGTCAGCCACAGCCGCTGCCCGGGCCCCATCCTTCTGCTCCTCCAGCAGGTCCTCCTGGGCCCAGCGCTGGGAGTAGTGCTTCCCCAGGGGTGGGATCTGTGGAAAAGATGGCACCCAACCCTGAGTGGGTAAGCACTGGCCAGCCATGCTTCATTCATTCATTCACTTACCTATCTTATATCTCTCTCAAGTCCCTAGTCCAAGGCCAAGCCCAGTGTCAGGTGTAGGTAAGAAAGTACAACGAAGATAAAACCTGTACTTCACACTCTAGTAAGGGAGACAGGTCCAAAAAGAACTAAGACACACACACAGAAGCCAATCTGAAATAATTCCCAAGATAGAAGGTGCAGAATACGTACACAGATTGTCTCAGGTCACAGCAATTGCCTCTCGAGAGAATTAGGAGCCTTCAGGTCACGGGTGACAGGGAATTACCTTTTGTATTGCTTGAATTTACTGCTGTCTGTATGAACTCTTTTTCAGATAAATTTTTAAGAAATCAGATAAGTGAAGTGAAAGAGAGAGATCAAAGTGTTGTGGCAGCACAAAGGAGAGACTGACTAACTTTCTGCTGGGGAATCTGAAAGAGTGCTTTGGTGGAGGTAACATGAGATCAGGGCCTTGAAGGGTGAGTCAAGTCTGTCAAGGAGACAAGAGGGAGAGAAGAGCTTGCCAGAGGCCCAGAGACCAGCGAGGAGGCTGTGGTGTCCTGGAATGAGGGCGAGATACTTGGTGGGACTGGTCAACACGGCAATGAAGAGGGATATGGCCGAGGAAAATGGAGAGGGGCACTGGAGCTGTGCCAGCAAGGACTGGGATGCGTGGACTTGATCCTGTAGATAACGGGAGGAAGAAAGGCCTGGATGCAGCGCCATGTCATGAGCACATCTGATCATGACAGCTCACCTATGGGAGGATTCTCCCTCAACATTTTTCTGTATTTTCTAAATTTTCTTTAATGGAGCATGTTTTATTTATTTTCATCATTAAAACATAGTTTTATATCTTCTTTTTTTTTTGAGACAGAGTCTTGCTCTGTCACCCAGGCTGGAGTGCAGTGGCACAATCTCAGCTCACTGCAAGCTCCGCCTCCCGGGTTCACGCCATTCTCCTGCCTTAGCCTCCCGAGCAGCTGGGACTACAGGCGCCCGCCACCACGCCCGGCTAATTTTTTCTATTTTTAGTAGAGACGGGGTTTCACCGTGTTAGCCAGGATGGTCTCAATCTCCTGACCTTGTGATCTGCCCGCCTCGGCCTCCCAAAGGGCTGGGATTACAGGCTTGAGCCACCGCACCCGGCTTTTTTTTTTTTAATGGATGGAATCTCCTTCTGTCACCCAGGCTGGAATACAGTGGCACGATCTTGGCTCATTGCAACCGATGCCTCCCCAGTTCAGGTGATTTTCCTGGCTCAGCCTCCCGAGTAGCCAGGATTACAGGTGCATGCCACCGTGCCAGGCTAATTTTTGTATTTTTAGTAGAGACGGCGTTTCACCATGTTGGTCAGGCTGGTCTTGAACTCCTGACCTCAGATGATCTGCCTGCCACAGCCTCCCAAAGTGTTGGGATTACAGGCGTGAGGTGACTTTTATATCTTTTTTTTTTTTTTGGAGACGGAGTCTTGCTCTGTTGCCCAGGCTGGAGTGCAGTGGCGTGATCTCGGCTCACTGCAACTTCCACCTCCCGGGTCCAAGAGATCCTCCTGACTCAGCCTCCCGAGTAGCTGGGACTACAGGCGCACACCGCCATGCCTGGCTAATTTTTTGTATTTTGGTAGAGATGGGGTTTCACCATGTTGCCCAGGCTGGTCTCAAATTCCTGAGCTCAAGCAATCTGCCCGCCCCGGCCTCCCAAAGTGCTAGGATTGCAGGCATAAGCCACTGCTCCCAGCCCAAGTTTTATATCTTAAAGAAAGAAGAAAGGTTCCTCCAGAGGCCTCGAAACAGGAAGAGAGTTAAGAGGCTGTTTGGATAGAAGTTGATGAAGGCTTGGACCAAAGCAGAGGGGATGGGGATAAAGGAACATGGGCAGACTTCACTTAAGTAGATGCTTGAGGGCGTGTTGACATTTGGCTGGGGTAGAGGGGAGGCAGTGCACGGAGAAAGCTGAGTTTGGGCCTAGGTGTCTGGAGGCACTGATGGAGCAGACAGCAGACTGGGCAGGGTTGGGGAAGGAAGATGATGCATGGCTTTGGTAGCTTTACTTCTCAGGCACCTCTGAACTCTCTTGTTCCGCATCATGTCTATCAAGGCCCAGAGTTTCTACCTTGTAATGCTCAGCCTCATCTTCTGGGGGCTTCAGTAACTCCTCAAGTGTGCGGACCTCCTCGCTGGTGATGTCAGCACAGTAGGGCTCCACTGAAGCCCAGAACCTGCAGGGAGAAGCAGATCCTGAGTGGGCGCCCCTGCCCCACCAGTGCCTCCACCACCAGAACCTTGAGGCCCCCTTCTATGTTCTCTAGCCCAGAACCTGTTGGGGGCATCATTTTTGGGGATCCGTGGCACGTCGATAGGGTCATCAGTGAATTCATATTCCTGGATCTTGGGCTGAAGGTTTTTGGATTTGGGCCGTCCTGGGCCAGGGCCCGGCCCATGTCCTGCCTTCCCTTCCAGTTTCTGCTTCTTGGGCTTCCCATGTTTGGGGGGAGCTCCAAGTTCATGGTCTCGACCCAGCTTCAGGAATCGTCTGTCACCTTTCTTATCCTGCCAGTCGGTGAGGATCTGAAATTTACAGAAAGTGTCACTGAGGGGGAGAAGGGAAAACACAGAATATCTCTTTCCTCTAGTGAATAAATTAGGATCTAGAATCTACAGAGGCTCCTGGGTCTTTCCCCATCCTCTTTTTACCTAGTAAACTCTTACTCATCCTTCAAAATTCAGCTCATTTTCTGTGCCTGGCCTCCTAGAACTTTATTCATATACTTCTCATAATCTCATTCACTTGTTCATCTATACTGATTCACTTCTGTATCACCCATGCCAGTCACATACTGTTTAACAGAAGAGTCCTCTCAGCAAACCTTCACTTCGATGTCACCACTACTGAGATGCCTTCTCTCAATCAGTTACCCAGGTTCTTAGATGCTAAAATACAACTTGAGTCATAGCCTTCCTCAAGGAGGGTCCATGGATTCCCAGGGACAAGTTAATTCCATTCATCCTTTTAGGTCCAGTTGGCACCTCCTTCCTCCACAAGTCTCTGGCACTTCACAGCTCCAACGTGCACCCAATCGTGTTGTTTGGTCACACTGGAATGACCATCACACCTTGTCTCTTCAACTAGACCATAAGCTACTGAGGACCAGAAAGCCCACCTTAACCATCTCTATTTTGCAGAATACAGCATAGCGCCTGGCACACAAGGCTCAAGGCATCTTTATGCAGTGAATAAAGTCATCAGAGTAGCAAATAAATAACATCTGAAGTACTTACTTAGTGTCTGGCATTGGGCTGAGTTTTTGCAAAAAATTCTCTTTTAATCCTCACAAAAGCACTAAGGTAGGTCCTATTATTCACCCCACTTTGCAGATAGGGAAACTGACACTCAGAGATATGAGGCAACTTTCTCAAAGTCACATAGCTAGGAAACAGCAATGCTAGCAAGCGCTTATGCCAGGATTCAAATCCAGGTTTCCCCATTCCAGTTCCCTAGGACTGCTAACCACAACATCACATCACCTGGTATGTACTTGACTTTCTCACTTTCCTAGTTGCCAAGCTCCCTGACAGCCATAACTGTCCTAATTACCTTTCTCTAATGACTAGCATAGGACCCAGAACACAATGGGGGATGAGTGGGGTGCCAATAAAAGCTTACTGAATTAGAAATCTTGCAATTTAAGAGGATCATGCATATTCTTGTGTATTTTTTGTGTCATGCAAACCCAGTTTGCGTCTCTCTCCCTCTCCCCACAAACCCCTGTACCCCAAGTCTCAGCATATGGGGCTAACTCAATGACCCATCCCATAACTTGTTGCAGTCCATCTCTGGTGCTGGCCCCTCTCTGGGGTTATCACCTGGGTTTCGGCCTCAAGCACACGCAGGCGCCGGCTGGCAGAAGACAGCAGGGTCTCCAGCTCCAGCTGCAGGGTGTCCAGCTCCTCGATGCCGATGCCATCATCCTCAGAGCGTGCCAGCACTGCCGTGTAGCGGGGACAGACCTTCAGGTGATCCACAGACTTGAAGTCGTGGAACTGCAAGGGGCAGTCTTTCAACTCACTCATGGCCCAGGATATGGGGATCCTGTGGAGCTGGAGAGGACAGGGCCATTGATGGGAGACAAAGTGGTCTGAGAAAAGCCCAAGGGCTTCTTACCTCCAGGGACAGCCTCAAGGAAGCCCAGCTTCAGTCCCTTACTGACAAAATTGATGGCACAGTTCCTACTCACAGGGCACTTAACTGGGTACCAAGCTAGGTGCAGAGCACTTTATCAGTTTATCTCACTGAATTTCTCACTCAGCACCATGAACAAGGACCATTGTGATCTCGTTTTTACAGAGAAAGAAACTGAGACTCTGTAAGGGTGGGTATGTGCCTATGCTTCCAAGATGCAATTTGAACCCCGCTAGTCTTGAGTCTGCACCCTGATCACCATGCTATACTGCTATGCCTTGCCTCGCCTTTCTGATGCTCTTTCCTTCCCTTCTATTTCTCTTGGGTTCTGCTAAGACTTTGAGTTCCAAGCACCCCATTCTTACCATGTTCTCTGGGACTCTTGGCCTCTTTTCTTACCCTATTCCACCTTTCTCCCTTCTCTAGTCACTAACAGTGGTTTAGAACGTGGGCTGGTAAGCCAGACAGACCTGGGTTCAAGCCCAGGCTTTACCATTCTCTACTTATATGCCCCTGAACATGTTATTTGACCTTTTTCAGTCTCAGTTTTTCCATCTGTAAAATGGGGACAAAAGAAGTCTCGGTCTGTTTCCCCATTAAAAGTCTGAATCTGAAAAATGGGGATAACAATAGTACCTACCTCCCTGGGATGTTCTGAGGATTAAGAGATGATGCCCGTCAAGAGCCCAGTTCAGTGTCTGGCACAGAAGTGGGACTGTTTAATGGCTGGCCCCGCCCGGGGGTCGCCCAAATGTCCCGCCTTCAGAGTCCTCGTTCTCTAGGGACACCCTAGTGCGACCCCCGCCCCCTCTACCTCCTCGCTGCGGCCTCCTACGGCCCCAGGGGCCGCGGGAGGGGGCGGGGAGTTCCGGTCGATGTGAGCAACCGCCCCGGAACTGGCTATGGGCGGGCCCCTTGCAGTTGACGCGGGGGCGGGGAGTCAGCGAGGGCGAGCCTACTGGAGTTTGCCGGGGGTGGGAAGAAGGTGGGCCTCGAGCAAAGCCGCTAGAGGTGGGGTGCGGGTGGTCGGCCTCAGGCGAGCCCCGGGGCACAGCCCGGGGCGGGAGGCGGAGCTTGGCGGCCGAGATCTCCGCGCTGCAGTTAGCCCCGCCGAGCGCCAGGAGCTGCGGGTAGGAGGGGCGAGAGAAAGGATGGGGGTACAGAACCGGAAGAAACGAAGGGCTCGTCCGCTTCGGCTTGTCCTAATTTGGTGCCCAATCTGAAGCTGGGCTGTACCATTGCATACCTGGGGGAGGCTGTGGCAAAGGTGACAAGAAGGCCGAAGGCACAAAGGGAAGCTGCACCCATTCCTGGAGGAGCTTAAATAGTGACTCGAGTGCAAGAATTTAAAAATACCGAGACAGCCCTAGGTGGAAAACTTCCGGAAGGCCCAAGCGTTCGTAAGGGCTCTCTACCCCGCTCGGAGCATAGATGGTACCGTCCGGAAGTCCGGGCGGAGACCGTAGCTGCGCTTCTCGCGAAAGGGCAGGCATCGCGGGGCTGGCCACTTCCGTACTTCCGCTTTCCGGCCCAGCCAGCGCCCGCGATGGTGAGAGAGCCGGGCCCCCGGCCAGGGACCCCCGGCTGTTCGGCCTCAGGGCAGTGGGTCGGTGGGAGATGTGGCTTTGCCGCAGGGGCGCGGGGCCGAGGGATGTCCGGGGGTTGTGGGGACACGATGAGGGTGGGAAAAAGAGACGGGGCGGGGGCCCGAGGTGAGGAAGGGGCGAGTGGGGGTACTCCCTGGTATGAAGTGGGCCTTGTGGCTTCACGGTCAGCCTTCGAAGCAGGTAGGGGCTTTTCCTGAGCCCTGTAGGAACCCGGAAGTGGGGTCTCCTAGGCTCTTTGGAGCATTTCGAGGGTACGTAGTCGGCCTCTTAGCCTCTGAGGCATGAAGCAAGTCCACCTGCCTATCCACAGTGGAACTTCACGACATACGCCCTTTGTCCTCTTCTGCCTTCCTGACCCTACAGTTGCTTAAGGCAGGCGGCCACACTTCCTTATCCCATTCTTGGTACCTCCAGCCCTGCTTCCACCCCATTGGAGGATCTCTCGTGTTGCTTCCATTCAGGCCCTTCCTGGTCAGAACTGAACTGTGTCAGCCTTAGTGTATGTTAGCTGTGATACTGCTCATCCCTCCCTTCCTGGAAGTCCTCCCTTTTTCATACATGTGGGCCTTTTTCATACATGTGGGCCTTTTTCATACGTGTGGGCATTCCTGGGAGTTGTGACTTTGGATGACCATCTCCCTCTTCGTCACACCTTCCCTGGTGATACCGATCTAGTCTCCTGGCTTCGATAACTTTCTTCATTCTGATGACTCCTAATCTGGCTTCTCAGCTCTCTTTCAAGGTTTGCCTGGATATCTTGAAGAGACCTTGAAATTAGACCTCTAGTTCAAAACTCATATTCTATTCTAAATTTGTTCTTCCTCCTGGGTTCCCTATCCTGGCAAACTTTTGTGACCTCATGTCTCTGCTAAAAATCTGTATTTTTTTTTTCTAGTGGGGCACATGCCTCTTGATTTTTAAAAGTTCAAGTTTATTGAGGTATTACATGAGACTACATCTGTTTTATTCATGAAAGGACAGGCGTCACGGAGCCAGTCACCCTTTTTAGGTTTACTTTCTATAACTGTTGACAAAGGCCAGGCGTGGTGGCTCACGCTTGTAATCCCAGCACTTTGGGAGGCAGAGGCGGGCGGATCACGACGTCAGGAGATCGAGACCATCCTGGCTAACACGGTGAAACCTCTTCTCTACTAAAAATGCAAAAAATTAGCCGGGCGTGGTGGTGGGCACCTGTAGTCCCAGCTACTCAGGAGGCTGAGGCAGGAGAATGGCGTGAACCCAGAAAGCAGAGCTTGCAGTGAGTCGAGATCGTGCCACTGCACACCAGACTGGGCAACAGAGTAAGACTCCGTCTCAAAAAAAAAAGCGTTGCAAAAACTTGCTGGGTATGGTGGCATGCGCCTGTAGTACCATCCGCTCAGGACACTGAGGCAGGAGGATCACTTGAGCCCAGAAGTTCGAGGCCGTAGTACACTGTGATCACTCCTGTGAATAGCCACTGCACTTCAGCCTGGACAATATAGCAAGATCCCGTGTCTTAAAAAAAAAAAGTCAAGTTGTGTAACCACTACTGCAACCAAAATACAGAACATTTCCGTCACCCCAAAAAGTTCCCTCAAGCCCTTTTGTAATCAGTCCTCTCCTTCCCACCCCAGACAACTACTGATTTTTCCCCCCTGTAGTTTTGCCTTTTTCAGATTGTCATGTAAATGGAATTCTTTAGTATGCAGGCTTTTAAGTGTGGCTTCTTACCATAATACATTTGAGAGTCAACCATGTTGTGTGTATCAATAGTTACTCTTTTTTTATTACCAAGTAGTAGTTAATTGAATGGCTGGACCACAGTTCGTTGGAAGTGGTTTTTCTTTTTCTTTTTTTTTAAGACACAGTCTCGCTCTGTCACCCAGGCTGGAGCACAGTGGCGTGATCTCGGCTCACTGCAACCTCAGTCTCCTGGGTTCAAGCAATTCTACTGCCTCAGCCTCTCAAGTAGCTGAGATTACAGGCACCCGCCACAGCTAATTTTTTGTATTTTTAGTAGAGACGGGGTTTTGCCATGTTGGCCAGGCTGGTCTTGAACTCCTGACCTGAGGTGGTCCACCCACCTCGGCCTCCCAAAGTGCCGGGATTACAGGCGTGAGCCCCTGGGAAGTTTTTTTTCAGTTCCATTATCCACTCCATCTAATGTCAGTCCAACGCTTGTGATACTCTTTGCTTGTGATACAGTCTGCTGTATGTCTCACTTCCCTCTCCAAATCATTCTCCACAGAGCCATCATGCAGCTGCAGTCATGAACTTCCTCCTCAGAAAGCCCCAGTAGTTCCTTACCCCCTTAAGAGAAAAGCTAAACTTGGTAGCCTGGCATTCAAGATTCCCCATGATCTTACCTCAGCCTACCGCTGCAGCCTCATTTAGTGAATCTAAAATGCTTCTCATATACAGAAACATTGTACTCATTACTACTCTGGAACTCTTGCTGTCCTTTTGTGTTACTCTAATCTTAATTATTTCTTTCGCTTATTTATTCTACAGGAAATGAGTGAGACACTGTATATGTTAGGTACTGAGCTAGGTTGGAGGCTATATAGCTGTGAATAAAATAGATATGGTCTGTTGACCATGAGGTTTACAGCCTAGTAAAGGAGAAATCACTTACAAAGGCATGAAGGAGGGCAGGTGCAGTGGTTCATGTCTGTAATCCCAGCACTTTAGGAGGCCGAGATGGGCGGGTCACTTGAGGTCAGGAGTTTGAGACCAGCCTGGCCAACATGGCGAAACCCCATCTCTACTAAAAATACAAAAATTAACCAGGCACGGTGGTGCACACTTGTCATCTCAGCTATTCGCATGGCTGAGGCAGGTGAATCACTTGAACCCGGGAGGTGGAGGTTGCAGTGAGCCAAGATTGCACCACTGCGCTCCAGCCTGGACAACAGAGTAAGACTCTGTCTCAAAAAAAAATAAAAAAGGCCAGGCACGTTGGCTCACGCCTGTAATCCCAACACTTTGAGAGGCCGAGGTGGGCGGATTGCCTGAGGTCAGGATTTCAAGACAAGCCTGACCAACACGGTGAAACTCCGTCTCTACTAAAAATACAAAAATTAGCCAGGCATGGTGATGTGCGCCTGTAATCCCAGCTACTCGGGAGGCTGAAGCAGGAGAATCGCTTTAACCCAGGAGGCGGCGATTGCCGTGAGCAGAGATCGTGCCACTGCACTCCAGCGAGGGTGACAGAAGCGAGACTCCCTCTCAAAAATAAATATTAAGAAGACATGAAAGACATTTTTTTGTCAATTGTAATAAATACTTTATAGGGGGATGTCAAGGTCTCTCTCAAGAGGCCTTCCTTAATTAAGCTGAGATCTGGAGGATGACTTAGGCAAAGAAAGAGGAGAAAAGCCTACAGATAGATGGTCAAGCATGTGTAAAGCTCTGAGGTGGGAAAGAATTTGGCTGATACAAGGACTGACCAGTGCAGCTAGAAGCTAATCCCTCTCCTAAGAATGTCCTTATTCTGGCAGGGTGTGGTGGCTCACGCCTGTAAACCCAGCACTTTGGGAGGCCAAGGCGGGCAGATTACAAGGTCAGGAGATTGAGACCATCCTGGCTAACACCGTGAAACCCTGTCTCTACTAAAAATACAAAAAGTTAGCCGGGTGTGGTGGTGGGCGCCTGTAGTCCCAGCTACTTGGGAGGCTGAGGCAGGAGAAGGGCATGAACCCGGGAGGTGGAGCTTGCAGTGAGCCGAGATCGTGCCACCGCGCTCCAGCCTGGGCAACAGAGCGAGACTCTGTCTCAAAAAAAAAAAAAAAAAAAGAATGTCCTTATTCTCCTTTTTCTCCTCCTAATCCCATTTCACCTTCAAAACCAGTTTCTTCTGCAAATATAGATTACTTGTAAATCTAAATATTTCACATGTCATCTTTATATCATAGTTATTTTCTGTATATTTGCTATCCAGTTGAGCTGTTTGAGGGTAGAGACAGTGTTAATCATCTTTGAATTCCCAGTTAGCTCAGTGCGTGGCAAACAGTACACCTATACATTTGTTGGCCTAATAGATTGACGACAATCATGCATTCACTGGTGTGTCTCTAGATCACTTTCTCAACCTTAGCACTATTGATATTTGAGTCTCGATAATTCTTTGTAGTGCATTGTAGTATGTTTAGTGGATATCTGTCCACTGAATGCCTGCAGTTCCCCTTCTTGCCAAGTCATGACAATTGAAAATGTCTCAGCATTCCTCTGGTCTGACCCCAGGTTAAAAAAGAAAGAAAGGAAATGTCTCGACATTACCAAATGTACCCTGGCAGGCAAAATTGTCTCCTGTTGAAAACTACCACTCTACACCTTGGAAGGCGTCTCGAAGGCCTAGTCTGTTCTGTTCACAGTAGTGTCTTAAGAGCCTTGCACCCTCAGTGCTACCTGGCTTCATGGGAGCTGGAATAGGGGATCGGTGGGTTTGGCGTGACAGATTTTGATCTTCCCTTTCCTCTGTGTTATTTCCTATAGACTGCCACTCTCCGCCCCTACCTGAGTGCCGTGCGGGCCACATTGCAGGCTGCCCTCTGCCTGGAGAACTTCTCCTCCCAGGTTGTGGAACGACACAACAAGCCGGAAGTGGAAGTCAGGTAGGGAAGGACAAGTCAAGGTGGGGATGAGGGGTGCAGCACACAGAGATGGCTGCTGTCTAGAAGGTGCCATGAACTTATGTCCTGCAGTAGTCAGGAAAGCTGCAGTTGACATTTTGTCTTGCTGCCAGCTGAATGGTGATTCCCAATTTGGAGTTAAGAAAATAGGGTCAGTGGGTTGGCAGGACAGAACCCAGGGGAAAAGACAAGATTGGTTAACACAAGGTATGACTTCTCAGAGCAGGGCTGTTGATGAAGTCTCTCCTGTGGCATTGTTGAAAACACTGGTAGTTTAAGGAATGGTCAGATAATTGTTATCTGAGATTCCATCTCCATACTTTTCTTTTTTTTTTTTTTTTTTCCCATCTCCATACTTTTCTAATGTAATGATCAGGGATTTTTTTTTTACCTACCAGCCTAGACACTCTGACCCCCTAATCCAAATACTTCATATTTTGAATGATTTTCTCTTATCTAGTTTCCATTTCATAAATATCTTTTTCCCCTTTAAAATTTAATCTGGAGGCCTGGTGCAGTGGTTCACCCCTGTAATCCGAGCACTTTAGGAGGCTGAAGTGGGTAGATCGCTTGAGTACAGGAGTTCAAGACCAGCCTGGGCAACATGGCAAGACTCCATCTCTACCAAAAAAATATGCAAAAATAGTCAGGCATGGTGGCACATGCCTGTAGTCCCACTTCTCTGGAGGCTGAGGCAGGAGGATCTCTTGAGCCTGGGAAGCAGAGGTTGCAATGAGCCAACATTGCGACAGTGCACTCCAGCCTGGGTGAGACCCTGTCTCAAAAAATAAGTAAATAGGCCGGGCACAGTGGCTCACGCCTGTAATCCCAGCACTTTGGGAGGCCGAGGCAGACAGATTATGAGGTCAAGAGATCGAGAGCATCCTGGCCAACATGGTGAAACCTTGTCTCTACTAAAAATACAAAAATAAGCTGGGCATGGTGGTATGCACCTGTAGTCCCAGCTACTCGGGAGGCTGAGGCAGGAGAATTGCTTGAACCTGGGAGGCGGAGGTTGCAGTGAGCCAAGATCGTGCCACCGCACTCCAGCCTGGCAGCAGAGCAAGACTTCGTCTCAAAAATAAAATAAAATAAAATAAAATAAAATAAAATTCATTCTGGTACATACATAACTGAGATAATCTGGGTTACAACATTAAATGATACGATTTAATTTTTAATTTTAAAAATAACTGATAAAGATGTTAGGATATGCCCTGTTATACTGTGTAACGTACACGATTTCCAGTGGGCCTTTGAAAATGGTTAGCAGTTTAGAGACACCACACCACAATTAATTACTATTAGAGATCTCTAGGTATTCAGAGGCATTACTTTGTAACCTGAACTCATAGGGGTCTCAGAGGCAAATGAATCATTTCTGGATTGATAATTAAAGGAAGCCAAACTGTGTTCAATTTTAGCCTTTCCTTACCTCTAAGACAGGTGTTCTCTCTGTATTCCTAAATGGTATATTGGTTTGCCTGTACAGGTTGAGTATCTCTTATCCAAAATGCTTGGGACCAAAAGTATTTCAGATTGTGGAATATTTGCAGATACTTAACCAGTTGAGCATCCCTAATTCCAAATCCAAAATGCTCCAATGAGGATCTCCTTTGAGCATCTTGTCAGCACTCGGAAACTTTCAGGTTTTTTTTTTTTTTTGAGATGGAGTTTGATTCTGTCACCCAGGCTGGAGTACAGTGGTATGATCTTGGCTCACTGCAACTGCCACCTCCTGAGTTCGAGCAATTCTCGTGCTTCAGCCTCCTGAGTATCTGGGATTATAGGAGTGCGCCACCATGCCCAGCTAATTTTTATATTTTTAGTACAAATGGGATATCACCATGTTGGCCAGGCTGGTCTCGAACTCCTGACCTCAGGTGATCCACCAGCCTCAGCCTCTCAAAGTGCTGGGATTACAGGCATGAGCCACTGTGCCCAGCCAGTTTCAGATTTTGGATTTCAGATTTGCAGATTGGGGATGTTCAACTTGTAGTTACTAAAATAGCTATCTTTTGTAAAGCTCCTACTATGTGCCAGGCACGCTATTAGACATTTGACCCTTTTTGATCTCTCTCAGTCCTCGCCAGTGAATTAGGAATCAGAGTCATTTTACAGATGAGAAAATTGAGATTCCAACAGGGTAACTTGCCCAAGGAAAGTAACAGAGGAGGCTGGATTTCAAAACCTTTTCGCCCTGACTTCAGAGCCTGTGCTCTTTCTGCTGAAGAACACACTCACTGGCCCCCATCTTGGAGCACTCCTGCTTGTGAGTCTTCTATTCCTTGGACTCTATGGTCTCATAGTGATTCCAGGACCTGCGTGGGGTCACTCTGACTATTCTATCCCTCTGTAGTACAAGTACTCTGTCACATTATGTTTTCAGGAGTAGCAAAGAGCTCCTGTTACAACCTGTGACCATCAGCAGGAATGAGAAGGAAAAGGTTCTGATTGAGGGCTCCATCAACTCTGTCCGGGTCAGCATTGCTGTGAAACAGGTAAGTTCACCATGGAGGAGGCCCAACGTAAGGCCTCTTTCAGTCCTTTCAGCCTCTTTCAGTCCGGGGTCCCCATCTGAGAGATCAGTGTGCCAGATTCCAGATTCAGAGTGCAGGAAACCTAGCCTCTGCTTCCTTTTTTTTTGACACGGATTCTCACTCTTGTCGCCCAGGCTGGAGTGCAGCAGCATGATCTCAGCTCACTGCAACCTCTGCCTCCCGGGTTCAAGCAGTTCTTCTGTCTCAGTCTCCCAAGTAGCTGGGATTACAGGCATCCGCCACCACGCCCAGTTAATTTTTGTATTTTTAGTAGAGACAGAGTTTCACCATGTTTGCCAGGATGGTCTCCATCTCCTGACCGCAGGTGATGGGCCCGCCTCAACCTCCCAAAGTACTGGGATTACAGTCATGAGCCACCATGCCTGGCCAGTAGAGGGCAACTCTAAACTTTCAACAGGATGAAAACGAAGCACTGTTATTAAATGCAGACTACACACTGTTTTCTACAGAAACTTATAAACCTGGGGCCTGCTTTCCTTGCTAAAATGGGAGGTTAACAAGTGTTGAGAGGTGTTAAGGGCATGCTAGCAACCAGCAGCAATAATCTTCCTTTAGAAATGTTGAGAGTTCAGGGCCAGGCACAGTGGCTCATGCCTGTAATCCCAGCACTTTGGGAGACCAAGGCGGGTGGATCACTTGATGTCAGGAGTTCAAGACCAGCCTGGCCAACATGGTAAAACCCTGTCTCTACTAAAAATACAGAAATTAGCCAGGCGTGGTGGCACGCGCCTGTAATCCCAGCTACTTGGGAGGCTGAGGCAGGAGAATCGCTTGAACCCGGGAGGCAGAGCTTACAGTGAGTCAAAATCGTACCACTGCACTCCAGCCTGGGTGACAGAGCGAGATTCCATCTCAGAAAAAAAAAAAAAAAAAAAAAAAAAGAAATGTTGAGCATTCAGAAGGGAGAAACTTCAGGGATTGTTGGATGTTCAGTGTTATTAAAGCAGAGACCACCTAAGGTTATCTCTGATAGCCCAGGTGATGCTGCAAAACACCCTGGGAAATGTGACACTAGTGAAATGAGAATGGAAAGGGCAGCTTGGAGTACAGCTGTAGACTCTGAAAGAAGCAATAGAAGCCTGTCAGAATTACCTCTCTGGAATGGGTCGTCATTAAGAGATGCCCCAAGGTAGACCCTTGTTTCAGTTGACAGCCAGGTCCCCCACTTCAGTGATCCTTCCGAGTACCAAACCTCACTGTCTCCTGGGAGCCTTGAAAAAACTGGAGTCAGAAGACCAGGCTACAAGGTGTTTTTGGCCTTGGGTGTCAGCTTTAGAGAAACATTTCTCTCTTGCACTCCCCAGGCTGATGAGATCGAGAAGATTTTGTGCCACAAGTTCATGCGCTTCATGATGATGCGAGCAGAGAACTTCTTTATCCTTCGAAGGAAGCCTGTGGAGGTGAGACCCTGTGACCCATGAGTTTGCGATACCCAGGACCCTGTTACAGAATGGCCTGGGATTGTTTCTAGAACCAGCTACTCCAGCTGTTTGGCACCCACTGCCTGAATTGAGAGTTGGCCTTCATCTTGGAGTGGGAGCAAAGAGGATTAGAAGCTTAGGAAAAGTTGGGTCTACCTCAGCCATAGAAAAGGCAAAAAAGAGCCGGGCGTGGTGGCTCATGCCTCTAATCCCAACACTTTGGGAGGCCGAGGTGGGTGGATCATGAGGTCAGGAGTTCAAGACCAGCCTGGCCAACATGGTGAAACCCCATCTCTATTAAAAATACAAAAATTAGCTGGGCATGGTGGTGGGCGCCTGTAATCCTAGCTACTCAGGAGGCTGAGGCAGAGAACTGGTTGAACCTGGGAGGCGGAGGTTGTAGTGAGCCAAGATCGTGCCACTGTACTGCAGCCTGGGCGACAGAGCAAGACTCCGTCTCAAAAAAAAAAAAAAAAAAAAAAAAGGCAAAAAAGATAAGACACATTGCTTATTCCCGGAGCCTATAGTCTAGCATCAGAAAGAGCACAGTGAATTAGAAATCCTTTCTAAGATCTGCCAAATGAATCATAGTCTCTCTCTCTTTTTTTTTTTCTTTGAGACGGAGTCTCGCTCTGTCGCCCAGGCTGGAGTGCAGTGGCACAATCTTGGCTCACTGCAAGCTCCGCCTCCCGGGTTCACGCCATTCTCCTGCCTCAGCCTCCTGAGTAGCTGGGACTACAGGCGCCCACCACCACACCTGGCTAATTTTTTGTATTTTTAGTAGAGACGGGGTTTCACCATGTTAGCCAGGATGGTCTCGATCTCCTGACCTCGTGATCTGCCTGCCTCGGCCTCCCAAAGTGCTGGGATTACAGGCTTGAGCCACCGCGCCTGGCCTTTTTTTTTCTTTTTTTGAGATGGAGTTTTGCTTTTGTTGCCCAGGCTGGAGTGCAGTGGCGCAGTCTCACTGACTGCAACCTTCCACCTCCCAGGTCAAGTGATTCTCCTGCCTCAGCCTCCCGAGTAGCTGGGATTATAGGCACGCATGTGCTACCATGCCCAGCTAATTTTGTATTTTTAGTAGTTTCATTGTGTTGGCTAGGCGGTCTCAAACTCCTGACCTCAGGTGATCCGCCTGCCTCGGCCTCCCAAAGTGAATCATAGTCTGCAATCTGGGCTCACTGCAAGCTCCGCCTCCTGGGTTCACGCCATTCTTCTGCCTCAGCCTCCCGAGTAGCTGGGACTACAGGTGCCCGCCACCATTCCCGGCTAATTTTTTGTATTTTTAGTAGAGACGGGGTTTCACTGTGTTAGCCAGGATGGTCTTGATCTCCTGACCTTGTGATCCGCCCACCTCGGCCTCCCAAAGTGTTGGGATTACAGGCGTGAGCCACCGCGCCCGGCCCACTGAATCAGTCTCTTAAAGCCACAGTTAACATTGGGTCAGTTGTTGCCTGAATTTGTACTTGAATCTTCTCCACAGACTCCTTGCCAGGTAAACTTAAAATATCCCCAGTGACTAAGCAACTACCACACAGCAGCATGTGCCATCATCAGACACGTCAGGCGTGTTAGCCAAGTTCTTCCTCATTCTGAGCCAAATTTTCTCTCCTGGTCCTAGATCTAACCTCTGGGGCCACCCGGAATAAATAAAATTGATCTTCCTCCCACAGCCCTCCAGCAGAAAAAGACCCTTAATCCCACCCATCTTCCACATCATCTCTTCTCTGGACTAAATGTTCCCTGTTGTTTGATTAGATTATTCTGTAACAAGACTTCAAGTTCCTTGACTCATTCTGAATGCAGAGCTGTTGTGCCACAGATAGTTTTCCAGAGATGTCTGATACACACAGAATTCTCAACGGGGTTCAGTTGCTTGGATCCAACCTAGACACCCTCCCCCAGAGCAGCTGGGCTGCTGACTGGAAGGGTATGTAGCTTGGGAGAAGATCACAGCCAGTGGGAAGCATGTGGATGAGTGGAGGACATGACCAGCTCAGTTCCCATGGGGTGCTAATTCTCTCCTGTTCCTTCTCTTCCCCCTCCCTACTGTCTTCTTCCCTAGGGGTATGATATCAGCTTTCTGATCACCAACTTCCACACAGAGCAGATGTACAAACACAAGTTGGTGGACTTTGTGATCCACTTCATGGAGGAGATTGACAAGGAGATCAGTGAGATGAAGCTGTCAGTCAATGCCCGTGCCCGCATTGTGGCTGAAGAGTTCCTTAAGAATGTGAGTAGGGGCCTTTAGCTTTCCTTCCAGAGGCCAGAGGATCTGGGGGTCATGTTGAGAACTTAGCATCTGGTGGGAAAGGGGTCCAAGCAGTGTGTTTATATCTCCTGAGCTCTCTAGGACCCCTGGGGCACAGCAGGTCAGTCAGGTGCTTTGGAGCTAGAGGACCCCAAGTTCATCTCTGAGAGCTACAAGGCATTTTCTATATTTGGGTGTCTGGGGTGGCTCTTAGTCTCTCGTAGGAACTTGGTCACTCATTTCTACATCTCAGGATGTTCACAAAGTCCTTGCCTCTATCTCGTTTAAACCCCAAGTGAGGTAAGTGAAGTCTGCATGTGAATTTTCTAGGAGTATAGGACAATTAATCATGTTATGATTCCACTTCTCAAATAGACTTCAGTACTTTCCTTCAGCATGTTTCTCAGGCTTAAATCATGATTCCTTCAACCTGTTTTCCATCACTTGCATGGCGTAAGTCCTCCAGATTCCTCTTACGTTGTTTATGTCTTTCTAATTGAAAGCACTTTAGTCATCTGAAGAGGTAGAATTGTTTACATTGATGAACTGGTGACATCGTTCTTAGTTGTTTAGATATTCAGAACATGCCTTTTTTTTTCTCCTTTTTCCAAGCAATCTTTGGTTTGTTGACATGTGCCACCCAGAGTGGCTGTGATCTCTAGACGGTAGACTTAGTGTGTACTCCCACCAGTAAGTACATACCCAGTCCAGAAGGAGCTCAGATTCCTAAAAATGGAAATTATACCCGCTTCCCTTGGGATTTAATTATACTGAGGGTGGCCAGTGTACAGAGTAGCTGTGGTGGGTGCACAGGTCGGCATGGCTGTTCAGCTCACTCGGCTATGGAGGCAACCCACCTGTGTGGGAATCCAGGCTCCACCGCCTACTCAGGCATGTCACTGAACTCTCAACTAAGTCTCAGTTTCCTCAGCTGTGAAATGAAGGTCTGGTAATTAATACTTATCTTTCAGTGGTTGAGCATTAAATGAGACCATGTGTGTAAAACGTAGCACCTGGTACATAGTAAGCTTTCCGTGTATTGCACCACCAAAATTTTATGGCCAGGATATTAGGAGGCCTCTAGATTGAACTGGAAGGGGAAAATAGCTCTTGTTCCAATTGAATATTTGGCTCACTCACTCAACAATCATTTACTTATTTATGATAATTATATCGCACAGAATTGGACCCCTAAAAAAGTATGTTCACATGTCCCATTTATTACTCAAAACAGTCTTTGAGTCAGCTATTATCGCCATGTTAGAGATTAATAAACTGGGGCTTTAGAAGTAAAAGCACCTGTCCAAAGTCCCTCAGCCAGTAAGAGGAGGAACCAGAATGTGGAGCTGGGTTTTCGGACTCAGAGGTCTAAGAAAGTACCATAGCCTTTGTCAAGGGTCACAAATTCAGGTGCATCCAAAGGTCGGGTAGCTATGGAGTGGGCTGAGTATGGAGTGGGCAGGGTGAGGAGCTGCTGAGCGCATGCCTCATGTGCAGGGGCTGGCTCCCACACAGCTCCAGGCCATTGAACCCCCAAATTTGGATTTGTATATGGCATCTTCCATGTTTTCAAGGTTGGCAACTAATTCATATTGTTTTAAACACCATGTGGGCCATGCAGTGCTCATCTTTGGGCTAGTTTCAGGCATGGGCCATTGGTTCACAACCTTTGGTCTCTAAAATGTGCAGGGCTGTCCTAGGCAGCATGGGGGACCCTTGAGGGCAGAAAACATTTCAAGGGCCTGGCTTGGTTGGAGGTTCATCCAGAGCTTGACACAAAAGTACCAGAACCTGGGTCCTTTTCCACTTGGCCCTCTGAGTCCCCAGGCCCCTTGCATGAGAGCCCCCATGCCTAAAGAAAGCAACCTCAGTTCACCAGGCAGGACGCTGGCAGGGCTTTCTAGCAGCCTCCATGCCAGGGCACAAGGGAGCTGTGGAGAAGCTCTCATGGCTCTTAATTTTTCTGCCTTATCTAGTGCTAGGCTTAGGGCCGGTGCCCATAGGTCACTTCTGAAAGCTGGCTGAATTAGAGCATGACCACAAGGTGTCCTGGGACCCAACTCTGCCCCTCACAGATATGAGCACAGTGGCAGCTCTCAGGTTCATGCACCTCCTTAGAGCAGTGCCACCAGGATGCAATAATAACCACCATGCACTGCCTCTTGGTTCTCTTGACAGTTTTAAACCATCTGGCTGGATCTCGTGGCCTTCCCCCTCAGACTACCCATGTCTCCACGAAGGCGTCCTGGAGTCACTCCCCGAGCAGCGCGGCGGCGGCAGGGAGTTGGGTTGGGGTGGGCATTTGATGCGGGAGGTGGGTGGTGTGCTTGCTAGCTGGGCAAGAAAGCAGCAGTGGACCTGCCCCAAGGCCACACGTGCCTGGTCAGGCTGGCTTCTGATGTTCAGTCCCCTGGGCCGGGACAGATTTTTTTTAACGTCTTGAAACTTAAACTCTGTGCTTGTAGGATACTGTAACCTTTTTGTCTTTTTTTTTTTTTTTTTTTTTAAACCTCCACCTCCAGTGGCTGTGACTGGTCCCAGTGATTATACGTTATTGGTTGCTGTGGGTCTGGGCGGGCCTGGAGCCAGAAGGCGACTTATTTTTTCTCTCCTATGCCACCCCAGGTGGGGAGGGAGGGAGGTTTCAGACTCCAGTTTCTCCCTTGCCCTTTTATTCCCAAGCCTCCTTGGCCCCAGTATAAGTGTTGGGAACTCTCTGCCAGCTTCCTGAGTTCTGCCTAAAGATGGCCCCCCAGCACTGGTTGGGGACAAGGGCCAAATTGGTGACCACCAGTCATGCCTAGGACCTGGGGCCCAAAAGCCGGGCAACCTCTGGCTACAGGGGCCATTGGGTGCCCTCCCAGTTGAGAGGGGCCGCTGTTTCGCCTTGTCCGTCAGTGCCAGTGCCTGTGCCAGAGGTGGCGAGGTGAGTCCTCCAGAGCTTCCTGGCCGGGCCCTCCTCCTGCCTGTTCTGGCTCCTCTGCTCCCACGCTAGCTGTCCCTTTTCTGATTCTGGTGGATCCTCCCTCCCCTAATTAAAGTCTCTTTTTGCCCCTTTGGGGCTGCATGAGGTCTATGCTGTGTGTGTGTGTGAAAGGAGGGGAGGTGGGGCTTCTTTTCCCTGAGACCAGATGGCTGGTAATTGTGCCTGGAGCTCCCCACTGGGTGCAGTCTCATGATTGGTCCTGCCATTATTCCTGCCAGGGGTCCCAACCCAGAGACTCCATTCATTGCAGTCCAGGCACCATTAATTTCTGAAACTGCTCTGTCTGCCTATACAGAGCTTTGGTGCTTTTCACATAAGGAACTTACTTGGGCTAAAAAGTAACCTCAGAGAAACAGTGCTCCCATTTGGTGGATAAGGAAACTGAGGTTCCAAACATGAGATGTAATAGCTTGCCCCAAATCTAGCCAGTGAGCAAGAGAGTAGACTTTTGCCTGTGCCAAAACAGTAATCACCATCCACAAGTGGCTATTTAAATTTTAATTATTACAATTAAATAAAGTTTAAAATCCAGTTCCCCAGTCCCACTGGCAACTTAACAGCTACCAGTGACTGTACCATATATAACAGCATATATAGACATACAGCATATACAACACATACATAGAGATTCCCATCATTGCAGAAAGTTCCATTGGATAGTACTAGACCTTAGTAACACCTTGAAGTAAAAAGACAAAAGACCCTTGTGTTTGAGTCCTGATTCTTCTTGCCAGATTTGGCTAAGTTACTTCTATTTTGTGTCTCAGTTTCTTAGTCTATGAAGTGGAGATAATGAATATAAACAATCTGATACGGTCGCTGCTACACAGGTACTGACTGAACTATATTTTTTCCACCAGCCCAGTGGCTGGGCTGTTGAATAATTTCCAGTGTTCATGATGTTTATCCTTGCCTTGAGGCTTGGAGGTCCAGGAAAAGGGCTGGGTGTGTAAAAGGTTCACTGAAGTGTTTCATATTTAATATTGGAAGTCTGGGGGCCAAGGGGTAAATATAGGAGTGGGTGTCAGGGTAAGCTTCAAGAAGGGTGAACCTTTGAGCTGAGCTTTCAAAAGGGATTCCTCCAGATGGCCAGAGGGGTTTCTTCTGATGGGGTGGACAAGGTGATGTTAAAGGGAGGAGGGGGTAAGGGCAACTTGGAACAGCTATTGCCCCCCTCCTCCCCCCCCCTTTTTTTTTTTCATTTTTGAGACAGGGTCTCGCTTTGTTACCCAGGCTGGAGTGCAGTGGCGCAAGCATGGCTCACTGCAGCCTCAGCTTCCCCAGGCTCAAGTGATTCTCCCACCTCAGCTTCCTGAGTAGCTGGGACCACAGGCCTGTGCCACCACGCCCAGCTAATTTTTTTGTTTTTGGTTTTTGTTTTTTTTTAGGTCTCACTATGTTGCCTCGGCTGCCTTGGGTGATCCCCCCGCCTCAGCCTCCCAAAGTGCTATCATCTCCTTTATGACATTACCTCTGTGACCTACCTCGCCACCCCTCTGAATTAGGTGTTCCCTCCTCCAGGGCACATGGCTATGTTCTAGCTTTGCAGTGAATGTTAAAGGTGCTCACAGTGAAACTGGGTGACTAATAGGATATAGCAGCTGGTCACTCAACAACCCTCACAGGACAGCATTGCCTGGGTGAGCCAGCCACAAACCTCATTTGTCATGTATCTCTCTCCCAGGGTCCAAATTCCCTAAATCACCTTTCCTGGGGGGCATGCTTTTCGGGAAGTCCAGCCATCAGCTAAAGGGGAGTTGGGGTCAGCTGGACAGGAAGGTGGGGGATCCACCTTCACTCTTAAGAGCACATCTACCCAGTGACTGACAAAGCTGGGCTCTTACCAGGACACTCTTCGACTCTGCCTGCGGGGGCACTGCTAGAGTTTGCCTCTCAAACTGTCCCTGTGTGGTCCTTCTGTGACTGGCAGGCAACCTGAGTGATAACAGGTGTTTAAGAGACAGGCTTTGGAGTCAGACCTGGGTTCCAGTGCTGCCTCTGCTCTGTGATTTGAGGCAAATTGTTTAACATCTTGGAGCCTTACCTCCCCTGTGACTTTTGAGGATAATATTTTGCCAGTGCTTCCAAAAAGGTTGCTTACAGTCTTAGCCTGGGGGCCAGGCATAACTGTTGTGAACTATTACATTTCTTTCGCAGTTGACTCAAATGATTGTTTTTCCATTTCCAGTTTCTGGGGAGGGTGTGCTCTGCACCTTCTTGTTACCCCCATATGCTGCCCTCGCTAAGGACCTTACCCTAGGCCCATCTGCCAGGCCCAGCAGGTCTGATCTGGCCTCACCAGGCTCCAGCCACCCTGGCTGTCTTGTAGTTCGCACAGAGGTTCTTACCCTTCTCAGGGCTGTTGCTGGGACTGTCCCTTCCCTGAAGTGCAGTTCCTCCCCTTTCCCTGGTGACTCCTGACTCCTGGCATTTACACCTTCAGCTTAAATGCGCCACTTTATCTAAAATGCGCCCCCTTCCTGGTTTCACCTCTGCTTGTTCATTGCCCTTATTATACCTGTAAACTATTCTCTTCCTTTGTTACTTGCTTTTTATTCCCCTCACACTGGGCTTTTAGTAAGCTCCATGAGGTCAGGGGCCATTTGTTAGCGCCTATAAATACTGTGGAATCACTCAAACCCTAGGGCCGGTGGCACCAGGAAGTACTGGATAAGGAACCGCAACACTAACTAACTGGGGCTCAGTGCTCTCTTCCGCCTTCAGTGCCCTGCTCATCAAGGGTCTGGGTGAGGCCCCAGGTCATAAGGAAGCCCTCGCTCGACTGCCCCGGGGCCCATCGCAGCCCCCAACCAGCCCCGAGCGGTCTGATGGTGCCCAGGGAATGGTTTCCAAGGCAATAGCAAACGGGGCGGGGCTTGGAACGGAGGACAAGGCTCGAGCCTAGGCAGGAACTTCCCGGGAGAGGAGGCGGCGACGCGGAGGGGCGCGGGATCAGGGGCCCTGGGAGGGCGAGCGCGGCGAGGGGCGCATGCAGGGCCCCGACGCGCCACTGCTCCTGAGCGCGAGGGAGCTGGGGCCCGGGCGCCGGGGCTCGGCCTCCTGGTACCGCCAGGAGGGCGGCGCGGTGTGCAACTGGCTGCGGAAGCCGCAGCCGCTCGAGCCACGCACCAGTTTCCCCTCGGCGCGCCGCTCCGAGTTCCGTCCACCCAGGAGGCTGCCATGGGCCGGCCCTGCCTCCGCCCAGTCCGAGGAGGGTCACGCAGGCGGCAGATGCCAGGCGGGCAGCCCCGCCCCTGCGCGCCGCCTCAGCGGCGCCTTCAAGACGCTGGTCCCAGGCACCCACGCCCAGGGCGCCTCGGATACCCACCCCCTCGGCCCCCCGCACACCCCGGTCCTCGACCCCTCTCCGCAGGATGGTGAGGCCCGTGCGGCCCGCTCGCTCTGGCCTACAGCGGCTGCGAGGACGACAAGACGCTGGGGTGGAGGGACTGGGGGTCGGGAGAAGAGCGGCTGAGGGTGGGCATCTGGATGAAGGCAGGAGGAAGAAAAGAGGCGTGGCTATGGGCGGCCAGAAAAGATCCTAGGCCGAGACCCTAGGCCCAGCCTCAGTGTACCCCGCCCCTATTCCGCATCTTTCTGCAGGTTTCCCGGTCCTCTGGCGAGGATCCTCCAAGGCGTCTCACATGAACCGGCTCAGAAACGCCAAAATCTACGTGGAGAGAGCTGTCAAGGTCAGAGGAGGGGCAGGGGCGCTTAGAAAGGGCCCTGGGAGCGGCTCAGCCTGTCTCCCTGCGCTGTTTTCTTATATCCTTAAAAAACAAAAGCAAAAGAAAAAACAATAGCAAAAATCCTCAACCACCACACCCATCTTCAACTACCTCCCCGTTTACCCCTTCAGCACCAAACTTCTGGGCTCCCTCCACTCTGGTTCCCTGCGATGTCCCACTCTAATCAAGGTGCCTGGTGAGTTCCAGGGAGCCAAACCCAGCAGTGCCTTTCGGTCTTGATCTCGGTTGGGCACCCTGTATCTTTCGACACCGCTGCCCCACACACCCTTCCTCTTGGCTGTCTGACTGCACGCTCCTAGTTTTCCTTTCTCCCTCTTTGGCTGCTGCTTTTCAGCGGCCTTTAAAGGTTCCTCAGCCATTAGTGGCCCCCTGGCCCCTTCCCCAGGTCTGTCTCCTTTGGCTGTGTCCTTGGCTGAGTCCAGTCAGTGTGCTGCACCCTCTCCGTGCCCCTTCCAGCCCAGCCTCGAACTCCACATCCCGTAGATCTAGCCCCTACCTGTCATCTACACCCAGAAAACTTAACAAGCATTTCAAATTCATGTCCCAAACCAGACTTTGATCTTCCTGCCCAAACCTGTCGTCCTCCCCAGTCTCCAGTCTTTCCCATCTCTCAGTTCCTCACGCCAGAAATCTCATCTTTCTGTTTCTTCACCCACAGGTCTAATTCCATCAGCAAAACCACTTGTCATCTCCACCTCCAAAACGATTCTCAACTCTAGCACCTTCTCCCGTCTGTGTTGTAACCACCTTCATTTTAGTAATTGTGATTTCTCTCCTAGGCAAACTATGACAGCCTCCTAGCTGGTCTACCTCCATCCTGTCCCCTCATCTTTTTGTAATACAGCAGCAAGCCAAGCTTAGAAAGATTCCCTCAGTTAGCCTTTTTTGCTCATGACACTCTTAGTATGAAATCCAAGTCCGTTCCAAGGCCTGCAGGGCCTTCCACAGTCTGGCCACTGCCTACCTCCTCTGGGGCTTTCCCCATCATTTTCCATGTTCCACTCACTCTGGTCTCCCTTCAGTTCCTTCTGACCTCTCTCCAGCCTCAAGGCCTTTGCACATGCATTCCCCTCTGCCTGAACCGCCATTTCCCAGCTCTGTACATTCATGGCTTCCTTTCAACCTTCCCTGACCATGTATTTCTAAGTAGTTTCTCTGGATCCCATTAAGTATGCAGTTTCTGGAGCCAAACTGCCAGGATGTAAATCCCTGCTCTTTTGCTTAACCACTATGGGGCCTCAGGCACCCTGCTTAATTTCTCTATGCCTCTGTTTCATAGCCCGTAAAATGGAGATAACAGTATCTAATAAAAATGCATAGTATTGGCCAGACGCGGTGGCTTACACCTGTAATCCCAGCATTTTGGGAGGCCAAGTCAGGAGGATCACTTGAGGCCAGGAGTTGGAGACCAGCCTGGCCAACACAGTGAAGCCCAGTCTCTACCAAAAAATATAAAAATTATTTGGGCACCAGATGAGGTGGCTGACGCCTGTAATTTCAGCACTTTGGGAGGCCAAGGCGGGCCTTGGCCTGAGGCCAGGAGTTCAAGACCAGCGTGGCCAATATGGTGAAACCCTGTCTCTACTAAAAATACAAAAATTAGCCGGGCGCAGTGGCACACGCCTGTACTCCCAGCTACTGGGGAGGCTGAGGCAGGAGAATCGCTCGAACCCGGGAGGTGGAGGTTGCAGTGAGCCAAGATTGTGCCACTCCAGCCTGGGCAACAGAGCAAGACTCCGTCTCAAAAAAAAAAAATTATCTGGGCGTGGTGGCATACACCTGTAATCCCAGGTACTCAAGGAGACTGAGGCAAGAGAATCGCTTGAACCCAGGAGGAAGAGGGTGCAGTGAGCCGAGATTGTGCCACTACACTTCAGCCTGGGCAACAGAGTGAGACCCTGTCTCAAACAAAACAAAATAAAAACACACAGTATTGTTAGTAATGCATGTAAGTGCTCAGCATGTAGTAGGTCCTCAATAAATATTAGCCATTGCTATTATCATTATTACCATGCATATTTATTTCTCTACTTATTTATAGTCTGTTTATTTCTCCTAATGGAATATAAAAATTTCCTGATGGCAGAGTCCATAACTGTCTGGTTCACCTTTATATCCCCTATGTCTGGCACTTATGCAATACTTATTGAAGAAGTATCCTTCTCTCACATTGCAGCAGAAGAAGATCTTTACAATCCAAGGCTGCTACCCGGTGATCCGGTGTCTCTTGCGCCGGAGGGGCTGGGTGGAGAAGAAGATGGTCCATCGCTCAGGCCCCACCCTGCTGCCACCCCAGAAGGATCTGGATAGCTCAGCGATGGGTGACAGTGACACCACTGAGGATGGTGAGTGGTTCCTTCCCTTTCCACAGCTGTTGCTCCTGAGTCCTTTTCCTTTGGTTCCCACTGTCCCAGAGTTGAGGCCTTATGGGCTATGGGTCAGGGAGAGGAAACTCATCAGCTCTGGGCTCTGCATCCACAGAGGATGAAGATGAGGACGAGGAGTTCCAGCCATCACAGCTGTTCGACTTCGATGATTTACTGAAATTTGATGACCTAGATGGAACACATGCTCTGATGGTGAGGGCCCTGGGGGCCAAGATGATACAGGGACTGCCTGCTTAGAGGGAGGGCATTGGTGTCCAGCTGGGTGACCTCAGACAAGTCCTTTCTTTCTCTGGGCCACAGTTTCCCTATCTGTAGTAAAAACTGCTTCTTTAAAGGCTGGATAGAGCTGGACATGGTGGCTCATGCCTGTGGTCCCAGCTACTCAGGAGGCCAAGGTGGGAGGATAACTTGAGGCTAGGAGTTCAAGACCAGCCTGGGCAACATAGTAAGACTCAGTCTCTACAAAAAAAGGTAGAAAAACATTATCCGGGTGTGGTGGCATGTACCTGTAGTCCCAGCTACTCGGGAGGCTAAGGTGGGAGGATCACTTGAACCTGGGAATTACAGGCTGCAGTGAGCTATGATCGCACCATTGCACTCCAACCTGGGCAGCAAAGCAAGACTCTATCTCTAAAAAAGAAATAAGTGAATAAAGGCTAGATAGGCCCACAGAGTGGGGAGGGACACAGCAGGGCTGTGTCCCATCTGGCCTGGGATTCAGAGCTCTGCTAGGTCATACCAGATGCCAGCACAGCCGCCATGCATGGTAACTCCCCCTTCAAATAAAAACCCCATAGTTCCCCTTCCCCGCTGCCCTTGGTAAGTGAAGGCAGGAAGGAAGGTCTTAAAAAGCTCTGGAAGAGACGGAGCGGGGTGGCTTATACCTGTAATCCCAGCACTTTTTGGGAGGCCGAGGCGGGCAGATTCCTTGAGGTCAGGAGTTCGAGACCAGCCTGGCCAACGTGGTGAAAACCCATCTCTACTAAAAAAACAAACAAATAAAAAAACAAACAAATAACAACAACAACAAAAAGTAGCTGACTGTGGTGGCAGGCGCCTGTAATCCCAGCTACTCGGGAAGCTGAGGCAGGAGAATCACTTGAACCCAGGAGGTGGAAGTTGCAGTGAACTGAGATCACGCCACTGCACCCCAGCCTGGGTGACAGAGCGAGACTCCGTCTGAAAAAATAAATAAATAAAATAAAATAAAGGCCAGGAGCAGTGGCTCACACCTGTAATCCCAGCACTTTGGGAGGCCGAGGCTGATGGATCACCTGAGGTCAGGAGTTCAAGACCAACCGGGCCAACATGGTGAAACCCTGTCTCTACTAAAAAAATAGAAAAATTAGCTGGGTGTAGTGGTGTATGCCTGTAATCACAGCTACTTGGGAGGCTGAGGCAGGAGAATTGCTTGAATCTGGGTAGCAAAGGTTGCAGTGAGCTGAGATCGCGCCACTGCACTCCAGCCTGGGCGACAGAGTGAGACTCTGTCTCAAAAATAAAATAAAAATACAAAAATTAGCCAGGCATGGTGGCGGGCGCCTGTAATCCCAGCTACTCGGGAGGCTGAGGTGTGAGAATTGCTTGAACGTGGGAGGTGGAGGTTGTAGTGAGCTGAAATTGCGCCACTGCACTTCAGCCTGGGTGACAGAACAAGCGATAACTCCATCTGAAAATAAAGAAAAAAGGTTGAAAGAGTCGGTGTGATGATGTGGAGGACATGCACGTTGAGGTGAGGGCCCTTGGGTTTCCATCTTGGTAGTGCCACTTACTGAGTTCAAATATATAAAATTGCCATTTCTGGCCGGGCATGGTGGGTCATGCCTGTAATCGCAGCACTTTGGGAGGCCAAGGCGGGTGGATTATTTGAGGTCAGGAGTTCGAGACCAGCCTGGGGAACATGGTGAAACCCCGCCTCTACTAAAAATACAAAAAAATTAGCTGGGCCTGGTGGCGCACACCTGTAATCCCAGCTACTAGGGAGGCTGAGGCAGAAGAATCAACTTGAACCCAGGAGACGGAGCTTGCAGTGAGCCAAGATCACGCCACTGCACTCCAGCCTGGGCGACAAGAGTCAGACTCCATCTCAAAAAAAAAAAAAAGCCATTTCTGTATGTCAGGAATGGCTGAATATTGGCAGCTTCATATGGGTCAATCTCATGAGCCCTTGGGCAAGTCACTTGCCTTCCTGTGCCTCAGTTTCCTCATCTGTAAAACAGAGATAACCTTAGCCCCTACCACATAGAATTATGGTGAATGAATTGACGTGGAAAGTGCTTAGAGCAGGGCCCAGCATGGGCTGACGCTGGTTATTAATAATTACCCCACCTCCCAGAGTTGTAGGAAGGAGGGAGAGAGGTGGGGTCCATGAGAGAGCCTGTGTCACAGGCTGTGTGCCCATCAGCTTGGAGTCACTGTCCTGCCCCTGGGCAAGTCACTGATGACCATGGGCCAGAACAAAGTGTGACATTCAGTTGTGCAGCTTTGTCACTCCTTGGGGACACCCTTAGGGGCCCTGCCCCCTCAGCAGCTATCTCCATAGGTGGGTCTATGTCTCAGTCTTTGGAATTTGCCATGGTTTGATGAGGCTAATGCCAACTCCTTCTCACGCTGCCACCGCCTGGGGGCTGACAAGCCTCATAGGACACCTTAAGCAGTGACAAAGGGAGGCAGAAGAGAGTCTTTGGCCTCCCTAAGGCCAAAAGGAGGCTGAAAGGCTGGCTTGCTCTCTGCCCACCTGTGCCCTGGAGGAAGAGAAATCTTCTTGACTTACACAAAGATGATGTGTGGGCTAGAGGCCACCTTGGAAGCATCCTCTCCTTCCTGTTCACCCACCCTGCTCAGCAGGGCAGGGAGAGGCTGCCTTAGGCCCTGCTACCCACACTGGCCTCTGTGTTTCTGTCTCCTCCTGTCTCCCCAGTCCCGCATGGTCCAGAATGAGATCCCCTACTTCATCTGGACCACTCGGCGGGATGTGCTCGACTGTCGCTTCCTCTCCAAGGATCAGATGATAAACCACTACGCCCGGGCTGGCTCCTTTACCACAAAGGTGGGCTCCCTAGAGGAGCAGGCAGGGCAGCTTCCGACCCCCTGCCCTTGGGCTGGCAGCTCTCCTCCCTGCTCACCTTGTTAGTAAGAGGAAGTTCTCAGGACAAGGGGAAGTATACAATTCAGAAAATTTGGAGTCTGACCAGTATCTGGCAAGTTCAAATCCAGCCCCTGCACCGTATCCGGCATTTGTAGATATGATGTCTAAAATGGGTCTGGAGGTAGAACAATCACCAAATCCAATGATAGTGAGCAAACGGACTCTTACCTCCTAAGCAGAAGATATCTGGCTAATGGACCCATTCTGTCTTACCTGGGTTTCTTTTTTTTTTTGAGACAGAGTCTTGCTCTGTCTCCCAGGCTGGAGTGCAGTGGTGCAATCTCAGCCCACTGCAACCTCTGCCTCCCAGTTCAAGCAATTCTCCTGCCTCAGCCTCCTGAGTAGCTGGGACTACAGGTGCGTGTCACCACACCTGGCTGATTTTTGTATTTTTTAGTAGAGATGGGGTTTCACCATGTTGGTGACCTCAGGTGATCCACCTGCTTCAGCTTCCCAAAGTGCTGGGATTTCGGGCACGAGCCATCATGCGCAGCCTTACCTGGTGTTCTTAGCAAGTGACTTCACCTCTCTGAGCCTCAATTTCCTCATCTTTCAATGAGAATACCAGTAAGGCCCATCTTCTGGGGTTGTGGCAAGGATGAAGGGCTTTATAATAATGACCTGCCATTATATTATTGGTGTGGGTTAGGAAGGATTCTAGAGGAAGCAGCTCTTTTTTTATTTTTAAGAGATGAGGTCTTGCTATGCTGCCTAGGCTGGTCTTGAACTCCTGGCCTCTGGCCTCAAGCAGTCCTCCCACTTCAGCCTCCCAGAGTGCTGGGATTATAGGTGTGAGCCACCGCGCTCGGCCTTGGCAGCTCTTTAAGAATGAGAAAGGGTGGGCCGGGCACAGTGGCTCACGCCTGTAATCCCAGCACTTTGGGAGGCCGAGGCAGGCAGATCACCAGGTCAGGAGATCGAGACCATCCTGGCTAACACGGTGAAATGCCGTCTCTATTAAAAATACAACAAATTAGCTGGATGTGGTGTCGGGCGCCTGTAGTCCCAGCTACTCTGGAGGCCGAGGCAGGAGAATGGTGTGAACCCGGGAGGCAGAGCTTACAGTGAGCCGAGATCGCGCCACTGCACTCCAGCCTGGGTGACAGAGTGAGACTCCATCTCAAAAAAAAAAAGAATGTGAAAGGGGGGACAGGAGGGACATCAGGCATTCTTGGCAAAGGACACCTCCCAGGCAAATATATGGTGATAGATGTGAGCAACTCAGACCTTGCAAGCGGGGCCAAGGCTCTGAGCGCAGATCCAGTCAGAGTCTTTCTGAACTGTCTGGGTGTGTGGTGAGTGTGGGCAGTCCTGCCCTGCCCTCTCAGTGGCTAACTCCGTAGGTGGGTCTATGTCTCAATCTCCGGAATTTGCCGTGGTTTGATGAGGTTGATGCCAACTCCTTCTTCCCACGCTGCTACTGCCTGGGGGCTGAGGATGACAAAAAAGCCTTCATAGGTAAGGAGACCCCCAGCCCTATGCCTGAACCTCAGGCTGACAGAGCAGGGCTGAAGCTCTGGCTCATATTGGAGAGAAACAGGCCTCTCTTCATGCCCTCATCTGCCTGCCCCAGCAGATTTCCCTTTCCACCCTCAATCCTTATCCTTCCCTAATGTGCCCTCCCTTAATAAGCCTCTTAGCTTGGTCAACTCTGACCTCCAGAAAAGCTTGGGTAGCTTGGCTTATATTCTAGAGCAGGTTCTAAAAGTTGGTCAGTCCCTTGAGTTTGGAATCCAGAACAGATTCCAGGCTTATATCAAGTTCCATTTGTTGAATTGGGTTCCAAAAAAGGCTGCAGGCTTTGGATTTCTAAGGCAGACTAGGTTCCGATTCCACAATATGTTCTAAATTCAGGTTAGAATTTGGATCCAGATTCTATGCTAGATTTAAATTACATTCAGAATCTGAACTAGGACACAGTCTGGTTCTCAGGACAGAATAAGTATCAAAAGTAGGTGATGAACAGAAGAAACAAATCAGACAATGGGTCCAAGCCAGATTCTGAAGGCAGAATATGATCCAAGTCAGGTCAGATTTGGGGTCTGGTTACACAACTGAAACAGGAGCAAGTTCTTTTTTTTTTTTGAGACGGAGTCTCGCTCTGTCACCCAGGCTGGGGTGCAGTGGCGCGATCTTGGCTCACTGCAAGCTCCGCCTCCCAGGTTCCCGCCATTCTCCTGCCTCAGCCTCCCGAGTAGCTGGGACTACAGGCGCCCGCCATCACGCCTGGCTAATTTTTTGTATTTTTAGTAGAGACGGGGTTTCACTGTGTTAGCCAGGATGGTCTCGATCTCCTGACCTCATGATCCATCCACCTCAGCCTCCCAAAGTGCTGGGATTACAGGCGTCAGCCACCGTGACCAGCCTGAAACAGGAGCAAGTTCTAAACTCAGGCTCTAGAGTCAGAAAAGGTAGAGTCAGGTTCTGGATCCAAAATGGGGCAAGTCATGATCAGGTTCTGGAACCAGAACAGGCCTCAAGCCTAGGGGCTGAGCAGGGTATCCCCTGGCCTGGGAGCAGAGGACTTCTGGCTGACTGCTGCCCGCAACGTTCTCAAGCTGGTGGTGAAGTCTGAGTGGAAGTCATACCCTATTCAGGCAGTAGAGGAAGAGGCCTCAGGTAAGTACTGTGGTTACCTCCACTCTCCCACCCATTTATCCTCCACCCATCCGCCCTTCCACCTATCTGCCCTTCTACCTATCTATTCATCCACGCACCTACTGGTTCATCCACACATCTGTGTATGATTCACATCTACCCATCTATCCATCCATCCACCAGCCATCCATCCACTCATCCACCCACGTATTCACCCACTCTCTGATCTACCGATTCACCCACCCACCCTTCCACTCATCCTTCCATCCTCCCACCTGTCACCCATTGTTAATCTCGTCATTCATCTACCTGATGTCAGCTCCATACTCCCCATCCATCTATCCACTCCCTGCCTACCTATCCTTCCACAGATCCACCTACCCATCTATCTACCTGCTATTCCATTCTCCCATCTACTACCTATCTGTTCTTCAGGCCATCCACTCATCCATTCTTCTGTCCCAGGTACTTAGACACTTGTCTTCCCATCCGTTTGTTAGTTGATCCACTCCTCATTCAGCCCTCCCATGGGCCTGGCATGTAGCCGAGCACCCTGGAGAGGGCAGACTAAGAAGACATGGTCCGTCCCTGCCTGTGAGGAGTTCAGGTCTCTGAGGAGGAGGAAGCAGTGAAACTGGGCTTTACACATGGCCTGAGAACAGCTTAGGCCTGAACATAAGGAACAGCTTGGAGTGGAGGGGACACAGAGGAACCCTCACTATCATGCATGCCAACCCAACCACTGCCTGCCCTTTCCCTTCTGGATTTAGCTCGTGTCTCCAGGCTCCTAGTCCTGTAATCCAGGGACCCATCAGCGAGGGATTCAGGGAAGCAGAGGCAGCTCTCCAGGAAGGAGGAAAATCCCTGCCTCTTCCAGAGAGACTCCCCCATTGCTGTCTCTTGTGTGTGTCATGCACAAGGAAGGCTTGGTTGTGTGCCAGGATAAGGGGCACAAGGGCCTCGGGTGTGGCCAGAGACCCCATGCTTAAGCTTTTATGGTATAGGTCAGGCTGCAGGGGTTTGAGGGCCTCAGTTGTATATCAGAATCTTCAGAGCACTGCGATGTTCAGGGGTGAGTCAGGTCTGTAGATGTGCACGGGGTCTTCTGAAGGGTCAGTTTCTGTAATCACTTTCAGGTGTGTCAGGGCCTTGTGCAGTAACAGTGCACACAGAAGTTAGTGTTTCTGTGGGCTAAGGGTTGTAGCTCTGTATCAGGATTCTGGGAGTGGGTCTGGATTTCTGGTGTGTGGACTTAAGAAGCTGTGTCAGACTTGGGGGAGGGGCGTTCATGTATAACTGGGTTCACATAGGCCAAGACTCCCAGGTGCATTTTAGGCAGAGCCTCAGGTGTGTTAGAGGTCCCAGGGGCAGAGAGGCTATAGGTGCTGTCAGAGGCCTTGGGGACATTTAGGGCAGAGCCTCGAGTGACAGGTCCTGGGACAGTGGGAGCCAAGGGCAAGTGCTAGAGTTGCAGTGAATTTAGAGCAAAGCCTCAGCTAAGTGACACATCCCAGGGCAGTAGGGGATCTATCTAGGTTCGTGCTGGGCCTCAGGTAAGTGACAGGCCTTAGGACAATGGGGGCTGTGGCATGCGTCAGGTTACCTGCCTTGATATGGGATCGTGACAGGCCCCTCCCTATGTGCAGGAGACAAGCAGCCCAAGAAACAGGAGAAAAACCCAGTGTTGGTGTCCCCAGAGTTTGTGGATGAAGCTCTGTGTGCGTGCGAGGAGTACCTTAGCAACTTGGCCCACATGGACATCGACAAGGACCTGGAGGCCCCGCTGTACCTCACCCCCGAGGGCTGGTCCCTCTTCCTCCAGCGCTACTACCAAGTGGTCCAGTGAGTCCCCTGCAGCTGGGACTTTGGGCTGTGGGCAGGTGCTTAGGGATAGACCCTTTCTGTCTCGTGCAGCCCCTACCCCTTCCCCAAGCCTCCCGCTCGTTTACCCCGCTGTTCTGCTCAGGAACCCTCGAGGACTCCCACTGCCTCCGTGATAGGGTCTGGGCCACTTTTCTTGGTTCTTGGCATAGCATAGTCACTAAGAGCATGGACTGTGCCACCAAATGGACAGCACATTACCCAAAGTGTGTGTTGTGTGGATGTTAATTCTACAGGAAGTAAATAGATTTTATGAAAAAAGGGCTTTTGTGGTCCATCACATTTGGAAAACACTGGATTAAGCAGTTAAAGAGGCTTCCCTGGGGCAGTACTCTTCAGAACCTGTGGGTGGTGTAAGCCTATAGAGAGAGTGCGCTGCTTATCCTGTACTTAAGTGAGCCCAGTGCCCTGCCTCCCACCAAGCATCCTGAGGGGCAGTGTTTTCTGAACACACTTTGGAAGAAGGTTCTTAGGTGGGGAAAGGGAGGATCAAGGTGAGCCTGGTGCTGCTTTAGGGAGATTCCATTCGGGAGAAGCATGCAGGAGCAACTGGAGGGAGAACAGCCCTGAAGGCAGAACACACAGTAAGCATTTCTTGAGCAACTCCGATGTGCCAAGCATTGTGCCAGGTTCTGAAATGAAGCGTAGCCCCTGTTCTCAACTGGGACACAGCTCAAGGTTTGAGACCTGCAGGAAGCCAGGTGGGAGTGCTAGGAATCTCAGCTGGGGTGGTGGTAATGGGAAGAAATGGATAGATTTAATTACTCAGTAGGGGAAACCGAAGAACTAATGAATGACATGAGCAGCAGATCCACATCATTAGCACGTAATTCACTGCATCTTTTCTAAATGCCAGGACATAACTCAGGTGGCCCGGTACTTTCTCTTTAGCTACTGGAAAATGTAAAGCTGCCCATTTTAAATTAAGAATTATCAAGGTGGCCAAGCGTGGTGGCTCACGCCTGTAATCCCAGCACTTTGGGAGGCTGAGGCGGGCAGATCACTTGAGGTCAGGAGTTCAAGACCAGCCTGGCCAATATGGCGAAACCCCATCTCTACTAAAAATATGAAAATTAGCTGGGCATGGTGGCGCACGCCTATAATCCCAGCTGCTCAGGAGGCTGAGACAGGAGAATCGCTTGAACCTGGGAGTCGGAGCTTGCAGTGAGCCGAGATCGCGCCACTGTACTCCAGCCTGGGTGACAGAATGAGACTCCGTCTCAAAAAAAAAAAAAAAAAGAATTTTCAAGACTTAGAACATTAGTCATGAAGCACGAGTCCCTTTTTTTTTTTTTTTTTTTTTGAGACAGAATCTTGTTCTGTTGCCCAGGCTGGAGTGCAGTGACGTGATCTCGGCTCACTGCAACCTCCACCTCCTGGGTTCATGCGATTCTCCTGCCTCAGCCTCCCGAGTAGCTGGGATTACAGGCGCCCACCACCACGCCCGGCTAATTTTTTGTGTATTTTTAGTAGAGATGGGGTTTCACTATGCAGGCCAGACTGGTATCGAACTCCTGACCTCGTGATCCGCCCTCCTCAGCCTCCCAAAGTGCTGGGATTACAGGCATGAGCCACCGCGCCCGGCCATGAGTCCTTTTTATTTCTGGTGTGTGGGGGCAAGTTCTGGAGGGCTATAAGAACCTCTCTAAAGTCGGGATTACATAAAACATTGCATCATATAACAGACATACACAGTGTTGAATGGTTCAGTACAAATGACCAGCATTCATTCATTCCCTCAATATTTTATTTTATTTTTTTGAGACAGGGTCTCACTTTGTTACCCAAGCTGGAGTGCAGTGGCGCAGTCTTGGCTCACTGCAACCTCTGCCTCCCAGGCTCAAGTGATTTTCCCACCTCAGCCTCCTGAGTAGCTAGGACTACAAGTGTGTGCCACCAGGCCTGGCAAATTTTTGTGTGATATACATATATCGTTGTATGTATATATTATGTATTATATATATTATAATATATATAATACATAATATATACATATATATATATATTTTTTAGAGACGTGGTTTCACCATGTTGGCCAGGCTGGTCTTGAACTCCTGAGCTCAAACAATCCGCCCGCCTTGGCCTCCCGAAGTGCTGGGATTAACAGAGTGAGCCACTGCACTCGGCCTAATTCATTCAATATTTAGTGTTAATGCTTCTCAACTTTTTAAAAAAAACAATTCCACTTGGGGCGGTGGCTTATGCCTATAATCCCAGCACTTTGGGAGGCCAAGGCTGGCGGATCATGAAGTCAGGAGTTCAAGACCAGCCTGGCCAATATGGTGAAACCCCATCTCTTCTAAAAATACAAAAATTAGCAGGGCCGGGCACGGTGGCTCACGCCTGTAATCCCAGCACTTTGGGAGGCCAAGGCGGGCAGATCATGAGATCAGGAGATCGAGACCATCCTGGCTAACATGGTGAAACCCCATCTCTACTAAAAATACAAAAAAATTAGCTGGGTGTGGTGGTGGGTGCCTGTAGTCCTAGCTACTCGGGAGGCTGAGGCAGGAGAATGGCGTGAACCCAGAAGGCGGAGCTTGCAGTGAGCCGAGATCGCGCCACTGCACTCCAGCCTGGGCAACAGAGCGAGACTGTCTCAAAGAAAAAACAAACAGCCAGTTTTTTTTTTTTTTTTTTTTTAAATCCTGGATTTTAAGAACTAAGCCAGCCAGGTTTTCATCAGGCTGACTTTTCATTAAAATACTGTTTTTTTTTTCTTTTTGCTAACTATAAAATCATATTGTCATGTCGAATATACTTTTTCAAATTACGCTCCTGTGTGATATTTTCCTGGGCCACATCACAGATTACTGAAAAGATACTTCATGCTACGGACCACAGAAAAGTTTGTCAGGACATAGGTGTGAGTACTCCTGGGAGACCTTGCCTAGCCCCCTGCATCTGGCTGTCCCTGTTCCTGGCACTGCCCCAGTGGCTGCTGCCTCCTCCTTAAAAAAGAGAAAGTTCTCCATGACTGGAGACACTCAAGATGCTAAGATGTCACAGAGTTAGCTTCCCCTGAACAGGAGGCTCCCGTCCTATTCAGTCAGAAGGAAAGAAATGCGAGAGTCTGGATGAGGCAGCCATCTGGGGTATTTTGTGACTTGGTTTAGTTCAGGACATTTTCTGTCTTGTAGAGAACAGGGTCCCTCTTTGTCCATGAAACCCTGTCCGTGCAGCCCAGTTGCTGAGGCAAGCTCCTACCAAAGTACTTGCTGAGCCAACCGTTCATTCATTGAGCAAACTTCCAGGGAGTACCTGCTGAGTGCCAGGTGTGGTGCTTGGGGATGGGGATTATAGCAGAGAACAACTACAGAAAATGTTCCTGCTCTTACGGAGTTTACATTGTAGTTAGGGGATTCAGACAATAACCAAATAAGCACATGTGTTAGGTGGGGGTAGATGATGGGAAGAAAACAAGCAAGAAGAGGTGTGATATAGAAGTGCTTGAAAGGAATTAGGCTAACATTGTTTCAGCCAATATTAGGCACAGATTAAGACAGGAATGAACCCCAAAAAGCACCTGTGGGTGGAGGAATCAGACAGGACAGAGTTTGAATCCTGGCTGAACCACTCAACTTTCAGTGTATGGCCTTCGGTAAGTCCCTTAACTCTCAAAGCTTCAGTTTACTCTTTTTGTTTTTTGAGATGGAGCCTCGCTCCGTTGCCCACACTGGAGTGCAATGGCGCGATCTCGGCTCACTACAACCTCCGCCTCCTGGCTTGAAGTGATTCTCCTGCCTCAACCTCCTGAGTAGCTGGGATTACAGGTGCCCACCACCACACCCGGCTAATTTTTGTATTTTTAGGAGAGATGGGGTTTCACCATATTGGCCAGGATGGTCTCAATCTCTTAACCTTGTGATCCGCCCACCTTGCCCTCCCAAAGTGCTGGGATTACAAGCGTGAGCCACTATGCCCGTCCCAGTTTACTTTTTCTTTTCTTTTCTTTTCTTTTTTTTTTTTTTTTTTTTTGAGACGGAATCTTGCTCTGTCGCCCAGGCTGGAGTGCAGTGGTACGATCTCGGCTCACTGCAACCTCCGCCTCCCTGGTTCAAGTGATTGTCCTGCCTCAGTCTCCCAAGTAGCTGGGATTACAGGCACCTGCCACCATGCCTGGCTAATTTTTGTATTTTTAGTAGAAACAAGGTTTTGCCATGTTGGCCAGGCTGTTCTCGAACTCCTGACCTCAGGTGATCCGCCTGCCTCCGCCTCCCAAAGTGCTGGGATTACAGGCAGGAGCCACCGTGCCTGGCCCAGTTTACATTTCTCTAAAATGGGACCAGAGCTGGGTGTGGTAGCTCATGCCTGCAATCCCAGCATTTTGGGAGGCTGAACAGGAGGATGGCCTGAGGCCAGGAGTTCAAGACTAGCCTGGGTAACATAATAAGACCCATCTCTGCAAAAAATAAAAATTAGCTTGGGTGTGGTGGCGTATGCCTGTAATTCCAACTACTTGGGAGGCTGAAACTTGGACCTAGGAGTTCCTGGCTGCACTGAGCCGTGATTTCACCACTGCACTTCAGCCTGGGTGACAGACCAAGACCCTGTCTCAAAAAAAAAAAAAAAAAGTCGGGGGGTAGGGGGTGGGTACTAGTAATACTTCCCTGGCAGGGCCTTGAGGGCATTCGTGAAAATATATGGAAAGCCCTTGTCACAATGCCTGGCACATAGTGGTGCTTTATCATTAGGAACTGGAATGATTAAATTCTGTCAAAGACAGTTTTAATGTAATAGGAAGGGGGTGGCACAGGTGGAGTGTTGGAGTAGGGGGTGGTTTGCAGTTAATGGAATTTTATCAGCCTTTCCCATTTGTGTAGTCTGGGCAGGTTAGGATTTCCGGGGTGGCTTGAAGGTGGGGCCGGAGGCTTGGGAGGGACCTATGGATATCTGCAGGGAGGGCGTGACCAAGGCTGCCTGGATGACGGCGGGGGATGGTGGAATATATCTCCCCCTGCCCTCTCCACCTGCATGTCCCAGGTCCAGCCCTGCCCAAGTTCTATCATTTCCCCACAGCGAAGGGGCAGAACTCAGGCACCTCGACACTCAGGTCCAGCGCTGTGAGGACATCCTGCAGCAGCTGCAGGCCGTGGTACCCCAGATAGACATGGAAGGGGATCGCAACATCTGGATCGTGAAGCCAGGAGCCAAGTCCCGCGGACGAGGTGGGGGTCAGCTCCTGCTTCCTGCACTGGCACCTCACCACCTGCATCTACCAGTAGAGGCCAAGGAAGTTAATAGTGCAGGTCTATTGAAGCCAAATTGCCTGGGTTTGAGTCCTAGCTCTGCTACTAATGTGCTTCGTGACCTTGAGCAGGTTTTAGCGCCTCCCTGAACCTCAGTTCCCTCATCTGTGACATGAGGAGGATGATAATACCTCCTGTGAGGTGAGGATTAAATGCAGTCATGCAGCTAAAGCACTATTCCAAATCCTCAACGTGCTTCAATTTATGCAATCCTGGGAAACGGAGGCACGTGTAGGCTTTCACATGATCCAGAAGGATATCCATAAGGTCCTGGAAGCAGCAGTTGGCTGCCTCTAGACAAGGAGATACATTTTTTATTGTATGCCCTTTCGTACTGCCTAATTTTTGTTTTGTTTTATAGTCTATTTATTATTGGTAGGAACGTAATAGGTGCACATACTTTAAAAAAGCCCCCAACACTGGCCAGGTACAGTGGCTCATGCTTGTAATCCCAGCAGTCTGGGAGGCCGAGGCGGGTGGATCACTTGAGGTCAGGAGTTGGAGACCAGCCTGGCCAACATGGTGAAACCCTGTCTCTACTAAAAATACAAAAATTGGCCACGTGTGGTGGCAGGCACCCATAATCCCAGCTACTCGGGAGGCTGAGGCAGGAGAATCACTTGAACCCGGGAGGCGGAGGTTGCAGTGAGCTGAGCTCGTGCCACTGCACTCCAGCCTAGGTGACAGGGCTGTCTCAAAAAAAAAAAAAAAAAAAAAAAGTCCAGCACTTTAAATTTGTATCCATGTATGTATTCCTGTTTAATCAAACAAAACTGGTTAATTAGGAAAAATTTAAAATCCTTAGCAAATTCCTGGCTTTCCCAAAGGGAACTGGGTTCTGATTGAGGGAGACAGCCTTACCCACTCAGCCCTATCAGCTCCGAGGGGACAAGAGCTCATGACAAGCTGGCCCTTCTCCTGGCCCACGCCTGACCTTCCAATCCCTGACTGCCCTCTTCCCCCGTAGGCATCATGTGCATGGACCACCTGGAGGAGATGCTGAAGCTGGTGAACGGCAACCCCGTGGTGATGAAGGACGGCAAGTGGGTGGTGCAGAAGTATATTGAGCGGCCCCTCCTCATCTTTGGCACCAAGTTTGACCTCAGACAGTGGTTCCTGGTAACTGACTGGAACCCACTTACCGTGTGGTTCTACCGCGACAGCTATATCCGCTTTTCCACGCAGCCCTTCTCCCTGAAGAACCTGGACAAGTGAGCCCCTCTGCTCGCCTCCCACGAGCTCCCTGCCTAGTTGGGGAGCTGGCAAGCAAACAGGCGATTACAGTGCAGGGGACTCGCGCAGCAGCGCTAGGCTCCACACACAGACTGCAGGCAGGCAGGCCCTCATCCTGCCAGCTGTCCTTGCATCCAACAGATTTTTTTTTAACAGACAGGGGGCGGTCTCACTCTGTTACCTAGGCTGGAGTGCAGTGGCATGGTCACGGCTCACTGTAGCCTTGACTTCCTGTGCTCAAGCAATCCTTCCTCCTCAGCCTCCCAAGTGTCTGAGACCACAGGCATGTACCACAGCTGATTTTTAAGTTTTTTAATGTAGACATGGGGTCTCACTATGTTGCCCAGGTTGGTCTCAAACTCCTGGGCTCAAGCGATCATCCCACCTTGGCTTCCCAAAGTGCTGGGATTACACTATGCCTGGCCCCTCCAACAGATTTGACCGAGTGTGTACCTTGTGCCATGCACTGTTCTGGGCACTTGGGGTATAGCAGTGAACAAAACAAGATCCCAGCTCTCAAGGGCTTACATTCTAGCAGGGAGAAACAGGCAAGCAAGAACACAAGTGAAATTATCTAACAGGTTAAAAGATTATTTGGGCCAGGCGCAGTGGCTCATGCCTGTAATCCAAGCACTTTGGGAGGCCGAGGTGGGTGGATCACCTGAGGTCAGGAGTTCGAGACCAGCCTGACCAATATAGCGAAACCCCGTCTCTACTAAAAATATAAAAATTAGCCGGGCGTGTTGGCGGGCGCCAGTAGTCCCAGCTACTCGGGAGGCCGTGACAGGAGAATTGCTTGAACCTGGGAGGTGGAGGTTGCAGTGAACTGAGATCGTGCCATTGCACTCCAGCCTGGGTGACAGATCAAGGATCTGTCTCAAAAAAAAAAAAAAAAAAAAAGATTATATTTGTCGTTGGGGGAAAAAGGGAAGCAAATGTAGAGCAGGGGAAAGGAGGTCAGGAGTTTTGAAAACTAAGATGTCGTGTTAACTTCTAGGGTGAGAGAAAGCCTTGTTAAAGCCTGAATTCCAATTCTGTCTCTGCAGCTTCCAAGTTGTTTGAATCTGGTCATGTGAAAACCTATTTAAGCCTTGGTTTCCACATCTGAAGAATGGAGGCAGTAGTATGAAATTCATAGCTATCAATTATTGAGTGCTTCATATGTGATAGTGCTGAGCACTTTGTATACATGATCTCATTCTTAATAAGAACCCAGTGCATACTTCTTGTTCACCAGGTCTGAAGAAAAATATAAAAAACAGTGAAGTGGGTACTGTTACTACCCCCATTTTGCAGATGTGAAGAGCACACAGGTTAGATGACTTCCCTAAGGTCTCACAACTAGTGTGGAGATGGCGCTTGAACACGTCCTGGCGATGACGGGGCCATACCCTTACCCACCCTCTTATCTTCCAGACACTGGGATGGTTAACTGAGACTATGCACAAAGCACTTACTACTGCGGCCCCCGTAACTAGCGCCCTCAGAGCAGCCCTGAGAGATAAGAGTGGTTCTGGCCCTAGAAGAATGTGGTGGGGCCCAGGCCTCTGTCCTTTTTGTCCTTCCCAGTAGGGCCCCATCTCAAGTTGAATAGTGCAGGGTGGCCCAGGGCTGCTTCCAGGACTTGCCTGTCCTCCCTGAGTTTGGATGGGAGAGACACAAGGGCCTGGACCTCAGTTTTCTGTTCTCTGCCCCAGCTCAGTGCACCTGTGCAACAACTCCATCCAGAAGCACCTGGAGAACTCATGCCATCGGCATCCACTGCTTCCGCCAGACAACATGTGGTCTAGCCAGAGGTTCCAGGCCCACCTGCAGGAGATGGGTGCCCCAAATGCTTGGTCCACCATCATCGTGCCTGGCATGAAGGATGCTGTGATCCACGCACTTCAGACCTCCCAGGACACCGTGCAGTGTCGGAAGGCCAGCTTTGAGCTCTATGGCGCTGACTTCGTGTTCGGGGAGGACTTCCAGCCCTGGCTGATTGAGATCAACGCCAGCCCCACGATGGCACCCTCCACAGCAGTCACTGCCCGGCTCTGTGCTGGCGTGCAAGCTGACACCCTGCGCGTGGTCATTGACCGGATGCTGGACCGCAACTGTGACACAGGAGCCTTTGAGCTCATCTATAAGCAGGTGAGGAGGTTGGGCCCAGGCAGGACCCCAGAGAGTCTGCACCCTCTTCCAGGCAGCCCTGCAGTGGAGCATAGGACTCTGCAGTCAGACCCAGTTTAAGACCCAGATTCAAGTCCTGGTCCTGCTAAGGTGACCTCACTTCCTTGAGCCTCAGTTTCCTGATCTTTGAAATGGGGATATTATTACCATCTTTCTCATGGGAATGGGAGAATAAAATGAATTCATGTATGAGGATAATATTTCTAGAGAGGCATATAGCATAGCCATAAGAGCAGAGATTCTGGAATCTCCTTGGGTTCAAATTCCTGTTCAGTGACAACAAGCTATGTGACTTTGGACAAGTTCCTAACCCCTAGGTCTCCTTGTCCGTAAGAATAAAAATAGTACCTAACTCACAAAGTTAGGTACTATGAGTTGTGAGAATTAAATGAGTTGATAAGTAAAGTACTTCATTTATTTATTTTTGAGACAGAGTCTCGCTCTGTTGCCCAGGCTGGAGTGCAGTGGCATGATCTTGGCTCACTGCAACCTCTACCTCCTGGGTTCAAGCGATTCTCCTGCCTCAGCCTCCCAAGTAGTTGGGATTACAGGTGCCTACCACCACGCCTGGCTAATTTTTGTATTTTTAGTAGATACAGGGTTTTGCCATGTTGGCCAGGCTGGTCTCGAGCTCCTGACCTCAGGTGATCCGCCCACCTCGGCCTCCCAAAGTGCTGGGATTACAGGCAGAAGCCACCGTGCCCAGCCAGTAAAGTACTTTAGAATAGTGCCTGGCACGTAGTAAATGCTACTAAGTTTTAGCTAATGTTATTATTACCTAATAAGGTTAGGAGTTTCATCATGTATAACCTGTAAAGTGCCTGAATGTATAGTAATAGGCAATTACTGGTAGCTACTATTATTAGTAGTATTATAATTATTTCACTCGTCTTGCTCCAAAAAGAGATTGGAGTCTACTTGTAAAATAGAACAGCATTTTAAAAAATCAGTCAGAAAATTGATTGCAAGGCTTTCTGAGTTCTGGATAGAATTTCTTGTGGCAGTTTAAGTGGCTTCTGATTAGCCTCCGGTTTCTGTCAAGGTTTGGTTACAGGAAGAGAACGTACTGATCACATGACCTAAGTGACCTCGCCTTTGTTACAGTTGTTATTGATCATTTCTTAAATTAATATATTGGCGTTTTGGTTTCAAAAAATGTAAACGGGGAAATACATGGGCAGGAAAATATGAGCAAGCTGAGGGAAAAGGTGCCATTGTAGTGCAGTGCTCCCAATGCCAGTGCCCAGGCCAGAAGCATCTGAAAGCTTCTAAAGGTATGGATGTGAGGAGGCTCCACCCCCAGAGATTGACCCAAAATGTCTAGCTTGGGGAGGAGACTATGTATATCTGCATTTTTCAAATGCCCCCCAAATATCTTTTTTTTTTGAGACGGGGTCTTGCTCTGTTGCCTAGGCTGGAGTGCAGTGGCACCATCTCGGCTCACTGCAAGCTGCGCCTCCCGGGTTCAAGCGCTTTTCCTGCCTCCGCCCCCTGAGTAGCTGGGACTACAGGTGCCTGCCACCATGCCCGGCTAATTTTTTGTATTTTAGTAGAGATGGGGTTTCACCATGTTAGCCAGGATGGTCTCGATCTCCTGACCTCGTGATTTGCCCGCCTCGGCCTCCCAAAATGCTAGGATTACTGGCATGAGCCACCGCGCCAAGCCCTCTAAATGTCTTTTATTGCTGATTTGTTCTTGTTTTTGTTTTTAGGCCAGCACATAGTAAAGGCTTATACCTTGCACTGTTTTTTTTTGTCTCTTTTCATCTAGGCCAGCCCCAGTGCCTTTTGACCCCATAGTTTTGATCTTTTGAGGGGCCAGGCGGGTTGTTTTGTAGAACTGTCCCACATTCTGGATTTATCTGATTGTTTCCTTATGGTGTGATTTACCTTGGTCTTCTGTTAGCTGATTGTCTCAGGAACTAGAAGTTAGGTCAAATAGTTTGATGAGGTTAAACATTTTTCCCAAGAGCACTTCAGAGGTGATGCCGCGTACCTCATGTGGCATCACAAGGCACATCCTGTGAGAGTGTCTCACAGTTAGTGCTGCTGAGTTTGACTGTGGGTTACAGTGGTGGCTACCAGATTCTCTCCATTATAAGCTACATCTCCCCTTTGCAATTAATTTTTCTGTAAGGTGCTGTGTTGGCTCTGTCCAGATTACACATTTTCCTGTCATCCTTTCATCTAATTGTTTTGATACCAGTTTTGATTATTGCCTATTTTATTAGAGTTGCAAAATGGCAAATGTCTAATTCTGTTGTTCCTTCTGCATTTATTAGCTGAGATTCTTCTGTAAAGATGAACTTTCCCTCATCATCTGGGGCTACTTGGGAGTGCTGATAGCTACATTTTTATTTGATTTTTTTTTTTTTTTTTTTTTAGACAGAGTCTCACTCTGCCACCCAGGCTGGAGTGCAGTGGTGCTAGCTCGGCTCACTGCAACCTCCGCCTCCCGGATTCAAGTGATTCTCCTCAGATCCCGAGTAGCTGGGATTACAGGCGCCCACCATGGCCGGCTAATTTTTGTGTTTTTAGTAGAGATGGGGTTTCGCCATGTTGGCCAGGCTGGTCTCCAATTCCTGACCTCAGCTGATCCGCCTGTCTTGGCCTCCCAGAGAGCCACCGCGCCCGGCAATAGCTGCATTTTTTTTTTTTTTTTTTTTTTGAGACGGAGTTTCGCTCTTTTCACCCAGGCTGGAGTACAATGGTGCGATCTCGGCTCACTGCAACTTCTGTCTCCTGGGTTCAAGCAATTCTCCTGCCTCGACCTCCCGAGTAGCTGGGATTACAGGTGCCTGCCACCATGACCTGCTAATTTTTTTGTATTTTTAGTAGAGACAGGGTTTGGTTATGTTGGCCAGGCTGATCTCGAACTCTTGACCTCAAGTGATCTGCCAACCTTAGCCTCCCAAAGCTCTGGGATTACAGGTGTGACCACCATGCCCGGCCAATAGCTGTATTTTTAACAAGCTCCAAGTAATTCTGATGTTTAGATAGATTCTGATCAGGATCCTTCAGTGGCACAGAAGATACCTCCAACTGGCTCCAGGTTGCTAGCAAGGCACAGGGAGCTCTCCTGGAGCCCAGCTGAGGGCAGGACATACAGCTTGGCCTGATAGGAACTGAGAGTTGTAAGGGAGTCCCTCTCCTGGACCCTTCTCTCTGCCTTCCTCTGCATATTCGTTACTTCATTCTCTCCACAGACTGTCTTCTTTAAGGTTCTTAGTTTCTGCTACCCCATAACCTGGATTCACACGAGGCTCTAGGCAGGCTCCAAACCTCTTACTTGTCTGGGTGGCGTAACTCAAATTCTCTGTGCAGAGAATCTGATTGGCTCAGCTCAGGAAGCTGTCCACCAGCAGTGGCCTGTGCAGTGGAGCCACACGCATTCCAGCAGGGGCTGGGGGCAGCTTAGGAGGGAAATGTGGCTGAGGGGTGCTGGTGGGACATGGCTAGGATTCCCCCTTCCTCTGGGCTAGCAATTCCTGGAGCTCTGTGACTCTAGGTACTGACTCAGAGGTGGGCTTTCCATTTCTCAGCTCAGAAACGCCTCTTTGACCAGGTGCCTCAGAAAGTAATTCCACCCATCTCTACTCTGGGTCCCGCTGGGCCAAGGATTCCAGTACCACTGACTGAGTGGGCCTTGTCTCCTCTTCTTGCCCACAGCCTGCTGTGGAGGTGCCTCAATATGTGGGCATCCGGCTCCTGGTAGAGGGCTTCACCATCAAGAAGCCCATGGCGATGTGTCATCGGCGGATGGGGGTCCGCCCAGCAGTCCCTCTGCTGACCCAGCGAGGCTCTGGGGAAGGCAAGGACTCGGGGACCCCTACCCACAGGTCAGCTTCTAGGAAAGGCACTGGGGCCAGGAGCCTGGGGCACAGTGAGAAGCCAGTCTCCACTGCCACCACTTCAGCCCCCGGAAAGGGGAAGAAAGGCAAGGCGAAAAGGGCCACAGCCCTGGTCTGCCCCAATCTCTGGGAGTGGGATGCCCCCAGCACCAGGATGGGCTGCATTTTCACCATGACCTTTTCTAGTGGGGACAGGCAACCCCACCACTTGAACAGATTGCCACTGAGTCCGAAGAACCCCCGGGCCCTGGGTAAGACCATTCCCCCAAAACACCCGAGTGTTCCAAGGCGATTTATTCCTGCTCTCCAGGCCCCTCCCAACCACCTGGATCAGCCACCCCACCAAAGAGCCACCAGTAGCAAGTAAAAGCCACTACTCACAAAGTATTGTTTAAAAATACACAGCCAAATTAGCTGGGCACGGTGGTGTGAGCCTGTGGTCCAGGCTACTCGCGAGGCTAATGAGGATCGCTTGAGCCCGGGAGGTTAAGGCTGCAGTGAGTTATGATCGCACCTCTGCACTCCAGCCTGGGAGACAGAGCGAGATGCTGTCTTAAAAACAAAGACACAAAAAAAGCACTTTGGGAGGCCGAGGCGGGCAGATCACTTGAGGTCAGGAGTTCGAGACCAGCCTGGCCAACATGGTGAAACCCCATCTGTACTAAAAAATACAAAAATTAGCCGAGTGTAGGGGCAGGTGCCTATAATCCCAGCTACTTGGGAGACTGAGGCACGAGAATCGCTTGAACCCAGGAAGCGGAGGTTGCAGTGAGCCGAGATTGCACCATTGCACTCCAGCCTGGGCAACAAGAGCAAAACTCTGTCTCAAAAAAAAAAAAAAAAAAAAAACCCAGCCAAATGAGTATTGTCTCCTCCAAAGTAGTCACTCTGCCTCACAGAGTGACTTATTTCAAAGATGACCTGATTTCAAAGATGCCAGGACTTAAGCCCAGGTTGCTCTCTCCAGCGCCCACGCTTTTCCCACTGCAGTATTCTGCCTTTGCCTTCAAGCAGTCACCTCTCGGGGAAAGAACTAACACATGTCCAGCACTTAACAGTTTGCCCCATACCGCTACCTGCCCAGCTCCTTTAGTGTTTACACCAACCTAGCAAGGTAGGTGCTATTATCCCCATTTTCCAGCCGAGGTATCAGGAAGTTTAAGGAAGTTGCCCAAGGTTGCACAGCTCAGAAGGGGCACAGCTGGGATGCAGACCCAGGTCTGTTGGACTCTACCCTGTTTTCTTCTCACTGCCTCTGGAGGAGGAACCGGGAGGGCTCCGTCGGCCTTCACCCCATTCCCTCCATATCCCCCCATCCTCCACACGTACCTGTTAGGGCAGCTAGGCCACCTTGGGCCCCACCCCAGGGCCTCACAGCTTCTCTTGCTCCCACAGCCCGTCACCACTTCCCCAGCCTCCACACCAAGGCCCAGCTGCCTTCTCCCCATGTACTCCGACACCAGGGCCAGGTCCTCAGACGACAGCACAGCAAGCTGGTGGGCACTAAGGCCCTGTCGACCACAGGCAAGGCCTTGAGGACTCTACCCACGGCTAAGGTCTTCATTTCCCTCCCACCGAACCTTGATTTCAAGGTGGCACCCAGCATCCTGAAGCCAAGAAAGGTGGGCCTCGACCTGTGACTCACACCCAGTGGACAGTGCTGAGCACGGGGTCAGGGCTGGAGGGCACAGGCAGAGGGCAGCTCCCAGGCTGGCTGGCACCCCAAGGGAAGAGCTGGTCTCCCTCAGAAGCCCCTTCCTCCACAGACTTCTGATCATCTCCCTCTTCTCCCCTCCTTTCACACCGAGGCTCCTGCTCTCCTGTGCCTCCGAGGCCCCCAGCTGGAAGTGCCTTGTTGCCTCTGCCCTTTGAAGTCGGAACAATTCCTAGCACCTGTCGGAAGGTCAAGGCCAAAGGCAAATTCAAGGCCAGACTGTGACAAACCCAGGGCTGAGGCCTGCCCCATGAAGAGGCTGAGCCCCCTGAAACCCCTGCCCCTTGTTGGTACATTCCAGAGGCGCAGGGGCCTGGGGGATATGAAGCTAGGGAAGCCCCTGCTTCGATTCCCCACTGCCCTTGTCCTGGATCCAACACCAAATAAAAAGAAACAAGTGAAGTATTTGGGGCTTGACTCCATTGCTGTTGGAGGGTCAAGAGTGGATGGGGCGAGGCCGTGTACCCCAGGGTCCACAGCAAGAGCCTGAGGCCATCAGCAGCTCCTCCGTGCAGCGAGGCCCAGAATTCCCACCTAAGGACAGACATGGGGCTTCCTATTTAGGGACTCCCCCAGCATCTCCGATCCAGGGGTGGGGAGCGTGAGCCTTCACTTTACAGATGAAGAAACTGAGTCTGAAAGAGGAGGCATGGCTTACCCAAGATCACGTGGCAGTGAGTCGACGCAGGGACATATTGCCAGAACTGCCGAGCACTGGGAGCCCCCCAACCCCAGAGAACAAGCCAAGCTAGCAGAATGACACCTACCGGGCATAGGAACGTTAATGCCATGAGACAGGGGAAGGAATTGGCCTTGCCTAAACCTCAGCCCTTCTGCAGAGGGCATGGGTCTATCCCTTCTTCAGCAAGGGGCCAAGGTCACCTAAAAATGAAACATCCAATAAGCCACACCCACCTGAAGAAAAGTGTGGCACTGCTTAGTTGTAGTGGGTTGAACTGTGGTCCCCTGAAAAGAGATGTCTACTTGGACCCTGTGAATGTGACCTTATGTGGGAAAAGAGTCTTTGTAGCTGGGTATGGTGGCTCACACCTGTTATCCCAGCACTTTGAGAGGCCAAGGCAGGAGATCGCTTGAGCCCGCAAGTTCAAGACCAGTCTGGGCAACATGGTGAAACCGTTTCTACAGAAAATTAGCTGGGTGTGGTGGCACACACCTGTAGTCCTAGCTACTCGGGAGGCCTAGGTGGGAGGATTACCTGAGCCTGGGAAGATCAAAACTGTGGTGAGCTGTGATCACGCCACTGCGCTCTGAGCCTGGGAGACAGAGTGAAACCCTAAATCAAAAAAAAAAAAAAAGGTCTTTGCAGATGTAAATAAATTTAAGATCTTAAATGAGATAATCCCAATGACCAGTGTGGTGCTTACATTCAATGGCAAGTGTCTTCATAAGAAAGGATTAAGGGCCGGTGGCTCACTCCTGTAATCCTAGAATTTTGGGAAGGCTGAAGTAGGTGAATCACCTAAGGTCAGGAGTTCGAGACCAGCCTGGCCAACATGGCGAAACCCCGTCTCTACTAAAAATACAAAAATTAGCCGGGCATGGTGACATGTGCCTGTAATCCCAGCTACTCGGGAGGCTGAGGCAGGAGAATTGCTTGAACTCCAGAGGTGGGGTTGCAGTGAGCTGAGATCGCGCCACTTCACTCCAGCCTGGGCGACAGACTGAGACTCTGTCTCAAAAAAAAAAAAAAAAAGGAAAGATAAGGCTGAGGCAGGAGGGTTGCTTGAGTCCAGGAGTTGGAGGGTAGCCTGCTTGGGCAACATACTGAGACCCTGCTTTAAAAACAGAGATTCAAAAACAAAACAACAACAAAAACATTAGCCAGGTGTGGCGGCACGTGCCTGTAATCCCAGCAGGAGAATCGCTTGAACCTAGGAGGCAGAGGTTGCAGTGAGTAGAGCTCACACCACTGCACTCCAGCCTGGGAAACAGAGTGAGACTCTGTCTCAAAAAAAAGATAAGGAGGCTGAAGCGGGAGGGTTGCTTGAGGCCAGGAGTTGGAGGGTAGCCTGCCTGGGCAACATACTGAGACCCTGCTTTAAAAAATATAATAGAGTAAGAAGGCTGGGTGCAGTGGCTCATGCCTGTAATCCCAGCACATTGGCGGGGGGTGGGTGCCAAAACAGGTGGATTGCTTGAGGCCAGGAGACCAGCCTAGTCAACATAGCAAGACCCCATCTCAATTGTTTTTTTTTTTTTTTTTTGAGACAAGGTTTCACTCTCACCCAGGCTGGAGTGCAGTGGCAAGATCTCGGCTCACTACAATATCTGCTTCCTGAGCTCAGATCATCCTCCCACCTCAGCCTCCCAAGTAGCTGGGACTACAGGCACATGCCACCACACCTGGCTAATTTTTTTTTGCATATTTTGTAGAGACAGGGTTTTGCCATGTTGCCCAGGCTGGTCTTGAAATCCTGGGCTCAAGTGATCCACCCACCTCAGCCTCCCAAAGTGCTGGGATTACAGGTATGAGCCACTGAGCCCAGCCACCATCTCTACAAATTTTTTTTTTTTTTTGAGACGGAGTCTTGCTCGGTTGCCTAGGCAGTGGGTGTGATCTTGGCTCACTGCAACCTCCACCTCCCAGGTTCACTGCCTCAGCCTCCTGAGTAGCTGGAACTACAGGCGCGTACCACCACACCCAACTAATTTTTGTACTTTTTGTAGAGACGGGGTTTCACCATGTTGGCCAGGCTAGTCTCGAATTCCTGTCCTCGTGATCCGCCCACCTTGGCCTCCCAAAGTGCTGGGATTACAGGCACAACTCAGCAGTAAGCAAGATCCGTAATAAACATTTACTTTCTTAGCAAATCCTCAAAACCATAACATGAGGTAGGAACTTTTATTATCACAAGTCCAGAGAGGTAAAGTTACTTGCCCAATGCCACACAGCAAGCAAGTGGCCTGTCCAGGATGTGATCTTAGGTTTGTCTGACTGCAGAGCCCCCACCCTCACTTTCCAGTGTGTGTGAGGGGGTCAGGAACAGAGGGAGGACTATTGTAAGCGGAGCCCCAGGCACTGTAGGGTCCTGGAGAAATAAGGGGGCAGTGGTGCCAGGAGCTCAACAGGGGTGTCCCTGGCCCTGGTGCCTGGGAGAAGGAGCCGATGTAGGTGGAGGTGCAAGGGCAGCTGGGCAGCCTGGGAGGGGGTCAGGTGGAGGCGTCTGAGGAGGGCTTCATCCAGGACCTGGAGCGGGAGAGGTACGTTGTGTTCAGCCCCACATTTTCCAAGCAGCTGAGTACCCAGCTCTAAGGGAAATGGGAGTAAGGCGGGCGCTTCCTCCATTCCCCACTGTTCTGCAACTGTTAATCATTTCCTCTTTGCACACAGATGTGCACATTCACACAGGCACTCACACTGCAGCAGAGACTGGCTAGGGGGTCACCCAATCAGTTTCCTCCTAGGCACACACCTCAACTCCATTTCCCAGCCCTCTCACAGCTTGGTGAGACGTGAGTGAGCTCTAGCTGAGTGAATGTGGGTGGCAGTATGTATGCCACTTCCACACCTGGCCCAGAAAAACCTTATCCACTTGAACCTACACTGTCTCCCCTCATCTGGCTGGGTATCAACAGCCTGGGTCCCTGAGTACTTAGTGCTTGAAGCAGAGCCCACTCCCATTATTTGACCTTAACATGAGGGCACAGTTCTTGTGTGAAGACTCTGGTAGTCTGGGCTTAGTGTGTTAGAGCAGGTAGAGGCATCTGGTGTCCTAATACACGCATGCCTTTGACCCTTTGTACCAGACTCAAAGAATGGCAGACTTAAGAGGGCTTTAGAAATTAGCCACATCAACTCCCTTATTGAACACATGGACAGAATGAAGCCCAAGAGAGTGAGTGTTACTTGCCCAAGGCCACACACCAAGATGTGGGTACGGATACAGCCTTGGGAGCCAAAAGGGCTGCCTCCCAGTAGTCCCAAGCTGCACAGATAAGGTCTGGAGATGCTGCCCATGCTCACCTCTCCCTCCACCCCTCAGAAAGCAGCAGGCAGGTGGGCTGGAGTACCTGTCTTTGGGGCTTGTTGTTCTCAGCTGGCAGCAGAAATCGCTGGCCCAGGACAGTGCCCACACGGGCAGAGTACATGTGGTCCCCAAGCACAGGGCAGAGCTGTAGTACCATGTGCACCTGTAGTTGACTGGAGAACACTGGGCAACAGGAAAGCCAGGAGAGACAGTGGGCAGCTACTCGTTCTGTGCCACCCAGTATCACTCCTCCCCTTTTCCTTTGGGGAAACACCACCCCCTTTCTCAGATCATATGTTTCAGTGAGGTCAGTACTATGGCCCCTGCATCCAGAGAGGGACACATAACACGTCAGGACGATCACAGCTATCAATCTGCCTGGCTGTGGGATCCACTCATGATGAGATGCAACCCTGATTTAATTGCTGAAGCCACCGGGCCTAAGGACTGTTCTTTCCTGTTGGGGTGCTAGCCTGAAGCTGCCTCCTCTAGCTGGGCCTGGTCACATACACCTCTGGGGGCCATCAAATGCTCCCCAGGCTGCTGCTGATACCACTGTCTCCCCAGCTCCTTGCCTCCCTAAGCCAAGTGCAGTTTTTTTTTTTTTTAGCCAGCGTTTCACTCTGTCTCCCAGGCTGGAGTGCAATGGTGTGATCTTCGCTCACTGCAACCTCTGTCTCCCAGGTTCAAGCGATTCTCCCGCCTCAGCCTCCCAAGTAGCTAGGATTACAGGTGCGTGCCACCAACTCCAGCTAATTTTTGTATTTTTAGTAGAGACAGGGTTTCACCATGTTAGCCTGGCTGGTTTCGAACTCCTGACCTCAAGTGATCCATCCGCCTTGGCCTCCCAAAGTGCTGGGATTACAGGCGTGAGCCACCGCGCCTGGCTCAAGTGCAGTTTTTTTTTTTTTTAGATGAAGTCTCCTCTATCACCTAGACTGGAGTGCAGTGGCATGATCTTGGCTCATTGCAACTTCTGCCTCCCAGGTTCAAGCGATTCTCCTGCCTCAGCCTCCCGAGTAGCTGGTTTTACAGGCGCCTGCCACCGTGCCCAGCTAATTTTTGTAGTTTTTAGTTGAAACAGGGTTTCACCATCTTGGCCAGACTGGTCTTGAACTCCTGACCTCGTGATCCACCTGCCTCAGCCTCCCAAATCAAGTGCAGTTTTAAAGGCTGGCTAGGGTGCCAGACCTACCTGTCAGTGGCTGCAGCTGGACCAGGGCACAGCCAGAGCCTGTGGCTACCACACGAAAGTGACTGAGAGTCTTCTTGACACCTTCCAGGATGTCCTTTCGGGATGGGGCCTTCACTGGAACTGTCTGTGGTGCCAGCCAAGAGTGAACAAGCCTTACACAGGTCTGGGAGCTATACCCAGACCCTCCCTGCTCCCAATAGACTCCGGGCAGGGCCACAGTATAGGCAGTGGTCACTTGCCTGTTTTAGGGGACAGGAGAGCCAGCCATCCCAAATCCATACCCCTGACTCCTCTCTGTAGGGGTACTATATCTAGAAGCACCCCTCCTCTTCCCAGACCCGGACTCACGAGATTGACCCCATCAATGTGTTCCAGTTTCAGGGCAGCCTGGATCTTCCCCTCAGAAGCAGCTGGGATCCCATCAGTGACAGCACTGAGAAAGGGGCAGGAGGAGGTCACAGGGTGGCTTGCTGGGACCTCCCCACCACTCTAGGAACCTCCCAGCACCTCTCACCAGTAGGTGGCTGTGGGCCTTTGGGCTCTCCGTGCATGGGTGAAGTACTTCTGGAGGCGACTAGCTGTCTGGGGACAGCTGGAGAGGAGTACAAGCCCAGAGCTTTCTCTGGAATAAGCAGACAAATCACACAAGTTAAAGTCCCTTGAACTCGCCCACTAAAAAGGAAACTCTTAGGAACACTGACCTGCTTCAGGCCAAACACTAACACCAGGACTATAACCTAGACCAACTCCTGAGAAACAAGTAAGGTTTCCCCTTCTTTGATAACAAGACTATGTAGCTTAATGTGTTTCTCATTTTGCCCCGGCCCCCAGGGAACTCAGAGCCAAATGTCGTAACGATTGTCTACCATGTGCCAGAATTCTACTAGAAATTCTGTACATATTAGCTCTTAAATAAGTTCTCTACAAAAAAGCTCATGAGTTTGTGGAACTGCAGAAATATTTCATCTCAAGTACCATCTTTAATTGATGGCAGTTAGAGGAAAGAGTATCATGGATCGACTAGCAATGCCTGCCACGAGTACCGTCATGGAGAAATGACTGCACACTGAGCATAGGTATTATTTTCTCTATTTTACCATTAGGGGAACTGAAGCTCAGGGAGGGTATTTGTTTTGTTTTGTTTTTTTGAGACGGGGTCTCATTCAGGTTGTTTAGGCTTGCGTACAGTGGCGGGATCTCAGCTTATTGCAGCTGCCATCTTCTGAGCTCAGGTGATTCTCCCATCTCAGCCACCCGAGCACTACAGGCATGTGCTGCTCTGCCCAGCTAGGTTTTTGTGTGTGTGTGTGTGTGTGTTTTATTTTGTTTTTTAAGTAAAGATAGGGTTTTGCCATGTTGCCCAGGCTGGTCTTGAACTTCTGGACTCAAGCAATCCTCCCACCTCGGCCTCCCAAAGTCCTATTGATTATAGGCATGAGCCACCACGCGGAAAGTTTTGTTGTTGTTTTTCCAGAGATGGGGTCTATTTTGCCCAGGCTGGTCTCGAACTCCTGGGCTCAAGTGATCCTCTTGCCTTGGCCTCCAGAAGTGTTGGGATTACAGGTGTGAGTCACTGTGCCCAGCGTCAGGGAGGTGTCATGCTTTGCCTGGTATCACACCATTTGTACTTGAGGATTTGAACCCAGAGCCATCGGCTTCCTCTTCTTCACAGTACTTGTATCCACCTCTATGATCTCAAACCTTCCCATGGAAAATGTCTCAGCTTATCCCCAAGCAGCTGTTTCCCCACCACAGATGGATGCCTGTACTCCTAGCTTCCTGTCACCCCTACCACTTACTTCCCAGATGCTCGGACAACCTGAAGCTCCTGCTCCCTGAGCCCTAGGGACTGGCTCAGCTCTGGCAGCACTGAGAACAACGTCAGCTCTCCTGGTTTTCCTGGAAAGTAAGAAAGAAAAATTACAAGAGGCCAAAGCTTCATGCCTTCACTTTTCCCTCCCTCAGTCACGAAACCCCCTTCCGCTGCATTCCCTTCCCACATCCCCGGCCCATACCTGTCACTGGTAGACCCTGTGGCTTGTTCAACGTCACTAGAGGTCCTGAAACATACATCACACGAACATCAGCAAAAGCAACGGTAACCCTTTATGCAGCACTAAAGAGTTTCCAGAGCACTTTCTCACGCATCTTAGCACATGTCCCCATCATGACTCTCAGACATGAGTTAACTACCCCACACCAAATTCAACTTCTTTCTGTTCCTCTGCCACCTCAGAGCCTCGGCACTTGCTGTTTCCTGTCCCCAAATTTCCCAGGTCTGGCTCCCTATCATCTTGGCTCAAATGTCACATCACGGAGAGGTCTGAATCTCCAATCTAATGTCTGCCTTCCTCCTGCAGTTCCTCACCATCATAACACCCTGTTTTAGTTTATGCATAGCACTTACCACTAGTAACTTGTTCATTTATTTTCTGACATCCATTTCTCCCGTTAGAGAGAAATCCATTTCTCCCCTGAGAGCAGAAACCATATCTATCTTTTTCAGCACTGTATAGCCTGCCTAGAACAGTGCCTGGAACATAGCATATGTTCAAGAAATAGTTGAGAAAAGGAATAAATCACTGAATAGAGAGTGGGGTTCAGAGAAATTCAGTTATTTTCCTAAAGCCGCACAGCAAGCTGATCACAGAGCCTAGGTATGTCTGACTCCAAAGCCTGTGTTTTGTCCGTCGATAAATAATCATTATTTATTTATTTATTTATTTAGACTGAGTCTTGCTCTGTCATCCCAGGCTGGAGCGCAGTAGCACGATGTCGGCTCACTGCAACCTCTGCTATCCGGGTTCAAGTGACTCTCCTGCCTCAGCCTCCCGAGTAGCTGGGATTACAGGCGGACGCCGCCACACCTGGCTAATTTTTGTGTTTTTAGTAGAGACGGGGTTTCACCATGTTGGCCAGGCTAGTCTCGAACTCCTGACCTCAGGTGATCCGCCCGCGTCAGCACCCTAAAGTGCCGGGATTACAGGCGTGAGCCACCGCGGCCAATAAACAATAATCTAGTATAGCAACTCCCGTAACTGAGCGCCGGCTATGTGCAAGGCTCGGTAGTTATTTGCATCTTCTCCCCACTCTTAACCCTACTGCATCATGGCAGTAGGGTTAAAAGCGGGGAGAGGGTGCAAATTAGGTGGCTTGTCCCAGCTCATGCTGCTAGTGGGAGGCAGAAGCAGGGCTGATCCCGTGGCTTCAATGGAGAGCCCAACTGCACGCCGAGGCAGTCCCCTCCCGGTCCTTGTGCGGCCGTGCCTCTCACCCCTCACCTTTCCGGTCCACCACGGCTGCCCGCAGCGCATCAACCAGCTCCTCCCGACTGAGGTTTTTTGGCAGCAGCCCCGCGAAGGGCTGGTCCCCGAGGGGCCCCGACCGTTGGCAGGAGCCGCGGGGTTGCCTCTGATGCCTGGACAAGGAGGGAGAAGCAATGGGAGTCATTCCATCCCGAGGTGCCACCCATTCCTATCTCCGGACGCCTCTTCCCAAATCCTGCGGCCTCTGACAAATGCCTCACAATGTCTGGGCTGACCTCGAAAATTCAGGTACGACCGGTCCCATTCTACAGCGGAGGGCACCGAGGCTCAGAGAGGCCAACGGGGCTGTTTTCGGGTAACATCTACCTGATCCAGATCCCGCACGTGCCTTCCCCCTGCCCTAGCCTCCGTCCCGCATGAGAGAGGGGGTACTTAATCACCGGGCTTCGGTGCCAAAGCCTGCGTCCTCGGGCACTGGGCGGACACCCAGGCCCCGCCGCCAGCCACTCCAGAACCGGCCCAAAACACGGCGGCCGTCCATCTCCCGAGCCAGGACAGCGCGCATGTGCGTCCAGAGGGGCAGACCCGCGCTCCAGCCAGCGCGCTGATTGGTCAGCTGGAGTGTCAATCGGAATGGTGACCGGGCGGGACTCAGAGCCTGAGGAGGCGGGGCTTTTCCTCCGCCCAGGAAGGAAATGCAGAAATGCCTTCCTATGCTTTTAGGGAGAGCGCTGTAGCAGAAGAATTTGATCTGATCAAAAAACCTGTCTTAGCAAAAAACCTGAAGCCGCCTTTGCAAAAATTATATTACAAAATTATGACAGCGAAAGAGATCTGATCTAACCAACCCGCAGCTTGCCTTTAACCTCTAAACGGTCCTTGGTCATTCCTGGGCTTGGGCCAAGCTAACTTTGGGAGAAATTAGTTCGTAGTCTAAATGATAATTGCCCTTCCCCCGAACTAAACTGGCTTCATAGAGTTAATGAAAGGCCACCAGGTTAGGAGTAGTAGAGGGACCTGAATTCTGCTAAGGGTTAGAGGTAACTGATTACCAGCGGTTATTCCGGAGGTCACAGTGTTTGCAGCTTCCCCAGCTCACGATTGTCCAACCTGAGATTGGCCTTTGGAGATGTCTTTCCAGGCTTTTGCATTTCTGACGGCCGGATCACCCCACCCGGACCCTCAACTCTTGGCTCTACTAGTCCTGTGGCCCCTCGAAGTCAGGAGATCGAGACCATCCTGGCTAACACGGTGAAACCACGTCTCCACCAAAAATACAAAAAAATTAGCCGGGCGTGGTGGCGGGCGCCTGTAGTCCCAGCTACTCGGGAGGCTGAGGCAGGAGAATGGCGTGAACCCGGGAGGCGGAGTTTGCAGTGAGCCGAGATCGTGCCACTGCACTCCAGCCTGGGCGACGAGCGAGACTCCGTCTCAAAAAAAAAAAAAAAAGAAAAAAGAAAAAGAAAGTAGAAGAACACAGAAAAAAAAGAATAATATAATGACTGCCCACATTCCTACCATCAGAATTAGTCATTGTGAAACAATATATATATGTATAGGTTTCCTGTTTTTCTTGTTTAAGAAATGAAAGGGATAAAAGTAAATTCCCCTTTACTGCGTGCTTCCAGTTTTCACTCCCTCCCCAGTCTCCACTTTGAGTTTGGTGTGAACATTTTCCTAATGTGTTTTGGTTTTTGTTTTTTGGAGACAGAGTCTCGCTCTGTCACCCAGGCTAGAGTGCAGTGGCCCGATCTCGACTCACTGCAACTTCCACCTCCCGGGTTCAAGCGATTCCCCTGCCTTTGCCTCCTGAGTAGCTGGAATTACAGGTGCGGTGCCCGCCACCACACCCGGCTAATTTTTTGTATTTTAGTGACGGGGTTTCACCATGTCGCCCAGGCTGGTCTCGAACTCCTGAGCTCAGGCAATCCGCCCGCCTTGGCCTCCCAAAGTGCTAGGATTACAGACGTGAGCCACTGTGCCCGGCCACTAATGTGTTTTTTTGCTTGCTCTGTCATCCAGGCTGGAGTGCAGTGGCACAATCACAGCTCACTGCAGCCTCAACCTCCCAGGCTCAAACGATCCTCCCACTTCAGTCTCCTGAATAGCTGGGACTACAGGTGTGCACCACCATACCTAGCTTTTTTTTTTTTTTTTTTTTTTTTTAAAGATATGGGGTCTCACGATGTTGCCCAGGCTGGTCTCAAACTCCTGGGCTCAAGATAAGAAAATAAAAATAACAAAATAATTTTTAAAAAATCAAACTCCTGGGTTTAAGGGATTCACCCACCTACTTCGGCCTCCCAGAGTGCTGGGATTAAAGGCCGCACGGGGCCTTTGACAGACACTTCTTTTTTTTTTTCCTTCGAGATGGAGTCTCACTCTGTCACCCGGGCTGGAGTTCAGTGGCACGATCTTGGCTCACTGCAACCTCTGCCTCCTGGGTTCAAGCAATTCTCCTGCCCCAGCCTCCCAAGTAGCTGATACTACAGGCATGCACCATCATACCTGCCTAATTTTTTGTATTTTTTAGTAGAGATGGGGTTTCACCATGTTGACCAGGCTGGTCTCAAACTCCCGACCTCAGGTGATCCACCTGCCTCAGCCTCCCAAAGTGTTGGGATTACAGGTGTGAGCCACCGTGCCCGGCCTTTGACGGACACTTTCTAATAGGCTTTTTCATCCAGCATTACACACCCCTATGAGGAAGGCAGGGTGGGTTGGGGCCCTGCCTTACAGATGAGGACACAGTGGCTGTTGTGGTTCTTTGTGTCCCTTAAAGGCATGCCAAAAGCTATGGGTGGGCTCAGAATGCCCCGGAAGGAAGTCAGATAACTGAAAAGAACACTTGCACTGGTCACAGGAAAACCAGCCTGAGCTGCCGGCAGCCTCTGGGAGGTGTTGGGATGGCCTGCCCCTGGTTTCCATGCGGGTCCTGACCCAGAGAGCAGGCCCCAGGGGAGTGGGGGTCAGCAGAGGCAGGATGGGGCCCGGTCTGCTTGTGAGGGAGTGCTGGGAGGGTGGAGTCTCACTCTTGAGGCACAGAGCTCAGCCAGCGGAAGAGGGGATGCAGGGATCAAGCCCCAGGCCCTGGGGCCTGAGGTGTGAGAGCTGTCTTTGATGGTTGAAGCCAGCCTTCCCAGGCCAGGCCAGGCCAGGCTGCTCTCTCTCCCCGAGGATGCATTTCTTGCTCTGTTATCAGCCCTGAGCTCTGAGAGAAGGGACTTTCTTTTTTTTTTTTTGAGACAGAGTCTTGCTCTGTTGCCCAGGCTGGAGTACAATGGCGTGATCTCGGCTCGCTACAACCTCTGCCTTCTGGGTTGAAGCGATTCTCTAGCTGCAGCCTCCCAAGTAACAGAGATTACAGGCGCCTGCCACCACACCCTGCTAAGTTTTGTATTTTCAGTAGAGAAAGGGGTTCACCATGTTGACCAAGCTGGTCTTGAACTCCTGGCCTCAAGTTATCCACCCGACTCGGCCTCCTAAAGTGCTGGGATTACTGTCATGAGCCACTGAACCTGGCCAGGAGGGACTTTCTTAAGAAGGTCACAAGAGGACTCAGCACCTGCCAACTCCCAAGTAGAGCCTGGGCAGGGGTGGGAGGTGTCCCCGGGGACCCCAGTGCACGAGAGCCCTGTGCCTGCACGGCCCTCCACCAGGAGGCCAGGCCTCAGAGGCAGGCCAGCATTGGAGCCACTTACCACATGAACAAATGTCTGTGTCCCCCCAAACTCATGTGTTGACACCTCATCCCCAAGGTGATGGCATCTGGAGGTGGCATCTTTGGGAGGTGATGGGGTCATGAGGGTGGGGCCCTTGTGGTTGGGATTAGCGCCCTTATACAAGAGGCCCCAGAGAGCTCCCTCGCCCCTTCCGCCATGTGACCACAGTGGGAAGATGGCAGGCATGACCCAGAAAGTGGGCCCTCACCAGACACCCTGTATGCCAGCTGATCTTGGACTGCCAGCCTCCAGAACTGTGAACATTATATTGCTGTTGTTAGAGAGACCCAATTTACAGTATTTTGTCACAGCAGCCCCAACAGACTAAGACGTATGACTGCAAGCTCTGAAAATGCAGCCAACACCACATGTTGGAATCATGATATTTGGGATGTGTTGGGGTAAACCACATGCATTAGTAAAATAAACTGTTCAACACCTGTGAAAAGGAGAGAAAAAATATAAATAAATGAAATAAACTATTACTTTCTGAAGGGGTGGGTTGTCCCTCCACACCTGTGGGTGTTTCTTGTTAGGTGGAACGAGAGACTTGGAAAAGAAAAAGACACAGAGACAAAGTATAGAGAAAGAAATAAGGGGGCCCAGGGGACCAGCGTTCAGCATATGGAGGATCCCGCCAGCCTCTGAGTTCCCTTAGTATTTATTGATCATTCTTGGGTGTTTCTCGGAGAGGGGGATGTGGCAGGGTCATAGGATAATAGTGGAGAGAAGGTCAGCAGATAAACACGTGAACAAAGGTCTCTGCATCATGGACAAGGTAAAGAATTAAGTGCTGTGCTTTAGATATGCATACACATAAAACATCTCAATGCCTTACAGAGCAGTATTGTTGCCCGCATGTCCCACCTCCAGCCCTAAGGCGGTTTTCCCCTATCTCAGTAGATGGAACATACAATCGGGTTTTATACCGAGACATTCCATTGCCCAGGGGACATTCCATTGCCCGGGGACGGGCAGGAGACAGATGCCTTCCTCTTGTCTCAACTGCAAAGAGGCATGCCTTCCTCTTTTACTAATCCTCCTCAGCACAGACCCTTTACAGGTGTCGGGCTGGGGGACGGTCAGGTCTTTCCCTTCCCACGAGGCCATATTTCAGACTATCACATGGGGAGAAACCTTGGACAATACCTGGCTTTCCCAGGCAGAGGACCCTGCGGCCTTCCGCAGTGTTTGTGTCCCTGGGTACTTGAGATTAGGGAGTGGTGATGATTCTTAACAAGCATGCTGCCTTCAAGCATCTGTTGAACAAAGCACATCTTGCACCGCCCTTAATCCATTTAACCCTGAGTGGACACAGCACATGTTTCAGAGAGCACGGGGTTGGGGGTAAGGTTATAGATTAACAGCATCTCAAGGCAGAATAATTTTTCTTAGTACAGAGCAAAATGGAGTCTCCTATGTCTACTTATTTCTACACGACACAGTAACAATCTGATCTCTCTTTTCCCCACATTTCCCCCTTTTCTTTTCGACAAAACTGCCATCATCATCATGGCCCGTTCTTGATGGTCGCTGTCTCTTCAGAGCTGTTGGGTACACCTGCAGACTTGAACAACAGACAAAACAGGCACACAAGGATTAATATGAAATTTATAATCGTAGTACTTCCAATCGTCTTAACCCAAGTGACAGGGTTAAGATTTGTGAGGCCATCAGCAACTCCTGCGATTGCCTCAGTTCCTGGCACCAAATTTAAATGGGCTTTTGATGTTTTGAAAATTTGTTCTTTTAATTTGGAAATGTCTAAAGTGAGATTATCTTCTCTTGCCTGTAGATGGCGTCTAACCATGTCCCAGTGATGCTCAGACTCATTACAACTTGGGGTGTAATACAAAAATCTGACATATTCCAGTCACATTGTAACTGGAAACGATGTTCTAAGCTCATGAGCCTGTCTCCCATCCAAATGACAGTTTGTCTAAAATCATTAATTTGATTTGCCAATTTTTGATCAATACCAGATTGTGAATTCCACAATCTTGTAGCATTTTTTTGCCAATCATTAACAAAGTTTACTGACTGAACAGAAGAGTGCAGCGCAACTCCTGCCACAGCAGCCGTAGCTGTGACTGCAATTAATCCCATAAGCACTGTAATTAAAGTAAAAATGAATCTTTTGGATCTATTTAAAATGGCTTTTAATATTCAGTCAAAATATGGACGGATGGCGAGGCCTCCCACGGTCGGTCCATGGACACAGGGATCCACACGCCCTCTCTTGCTCTCACCAGCAGAATACGGTGCTGCCGATTAAAAGTCGAATCAATGCAAGTAAACTATCTACTTTTTACAGGTTATAGTTTGAGAGTCTGGTTTAATAACTATATTTCCTACAACTAGCATATAAGGGGGCTTTACACAACTTTGTAAAGGAACCGTTAGACTGGAATTTAGGTCGATAGTATAAAACGGCTGATGATCTCTTGTTTCTAAAGTTTGATTTCCAGACCAAATCCTAATGTGGTATGAGGCTACAGTAAGCCTCCATAATTCTGGATGTTCAGGACCAGAAACAGGACTTATTATTTTTGGTCTTGGGGTAGAGATTCCTTTTTCTCCCCATTCCCAGGGATAGAAAGACTGTAATTTTTTATGCTTATGTTTGTCTAAACTTTCTGTTAAGTCACTTTCAACAGCTGGACTCACTTGTGCCCTGGGACATGACTGAGTTTGCCCTGAGCAATTGTGGTAGAATTGACCTCAAGGTGCCCAATCTATAATAGTTCCAAATTCATTGTTTTGTAATATTACCGCACTATTGGCCACACATTCTTCCCAAACTAAAGCTTCTGTATTTTTTGATCCTTTGGGAATTTTCTTGGGGCAAGGTTTCCCTTTAGGTCTAAATTTTAATGATCTTTGATAAGAAAAGTCTTGTAAATTATTTACCCGTGGCCTGAGTGACATCCTGCTTACCGTGTGATAAGTGAATCTACTGATGGGACTGACAGTAGGTACTTCTAACAACCAATTTTGGACTGCAGGCATTAAGCATCCTGGTGCTCTCCCTAGGCAAATAGGAGGATAACGATACCCAGTGGAAATATTTATCATAATCCCTTCTTCCTCAGGTTTGGCAGGGCAGCGATCATCTGTGGGGCCAGGTACCCCATACACTATCATTAACATATACTTCAATAGGATTATCCATCCATGTGACTGGTGTTTCCATGTCCGTGGAGGCGCTTTTCTTTGCATCTCTGATGGATTCATTGTAGAACTTCAAATGTCTAGTGGGTATCCAAACAGGAAGCTGATTTTCTCCTGGTGAAACACAAGCAAAACCTCTCCCCCACGTCACCACCTTCCCTATTTCCCATGTCTTATTTTTATTATCTTTCCACCAAATCAGTTTTCCTTCATGTGGGCTGTTCTTTTTACCAGTAAGATGTTGTTCTGCAGAAGTAGTAGTCTGATTTCTATAAATGTTTAAAAAATTTAAAGTATAGAGTGCTAGATTAAGTTGCATCTGAGGAGTGGTACACTCCTTATTGTCTCCCCCTTCTTTTTGTTTAACTAATTGAGTTTTGAGTGTTCTATTAGTACTTTCAACTATGGCCTGTCCTTGGGAATTATAGGGAATTCCTGTTGTATGTGAAATTTTTCACTGATTTAAGAATCTTTGGAAAGCTTTACTACAATATCCTGGTCCATTGTCAGTTTTAATTTTTTCTCGAACTCCCATTACAGCAAAATACGATAATAAATGTTTTTTAACATGGGAAGTACTTTCTTGATTATCTGGCCCTAAACAATGTAAAATCCTAGTACTTTGATACACTTCTGAGGCTGTGCCTACGCCGACAAGTCCTGTAACAGCCTTTTGTTTAGGCCAATTTTTTGGCCACTGATTTAAAGCAATGAGAGACATCTGCTCCAGTGTCTACTAACCCTTCAAACTGTTTTCCTTGAATAATGGACTTACACACAGGTCTGTTCTCTGAGACCTGACTTGCCCAATATGCAGCCTTTCCTGTTGGATCAGTGCTTCCAAACCCTCCTGTTCTTTTTATCTCACTATTTCCAACCTTAATATAAGGCAGGAGTAATAATTGAGCAATCCTGTCTCCTGGACTGGCACTCCAAGGAATTGAAGAGCTAATAACCAATTGAATTTCACCTTTATAGTCTGAATCAACCACACCAGTGTGAATTTGAACTCCCTTTCGATTTAGACTTGATCTTCCTAAGATTAGTCCTACAGTCCCCTCAGGCAGTGGGCCATATACCCCTGTGGGGATTTTTTGTGGGGGCTCCCCTGGAAGCAGAGAAACTGCTTGTATAGTACATAAATCTACTGCTGCACTGCCGCTTGTGGCGGGGGACAATTGTTGTATTGTGGTAACTGGCTCATTCCCTGAGGCACTTGGGACAGTGGGGGTTGTCTTCCCTGAAAACCCTGAGGAACAAAGGGCTGAACTGGGAATGCCCCAGTTTGTTGTGGGGCCGGACTGAGGCTGGCCCCTTTGCTCGTTTCCCGACAATGGTTGCCCATTTCTATCAAATTTAGAACGACATTGACTAGCCCAGTGTTTTCCTTTTTGACATCTTGGACATAAGTCAGGTGGCTCTTTACCTGTTGTTGTAGTCACTTGAATAGTTATATTCTGTTTATTTGAGGCTGGGCAATTCTTTTTTAAATGACCACTTTGACCACAATTATAACATTTCCCTCCAAATGTTCTAACTTGTCCTCCTAAAGCAGCTCCCATTAGTGCTTGAGCCATAAGCATAGCTTTATGCATAGCTCCTCCGATTCCATCACAGGCTTTTACATACTCTGAGATTACATCTGATCCTGCGGGAAACTTTCCTTTTAATGGCTTAATGGCTGATTGACACTCAGGATTGGCATTTTCGTATGCCATCAACTCCACTATGACCTTACGGGCATTTTCATCGGCAATTGACTTTTGAGCAACATCTTGGAGCCTTGCCACAAAATCAGGGTAGGGCTCTTTAGAGCCTTGTCTTGTATTAAATGAGGGGCAGGCGGTTCCTGGGTCTTGGATTTTTTCCCAGGCTCTAAGGCAGATAGCTCTAACTTGCTCAATGGCCTCATTTTGCATTAATGCTTGTTGACTAATAGTGCTCCAATTTTGACCAGTTCCCAGTAGTTGATCTGCATCTATGTTAACTGGAGGATTAGCAGCCCTATTTTTTCGGACCTGTTCTTGTGCCCCATTAATCCACCAAATCTTAAATTGTAAAAATTGAGAGGGTGAGAGAGACGATTTTGCCAGAATCTCCCAATCATAAGGAATGAGTCTATGTCCGTGTGCAATGGAATCTAATAATGTCCTCATATAAGGGGAGTTGGGTCCATACTGTTTTATTCCCTCTTTCATGTCTTTTAGCATTTTTATAGAAAAAGACTTGTATCTGGCCTCAACTGTGGGAGGCTCTCCCTCTTGGGCTCCTTCTCCAGGTGGTATCAGTTCTAACATTAGTGGGAATGGCCACGCCTCAATATCTCCTTGCTTTCTTGACTTATCAATAATTTTATGTAATGCACTACCCTGTCTATTAGGTGGTGCTGTAGGATTAAGTCTCATAGTGGGCGGCTGAGGGTATGGCGCCCTGCCCTGTGGTGCTGGGAGCATTCCTGGATGTCCATACTGACTTTCTGGGGGTGGCCGATACTGAAATTCAGCCGGCAGCCAGTATTGATAAGCTACTGGTGGTTGGGTCTTATTTTCTCTAACCTGTGTTTGAGGTTGTAATGTTACGGGCATCTGACCTGCTGGAAGAGGACTTGTCCCTCGTGGTTTAGACTCTGATGGCCCCACTAATTCTGGACCTTTTTCTTCTAATTTTAACGTTTCAGGGTATATCACCTGCTGTAATTGATTATAGTCAACATTTTGCATTGACTGAGCCATTACCAGCTCTACTGCATATTCACAATGTAAACTTTCCATTTCTTTCCGGGATTTCCTCCCCGCCTCTTCTTTACAATCTATTACACAGCCTTCAGGGGCATCAGAAACTGAAACGCTATCTTCTTCTGTTTGAAATGGTTCTAAAGCTGCTTTAATAATGGCCCAATCATTCCATACTGTAAGTGGGATGATTTTACCCTCCCTACTTGCTTGTTTTAATTCTTTGCCAATTTTTTTCCAATCTTTTAGATCTAAAGTTCCCTATTCTGGAAACCATGGGCAAAATTGTTCTATTGTTCAAAATAGCTTGATCAGATTTTTTGTAGGTACTCTAACTCCCCCGCTTTTTAAAAGAATTTTAATAAAGCTGAGATAAGAGGCATATTTACTTTTAGTTTTACTTTTAGTTTGCCTCATTGTTACCCCGGCTTCTTCCAAGCGCACAAGCTTACCGCAAGGCTGACTGTAGACGTACTCGGGATCTCTTGTGGACTTGTCCTCAATGACCACACTCGAGCGTACCTTCACCCTAGAGAAAAGCACCCACGTTGGGCACCAGATGAAGGGGTGGGTTGCCCCTCCACACCTGTGGGTGTTTCTTGTTAGGTGGAATGAGAGACTTGGAAAAGAAAGAGACACAGAGACAAAGTATAGAGAAAGAAATAAGGAGGCCCAGGGGACCGGCGTTCAGCATACGGAGAATCCACCCCAGCCTCTGAGTTCCCTTAGTATTTATTGATCATTATTGGGTGTTTCTCGGAGAGGGGGATGTGGCAGGATCATCAGATAACAGTGGAGAGAAGGTCAGCAGATAAACACGTGAACAAAGGTCTCTGCATCATAGACAAGGTAAAGAATTAAGTGCTGTGCTTTAGATATGTATACACATAAACATCTCAATGCCTTAAAGAGCAGTATTGCTGCCCGCATGTCCCACCTCCAGCCCTAAGGCGGTTTTCCCCTATCTCAGTAGATGGAATCGGGTTTTACACCGAGACATTCCATTGCCCAGGGACAAGCAGGAGACAGATGCCTTCCTCTTGTCTCAACTGCAAAGAGGCATGCCTTCCTCTTTTACTAATCCTCCTCAGCACAGACCCTTTACGGGTGTCGGGCTGGGGGACGGTCAGGTCTTTCCCTTCCCACGAGGCCATATTTCAGACTATCACATGGAGAGAAACCTTGGACAATACCTGGCTTTCCTAGACAGAGGTCCCTGTGGCCTTCCGCAGTGTTTGTGTCCCCGGGTACTTGAGATTAGGGAGTGGTGATGACTCTTAACGAGCATGCTGCCTTCAAGCATCTGTTGAACAAAGCACACCCTGCACAGCCCTTAATCCATTTAACCCTGAGTTGACACAGCACGTGTCTCAGGGAGCACAGGGTTGGGGATAAGGTTACAGATTAAAATGGAGTCTCTTATGTCTACTTTCTATACAGACACATTAACAATCTGATCTCTCTTTCTTTTCCCCACAACCAAGGGCCCAGCTCCTAACATGCAGGTGTCACCAGAGAGAAATGCACCACTGTGCCCAGCACCATAGCTCTGGCTCAGAGAGTTTGCCTGAGAAAGCAGCAGACAGAAAACAAAAGGTGCGAGTTGCTCCCGAAGGAACTGACTTCATGTGCAACAGAGCTCGGAGAAGTCCAAGGCTAAGCACACTCTCCAGAACAGTGGAGGTTGTGCTGAAAGGCAACTGGGAGGCGACGGAGAGCCTGGGAGGTGCGGGCTACACTGGAGGCCAGCAAGTCTGCCAGAGAGAAACAGAAAAAAAGACAGGTGGGAAGAGCTCTCCTGGGGTCAGAACAAAGCTTAATATCTTCTTTGACAAAGAACGTAACATCAAAATAGCCAACTATGGGTTTAGTTCAACATTTGCAAAGAGAGACAACACTGAAAAGGGAACGTTTGATGGGACTCTCCCTTATGCAGGCCCAGAACTCTTCTTGGGCCATGGGTACCAATGCCCTGCCATCAACGTTTGGAGCCTTGGCATCATCGTATGCAAAATGGTGGCTGGGGCCCTGCCATTTTATGAGCAGAACTGTAAGGATATACTGAAAAAAAAAAAATTAAAATAGTATGCTACTTTTTTATTCATTTTATGGAAAAAAATATTTAAAAATTCTTCACACTCAACCCCAGGGAGCAGCTCCCACTGGACCAGCTGTTGAGGAACTCCTGGGTCAATAGTGACCAGAAGACATGATTCAAGCCATACAGAGAGCCACTCCTGGACTACCCAGGCCCCCCAACAACCCAGCTCATAGTGGCCATGGGATTCTAGGAAGAACATATCGAGGAAGTGATATTAAAAAAATATATGATCATCCCATGGCCACCTACCTAATCATGGAGTTCAGAAAAGTGCAGAGGAGAAAGGGCTCCAACATCGGAGCACAATCCCTCCCTCCCGGGGATCCCATCTGTCCTTCCCCATCTGCCACAGTTAAGTCAACCTTCCCTGTCCAACCCAGAAGAGGACTCAAAACCAGCCGACCTTTCCCACTTTCTAATTCACAGAAGCATGAACACCATCCTGGGAGTTAGGGCAGAACCCTACTTGGCCTGGAGATGAAGCCAGCCATTCCCAGCAAAGCCCCCCAGCATAAGTCTGTGGCTTCACCCTCCCCAGAGCACCAGCAGCCATGGGGAAAACCTGAAGGATCCTTGTCTCTGGGAACCCACTGGGAAGTCGGCTCGCTCCATGTGGAAGACCCAGAAGAGGTGGCTTGGTCTGAGGGAACCCCCGGGAAGCTGGATGGTATAACCTCAATCTCTGTGACTAAAAGGAGCCATGGCTACCATGGGCAAAAGATGTTTCAGTTTCATGCTGCAATTATGTTGTTTCTGACTAGCACAAAAAAGTCAAAGGGAGAAATAAGGCAGCACCAGTGAACCCAATGGACAGCTGGGCCCAGACAAAAACCAAGTGGGTGGGGCAGTCAAGCTACACTTCCTGTGTTTTATTACATTTATTATGTTCTTCTTAATATTATTTTAATTGGCAAATCATGCTTGTATTCATTTATAAGATACAGTGCGGGGATTAGATAGATGTGTGCACCATGGAATGACAAAATCACACTACATAGTATCTGCATCACCTCAGAAAGACACATTCCACGTGATGTCCCTGAAGTGTCCATCTAAAAAAGTTGACCTCATAGAAATAGCGAGTGGGTCGATGGTGAACGATGGCTGGGAGTGGTGTGTGGAGGGGTGGCAGAGGGAAGAAATGGGGGCTTGTCGGTCAAAAAACCACAGTCTCAGTTGGAAAGGAGGAAGAGGTTTTGACATCTAGTGCACAGCAGGGTGACCAGAGTCAATGAGAATGTGTTGCATATGGCAAAACACCTGAGAGGGTCCATGTCGAATCCTGGCATTCAGAATGGAGAAAATAAAGGCCCTGAGGTTCAAGAACATTAAAAACCTTGTGACAGGTTGACCACGTGTAGACTTCAACGGCTGTGGGTGAGAACTGGGCAAGATGCCGATGCTGCCATTTGCCCAGCACATCTGGCCCAGAGGCATTCAGCAGAGGACGCAGATGTCCAAGCTGCTACCAGGGTCAGTGGAACAGGATTCAAAAGTCAAGAGGGCATCTGGCAACCCTGTGGCCTCCAAAGGCCTATCAAAAGCTATAGGTGAGCTGAAGGGCAGCCTAGAGACTCCTGGAGACCAGAGGGCCCCTCCACCCCACCTGGCCCGGAGCACCATCTCTTCCTCCTGTCTGTCCCCTGCTTCCTCTGTCCTGCCATCTCCCCCTTCCTCCACCCTCAGCTCCCTGCAGTCCTCTCTCCACCTTTCCAAGGTAGACGCAGCTTGCTGCTCTGCTGTCCTGAGTCCCCACTAAGACTGTGGTTTCTGGTCCCTGCTGACCTCTGGGACTTGATTTCCCTGGCCTTTTGCCCCACCTCCTTTCTGTTTGTCCCAGCCCCACCCCCAACTCCCTCTCCCCCAGCTCCTCCTCTGCTATTCCTAATCCCCTCATCCTGATTGCTTTTTTGCTACATTTTCTCTAGCTAAATCATCTTTTATTTACTTGCTAATAATCTATCCATGGGTCCCCTGGAAGTCTGTCTTGTGCTACATACAATGATGAAAATCTAGGGCCCGGTGTGGTGGCTCACGCCTGTAATCCCAGCACTTTGGGAGGCCAAGGCGGGCGGATCACGAGGTCAGGAGATTGAGACCATCCTGGCTAACACAGTGAAACCCCGTCTCTACTAAAAATACAAAAAATTAGCCGGGCGTGGTGGCGGGCGCCTGTAGTCCCAGCTACTCAGGAGGCTGAGGCAGGAGAATGGCATGAACCCAGGAGGTGGAGCTTGCAGTGAGTGGAGATCCTGCCACTGTACTCCAGCCTGGGCGACAGAGCGAAACTCCGTCTAAAAAAAAAAAAAAGAAAAGAAAAGAAAAGAAAATCTAGGCCGGGTGCTGTGGCTCACGCCTGTAATCCCAGCACTTTGGGAGGCCGAGGCAGGCAGATCACAAGGTCAGGGATTTGAGATCAGTCCGACCAACATGATGAAACCTCGTCTCTACTAAAAATACAAAAATTAGCCGGGTTTGATGGCGCATGCCTGTAATCCCAGCTATTCAGGAGGCTGAGGCAGGAGAATCGTGTAGACCTGGGAGGCGGATGTTGCAGTGAGCTGAGATTGTGCCACTGCACTCCAGCCTGGGCAAAAGAGCTAGACTCCATCTCAAAAAAAAAAAAAGGAAAGAAAATCTGGAAACTGTAATTTAACTCCTGGCCCTAGACAGGACTCAAGTTTTGTGAAAGGGAGGAAGAAAAAAAAAGCAAACCCCACCAAACCAACACCTAGTCTAAAGCCTGATATAAATGCCATTCAAAACATGTTTCCTCCTTTATTCTTTTTTTTTTTTTTTTTTTGAGACAGAGTCTCGCTCTGTCACCCAGGCTGGGGTGTAGTGGCGCAACCTCAGCTCACTGCAACCTCTGCCTCCTGGGTTCAAGCCATTCTCCTCCCTCAGCCTCCCAGTCGCTGGGATTACAGGCACCTACCATCATGCCTGGCTACTTTTGTTTTTTTGAATTTTTCGTAGAGATGGGGTTTCACCATGTTGGCCAGGCTGATCTCAAACTTCCATCCTCAAGAGATCTGCCTGCATCAGCCTCCCAAAGTGCTGGGATTACAGGCGTGAGCCACTGCGCCTGGCCTCCTTCCTTTATTCTTCAATAACCAGAAAATTCTTCCTGAAAAAGGTGGCCCCTGAGACCATTTGGAAGCATCACAGGGGGGAGGGGCAAGGGTCCTGCGAGCTGGTCTTGCCATCCCTTGTCCCCCAGTTTACATGAAGCCGAGTTTACATGAAGCCAAGCTCCAGAGAAGAGGCAGGGCCTGTGGGGCATTTGGATTACACTCCAAGTCTAATTCCCAGTCCAGCAATCCTGCCCCCAGAGGCTTCCTTCATCTTTCCACTTAGCCAAGGAAGGAGCAGGTCAGCTCATGCCCCCTGCCTGGATGCAGACAACAACCATCAGAAGGCCATCCGTGTAGCCGGGGCCCCAGAACAATGTCTGGAAATGGCTCAAGGAGCTGAAGCCCTTTAGCCTCAAGAAGAGCATGAGGGACCCAGCACCCTTCTGAAACCTAAACTACATTCTGGCCTGAGCCATTTTGCACTGTCTGTGCCCTAGAAAGCTGTGAAGGCCTGTAAGTGGGTCTTCCTGTTTCCCTGTCTTCTGAGGCCCAGGCCTTTCTTAGAGCTTCCGTGGGTCCCACCCTTACACGCATCACACCGTGTCTGGGCTCTGCCTGCCTGGCTTACACTCCCTACCCCCAACCACTGCCCTATTTCCACCCCCGGGACATCCTGCTGGGCACTGCTGTTCCCTCTCTTAGAAGATTTTCACAGGTCCTGCCCTTCCCTTTTGCCAATTGATATCATTTGGCTGTGTCCCCACCCAAATCTCAACTTGGATTGTATCTCCCAGAATTCCCATGTGTTGTGGGAGGGACTCAGGAGGAGGTAATTGAATCATGGGGGCCATGATTTCCCAAGCTATTCTCATGATAGTGAATAAGTCTCATGAGATGTGATGGGTTTATCAGGGGTTTCCGCTTTTGCTTCTTTCTCATTTTCTCCTGCTGCCACCACGTAAGAAGTACTTTTTGCCTCCTGCCATGATTCTGAGGCCTCCCCAGACATGTGGAATTGTAAGTCCAATTAAACCTCTTTTCCTTCCCAGTCTCAGGTATATTTTTATCAGCTGAATGAAACAGACTAATACACCAATCAAGTGAATGTCACCTCCTCAGAGAAACCCTCCCTGAGCACCCCATCTGCAGTAGGGTCACCCCATCTTCCACCTTCACTTTTCCTGGTGTTTCCTTCTTAGCCCCTATTTCCATGGGGAGTCTTTGCTCTGACAGACTAGTCTCCCTCACCCACCCGGGGCCAGCCTGTCTGTCTTCTCTGTCCCTGTACATGGGAGATGATCAATGTTCATTTGTTGGCATCAGTAAAACAGGAAGGCCCCTGAGGTGCAAGGATTGGAAGCCCTTCCCCCCAGGTGAGGAAAGAGCCTTGAGGCAGGGTAGAGGACCCGAGTTAGTGCCCTCTCCCTACCCCGAGGGTCAGCCCTGGGCAGGACGGGCCACGGCCCCTTGGGGCACCTGTTGCCTGTGCCCTTGATGGGTGGCCTGCAGGGGACGTGGCCGCACTTGGTCAGTGGTGGTTCTGGGTCAGCCACATTCAGGTGGGCAGCATTTTAGGAAGGACAAACTCCAAAACCCAGGCTCCAAAGGATCCACGGGAAGGTCGAGAGGCTCAGGGGAGTGTCCTGGTGGCTGGGCCAGCGCTTTGAGGCCCCTGGGGAACCAGCAGAGAGGGCCTGCGTGAGGCATCTGGAGGCTCTGAGCACCTCTGGAATCCCAGCGACCTGCAGAGGTTGCCCGTCTCTGTGGGGGCAGCAGCGCCTGAAGGGAGGTGGCCATAGCAGCCCACAGGGGCCCAGGGCTGACCAGCTCTGCCTTGGGTGCCAAGGCTGGGCAGGGCCTGTGCCCTTGGGAGTCCTGTTTCAGACCCACCTCAACCACATGGCCCTGCCCTCATCTTATTTGCCTGGACAGCAAGGCCTGCAGAAACTGATTTGCTCATCCAATTTGGGGAACCTGAGCTCCCTGCTGGGCAAGCCTGATGGTTTCACAGCTGCCCATGATGGTTTCCTCGGCAACTTCAAATCAGACTCTGCTCCTTAGTTGCCAGCACCTTTACTAAAGAAGGTGGGGGCGGTGGGCAGAAAGCATGGGGGTGTCGTGTCATGGTGACAGGTGTAAGGAGAAGGCAAAGAGTTTTCCACTTCCATTGATGGTAGCAGTGGCGGCCACCTGACCCAGGGCACCATCTCTTCCTCCTGTTTGTCCCCTGCTTCCTCTGCCCTGCCACCTCCCCCTTCCTCCCCAATGAGGTCACTGCAGTTCTCTCTCCACCTTTCCAAGATAGATGCAGGTTGCTGCTCTCCTGAGGTCCCCACTAAGGCTGTGGCTTCTGATCCCCGCTGATCTCTTGGATTTTATTTCCCTGGCCCCCTCCCCCACCTCCTTTCTATTTGTCCCACCCCCATCCCCACCTTCCTCTGCCATTCCTAATCCTCCCATCCTGATTCCTCTTCTAGGTTTTCTCTGGCTAAATTATCTTTTTTTTTTTTTTTAGTAGAGACGGGGTTTCACCGTGTTAGCCAAGATGGTCTCGATCTCCTGACCTCATGATCCGCCCGCCTCGGCCTCCCAAAGTGCTGGGATTACAAGCGTGAGCCATTGTGCCCGGCCTTTCTTTTTTTCTTTTTTTTTTTTTTTTTGAGATGGAGTCTCATTCAGTCCCCCAGGTTGGAGTGCAGTCGTGCATTATCAGCTCACTGCAACCTCCAGCTCCCAGGCTCAAGCCATTCTCTTGCCTCAGCCTCCTAAGTAGCTGGGACTACAGGCAAGCACCACCACACCTGGCTAATTTTTGTATTTTTGGTAGAGAAAGGGTTTCACTATGTTGGCCATGGTGAACCGGGTGATCTGCCCGCCTCTGCCTCCCAAAGTGCTGGGATTACAGGCATGAGCCACCATGCCCTGCCAATTTTCTTTATTATATACTTGCTAATATCTGTCTCCTTACCCACCCCCCACCCCCCACCAGACCTTGTTTTGTGCAACACAGAATGATGAAAATCTAGAAACAGGAATCTCACTCTTGGCCCTAGCCAGGACTCAGGTTTTGTGAAGCGGGCTGGGGCAGGTGGAAAAGCAAGCCCCACCAAACCAACACCTAGCCTAGAGCCTGAGCGAAGTGCCACTCAAAACACAGCTCCTCCCTTTACTTTCCTGTAACCCGAGAATTCTTCCTGAAAAAGGTGGCCCCTGAGAACAGTCTAAAAGTGTCACAGGGTGGAGGGGCAAGGGTCCTGAGAGCTGGTCTTGCCATCTCTTGTCCCCAGTTTTCTTGAAGAAGTTGAGCTCCAGAGAAGAGGCAGGGCCAGTGGGGCATTTGGATTACGCTCCAAGTCTGATTCCTAGTCCAGCAATCCTGCCCCCAGAGGCTCCCTTTATCTGTCCCCTTGGCCAAGGAAGGGGCAGTCACCCCCTGCCCCCTGCCTGGCCACAGACAAAAACCATCAGAAGGCTGTCTGTGGGGCCCCAGAACCATGTGGTAATCGCCTAAGGAGTTGGAGCCCTTTAGCCTCAAGAAGAGGGTGGGGGACACAGCACCCTTCTGAAACCTAAACCACATTCTGGCCTGAGCCGTTTTACACTGTCTGTGCAAAGGTTGTGAGGGCCTCTAAGTGGGTCCTCTTGTTTCCCTGTCTTCTGAGGCCCAGGGCTTTCTCAGGGCCTCCGTGGGTCCCCCCCCTGCACCCATCACATAGAGCCTGGGTCCTGTCTGCCAGGCTCACACTCCCCACACCCATCTTGCTGTCCTATTTCCATCCCTACGACAGCCCCCTGGGCACTGCCAGTCCCTCTCTTAGAAGACTTTCACAGGCCCTGCCCTTCCGTTTTGTCAATCTAGTTAATGGCACCTTCTCCTAGAGAAGCCCTCCCTGAGCATCTCATCTGCAGTAGGGTCACCCCCATCTTCCACCCTCACTTTTCCTGGTGTTTCCTTCCTAGCCCGTCCCTATTGGGAGTTTTCTGCACTTACAGACCAGTCTCTCTCGCCCACCCGGGGGCCAGCGTGTCTGTCTTCTCTGTCCCAGCACACTGAATGATTATTTGTTGGTATAAATGAAACAGGAAGGCCCCTGAGGTGCTGGGACTGGCAGCCCTTCACCCCAGGTGAGGAAGGAGCCTTGAGGAAGGGGAGAGGACCAGAGTTAGTGGCCTTTCCCCACCCTGAGGGTCAGCCCCGGGCAGGGCGGGTCACTGAGTCTTGGGGGACCTGATGCCTGTGCCCTTGATGGTGGCCCGCAGGGGACGCAGCCGCACTGGGTCAGCTGTGGTCCTGGGGCAGTCGCGTCCAGGCAGGCGGCACTTAGGAAGGACAAACTCCAAAACCCAGGGATCCAAAGGATCCATGGGAAGATCGGGTGGCTCAGGGGAGTGACTCCCCGGCTTGGTCGGCGCTTTGAGGCCCCGGGGACCCAGCGGAGAGGGCTCGGGTGAGGCATCTGGAGGCGCTGAATGGGGCCGGGAGCCGCGGGACCCGCAGAGGGCGCCTGTCCGTGTGGGCGCAGCAGCGCCTAGAGGGAGGCGGCCCCGGCAGCCCGCAGGGGTCAGGCTCTGCTGGAGCAGGGGCGTCCCTGTCTCCGCTTCCCAGCGCAGGCTGGGTGGGGCCGATGGCCATTAAAGCCCCGCCCCCCGCGGCTCACCGCCGCCTGGCCCCGTCCCCGAGGCCAGAAAAGAGGAGACCCGAGGCCGTCAGACCGCCTGTCAAGGGCTGTCCTGGAGCCTGGCACCTTCCCCTCGCTCCCCGTCTGACCCCCAGAGGCCGTGCTGTCCAGGCTGACCCCGACTCTGAGCCATCGGGATGCCTGTCCACGCCTCCACTCCTGGGCCACTTCCCCGTGGGGCGAGCAGAAGGGCGGGCCGGGTGGGAATCTGTTGTACCCAGGGAAGGGAATTGCCAACAGGCCCAGAGAGTTTGAAGCCTGGGGTACTGTCACCAACAGGCCAGTAGCCTCGCAGCTGGGCCCTGCCCTAGAGTCTTCCTGCAGCAGGGCGCTTCTCCGGAGGAGCTGTGAATGTTTTCCCGGGTGGGGCTGAAGCCAGAGCCCAGAGGTTTGCCCCTGGGGCACGGATCCTCCAGGTCACTCGCCCCCCTACGGGCTGCAGTGAAGAAGGCTCTGAGGGGAGGATGGCCAGCGCCTCCCCTGCAAGGATAGGGGCCCCTGGGAACCCATTCCTGCTCTGGGGATTGCCTCCCTCCCCTACATCAGAGCCATCCACCGCAGAAGCTTGGCCAAGCTGACCACTCTGTCAGTGATCTCTGCCAGGGAGGCTGAAAGAACATCCAGCCCCACCCGTGGTCCCTTCCCGCCTCAGGCTATGTGACAGTATGACTCTCCACCTATTTCTTCGTTTCCACTGGAAACACTAGTAAAACAATTCCTCAGCCTCGACCCCAGGGAGCGGCCCCCACTAAACCAGCTGACGTGGGACCCCTGGGTCAATGCTGGCCAGGAGATGCGGCTGACATCAAAGACCCTGGGCCCCTGGGCCCCCTACAACCCTGGTCACGGTGGCCATGGGATTCCAGGCAGCACACATCTCAGAATCAGTATTTCCCCCACCCCACAAAAAATACATATATGGGTCGGGCGCGGTGGCTTGCGCCTGTAATCCCAGCACTTTGGGAGGCCGAGGCCGGCGGATCACGAGGTCAGGAGATCGACACCATCCTGGCTAACACGGTGAAACCCCGTCTCTACTAAAAATACAAAAAATTAGCTGGGCGTGGTGGCGGGTGCCTGTAGTCCCAGCTACTTGGGAGGCTGAGGCAGGAGAATGGCATGAACCCGGGAGGCGGAGCTTGCAGTGAGCCGAGATCACACTACTGCACTCCAGCCCAGGCGACAGAGTGAGACTGCGTCTCAAAAAAAAAAAAATTATATGCACAAATATGGGCATCGCTGGTAAGAAGAGTGGCAAAAACACAAGTGGTTCTCTTGTTTTGGGCTCAGACATGTGACTGTGGCATCACAGGCCCCCGGGATTTAGAATTCTTCTGAAAGGCATCCTGTGCACTCCCGAGCACCAGCTTGAACAGATGAAAAGGCTGAGCTGGAGGGGCTGGGACACAGTCCACCTTGACGACAGCTGCTCCTGGCTGTGCGGGGGGCCCCAGGAAAGGCCGTTCCCCCACTAGGACCGCCAGGCCCTACAGAGGCTCAAACTCCTTTGCTGTTTGGAATCTTCCCTCCCCAGCCCCCAAGCCTCATCAGAGGCTGCCTTTTCTGTTCACTGACCACAGCTGCTTTGACTCCATTAGCCTCGAGCTCCTGGAAGAAAAGAAAGAACCTTGTTTTCCCTGGGCTCAATGCCAAGAGACCATGGGCAGTTGCTCAAGATTCACTTGTGAAACTCCGGATCTCAGGAGGAGGGAAGCTTGGGACAAATACCGAGCCTCCCACCCCCACTCCAACTCTGTTACTGAGCACTTTACGGAAGGAGCAGGTAGGCCCCGCCACAGCTTCATCAAGGGTGGACTGGGATAGCTTCTGTGCTAATACAAACATCAGGCCTCCCTGCCAGACAGCCCACCCCATGGAGCCAGCCTGGCACCGGGCCAGCCTCCAGCCATAACTGCAAAAGAGCAGGAGAGCCCGGAATAGCAGGCCCTCTTCAGCGAGCTTCAGCCGCTTTGCCCATAGGCTGCAGGGTTTGGGTCCGCTGCCATAAATAGCTCCCAGACCATCTTTGGTAATATAGGCCTTTGCCTTAGTATTTACTACATCCAAATAGGCTTTATAGTAAGAGTAGTGAAACAATAGGTTTTGTTTTGTTTTTCGTTTTTTGTTTGTTTGTTTCTTTTTTGAGACGGAGTCTCACTCTGTCGTCCAGGCTAGAGTGCAATGGCACAATCTCGGCTCACTGCAACCTGCACCTCCCAGGTTCAAGCAATTCTCCTGCCTCAGCCCCCCGAGTAGCTGAGATTACAGGTGCCCACCACCATGCCCGGCCAATATTTTGTACTTTTAGTAGAGACGGGATTTGGCCATGTTGGCCAGGCTGCTCTCAAATGCCTGACCTTGTGATCCACCCGCCTTGGCCTCCCAAAGCGCTGGGATTACAGGCGTGAGCCACTGCGGCTGGCTGTGATAGAGTTTTTGAATCCTCTTTTTTTTTTTTCCCAGAGACAGGCTCTCACTCTGTTGCCCAGGCTGGAGTGCAGTGGCACAATCATAGCTCACTGCAGCCGCGACCTACTGGGCTCCAGTGAACCTCCTGCCTCAGGCTCCTGAGTAGCTGGGACTACAGCCACCATGCTCTGCTAATTTTTTTTTATTATCTAGTGTAGAGACAGGGTCTGGCTATGTTGCCCAGGCTGCTCTTGAACTCCTGGCCTCAAGCGATACTCCTGCCTCAGCCTCCCAAAGTGCCGGGATATCCGGCATGAGCCACTGCACCTGGCCAAGTTTTTAAATCTTTCAGTCACAGACTAAATAAAACAGTCACCTACAAGTTCTACAAGTTCAGCCTTTTTTTTTTTTTTTTGAGATGGAGTCTCGCTCTGTCACCCAGGCTGTAGTGCAGTGGCACGATCTTGGCTTACCACAACCTCTGCCTCCCAGGTTCAAGCGATTCTACTGCCTCAGCCTCCCAAACAGCTGGGAGTACAGGCGCCTGCCATGCTGGCCAGCTAATTTTTTTGTTTTTAATAGAAACCGGGTTTCACCATGTTGGTCAGGCTGGTCTTGAACTCCTGACCTCAGGTAATCTGCCTGGCTCGGCCTCCCAAAGTGCTGGGATTACGGCGTGAGCCACCATGCCCAGCCTAAGTTCAGCCTTTCATGCTTGTCTTGAGTTGTCCAATACTGGAAAATGCCAGCTCACACTGATGAGAAGCTCCTACTCTTTGGGGCTACCTATGAGCCCACTTTGAAATCCCGAGGTTGAAAGTCCTGAACATGAAAGATAAGCTGTCTGGCAAGTTAGGATGGGCATTGATGGAGAAATGCCTTACAGCTTGAGTAGTACTTTTTCACCTAACCACTTAAACGGTTATTATAAAATGGGACACTGAGAAATTAGAAGAGTGACTTAATCCCACCTGCTCAATTGAAGCTCCTCTGATAGGTGAATTTAATTAGGAAATTGTTACTTATGGTATCAATTACATGGTCAGCTCAAGCCTCAAATTCAGCTGACTTTAGTTTCAAAATCAACTGCAATTTTGTTTTTTAAGGAGCCTGGGGTCTTGCTATTGTGCTCCAGCCTGGCCTTGAACTCCTGGTCTCAAGGGATGCTTCCACCCCAGCTTGCTGAGTATCTGGGACTGCAGGCACGTGTCACTGTGCCCAGCTGTTTTTTTTTTTCTTCTTTGGTAGAAAAAGTGCCATTAGCTGTAATCCTACATTAAAGAGAATACTTTGACAATAGATTCGTCTCTTCCTTTAGCCCCCTCCAACCTTCCAGATAAAACCCCACCCCAAAGAACACAGGCAAAGAAGATACATCAGCCTCAATAATTTATTGCAAACTCCCTAATATCACATGCTAGTGCGCTTGCGAATTCACTCAGGAATGTTCCGGGATGGGGGCCAGAAGGTAGAGAGCACCATGAAAGTACAGCCTGCGAGGCCAGATTGCTAAGGGGCAGACTTCATGCCAATGGAGGGACAGACTTCAGGACCAGTCTGGATGGGCTAAGCTGCCTTGGGCAGGAAGGAGCTGGATCAGGCCAGGAGCTTGAGGTTCTCCTTTGGCCAACCCACCCCAGGTTTCCAGCTCCTCCTCCTCACTCAGGGTCCTGCGCGGTGAGGGAGGTGTGGGGAGGTTCGCGGCTCTACAGCTGCCAGGCTTGTGGGCACTACCAGTTAAGCGTGAGGCCCCCAGTCAGTCCTTCACTGGGGAAAGCTTCCAAGGACTTGGGCTTTCACTGCAGTATCTTCAGACAGGTCGGGATAAGGGATGAGGCCTTGCCCTTGGGGGGCTGCCCTTCCTCCGTAGCATCGAGGAGCTGCTGCAGGTAACAGGAGGTGCCAAGCAGTACGTGGCCTGTGGCCTGCATGCTGAAGAGGGCCCAGCGGAAAGCTTCCCTGGGTGGAATGAGAGGGCACGCAAGTCAAAACCACGAAGTAGGTCGGGCATGGCGTTCACGCCTGTAATCCTAGCACTTTGGGAGGCCATGGAGGGCGGGTAACCTGAGGTCAGGAGTTTGAGACTAGCATGGCCAACATGGCGAATCTCTGTCTCTACTAAAAATACAAAAACTAGGCAGGCATAGTGGTGGGTGACTGTAATCCCAGTTACTCCAGAGCCTGAGGCAGGAGAATCGCTTGAACCCAGGAGGCGGAGGTCACAGTGAGCCGAGGTGGCACCACTGCACTCCAGCCTGGGTGACAGAGCAAGATTCAGTCTCAAAAAACAATCAAACAAAAAACACAAGGCTGGGCTTGGTGGCTCATGCCTGTAATCCTATAACTTTAGGTGGCCGAGGTGGGTGGATCATTTGAGGTCAGGAGTTTGAGACCAGCCTGGCCAACATGGCGAAACCCCGTCTCTACTAAAAAATACAAAAAATTAGCCGGGCGTGGTGGCAGACACCTGTAATCTCAGCTACTCGGGAAGCTGAGGCACGAAAATCACTTGAACCTGGGAGACAGAGGTTGTAGTGAGCTGAGATTGTGCCACTGCACTCCAGCCTGGGTGACAGAGTGAGTCTCTGTCTCAAAAATAAATAAATACATAATAAATAAAAACAAGAGTGTACCCCCTCCCTGCACCCCCTTATTCCCATGCTGGCCTGGAAGGGATTGGTTTCATTATGTTTGTTTTCTTCATTAATAACATTTGAATACCACTGAGGTGGTAGCACTAAAAGCATTTCATCAATTCTAGAGCGATGTGCAAATAGGAACAGATGCTGCAGATGGGATCAAGATTAGTGCGAGGACCTGCAATTCCACCTTAACTGAGATGCCCGGAACCTCCCTACTTTCTCATGCAAAACCCCAGCTCATTTCATAAGGCTTTTATTTTTCTACTACTACTTTGGACCAACCAGATTAATCTCCATAACATGGTTCTGCACCTTGAGACACTCTGTTCTAGACTCTGAGGCCTGTCCAAGCCACCTGCAGTCTAGCTCATGTTCAGAGTGCTGGACATGAAGACATCCATGCCTGGCATGAGCATGTACTGAGAACAGAACCTGAATCAGGCAGGCCTAAGTCCTAATCCAGTCTTATTAGCTGGGTGAACTTCAGCAAACTGCTCTAGCTTTGAGCTTCAGCTTCCTCATGGGTAAAATGGGATTGCACCTGCCACCCAGGGTCATAAGGCTGAAATAGCATAAAGCAATTAACATGGGGTTGGATGTTTGGAAAGTAGGGGAAATGGGGAAGCGGGAGCGGGTTCTAACCTCACATATTCTCATGCTTCTTGAGACATTTGGTTAGACTTTCAAAAATAAGTTTTAAGAAAAGTTCATTATATAGTACAAATGACTCTGGTCCATAAGACTTGCAAATTAATTCTGTCATATGGAGGGAAGATTATTTCATCCCTCCCATTCCCACAGGGGAAAAAGCCCAATTTTGTATGTATACATTTATCTCTCTTTTTCTTCGTTTTAGAGACAAGGTCTCATGCTGTTGCCCAGGCTGGAGTACACAGTAGTATGGTCATATCTCACTGCAGCCTCAAACTCCTGGGCTCAAGCAATCCTCCCACCTAGCTGGGATTATAGGTACATACTACCACTGCCAGCATTTTGTGTGTGTGTGTGTGTGCGCACACACGGGCGTGTGATAAAGACAGGGTCTCACTGTGTTGCCGAGGCTGGTCTCAAACTCATGGGCTCAACAGATCCTCCTGCCTTGACCTCCCAAAGTGCTGGGATCCCAGGTGAGAGCTGCTGCACTCAACCTATCTCATCATTCTTCCTGGACCTGTATATATGTGGGATTTTGAAATCTCCTTTGAGCTGATTGTAACTTCTTGCTAGTTCTCTCATTAATTAATGAATTCAATTAAGTCTTTGACACGTGCTTTTTTTTGTTTTTTTTTCCGAGACAGTCTTGCTCTTTTGCCCAGGCTGGAGTGCAGTGGCAGAATCTTGGCTCACTGCAACCTCTGCCTCCTAGCTTCAAGCGATTCTCCTGCTTCAGCCTCCTGAGTAGTTGGGATTACAGGCATGCACCACGATGTCCAGCTAGTTTTCATATTTTTGTAGAGATTAGGTTTTGCCATGTTGGCCAGGCTGGTCTCAAACTCCTGACCTCAAGTGATCCACCCACCTTGGCCTCTCAAAGTGCTGGGATTACAGGCATGAGCCACCGTGCCTGGCCAACACATGTTCATTTTTATAAAATTGACTAGAAGACTACTTAGGAAAACTTCCTATTTCAATGAAAAAATGTAGTTACTAGAGTGGAAAGTAGTCATAAAAATAAAATGCATCCAGGTTCCACCAGGAGGAACACGTGCACCCCTGGGCACACGCCGGTGTCGTCCACAGCACTTCGAGAGCCCATCAGGCTCCGTGTTGTCTGATACAGGCTATGCTTTGTCAGCACCAAAGCCAGACCCAGGCGCTGAGAAGGCTGAGTCCATGTGGACAGATAGGGGCTCTCCCATTGCCTGTACCCACCCTGTCCCCAGGAAATCCCAATTTGCTCACTTCATGATGCGCTTGGCCCCACAGCAGTGCAGATCATAGGAAAGGGAGTATGTATCATAAAAAGTCGCCTTCACGTTCAGGCAGCCAATGAAGTCCTGTGGGTTCAGCTTGTACAGATCAAACGTTACACGGGCCACATCAATCTTCTTGGCAGGCTTATGGGAGAGGGACAGTGGGTGCCTTGTCCCCTGCATTGAGACAAGCAAATGGTTAGCACCCCTTGAAGACATCTCCCAGAGTCCCGATTTTCTCCCCCATCAGGTGCAACAGGTGGGACCTCACCTGTTCTGATGGGGGCTGCCATTTCTGCCCCTTCTGGAGGACCATGAACACTGTATCCCCTGCCAGGGCTTGGAAGTACTCTTCTGTCTCTACAGTTGTGCCATCTTCCTCCAGCACCAGGAAGAAGGGCTTGTCTGCCAGCATCAGAGTGTCCCGGACCTGGGGAATAAGGTCAGTGATGCTTCTGCCATCCCAGAACAAGTGGGCTGGACTCTATGAGGTGGAACTGGAGCCCAGGCCCTCTGCTGTGGAATCACTACCCAGAGACTTTATCATGGTACCTCTTGGCTCCTGGCTTCAGGGTTCCTAGTCTAGAATAATATTGTCCAATAAAATATAATGTAAGTCACATATAATTTTTAATTGTGATACAGTTTACATACTCTAAAAGTTACCCTCTAAAAGTGTACAATTCAGGGTTTTTTAGTATATTCGCAAAGTTGTGCAACAATCACCACTACCTAATAGTGCAGTGACTACTAGGCTGGAATGCAGTAATCATAAGCATATCATAAGCATAAGTAGAGAGCACATGACATAATTGTAGCTCATTGCAGCCTCCAACTCTTGGGCACAAGCAATCCTCCTGCCTCAGCCTCCCGAGTAGCTGGGACTACAGTTGCATGCCATTACTACCTGCCTAATGTTTATGTTTTTTTAAAGATGGTGTCTGGCTATGTTGCTCAGACTGGTCTCAAACTCCTTGCCTCAAGGGATCCTTCTACCTTGGCCTCCCAAAGTGCTGGAATTACAGGCATGTGCTATCACGTCCGGACATAATTCATTCTTTTTTTTTTTTGGCTAAATAATATTCTACTATATAGATATAACAGATTTTAAAATCTATTTATCAGTGGATGAACGCTTGGATTGTTTATTCTTGACTATTATGAATAATGCTGCTATGAGTTTTTGTGTACAAGTTTTTATATGAACATATGTTTTCAATTTTCCTGGGCATATATACCTAGGAGTAGAATTGCTGAGTCATACATTAACTCTATGTTTAATTTTTTTTTTTTTTTTTTTTTCTGGGGAGAAGGCCTTGCTCTTTAACCAGGTTGGAATGCAGTGGTATAATCACAGCTCACTGCAGCCTCAACCTCCTGGGCTCAAGTGATCCTTCTACTTTAGCCTCCCAAGTAGCTGAGATTACAGGTTTGTGCCATGTTGCCCAGCTAATTTTTTTTTTTTTTTTTTTTTGGTGGAGACAGGGTGCTGCTTTGTTTCCCAGGCTGGTCTCAAACTCCTGGGCTCAAGTAATCCTCCCTGCTCAGCCTCCCAAAATGCTGGGATTACAAGCATGAGCCACCACAATGGGCCTATGTTTAACTTTGAGGAGGTGCCAAACTGTTTTCCACAGTGGCTGCATCATTTTACATCCCCACTAGCAACGTATGAGAACTCCAGTCTCCTTACATCCTCACTGATGCTTTCATTGTCTGTATTTTAGCCAAAAATCCTTATTTTTTTTTCTTTTTTTGAGACTGAGTTTTGCTCTTGTTTCCCAGGCTGGAGTGCAGTGGCATGATCTCGACTCACCGCAATCCCCACCTCCTGGGTTCAAGCGATTCTCCTGCCTCAGCCTTCCTGAGTGGCTGGGATTACAGACATGTGCCACCACACCCAGCTAATTTTATACTTGTAGTAGATACAAGGTTTCTCTATGTTGGTCAGGCTGGTCTCAAACTCCCGACCTCAGTTGATCCGCCTGCCTCGGCCTCCCAAAGTGCAGGGATTATAGGCATGAGCCACTGCACCAGGCCCAAAAATCTTTTTTTCGTTTGTTTGTTTTGTTTTTGGTTTTGTTTTGTTTTTTGTTTTTTTAATAGAGATAGGATCTCACCATGTTGCCAAGGCTGTTCTCGAACTCCTGGATGCTCAGGCAGTCCTCCCGCCTCGGCCTCCTAAAGTGCTTGGATTACAGACGTGAGGCACAACACCCAGCCATATATCCACTTTTTGGTGGATGAAGTGATTTTAATTTGCATTCCCCTAATGATTAATGATGCTGAGCCTTTTTTTTTTGAAACAGGGTCTTGCTCTCTCACCCAGGCTGGAGTGCAGTGGTGCCATCATGACTCACTGCAGTGTCACCCTCCTAGGCTCAAGTGATCCTCCCACCTCAGTCTCCCAAGTAGCTGGGACTACAGGCATGTGCCACCGTTCCCAGCTAATTTTTGTATTTTTTTGTAGAAGTAAGGTTTTGCCATGTTACCCAGGCTGGTCTTGAACTCCTGGGCTCAAGCGATCCGCCTGCCTCCACCTCCCGAAGTGCTAAAATTAGAGGCATGAGCCAATACGCTTGGCCAAGCATCTTTTCATGGGTTTATTGGCCACTGTGTTATCTTCTTTGGAGAAATATCTACTCAAATCCTTTGCGCATTTTTAATTGGGTTGTCTTTTTCTTGCTTAGCTGTAAACACTATATATTCTTGATATTAGACCCTTATCAGCTATATGATTTGCAACTATTTTCTCCCATTTTGTGGGCTGTGTTTTTTACTTTCTTGCTAGTGTCCCTTGATATACAAAAGTTTTAGGCTGGGCGTAGTGGCTCATGCCTGTAATCCTAGCACTTTAGGAGGCAAAGTCAGGTGGATCACCTGAGGTCAAGAGTTCGAGACCAGCCTAGCCAACATGGTGAAACCCCGTCTCTACTAAAATTACAAAAAATTAGCTGGGCGTGGTGGTGCGCGCCTGTAGTCCCAGCTGCTCAGAAGGCTGAGGCATGAGAATTGCTTGAGCCCGCAAGGCAGAGGTTGCAGTGAGCCTAGATTGCACCACTGCACTCCAGCCTGGGTGACAGAGGAAGACTCTGTCTAAAAAAAAAGGTTTTATTGCTGATGAAGTCCAGTTTTTTTGGTTTTGTTTTTGCTTATTTTGTTTTGTTTTGGTTTTGTTTGTTTTGGTTTGTTTTGGTTTTGTTTTTTTGTTTGTTTGTTTTTCCCTTTGGTCGCTCTGCTTTGGTGCCGTATCTAGGAAGTCAAGGCCATGAAGACTTACATACTATGTTTTCTTCTAAGGGTTTTATAGTTTTAGTTCTTACATTTAGGTCTTTGGTCCATTTTTACTTACTTCTCTGAACTAGTTTCATCATCAAAAAAAGTTGAGGCAAGTACAGTTTATAAGTTGTTATAGTGATTAAATGCAAAAATGTCATGACGGCCGGGTGCAGTGGCTCACGCCTGTAATCCCAGCACTTTGGGAGGCCAAGGCCAAGGCAGGTGGATCACGAGGTCAGGAGATCGAGACCATCCTGGCTAACACGGTGAAACCCTGTCTCTACTAAAAATACAAAAATTAGCCAGGCGTGGTGGCAGGTACCTGTAGTCCCAGCTACTCCAGAGGCTGAGGCAGGAGAATGGCGTGAACCTGGGAGGTGGAGCTTGCAGTGAGCTGAGATCACGCCACTGCACTCCAGCCTGGGCGACAGAGTGAGACTCCGTCTCACCGTCTCAAAAAAAAAAAGTGTCATGACACTTAGGTTAACTGCCTGGGTTTCAATCCCAGTGAATGCACTTGGCCTCTGCCTCTGGAGAATGGAAATAGTGGTAACTACCTTAAGGCTCTCATCAGAAGAAATGCTGCAAATCACCTGGCAGATTACATGGTCCATAATAAGAATAGGCTCCTCAGGACATTTACAACCACATCATTAGTTATCTTGGAATGATGGCATTATCACGTCACTTTTCTTGCTTGGATTCACTAAGGAACATATCTTGCTACTTAAAACTCTTTCAGTAAGGGCCTGGGATCAGCAACACACCAATAGCAATGAACATATCTAGCTCCCTGGTCTCGGTTTCTGAATACCATTCTCCACTAAAATGAAACAGACCTTAGAAAAAAATGGCCAAGAATTAGGGCAGGGAAAATACAAGATGAGCCTGTAATACCTTGTTGCACCAGAAAGAAAGCATGCAAAGAATGCTGGGGACATGATAAAAAGATGTTGAAGTCTGGGACAACTTGAGCATCAATAAATAATCTGTTGCCATTCATGTATGCTATTAAAATAGAAATACCTGTGTCCCTTTTGAAACAAATAAATAAATAAATAAATAGGCCAGATGCAGTGGCTCATGCCTGTAATCCCAGCACTTTGGGAGGCCGAGGTGGGAGGATCACTTGAGGCCAGGAGTTTGAGACCAGGCTAGGAAACATAGCTAGACCCCCTCTCTATTTAAAAAAAAATTAAAAATTAGGTGTGAGATCGTGTACCTATAGTCCTAGCGAGTCGGGAGGCTGAGGTGGCAGGATCACTTGAACCTAGGAGTTTGAGGCTGCAGTGAGCCATCATCACATCACTGCATTCTAGCCGGGGCAATGGAGCGAGACCCTTTCTCTAAAATAATAATAATAATAATAATAATAATAATAATAATAAGTGAATACAGTGACAGATGCAGAATTCAATGTTTACTTAGTACAAAGTACTGACCTAGAAAATAAATAACAGAGGGGAAAATGTTACATAGAGAAGCTTGACTGTACCTACCACTTTATTCAAATAATCAAAACAGTAAGGTGACAAAAATTGCATATAATTTTGCAGTGACAATCTTTTTAAAATTTTTTTTAAACAGGGTCTCGCTCTGTCACACAGGCTGCAGTGCAGTGGTGCATTCACAGTTCACTGGAGCCTCAAATTCCTAGGCTCAAGTGATCATCCTGCCTCAGCCTCCTGAGTAACTGGGACTACAGGTGCACACCACCATGTCCAGCTAATTCCTGTATTATTTTTGTATAGACGGGGTCTCACCATGTTGCCCAGGCTGGTCTTGAACTCCTGGGCTCAAGGACTCCTCCTGCCTCGGCCTCCCAAAGTGTTAGGATTACAAGCATGAGCCACTATGCCTGGCCTGCAACTTATTTTTATCATATTCCTGCCAAAGATATAAACCTGAATTAAAGAAATGGATAGGGCCAGGTGTGGTGGCTCACACCTGTAATCCCAGCACTTTGGGAGGTCGAGGCAGGCAGATCACGAGGTCAGGAGATTGAGGCCATCCTGGCTAACACGGTGAAACCCCGTCTCTACCAAAAATACAAAAAAAATTAGCTGGGCGCGGTGGCGGGCGCCCGTAGTCCCAGCTACTCAGGAGGCTGAGGCAGGAGAATGGTGGGAAGCCGGGAGGCAGAGCTTGCAGTGAGCCGAGATAGCACCACTGCACTCCAGCGTGGGCGACAAAGCGAGACTCTGTCTCAAAAAAAAAAAAAAAAAGAAAAAAGAAATGCATAGTTCCAAACCAAGGGACAGTAAACAAAAATAGCTGGCTCATAATCTTCAAAATGGTCAAGGCCATGAAAGTCAAGGAAACACTGAAAAACTGTTCCATACTGAAGGAAACTAAAGAGACATACAATTAAATAAACACTTGATCCTGACCTGGATCCTTTCACTATAAAGGATATTATTGGGACAGCTGGCAATGCTTGAGTTTCAGGATTCAATTACAGTAATGTAATACTGTTTCCTGATTGTAATAGTTGTATGATGGCTATCCTTGTTTGTAGAAAGGAGAATATCCTTGTTTGTAGAAAATGCACATTGAAGTATCCAAGAGTAATAGGCAGCAAGTTGGCAACTTACTCTCAAATGATTCAGGCAAAGTTTTGTATTGTATTTGTACTGTGTAACTTTTGTTAGTTTGCAATTGCTTCCTCCAGGGGAAGCCACATATAACAAGGACACTTTGATGCAGGGGGTGCCCAGACCTCAGGGCAAAAAAACAGCACCAAGTCCAGGTTAGAGTATGAACAGGTCCTTTTGATTGAAAGCACAAGAAATGTAGTCTGCGCAGCCAGAAGCCTTACAAAGGAGGGGAAATTGGCTCTCCGGAAGAACAGAACTAATACACAGAAATAGGGGAGGAAACTTAGAATAAAGAGGTTAGCTATGATTGATTTCTGTATGTTAAATAGAGCCTAATAATTGGAAGCCTAATCCAAACATTTGACCTGTACCAGGCACCTGGGATTGCAGATGAGAGGGTCCCACCCCTATAGAGATGATCAGTGAGGACAGGCATGGTGGCTGACGCCTATAATCCCAGCACTTTGGGAGGCAGAGGTGGGTGGATTACCTGAGGTCGGGAGTTTGAGACCAGCCTGGCCAACATGACAAAACCCCATCTTTACTAAAAATACAAAAATTAACTGGGCGTGGTGGTGCATGCCTGTAGTCCCAGCTTCTTGGGAGGCTGAGGCATGAGAATCACTTGAACCTGGGAGGCGGAGACTTCAGTGAGCTGAGATCATGCCACTGCACTACAACTTGGGTGACACAGCAAGACTCCATCTTGGGCTGGGTGTGGTAGCTCACACCTGTAATCCCAACACTTTGGGAGGCCAAGGTGGGTGGATTGCCTGAGCTCAGGAGTTCGAGACCAGCCTGGGCAACACAGTGAAACCCTGTCTCTACTAAAGTACAAAAAATTAGCTGGGTGTGGTGGTGTGTGCCTGTAGTCCCAGCTACTCAGGAGGCTGAGGCAGGAGAATCGCTTGATTCTGGGAGGCAGAGGTTGCAGTGAGCCAAGATCGCGCCATTGCACTCCAGCCTGGATGACAAGAGTGAGACTTCGTCTCAAAAAAAAAAAAAAAAAAAAAAAAAAACTAATGGAAGTGGGAAGCATGAGATTTTCCAGCAAGAAAAATGTGCCCTGAAAATACCACTGACCTACTGATAGTGTAGGATGGTAACGTACTGCCCCCCTCCTGTTACCAAACAGACATCAGTCATTGCTAATTAGTTGGACAGCTCTCCAGGTGGGCATTACCATCTGTAGGCGCTGGTAGGTATCAGAAAGGAAACTGTGCCACCTTCTAAGCCCTGACCTCCATCTCTGCTGAATCCCAGCTCACAGCTGGGCTGTGCAACGCGCAGGTGCTCTCACCTTGAGGAGGAGGTCCTCAAGACTGTAAGCCATGATGCCCTTCCTCACGCTTCGATCCGCCGTGCTTACGCGGCAGGGCCGGGCCCTGGGGGCCTTGGGGCTGGGCTCCGACAGCAGCTGCTGGGTCACCACAGAGGTACGCACTGACACATGCCTGGGGCAGTTGAAGCATCAGGGTGAGCCACCCACTTTGCCCAACCCTTGCCCACCACACAGGGGAGCCACCTCCCCACCCCTCCTGACTGGGCTCATGATCAGTCAACCCCCCATCACCTGCTAATCCTGCCCTAGTCTTACTCAGAAGCCTGCTAGAAGCCAGGCACGGTGGCTCATGTCTGTAATCCCACACTTTGGAAGGCTGAGGTGGGCAGATCACTTGAAGTCAGGAGTTCAAGACCACCCTGGCTAACATGGTGAAACACCATCTCTACTAAAAATACAAAGATTAGCCAGTGTGGTGGCACATGCCTGTAATCCCAGCTCCATAGGCCGGGACACAAGAATTGCTTGAACCCTGGGAGGCGGCAGAGGTTGCAGTGAGCTGTGATGGTGCCACTGCACTCCAGCCTGGGCAACAGAGGGAGACCTCGACTTAAAAAAAAATAATAAAATAAAAATTAAAAAAAGCCTGCTAGAGCAGTGCATCTCAAACTTCGAAGGACACATAAGTCACCAGGGCTTCTGTTCAAATGCAGATTCTGACTGAGTAGACCTGGGTGAGGCCTGAGATTCCAAATGTTTCACAAGTTCCCAAGTGATGTTGATAACGCTGGTTCTCAGACCATGAGGAGTAAGTAGCAAAGTAATAAAAGACCCACCCCACATTCCCCATTTACCACCTGTCTTGGCCTCACTCTCCTCACCTGTAAAGTTGGATGAAGTGGGGGAAGCCTGAAGTCAATGTAAGGTATTTTTTTAACTGAAGCACTCAATTTAGAACCAAAGGAAAGGAAAGGACCTGGATTTTACAGTCAGGCAGTCCCAATTTAGAATCTTGGCTCCCTCATGGATTTGCTGGGTGATTGAGAGCACCCACTATGTGCCTCAGTTCTCTCACCTATTAATTTGGTATAATAACCCCCACTTCCCAAAGTTGTTGTGAGGCTTACATGAGATCAGGAGTAAAAGCACCAAGCATAGTGTCTACTCCTTTTTATGCATGGTGTGGTGGTGGTGTAAGCAGCAGCATTAATATCACCCAGGGACTTCTTGGCAGTGCAAAATCTCGGGTCCCACTCCAGACCTCCTGAATCAGAATCTGCACTTGAACAAGGTCCCCTGTGACCTGTATACCCATTAAAGTTTGAGAAGTTCTGGCTTACAGCTCATAGGTGGCTCTCTTTCCATTCTGCCCATGACTTTCCTCACCTGGAGAGGGACTTGGGGTAGAGAAGGCTAAGGGACTTCATGGCGTATTCCATCCTTGTCAGCTGGACTGCGTTGGACCTGGGAAGGAGGCAGAAACAATTCATCAGGGTGAGATGAGAGGGTTCCCATCTCTCTCATTGTTAGGCAAGGTGCAACCCAACCCCTGTTCAGCAACCTTCCTCCCTATTCTTCTATCCCAACTCACACATACCTCCCCCAGCCCTTCTCCTGTCCGGCCCCATGCATGCCAACCAAGACCAAGCTGGAGACCCCACCCCTCTCCCCACCGGGTGCTCAGGCTCAGCCTCACTCAGCAGCTGCTGCTCCTGCCCCAGTCCCACTCACTCCATGTTTCTCATCCCCTGGCTCTGGTCACACTGAGCAGATAACCCAACTCAGGGCTGAAGAAGCCTTGCCCGATTTGTTCCTGTCCATGGGGACAGAGTCCACTTTACGCTGGCAGGAGGTGAGTCACACCACCTCACACTTCTGGGGACCGTTCCCTCACCTCTAGTCCAGAGACCTCACAGGCAGGCAGCCCAGTCAAAGCCTCCTCTCTCCCATGGGTCCTTGAGCAATCCGAGCCCCTTCCTGAGGCTTCACAGTGGCCAAAAGAACATTCTGTGATGATAGAGGCATGCCTTGTACATACTCTCCAATACCATTGCTACTAGCCCCATGTGGCTATTGAGTATTTGAAACATAACTAGTGTGATTCAGGAGCTGAATTTTTTTTTTTTTTGAGTTTCGCTCTTGTCACCCAGGCTGGAGTGCAATGGGGCGATCTTGCTCACTACAACCTCCGCCTCCTGGGTTCAAGCAATTATCCTGCCTCAGCCTCCCCCGTAGCTGGGATTACAGGCACCTGCCACCACGCCCAGCTAATTTTTAGTTTAGTTTCGTTTTGTTTGGATTTTTAGTAGAGACTGGGTTTCACCATGTTGGCTAGGCTGGTCTTGAACTCCTGACCTCAGGTGATCTCCCTGTCTTGGCCTCCCAAAGTGCGGGGATTACAGGCGTGAGCCACTGCACCTGGCACAGGAGCTGTATTTTTTACTTTATTGAATTTTAACTAATTTAAATTTAAATAGCCACATTGCCATGTGGCTGTTGGCACCCATATTAGATCACAGGTCTAAGCAGATAGCCCTGGGCTCATCTGTCACCACTTTTTCTCCTAAACCTCTGTGCTCCAACTCTTGAAGGGCCCAACCCTTTGCACAGATAGTTCCCTCCACCTGTAGTGCCCTTCTCTGATCCAGGACGAAATTTTTGCAGCCTTGAAGCCTCAGTTTCATTGCTTTCCACTCTTTAAAAGGAAAGTCTTCTTAGACCACTCCCAAAATTATTACACCTTCATCCTGCTCTTCCTAGCCAAGGGTGCCTCTGGGTCTGTTTCTGCTGTAGCCCCTCAGTCCCTGGATGCCTGGCCCTGAGGTCCTCTTCCTATTCGAAGCTCCCGGCACAGGTAGGGCTTCGCAGAGCAAGGGGCACAAGGGGTGGACATAAAACAAAAGTCCCCTTGCCAGCTGGGGACAATCACTCTTTGCTTTTAACAATTTGGGGGACTTTCCAGACCAGGCCCCACAGAGGCAGAAAGCCCCTTTCCCACTTAGCACTGCAGAAGCTCTAGTCCTAGCTACGTGGGAGGCTGAGGCAGGAGGATTCTGCTTGCCTCAGCCTCACCCACTTCGTATCCCTAGCAAAACTCTGCCAAGAGCTACCTAACCTGCTCTCCAGGAGCAAAGAAAAAAAAATCCCCAAACCCAAAACAATAACAAACTCCTTACCTCCCCCTCACAGCCTCCTGGAAATACTGCCCTGTCCCGCCCAGCCCTCCCTTCATTTATTTCCAGCCCCCATGAAGCTCCTCCCCAGCCTTCAGCCCCAGCTGGGGAAAAGAGCTTGGGGTGAGAGCTGCAAGCCAGCCTGACTTCCAGAAAAGGCCTAAAAGGAGGGGAGAAGGCATGTTTCGAAAGCTTTGGCAAAATGGATGGCCCATGACATGAGATCAAGCACAGAGGGCACAGAAAGCAGGCAGATGTGGGTTGTGGTCCCAACTCCACCCCATATCAGCTTGCTTGAGCTTAGACAGATCACTTGACTTCTGTGAGCCCGTTTCTCTTCTCTGTGTAATGACGATAATGATTCTTGTTTTATAGGGTAGTGGTGAGGATTAGTGACAATAAAAGTAAAGGGGCACAGTGGCTCATGCCTATAATCCCAGTGTTTTGGGAGGCTGAGGCGGGAGGATTGCTTGAGGACAGGGGTTGGAGGACAGCCTGGGCAATAGAGTGAGACCCTGTCTCTGAAAAAAAAAAAAAAAAAGAAAAGAAAAGAAAAAAGAAAAAAGTAGCCTGGGTGCCGTGGCTCACGCCTGTAATCCCAGCACTTTGGGAGGCCGAGGCAGGTGGATCACTTGAGGTCAGGAGTTTGAGACCAGCATGGCCAACATGGTGAAGCCCCGTCTCTACTAAAAATAGAAAAATGAGCCAGGCGTGGTGGTGTGTGCCTGTAATCCCAGCTATCTGGGAGGCTGAGGCAGGAGAATCGCTTGAGCCTGGGAGGCAGAGGTTGCGGTGAGCTTAGATCACACCACTGCACTCCATTCTGGGTGACAGAGTGAGACCCTGTCTCAAAAAAAAAAAAAAAAAAAAAAAAGTCCGGGCACGGTGGCTCACACCTCTAATCCCAGAACTTTGGGAGGCCGAGGTGGGCAGATCACAAGGTCAAGAGTTCGAGACCAGCTTGGTCAATATGGCGAAAACCCCATCTCTACTAAATATACAAAAATTAGCCGTGCGTGGTGGTGGGTGCCTGAAATCCCAGCTACTCAGGAGGCTGAGGCAGGAGAATCATTTGAACCCGGGAGGCAGAGGTTGCAGTGAGCCGAGATCACGCCACTGCACTCCAGCCTGGGTGACAGAGTGAGACTCTGTCTCAAAAAAATAAAAATAAATAAAAATAAAGGCTTTGCAAACATAAACACTCAATGGATCGAAGTGATTATTAGTATTACTGATAATTTTTTATTTTTATTTTATTATTTTTAATTTTTTTGTCTTTTTCTCAATTTGATAATGTACATATTAAATCATAGCAGAGAGTAAGACAAGCTGAAATGTGGAGTGGTTAAGAGTGTAAGATCTCTGACCCAGCAGTTCCACTTCTGTGTGTGTGCGTGTGGTGTATGTGTGTCATACAGAGCACACCTGTTGTCCCAGCTGCTCAGAAGGAGGCTGATGCAGGAGGATCACTTGAGCCCAGGAATTAAAATTTAGCCTGAGTAACATAGGGAGACCCTGTCTTTACAAAAGAAAAGAAACAAAACCAAAACCAAACAAAATTACATATATATGTGTATATATATACACACACACATATATATATACACATACATATCCAAAAGAAATGAAAAATATGTCTACACAAAAACTTGTATGTGAATATCCATAGGATTATTCGTAATAGCCAAAAGGTAGAAACACATGAATGTTCAATTTATAAATCGATTTTTTAAATGTGCCTATCCATACATGGCATATTATTTATCAAAAAGGATCCATACTACCACATGGAGGAACCTTGCAAACAGTACAGAAAGTAGACAAAGCCAGTCACAGGAATCATATACATATTGTATGATTCCACTTATATGAAATGTCTAGAATAGGCAAATCTATATAAAGACAAAGTAGGGCCGGGCGCGGTGGCTCACGCCTGTAATCTCAGCACTTTGGGAGGCTGAGGTGGGCGGATCACGAGGTCAGAAGATCGAGACCATCCTGGCTAACACGGTGAAACCCGGTCTCTACTAAAAATACAAAAAATTAGCCGGGCGTGGTGGCGGGCGCCTGTAGTCCCAGCTACTCGGGAGGCTGAGGCAGGAGAATGGCGTGAACCCGGGAGGCGGAGCTTGCAGTGAGCCGAGATCGCACCACTACACTCCAGCCTTGGGCGACAGAGCGAGACTCCGCCTCCAAAAAAAAAAAAAAAAAAAAAAAGACAAAATGGGTTAGTGGTTGCTTCGGGCTGGGAGTAGGGGATGGGAGGGGAATGGGGAGTGGCTGCTAATTAGTACAGGGTTTCTTTCAGGGTTTTCTTTTCTTTTTTTTTTTTTTCTTTTCTTTTTGAAACGGAGTCTCGCTCTGTCGCCCAGGCTGGAGTGCAGTGGCACCATCTCCGCTCACTGCAAGCTCCGCCCCCCAGGTTCCCGCCATTCTCCTGCCTCAGCCTCTAGAGCAGCTGGGACTACAGGCGCCCGCCACCACGCCCGGCTAATTTTTTGTATTTTTAGTAGAGACGGGGTTTCACCGTGTTAGCCAGGATGGTCTCGATCTCCTGACCTCATGACCCACCCGGCTGGGCATCCCAAAGTTCTAGGATTACAGGCAGGAGCCACCGCACCCAGCCTTTTCTTTTTCTTTTCTTTCTTTTTTTTTTTTTTGAGACAGAGCATTGCTCTGTCACTCAGGCTGGAGTGCAGTGGCACGATCTCGCCTCACTGCAAGCTCCGCCTCCCGGGTTCACGCCATTTTCCTGCCTCAGCCTCCCCAGTAGCTGGGACTACAGGTGCCTGCCACCACGCCTGGCTAATTTTTTTGTATTTTTAGTAGAGACGGGGTTTCACCGTGTTAGCCAGGATGGTCTTGATCTCCTGACCTCGTGATCTGCCTGCCTCAGCCTCCCAAAGTGCTGGGATTACAGGCGTGAGCCACCGCGCCCGGCCTTCTTCTTTTTTTTTTTTTTTTTTTTTTTTTTTTTTTTTTTGAGACAGAGTCTCGCTATGTCACCACCCAGGCTGGAGTGCAATGGCGCGATCTCAGCTTACAGCAACCTCTACCTCCCACAGGCGTGTGCCACCACACCTAGCTAATTTTTGTATTTTTAGTGACCTCTGCCTCCCGGGTTCAAGTGATTCTCCTGCCTCAGCCTCCCAAGTAGCTGGGATTACAGGCGCCTGCCACCACACCCGGCTATTTTTTGTATTTTTTAGTAGAGACGGGGGTTTCACCACGTTGGCCAGGCTGGTCTCGAACTCCTGACCTCAAGTGATCTGCCCGCCTCTGCCTCCCAAAGTGCTGGGATTACAGGCATGAACTACCACGCCCGGCCAGGTTTCCTTTTTTTTTTTTTTTTTTTTTACCTATTAATTACAAATTATTTCAGTGATGTTTGCACAACCCTGTAAATATACTAAAAATCATTGACTTGTACACTTGAGTGGGTGATGTGAATTCTATCTCAATAAAGCTGTGTTTTTTAAAAAAACATTTAACCTCATCTTTCTTTTAACACAGGGTTTTTCACACTTTGGTACATCAGAATCAGCTGGCGGGTTTGTTAAAATTCAGATTGCTAGGCCCCACCCCAGAATTTCTCACTTAGTAAGTCTGGGGTGGTGCCTAGGAATTTGCGTTACTAAAGGTTCCCAGATGATTCAGAAGCCATGGCTGCTCAGGGAGCCCACTTTGAGAACCAGTGGTCTAGCGCTAGCTGTGTGAGCTAAATTTTCTAAGCTTCAGTTTGATCCAACAACTGGGGATAAAAATAGCTCTACTGCATCTGGTTTCCATGCAGATTAAAAGAGATAATCGTGAAATGTACTTGCTACAGAGTCTAGTGCATCCTTAGAGCTCAATAAATGGAAATTATTATTATTTAGATCTAAATCCTTCCCTGGAGGGGCTCTCAGGCAACCATTCATTCATTCATTCAGGAAATATTTATTAAGCACTTACTATATGCCAGTCCTTCTGGGGCTAAGAATACAACAGGAAACAAGACAGCCTTGTCCCACACTTCAAGGAGCTGACATTCCTGAGGAAGGTGGGAACTCAGACCATGAATAAATATGCAAATAAACAAAATAATTTCAGATAATGATGTTCTGGGAAGAAAACAAAACGAGGTGATATAATAACAGCTGGAGAGTTAGATTGGCCTATGCGTTCAAGAAACGCCTCCAAGGAGGTGAGCTTTGAGGTAAATCCTGACTAAATCCTGGGGGATGATCAAGACAAAGGAAACATCATTGCAAAGGATTTGAGAAGGGAGCATGAAGAGAGAGTGAGGAGACAGGAACACATATAACTTAAACTTAAGGACAGACCAAGAGCCAGGAGAAAGGTACAAGCAAAACCCTTTAGGGAAGAGGTTCTGGAGAAAGAGTCGGGGCCCCTCCCTTCAACAGTCATGGCTCAAATATTTATTGCTCTACTGTGTACTTGATGTCCTGAGATAGATAGGCCAATAGATGACTCAGGAGAGGTCTGGCCCTGACAGAAAACCAGACACAGAAAGACGAAGATAACCACGAGCTACAGCCAGAGAGCACTGTCCAGGGATGAAGGATAAACCCGGGGATTCTTCACAGCAATTAGGAGAGGGAGACGGTTTTGGCTCCATTGGAATTTATCTATTCAACCAGCATTTCTTTCTTTTTAAATTTTTTTTCTTTTTTTTCTTTTAATAGAGATGGAGTTTTGCCATGTTGCCCAGGCTGGTCTCGAACTCCTGGGCTTAAGCGATCCTCCCGCCTCGAGCTCCCAAAGTGCTGGGATTACAGGCGTTGAAATTTTTACACTATGCCAGACACTATGAGCTGCTGGGGACATGGATGACTTAGTTCTTGTCCCTGCCTTTGGGGAATTCACATTCCAGTGAGAAAGGCAATGTCTGAGCATGGTTCTCAAACTCTGTAGTACATGAAAATCATCTGGGACACCTCGGATTGGAAAAGGACTGTGGCTACAACTCAAAATTGAGAAGCCACTAAATTTAAAAATATATTCTGCATGTTAAATTTATAACACCATGAACAAAAAGTAAAAAGACATCAAATAAACAGGGAAAATACTGTATATTCGAACTAATATCACAGACAAGAAGCTAGTCTTTCTCTTTCTCTCTCATTCTTTCCTCCCTACTCTATCTACATATAAATTAAGGCCCGGGCGCCGTGGCTCATGCCTGTGATCCCAGAACTTTGGGAGGCCGAGGCAGGCGGATCACAAGGTCAGGAGATCAAGACCATCCTGGTTAACACGGTGAAACCCCATCTCTACTAAAAAAATACAAAAAAATTAGCCGGGCGTGGTAGTGGGCACCTGTAGTCCCAGCTACTCAGGAGGCTGAGGCAGGAGAATGGCGTGAACCCGGGAGGCGGAGCTTGCAGTGATCCAAGATTGTGCCACTGCACCCCAGCCTGGGCGACAGAGCAAGACTGTCTCAAAAAAAAAAAAAAAAAAAAAAAAAGACTGAGCCAGGGGTGGTGGCTCATGCCTGTAATCCCAGCACTTTGGGAGGCCAAGGCGGGTGGATTGCCTGAGGTCAGGAGTTGGAGACCAGCCTGGCCAACATGGTGAAACCCTGTCTCTACTCAAAAAATACAAAAATTAGCCAGGCGTGGTGGCACGCTCCTGTAATCCCAGCTACTCAGGAGGCTGAGGCAGGAGAATCGCTTGAACCCAGGAGGCAGAGGTTGCAGTGAGCCGAGAATGTACCACTGCACTCCAGCCTGGGCAACAACAGTGAAACTCCATCTCAAAAAAAAAAAAAGAGTAAGGATGTTCTTTATGTTTCTTCATGATCTGGAGAAAACAGTCAAGATATATTGTTCAGTCAAAACAAGGCAGGGTCAGGGCACAGTGGCTCACACCTGTAATCCCAGCAGTCTGTGAGGCTGAGGCAGGAGTATTTCTTGAGGTCAGGAGTTCAAGACCAGCCTGGGCAACACAGTAAGACCTTGTCTCTACAAAAAATACAAAAATTAGCTGGGTGTGGTGGCACACATCCCAGCTACTCAGGAGGCTGAGGTGGGAGGGCCCCTTGAGCCTAGGAGTTCGAGGTTGTAGTGAGTTATGATTGTACCACTACACTTCAGTCTGAGCAAGACCCTGTCTCTAAAAATATAAATAAAATAAGGCAGGGTGTGGTGGCTCATGCCTGTAATCCTAGCACTTTGGGAGGCTAAGGCAGGAGGTTTGCTTGAGGCCAAGAATTTGAGACCAGCCTGGGCAATATAGCAAGACCCCCATCTCTACAAAAAATGTAAAATAAGCCAGGTATAGTGGTGCATGCCTGTAATCCAAGCTACTTGCATGGCTGAGGCAAGAAGTTCACTTGAGCCCAGGAGGTCAAGGCTCAGTGAGCCATGATGGTACCACTGCACTCCAGCCTGGGCAACAGAGCAAGACCCTGTCTCAAAAAAAAATTAATTAAATAAAAAATAAAAATATCATTCTGAGAGTCTGTAGTTTCCCCAGGCTGCCAAGGAAATTCATGGCACAAAAACAGCTATGAACCTCTGCTCTAAACAGCTATGCCTTTGCATTAGCATCCTTTCTGTATGACCATTTGCATTTTCTTTTTGAGACAGGGTCTTGCTCCGTTGCCCAGACTGGAGTGCAATGGTGTGATCATGGCTCACTGCAGCCTCAACCTGCTGGGCTCAAGTGATCCTCCATCTCAGCCTCCTGAGTAGCTGAGACTACAGACATATGCCATCCTGCCTGGCTAATTTTATTTTTAGAGATAGGTTCTTGCTATGTCGCCGAGGCTGATCTCGAGTTCCTGGACTCAAGCAATCCTCCTGCCTCAGCCTCCCAAAGTGCTGGGATTATAGGCATGAGCCACCATGCTCAGGGTCTCATCATGTTGCCCAGGCTGGCCTCAAACTCCTGAACTCAAGCAATCTTCCCACCTCAGCCTCATGAGTAGCTGGGACTACAGGTACATGCCGCCGCAGCCAGCTTATTGTTTGGCTTTTGAACCATGTAAATGCATTACCTAGTCAACATTTTAAATTAAAAAGATATTCTTAGGCCCAACTTTGGGGAATGATTCATTTGGGTAAGGGTGGGGCCCAGAAATCTGTGTTTTTAACAAGCATCTTGGATGAGTCTATCACAGATGGTTCTAGACCAGGCTTCACAGACAGCAAAAACGATGAGAACTAATGTGGAAGCAGGTGATCCTTGGTGCAGTAAGATGGGTCCCAAAGTGTCACCAGGATTTCCACAGGGCAAAGAAAGACATTCTAGAGAGCCTGGGGGGAGGTGACAAATATTCCTGGCCCATTTCCCCAGAGGTCCCGAACCCTCTTAGTTATCCCTCAGTGGGTCCTGAACCGTCATCCCTTAAACAGGACAGTAACAGATCTGGTAGTAAAAATCCTGCAGCCCTAGGGCCACTTTGGTCTGAGTTCTTATAGTGCAATTGCTGCGTGATCCTGGGCAAGTCACTTCCCCTTTCTGAGCCTTAATTTTCCCTTGTGTAAGATAATGATAACAAAAGTAATTATCTCCAAGGGTATTGGAAAAAGAGAATGAGTTCACGTGTGTGAATATGCCTGGCATAGAGTAGGTACTCAATAAATGTTGCTGATTTCTTTTCTCTCACTCTGTCGCCCAGGCTGGAGTGCAACAGTATGATCTCTGCTCACTGCAACCTCCGTCCCCCAGGTTCAAGCGATTCTCCTGCCTCAGCCTCCCGAGTAGCTGGGACTACAGGCACGTACCACCACGCCTGGCTAATTTTTTGTATTTTTAGTAGAGACGGGGTTTCACCGTGTTAGCCAGGCTGGTCTCGATCTCCTGACCTTGTGATCTGCCCGCCTCAGCCTCCCAAAGTGTTGGGATTACAGGCGTGAGCCACTGCACCCAGCCTTTTTTCTTATTTTTTTAAAATTTGAGACAGGGTCTCACTCTGTTGCTCAGGCTGGAGTGCAGTGGTGTGATCTCAGGTCACTGCAACCTTCGCCTCCCGGGTTCAAGGGATTCTCCTGCCTCGGCTTCCCAAGTAGCTGGGACTACAGGCATGCGCTACCACACCCTGATAATGTTTGTATTTCTTTTGGTAGAGACAGGGTTTCACCATGTTGACCAGGCTAGTCTTGAACTCCTGACCTCAAGTGATCCACTGCCTCGGCCTCCCAAAGTGCTGGGATTACAGGTGTGAGCCGTGCCCGGCCAATGTTGCTGATTTCTTGCTTGCCTTTCTCAGATCCCAGCCACACAGACTCCCTTCCTAGTGTGAGCCCCTTGCTGGTCATATGTGCTCTTGTTACCCACCTACAGATGTTAAATCCCAAGGAACTCAAATCTGTTCCTCTCTGTCCATTGCCACCTCCTAGCCCAAGCCACCCCTAGGATTGCCTGAATTACTGCAGTAGCCTTCAAGTGATTCCTCTGCTTCACCCTTGGCCCCTGCAAGCCATTCTCTACACAGCAACTAGATCTATCTTTATTTATTTATTTACAGACAGTGTCTTACTCTGTTGCCCAGAATGGAATGCAGTGGCATAATCATGGCTCACTGTAACCTTGAACTCCTGGTCTCAAATGATTCTCCCACCTCATCCTCCCGAGTAGCCTGGACTACAGGCACGCACCACCATGCCAGTTAATATTATTTTATTTTTTATTTTTGTAGAGACGGGAGTCTCACTATGTTGCCCAGGCTGATCTCCTGCCTTGGCCTCCCAAAGTGCTGAGATTACAGGCTTGAGGCACTGTGCCCCCACCTAGACCTATCTTTTAAAAATGCAAAACTGTGTCATTTTCCTGGTTAAACCTTTTAGTGGTTCCCCAAACCCCCTGGGATAAAGACTTAACTCTTTACTGAACCCTCCAAATGCTCCAGTCACTCTTAAGTTTCTCAGTTCTTTGAAGAGCCAAGTGCTCTCTGGATTTGGGGCCTTCACACATGCTGTTCCCTCTGCCTGAAAAGCTCTTCCGCTCCCCACCTCTTTAGCCAATTCCCACTCAGGCTTCAGACCTCAGCTCAATTGCTGCCACTCCAGAGAGACTTTCCTAACCCTCCAGGTCAGGGAGAGAGGCCTCATTTTTCCTCCCTCAGCCTCCTGTGTTTTCTTGAATTTCTTAGCTTCATGGGTACAAGTTCTTCCCCCGACTGGGCTGGGATCCCTCAGGGGAAATGGACCATGTTTATTTCTGCGTCCCCAGGTCATAGCAGAGCATCCTGGTGCATGGAAGATGCTCACTATACATGCTTTTTTCTTTCTTTTTTTCTTTATTCGGATAATATAACTTCTTTCTTTAAAGTTTCGCTTAGTATTTTGTTGTGGTAAAATGCACATAACATAAAACTTACTATGTTAATCATTTTTAAGTGTACAGTTTCCGTGGCATTAAGCACACACATATAGTTGTGCAATCAGTACCACCATCCATCTCCAGAACTTTTTTCATCTTCCCGAACTGAAGCTCTGTACCCATTAAACACTAGCTCCCCATTCTCTGTCCACCCCTCGAGCTTCTGGCAATGGTCATTCTACTTTGTCTCTACAGATAAAGTTTATTTGGAAATAATTTTTCTTTCATGGCCTTGACATTTTTGAAGAGTACAGTCCAGCTCTCTTCTAGACTGTCCCTCCGTCTGGATTTATGTCATTTCTTCATGATTAGATTCAGTTAGGTATTTTTGGCAGAAACATCATAGAAGTGATGCTGTGTCCTCAGTCTATTAAAAGAGGCACAAGATATCAGTTTATCTCATTATTGATCAAATTAACTGACTATATGTTTAAGGGAGACAAGCCAGATTTCCTCACTGAGAGATTCCCTGTTTCTCTTTGCAATAATTAAATGTGAGAAACTTATTTTGAGACAAAGTCTCACTCTGCACTCTGTCCCCCAGGCTGGAGTGCATTGGCACAATCTCGACTTACTGCAACCTCTGCCTCCCTGGTTCAAGCGATTCTCCTGCCTCAGCCACCCAAGTAGCTGGGGTCACAGGAACCCACCACACCTGGCTAATTTTTGTATTTTTAGTAGAGACGGGATTTCACCATGTTGCCCAGGCTGGTCTTGAACTCCTGACATCAAGTGATCCACCCACCTCGGCCTCCCAAAGTGCTGGGATTAAAGGTGTGAGGCTGTGTGAATGATGTGTGCTCCAGGGAAAGTCATAGAATATATCAGTTTCCCCCTCTGTAAAGTGTGGACAGAAGTATCCTAACTGATATTACAGCTTAAGAAAGTAAAAGTGTTCAAGCGGCCTCTGGGCGCCAGCAAAAGAGGCTGGGGATTAATTTCCTGCGCGCTCCACAAGAGGCGGGGCTGGGCGGGGCGGGGGCGAGAGGGAACGAGGGCGCCTGCGCGGAGAGGAGTGACCATAGAGTCGGTCCTCCAGAGACAGAGGGGCCGGAAGTTCTCTTCACGGAGCCGCGCGGCTGCGGGGGCGCAAATAGGGTCAGTGGGCCGCTTGGCGGTGTCGTTGCGGTACCAGGTCCGCGTGAGGGGTTCGGGGGTTCTGGGCAGGCACAATGGCGTCTCGAGCAGGCCCGCGAGCGGCCGGCACCGACGGCAGCGACTTTCAGCACCGGGAGCGCGTCGCCATGCACTACCAGATGAGGTATGAAGTGAGGCGAGGAGCACGGAGGCTTTCTCCCCCGCTGGAGCCTGCGGGGCTTGGGGAGCGACGCCGGCCCGGCCTCAGGGTCTTGCTCCCCAGCCAGCCCCCGCTCACCTGCCAAGTCCCCTCCTCCCGTGACGGCTTCGGGCCTGTCCCCCATCCTGGAAAGCCCCGTGGCCCCCGCGAGCTCCACCCCTTGTTCCGCCCGGTGCCTTGAGGGGATCCAGCCCCGCGTGGGCTCCCGCCCTGCGTGGGCTCCCGAGTCACGTCGATGCTGGCCCCGCTGTATCACCTTCGAAACCGAATTTCTAATTTGAGCCTCAGCTTCCTCATCTGTAGAGGGAGAGAATAATCTGCCTTTTAGGTTTTGGTGAAAGATTAATCAGTAATTCGTGTAAAGAAAGTAGCATAAGGCCTACCACGTAATATATGGTAGGTGTTATATTTTGGGCCGTTTGGGGGGATATAGACAGTAAAAGGCAGCCTTTCCTAAGGACGCCTTGCCTAAAATGAATTTTATAAACACTCCCACGTAAGGGGTATTTCTACATTCAATTACTAGTTCGACAAATACTGAGCTTCCAAACATCATACACTGCTAGACACTAGGTTATAATAGTGAGCAAAAGCAGACGTGGTCTTTGTATACATGTTATACCTTCAATAAACAATTTTATTAAAGAAAAAAAAAACTGTTCCCTGCCTTCATGGAGCTTGAAGTCTAGAGATGACTGTTTTTTTTTTCCAACCTTTCCACATTTTCTACAATAAATATTTTTAAATAAAAATTTTAAAATTTTTACTTCCTTAAATCCATTGATCTCTCCCAGAATGTTCTTCACATCTCTCTCTCCAGAGTTTTAAAGAATGACAAGCTCTTTGAACTCTCATTTGTTTCACATCTCTAGGCCCCGGCTGAAAGGGCCCTCACAACTTAAGCAGGTGTTTTCATGCCAGCCCAGAGTAGAAACATTGCCTTTAGGGATATGAGGAGGATACGTTTGGGACGTGAGAGAATTAGAAGAATAAGATAAGTATGTACTTCTTTTGGATGAAAAAATCTAGCTGGAGAAGTATGGGCGGCCTGAGTACGTTTCCTCTCTGCCAATACCTTCTCCCGCCAGACTTTAATCCTATGGTGCAGTCAGCGTCCTCTTGCTAAACACAGCTCTGAGCTACCCTTCTGCCTTTATTATTATTATTAATTTATTTATTTATTTTTGAGACGGAGTCACGGTCTGTCGCCCAGGCTGGAGTGCAGTGGCGCGATCTCAGCTCACTTGTAAGCTCCGCCTCCCGGGTTCACGCCATTCTCAGCCTCAGCCTCCCGAGTAGCTGGGACTACAGGCGCCCGCCACCACGTGCTGCTAATTTTTTTGTATTTTTAGTAGAGACAGGGTTTCACCGTGTCAGCCAGGATGGTCTCGATCTCCTGACCTCGTGATCTGCCCGCCTCGGCCTCCCAAAGTGCTGGGATTACAGGCGTGAGCCACCGCGCCCAGCCCTGCCTTTTTATTAGTAGTATTGTTGTTGTTTTTTTTTTTTATGGAGATGGGGTCTCATTTTGTTGCCAGGCTGGTCTCGAACTCCTGGGCTCAAGCAGTCCTCCTGCTTCAGCCTACCAAAGTGCTTGGATTAGAGTTGTGAGCCCAGCCTCTTCTACTTTTAACTCTCATAGTCTTTGTGATTCATATCCCACTACCCCTCTCCCCCTAACAATATGTTCCTGCCACACATAACCACTTGCTTTCCTGGAACACAAATACTTGGGCCTTTTTGTCTGCATGCTCCTGCATGGGATGCCCATCTTCACTCATTCCTGAGCCTAGTTCAGATATCACCTGCCTCTAGATAGCCATCTCTGACATTCCATGCCAGGCAGAGTTGATTCCTCCTTCCTGTGATCCCATATATCTGGGAACATATATTTACTAGAACTTTTTCACTTCATTTTCTAATTACTTTTTCCTCCTCTGTTCTTTGTGTCCGGCTTCTAGGCTGTTTTATTCAAATTTGTATCCCAGTGTCCAGTACAGTTGTCTGGCATATAGTTGGTGGTAAGAAAAATTTGAAAGATACTTCTCCCTCTGCTCTGCCCCACAGTGTGACTCTCAAGTATGAAATCAAGAAGCTGATCTACGTACATCTGGTCATATGGCTGCTGCTGGTTGCTAAGATGAGCGTGGGACACCTGAGGCTCTTGTCACATGATCAGGTGGCCATGCCCTATCAGTGGGAATACCCGTATTTGCTGAGCATTTTGCCCTCTCTCTTGGGCCTTCTCTCCTTTCCCCGCAACAACATTAGCTACCTGGTGCTCTCCATGATCAGCATGGGACTCTTTTCCATCGCTCCACTCATTTATGGCAGCATGGAGATGTTCCCTGCTGCACAGCAGCTCTACCGCCATGGCAAGGCCTACCGTTTCCTCTTTGGTTTTTCTGCCGTTTCCATCATGTACCTGGTGTTGGTGTTGGCAGTGCAAGTGCATGCCTGGCAGTTGTACTACAGCAAGAAGCTCCTAGACTCTTGGTTCACCAGCACACAGGAGAAGAAGCATAAATGAAGCCTCTTTGGGGTGAAGCCTGGACATCCCATCGAATGAAAGGACACTAGTACAGCGGTTCCAAAATCCCTTCTGGTGATTTTAGCAGCTGTGATGTTGGTACCTGGTGCAGACCAGGCCAAAGTTCTGGAAAGCTCCTTTTGCCATCTGCTGAGGTGGCAAAACTATAATTTATTCCTGGTTGGCTAGAACTGGGTGACCAACAGCTATGAAACAAATTTCAGCTGTTTGAAGTTGAACTTTGAGGTTTTTCTTTAAGAATGAGCTTCGTCCTTGCCTCTACTCGGTCATTCTCCCCATTTCCATCCATTACCCCTTAGCCATTGAGACTAAAGGAAATAGGGAATAAATCAAATTACTTCATCTCTAGGTCACGGGTCAGGAAACATTTGGGCAGCTGCTCCCTTGGCAGGCTGTGGTCTCCTCTGCAAAGCATTTTAATTAAAAACCTCAATAAAGATGGCCCTGCCCACACTGTGCCTTGTGTTTGGGGCTTGATAGAGTGTGAAAGGTGTGTTGCTTGAAAGGTGTGGCCTTAGACACTAGGAGATGATGGGTAGAAGCTCCTTGAGAAACCTAGCAGTGGCCATAGAGAAGTAGACTGGGTATGGGGAACCTAAGTCATAGTTGTAACCTACAGCTGATTGGTAAGAACTATGGGCCAGACATTTAATCTCTCCATCTATGAAATAGTCCATTCTCATTTATCTACCTTAGGTTATGGGCTCTTCTTTTAGTTGGATATTCACATTTATCTTTCAGTGTTAACTGGGTATCAGTTATGAGTCTACTACTGTATAATGGCATCCAAAAGAATTTTAAAGTACCTCGGTTTATAGGGATTTACAATTCAGTAGAAACTTGTTATTCATGTGAAACAGTGAACATAATATCTAATGATGTGGAGCAAGTACATTAAAAACAGGAAGGAAGAGATCTGTGATTAAACTAAAGGCCCTTTCACACCTAAAATTCTGGCAGTATTTATTGCATGAAAGATAATGTGTCTCTTTGCACTTGATTTTATTGTCTCTGGATGATGCCCAGATCTGTAACTGCAGAGCTCTGCCCTCTCCAGAGATGTAGTCATTATTTTGTTCTAGAAACATTGTGTATGTAGTTAGTCATTACTGAGTCACTTTTTTTTTTTTTTTTTTTTTAATTGAGACGGAGTCTTGCTCTGTCGCCCAGGCTGGAGTGCAGTGGCACGATCTCGGCTCACTGCAAGCTCTGCCTCCCGGGTTCACACCATTCTGCCTCAACCTCCCAAGTAGCTGGGACTACAGGTGCCCACCACCACGCCCGGCTAATTTTTGTATTTTTAGTAGAGACGGGGTTTCATCGTGTTAGCTAGGATGCTCTCGATCTCCTGACCTCATGATCCGCCCTCCTCAACCTCCCAAAGTGCTGGGATTACAGGCGTAAGCCACCGTGCCTGGCCTTTTTTTTTTTTTTTTTTTTTTTTTTTAAAGGCAGTGTTTCATTTCCCTCACCCAGGCTGGAATGCAGTAGCGCCATCTTGGCTCGCCTCTACCTACCAGGCTCAAGTGATTCTCCTGCCTCAGCCTCTCAAAGTGCTTGTGTTACAGGTGTGAGCCATCGCGCCTGGCTGGCAGTACTTACAACTCTAAAACCTCTTCCTCTAGATGTCCTAATTATCATCTCAAAATAAGTATGTCCCAAACAGACCTTTGTGTTTCTGCCTCATACCCATTCCTCTTCCTGCATCCCTTTGTTCAAGTGAGTATATACCAAGAGTACAGCTCTGGATTATCTGTTCCATGATCATTAAGTCCCTACTATGATCTTTGTTGCAACTTAAATGCCTTAAGCTCTGAGGTTTCCAAAGTGGTCCCAATCCACCAGTCCTGCATTATCTCCCAATACCCCTAGTCTCATGCTGTCTTAGTCAACTAAACCTCTTATGGATCCCCATGTAGGTTTCGTGGTTTCCCAGTTTCCTTTGCTTAAAAATTTCCCTTTTCTATTTTTATACTGCTTTATTAATTATCCTTTAAGGCCCAGTTAATATGGCAATTCTTGAGCTTTCTGGTTCCTTCAATTCAAGGAACATGAATTCCTTCTCTGAGTTCTTATTTTACTGCTTTTAGGTGCTGCACAGGAGGTGTGAAAAACATGCAATTCTTTTTATTTATTTTTTTTATTTTTATTTTTTTTGAGACAAGGTCTTACTCTGTCGCCCAGGCTGGAGTGCAGTGGCATGATCTTGGCTCACTACAACCTCCGCCTCCCGGGTTCAAGCGATTCTCTTGCCTCAGCCTCCCTAGTAGCTGGGATTACAGGCGCCTGCCGCCGCGCCCGGCCTAATTTTTTTTTTTTTTAAACAGAGTCTTGCCCTGTTCCCTAGGCTGAAGTGCAGTGGCTCGATCTGGGCTCATTGCAGCTTTCCCTCCCAGGTTCAAGCGATTCTCCTGACTCAGCCTCCTGAGTAGCTGGGATTACAGGCATGTGACACTATGCCTGGCTAATTTTTGTATTCTTAATAGAGACAGGGTCTCACTATGTTGGCCAGACTGGTCTTGAACTCCTGACCTCAGATGATCATCCTGCTTTGGCCTCCCAAAGTGCTGGGATTACAGATGTGAGTTACTGTGCCCAGCCTCACATGGAATTATTGACAGGATTATTGTAAACTAAAGTCGGGGTGTATTTCACAGAGGATAGAACCAAACTGAAGTAGAGAGAAAATTTGGAGAGCAGTAGTAGATGGAAATGTATGGATAATGGAGTTAGTATGTGCACCAGACACAGATTGCTCGTTTTTAAAGAATTGGGATGCAAATAGTTTGAAATTTCTTTGGTTATTGGAATGGCACTTTATGGACTTAGAGTACTATCAAAGACCCATTATGAAAATTATTGTCAACAATGTAAACAAACCAAAACCATTTGGTTTATGTTAGTTTTCTGCTTGTTAGGTTGTCGGAATTTTGCTTTTGTGGACCTTTCCTATCACCTTTTCCTGCCTCATGGTTGTAGTGTTCCAGAAGCAAACAAGATTCCCTTGTTGAATCTTGATTTAGTAGAAAGAACATTATTTGAATCAGAAGATATGTTCAAGTACCAATGCACCTACCAATTATAGGACTAAAATCAACCCTCCCTATTTCACAGATTGTTCTAAAGATCAAATAATGTGGCTGGGCGCAGTGGCTCATACCTGTAATCTCAGCACTTTGGGAGGCCGAGGCAGGCGAATCACCTGAGGTCAGGAGTTTGAGACCAGTCTAGCCAACATGGTGAAACCCCGTCTCCACTAAAAATACAAATGGGCATGGTGGTGGGTGCCTGTACTTCCAGCTACTTGGGATGGTGTCCTAAGAGGATGGGCCAGAAGACCTGGGTTCCCCTCCCTGCCAATTATTCCTCTCTGAGCCTCGCTTTTCTCCTCTGGAGACTCACCGCTATGTCTTCCTGGCCTCTTCTGCCAGAACACACTACTTGGGGAGATCAGAGGGTTTCTGGACCCTGTAGTTCACAGAAGGTACTAAACTTAGCAGTGTGTTCACAGAAGGTACTAAACTTGGGAGGCTGGGGCAGGAGAATCGCTTGAACCCAGGAGGCTAAGGTTGTGGTGAGCCGAGATCGCGCCACTGCACTCCAGCCTGAGTGACACAATGAGACTCTGTCTCAAAAAAAAAAAAAGTTGAAATATTGTGAAACTGCTTTATGAACTATGTATCATTATATAAATATGAAAGATGGTTATTTCCTGATCTTTACAGGAGGAGAGAATGTAGGAGTTGAAGGGACTATTAGAGATAATCCAGGCCATGAGAAAGGCAATGTGGTATAATGGAATGAACAGTGTTTTTTGTTTTGTTTTGTTTTGTTTTGTTTTTGAGACTCACTCTGTCGCCTAGGCTGCAGTGCAGTGGTGCAATCTCAGCTCACTGCAACCTTTGCTCACACCCGGTTAATTTTTGTATTTTTGTAGAGACAGGGTTTCACCATGTTGGCCAGGTCTCGAACTCCTGACCTCAAGTGATCTACCCACCTCGGCCTCCCAAAGTGCTAGGATTACAGGCATGAGCCACCATGCCCAGCCAACAGTTTCTTACATTAGACAGACATAGGTGGGAATTCCAGCCAGGCATTTTACTAACTTTTGCCTTGTGCAAGATACCTGAGCCTCTGTTCTTGATCTGACACATGGGCATCATTTTAGCTACCCCCAGGATTGTTGGGAGGCTTAGATAATATGTATGGACAGGCTACATAGTAGGGGTTTAATAAGTAACAGAATGCCTTCCCTTGTTGAGCAGTGTTGGCTTCCTCGCTGAGATTGGGAGTCTCTACCTCTCAGCAATAATTTCTTGCCTCAGAATTCTGGAGGTTGATCCTTCTGGAAGAGCAGATGTAAAGAAGGGATACTCGCCCACTGTTGGTGTACATTGATCTAATTGGTGGGCCTTCCTGCCCAGGGTTCCCTATCAGTGAGCAGAGTTGCCCCAGTAGACGTTAGGAATTGGCCATTACAGGAAGAACCTGGAGCTACTGTTCCATGGTCTGACCAGAGTTCATGCACAGATAAGGCGGTGACAAGAAAAATGGCTGCCCAAGGTCCCTACAGTGCACTCTAAGCATGTGCAGGGGCCTGCCAGGACTTCCTGAGCTCCTGGCTTTGTTCCCAAGTAAAGGCTATTAATCATTAATCATGAAGTCTTGGTCAGCTCATTTTGACACAAACCACAGATGAGACAGGCCTTAGCCACCTGCCAAGAAGACAGGGCCTCTGTGCTGAAGCCCTACAACACACCTTTGTTGCTTTACTCCAATTGGCCACCTCCTATTCCAGCCACAGTTACTCCTCCCTTGTTGACACTTGCCAAACAATCCCAACTCTCCTACAAGTCTAACCACTGGTAACATTATTATAAGATCTACTTTCCTTTCTTTCCAACACTTTCATTTCTTTCTTTACATTGTTAACCCTGCCAATTGTATCACACTGCTAAGTTTAGTAACTTCTGTGAACTACAGGGTCCAGAAACCCTCTGATCTCCCCAAGTAGTGTGTTCTGGCAGAAAAGGCCAGGAAGACATAGCGGTGAGTCTCCAGAGGAGAAAAGCGAGGCTCAGAGAGGAAAAATTGGCAGGGAGGGGAACCCAGGTCTTCTGGCCCATCCTCTTAGGACACCATCTCCTAGGCCTCATATTTCTGAAGTTCTCACAGTGCTGCGGTGTTTAGCGCTCTGATCTATTGGCAAGCGGACTGGTAGACTTGGCAGCCCTTTTCCCCCTCTGACTCCAGGGAGAGTACCTGCATGCCTTCTGGGGGCTTCCCCCAGCTCAGGTGTGAAGTGTGATTGTGTGTGTGTGCATGTGTGTGTATGAGACAGAGAAAGGGGATGTGTGTGCACAAGGTGCATGTCAGCAGCACTCACAGGCTTCCTGCCAGCTCTGGAAGGGACATTTTTTGCCCCTCACAGTGTCCTCTTGCAGGTAGGATGCCTGGAGAGACGGGAGCAGGTGGGGAGGGTCAGAGGAATGGCTTTTCCAATCTCACTCAGACCTAAAACTCATTCTGGCTTTACTTTACTGTGACGCAAGCTGCCTGAGCTGGCCAGGCACCAAATAGGAGGGGGCAATGTGGGGTGAGGGCAAGGGTGGGGAGGAACTCAGAGCGTAAGCGTAGGAGAGAGATCAGCAAGTGAGGGGCTGACTTCAGCTCTTAGGTGTGTGTGCTTGGACTTTACCTAATCTTCCTGAGTGTTTTGCAGTCTGTAAAATGGGGTAATAAGACTGTGAACTCAAGGGTTGTAGTACAAATAAAATAAACTGGGCAAAATGCATGACTCAGAGCCTGATAGTAGGATTTCAGCAAATGTTGATCCCATCCCTCCCCTTCCTTAGGTTGTGCCAGAATTCACCCCTGTGCTTCTTACCTTAAATACTTTTTGGAACAGTCTCTACAATAAATAAGTAAACCAGCAAGACAATAAATAAAATGCACACGTCCTTTTCTTTTTCCCCCTTTCTTCCTCACCTTTATTCCTTTTACTTTTCCAGCGGGTCCTGGAATGCTGTTTTTCTTCCCTTTCTTCCCTCTTTCCCTCTCTTCTCTCCTCCCATCCTCCTTCCCTCCCTTCCTCTCTTCCTCCGTCCCTTCCTCCCTCCCTCCCTTCTTTCCTCCCTTCCTCCTTCCCTCCCTGCTGCCTTCTCTCCCTCCCTCCTTTCTTCCCTCCCTCCCTTCTTTCCTTCCTTCCTTTTTTTCCCTTCCTCTCTTCCTTCTTATCTCCATTTCTTTTCTGCTTCTCCTCCCATACCTTAACCAGAAGCAATTAACCAATATTTTCTCTGTGAGAGATCAGAAGATAAGGGTAAAGAAGAAGGATTGTTTTGGAATAGAACCAAGTTTCTCACTTCATGCCTCCAGCATTAGAAAACTCATTATTTGGGCCGGGCGCAGTGGCTCACGCCTGTAATCCCAGCACTTTGGGAGGCCGAGGTGGGCGGATCACAAGGTCAGCAGATTGAGACCATCCTGGCTAACACGGTGAAACCCCCTCTCTACTAAAAACGCAAAAAATTAGCCGGGTGAGGTGGCGGGTGCCTGTAGTCCCAGCTGCTCGGGAGGCTGAGGCAAGAGAATGGCGTGAACCTGGGAGGCGGAGCTTGCAGTGAGCCGAGATCGCACCACTGCACTCCAGCCTGGGCAACAGAGCAAGACTCCGTCTCAAAAAAAAAAAAAGAAAACTCATTATTGGCCAGACACAGTGGCTCACACCTGTAATCCTAGCACCTTGGGAAGCTGAGGCAGGATAACTGCTAGAGGCCAGGAGTTTGAGACCAGCTTGAGCACCATAGCCAGACCCTATATGTAGCCAGGCAAAATGGTGTGTGCCTGTGAAGGGAGGATTCACTTGAGTCCAGGAGGTTGAGGCTGCAGTAAGTGGTGATTGCGCCATTGTCCTCCAGCTTGGGTGATAGAGTGAGACTCTGTCTCAAAAAAAAAAAAAGAAAAGAAAGAAACCTCATATTTATATAGCTCTAAACCACTGTGAGTTAGGTAGAATTTGGGGGAAGGCTCTCTAACCTATTCTTAGTATGGCCAGACCACCCTTTCCTCCTTTCAGATCTTACTGTTTTGTTTGCAGAGATGGACTTCAAGGCCAAAAGGCATACTGTGTTAGGGTCTGTGTCAGGCAGCCCCTTTTGGGTTCCAAGAGCAGAGGAAGATGAGGCTGTGTGAGGGAAGACCATAGGATGATAGAGAATTGGTACCGGGCACAGTGGCTCATGCCCATAATCCTAGCACTTTGGAAGGTTGAAGCAGGTGGATCACTTGAGGCCAAGAGTTCAAGACCAGCCTGGCCAATGTGGCAAAACCCTGTCTCTACTAAAAATACAAAAATTAGCCAGGCATAGTGGTGCACAGCTGTAATCCCAGCTACTCAGGAGGCTAAGGCACAAGAATCACTTGAACCTAGGAGGCGGAGGTTGCAGTGAGCCAAGAACACACCACTGCACTCCAGCCTGGGCAACAGAGCAAGACTATCTCAAAAAAAAAAAAAAAAAAAAAAAGCCAGGTGCTGTGGTTCATGCCTGTAATCCCAGCACTTTGGGAGGCCAAGCTGGGCTCAGATCACCTTAGGTCAGGAGTCCAGGACCAGCCTGGCCAACATGGTGAAACCCGTCTCTACTAAAAATACAAAAATTAGTCTGGTGTGGTGGCGTGCACCTGTAATCCCAGCTACTCGGGAGGCTGAGGCGGGAGAATCGTTTGAACCTGGGAGGTGGAGATTGCAGTGACCTGAGATTGCACCATTTGCACTCCAGCTTGGGTGACACAGTGAGACTCTGTCTCAAAAAAAAAAAAAAAAAAGAGAGAGTTGAGTTGCGAGGGCCTAGCAAAAGGGGAGCTCCCTGAACTATAGACTTTGACCTTGTCCAAATCATTATCCCTCTGCTTCCTTATCTCTCTATGAAATGAAAACAATAATTAACACTTACCTGTCTCACAGGTAGGGTTAGGAGGATTAAATATAAAAGTGTTTTGTGAAGTGTGAAACAGATAAACTACATAGATGAAATGTATCATGACATTTATTCAATTACACAGCACATACTTCATAATATCTACTGCTAGGCTTGGAGAAACATAAAGAATAAGAGTTTTTATCTTTTCATGAACTCAAAAAGCTAGAGGGTACTTTTAGGATAATGGGTAGGATGCAGCCTTCAGACAATGAACCTAAAGACAGGAATAGAATTGGCCAAAAGCAGGCTGTGGTTAGGCCACTGAAAGGTGGTCTAGATTGAATTGCAGGGGGACAATAACAATCTCAAGATGCCTTGGCTGGGCGCCGTGGCTCACGCTTGTAATCCCAGCACTTTGGGAGGCCAAGGTAGGTGGATCACATAGTCAGGAGTTCGAGACCAGCCTGGCCAATATGGTGAAACCCTGTCTCTACTAAAATACAAAAATTAGCCAGGCATGGGGCAGGTGCCTGTACTCCCAGCTACTCAGGAGGCTGAGGCAAGAGAATCGGTTGAACCCAGCAGGTGGAGGTTGCAGTGAGCAGAGATTGTGCCACGGCACTCCAGCCTGGGTAATAGAGCAAGACTCAGTCTCAAAAAAAAAAAAAAAAAAAAAAAAAAAGATGCCTTGACCTGGTAGGTGTGCCCCAAACTTTCTTTCCAGTGTGTGTGTTACCAAGGTGAGGGCTGAAGCTGCTCAAATGCTCCATGAAGGGGAGGAAGCTGTGGGATGATGGGGAGGGTTCCCACAAAGATGGAGCCTCGTCAGCCTTTCTCCAGCACCGGAAACCACAGGAAACCAGGTCAGTGTGTGGGGCCCGCTCCCTCTGCTCCAGGGCTCAGCTGTGAGCTCTGGGGCTTCCTGAGCAGGGCGTACTGACTAGTGGGTCCTTGAAGCTAGAGGCCCCTTTGGTATGGAGCCCTTTGCCTAGAAGAGCTGGACCTGGCTCATGGGTAGAGAGAACTCGGCTATAGTCCTGAGAGTTAACCAGTTGGGAAGCCAGGGTACATATGGGCTTCATGTGCATCCTAGAGTGCTTTTTTTCTTCCCCACTCTAAATGGTGCCTCAGTCACCTCTGTATCTCCAGCACCCAGTGCTGAGTAGTGCTTAAGAGCTCGGCTAATTCTCTAAGTGAGGGGGTGAAGCGCATGTCTATGGGAGACACAAGTTCCAGAGTGTGCTGATGGGTGGATCAGATCTGCAGTGTGTTTCAGGAGTAGGAGGGGCTAAGAAATGGGTGCGTCCCCCAACCTGATGCTAGCCCCTTTCCTGTTACTTCTCACCCACAGCAGGAGCCCCTTGTCTTTCAGGTGGGGGGCAGTAGGGTTTTTGGGGGCACAAGCTTTCCTCAGTCCCTCCACTTGGAGGGGAAGGAATGTGGCCTGGCTGGCTGGTTGGGATCAAGGAGGAGCTTTCGGGCAGGGCGGGGCCAGGGCAGGCTGGGGCGAGGGCTCCTGCTGGTACTGTGTTCGCTGCTGCACAGCAAGGCCCTGCCACCCACCTTCAGGCCATGCAGCCATGTTCCGGGAGCCCTAATTGCACAGAAGCCCATGGGGAGCTCCAGACTGGCAGCCCTGCTCCTGCCTCTCCTCCTCATAGTCATCGACCTCTCTGACTCTGCTGGGATTGGCTTTCGCCACCTGCCCCACTGGAACACCCGCTGTCCTCTGGCCTCCCACACGGTAAGGTGCTGCTGCCAGGTAGGGACACCTGCCTGGCACAGCCATAAAGCTCCCCACTCCCCTGCCTGCCCTGTGCTACCTCCGCAGTCCCTGTGCTCTGGTGGCAGCTTTGATGTGTCCTCTACCTAGTCTCAAAGGGGTAGCCAAGGTCCTTTGTGCTGAGGGCCTGGACAGGGTGGAGCTGGGAAGATAAGAGCCAGAAGGTATGGGCTATTAGCTATGGGGCTCAGAATTTGCTGATTTGAAGCAAAGACCCCAGGAATGTGCCTTATGGGAGTCTCTCCTAATAATAGCTCTTTCCTTTCTTTTCCCTACTGGGCCCTGTGCCTCAGGATGACAGTTTCACTGGTGAGTCGCATTTCCTGCCCCATTGCTCCTCCCCACGCCCACTATTTTTGCAGATGCCTAGCAAGCCCTCCATTCTAATTTTCAGTTCCCAACCCGGGAAGTAGCACAATATCAAGGAAAAATTTGGAATCATGACAAGCCTGGGTTCACATTGCAGTTCTGCCAGACTCCCGTGTGGCCTCAGACTGTGCACCTAACCCCTCCAACTGACCCTCAGTTTCTGAGGGGTAGTAGCATAGTAGAAATGATTGTACACTAAAGGCAGTGTTGCTTCTGATCTGTAGAGAGGATTAGATGAGAAACATGAGTAAATCTCCAGGTTCTCCATATATGTTGGCTCCTCCCCTTAACTGATCCCTCACTTCTATCAGTAATACAACAATAATCCTTCCTATTTTATGGTATGTTCTACTTCACAAGACATTTTCCCATACACTACAATTTTGATTTTTATAACAGACCCGCTTTATGAATGAGGAATCTGATCCTTAGACAGGTCCTGTAACCCCCAAAGTCATACTTCCAGGATGTGACAGAGCTTGGCCTCAAATCCAGCTTGTTGGAGGTAGGAGGGACCTTCTTAGACCCTATCATTTGCTTTCCCTTCCATCTTTCCCAGGAAGTTCTGCCTATATCCCTTGCCGCACCTGGTGGGCCCTCTTCTCCACAAAGCCTTGGTGTGTGCGAGTCTGGCACTGTTCCCGCTGTTTGTGCCAGCATCTGCTGTCAGGTGGCTCAGGTATGAGAAACAGCCCCTTGGGCCATTCTCAGTGAAGAGAACATTTTGAGGGACCACCTAGGCTGAGCAAGTGGGACTTACTAGAACAGATATTTGTCTTGTTTTAACCTCAACTGGGACTTGGATTATCCTAAAATAGCACGCTATGACTGATATTCACAAATACAATTGTACAATTTTATGAAGGTTTTTTTTCAGCTGAGATTCTTGGAATTAAAAGCTATGGATTTATTGTTATTACCATCTATTTGTAGAGCAGGATCTTCTTTCTTACTCTATATTTTAATTGCTCAGCTCAGTGCCTGGTACATACTAAATGCCCTTACATTGCTTAAGAATTGGCAGTTTCTAGGCCAGGCGCGGTGGCTCACGCCTGTAATCCCAACACTTTGGGAGGCTGAAGCAGCCTGATCACCTGAGGTCAGGAATTCGAGACCAGTCTGGACAACATTGTGAAACCCCTGTCTCCACTAAAAATACAAAAAATTAGCAGGGCCTGGTGGCAGGCACCTGTAATCCCAGCTGCTCAGGAGGCTGAGGCAGGAAAATCACTTGAACCCAGGAGGTGGAGGTTGCAGTGAGCCGACATCATGCCATTGCACTCCAGCCTGGGCGACAAGAGCAAAACTCCATCTCCAAAAAAAGAATTGGCAGTTTCTGGGCCAGGTATGATGGTTCACACCTGTAATCCCAGCACTCTGGGAGGCCAAGGTGGGTGGATCGCTTGAGTCCTGGAGTTTGAGACCAGCCTGGCCAACATGGCCAAACCCCATCTCTACAAAAAAATACAAAAATTAGCTGGATGTGGTAGTGCACACCTGAAGTCCCAGCTACTTGGGAAGCTGAGGTGGGAGGATCACCTGAATTCAGGAGGTGGAGGTTGCAGTGAGTTAAGATAGCGCCACTGCACTCCAGCCTGGATGACAGTGTGAGACCCTGTCTCAAAAAAAAAAAAAAAAAAAAAAAAAGAATAGGCAGTGTTTAATTTTTCTAATTGTTTGTTGTTAGAAATAATGCTACAGGGCTGGGCACAGTGGCTTATGCCGGTAATCCCAGTACTTTGGGAGGCTGAGGCGGGCAGATCACCTGAGGTCAGGAGTTTGAGACCAGCCTGGCCAACATGGTGAAACCCCGTCTCTACTAAAAATACAAAAATTAGCCAGGTGTGATGGTGCATGCCTGTAATCCCAGCTACTCAGGAGGCTGAGGTGAGAGGATTGCTTAAGCCCAAGAGTTCAAGACTGCAGTGAGCAGTGATTGTGCCACTGCACTCCAGCCTCCATGACAGAGCAAAATCCTGTCAAGAAAGGAAGGAAGGAAGGAAGGAACGAAGGAAGGAAGGAACAAAGGAAGGAATGAAGGAAAGAAAGAAAAGAGAGAGAGGCAGGGACTGGCGTGGTGGCTCACGCCTGTAATCCCAGCACTTTGGGAGGCTGAGGTGGGCAGATCTTGAGATCAGGAGATCGAGACCATCCTGGCTAACATGGTGAAACCCCGTCTCTACTAAAAGTACAAAAAATTAGCTGGGCGTGGTGGCAGGCGTCTGTAGTCCCAGCTACTCTGGGGGCTGAGGCAGGAGAATCGCTTGAAGCCAGGAGGCGGAGATTGCAGTGAGCCAAGATCGCGCCGCTGCACTCCAGCCTGCGTGACAGAGCAAGGCTCCGTCTCCAAAAAATAAAAATTAAAGAATGCTAAAATGAATATCTTTGTATATATAGCTTTTTCTCTGCTTAAGAAATTAATCTTTTCTTGATTGCTTTATAATTTTCAAGATTAAAGAAGCTTGACATCCTTACCCTCCTTGATTTAAAACGACTTACTATCAGGCCGGCTCATGCCTGTAATCCCAGCACTTTGGGAGGCCGAGGCGGGCGGATCACCTGAGGTTGGGAGTTCGAGACCAGCCTGACCAACACGCAGAAACCCCGTCTCCACTAAAGATACAAAATTAGCCGGGCATGGTGGCACATGCCTGTAATCCCAGCTACTTGGGAGGCTGAGGCAGGAGAATCACTTGAACTTGGGAGGTGGAGGCTGCAGTGAGCCGAGATCGCGCCATTGCTCTCCAGCCTGGGCAACAAAGAGCAAAACTCCATATCAAAATAAATAAATAAATAAAATAAAATAAAATTACTTACTAACACTGGGCCACATCTCCAGGCAGGGGAGGGGGTAATGAGGGCTAGATAGTAAGTACGTCTCCCCTGCACAGGTCTTCAACGGGGCCTCTTCCACCTCCTGGTGCAGAAATCCAAAAAGTCTTCCACATTCAAGTTCTATAGGAGACACAAGATGCCAGCACCTGCTCAGGTACTCTCCCTGTCAGTTCCAGCCCTACCTGACGCCCCACAGACCTTTGCTTTCTGGCCTCTCATTTGGTTCTCCAGCCATGTGAGACAGAAAGTGTGGAGATGAAGTATTCTGTCTATTACACAGCTAGGGAGGCCAAAAGAGTTTGAGCAACTTGCCTGTAGTACCTCAGGTTCCAGAGGCAGAAACAGAAGCCAGGTTTCCTGATTTCTGGCCTGAGGCCAACCTTGTTCTCTGCCTTTAGAGGAAGCTGCTGCCTCGTCGTCACCTGTCTGAGAAGAGCCATCACATTTCCATCCCCTCCCCAGACATCTCCCACAAGGGACTTCGCTCTAAAAGGACCCAACCTTCGGATCCAGAGACATGGGAAAGTCTTCCCAGATTGGACTCACAAAGGCATGGAGGTGGGCACTGGGTACAACAGGAGATGGGTTCAGCTGAGTGGTGGTACCAGTGCTAAGGCCAAGAGACAAGGCCACTGAGTCCTTCCTCTCCCCAGGACCCGAGTTCTCCTTTGATTTGCTGCCTGAGGCCCGGGCTATTCGGGTGACCATATCTTCAGGCCCTGAGGTCAGCGTGCGTCTTTGTCACCAGTGGGCACTGGAGTGTGAAGAGCTGAGCAGTCCCTATGATGTCCAGGTATGGTGTGTCATCCCCCTGTAAAAAGCCCGATCACACAGTGCTAGCAAAAGAGGCCACCCATTGTACAAATGAGGAAACTGAGGCCCAGAGAGGGATGGTAACTGTCCAAGACCTCCTTACAAGCTGAAGGGTCTATCATTAAGACTTCTTTGGGCGTGGCATGGTGGCTCACACCTGTGGTCCCAGCACTTTGGGAGGCCAAAGCAGGAGGATTGCTTGAAGCCAGGAGTATAAAACCAGCTTGGGCAACATAGTGAAACCCTGCTGCTAAAAATAAATAAATAAATTAATTAATTAATTAATTAAATTAAATTTAAAGACTTCTTTGGACTAGACAGAAAAGGCAGACGGCCTTGTCACCGGGAAGAACAGGAAAGGCAGGCAGAGACCTGGAGCAGCCATGAATGACCATGAATGAGCAGAGAGATTAGTATGGTATTTACCCCCAATGAGAGGATCCTCAGTGTGATTCAGGCATTAAGAAGCCTTTCCTTGAGCTTCAAGTTAGTGACAAGTAAGAAAAAAGAATTGTTAATTAAAAATTTAAAAAGCCTTTTCAGCTCCCCTAAGAGGTTGTATCGCCTAAGAACATAACAAAATGATCACATCTGTCTTGGTACCCTTCCATCTCCCTCCCTTTGTTCCTGCCACTCAGAGAGTGATATGTCTCCCATTCTCCCAACCTGGGCCCCAGCATCCCACCTCAACCTCCCTTTGTCATGGATGCCATTGTATACAGTTGGTAGCATTTGCAGGGACTGCTGTTGAACCCCTGAGGCCCTCAGCTTATCATTTTTATAACAGTGAGGATACCTCATAAGATCACTGTGATGCTAGCATGGAGTTAATTGATTTAATACTTCTAGCACCCTCTACACTCCCTGGCATATAGTAGGGCCTCAATAAAGGAATGTATTCCCTGTCTCCTTCCCCCCAACTCCACCTAGAGCACCTAGAGCTAATGATTAGATTACTAAGCAGACAACCTTTGAGAGACTTATCAGGAGAAGAAGTATCTCATATTAGAGGAAAAACAGGGTGTGTTGGCCAAGATCCCAGCACTGTTCTGCCCTTGTCTATGTGCCCATGCTCTTTCTCAGGCATCTTTTGTCTTCCTTTGCTGTTTCATCCACAGAAAATTGTGTCTGGGGGCCACACTGTAGAGCTGCCTTATGAATTCCTTCTGCCCTGTCTGTGCATAGAGGTGAGCAAAGGAAAAGGTGTGGGCTGTCCATGGCTCTGCTCCTAAGCCCCCAAGGTAGCGCAGTTGGTCAAGTATATCTCCAGTAAATTGGGTTTAAAAAGACTGAGTGTTACTGGCATGCTTAGGAAGACCAGCGCCAGCTTGGCTGTGAGCCACACATGGGGTCAGAGGTGGAAGGGTGCTGCTGAACATTGGACCTTCTTAGGGTGATTCCAACCTCAGCCTCATCCAAACCCATCTTTCCCTGGCCCAGACCTGGCCTCAGCCCACAGAGCCAGAATAGGCAGCTGTCATTGCTGTGTGTTCTGAGGAGTCGAGGAAGGAGTGTGTGCATGGCCACTGCAGGATCCATATGCCCCCAAAAGTCTTGTCCCCTCTAGGCCTCTGTGGCAGTCCTCCTTTTCTCTTTACAAGTCTAAGGAACATAGCAGAAAGTTTTCTTTGGACTAGACAGAAAAGGCAAGGGAAATTGTCACCTGGAAGACCTAAGGGAGGATGATGGCAGAGACCTAGAGCCACGAGCAATTGCCAGGGTGGACAGCAGGTGGGCATGTGGGCATTCCAGAGTCAGGAGCCAACACAGAGCACTGGGTGCCTTGGGGATGGCTGAGAGTGGAGGCCAGAGAAGACCAAAGCTGAGGAATGCGACCTCAGGATTTCCTTCTTTCTGGGGATAGTTCTCTTTAGGAGGAAGAGGAGTTAGCCCCTCACTTGCTTATCCCTCTCCTATGCTCTGGAGTTCCTCTCCACCCTTGCCCCCACCCCACATTGCCCCCTCCTGCTCGGTCAGTGCCTGGCCAGCTCAGGCAGCTTGCGTCACAGTAAGGTAAAGCCAGAATGAGTTTTAGGTCTGAGTGAGATTGGAAAAGCCATTCCTCTGACCCTCCCCACCTGCTCCCGTCTCTCCAGGCATCCTACCTGCAAGAGGACACTGTGAGGCGCAAAAAATGTCCCTTCCAGAGCTGGCCAGAAGCCTGTGAGTGCTGTTGACACGCACCCTTGTGCACACACATCCCCTTTCTCTTTCTGTCTCCTACACACACATGTACACACACACACACACACACCCCGCACTTCACACATGTGCTGGGGGAAGTCCCCAGAAGGCATGCAGGTACTTTCCCTGGAGTCAGTGGGGGGAAAAGGGCTGCCAAGTCTACCAGTCCGCTTGCCAATAGATCAGAGATCGCTGAGCACCGCAGTACTGTGAGAAGTTTAGAAATATGAGGCCTAGGAGATGGTGTCCTAAGAGGATGGGCCAGAAGACCCAGTTCCCATCACAGCTCTGTCAATTGTTCTTCTCTGAGCCTCACTTTCCTCATCTGTAAAATCTCAATACCTGCTCTGCCTTCAAAGTGTTTGTGAAGCCTGAGTTAAATATTACATATGAAAGTGGCTGGTGATGTCTGAAGTGCTGTATGCATGTTGTTGTTCTCAAGGAGAGGCAGGACACTCAGACAAAAGTGACTCACATAAAGCAGCCTACAGAACTTACAGGGCAGGGTTATGGTTAAGGACTAGGCTGTAGGGCAAGAAATTGGGAAAGGGAGAAGCCCAAGAAGGGCCATTATAAGCAGAGAAGGCCTCTTAGAGGAAGTGGCACCTGAGCTGGGGTCAGAAAAAGGGCAAGACTTAGAAAGGAGAGATAGGAGGGAAAGACATTCCTGGTTCTGAGAGGACCCTAAGCAGATTTCGAGTTTGGGGAGAAGCAAGGACCTGGCCAGAATGGAGGCCTGGGAAGGAGAGGAGAGAGACCCCTGGATAGAAAGATAATGAGGTTGGGCGCAATGGCTCACGCCTGTAATTCCAGCACTTTGGGAGGCTGAAGTAGGCAGATCACCTGAGGTCAGGAGTTTGAAACCAGCCTGGCCAACATGGTGAAACCCTGTCTGTACTAAAAATACAAAAAGTTAGCCGGGCATGGTGATGCGCGCCTGTAGTCCCAGCTACTCAGGGGATCAAGACAGGAGAATCACTTGAGCTCGGGAGGCAGAGGTTGCAGTGAGCCGAAATCACACCACTGCACTCCAGCCTGGGTGACAGAGTGCAACTCCGTCTCAAAAAAAAAAACAAAAAACAGAAAGGTAATGAAAGGGGGCTGGGCATGGTGGCTCACACTTGTAATCCCAGCACTTTGGGAGGCCAAGGTGGGTGGGTCACAAGGTCAGGAGTCCACGAGGTCAGGAGACCAGCCTGGCCAATATGGTGAAAACCCATCTCTACTAAAAATACAAAAATTAGCTGGGCTTGGTGGCACACACCTGTAATCCCAGCTACTGAGGCATGAGAATCGCTTGAACCCAGGACACAGAGGTTGCAGTGAGCTGAGATTGCACCACTGCACTCCAGACTGGGCGACAGAGTGAGATTCTATCTCAAAAAAGAAAAGGAAAAGAAAGATAATGAAAGGGATGCTCATTGATTTAGTACCTGTTCTGGCCAGGAATAGTGCTGGTTACTTTTACAAACATTATCTCCAGCTGCCCCCAGGATGTGGGTGGCAAGGTGGGGCTGAAGCAGGGCTGACCCTCACCCACTGACCCTGCCACCTGCCCAGATGGCTCGGACTTCTGGAAGTCAGTGCACTTCACTGACTACAGCCAGCACACTCAGATGGTCATGGCCCTGACACTCCGCTGCCCACTGAAGCTGGAAGCTGCCCTCTGCCAGAGGCACGACTGGCATACCCTTTGCAAAGACCTCCCGAATGCCACAGCTCGAGAGTCAGATGGGGTGAGGACAGGTTCCCCCAGGACCAGGGTGGGCAGGGCTGGGGCCCAGGAATTTTCTCCCTGATGAACTCTCCTCTCCTCCCACAGTGGTATGTTTTGGAGAAGGTGGACCTGCACCCCCAGCTCTGCTTCAAGGTACAACCATGGGTAAGAAAAGATGTGGTGTAGTGGGTATTGCCTGGAGCTTGCTAATCTGCCATTCCTGTATTTCTCAGTTCTCTTTTGGAAACAGCAGCCATGTTGAATGCCCCCACCAGACTGGTGAGTCAATAAGTGACCTCTGCTGGGACCCCCTGCCCCATTTCATCCTCACCCAACTGTAACCAAGCTAAACCCCAGCCCAGCCCTGAATTCATCACCCAAAGCCCAACTCCTATCAACACCCCCACCCCGCCCCAAACAGGGTCTCTCACATCCTGGAATGTAAGCATGGATACCCAAGCCCAGCAGCTGATTCTTCACTTCTCCTCAAGAATGCATGCCACCTTCAGTGCTGCCTGGAGCCTCCCAGGCTTGGGGCAGGACACTTTGGTGCCCCCCGTGTACACTGTCAGCCAGGTATGGCCTCGCCCCCACTAGGTCCTATTGCTCAGAGCACAGCCCTCAATTTCCTTGTGACCTCATTGAGATAGACCCTGGGAAGGCAGAAACAAACAAATCCCTGACTTTTACCATCTGGTTTACTTTATTTACGTGATCAGCCTCTGTTCAGCTAACTTGCTGACAGTAGGTTCCTCAAGGGAGCATTTTCTTTTTTTTCTTTTTTTCTTTTTTTTTTTTGAGACAGAGTCTCGCTCTGTCACCCAGGCTGGAGTGCAGTGGCGCGATCTCGGCTCACTGCAAGCTAAGGGAGTATTTTCTAATCCTTTCAGTTTCTGAATTTACAGGAATAACAGAGGCAAGGGACTGGCCCTCCCACATTCAGGTGTCCTGTAGCCCAGGGGTCCCAATCCGTGAGCCGCAGACCAGTAACTGTCTGTGGTTTGTGAGAAACGAGGCCACACAGCAGGAGGTAAGTGGAGGGTGAGCAAGCATTACTGCCTGAGCTCTGCCTCCTGTCAGTCCAGTGGCTGCATTAGATTCTTATAGGAGCGCAAACCCTATTGTGAACGGTGCATGCGAGGGATCTTGGTTGTGAGCTACTTATGAGAATCTAATGCCTGATGATCTAAGGTGGTTTCATCCTGAAACCATTCCCCCAAACCCCAACCCCTTCAACCTCTGTGTAAAAATTTTCTTCCATGAAACCAGTCCCTGGTGCCAAAAAGGTCGGGGACCACTGCTCTAGCCTAACAGAACAACATTTAATACTGATGCCTTCCCTTGAACCCAGCTGTCCGCTACCACTACTCTCCTGCCTCCACGAGGCACCTGTGCAGAAGTTATCTATCCTAGGAGGCAGAGCCCATGCAGCTGACAGGCTCTGCACAATCCTGTAAACTATTGACAAATTTCACCTGTTACGTAACTAGGAGCACTTTATCAGACTATCTTCCATGTATCTGATATAAAAACCACAGTCAAGTACACCCTCAATACCACAGCACCACGCTGACTAAGCATGACTAGCTCTTTCAAACAGTTATTTCTTAAATGCTCACTTGCAGCTTATATGTTTGTTTTGCATTGTATGAGGGCTCCCAAGCAGACAGGTGATAGCAACACAGTATGAAAGACCAAGTCACGCTTAAGATGGCCACATGCAGTGTCTCACACTTGTAGTCCCAGCTGAGGTGGGAGAACCGTGTGAGCTCAGGAGTCCAAGGCTGCAATGAGCTATGATCATGCCACAGCACTCCAGCCTGGGTGACAGCATAAGACTCTGACTCTAAAAAAAATGTTTTTAATTAAAATTCTGTCCAATTTAGTATGCTTTGTGCCCACCCTGTAGCAGGCTCTGGGAGATACAAGAAAAGTATATAACACAGTTAAGGAGTTCATAGACTAATAATAGCTGTTACCAATAAATGAATATACATTGTAGTTTATTTAAAAAGACATTCATGTGCATATACCCATTTGATGCTCTCAATAACCCAGTAAAATAAAGATTATTATCCCCCATATAAAAATGAAGAAAGTAGGCCAGGCGCAGTGGCTCACGCCTGTAATTCCAGCATTTTGGGAGGCTGAGGAGGGCAGATCACCTGAGGTCAGGAGTTTGAGACCAGCCTCACCAACATGGCAAAACCCGTCTCTACTAAAAATACAAAAATTAGCTGGGCATGGTGGCGTGCACCTGTAATCCTAGCTACTTGGGAGGCTGGGGCAGGAGAATAGCTTGAACCCAGGAGGTGGAGGTTGCAGTGAGCCAAGATTGCACCAGTGCACTCCAGCCTGCACGACGGAGCAAGACTCTGTCTCAAAAAATAAATAAATAAATAAATAAATAAATAAACAAACATAAAAAAATTAAAATAAAAATGAGGGAAGTGAGCCTTAGGAAAGAGAGGTAACCTACCTCCATGCAAGGACCACAAAGCTAGGGACTACAAAGGCAACAGTTAAGCCTGGACCCAGGTCTCCTGACCTTAAAACTTACATTCTTTTCAATGATATGTTTTGATACCTCTTCAGCTGTGCAGGAGAGTAAAGTGAGACAGCCTTCCTGGTTTGTGAGCTGCTAGAGGACACAGACAATGTCCGCACCCGCCTTCTTTCCTCAGGGCTTGGCACAGAGGACACACTCAGAGTCTGTCTGTTGACAAATACCTGACTGCAGCAGGAGCTGAGCTCTGGGAAAGATCAGTGGGAGCCGGAGTGACTGGGGAAGCCTTCTTGTCAGAGGTGGCACTTGGCCTAAGCCTCGTAGGATTGGGGGTGTGGTGGGGAGGAACAGCAGGGGCAAAGACTCAAGGCCAGACAGGGCCAGATTCACCTCCCTGGGGACAGCCTTTCTGCTCTTTGTTTCTACAGGCCCGGGGCTCAAGCCCAGTGTCACTAGACCTCATCATTCCCTTCCTGAGGCCAGGGTGCTGTGTCCTGGTAAGGAAACCTACCCTCACTCTACATACAGAGCCTTGGCATCTGCTCCCCTAGTGGCACCCACCCCTGGAAAATCCATTCTGCAAAAATGTTTGGTTTGGCCAGCACAGTGTTTTAAATTGAAATTGCTTACCACCATTTACATATATAAACAAAGCTGGATTTCTGGCCTCTGTTGAAAAATCAGAAAAACCTAGTGCCGTGTGTCCACATTCTGGCATGGTGACAATGGCCTGGAGCTCAGTGCCATCTGATTGTTTCAGTCAGGGCCTGTGCTCTCCAGGTCCTCACAGCAGCCCTGGTCAACTTTGAGTTTACTTTTTGAGTTTGGCCCCTGTCACACTTGAGTTTGCCACCATTGACCTGTTCTGTGCCAGGCTAGCAGCTGGAGCAGACACAAACCCACCTGGGAAGAATTCCCTAGCCAGTGGGGACTCCCCTCTCCCCCAGCTCCATGCTTCACTCAGCTCCCCGGGAGGAGAAGATGCCTGGCTCATAGGGGTGGGGGGCTCTGTGCCCTCAGGTGTGGCGGTCAGATGTCCAGTTTGCCTGGAAGCACCTCTTGTGTCCGGATGGTGAGTTCTTGGGGAGGGGGAGGTAAGAGGGAGGCTGGGCACTGAGGAACTGGGCTTGGCCTCATCCTGCTTGACTCAGTCTCTTACAGACACCTGGGGCTCTTGATCCTGGCACTGCTGGCCCTCCTCACCCTACTGGGTGTTGTTCTGGCCCTCACCTGCCGGCGCCCACAGTCAGGTAAGCTCACCTGGGGTAACCTGGGAAGTCAGACCTGCCCAGCTCGGAGACTAGCTGCCCCCTCACCCTCCCCTGTCTGAGCTCTCAGCACTGCACCCAATCTCTGTTACCCAGGCAGGGAGCCTCAGGCCCCCAAGTGAGCAGGAATGGTTAAGGCAAGGCAAAGGGCCCTCTGAGCATATTGTCACTGTACTGAGTCTCTGTACAAAAGGCTAGTGGGGCAGAAATCCAGCCTGCGCTGTACTCGCCCAGCCTGGAGCCCTGACCCTCTCTTCAGAAGGGGTGCCTTTATCTAATTAGCCCATAAGCACCCTATAGGCTAGGGCTGTTTTCGGTACCAACCCCCAGAGCAAATAAGGGGCGGGGGCGGGGGCGGAGAGGCGAGCACCCTACGGTATCCCGAGAGGGTGGGGAGAAGAGGGCTGAGCAGTCCCTCAGCCGCCCAGCCTTCATCTGTTGCTTCCCGCCACCAGGCCCGGGCCCAGCGCGGCCAGTGCTCCTCCTGCACGCGGCGGACTCGGAGGCGCAGCGGCGCCTGGTGGGAGCGCTGGCTGAACTGCTACGGGCAGCGCTGGGCGGCGGGCGCGACGTGATCGTGGACCTGTGGGAGGGGAGGCACGTGGCGCGCGTGGGCCCGCTGCCGTGGCTCTGGGCGGCGCGGACGCGCGTAGCGCGGGAGCAGGGCACTGTGCTGCTGCTGTGGAGCGGCGCCGACCTTCGCCCGGTCAGCGGCCCCGACCCCCGCGCCGCGCCCCTGCTCGCCCTGCTCCACGCTGCCCCGCGCCCGCTGCTGCTGCTCGCTTACTTCAGTCGCCTCTGCGCCAAGGGCGACATCCCCCCGCCGCTGCGCGCCCTGCCGCGCTACCGCCTGCTGCGCGACCTGCCGCGTCTGCTGCGGGCGCTGGACGCGCGGCCTTTCGCAGAGGCCACCAGCTGGGGCCGCCTTGGGGCGCGGCAGCGCAGGCAGAGCCGCCTAGAGCTGTGCAGCCGGCTCGAACGAGAGGCCGCCCGACTTGCAGACCTAGGTTGAGCAGAGCTCCACCGCAGTCCCGGGTGTCTGCGGCCGCAACGCAACGGACACTGGCTGGAACCCCGGAATGAGCCTTCGACCCTGAAATCCTTGGGGTGCCTCGAGGACGACTGGCCGAAAAGCCGCATTCCCTGCCTCACAGGCCGGAAGTCCCAGCCCAGTCCCCGCGCGCGTCCCTCTTCCTCCTCATACTTTCCCTTGACTGAGAGCTCCTCTAACCCCTGTTCTGATGGGGGAGGGCGGTCTTCCCACTTCCTCTCCAGAACTCCAGAAAGAGCAGTGTGCTTATGCTTCAGTCCAGGCTGGAGAGGTTGGGGCCGGGGTAGGGAGGCAGGAGCCATGTCAGTTCTGAAGGAGGGTGAGGCGGTGGGGGATTGCAGGGGGCGGCTGAGAGAAAACCTCCTTGGGGGCCAGGGATTCCCTTTCCCACTCTGAGGCTCTGGCCAGAGGGAGAGAGGACTCTGGACCTAGGAAAAGAGGCTTTTGGCTCCAGGTGGTCAGGACAGTGGGGGTTGGGGGTGGGGTGGGTGGGTGCTGGCGGTGGGGACCAAGATCCGGAAAGATGAATAAAGACAAACATGACAAACTAAGAAAACACAGTGTGCTTCTCTAGTGTGGCTGGGGAGCCTGCCTGGTGGGGTATGTGTCAGTGTGCTGGCCCAAATCCTCTGTGTCCATACCGCATGGCATCCGTCACATTCTTACAAGCAATGCCTCCAAAAGCAAAGGAGGATGGGGCAATCTCCTTGATCCCCCCCAGTGATTCTTACAAGAGGAGAGGAAAACAGAGGCTTCGCCAGATGGTGTGTCCATCATCACACAGCCGGCCCACAGCAACAGCACAGATGGGACCCCTGTCTGCCAGGCTCTGGGGTCCTGGGTTCCTTCTACTCCCCATACCGCATTTGAGCCAGGCAGTGGTGAAAAGCCCACTTTCTGGTGCCTTTTGTCCGTGCTTTTAGAGCTCCTGTCCCACAAAGGGTTACCGAGGCCCAAAGAGTGTCTGAAGGGACCGAGTGTGCCTAGTAAGGGGAGACTTAGTGGGCCCAGGACTCCAGGGCTGTGTCCTCCTTAGGGCTCCGGGGGTGAGTAAGAGCTCCCTTACTCAGCCGTGATGCATTCGCTGTCTTCTTCAGGGGCCCCTCCCAGCCAGGTGTCAGCAGAGGGAGAGGAGAGCCAAAGAAGGAGGAGGTGCGGCCACCACCCTAGTCCAAGGCTGCTGGCTCCCAAGCCTGGTGTTGGTGGGAGGGACAGAGAGGGGCGGGAACAGCCAGCAGCCTGCCGGGAGCCAAAACGAAAGCACTCCGTGCTGGAAGTAGGAGGAGAGTCAGGACTCCCAGGACAGAGAGTGCACAAACTACCCAGCACAGCCCCCTCCGCCCCCTCTGGAGGCTGAAGAGGGATTCCAGCCCCTGCCACCCACAGACACGGGCTGACTGGGGTGTCTGCCCCCCTTGGGGGGGGGCAGCACAGGGCCTCAGGCCTGGGTGCCACCTGGCACCTAGAAGATGCCTGTGCCCTGGTTCTTGCTGTCCTTGGCACTGGGCCGAAGCCCAGTGGTCCTTTCTCTGGAGAGGCTTGTGGGGCCTCAGGACGCTACCCACTGCTCTCCGGTGAGTCTGGAACCCTGGGGAGACGAGGAAAGGCTCAGGGTTCAGTTTTTGGCTCAGCAAAGCCTTAGCCTGGCTCCTGTCACTGCTGCCACTGCCAGAACTGCCCTGTCTGGTCTGTCTGGTGCTGATGGTAGAAGAGAAGAACGGGGAAGGGGCAAGAGCTGGGTCTGTCTTTCTCTGGGAGGGTCTGGGAATACGGAGCCCCAGAAAAAGGTAGGTGGAGGTCTTAGGCAGAGAACAGTGCCTAGATGGTGGGGGCACAAATTCTGACTCTCCTTTCTTTCCTTCCCAGGGCCTCTCCTGCCGCCTCTGGGGTAAGTATCCCTACTTTTAAAAAGAATTTCCCAGGTTGGCCGAAGGGAGCAGAGCTGTCCCAGGCCCATGCCCTCCATGCCCACCTCAGCCTAGGACAGCCAAGTTCTTTGGCTCTCTGGGTATGTCAGGTGCCACCAAATTCTGGGCTTGGAACAGCTTCAGCTCCCACCCGCTCCTCCACACACAGACAGTGACATACTCTGCCTGCCTGGGGACATCGTGCCTGCTCCGGGCCCCGTGCTGGCGCCTACGCACCTGCAGACAGAGCTGGTGCTGAGGTGCCAGAAGGAGACCGACTGTGACCTCTGTCTGCGTGTGGCTGTCCACTTGGCCGTGCATGGTGAGCAAGTCATCCTGTGACAGTGCATGTGTACACGTGAGTGTGTCTGGGGTGGGCATGAGGGCCAGGGGATCTCTCAAGCAGTGCTAGGCATCCTCAGTGTTCTCCTGGAGGACACCAGCAGAAGGACCCCCAGGCCAGTGTGGTCTCCCCAGCCCCTGCTTCCCAGCACTGGGCTTTCCAGAAGGAAGCCAACGCCAAAGCCAGCCAGCCCAGAGCAGGGGGCCTCACCCAGGGCCTTGCTCTTGGGTCCTTCTAGGGCACTGGGAAGAGCCTGAAGATGAGGAAAAGTTTGGAGGAGCAGCTGACTCAGGGGTGGAGGAGCCTAGGAATGGTGAGGAGAACCTGGCTGGCCCAACTGCCCCATGCCAAGGCCTGGCCTGCCGCTCCTGGGCCTGACTGACCCCTGCCCTGTTGCCCACAGCCTCTCTCCAGGCCCAAGTCGTGCTCTCCTTCCAGGCCTACCCTACTGCCCGCTGCGTCCTGCTGGAGGTGCAAGTGCCTGCTGCCCTTGTGCAGTTTGGTCAGTCTGTGGTATGCAAAATAATAATAATCACCTTCTAAACCTAAAATCTATAAAACTTTTTCACATGCATTATCTCTTTGAGGATTACAAAAGAATTAAATTTATTGAAACCCTTCAGTACCAGGCATTACAGCCAGTGTTTTACAGGTATCAACTTATTTAATTCTCACAACAGCCATGTGAGGTGGGACTATTCTTTTGATTCTGATCAGCGCTGTGGGCAAGTCCCTTCAGCCTGTTATGCCTCAGCTTTTATGTCTGTAAAATGGGGATGAGAATAGTTCTACTTCATATGCTTGACTGCGAGAAATCACCAAGCGTTTTTCAGGGTGCTTCTACTATTTTCCCCTCCTACCAGCAGTGTATGGGAGTCCTAGTTGCTTCCCATCTTTGCCAACACTTGATGGTGTAATTTTATTTTATTTTTAAATTAAATATATTTGAATTTTAAATATATGGGACCCTCCATGAATTTGCATGTCATCCTCAGGCACGGGCCTTGCTAATCTTTTCTGTATTGTTCCAGTTGTAGTATATGTGGTGCCAAAACAAGCATAAGTGTTGTAATTGTCATAATTTTTCTGCATATGTAGTGGTTTGCCATTGTGGTTTTAATTTGTATCTTCCAATGACTGATGAAGTTGAGCACTTTTTTCACATGCTTATTGGCTATTTGTGTAACTTCCTTGTGAAATATCTCTTAAAGTTTTTTTGTTTTTGTTTTTGTTTTTGTTTTTGCCACATAAAAAAACAATAGTTCTGGCCGGGCACAGTGGTTCACACCTGTAATCCCAGCACTTTGGGAGGCTGAGGCGGGCAGATCACGAAGTCAGGAGATTGAGACCATCCTGGCTAACACTGTGAAACCCTGCCTCCACTAAAAAAATACAAAAAATTAGCCAGGCATGGTGGTGGGCGCCTGTAGACCCAGCTACTCGGGAGGCAGAGGCAGGAGAATGGCGTGAACCCGGGAGGTGGAGCTTGCAGTGAGCCGAGATCGCGCCACTGCACTCCAGCCTGGGCGACAGAGCGAGATTCCGTCTCAAAAAAAAAGAATAGTCCCACCTCACATGACTGTTGTGAGAATTAAATTAAGTTGGTACCTGTAAAACACTGGATGTAATGCCTGGCACTGAATAATTTCAATAAATTTAATTCTTTTGTAATCCTCAAAACTACCTGATGAGGCATTATTAGTATCCTCATTTTCCAGATAGATAAAATGAGGCTTGGAGAGGGGAGGTCTGTGGGCTGGATGCACTTCTCTGTACTCTTGGACCAAAGAAAGAGTCCTACCATACATACCATGGTATACTTACCATGGTGTAAGTACCATGGTGCAGGGTGTTGGGGCTTCTCCCTGCCTTAGGAGGCCACATGTACCTGGAAGGTCTATTTCCACTGGGGTCAAATCACTCAAACCCTTTGACTTTCCCTCCAACCTCCAGCCCCCAGCCAATATCCTATCTGGAGAATTGTAGACTGGGAGAACATCTGCTTGGTCCATGTCACAAGCAGTTGTAAGGAACACTGAGGCACTGGGTTGAGTGTGAGAACCACTTCTGTGGGGAGGGGTGTGCCATATTGTGTTGGGGTGTCTCATCTCCTTAGCTTTGGCCAGGTGATCTAGCACAGCAGGGTGGGTGCAGGGATTTAAATGTCTAGGGCCTTTTCCCGCCCTGGTGACACTCTTACTGAGGACATTTGCTTTAGAATTGAGGCCCCTTGAAAGAAAGGTGAATAGTAGATTTCAGGCTATACAGTATAAATACAGTCATTAGTTGGGGGAGGAGGGCAGTGAGCAGAGTGGTCCCTGCAGATGATCCCACAGCCCTTGGCCTGGATTCTGAGCCCTGCACCGCCAGCCTTCCTCACCCCTCTCCTCACAGGGCTCTGTGGTATATGACTGCTTCGAGGCTGCCCTAGGGAGTGAGGTACGAATCTGGTCCTATACTCAGCCCAGGTACGAGAAGGAACTCAACCACACACAGCAGCTGCCTGGTAAGTGGACCCCCAAGTCCTGGCCCCCTAGCCTCTGTCCCCTCTGGCCATTCCCCCTCCTGATTTCACCCTCTTCTAGCTCCATCCACTCTCCGGCAGGGGTCTGAGCTGCTATCCTCCCCAGAGTCAGTCCCTCGGACCTTCTCTCTCTGGGTGATATGGCTTTCCAGCCCCTGGGGAAGGTTCTTTGAGCATTGGATAGATGTGGGTGGTATGTAGGGGATGGGGAGCCATTCCTAATGCCCCCCTGGGAGCCAAATTGCCCCCACTTCTTTCCTTGGCCCCCAGCCCCACTGGAGGCTCTTCTGTGATCTCTCCTCAGACTGCAGGGGGCTCGAAGTCTGGAACAGCATCCCGAGCTGCTGGGGTAGGGGCTAGGGCCAGTGGGCCGGGGGTAGGGAGGGGCAGGGTCTGGAGTATAAGAAACCCTTGGAGTCCACTTCAGATATGGGCTACCACATCTCAGAAGCTCACAGAACATATTCATTCATTCATTCATTCATTCATTTGTTCATAACACATTAATTGCAGTATCTGTGCTAAGCACTGGAAATAGAAAGATGAATCTTGGGTCAGGCTCAGTGGCTCATGCCTGTAATCCCAGAACTTTGGGAGGCCGAGGTAGAAGGATCACTTGAGCTCAAAAGTTCAAGACGAGCCTGGGCAACATGGCAAATCCCCGTCTCTACCAAAAATACAAAAATTAACAGGACATGGTGGTGTGCATTTGTGGTCCCAGCTACTCAGGAGGCTGAGGCAGGAGAATCACTTGAGCCTGGGAGGCAGGGGCTACAGTAAGCTGAGACTGCACCATTGCACACCAGCCTGGGTGACAGAGCAAGACTCCGTCTCAAAAAACAAAACAAAACAAAACAAAAACAAAAAACTTGAAATAAAAGCTAAGAAAGTCAAGGGTCTAACTTTTTTCCCACGTACTATTTGGATTTTGTTTTCGTTTTGTATTTTCTTTTTTATTGTGTATAACATACATACATAAAAGTATGTAAAGGGTACTGATTTTCTTTTTTTTTTTTTTTTTTGAGACAGAGTCTCGCTCTGTCGCTCAGGCTGGAGTGCAGTGGTGCAATCTCGGCTCACTGCAAGCTCCGCCTCCCAGGTTCACGCCATTCTCCTGCCTCAGCCTCCCGAGTAGCTGGGACTACAGGCACCCGCCACCACGCCTGGCTAATTTTTTTTTTTTTTTAGTAGAGACAGGGTTTCACCGTGTTAGCCAGGATGGTCTTGATCTCCTGACCTTGTGATCCGCCTGCCTCAGCCTCCCAAAGTGCTGGGATTACAGGCGTGAGCCACCACGCCCAGCCAAAGGGTACTGATTTCCATGTCCAGTTCTTTTTTTTTTTTTTTTTTTTGGCGGAATCTTGCTCTGTCGCCTAGGCTGGACTGCAGTGGTGTGATCTCAGCTCACTGCAACCTCTGCCTTCTGGGTTCAAGCGATTCTCCTGCCTCAGCCTCCCAAGCAGCTGGGATTACAGACGTGCACCACCACGCACAGCTAATTTTTGTATTTTTAGTAGACATGGAGTTTCACCATGCTGGCCAGGCTGGTCTTGAACTCCTGACCTCGTGATCCTCCCACCTCGGCCTCCCAAAGTGCTGGGATTACAGGCATGAGCCGCCACGTCCGGCCAATTTGTTTTTATATATGTATACACTTGCATAACTAGCACCCAGATCAATACATAAATACTGTGAATACATCACATACTGTGATGTTTTCTGAACTACTAAATGTTTTCAACTTCATTTTCTTTTTGCCTTCTTAAAATTAAAGTTGGCCTGCCTCTTTGGCAACTCATTAAAGACTATTCAACACCAGAGTTTTGAAAACACAGATGTGTATATCATGGATTTCATTTCTTCCTTCATTAAGTAGACATTGATTCATTTATTCAACAGATATTTATTAATTTCTGTGTACCAGGCAAATCCCTGGACACTGGAAATATTAATAAATCAATAAATGAAGATGACAAAAAACCCGACCCCACGGAGCTGGTGTCAGGGTCAGGGTGGGGGTGAGGAAGGACACAACAAACACATGGAGATGTGAAGAATGCAGTAAGTTAGACAGTGATTAGCACTAAGGAGAACATTTGTGGAAGGGCTGGGGAAGGTTGGGAGTTGTAGAGGTCAGGGATGGTCTCATTCTGGTGAGCAGAGACCTGAAAGAGGTGAGGGAGGAGCCATATATTTGAGGGAAGAGAGAATAGCCAGCAAAAAGGGCCTGGGGTGGGAGTATGTCAGGGGTGTTTAAGAAATAGTAAGGAGGGGGCCGGGCGCGGTGGCTCACGCCTGTAATCCCAGCACTTTGGGAGGCCGAGGCTGGCGGATCACGAGGTCAGGAGATCGAGACCATCCTGGCTAACACGGTGAAACCCCATCTCTACAAAAAATACAAAAAAATCAGCTGGGCATGGTGGCAGGCGCCTGTAGTCCCAGCTACTCGGGAGCCTGAGGCAGGAGAATGGCTTGAACCCCAGGAGGCAGAGCTTGCAGTGAGCCGAGATCACACCACTGCACTCCAGCCTGGGCGACAGAGCCAGACTCCATCTCAAAAAAAAAAAAAGGAAAAAAAAAAGAGAGAGAAACAGTAAGGAGGTCCTTAATAACTCTGCAGCAGAGTTATTAAGGACACAAATGCCATAGGCTGTGCGCGATGGCTCACGTCTGCAATCCCAGCACTTTGGGGAAGCTGAGGCAGGAGGATTGCTTGAGGTTAGGAGCTCAAGACCAGCCTGGCCAACATGAGCGAAATCCCATCTCTACTAAAAATACAAAAACTAGCCGGGGGTGGTGACACACGCCTGTAATCCCAGCTACTCGGGTGGCTGAGGCAAGAGAATCGCTTGAACCCAGGAGGTGGAGGTTGCAGTGAGCTATCGTGCCAATGCACTCCAGCCTGGGCAACAGAGCAAGACTCCCTCTCAAAAAAAAAAAAGGACACAAGTATCAAGAGGTAAGGTCAGAAAGGTCACAGTTCTGAACAGAGGAAAATGACTTGTTTTAAAGAGGTTACAAGATCTTTCTGCAGAGGGAGAAGCAGGGAGAATAGCTCTTCTCCGACCACACACTAGGGTCTCCACGGGCTTGGCTTTGGGCAGCTGCTAGGAGCAAAGTCTGGTCTGAAATGATGACACACGCTCTGCCCTCCGAGAGCCTCCCAGTCTAGGGGGTTTGAAGGAAACTCCAAAGGGTCAGTCGGGGATGCAGAAGAGGTGAGGAAGTCTAAGCTGCGCTCTCTTTGCCTCTCCCACCAGCCCTGCCCTGGCTCAACGTGTCAGCAGATGGTGACAACGTGCATCTGGTTCTGAATGTCTCTGAGGAGCAGCACTTCGGCCTCTCCCTGTACTGGAATCAGGTCCAGGGCCCCCCAAAACCCCGGTGGCACAAAAACCTGGTGAGGCCTCCCCCTTCCCAAGTCCATTCCCACTGTAGGCCGATGCCTGTGCAAAGGACGCAGTGCCATATCAGAGAGGATCCTTGAAGAGGACTCACCCCAAGCAAGGGAAAATTGGTGGGGGAACTTCTGCCTTCCTGGTTTCCTTGACTTTGGCCTCCTCCTCTTCCTCCTTATCTTCTCCAACCTCCTTCCTTTATTTGTTCCACAGACTGGACCGCAGATCATTACCTTGAACCACACAGACCTGGTTCCCTGCCTCTGTATTCAGGTAGGAGCAGAGTCTAGCTGGGTGCCAGAAGAGGAGTGGGAAGATGATGATGGGGGTGATCCCTGCCTTCCTGGTCTCACCATTCTTCAAACCCTTCATTGAGGTGGAGACTGTGGCTCCCTGGGGTGGCTGGCCCTCCCTTGACCCTTGCTGTCCTATGCCTTCTGTCTATTACATTCCCTGAATGCTCTCCCTGATCCTCCACAGAACTCCTGCTTATTCTTCATGGCCCCATTCAAATGTCACCTTCTCCTTGAAACCTTTCCCTACTCCTCCAGTTCTGTCTTTGTGTTCCCCTGGCGGGCAGAGCATGTGCTACGAACTTGGACTGGTTTGAATCTTGGCTCTTGCCATTTGCTAGCTGTGTAACCTTGGGCAAGTCACTTCACCTCTGTGAGCCTGTTTCTCATCTGTAAAATGGGAATAATAATAGTAACAGCCTCATGGGGCTGTTATAAGAATGTGTGCCACACCCAGGCTTAAATATGCTGGCTCTTTCCTCTTCCTCTGTACATTTATTTATTTTTTTAGACAAGGTCTCACTCTGTTGCCCAGGCTGGAGTGCAGTGGCACAATCATGGCACACTGCAGCCTCAGCCCCATGGGCTCAAGTGATCCTCCTGTCTCAGCCTCCCAAGTAGCTGGAACTACTGGTGAGCACTACCATACTCAGCTAGTTTTTTTTTGTTTTGTGTAGAGACGGGGTCTTGCTATGTTACCCAGGCTGTTCTGAATTCCTGGGCTTATGCTATCCTCCCACCTCAGCCTCCCACCAAGTGCTGGGATTATAAGCATGAGCCACTGTGGCTTGCCCTGATTGCACTTTTTTTTTTTTTTTTTTTAAGACAGAGTCTTTCTCTGTCGCCCAGGCTGGAGCACCGTGGCGTGATCTCGGCTCACTGCAAGCTGCTTCTCCTGGGTTCACGCCATTCTCCTGCCTCAGCCTCGCTGAGTAGCTGGGACTACAGGTGCCTGCAACCACGCCCAGCTAATTTTTTGTATTTTCAGTAAAGACAGGGTTTCACCGTGTTAGCCAGGATGGTCTCGATCTCCTGACCTTATGATCCACAAGCCTCGTCCTCCCAAAGTGCTGGGATTACAGGCATGACCCACTGTGCCCAGCCGCTGATTGCACATTTAATTGGTCATCAGGTCTCATCCATCTTACCTCTGACATTAATGTCTCTCATTTTCTTTCCCCCTCCTCTCCATCTCAGTCCAGCTTAGGGCTCTATCATCTGTTTTCTAGACTGTTTCAACACCTCCAAGCTCCCCTCCCTTCCCATCACTTTCCTGGCATTCTGGGCCCATATTCTGCCCCCAACGGTGCCTTTTCACTCTATTTTCCCCATGATTCCCCTTCATGAGAACATTGTTACATCCAGTGGAGCTACTTACCAAGATACAGCTAGCTCCCTGCCTTTTCTCAGGTGGTTCCCATTACCTCAAATGCCCTCACCTCCTTCCCAAAGCTTTTCCCCAACCACCCGGCCTCTCCTAGCTCCAAATCCCCTTGCACTTCTATCTTTCCTTGTCCATTTATCACTTCATTTCTTTTATTTTCTTAAATTTTTTTTTTTTTTTTAGAGACAGCATTTTGCTCTGTCACCCATGGTAGAGTGCAGTGGCATGAACACGTCTCATTGCAGCCCCAAGCTCCCAGGTTCAAGGGATCCTCCTGCCTCAGCCTCTGCAGCTGGGACTGCAGGCATGCGCCACCATGCCTGGCTAATTGTTTCCTTTTTTTTTTTTTTTTTTTTTTAATGGAGTTTCACTCTTTTGCCCAGGATGGAGTGCAGTGGCGTGATCTCGGCTCACTGCAACTTCCGCCTCCCAGGTTCAAGCCATTCTCCTGCCTCAGCCTCCCAAGTAGCTGAGATTACAGGCACACACCACCATGCCCAGCTAATTTTTGTATTTTTAGTAGAGACAGGGTTTCACCATGTTGGTCAGGCTGGTCCCAAATTCCTGACCTCGTGATCCACCCGCCTCGGCCGCCCAAAGTGCTGGGATTACAGGCGTGAGCCACTGTGCCCAGCCTGTTTTCATTTTTTAATGTTTTGTGGCGATGGGCCACCACACCCAGCTCAATCACTTACTTTCTTATTTGGGCATCTAATTTCTTCTTGTACACAACAGATGCTCAATAAATATTATGAAATGAATGAGTGTTTTACTAATTTATATAAATATTTTATCCTTACTACAAGTGTGAGTTTGTGATTTCCTTGAAGGCAAGCAAATCATATCTAATTCAAATGTAATAGCTTTGCAAGAGCCTTGCACATAGCGCCTACTTGTTTTTTGTTTTTTTGTGTTTTTGTTTTTTTTTTGTTTTTTTGTCTTTTTTGAGACAGAGTCTCGCTCTATTGGCAGGCTGGAGTACAGTGGCGTGATCTCGGCTCACTGCAATCTCTGCCTCCTGGATTCAAGCAATTCTTCTGCCTCAGCCTCCCAAGTAGCTGGGACTACAAGTGCATGCCACCATGCCCGGCTAATTTTTGTATTTTCAGTAGAGACGGGGTTTCAGCATGTTGGCCAGATGGTCTCGATCTCTTGACCTCGTGATCCGCCCACCTTGGCCTCCCAAAGTGCTGGGATTACAGGGGTGAGCCACCGCGCCCAGCCTTGTTTTGTTTTTAAACAAGGTAACAGTATGAGGTCCTCACTGTTGAATGAGTGAATAAATGTTACTGCCTAACACAGCCATAGGACACAGCAGATGTTCATGAGATGTATGCTGTGATTTAAATGGCTTCATTGCCAAACACAGTGCCTGCCACATAGTCGGTGTTCCTAACTAAAGGCTTGATGGATAAATTAATGTATTACCTCTAGTGCTTAGCATAGAGCTATGCACATAATAGGCACTCTTGAAATGTCTGTTGAAAGAATAAATGAATGTGTCCTTAGAACTTAGCACATTCCCCAACACATAGCAGGTGCTTACACAAGTGATTGTGGAATGAATTAAAATTAATTATCCACCAGGCACAGTGGCTCACACCTGTAATCCCAGCACTTTGGGAGGCCAAGGTGGGTGGATCACGAGGTCAGGAGTTTGAGACCAGCCTGGCCTAACATAGTGAAACCCAGTCTCTACTAAAAGTACAAAAATTAGCCAGGCATGGTGATGTGCGCCTGTAGTCCCTGCTACTTGGGAAGCTGAGGCAGGAGAATCACTTGAACCCAGGAGGCGGAGGTTGTGGTGAGCTGAGATCACACCACTGCACTCCAGCCTGGGCAACAGAGTGAGATTCCATCTCAAAAAATAAAAAAATAATAAAAATTTAATTATCCAAGGTCTCTTGTGCTTGCCATACTGCTAAGACACAATGGTAGGCACTCATTAAAAGTCTGTTGAATGGGCCAGGCGCGGTGGCTCACGCTTGTAATCCCAACACTTTGGGAGGCTGAGACGGGTGGATCACTTGAGGTCAGGAGTTCGAGACCAGCCTGATCAATGTGGTGAAACCCCATCTCTACTAAAAATACAAAAATTAACCAGTTAGCCGGCCGTTGTGGCATGTTCCTGTAATCGCAGCTCCTCAGGAGACTGAGATGGGAGAATCGCTTGAACCTGGGAGGTGGAGGTTGTAGTGAGCCAAGATTGCACCACTGCACTCCAGCCTGGGCGACAGAGCGAGACTCTATCTCAAAAAAAAAAAAAAGTTTGTTAATGAAGATGTTGCCAGTGCCCAGCATTATGTTTGCTGGAAGAATAGATGTGAGCACCTCCAGGTTTTGTAAAAGGCAGGAAGACCCAGCAAGTGTTTGTGAAATACCTGCTGAATGAGTGCATCCCCACTGTCCAGCAGAGGGCCAGGCACATGCCCATGGAGGGGACCTGAGCAGACCCCCATTTCCTTTCCAGGTGTGGCCTCTGGAACCTGACTCCGTTAGGACGAACATCTGCCCCTTCAGGGAGGGTGAGCCGACCGGCCTGGGGCTGGGGTTGGGGTGTTGCGAGCGATGGGTACCTGGCCTGCGGTGACTGTGCCCTTTCCTTGCAGACCCCCGCGCACACCAGAACCTCTGGCAAGCCGCCCGACTGCAACTGCTGACCCTGCAGAGCTGGCTGCTGGACGCACCGTGCTCGCTGCCCGCAGAAGCGGCACTGTGCTGGCGGGCTCCGGGTGGGGACCCCTGCCAGCCACTGGTCCCACCGCTTTCCTGGGAGAACGTCACTGTGGACGTAAGTGAAGCAGAGGGCACCTCCCGTGGTGAGGGGAGAGTGGGGAACCGGGGGTCCCCTTTTGTGATCCCACCCATTCCTCTCTTTCCACAGAAGGTTCTCGAGTTCCCATTGCTGAAAGGCCACCCTAACCTCTGTGTTCAGGTCAGAAAGGGGTGCATAGTGCTGGGCTGGAGGCTGGACCTGGGCAGACCCCCCAGCCAAGGGGGTCTTAGTTCTTGGGCCGCTAAAGCATAGTGGTTGCCAGCTTCCTCTATGGGAGTTCCACTGCCTACTTTAGTAGTGCGCGGGACCCTGGGCAACTCACTTCACCTCTCTGAACGTCAGTTTCCTCATCTGTTTAATGCAGATGATAATACAGTAACTACCTCATGGAGTGGTTGTGACAATGAAATAAGAGAAGTGCTTCCCCTTAGGAATCGGTACAGACTAAATGCTCCATAAATGTAGCCACTTTTATTATTGCTATCCTTATTCTATTTCCATACCTGTAGAATGGGTTGCTCTACAGTTTCAAAGGGTGATTATAAGAACATTCACTCATCCGGCCAGGCGCGGTGGCTCACGCCTGTAATCCCAGCACTTTGGGAGGCCGAGGCGGGCAGATCACGAGGTCAGGACATCAAGACCATCCTGGCTAACATGGTGAAACCCCATCTCTACTAAAAATACAAAAAATTAGCCGGTCGTGGTGGTGGGCACCTGTAGTCCCAGCTACTAGGAAGGCTGGGGCAGGAGAATGGCGTGAACCTGGGAGGCTGAGCTTGCAGTGAGCTGAGAGGGCGCCACTGCACTCCAGCCTGGGTGACAGAGTGAGACTGGGCGACAGAGTGAAACTCCGTCTCAAAAAAAAAAAAAATTCACTCATTCAAGATTTTTTGAGCAGCACAAGTCACTGTTTTAGGCACTTGTGATAGACCCTAACATCTCTACCCTCATAGAACTTATATTGTAATGGAGAAAGGCAGGCAACAGACATTGTAAATAAATCATATAGTATCTTAAAATTGCATACAAATACCATGGGAAAGGGATAAGGTGGGACTGGGGTTGCAATTTTTAGCAGGGTGGTCATGTGAGAAAGGAATCTCTTTGAGAAGGTTAGATGAGAGGGGAACCATGCTCCGTAAGACATAAAAACAGCTTTAGGGTCAGAAGACGCTTTATACAGATGATCTCACAAGGCTGGGGCAGAGAAAGATGTAGTGATTCCTAATCACCCAGCCTTGAATCCACATCTGCCTCAGGTCAGATTGAGTGCAGATTCCCAACCCAACAGGCCTTCTGTTGCCTGCCCCATTCTGGTCTTTCTGCCTTTGGCTTTTGCTTTTCTTAGTGGCCCTAACCATGGTCTCTTCCCAGCAGGTGAACAGCTCGGAGAAGCTGCAGCTGCAGGAGTGCTTGTGGGCTGGTGAGTTGGGCCTGGGGGCAGCTGGGGCAGGGCCACCTCCTAGGGGTGAAGGTCAGGGCATGGGAGGCAGGCAAGTGGCCAATCCCAGCAAGGATGGGTCTTGGTCAGAGTGGCCTCTCACCCCTTCCAGACTCCCTGGGGCCTCTCAAAGACGATGTGCTACTGTTGGAGACACGAGGCCCCCAGGACAACAGATCCCTCTGTGCCTTGGAACCCAGTGGCTGTACTTCACTACCCAGCAAAGCCTCCACGGTTAGGACTGGGCGACCCTCCTCCACAGATCTCTCCAAATGCATCTCACATCTGGCCTCAAATTTTCACTCCATCCACCCTGTGCCGGTCTCTGGGAACATGGGGGGTGACTCAGACCAGGGCCATATTCAGCGGCATCACCAAAGTCTCCCAGTCCCCTCTACCTCATTCTACCCAGCTGTAGCCTGGTAGGTGCTGCCCTAAGGGTGCTACCTCCAGGTAACAGTGCCCCCATCCTTTGGCTTGGCAGAGGGCAGCTCGCCTTGGAGAGTACTTACTACAAGACCTGCAGTCAGGCCAGTGTCTGCAGGTGAGCTGGTGGAAGAAGGGCCCCACCTCAATGCCTAGGGGCAACAGGCCTAAAACTAGCACTCACCTACTGTCTATTTAGGCTTATTTTATGTTCAGCCCTGGGAAAGTTAAGAGTAGAAGAAGCACAGTTCCTATCCCCAAGGAGCACACTGTTGGCTAGACACCCATAAACAGATAACCACACCTACAGGTGCTAAGTTTTGGGTTCCAGGGAGAGCTTCCGGGAAGAATTTCTTCCTATAAGCCAGATTTGGTATGGAAGAAGTCATACCCTAGTCAGTGGGCACAGCACAAAGGCAGAGCAGCTGCAGGAACCTTAGCCGGGAGATATGCATAGTTGATGCTGGGAATTTGGAGATCAGGCCACCAGAGCTTGGTGAATATTGGAACACCTGGCTGGTGCCCTGGATTTGGTTCTGTTTGTATCTTACAGCTATGGGACGATGACTTGGGAGCGCTATGGGCCTGCCCCATGGACAAATGTGAGTATTGTAAGAACTGCCTTTCCTTTCTGTACCAGGAGTGGGGATCTTGACAGGGACCACTCTTGGGCACAGCACATGCAATGGCCTTGTCCTTCCCTGAGATCAGATAAACAGAGGGTCATTCCTTCATTCACTCAAAAAATGATGAGAGCTTGCAGGGATCGCAGGAACACCAAAAATATAAATCCTTGCCCCCGCCCCACCCCTAGAAGACTAGCAAGACATGAGCCAGTCACTTACATTTAAAGTGGGAGCTACTGAAGCACCACCAAGTGTTCAGTGCTGTAAATGCATACAATGTGGACCTGACCTGGGTGGGGTGAGGGGTGAGGGGCTCAGGGGGAAGGTTCCAGCAAAACTCTGAAGACTGAGCTAGGGGAAGGGGGTAGAGATACAGGGTCTTGGACAGGCAGGTTTCTGTCATGAGATAAAGATGCAGGAGACATGTAGGGGATTTGGATCTTATGTTGAGAGCAGCAGGAGCTACGATCAAATTTTTATATATTTCACACACACACACACACATATATATATATATATATATATATATATATATACTTATTTTTTTATTTATTTTTGAGGCAGAGTCTCACTCTGTTGCCCAGGCTGGAGTGCAATGGCGCGATCTCGGCTAACTGCAACCTCTGCCTCCCGGGTTCAAGCAATTCTCTACCTCAGCCTCCCGGGTAGCTGGGATTAATAGGCGCCTGCCACCATGCCCTGCTAATTTTTGTATTTTTAGTAGAGATGGGGTTTCACCATCTTGGCCAGGCTGGTCTTGAACTCCTGACCTCGTGATCCGCCCGCGTCGGCCTCCCAAAGTGCTGGGATTATAGTCGTGAGTCACCGCACCTGGCCCAAATTTATATTTTTAAAAGATCTCTGAGGCTGTCATGAATCAATTCAAGGCAAATCAATTGGAGGTAAAAAAAAAAAAAAAAAGACAGGGCAGGGACACCAGGTAGTTGCAGACACCCAGGACAGCAAGATCAAGGGCCCAGCAACCCTAGCTTAGGGGAGAAAAACAGCTGACATTTTAGCACTTAAGATGCTCGGCATTGTGTTAAGTATGTATTAACACATTGTGTTAAGCTTTATATGTATTAATATATTTAGTCCTCACACCAACCCTATGACACAGGTACAACTTTACAGAGGAGAAAACTGAGGCAGAGGGTGACATTACTTATTCAAAGACCCCTAAACAGATGGAGCTATATTCATCCACTGGCTCTGACACTGTGCTGTGGACTCTGGGCAAATCATTTCTTCGTTTTTTGTTTTGTTTTGTTTTGTTTTGAGAGGAGTCTCACCCTGTCGCCCAGGCTGGAGTGCAATGGCGCGATCTCGGCTCACTGCAACCTCTGCCTCCCGAGTTCAAGCGATTCTCTTGCCTCAGCCTCCCGAGTAGCTGGGATTACAGGCGTGTGCCACCACGCCCGGCTAATTTTTTGTATTTTTAGTAGAGACGGGGTTTCACCGTGTTAGCCAGGATGGTCTTGATGTCCTGACCTCGTGATCTGCCCGCCTCGGCCTCCCGAAGTGCTGGGATTATATAAAGGCATGAGCCACCGCACCCGGCCCAATTCATTTCTGTTAAGTCTCAGTTTTTCTTCTCTGTGGAGGGTAAGTTTCTAACTCTTCTTCTCTGGGTCTCCCAGACATCCACAAGCGCTGGGCCCTCGTGTGGCTGGCCTGCCTACTCTTTGCCGCTGCGCTTTCCCTCATCCTCCTTCTCAAAAAGGATCACGCGAAAGGTGAGCGCTTCCCGGCTCCCCATTCCCCTGGGGGAGGACCAGAGTGGCTGTGGGAGTTCTCCGAGGGAAAGCGGCGGCCGAGCTCACTGGCTGCCTCCGCCCCTCTCCCCTAACAGGGTGGCTGAGGCTCTTGAAACAGGACGTCCGCTCGGGGGGTGAGTGGGAGCAAGCGCTGGGCGGAGGGCCGCCCCCGGGGAGCCAGGCCTGTGCCAGCTCACCTCTTCCCTCCCCATCTGTTTTCTCCGGCAGCGGCCGCCAGGGGCCGCGCGGCTCTGCTCCTCTACTCAGCCGATGACTCGGGTTTCGAGCGCCTGGTGGGCGCCCTGGCGTCGGCCCTGTGCCAGCTGCCGCTGCGCGTGGCCGTAGACCTGTGGAGCCGTCGTGAACTGAGCGCGCAGGGGCCCGTGGCTTGGTTTCACGCGCAGCGGCGCCAGACCCTGCAGGAGGGCGGCGTGGTGGTCTTGCTCTTCTCTCCCGGTGCGGTGGCGCTGTGCAGCGAGTGGCTACAGGATGGGGTGTCCGGGCCCGGGGCGCACGGCCCGCACGACGCCTTCCGCGCCTCGCTCAGCTGCGTGCTGCCCGACTTCTTGCAGGGCCGGGCGCCCGGCAGCTACGTGGGGGCCTGCTTCGACAGGCTGCTCCACCCGGACGCCGTACCCGCCCTTTTCCGCACCGTGCCCGTCTTCACACTGCCCTCCCAACTGCCAGACTTCCTGGGGGCCCTGCAGCAGCCTCGCGCCCCGCGTTCCGGGCGGCTCCAAGAGAGAGCGGAGCAAGTGTCCCGGGCCCTTCAGCCAGCCCTGGATAGCTACTTCCATCCCCCGGGGACTCCCGCGCCGGGACGCGGGGTGGGACCAGGCGCGGGACCTGGGGCGGGGGACGGGACTTAAATAAAGGCAGACGCTGTTTTTCTACCCATGTGGCCCACACGCGTCTCCGTTTCAGTGGCGGGGCTGGCAAACGTCATTCCCTAGCCCCGCGGCCCTTTAAAGCCCGGACAGGTGCAGCTCGGTGCCGCCTCTGGTTGGCTGGCGTGGGGTGACGTAATGGCACATGGCCCGTCGCCATTGGCTGGGCGGCAAGCTCCGCCCCCTGGACTGCGGCGCGGGTGGGGGTTGTGCGTTTTACGCAGGCTGTGGCAGCGACGCGGTGAGGAGACGGCCCACGGCGCCCGCGGGCTGGGGCGGTCGCTTCTTCCTTCTCCGTGGCCTACGAGGGTCTGGATCCTTCTCTGCCGGCTCGTGGGCCGTGCCTTTGCCCTTCTGCGAGGCCCTGAATCTGATCCCTTCCCTTCATATCCGGATCCGGGCTCCTCCCTCCAAGCCCGGGGTTCCGGACACCTCCCCCAAGACAACCCCTCTGGCCTCCTCTCCTTCAGTACTTGGAATCTGATCTCTTCTCCCTAATTCTGCGGATCCGGCCCCTAATATTCTTTATCAGACCCTCAGACAAGAGGCTGACTTCTGCCCCCTTGTCAAGGAGCGAGGCCACTTTCCTCTCCACCCCATGCTAGCGAGGATAACTTATTTCTCTTCTGGAATTGCATCTTATGCGCCTTTCCCCACCCATCCCCACAGCCCCTGCAATACCCAGTTTGGCCTCTTTTGCTTGTAATAACGCAGATCCCAGCGCCACGGCACCTTAGAACAGACCTTTTTCTTTCTCGCGTGGGGCCTGACTCCTTCAGTGAAGCCTCTCCACGCCCTCTATCTGCAGGTCCCCAGCCTGGGTAAAGATGGCCCCATGGCCCCCGAAGGGCCTAGTCCCAGCTATGCTCTGGGGCCTCAGCCTCTTCCTCAACCTCCCAGGACCTATCTGGCTCCAGCCCTCTCCACCTCCCCAGTCTTCTCCCCCGCCTCAGCCCCATCCGTGTCATACCTGCCGGGGACTGGTTGACAGCTTTAACAAGGTGGGTGCACCGGCAGCCTCGTTAGAGGGGAACACAGCGATTTAGAGTGGGGAACTCTGGGATGCAAATCTGCGTGGATTTAAGTTTCATCTTGGTCTCTTACTAGTTGTATGGCCCTAGGCAGGTTGCCTTTCTGTGCCTCAGTTTCCTAGTCAGTAGAACAGTGAAGTGCTAGCATGTGCCAGGCACTGTACTTAGCTATTACTAATTTTCTGTTTCCAGGGCCTGGAGAGAACCATCCGGGACAACTTTGGAGGTGGAAACACTGCCTGGGAGGAAGAGAATTTGTCCAAATACAAAGACAGGTAAGGGGCTGCTGGGGGAAGGGGTGTATATTCCCCTCCCCGCCAAATCTCTGCTCTGCTGGTGTAGGGCTAGGAACTCTTGGGGAGCACTTATTCATTCAACAAATAGCACTGAACATCTATAGTATAGCAGTAAACAAGGCAAGCAAAATGCCCCCTTCCTGGAGCTCACATTCTAGTAGAGAAGACAAGCAGTGAATGAGTAAGTGAATAATATTATGTCAGATGAAGAACAAACAGTGAAGCACGGTAGACTGCAGGACGGTGGGAGGCAAGGTGTTCAAGGTTTGGCATTTGAACAGAGAGACAGGAAGTGAAGAAGCGAGCTATGTGACAGGGAGGGAATTGGGCAGAGGATGGGACTGAGCTTGGTGTATTTGAGAAGTGGCTGGAGTGGAGTGAGCCAAGGGGAGAGTGCTAGAAGGTGAAGGCAAAGGCTTAAGCCTCGAGGGCTACAGAAAAGAGTTTAGATTTTTTTTGGAGTGTAATGGGAAGCTCTTGGAAGGCTATGAGCAGAAAAAGTGATACTGTCTTCTCTACACCTTTAAAGATTACTCACACTGCTATGTAGCAAACGGATTGTAAGGGGCAAGGGCGGAGGAAGCAGGGAGACCAGTTTGGGAGGCAAGTGCATCATCTAGGTACAAAGGCAACACAAGCTAGTGTGGTATCTAGTGGAGGACATGATGAAGAGGTCACAGTCTGGGTATATTTTGCAGAGAGAACAATAGGACCTGGTGATAGATTCATTATGGGTATAGAGAAACAGTAGAATAAAAGATGCTTACTAGATTTTGGGCCTGAGCAACTGGGTGAGTAGTGCAGCTGTTTTCTAAGATGGTGAGATGCGAAACCGAGAAGGTTTAGGGGAGGGGTGGGATGTGGTGTTCTTTGAACGTATTGGGCTGAAATGTCCATTAGACATCCAGGTAGACTCCATACAAATCTGGAATTCAGAAAAGAGTAGGAATTGGAAACAGGAATTTGAGAGTTGTCATTATATAGTCAGTATGTAAAGAAAGCCATGGGAAGGATACAGAAAGCCATTATATAGTCAATATATGTAATACAGAAAGCCATTTATATAGTCAGTATGTAAAGAAAGGCATGGGAAGGATACAGAAAGGCGAGCCCTGAGCCCTCCAGCTTTTCAAAGTCAGATGGAAGAGGAGTCAGCAAAGGCTCAGAGTTAGACCTGGTTGTCGGTTCTTAACCTCTCAGAGCCACAGTTTCTTCACCTGTAAAATGGGGATATTAATACCTGGTTTGCCTATTTCATAGAAGTGTGGAAAAGGCTTAACTGGGATGCCCACTAGAAATAAAGGTTTTGTTATTATGTAACATTGGTCATTTTCTCTTTTCCTTCGCCGGGCCTGAGTTTCCTCATTCAGGAATGAGGGGATTGGCTAAGACAACCCCAGAGGCACTTCCAGCTTTGTAATGGCTCCTGCGTTGCTTGCTTTTTTAAATCACCTCCTATATGCCAGGCACTGTGCCAGACCCTTTAAATACAGGATATAAGACATCAAATATTTATATATGTGTGTATATATATGTGTGTGTGTATATATATATGTGTGTGTATATATATGTGCATATATGTCTGCGTATATATATGTGCGTATATATATGCGTATATATATATATATATGTATATATTTGTGGTAAAATACACATAAAAAATTTCCCATTAAAGACATTTAATAATATTTACAATGTTGTGTAACCATCACCACTATGTAGTTCCAGAACATTTTCATTACCCCCCCAAAAAATCCTATACCTATTACACAGCCACTCCCTATTCTCCCCTTCCCTCGGCTCTTGGCAATCACTAATTTGTGTTAGTCAAGCAGAAATTATGGATTTGCTGATTTCATTGGAATCATAAAATATGTGGCCTTTTGTGTCTGGCTAGTTTCACTTAGCATAATGTTTTCAAGGTTCACCCATACCGTAGCATATATCAATACTTATTCCTTTTTATGGCTGAATAATATTCTCATTTGGCTGTACCACATTTTGTTTAACCATGCATCAGTTGATGGACATCTGCATTGTTTCTACCTTTTGGCTGTTGTGAATAGTGCTGCTATGAACATTGTCTACAAGTTTTCGTTTGAACACCTGTTTTCCATTCTTTTGGGTCTATATCCAGTAGTGGAATTGGCAGGTCCTATGGCAATTCCATGTTTTACTTATTGAGGAACTGCTTTTCCACAGTGGTGATGCCATTTTGTATTCCCACCTGCAGTGTGGGAGGATTCTAATTTCTCCACATCCCTGCCAACACTTGTTATAGGATGTATTTTTAGCCATATCTACCCAGCAAGGGTATTATATTCCATTGCTCAGATGCAGGAACTGATGTATGTTACAACAAACCTGCAGGGAAGGTATTGTCATCCCCATTTTACAGATGACAAAACAAAGAGGTTCAGAGAGGTTAAGTGACTTGCCCACTAGATCTACCACTAGATTTGAACCCAGGTCTCTCTGCTTCCCAGAACCATGACCCCTTCCATTATACCTCATGGCCTCTCCTTTGATATTTTCACCGCACGAGGAAGGGTGGAGAGAGACTTGAGGAGGGTGGTGGGTGGGGTGGGGCATGTTTCCCACCAGCCCTGCCCTGTCCGATCAGTGAGACCCGCCTGGTAGAGGTGCTGGAGGGTGTGTGCAGCAAGTCAGACTTCGAGTGCCACCGCCTGCTGGAGCTGAGTGAGGAGCTGGTGGAGAGCTGGTGGTTTCACAAGTGAGTGGCAAAGGGCCTTCCCTGGAAGTGGGTCACAGGTGAGGCCTGGTGATAAGGCCTGATTTGGCCGAGAAGCAGGGGGGTGCATGCTGGGGCCCATGTCCTGGTTGTGCTCCTTCCAAACCCAGGTCTGCTAAGAACTTGCCGGGGGACTTGCGCTCCACTTTGAGCCTCAGTTTACCCTTCTGCCAAATGGGGAAAGGGCATTGGTCAGATGGCCTTTTGGGTCTTATGTCCAAGCTGGGTTGAATCACAGATTCAGGCATGGGGGAATGGGAACAGCACTTATGACACTATCTCAGCACCTCCTCCCCACCTCCCTCCACCCTGCCCCTGCCTCAGGCAGCAGGAGGCCCCGGACCTCTTCCAGTGGCTGTGCTCAGATTCCCTGAAGCTCTGCTGCCCCGCAGGCACCTTCGGGCCCTCCTGCCTTCGTGAGTTTTTAAGTTGCTCTTGGGGATGGGAGGGGACCACCGAGTCCAGGGATCCAGTCCTGGCTCTGTCCCTAGTTCGCTGTGTGAACTCAGGCTACTCAGATAAACTTCTCTGGACCTCAGTTCTTGCCTGCCTGACAGGGCTGGGGAGATGGGCAAATCAGTGGGGAAAGGCTTGGAGAAAGCACAGGGGCTAGACTGAGTCATATGCAGTATAGTTATCATCATGTACTAAAGAAATGATAGACTTCCCAGCCCCTTCATTTCCCATGCCAGATCGGACTATGGTACCTTCCTGGGGAGGGGCGGGTGCTGACCTGGAGCCTCCATGATCGCCATCCATCCTCACACACAGTCCTGGCACAAGAGCTGAACTTACTACCAGCCTCTTTTAGAGCAGTCTTTCCTGAAGCTACAGATAAAGAGCTAGCTACAAAGATGGCAAATTCAGTCTTTGTAAAAGAAAATATTGGCTGGGCGCGGTGGCTCACACCTGTAATCCCAACACTTTGGGAGGCTGCGGTGGGTGGATCATGAGGTCAGGAGATCGAGACCATCGTGGCTATCATGGTGAAACACCGTCTCTACTAAAAAATACAAAAAATTAGCCGGGCATGGTGGCGGGCGCCTCTAGTCCCAGCTACTCTGGAGGCTGAGGCAGAAGAATGGCATGAACCCGGCAGGCGGAGCTTGCAGTGAGCCGAGATCATGCCACTGCACTCCAGCCTGGGCGACAGAGCGAGACTCTGTCTCAAAAAAAAAAAAGAAAATATTTGGTCCAGTGGCTCGTACCTGTAAACCCAGCACTTTGGGAGGCTGAGGCAGGAGGATCACTTGAGGCCAGGAGTTTGAGAGACCAGCCTGGGTAGTAGAGCAAGACCCTGTCTCTTAAAAAAAAAATAGTGGGGCATGGTAGTGCAGCCTGTTGTTCCCCTAGGCTGAGGTGGGAGGATTGCTTGAGCCCAGGAGTTCGAAGCTGCAGTGAGCTATGATCATGTCATTGCCTGGGAAACAGAGCGAGACCCTGTCACTAAAAATAAATAAATAAATAAATAAATAAATAAATAAATAAATAAATAAAAGGTCTGTAAAATCTAATTGTTCCACAAGAGGAAATTGGTTAAGTAAATGTCAGTTTTATGACAAAATATTATGTCATTAAAATTAATTTTCTTCTCCAAAAATGTTTACTGATATGCAGAGCAGAAAATATTATCTTGTTTTTTTTGTTTTTTTGTCTTTTTTATTGATCATTCTTGGGTGTTTCTCCCAGAGGGGGATTTGGCAGGGTCATAGGACAATAGTGGAGGGAAGGTCAGCAGATAAACAAGTGAACAAAGGTCTCTGGTTTTCCTAGGCAGAGGACCCTGCGGCCTTCCGCAGTGTTTGTGTCCCTGGGTACTTGAGATCAAGGAGTGGTGATGACTCTCAACCAGCATGCTGCCTTCAAGCATCTGTTTAACAAAGCACATCTTGCACCGCCCTTAATCCATTTAACCCTGAGTGGACACAGCACATGTTTCAGAGAGCACAGGGTTGGGGATAAGGTCATAGATCAACAGGATCCCAAGGCAGAAGAATTTTTCTTAGTACAGAACAAAATGAAAAGTCTCCCGTGTCTACTTCTTTCTACACAGACACAGCAACCATCCGATTTCTCAGTGTTTTCCCCACCTTTCCCCCTTTTCTATTCCACAAAACCGCCATTGTCATCCTGGCCCGTTCTCAATGAGCTGTTGGGTACACCTCCCAGACGGGGTGGTGGCCGGGCAGAGGGGCTCCTCACTTCCCAGTAGGGGCAGCCGGGCAGAGGCGCCCCTCACCTCCCGGACGGGGCGGCTGGCCGGGCGGGGGGCTGACCCCCTCACCTCCCTCCCGGACGGGCTGGCTGCCCGGCGGAGACACTTCTCACTTCCCAGACGGGGCGGCTGCCGGGCGGAGGGGCTCCTCACTTCTCAGACAGGGCGGCCGGGCAGAGACGCTCCTCACCTCCCAGACGGGGTCGCGGCCGGGCAGAGACGCTCCTCACTTCCTAGATGGGATGGCGGCCGGGCAGAGACGCTCCTCACTTTCCAGACTGGGCAGCCTGGCAGAGAGGCTCCTCATATCCCAGACGATGGGCCGCCAGGCAGAGACGCTCCTCACTTCCCAGACGGGGTGGTGGCCGGGCAGAGGCTGCAATCTCGGCACTTTGGGAGGCCAAGGCAGGCGGCTGGGAGGTGGAGGTTGTAGCGAGCCGAGATCACGCCACTGCACTCCAGCCTGGGCACCATTGAGCACTGAGTGAACGAGACTCCGTCTGCAATCCCGGCACCTCGGGAGGCCGAGGCTGGCGGATCACTCGCGTTTAGGAGCTGGAGACCGGCCCGGCCAACACAGCGAAACCCCGTCTCCACCAAAAAAATACGAAAACCAGTCAGGCGTGGTGGCGCGCGCCTGCAATCGCAGGCACTCGGCAGGTTGAGGCAGGAGAATCAGGCAGGGAGGTTGCAGTGAGCCGAGATGGCAGCAGTACAGTCCAGCTTCAGCTTGGCATCAGAGGGAGACCGTGTAAAGAGAGGGAGAGGGAGACCATGGGGAGAGGGAGAGGGAGGCCATGGGGAGAGGGAGAGGGAAAGGGGGAGGGGGAGGGGAGGGGGGGAGGGAGGGAAGGCAAGGGAGAGGGAGAGGGAGAGGGAGAAAATATTATCTTGTATATCAAGGTTGTATAGATGACCTCACCTGGTTTGGTGTCTTCCCACAGCCTGTCCTGGGGGAACAGAGAGGCCCTGCGGTGGCTACGGGCAGTGTGAAGGAGAAGGGACACGAGGGGGCAGCGGGCACTGTGACTGCCAAGCCGGCTACGGGGGTGAGGCCTGTGGCCAGTGTGGCCTTGGCTACTTTGAGGCAGAACGCAACGCCAGCCATCTGGTATGTTCGGGTAGGTAGCCAAAAGGTGTGGCACTGGGCAGGGGCAGATGGGGCACCTGCCTGCCCATCCTCATGCTGCCCCCATTCCACCCAGCTTGTTTTGGCCCCTGTGCCCGATGCTCAGGACCTGAGGAATCAAACTGTTTGCAATGCAAGAAGGGCTGGGCCCTGCATCACCTCAAGTGTGTAGGTAAGTGGGGCCCTAGCTAGGTCTGGGAAGATGGTCAGGGGCCTGGGCTTGGTCCTTTATTCTCTCAACACAAGCCTGGGCTAGACTAGCCTAGTCTCCACCTTCATGGAGATCTCAACCTGGCTGGGAAGGCAGAAAAGTAACCAGATACTTACAGTCCAGTACACAGGTACTGTGTAGTATAGTCCCTGTGTACAGTGAGAGATGCCTCTGATCTAGTTCAGTGGAAGTGGTGATGGGGAATCAGGAAAGGCTTCTTGGAGGAGGCGTTACTTTGGCCAAGTCCTAAAAATTGAGGAAGGGGCTGGGCGCGGTGGCTCACGCCTGTAATCCCAGCACTTTGGGAGGCCAAGGCGGGCAGATCATGAGATCAGGAGATCGAGACCATCCTGGCTAACATGGTGAAACCCTGTCTCAACTAAAAATACAAAAAATTAGCTGGGCGTGGTGGCGGGTGCCTGTAGTCCCAGCTACTCAGGAGGCTGAGGCAGGAGAAGGGCATGAACCTGGGAGGCGGAGCTTGCAGTGAGCCGAGATCGCACCACTGCACTCCAGTCTGGGCAACAGAGGGAGACTCCATCTCAAAAAAAAAAAAAAAAAAAAAAAAAAATGAGGAAGGGTTGGCTAGGAGAATGAGGACACTGAACTTGGGGTCAGGAAACCTGGGTTCAAGACTTGGTTTGGTCCCAGCCTAGCCACTTATATAGACTAAAGTAAAGGCTAAGCTGCTGTAACAAAAATCCCCAAAAGACTGTGGCTTAAAGAGTATAGAGGTTGGCTGGGTGTGGTAGCTCACTCACGCCTCTAATCCCAGCACTTTGAGAGGCTGAAGTGGGGTGGATCACCTGAGGTCAGGAGTTCGAGACCAGCCTGGCCAACATGGCAAAACCCTGTCTGTACTAAAAATACAAAAATTTAGCCAGGCATGGTGGCAGGTGCCTGTAATCCCAGCTACTCGGGAGGCAGAGGCAGGAGAGTCGCTTGAATCCAGGAGGCAGAGGTTGCAGTGAGCCAAGATCACACCATTGCACTCTAGCCTGGGTGACAAGAGCGAAACTCCATCTCAAAAAAAAAAAAAAGAATCTAGAGGGTAGAGGTTTATTTTTTTTTATCATATTACAGTCCCAAAGTGAGTAGTCCAGGCTGGCAGGGGAGCTCTGCTAGTCATAATCATTCCAGTACCCAGATTATTCCTGTAACTTACTGCACAATCATCCCCTTGGGCGTTGTCTGCATGGTTGAAGCTGAGTCCTGGGCATCTCTGTGTCCCACATGCCAGCACTCAGGAAGGGAGAAGGGAAAGAAAGTGCATTGAGGAGTCCAAGCATTGTTTTAAGACCAAGCTAACGGTGGAGCTCATCACTCCTGTTTACATCCTGTTGGCCAGAACTCAATCACAGGGACACACTTAGCTTCAAGACAGGTTGGCAAATGTGGTCTCTGGCTGGGCAGCCTGAAGTCCAGCTAGTCTGCTTCTGTGTTGGTAGACAGCTTGCAGTCTCTGCCATACCATTTAATCCCAGGCAAGACCATTCCCCAACGGCTCTGGCTTCAGCTTCCCTACTAAATAGGGATTGAAATTCTCACCCTGCTCACCTCTCTGCAGACATTGATGAGTGTGGCACAGAGGGAGCCAACTGTGGAGCTGACCAATTCTGCGTGAACACTGAGGGCTCCTATGAGTGCCGAGGTCAGTGTCTACTTCTGCAGAGGAGGGGACGTGAGGAGTGGAGGAAGAGCTGCTCCACACCTGTCCCTCCAAACCTTCCCCTTCTCAGGCTTCAGAGCACCCCCAGGCCTCCGCTTCTGGAGCGTGGCTCCCCTGGGCCTAGGTGCACATCTCACCCTCATCTTTCTCTCCTCTCTCCAGACTGTGCCAAGGCCTGCCTAGGCTGCATGGGGGCAGGGCCAGGTCGCTGTAAGAAGTGTAGCCCTGGCTATCAGCAGGTGGGCTCCAAGTGTCTCGGTGAGTCTCCTGCTGATGGGACACAGGCACCTGGGAGTGCCTCACCCAGCATGAATGGTGAAGAGGCTGGAATATGGGCAGGTGGGGGAAGGAAGGGTGGAATGTTGCCTGGGCAAGGGCAGAGGGGAGTGTTGAGAGATGGACAAGATGGAGTCAGGGTGCTGGGTGGGGGGCCCTAGCAGGACTCTGACCCCTCCCTCCCCTCAAGATGTGGATGAGTGTGAGACAGAGGTGTGTCCGGGAGAGAACAAGCAGTGTGAAAACACCGAGGGCGGTTATCGCTGCATCTGTGCCGAGGGCTACAAGCAGATGGAAGGCATCTGTGTGAAGGAGCAGATCCCAGGTGAGCCCTGGGGCGGGAGAGGGGAGGTCCTCATTCAAAGAGAAGGCAGGCAAGCCCCTTCCCCAGGTAGCAGTGGCAGCTCCAGGCCCTGCCCCATCCCTACTGCCACCCAGCCCCCTGGAGGCTGCACTGAGACCGGGCTCTACATCTGATCTCCAGGTTGGCTCTCAGCAGCCTTATACCTTCCAGGGTACAAAGGGAATCAGACCTGGCATCAAATCAGTCTGCCTCCTTAACCTGTTTCCTCATCTATCCAATGGGACCAGTGTTTGCCCTGGCCTGCTGAGAGCTGTCCTAGGCCGGGGGTGTGGTGAGATGCAGGGTAATCACAACGATGATGGCAGGGACCATTTCCCCAGCAATTACTGTGTCAGATGCTGTTCTAGGTGCATTCCCCATCTTAACTGATTTAACCCCTGAAACAACCCGACGCTGGAAGTTGGGTTCTCATCCCCACTCTACATATGTAAAAATGAAGATGCAGAGAGATGAAGCTACTTTCCCAGGGCTATATGGCAAGCAAGTCGCAAAGCTGGGATCCCAATCCAGACAGTCTGACCGTGGAACGAGACTCATACACGTAATAAATGCTCTGCCCCCAACTTGTCCACCACATGGCCTTGGCAAGTCCAACCCCTTTACCTCTCTGAGCCTCACTTTCCCATTTAGTGAGACAGGGATGGTAACTGCCCCTTGCAGGGTGGTTTTGAGCAGTAAATGTAGTGTGCCTGGCTTGCTGGGCAGGCCTGGTGGCCATGATGATCAGGTGTGTGGGAGTTCTGGGGAGACTCCAAGAACTACCAGGAACAGGGATACGAGTGCCAGGCTGCATCTCTTGCTCCTCTGCAGAGTCAGCAGGCTTCTTCTCAGAGATGACAGAAGACGAGTTGGTGGTGCTGCAGCAGATGTTCTTTGGCATCATCATCTGTGCACTGGCCACGCTGGCTGCTAAGGGCGACTTGGTGTTCACCGCCATCTTCATTGGGGCTGTGGCGGCCATGACTGGCTACTGGTTGTCAGAGCGCAGTGACCGTGTGCTGGAGGGCTTCATCAAGGGCAGATAATCGCGGCCACCACCTGTAGGACCTCCTCCCACCCACGCTGCCCCCAGAGCTTGGGCTGCCCTCCTGCTGGACACTCAGGACAGCTTGGTTTATTTTTGAGAGTGGGGTAAGCACCCCTACCTGCCTTACAGAGCAGCCCAGGTACCCAGGCCCGGGCAGACAAGGCCCCTGGGGTAAAAAGTAGCCCTGAAGGTGGATACCATGAGCTCTTCACCTGGCGGGGACTGGCAGGCTTCACAATGTGTGAATTTCAAAAGTTTTTCCTTAATGGTGGCTGCTAGAGCTTTGGCCCCTGCTTAGGATTAGGTGGTCCTCACAGGGGTGGGGCCATCACAGCTCCCTCCTGCCAGCTGCATGCTGCCAGTTCCTGTTCTGTGTTCACCACATCCCCACACCCCATTGCCACTTATTTATTCATCTCAGGAAATAAAGAAAGGTCTTGGAAAGTTAAAAGGCATCAGTCTTACTACCTGTCCCACCACCCCCACCTTAGGGAAATGTCCTAGAATCCTGGGAAATTGAGGGCTTCTTTGATGGTGAGTGGAGAAAAGATAGAGGAGAAGGTTGCCCCTGAAGTGCTGTTAGGAGAAGGAGGATAGAGGAATCAGCCTTAGGAGGGTTCCATGCCAGCTGTCATTTGGCAAAGGACCCTGGACAGATGACTTTTGCCTCTGAACTTCACTCTTCTCTTTCCTCAAATGGGCTTCATAATGCTTTCCACTCAGGCTTAACATGAGAATTAAATGAGGTGACAAATGTGAAGACCTGGACAGTACACAACAGATATTCAATAAAAGTGTGGTCGCCATTATGACCAGAGCCTCCAAGCCTCAAGCAACCTTTCCTCGGAGTCCTGCTCTCCGTCCAATACACAGGACTTAGAATGACTGGGAGGCAGGGCCTCCAGTCTCTCCTTCCTCCTATGAGTACAGGATCCTGGCATGGCCAGAGGGAAGCATGAGCCAAGTCCTAAGGGTTTATTTCTTTGGCACAAAGAGGACAATCTAGACAAGCGAGGCTCATCACTCCACGTTGGGGAGTCTGGGGCACCTGCTCCCTGTTCTTCATGCCCGAATCCATGCACACCCACCCTGTATTCCGCATAAGACACGGCCTCTGTGCAAAATGCCGGCTGAAAAAAAAATAGAAATATTAAAAGCAAAAAACGGCATGGGGGTGGGGTGAGTTCAAACCTGGCTGTCCCCCGGGGGTTGCCGTCAGGTAGAGAGGCCTGGGGATGCCTTTTTTTTTTTTTTTTTTTTTTTTTTTTTTGAGACGGAGTCTCACTCTTGTCACCCAGGCTGGAGTGCAATGGCGTGGTCTCGGCTCACTGCAACCTCTGCCTCCCTGTTCAAGCAATTCTCCCGCCTCAGCCTCCCGAGTAGCTGGGACTACAGGCGTGTGCCACCTGGCTAATTTTTTTGTATTTTTAGTAGAGACGAGGGTTTCGCTATGTTCGAGACCAGGAGGCTGATCTCGAACTCCTGACCTCGTGTTCCACCCACCTCGGCCTCCCAAAGTGCTGGGATTCCTGGCGTGAGCCACCGCGCCTGGCCAGGATGCCCATTTTTTAAAGGCTCAACTGTCCCAGTAGGCCATGCCATGTGGGCATCGGGCAGGGTCCTGGCCCTGCGTCAGGACCGCTCTTCAAAGCTCGATGGTATCACTGGAGGCGCTGCGGGATTCCCCAGGCTTGCCGCGCGGCTGGACCTCTCCCTGGCCGTCCCCCTGCCGAGCGGCGGTAGAATCAGGGGCTGGGGTCGGGGCAGGCAGTAGCTGTACCGTGCTGGGCAACTCATCTAGGGGCAGACTGTCCACTGATGACAGCCCGTGGCGCCAGGGGTTCCAACTGATCTTGAGTGAACCCCTGGAGAAGCTGTCGAGGGAGCTGCCAGAAGCCGCAGCGGCTGCCCCGTCGGGTGCTTCCACTACGTGCTGTGGGACCGGCCCGCGCACGCGCACGTCGCTGAGCGACCTGCAGCGGCCGCGGAGGAGCGAGGAGCCAGCGTCGTCGAGCTCGGCTTTGGGATGGCTGCCCCGGCGCGGCCGCAGAGCGCCTCCAGGCGGCGGGGAGGCCAGGCCGCGGAGGCCGCAGCGCTGGAACACACTGTCTCGCACTAGGTGCTCGCGGAAGAGCGCGGCGTCGATGCTGCGGCTCAGGTTGATGGGCGATGGCGGCCGCAGATCCAGCTCGCTCAGCGATGGCGCCGGTCCCACACCGTTGCGGGACAGTCCCGGGCCACCCTGGGGTCCGCGACCCAACGACGCAGCCGAGCCCCAGGCGCCTGAACTGGGCGTGGCCAGCTGCCCACTCTCCGCCGGGTTGCGGATGAGGCTCTTGCTGATGTCCAAGCTGCCTGCACCAACGTTGCTGGGCCCTGCATAGCAGTTATTGGGTCGCTCCGGCACCTCGCTCTTTCCTGACGGCGCCGGGCACGCCAGACGCATCAGCTTAGCCCAGCAAGCGTGCTCCGTGGGCGGCCTGGGTCTCGCGGCAGCCACCGCGGCCAACGCCAGGGCGAGCGCCCATGTCAGCTCCAGGAGGCGCAGCCAGAAGTGGACACCCCACCAGGCCCACGAGAAGCGGCCCACGCGGCCTGGGCCCGGGTACAGCCAGAGCGCAGCCGCCAGCTGCAAGCCGCTAGCCAGCAGCCCCAGCGCGCCCGCCACAGCCAACAGCCGAGGGCCCGGGCTGGCATCCCAGCCCCGTGGGCCGTCCAGCAGGCGGCGACGGCACAGGCAGAGCGTGCCCAGAGCCACGGCCGCGCCCCAGGCGCACGACAAGCCCTGCGTCAGGAGGTTGAGCACAGACCATGTGGACAGCAGGTCTGTCGCGAGCAACCCTACACCATGCACCAGCGCCACTGCTCCCAGCAGGAGTGGGTTTTGCAGCGGTGGCGGCAGCCCCGCGCCCAGGCCGAGCAGAGTCAGGGCTGCCAGCGCCGTAAGCAGCAAGGGGAAGGGCAGGTTGTAGAGCACCAGGCCCCCGCGAACGCCCAGCCGCGCCTGCGAGCCGTAAGGGTCGGTAAGCATGTAGGCGGATCGCAGCGCCGAAGCCACGAGCACCAGCACCGCGGCCACCAATGCCAGCCGGGGCCCTGCTGGGGCGGCTGCCAGCGCAGCCAGCGCCAACAACGCGGGCAGCAGAAAGAGTACCCCCACCCCGTAGACGTGCAGCTCCCAGGAGAAGCTCAGGACCCGCCGAAGGGGGCCCCAGCGTAGCGGGGGTGCAGTGGCGTTGGCTGGGGGGCTGGAGGCTGGGGCTGAAGCCATGGAGCTGGCGGTGGGCTCCGGAGGGGGAGGCTGGCCCAGGGCTCGCTGCGTGGTGACTCGAATGAGGCCCCGGCGTGACGTCGAGGGGGCCTGGACTGGGGGTGCTGGGGGATGGCTTTGGGGGCGCCCCGGCCACTCCTCGGCTTCATCTGCAATTATAACAATATTAAAATAGCCATTTGAAAAGTGCTTTTGATTTTGTATCACCCTCTAGTGTGGTTGGCAAGTCATTTAACTTTTCCAAACAAATCTGCAAAATGGAGATAACAGCACCTGCCTCATTGCGTTGTGAAGAAGATGAAATGTTTAGCCCGGTGCCCAACACCCAGTAAGTGCTAAATGGATGTCAGCTATCATTTTCATTAATGCTACTATCAGGGAGGTAGTACCCCAGCAGTTCGACACATGGGCTGCATATTAGAATCTTCTGGAGACCAAGGAATAAGAATTTCTTGGGACGTGGCTTGGGCATTGGAATTTTTTTCTTTTTTTCTTTTGACAGGTTCTCACTCTGTCATCCAGGCTGGTGTGCAGTGGTGCAATGTGGGCTTACTGCAGCCTTGACCTCCAGGACAAGTGATCTCCCACCTCAGCCTCCGGAATAGCTGGGACTACAGGTATGCACCACCACGCCCAACTAATTTTTATATATTTTTTTTGTTCTAAACATATCCATGTTACATATTAGAACATTCTAGCCCCAAAAGGGCAAATGACTTCTCCCAGATTTCCCAGTGAGTATGAATTTATTATCCTAGGTTGTTTGAAGGAGGCCCTGGGCAACTCCTTTAAGGAGGTGATTGTCTCCATTCATTCCCCACCCTCCGCCCCCATACATCCCCAACAGAGGTTCTCAGTTACTAGACAGAGCACTCCCTCTCCCCACACCCCAGCCATGCTCTCACCTGGCTGCAGGGCCCCCATGGGGCTCTCTGTTCGGTTTACAGCTGGGCCAGGGTCTGAGGGACCAGGGATGAGAGACTTGGGGGTGCCTGGGGCCTCCACAGCTCCTCTCACCCGCTGGGGGGAGATGGGGTCTGCTCCATTCATTGCTGCTCTCTCTGAAATGACAAAGCAGTCATCACCTTACCTGACCCTCCTATGGTCCTCCTAATCCCTCAGGATTGAGTCACAATCAACCTCATTTGCCACAAAGAGGAAAATGAGACCTAGAGGGACCCAGGGTCAAACAGAATTGAGGCATCCAGCTGCCCCAGAACATCGCTCAGCACACTCATTGATACCCACCTGGCTTAGACGGCCGATCAGGAGCCTCTGAGGCGGGTGGATCCGTGGGCTGGGGTCCTGGTGAATCCTTAGCGTCAGGAAGGTCAGCCTGCTTGGGCGGGGGACCTGGGGAGCTGACTTCCCAGGACACCTCAGCGCCAGCCCTCTTGGGGGTCTCAACCGGCAGCTCCTCAGCAGGAGGAAGGCTTCTGGCCAATGCCAAGTCTGGCTGGGCCCCTGGCTCCTGAGAGTACACCACCTCAACTGGGGGTACTGAGCCAACATCAGGGGCTGCTGGATCCTGCTGGGTGAAGTGGGGACCTTGAGCTGCCTCCTGCAAGTGTTCCTCAAACCCACCCTGTCCTTCCAGCACTGGCCTCTTGACAGTACCTGAGTGGGAAACAAGGGTGTGGGGTGGGCCCTGGTGGTCTGAGGGAGAAGTGGGTGGGACCCTGCTCTTAGTTTTGGCCTTCAGACCCTCATCTCTAGGTGGCCACTGTCCCTCTTGGCCTTCATGCTGCAGGGAGGGAGGAACTGTGGCTACCCTGAGTTGACGTCTGGGAGTTGTGGGGATGAAAGTGAGATGAGGGTGGCCCACTGGGTGGGGAGCCACTGCTTCTTGCTGCAGAAGCTCTTGTGAGTCCAGAGGTCCTGTCCAGCCGTGGGAGCTTGGTCCTTGAGCCATCTGGAGGTCATCAGTTACTGGGAGTCGTTCTCTCTGAGCTCCTTGTGCTGCTTTGGGCCCGTACAGGGCTGGGCCAAGGGGAGAGGCTACAGGCTTCTCAGGCATCTCTTCAGCAGGGGCGTGGCGGACATCAGAGTTCCTGTGACTGTCAGCTCTGGGGTTCTCCGGGAACACGTCAAAGGCCTGGGGCTCTGAGCCCACAGAGCCCTTGGGGTGGGCTCCAGGGATCATAGGGATTTCGGAGTTTTCAAGTGGCCTGGGAAAGCCCCTCCCCAGGGCAGGGCCAGTCCCCAGGAGTGGCAGCAGCAACAGCAGAAGGCCACATACACAGCCCCATGGGCTGGAGGCCATGGTCTACTCCGATGCCTGGGCCTAAAGCCCCCACCTTCCAGTCCTCACTGGATGAGCCTAAAAAAAAAACAGGGCATGGAATGACATGTGAGGGCTGGGGGCCCCCATGCCTTCCTCAAGGGGCTGACAGGAAAGAAAAGCAACGCAAGGCAGCAGCTTCTCTGCTTTTAAAATTGCTGGACGTGGCACTTGCCCTGCTTTAAAACCTTCAGTGGCTCCCCATTTCCCTCAAGAAAGAACATAAGCTCCTCTCCTGGCCTTCCAAGACCCTGGCCACCACAAGCTGTTCATCTGTCCTCCAACACCCACTGGACTGTGTGGCTCCCATGCCTTTTGCTTCTGCTGTTCTGTCAGCAGGGAATGCTCTCTCCCTTCCCCTTCACTTACTGAAATCCTGTTCTTTTTGAGACGGAGTCTTGCTCTGTCGCTCAGGCTGGAGTGCAGTGGCGTGATCTCGGCTCACTGCAACCTCCACCTCCCAGGTTCAAGTGATTCTCCTGCCTCAGCCTCCCGAGTAGCTGGGGTTACAGACATGTGCCACCACACCTGGCTAATTTTTATATTTTTAATAGAGATGGGGTTTTGCCATGTTGGCAAGGCTAGTCTTGAACTCCTGACCTCAGGTAATCTGCCCATCTTGGCCTCCTAAAGTGCTGGGATTACAGGCATGAGCCACTGCACCCTGCCTGAAATGTTATTCCTAAAGGCCCACTTCAAAAATGAGAGACGTGGAGAGGGAGAGGAATATGCACCGGCCTTTGGCGAGGGGCCTGAGTTTGAATCCCAGTGTCTTCATTTCCTGGGGGAGTCATTTCACCTCTCTGCATCATAGTTTTCCCATCAGTAAAATGGGGATAATAAGCATGCCTAACTCAAGGCATGAGACAAATAACCAAACAGGTATGGGCGAGGTTCATACCTGATGCTTGACAAGCGTTACACATTCCTCTTCCCGCCTTCCTTCCCTCATCTTCCTGGGCACTTGTCACTCTGGTCTGATTCTATAATAATCTCCTGCCTCTTATTTCAAACCTGCAGCCTCCAGTATATACCTGGCCCCACGTGGATATCCCCTAAAAGTTCCTGTTCTCGAGAGCCTGTCAGTGGGCCAGGGAGGCAGGAAGGGGCCCCACCACCAGGAGAGGTTTCATGGAGGGTGCGAGAGCTGAAGCCTGGGTGTGTTTGGCGGCAGAGGCCCTGCTCTTTTCCTCTCTGGGGAGCAGCTGTCCCCAAAGCTTCCTGGCTGTTAACCCATGGTGGCTCACAGACACCTTAAGAAGCCACTGAAAACCCCTGGTGCTCTCCCGGGGAAAAGACCCAGGCTCACCGAAAGTTGTGAACAATTTCAAGGGGTTCAAAGACCTTTGAGTCCCATCCTCCAAACTCGAGTTTAGACTCTGTCTTAAAGCCTTGTTAGTTCATTTCTCAAACATTCACGGAGCCCCATGGGCTGCTCCTGGTCTAGGCTAGGTGCTGGGGGCCCAGAGACAGGGCTTTGCTCCAGGGTTGGGAGTAGGGGTGCGCTGAGACGCCCCTAACACAGGTACTGGCTAAAAACAGTGCTCCTGTGTTTAGTTCTTTCCCAGTGAGGCTCCTGCGCTGAGCTTAGCAACACGTCACTCCGCCCTCCCAATACAAGGTGTGGGAACAGCCATTTCACAGGGGGAAGAAACGGGGGTTCAGAGAGGGTGAGCAACTCCCCCAAGGTCACACAGCTGAGTGGACACAATCGGGGTTGTGAAACCCTCGGAGGCTCATCTTCCACAGGAGGTCCAAAAAGCTTTGCCGAGAAAACGGCTGAATGGGGCCTCCAAAGATAAACATGCCATCTGCCTACCACTGCCAACCCAAGAGATGTGGGCACCTGCGGACAAGGCGGGGGCTTGCCCAGCCCTGGGCTCCCACTCTGCTGGAGAGGCTGTGGGGGGTGGCGGATCTCTCTGCCGCAGGGACTGGGGAGAGGCCGGCCTGGGGGCAGGGCGAGGCCGTTGCGGGGCAGCCTCGGAGCTGGTCCATCTCGGGTTACCTCTCCTCCTCCTCCTCCTCCTCCTCCGTCTCCTCTCTCCCTGGCTCCGCGCCTTCCCGCAGTGTCCTGGATGGGGGTGGGCGCCGTGCAGGCCTGGTCGCCTGCGCCCGCGACGGGGGCAGCAGGCCACGCTCCCCGTCGGGGTCCCGCCATCGCCCCCTCCCTGGGCCAGCTCCTCACCTGCGCGCCGCAGCCCCCGTGTTCACCTTGCGCGCGTCCCTGCAGCCGATCGCCGCGCCGCATCCTCCGAGATGCTCAGACTCGGCTAACAGAGCCCGGCGCTGCCGATCGCGAGCCCGCCCACAGGAGCGCAGCCCTGCTTAACTCTTTCCCCTTAGGGGTGGACTCTTCTGTCAACCCTGACTTCCCCTCGCTCAGGGATTGTCAGGGCTCAGAGTGGAACCGAGGTCATCTCTGAGGGATGTGGAAATGTCTTCTGCAGCATCCCTGAAAACGGGGCAGCTAGCCTCTGCTTGCATACCTCATGGGACGGGGAGCTCACTTCCTTTCTATATCCCTACATCCTTTTAGGTAAATCCTACCTACAGCTTGGTATGTATCCTTCAGATTCTTCTCAATGTACAGTTACATGTACATCTTAAATAGAAATGACATCATACTGTATACTTTTTTTTTTTTTTTTTGAGACAGTCTTGCTCTGTCGCCCAGGCTGGAGTGCAGTGGCGTGATCTCGGCTCACTGCAACCTCCGCCTCCCAGGTTCAAGTGGTTCTCCTGCCTCAGCCTCCCTAGTAACCATGCCTGGCTAATTTTTATATTTTTAGTGGAGACAGGGTTTCACCATGTTGGCCAGGGTGGTCTCGAACTCCTGACCTCAGGTGATCAGCCCGCCTCGGACCCCCAAAGTGTTGGGATTACAGGCGTCAGCCACCGTGCCCAGCCACTGTACACATTTCTGTAATTTGTCTTTTTCACTTTCCAATATATTCTGGCACATTTTTCATGTAAATATCTATAGATCTATATCATTTCTTGTATCCACTGTTGAGAATTCCAGCATATGGTCAGCTAGTTATTGTTCTTTATCCTGTCCCCTGTAATTGGACATAGGTTGTTTCTAGCCTTTTGCTCGCAGGGATAATGGAGCAGGGGCCATTCCTTGCTTAACACATCACTGTGCACGTACACTAGTGCACCTACCAGATAATTGCCTAGCCGAGGCATGGTAGTAAAATCTATGGGTCTGCATATGGGGCTGGTAGACACTGTCAAAATGTTCTTGGTCTTTCTTTGAACACCTCTTGATATACTAAACATCCATTATTAGGCTCAATTCCTTAAGGGAAAGCCACACAGGAAATATATGTGGTTATCAAAAATGAGATAGGGCTGGGTGCAGTAGCTCACACCTGTAATCCCAGCACTTTGGGAGGCCTAGAGAGGAGGATCATTTTGAGCCCAGGAGTTCAAGACCAGCATGGGCAAGATGGTGAGACTTTTTTAAATTAAAAAACAAACAAAAAAACAAAAAAACTAGCTGGGCGTGGTGGTACATGCCTGTAGTCCTACCTACTCCAGAGGCTGAGGCCAGAGAATCATTTGAGCCCAAGAGGTCAAGATTGCAGTAAGCTATGGCCACTGGAGTGTCACTGGAGTGCATTGACCACTCTGTCCATTGACCACAAGCTGTGTCACTGGAGTGCAATGACCACTGCACTCCAGCCTGGGCAGTAGAGCGAGACTGACAAAAAAAAAAAAAAAAAAAAAAAAGAAGAAGAAGAAGAAGAAGAAAATTTGGCCTGTATAATGGCTCATGCCTATATTCCCAGCACTTTGGGAGGCCAAGGCTGGAGGACTGCTTGAACCCAGGAGTTCGAGACCAGCCTGGGCAACATGGCAAAACCCCATCTCTACCAAAAAAAAAAAAAAAAAATTAGCCAAGTGTGGTGGTGCGCACCTGGGTCCCAGATACTCAGGAGGGTTATGTGGGAGGATCACTTCAGTCCAGGAGCCAGAGGTTGCAGTGAGCCAAGGTCGCACCACCGCACTCCAGCCTGGGTGACAGAAAGAGACCCAGTATCAAATAAAAAATCAAATTTCACTTAAAAAAGAAAAAGAAAAAATTCTTCCTAGGGCTGAGCTGACATCTCCCTCCCAATGGCTTCCTACCTCTAGCTCTCACAGAAAAGCAATACTCAGGCCCCAGTTGTGTCTGACGTGTTGCAGTTTGAAGAATATTCCATCCCTAATGGCTGGTAAATGGTGGGGCCTGCATTCAGCTGCTTGACTCTGGGAGAGGGTGCAGGCCTTGCCCGTTTCACACATGACCTGACCAGCTCTGTTTTCCTTGTTGGAGCCACTTCAGAATTGTAAAGGCATCTCTCATTTCTCTAGAGTCTTCTTTCTCCAGGACAAACACTCCGAGTTTTTCAGCTGTTCCTTGCAGGACAGGATTCTGGGTTCTCACCATGTGGAATCTCTTCTCTGTTTGCTTCTTACCAGCTCAACAACGCCCCTCTGAAAGTAGGACTCTTGGAAATGAACCTTGTTGGGAGTAAAGCTGAACCTTCACCTCTCCTTTCCAGGATTCTACTCCATTCATACGGCCTCACACTGAATTAATGTTTCTAGCAGCCACATTACTTTGTTACCCAATTGATCTAGTAGTAAAGTCTTCCCATCTCTTCATGTACCACTGGTTTATTGACTCTTAATGTAGGATTCTACATTTGTTTGTTGTTTATCTTGTTAGATCCAGCCTGTTGTTACAATCTTGTAGGAAGTTAACTGGATCCTGATTCTACATATAGCTGATTGACATTTTGGAGGGTTTTGCAATAACCATTTCCCTTCCTGACAGCATCCTAACTTCCTTTGGGGGACCTGTGTCTGTTCCCATGTGGGCAGTCTTGGCCAGAATGCAGTCCTAGGGCCCCCTACAGAAGCTGAGGAGTCTGGATCCTTCCTCTCACTTCCCCTTGTGAACTCGCTGGGAGCCTCCTTTGGAGATGTTGAGATTCCCTCCACAGGCTCAGAGCTGGCCCGGTTCCCTTCCTCAGTTTCTCCTGAGAAGGGCAGGTGTGTGAGTGCCTGACCTCCCAGTCCATGCAGGGCCATCTGGCTGCTTGCTGGCTGCCCTCTTTGGAACCAGGGGCCCCAATCCCATCGCGTTTCTAAACCACCAACCGGCAGGCATTCTGAGATTCCAAACAAATGCAAGAGAGATTAGGATCCCTTTGGCTAGAGGCCAAGGTGAAAGCTGATCCTGCGGAAAGAGGAGACTGGCTGGGGTGGAGGTGAATGTAAGCGGGGAACACGAGGTGCGCAGGTGTGGACGGGGAGTATCTCAGCTCCAGATGGAGCTCCCAGCATCCTTCTGCAGACTCTGGGACGGCGGGGATAAATGGAAGGTGACTCCAAGTATACAAGGGATGGTCAATATCTCCTGTTCACCAAGCACTTGGTCTGCCAAAAACTATGCTACACACCATTATTCTTTTTAAGTCCTCATGACAACCCTAGGTTTTATGTTTTTCATTATACAGCTGGCAAGCTGAAGCTCAGAGAAGTTCAATAACTTGTTAAAGGTCATGCAGCAACTAAGGGGCCAAGCCACAGGCCTGACTTTAGAACTAGTGCTCTTTGTTTTGAGATGGAATCTTGCTTTTGTATTTTTAGTAGAGGCAGGGTTTCGCCATGTTGGCCAGGCTGGTCTCAAACTCTTGGCCTCAAGTGATCAGCCTGCCTCGCCCTCCCAAAGTGCTAGGATTACAGGCATGAGTCACCACGCCTGGCCAGAACCAGTGCTCTTAATAGTAATGACACCCTCCTGCCCCTCTGGAAGAACCTGAGAGAGGAAAGTGGGGGAGAGGGAAACCCCAGGCCTTCCAGGCGGCCCCTACTGTGTTAGGAGTTAATTGAGTCCATGAAAATAGGCCCTCCAGTTTGGATCTCTGTTGACTTCAAACCAACAGAGCTGAAAGTTGTTGTGACTCCCCAAGGAAAGAGTGAGAAAGAAAAGGCAAAGAAGATGGGGCTGGCAATGATGAAATCTCCTGCTTAGACAAAGCCCAGGACAGTTGGTTGGCATTTTCATTCTGGCTGGTTGCTCTGGCAGGCATGAGAAAATAAACAAAAGGGAGAACAGGTGGGAGAAAGTGCAGGCTGGTGAACCTTCTCTGTGCTCTGCCCACTGTCCTGAACTCTGAGGGCACGGGGAGTTATACTCTTTTACCAAACTGGCCAAATTCAGCCTGAAGGGCTCCTGGAGTCTTAGCCTACTCATTCTCAGATTTTAGCTTCCACCAACACCAACTAAACAAACCTGATCTTTTTAAAGAGGTTTTTTGTTTGTTTTTTGAGACAGAGTCTCTCACTTTCACCCAGGCTGGAGGGCAGTGGCACAATCTCAGCTCACTGTAACCTCCGCCTCCTGAGTTCAAGCCGTTTTCCTGCCTCAGCCACCCGAGTAGCTGGGACTACAGGAATGCACCACCAGGCCTGGCTGATTTTTGTATTTTTGGCAGAGATGGGGTTTCACCATGTTGGCCAGGCCGGTCTCAAACTCCTGACCTCAAGTGATCTGCCTGCCTTGGCCTCCCAAAGTGCTGGGATTACAGGCGTGAGCCACCACACCTGGCCAAGAGTTATTTATTTTTTTTGTGTGTGAAATCTGATGCCACTTTAAAATCAGCAGATCCTTACCCCATTCCCTTTCACTCTCAATTCCCACTTTCTGGAAGTAATTATTGTCAAGTCTTTCTGGTACTTCTGGTTATTTCTTCTGGTATTTATCCTATTTTCACATCAGATTTATGCGGCTAATGTTAATTATTTTCAGTTTTGGGGGTTAATCTATTGACTACTATGAAGATAATATGAAAATGTAGTTCTTCTATTACTTTCCATATTTTTCTGTAGTTTTTTGGTATCATTATTCTGCATTTACAATACTAGAACTGTGAAACAAGTATTCAAGCTGATTCAAGAAGTGTGCTGTGAGGATAATAATTCCCTCTCCAGACATTGTTTCTCCTGCAGTAAGTACTGCTTGGTTTTTCATTTGCTTAATTTTCCATGCATCTATCACTAATTCATTCCCCTTAATCTTTCCTTAAAGTGAAAAACAATTGAAAGATTTAATTTCCCATTCAGATAACATTTTCAGAGATTCACAGAATTCTACAGAGACAACAAACAACATGGTTTCTTCGACAGATGAATGTCTTGAAAAAAAAGGGAGGGAGGGAAAACTGTTACATAAGAGATTTAAGAGATATAGCAACCAAATGCCACGTGGGGGCCTCGTTGGGAGCCTCAGTCAAATAAATCCACTGTGGAAAAGACATTTTAAGACAATTAGGGAAATATGAACACAGATTGAGTCTTAGGACATATTAAGGTATAAGCATGTTTGCATCGGGTGAAATAATGGCCTTGTGGGTTATGTGTAAAAAATTCCATATCTGTTATGATACCTACGACTTATGTGTGAAATGACATACTTGTGATTTACTTTGAAAATATCCAACTTCCCTGCTCCCTCCCCTCCCACAAAAAAGTGATTTTGGGAGATACATTAAAAAATTCTGGGCCAGGGGCAGTGGCTCACGCCTGTAGTCCCAGCACTTTGGGAGGCCAAGTCAGGTGAATCACCTGAGGTCAGGAGTTCGAGACCAGCCTGGCCAACATGGTGAAACCCCGTCTCTACTAAAAATCCAAAAATTAGCCAGATGCAGTGGTGCACGCCTATAATCCCAGCTACTCGGGAGGCTGAGGCACGAGAATCGCTTGAACCCGGGAGGCAGAGGTTGCAGTGAGCCAAGATCGTGCCACTGCACGCCAGCCTGGGTGACAGAGCAAGATTCTGTCTCAAAAAAAAAAAAAAATTCTGGTAAAATAGTGATAATTACTTTATTATTATTTATTTATCGTTTTGAGACAGGGTCTCGCTCTGTCTTCCAGGCTGGAGTGCAGTGGTGCAATGATGGCTCACTGCAGCCTTGACCTCCTGGGCTCAAGCAATCCTTCCACCTCATCCTCCTCGGTAGCTGGGACTACAGGCATGTGCCACCATGCCTGGCTGATTTTTTTTTTCATTTTCTTGTGAGGCCTCACTATGTTGCCTAAACTGGTCTCCAACTCCCAGGCTCAAGTGATCCTCCCGCCTCACCCTCCCAAAGTACTTGGAATGCAGGCATGAGACATTGTGCCTAACCTATTTTACTGTTTTAGAGACAGGGTCTCAATCTGTTGCCCAGGCTGGAGTGCAGTGGCACAGTCATGGCTCACTGTAATCTTCAACTTCTGGGCTCAAGCAACCACCCACCTGCCTCAGGCTCCTGAGTAGCTGGGACTACAGGCATACGCCACCATGCCCAGATAACTTTATTTTTTGTAGAGACAGGGTCTTGCTATGTTGCCGGGCCAGTCTTGAACTCCTGGCCTCAAGCAATCCTCCCACCTCAGCCTCCTAAAGTGCAAGGATTACGGGCGTGAGCCACTGCACCTGGTCAGTACTTTATTCTTTTTACTGCTGAATAATACGCCATTGTATGGCTATACCATATTTCATTTATCCATCTGTTAGCTGATAGACATTTGGGTTGTTTCCCACCTTGTGGCTACTATGAATATTCATGTATACATAATTGTGTAGACATGTTTTCTTTTTCTTCTTTCTTTTTTTTTTTTTTTTTTTGAGACAGAGTCTCGCTTTGTGGCCCAGTCGGTAGCCCAGGCTGGAGTGCAGTAGTGCGATCTCAGCTCACTGCAACCTCTGGCTCTCATGTTCAAGCAATTCTCCTGCCTCAGCCTCCTGAGTAGCTGGGACTACAGGAGGCTCGATCCACCTGCCTTGGTCTCCTAAAGTGCTGGAATTACAGGCATGAGCCAACGCACCTGATCTGGACATATGTTTTCTTTTCTTTTTTTTTTGAGATGGAGTCTCACCCTGTTGCCTAGACTGGAGTGCAATGGCATGATCCTGGCTCACTGCAACCTCCACCTCCCAGGTTCAAGCGATTCTCCTGCCTCAGCCTCCCGAGTAGCTGGGATTACAGTGGCGCGCCATCACGCCCAGCTAATTTTTGTATTTTTAGTAGAGACGGGGTTTCACCATGTTGGTCAGGCTGGTCTCGAACTCCTGACCTCGTGATCCGCCTGCCTCGGCCTCCCAAAGTGCTGGGATTACCGGCATGAGCCATTATGCCCGGCCAGTATGTTTTCACTTCTCTTGGGTATATATCTATTTAGGAGTGGAACTGCTGAGTCATATGGAAATTTTACATTAAAACTTTTGAGGACCTGCCAGACTTTTCCAAAGTAGCCTTGTGACTGGTGGGGAGACTGAGGCCCAAAGAGGGAAACTGTCTTCTGCAAAGCAACACAGTGAGTGTGAGAAAGCAGGAGCTAATCATGGACATGACTTCAATGCTGCGCCTTCTCCTCTGACCGCATTACCATCTCACTCTCACTCCAGTGCTCTCCATACCCACTTCTGCCCCTCCATTCCATTCCTTGCCCAGCAGCAAATCCCTTCACACCAGTCCCTACAAAGGCTTCCTGCTGCCATCATCAGGATGAAGTTCCGCCTCTGAGGGATGACTTATAAGCTCCTCTGCCATCTGGCCCTAGTGCTGCCTCCTCATCTTGTCTTCTGAAGCAGTTTTAGTGAGCTATAATTCGCACCCCACCCCATTCACCCGTTTTAAGTGTACAATCCAAATGTTTATCAGTCCTTTCATACTCTACACTGCAGGGTCATGCAGGTCTTGTTTCAGTTCCATGAAAACACCAACATCTTTGCTTCTGAGACTTTGTGCACACCGTTACCTCTGTTTAGAACAGTCTGTATATTTTTTTCTGGCAAGTTCCTCATGATCTTTCACATCTTAGTTGAGATGTTTCTGCTGGGAAGCCTTCCCTGAGCATTCGGGTTGACTGGATGACCTGCAGGATGTTCCCATGGCCTCCCTAGGATCGTCCCTGTCACAGCATGTACTATAGTAGTCTGAGGTTTTTTGGTTTTTGTTTTTTTTTTGAGATGGAGTCTCACTCTATCGCCCGGGCTGGAGTGCAGTGGCGCAATCTCGGCTCACTGCAAGCTCCACCTCCTGGGTTCACGCCATTCTCCTGCCTCAGCCTCCAAAGTAGCTGGGCCTACAGGCACCCGCCACCATGCCCGGCTAATTTTTTTGTATTTTTTAGTGGAGAGAGGGTTTCACCGTGTTAGCCAGGTTGGTCTAGCAGTCTGAGTTTTTAAGGTCTGTGACTGTGTCTTGTTCATATGCAGTGCCTGGCAACACTCAATTCACTATTGGTTGAATGAACAGAAAGATCTGAAAATATCTAGCATGGCCCTGAGCACACTGTAGAAATCCTGCAAATGTTTGCAGACCGCAATTACTTCCAAGGACAGGGACAGCACCTCCTGTTGGGAACATTCCAGATGGTTTGGATGATTAAAGGTAAGATAAGATATTTTTTGTCTGGTACCCATGCCACTTCTTCAGGCAACAGCATCCCAGTTTTCCTTTGGGGAATCACTCTTATTATACCTTCAGTTCTTATAGTTTATGAGAAGCTAAGCAGTTCCTGGAATTTGCAGTTGACTTAAGGCAGATGAGTTAAGATGCAACCCTAACTTTTCCTAGATTTTTTAAAAAGGGGTGCTTTCTTTTCACTAGGATTACTAATCTCGTGCCTCTATAAGAAAACTAACTGTCTAAGAAGCAGACTTGAGAAAGCAACTGAGTCCTGATGATATCATGAGAGGCCCTGGACCCAGCTGTGCCTGAAGCCAACCACCAGACATTTTAGTTATTGAGTCAATTTCCATTCCTTTTTAATTGCTTGAGTTCAGCTTGTCACCTGCAACTGCAATATTCCTAATCCAGTTAGTAACCCTCTTTCACATACACACATACCCATCACACACCTTACAGACCAAACAGAGGAATCGAGCTGACTTTTGTCCCTAAGCACGGGTTTACCTACTCACCTCAAATCTAAATTGTATTTTTCTGAGTTGTGTTGTGCAGTTGACTGTCAATATTTAGCTTTCCTTGTACGGTACTTTCTATACCAAGCTTGTCTGGCCTGTAGGCTGCATGCCGCCCAGGACAGCTTGGTATGGGGCCCAACACAAATTCATAAACTTTCTTAAAACATTGTTTTTTGTTTGTTTTGTAGCTTATCAGCTATCGTCAGTGTTAGTGTATTTTATGTGTGGCCCAAGACAATTCTTATTCCAGTGTGGCCCAGGGAGGCCAAAGGATTGGACACCCCTGTTCTATTCCATGATCAGCAAGTAGACATTTGCGGTGTCCTAAGTAGTATCAGGTGATAAGTCAAGGTGGATGGAAGAGATGCAATTCTCATTTATAGCCTGGCCCAAATTGAACTCCAAGAAACACACACAATAAGCACTGCTCCCTAAGCCTGTGCGCTGTTCTGGAAAGAGCCTACTAAAACAACCTTGGCTTTTCTTTTTGACTCGCTGATGCCAAGGACAGGTCTGTGCATTTACTACCAGTACAATGGGACAGGAAAGTCTCACACACATTTTTTTATTCTTTGAGATGGAGTTTCACTCTTGTTGCCCAGGCTGGAGTGCAGTGGCACGATCTCGGCTCACTGCAACCTCTGCCTCCCAGGTTCAAGTGGTTCTCCTGCCTCAGCCTCCCGAGTAACTGGGATTACAGGTGCACACCACCATGCCTGGCTAATTTTTGTATATTTAGTAGAGACGGGGTCTCACCATGTTGGCCAGGCTGGTCACACACATTTTAACCACCCATCTTTGCTACAAGGGAAAAAGGCCAAACCTTGTGTGGGTGAAGAGGCAGACTCAAATGCTCCCGATGCAGAGGAACGAGGCGGCTACCACTCAATCACCAATTACCATTTGCATGCTACCCAACCTGGACCTTTCCAGGGCATACTGGACCACTCCCCACTTCCTTGGGGTGCAATGAATTGCAGACAGTTTAATCCATGGGCTTTTGCTGATTCTGTTTTCTCTGCTTGGAATGCCCTTCTACACAGAGGAAGTCTTTCAAGACCCAGGTCAAAGGTTAGCTCTCCTGTGAACACTTGTTCCTTTTCTATCTGGTATAAGCAGCCATTTTAACTATCGTTAAAGGTCAGGGTTTCTTAACTTGGGTCTGCGGGTCATTATGAATAAGTTTTAGAGGGACATGTCTGTATCTATGTCCACATATGTTACTCTGGAGGCCAGGGTCAGAGATTCCAGATTCTCAGATTCGGTGACCTCAAAAAAAGGTCTCTTTTGGCCAGGCACAGTGGCTCATGCCTGTAATCCCAGCACTTTGGGAGGGTGAGGCAGGAGGATGGCTTGAGCTCACAAGTTCAAGACCAGTCTGGGCAACATAGCAAGGTATCGTCTCTAAAAAAATAATAAAAAATTTTAAAAAGCTCTTAGGTGTCTCTCTCTTGTGAGTTGAGGGCAAGGTTCACATCTCTTTCGTCTTAGACTCCCCGCACTGATCCAAGATAGACAGTCAACTGCTGGCAGAAGGTTGTTAGTGACTTACAGAGGCAACACTTTCACAGGCAAAGAAGAGAAAACAGGACGGTTTAATTTGTGGAGTCGAGTCGTTTGTTCTTAATTACTGCACTCAACATGCAAATTATATTCACCTCTTGGTACAGAAATGGCACCGTCACTTCCCTGGGACCTTTAATCCAGACAGAATTATTCTTGGGCACCCTTATCTGTGTGTCTACCAACAACTGCCGTCTCTCCCTTCTTACAGCAATATGTAAATTCTCTTTTGTTCCAAGCAACTGGGAAATGAGGTCCTTCATCCAAAGGAGTAGCCATTTCCAGTATAGCACCACTGATTTGTCAATGGATTTGATAAGATTTGATACACTGACATCCAGATCAAGATTTTGCATTATTTATAGACAGTCTCTGATGATCCCAAAGGCACTTTAGAATCTGGCAGTGCCTCAGGGTCACTGATTTTCACTGGGCAGAATTAAGTGATATAGAAGGTTTGCTGAGTCTGTCCTGACCCTGGGTATTCACTCTGAAGAGAGTTTATTTGAATAAGGTTTTGACATATTTGGTCTCTATGTCTATGTAGGCTCAAAATGAACAGGGAGATTCATTTTGTTCATCCATAGTTTCTAAACCTTTGGTAGTGGAAATGGTTTACTTGTGTAAAGAAAGTTAACAATACTAACAAAACTAATGGTAAAACACAGGGTGTTTGGATCCCAAGAAAACAGGAGTTTACTGTGGCTAGATGTCAGGCTGACTGCACATAATCATTAGCTATAATTAACAATGCTTCCTTCGAAGACTGGGCTTCTGCTAAGATAGATATATATATATATATATATATATTTTTTTTTTTTTTTCAGATGGAGTTTTGCTCTGTCGCCCAGGCTGGAGCGCAGTGGCACGATGTCAGCTCACTGCATCCTCCGCCTCCTAGGTTTAAGCAGTTCTCTGCCTCAGCCTCCCAAGTAGCTGGGATTACAGGTGCCCACCACCACGCCCGGCTAATTTTTTTTTGTATTTTTAGTAGAGATGGGGTTTCACCATCTTGGCCAGGCTGATCTTGAACTCCTGATCTCGTGACCCACCCGCCTCAGCCTCCCAAAATCCTGGGATTACAGGCGTGAGCCACTGCGCCTGGCCAAGATTTTATATATTATCAGTAGCCTGAGGTTTCCCCCTTTCTCTGACTTTCATTACTAGAGTCACCAGAAGGAACATTTACAACATTTTAAAAATAACAAGTTGCCCAGCATACTCCTATTTCCTCTAGTTTCAAACATAAAGGGGAACCCAGCCCAGACAAGAACAAGCCTTGCTGCATGCCTGCCAGCTCGTGCATCCTCCTTTTTATTTCAAGAGGTGCCAGCTCCAAACAAAGTTACAAGGTTAAGTGCAACTCCAAGTTCCTGACACAGCTAATCCCTGCTCGGTCTTCAAAAAATAGAGGTCTGTAATTCCTTTTTGAACATGCCTTCGAAGTGGAGGTCTTTGGCCATGAGCTCTTCTTCGACATCATCTAGTGCCCACTGGTGATCCGTCAGCTCCAAAGCTTCCCACTCTGTCTGTAATGGAAGAGAACACCCAGGCAGGAAGAGAGGGAATTGTTACTGACAGCTGTGGCTAACCTTTAGTGACCACTTACTCTGGGCCAAAAGCTGGAGTGAGCTATCTGCATGTATAAGCTCATTCAATCCTACAAGGGAAATGCTGCTACCCCAATCCTCTCCTCCCCCTCTTCCTGCCACCCCTCAATTTATAGATAAGGAGACTAAGACTAAGAGGTCAAATAATTTGTTCAAGGCCACTGGCACTAGGAACTAATGGAGCTGAGATTTAAATTGTGGTCTGACTGCAAAGTCCCCAGCGCTTAACCCGTCTATCAGCTCACACTCACTAAGCACCTTTGTGCCCCACAGTACTCTTGAGAGATGTACAACAGACAAATTAGTGCAGATTCTCAGCTCTTTAATCAAGGGACTTGCCATCTGGTTTAAATGGTGCATGGTCCACAATGCTTTGACATAAATGGCCCAGGGTATCTTCAGTGGGCCTAAGAACACTTCCTCCAACCTTATGTCCAGACACACAATGGCACTTCATTACAGTTTGTGGGAGTCCAGTAATTTTTAATCACTGGAATAAAGACTTTGATGATGTGAACTAAAAAACTGTTTTTGGCATATAATCATTTAGATGTAAACTAGTAATATGTTGAGCAGAAATAAATTTGCAGAATTTTCCAAGAAATTACATTTCTCAAATATTCTATTAATCTGACTACTTTGCCTTAAATTAGTGAGTGTCTAAAAAATGCTTTATGAGTTGGGTGCAGTGGCATGCATCTACAGTCCCAGCTACTCTGGAGGCTGAGGCTAAGGATAGCTTGAGCCCAGGAGTTTGGGACTGCCCTGGACAACCTATCTTTAGATGAGCCTAGAGATAGTAATACCTCGTCTTTAAAAATAAATTAAAAAAAAAAAAAAAAAGCTTGCGAGATGTGGTAGCTCACACCTGTAATCCTAGCACTTTGGGAGGCCAAGGCAGGAGGATCACTTGAGGATGGGAGTTCAAGACCAGCCTGGGCAACACAGCGAGATCCCATCTCTATACAAATTTAAAAAAAAATTAGTTGGGTGTGGTGGTGTGTGCCTGTAGTACTGGCTTCTCGTGTACCAGTACTGAGGCTGAGGTGGGAGGAATGCTTAAGTCCAGGAGTTCGAGGCTGCAGTGAGCAAGGATTGTACCACTGCACTCCAGCCTGGGTGACACAGTGAGACCCTCGATAGATAGATAGATAGATAGATAGATAGATAGATAGATAGATAGAACAAGCTTATTTAATGTGAAATACAAATGTTAGCTCATGAGTGAGTTTTTCAGATATAATTTACATGTCATACAATTTACCCCTTTAATGTGTATAATTTAGTGATTTTTAGTATATTCATATGTGCAACCACCACCACTATCTAATTGCAGAACACTTTTATCATAACAAAAAGAAACCACATACCAAACAGTAGACAGCTCCCATTATTCACCTCCCACAACCTCTGGCAACTACTACGTTATCTTCCGTATCTTTTTTTCACTTATTCTGGGCATATGTGGCCTTTTGTTATTTTCTTTCACTTAGCATGTTTTCAAGGTTCTTCCCTGTTTAACATGATTCAGTATTCCACTCTTATTTATAGCTGAATAACACTCCATTGTATATATTCTACTGTACATACAATGTACATTATATTCCAAAATATTCCATTGTTTATTCATTCATTAGATGATGGACATTTGGGTTATGTCTACTTTTTGATTATTATGAATCATGCTCTGAACACATTCTCACATAAGTTTCTGTGTGGACATACATTTTCAGTTCTCTTGAGTATTTACTTAAGAGTGAAATTACTGGATCATATAGTAACTATGTTTTAACTGTTTGAGGAAAGGCAGAAAAACTGTTTTCCAAAGTGGCTGTACCATCATCAACAATAGGGTTCCAATTTCTCCACATCCTTACCGACACTTGTTATTGTTGATCTTTTTTTTTATTAATTATAACCATCTGAGTGGGCATGAAGTGGTATCTGTTTTTTTTTTTTTTTGAGATGGAGTCTCGCTCTGGCACCCAGGCTGGAGTGCAGTGGCGCAATCTCCGCTCACTGCAACCTCCGCCTCCCAGGTTTAGGCAATTCTCCTGCCTCAGCCTCCTGAGCAGCTGGGACTACAGGCGCCCGCCACCACGCCCGGCTAATTTTTGTATTTTTAGTAGAGATGGGGTTTCACCATGTTGACCAAGCTGATCTTGAACTTCTGACCTTGTGATCCACCCACCTCAGCCTCCCAAAGTGCTGGGATTACAGGCGTGAGCCACCATGCCCAGCCCTCTCACTGTTTTTTAGTTGTTTATTTTTTTGAGACAGAGTGATCTCACTCTGTCACCCAGGGTGGAGTGCAGTGGCGCCATCTTGGCTCACTGCAACCTCTGCATCTGCAATGGTGGATCTCGGCTCACTGCAACCTCTGCCTCCCAGGTTCAAGCAATTCTCATGCCTCAGCCTCCTGAGTAGCTGGGATTACAGGCAGGCACCACTATGCCCAGCTAATTTTTGTATTTTTAGTGGAGATGGCATTTCACCATGTTGGCCAGGCTGGTCTCAAGCTCCTGACCTCAAATGATCTGCCTGTCTCAGCCTCCCAAAGTGCTGGGATTAAGGTGTAAGCCACTGCGCCCAGCCAAATTTTTATTTTTTTATTGTGGTAAAATATATGTAACATAACATACACCACTTTTAACCATTTCAGATGTAAAATTCAGTGGCATTAATGACATTCACAATGTGTACCCATGTCTACTATCATTTCCAAAGTTTTATGTCCCCTTAAACAGAAAATGTGCACAGTAAGCAATTACTCCCCACTGCCCCCCATCCCATCCTCAGTAAACTCTAACCTACTTTCTTGTCTCTGTGAATTTTCCTATTCCAAATATTTTATATGAGTAATATCATGCAATATTAAAGATTTGGGACTTTGACCCATTTGATTTCTTTTTTCAAGACAGGGTCTCGCTCTGTCACCCAAGCTGGTGTGCAGTGGCACAATCACAGCTCATTGCAGCCTCAAACTCCTCAGCTCAAGTGGTCCTCCCATCTATAGGCATGCACCACCACATTTGGCTAATTTGAACCTAATTTTTTTTTTTCTTCTGCACTAACATGCCTGTTGAACCATTTGGACTTAACTTTTGTGCATGGTGTGAAATAGGTGCCCAGCCTCATTCTTTTGCATGTAGATATCCTTTTCCCAGCACCATTCGTTGAATGGAGACTATTCTTTCCCCACTGAATAGTCTTGGTACCCTCTTTGAAAATCAATTGATGATAAATAGATGTGTTTATTTCTGAACTCTCCATTTTATTCCATTGACCTATATCTCTCCTTATGCCAGTTTTTATTACTGTGCAGTTTTGATTACTACAGCTTTGTAATAGGCTTTAAAACCACGGCGTGTAAGTTATTCAATTTTGCCAACATTTTTGCCTATTGTGATTCCCTTGAATTTCCACATGAACTTCACAAGCAGCTTGTCAATTTCTGCAAGAATGGCAAGTAAGATTTTTATAGGGATTGTGTTCAATCTGTGGATAAATTTGGAGTATTGCCATCTTAACAATATTAAGTCTTCCAATCTATGAACATGGATGTCTTTCCATTTATTTAAGTCTTTAATTTCTTTCAGCAATGTTTTGTAATTTTTCAGTATGTCGGTTTAAATCTAACAAAAGGCCATTTCTTTTTTTTTGAGACGAAGTCTCGCTCTGTCACCAGGCTGGAGTCTAGTGGCGTGATCTTGACTCACTGCAACCTCTGCCTCCCGGGTTCAAGTGATTCTCCTGCCTCAGCCTCCCGAGTAGCTGGGACTACAGGCAGGCACCACCATGCACAGCTAATTTTTGTATTTTTAGTAGAGATGGCGTTTCGCCACGTTGGCCAGGATGGTCTTGATCTCTTGACGTTGTGATCTGCCCACCTCAGCCTCCCAAAGTGCTAGGATTACAGGCGTTAACCACCATGCCCGGCCACGGCCATTTCTTTTGTTAGATTTGTTCCTAAATATTTTATTCGTTTTGATACTATTATAAATAAAATTGTTTTCCTTTCATTTCCAATTCTTCATTACCAGTGTATAGAAATACAATTGATGTTGAACTTATTTATTAGCTCTGTTAGTTTTCTTGTGGATTCTTTAGGATGATCTACATACAACACCATGCCATTTGCAAACAGAGATAGTTTTACTTCCTTTCTAATCTGAATGGCTTTTTTATTTCTTTTTCTTGCCTAACTGCCCTGGCTAGTACATCCTGGACAATGATGAATAGAAGTGGCAAGAACAGACATCCTTGTCTTGTTCTTAATCTTAAAGGGAAAGCTTTCAGTCTTTCACCATTGAGTATGATGTTAGCTGTGGGTCTGTCATAGATGTCCTTTATCAGGCTGAGAAATTTCTCTCTTTTTTTTTTTGAGACGGAATCTTGGTCTGTCATCCAGGCTGGAGTGCAGTGGCACGATCTTGGCTCACTACAGCCTCCGCCTCCCAGGTTCCAGTGATTCTCCTGCCTCAGCCTCCTGGGTGGCTGGGATTATAGGCACATGCCACCGTGCCCAGCTCATTTTTGTATTTTTTTTTTTTTTTTGAGACAGAGTTTTGCTCTTGTTGCCCAGGCTGGAGTGCAATGGTGCAATCAATCTCAGCTCACTGCAAACTCCACCTCCTGAGTTCAAGCAATTCTGTCTCAGCCTCCCAAGTAACTGGGATTACAGGTGCCCACCACCATGCCCAGCAAATTTTTTTTTTGTATCTTTAGTAGAAAAGAGGTTTCACCATGTTGGCCAGGCTGGTCTTGAACTCCTGACCTCAGCTGACCCACCTGCCTTGGCCTCCCAAAGTGCTGGGATTACAGGCGTGAGCCACCGCACCTGGCCCATTTTTGTATTTTTAATAGAGACAGGGTTTCACCATGTTGTCCAGGCTGGTGTCGAACTCCTGAACTCAGGTGATCTGCCCACCTTGGCCTCCCAAAGTGCTGGGATTACACGTGTGAGCCCCTGTGCCTGGCCGGAACTTCCCTTCTCTTTTAGTTTCTATCATGAAACACAGTGAGATTTTGTCCCACAAAAATCATACTAAATTTTGCAAATTCTAGAACCTTTTTGTGAAAAGGCTCTTAGTATTGTTTTTTTAATGCAATTTATATCTGATGTCTATGGGGTTCAAAAAGGTTCAAATTATTCTAAATGTTTACCTGGCACCTCCGATTGGATTATTTTACAGCATCATTGATAGTGTGGATTAAATTCCAGTGAGCATTTAAAAACCAGTAAAAGCACCAAGAATTTCCATTTACTTAATAGATGATTCTGTCTCAGGAAAGAGAGACGTGTAAACTATGTTTTTACTAAGTTTAAATTAAAACGATGGAACCACACAACACTCCCTTCAAGGAAGCTATTTTTAAAATAGCTCTTGGTAACACCTTTCAGAGCATTGCTGCAGCTTTGAAAGGTGAAGGAGTATACCTTGAAAGCTTTGTTTGTGTCTGCGGGCATGGCCATGGCTGCTCCCGTCATCTGCTCCTGCATCATTCGTGATTGGTCAGCGGCTGTAGCATAAGACACACTTACATGAGTGCCAGGACTCAGCAAGCACCCCAGCACCCAAGGGGAAGAATGGGCTTCACACAGATTAGAGAACTGGACTACAGCCTCACTGGCTGGCCCTGTCACCCACTGGCTATGTGACTCTAGGAAAGTCACTTTGTGTCTCCTGAAAAATGGGGACAGTAACAGCAAAAGAGAGATCACTAAAGGAAGCTCTAAACTTTATTTCAAATTTCAACAATAACAGCCACCAGTTATTGAGCAACTACTGCATGCCAAGTACTTCACTAAGTGCTTTGCATATTTTTCCTCATCTGTTCCTAACAACCCCACAGGTTAACTAATAAAGTCCTTATTTACAGATAAGTAAATAGAGAATTCGAAGTTAAGTAACTTGTTAAGTAACTTTTCTGAGGTCCCAGCCAGTAAACAAGAGAGCAAGGATTAGTACTGGCAAGGGCTCTAGTCAATGAACTGACAAACCAAGCCTTCTTTAAGCTTTAGGTTCACAGGCTTACACTGCTGGTGCTGGATCCCTCACATGATGGTATCAGACTCTGGGGAATCAAAATACTGTCCCAGTCATTGCCAGAGAGAATTGAGATCTTCAGTTTGACCCCCGGAATTTTTAAGACTCTTTCAGAATACCTCAGAAACTTAAGGAAGGAAACATTTTATTTGACTATGGTAACAAACAGCACAACCTACAAGACTTTTCTGGCTCTAATATGGATGATTCATCTATGGAAGTATTTGCTTAGTAAACCTGACATGCTTCTTACCATTATCTTGGCCCAGAATCAGAGAGTAAATGCTCCGAAGCCCAAATACATTGAGGAAGTACCAGGATGCAGAACTCACCCTGGCAAAGCAAAATGAAAATGGTGTGGTTAGTTATTATATCAGAGAGTAATGCAGTTCCCACTTCCCTACCACCCAAAGTTGTTCAGTGTTTGTAAAGAAGTCACCTTGGATGGGCTATATTCATCCAAAGCACAACCACAGAAGAAATACAAGTTGTTAAAGCAGTCTCACCAATACAGAACTATATTTCAAAAAATCCAAAGGTGACTCCCATTCTGAATTCCATTCCCTAGAGGAAATCACAAGTGTTGGTGTGTTCCATACTTTTTTTTTTTTTGAGACGGAGTCTCACCCTGTTACCCAGGCTGGAGTGCAGTGGCGCAATCTTGGCTCACTGCAACCTCTGCCACCTGGGTTCAAGAGATTCTCCTGCCTCAACCTCCTGAGTAGCTGGGACTACAGGCACACACCACCATGCCTGGCTAATTTTTATATTTTTATTAGAGATGGGGTCTCACCATGTTGGCCAAGCTGGTCTCGAACTCCTGACCTCAAGTGATCCGCCCACCTCAGCCTCCCAAAGTGCTGGGATTACAGGCGTGAGCCACTGGGTGTGTTCCATACTTACAAGAAGGGATGAGACATGGATTTCAGGAAATACAGTACCGAGGACTATAGCTACTGGGAGAGCCATTCCAAGTTTTGAACTATATCACTGAGGCTTCCTTTAGCTTAGGTTTCCTACTCAACCTCCATAAAATAAATATGCTTGCATATAATAAAAACTAAAAACAAAAATGCATATGGGAAGTGATAGATAAATGGAAAGATCCACACTCATTCCAACAAGTGGGTCACATAAGGGCAAGAGTCTATTCTGGTTACTCCATAGGCTGCAGGTAAGTAAATGGCCTGTCTGAATACAATGTTGCTGATCTCACCACAGTGGTAATTGTACACTCAGGTTCCAGTCTCGCGTCTGTCCATGACTGCATTTCAGTCACATGCCTCTCTGGATGCTGAGAAAAGATAAATAAGCTTTTCTCCAACCCATGAAGTTTTTGTTTAGCCCAATGAGACTGAAGGTAAAAGTAGAATAGACTCATGCTACTCATATAATGTACAGCTTTTCTTCTCTAGCAGAACTGTGCATGGCCCAGCCTTCCCAGCCTCTGGCCTTTCCTGCTCCTCCCACACATCCTAGAGGGCTCTGCTCAAACCAAGTAGTCAAGATTACCACTAGTAATCCCCATTTTGTCCATTTTTCTTTTCCTCTTGTTTATGCCAGTCTTTGGGAAGCCACAGGCAAGAGTCTGGAGAGGCTACATGAAGCAGCATTACTAGGTTCCAGATATTGTAGCAGTATTTTCTAAGAGCTTTTCAGATTTTAATTTTTCTTATTCTGCCATTCAAAAAAAAATAGTGGTATTCAGAAGGAGAAATCTCTTTTAAAAAATTATAAAGAGTGGTAAGTAACACATGGGTGCTGGATTTGAACAGACCTTGTCATCAAATGTCAATTCCTACACAGGTTTCATAGGTTGCTATGAGGGTAAAATATGGAAAACGCTAAGCCCAGTGACTAGAACTAATGAAAACTATTATCATTAGTAGTAATGTACTTTGGAAAAAAAAAAATACAAACTTCCACTCCCATAAGCTCAAGGGTATTACTAAAAATGATTGCCTGGCCAGAATTCCTGGCTTAAACTTGTAACTTTCTGGGGGTTGATACATCCACCCCTGCATTCTTAAGCCCCCAATTGTGATAGAAAAGAGGTGACACATTCTTTCCTTTTGCTAGACTCATGTAAAAGTTGCCATAAACCACCCATGGCATTTTCAGTGGAGTTTCAATGAAAAAAAAAAAAAAAAAAAAAACTCTGGCCAGGCGTGGTGGCTCATGCCTGTAATCCCAGCACTATGGGAGGCTGAGGCAGGTGGATAACTTGAGGTCAGTAGTTCGAGACCAGCCTGGCCAACATGGTGAAACCCTGTCTCCATGAAAAATAAAAAAATTACCCGGATGTGGTGGTGCACACCTGTAATCCAAGTACTCGGGAGGCTGAGGCAGGAGAATCGCTTGAACCTAGGAGGTGGAGGTTGCAGTGATATCGCACCGCTGCACTCCAAGCTGGGTGACAGAGTGAGACTCCGTCTTGAAAAAAAAAACCCAAAAAACTTTAAAAACTGATTCCAATGAAGTATTGCAAATTAGAAATCCTCATCTTTTTTTTTTTTTTGAGATGGAGTCTCACTCTGTCGCCCAGGCTGGAGTGCAGCAGCGCCATCTCAGCTCACTGCAAGCTCCGCCTCCTGGGTTCATGCCATTCTCCTGCCTCAGCCTCCTGAGTAGCTGGGACTACAGGCACCCATCACCACGCCCAGCTAACTTTTTGTATTTTTAGTAGAGATGGGGTTTCACAGTGTTAGCCAGGATGGTCTCAATCTGACCTGGTGATCCGCCCGCCTCGGCCTCCCAAAGTGCAGGATTACAGGTGTGAGCCACCGCACCCAGCCAGAAATCCTCATCTTTAAGGGACACTGGTTTTAGATTTTGGTTTGTGAGGTTTTTGTTTTCGTTTTTTGTTTGTTTGTTTGTTTGTTTTCAGACAGAGTCTCGCTCTGTCGCCCAGGCTGGAGTGCAGTGGCGCAATCTCAGCTCACTGCAAGCTCCGCCTCCTGGGTTCATGCAATTCTCCTGCCTCAGCCTCCCGAGAAGCTGGGACTACAGGCGCCCGCCACCACGCCTGGCTAAGTTTTTGTATTTTTAGTACAGACGGGGTTTCACAGTGTTAGCCAGAATGGTCTCGATCTCCTGATCTCATCATCTGCCCACCTCGGCCTCCCAAAGTGCTGGGATTACAGTCGTGAGCCACTGCGCCCGGCCTGTTTTCGTTTTCTTGAGACAGGGTCTTACTCTGTTGCCCAGGCTGGTCTCAAACTCATGGGCTCAAGTGATCCTCCCGCCTTGGCTTCCCAAAGTGTGGTTTGTGTTTTTATTAAACAAAAGAAAGTTCTTACCAGGATGCATCTAATGTGAGTAGCTCGATTCCTTGCTGTAACATAGGCTTAAAACGGAGGGTCAGTGGAAATGGGACCTTGGCTGCAGAGAAGAAAAAGTTCACAATCACTCTGAGCTGTTTTATTTTTAGAATAAGTGTGACTCTTTCTCAGAGGAGGTGGGAACTCTGTGCCACATAGCTTTTGGAAAACGACTTCCACAAGGAAATCTGTGGCAATTTCTGAAGAAAAGACAGTCAAAATGCCACTCTGCTCTAGTTTCCCTGAATAATATCTGCCTCTAGCTTACTGAGGAAGCAGGGACTCAAACTGAGCTGTGACCTGAAATTTGGAAAAAACTTGCAGCAAACTGTCAAACTCTAAGTGGAATATATAAGCATAGAATTATGTTAATAAGAAACCAAATTGATTAAAAGCGAATCAACTTACAAACAAACAGAAAACTCACCCTAACATCTAGCAAATGAAGTCAAAATAGAAATACGCTTCCCTTTATCCTGCTCAACGAGAATACCGTATTAGTTTTGGAAGTAAGCTAGCAAGTCACTTGCTTGAATCTAATCTGGCTAAAAAGCATCCACGTCATGAACTTAGGATCATTTTTGGGCAAAAGCCGTAAAAGTCATCACATATTAAATTTTTTGTTCAAGGACTATTATCAGTTTACAAAAGAAAACACAGGACCTGTGATATTAGTGTCTCACTAGCACTTGAATTTCTCTGGGTAACATGAAGTCGGCTGGGTCTGTAACTTACTTGTGACAAAGCCTGAGAATGTCATGTTGATCCATCCACCAATAAGAATCATAGGGAGGACATTTGTTACATTCCCTTTCATCATGTCTGTCAACATAGTAGGATCTAAGACAAAAGCACAAACAAGAAACCACTAAGTTTTACCTCTGTTGCCAGGGACTTTCTCCTGATTTTCTGTAAACTGTTTTTTTTTGAGACGGAGTCCCGCTCTGTCGCCCAGGCTGGAGTGCAGTGGTGCGATCTCAGCTCACTGCAAGCTCCGCCTCCCAGGTTCACACCATTCTCCTGCCTCAGCCTCCCGAGTAGATGGGACTACAGGTGCCTGCCACCACGCCTGGCTAATTTTTTGTATTTTTAGTAGAGACGGGGTTTCACCGTGTCAGCCAGGATGGTCTTGATCTCCTGAACTCGTGATCCGCCTGCTTCGGCCTCCCAAAGTGCTGGGATTACAGGCGGGAGCCACCGCACCCAGCGTTTTTTTTTTTTTTTTTTTTTGAGATGGAGTCTCACTCTATCGCCCAGGCTGGAGTGCAGTGGCATGATCTCAGCTCACTGCAACCTCCGCCTCCCAGGTTCAAGTGATTCTCTTGCCTCAGCCTCCTAAGTAGCTGGGATTACAGGCACACACTACAATGCCCAGCTAATTTTTGTATTTTCAGTAGAGACGGGGTTTCACCATGTCGGCCAGGCTGGTCTTGAACTCGTGACTGACCTCAAGTGATCTGCCTGCCTCGGTCTCCCAAAGTGCTGGGATTACAGGCGTCAGCCACCGTACCCAGTCTCAATATTTTTAATGTCTGCATAGGATTCCATGGTGTGGTCACACCAATCACTTTTGAGTAGACCTATCGATTGTTTCCATTGTTTTTGCCAATAAACGATAAATGATGCTGCCGACAATTATCTTGCACATACATCTGCATGTTTATGTGTTTCCGTAAGAGAATTTCTTAGAATTTCTAGGTCCAAGGATTTGTACATTTAAAATTGATAGATATTGTCAGACTGTCAGCAAGGCCCCACCTCTTGCCACTCCCGCCAATGGTGAGGGAGCCTAACTTCCTCGACCTTGACAATAGTGGATCCTGACAATCTTTTCAATCTTTTGACAGCTTACTGGGCTAAAAAAAAAAAAAAGAGATATCTTGGCCAGGCACGGTGGCTCACACCTGTAATCCCAGCACTTTGGGAGGCCAAGGCGGGCGGATCACGAGGTCAGGAGATGGAGACCATCCTGGCTAACACAATGAAACCCCGTCTCTATTAAAAATACAAAAAATTAGCCGGGCATGGTGGCAGGTGCCTGTAATCTCAGCTACTCTGGAGGCTGAGGCAGGAGAATCGCGTGAACCCGGGAGGCGGAGCCTGCAGTGAGCCGAGATCGCACCACTGCACTCCAGCCTGGGTGAGAGAGCGAGACTCCTTTCTGAAGAAAAAAAAAAAAAAAAAAAAAGATATCTTGTTTTAATTGATATTCCATGGATTATTAGTGAGGTCAAGTAACTTTTCATATATTTAATGGTCTTTTGTTTCTTGTAAATTTTCTTAAAAATTTGTTAAAAAATTAACTCCATACAACCTTAGTCACTCTCAAAAAAAATTAATTATAATACCTTCCGTATGGGTTTAAAATAGCTGGTTATCTCACCTAAAGAAGTGAATAGTACTAAAATGAGAGGAGTCAACACAGAACAACAAATTACTTTGTTTTACTTTTAGTTATTTTTATTTTTATTTTTCGGAGATGGAGTCTTGCTCTGTCGCCCAGGCTGGAGTGCAGTGACGTGACCTCAGCTCACTGCAACCTCCACCTCCCAGGTTCAAGCAATTTCCTGCCTCAGCCTCCGGGGTAGCTGGGACTACAGGCACCCACCACCACGCTAGGCTAATTTTTGTATTTTTAGTAGAGACGGGGTTTCATCATGTAAACCAGGCTGGTTTGAACTCCTGACCTCAGGCAATCAATCCACCTGACTCAGCCTCCCAAAATGCAAGGATTATAGGCGTGAGCCACCACACCTGGCCTGTTTTACTTTTAACATGCTATATTTTTCACATGACTGGTATCAGTGGAAGTAGAAAATGTTAGAGCCAAAACTGTAGGGTAGACCAAACAATCACGTCTAACAACAAAGTCAACAAAATGGCACATCTTGGAAGTACTGCACTCTTCCTCATTTAGGCAGAAGCTGGGCAGCCATCTATTGGAAGGGGATCCAGGCACTGGGTGACAGCCAGGCTGGAATGCTTTACCAACTGTGCTCCCTAGAATCCTGGGTCCTGAGAACAGCAATAAGGAGAGACCCAGGGACAATAGCTCTGGCCTCCCCACTCCATCAGCTGAGAACTATTTTTTTTAATCCACTTTATACATTGGGGTTCTCAGAAAATCTAACTGAAAAAGAGAATTCCACTTCCATAGATCCCTGTATCAGATGATTTCTAAGGTCTAAGATTACTATCTTTTGCAATTTAACATTTAAATAAAATGACACCCTCCCTGCCTACCCCACCCCACTCAAATACCCATGTTAAAAATCTTCCTTAAAGATGAGTGAAGGGAACAAACATACCAGTCATAGGAGAAGGTGGCACTACCTTCCGTTTAGTTTTTTTGAAAAATCCATCCTCTGGGTTGTTGAAATAATATTTTCGTGTCAAGAAAGACTAGTAAAAAAAAAAAAAAGTGTTTTAAGTCTAAGAACTATGACACAGCAAACTGTTAAATTACTCCCCAGTGGCTTAGTCAGAAGGCCTTTAGGATATGCTGTTCCGCTCAGAGCTGTCAGCCTACTTGGCAGGCGACCTGACACTTTAGCTGAGTCACATTTAAAAACAATTTCCTAAGAAGGGTGAGGTCACCATGAGAGCAAACACCACCAGGCCACAGCTTAATTACTAAGTTGCCAACCTTTAGCTTTCCCCAGAGCCCCCTTATAAAACATTCAGATATCTACTGCCCAACAGTGAATCGTGGAGCTTTTTAATAAAAGATAAATGAGTACCTGTTTGGGAATGTATTTTCCATTTTCCCTGAGGACTCTGCTTCGAATTAGGACTTGACTGAAAAATACAACCAACACAATGAGATTTTAAAAAGTGAAACACTAGAAGAAAATGGGAGAGTCAAGTAGAAGACCTATTTAAACACAAGAGAGGGCCTATTTGGCAACAGCTCTGTGTGGAAACTTCCCAAAATACAAGTATCTTTAAAACCAACGTAAACTTATTTAACCTAACTACTAGGTTTTCAGAAAAGTATTTTTCAAAAGTGACTGTGTTTCTGAACACATAAATATTTCAGAGTTAGGTACATTTGGGACATTACACTCAGCTTTTTCTTATTTGATAATAAGCTAGGAAGACACTTTCTCTGAGTGAAAAGAATAGTTGAACACTGCTCAGGAGATCTGGGGTCAGGAGAAAGGGAGAAGAGTGAGGATAAAAGAAGGAATTTCTTATTACCTACAGAGAAATGAGAACAGGCCTTGAGAGGGTTGCTATCTGATGGACAAATAGAAAATCTACCCAGAAGTCAGACTGTTAGAAAGCTCTCAGTAAACATTTATTGAATAAATAAATGAAATTACTAGGTGATCTTAAATCAACTATTAGAGCCATAGTTGATCAATAAATATCATGCTAGGCCAGGTGCAGTGGCTCACGCCTCTAATCCCAGCAATTTGGAAGGCAAAGGCAGGTGGATCACTTAAGCCCAGGAGTCTGAGACTAGCCTGGGCAACATAGCAAGACCCTGTCTCTAAAAAAAAAAAAAAAAAAAAAAAAAAAAAAAAAAAAAAAAATTAGCCAGGCTGGTGGCACGTGCCTGTAGTCCCAGCTACTCAGGAGGCTGCAGTAGAAGGATCACCTGAGCCCAAGAGGCAGAGGTTGCAATGAGCTGAGATGGCGCCACTGCTCTCCAGCCTGGGCAACAGTTAAGACCCTGTCTCTAACAACAAAAAAAGAATACAGTGTTATGCAACAAATGGGTGTTGCTAAGATGCAAATGACAAAACAGAGATCAAAATATTAATTTTTTTCTAGGTACTCAAAAGTTCATTAAAGGAGGAAAAGAGGAAAAGGCCCTTAAAGTAATGGAAATAGTCTTGAAACGTGAAAAAAAATTATGAACAGAAATGAACATAGTAAAACCTGTGCTTGGTAGGGGCCAGGCGCAGTGGCTCACATCTGTAATCCCAGCACTTTGGGAGGCCGAGGTGGGCGGATCACGAGGTCAGGAGTTTGAGACCAGCCTTGCCAACATGATGAAACCCTGTCTCTACTAAAAATATAAAAATTAGCCGGGTGTGGTGGCCTGTGCCTGTAATCCCAGCTACTCAGGAGGCTGAGGTAGGAGAATCACTTGAACCAGGAAGGTAGGGGGTTGCAGTGAGCCGAGACGACGCCATTGCACTCCAGCCTGGGGTGGGACTCCATCTCAAAAAAACAACAACAACAAAAAACAAACAAACAAACAAAAAAACTGTGCTTGGCTTCCTGTCTCTACTCAATACAAACCACTTGTTTTAAACAGTCAGTACCCCGGGGTTTCCCCTGTCACACTACACATATTCTAGTTTCTCCACATGCTGGGAATGTTCCAGTGCCCTTTCCTTTCCGAGTTCTACTCCATCATGCCTTAACATCTTCAAGTCTCAGCATCTCCACGAAGCTTTTCCCAATGCCTGGAGCCCTCGTGGAATTCTCTCTGCTTCCTCCTCCTGAGCTCATTATGCTATACAGTTCTCTACTTTATCTACAGGGCGCAACATGTAATACATTCTGCTCCCTGGATGCTAGTCTAAAGATACTCAAAGTGTGGTGAATGCTAGTCTGTGATAAGCACAGACACTGAGAGTAAGGATTTAGAGACTTTTATAATAATTTGACATTGTCACAACATCCAGATACATGATCAAAATATTTTACAAAAGTATTAGCCTATAAGAGATTAGAAATTTAAAAAACAAAAAACCCCAAAACTGGTCCTTCACCATTGACAGTATAAGAAGCACTGGGTCTAGAGTAATGGGTAAAAACTTAAGCTCTGGAGTTGAACACATGGGTTCAATCCCACCTCTGCCACTTATTAGCCATGTGATCTTGAGCAAGTCACTTAAATTCCCTAAGTCTCTATTCATATTCTGTACAAGGGTAGATTTATTCTTTCATTGAACAAATATTTCTTGAACTTCTAAGTGCCAGGTGACATGAAGAACGGTGATCAAAATACAAATATCTTACGATGGTCAAAGTCTAGTGAGGGGGAAAGACATTAACCAAATAACCAGAGGAATAAATGTGAAATTCAATTATCATGTCCTAGAGAGAGATGGATGGTATTGCAAGAGTGCATAACCAGGAGGTGATGGAGTCTGGAAAGTCAAGGTCTGAGAGTTTGCTGAGGATGTAGGATTAAGCTGGACTCTTCAGGATGAGTGAGGATTACCTTGGCAAAGTGCTGGTGTAAACAAAATGGGCAAAAGCCTCGTAGAAGTAAACACTCTGCCTCTGAGGACCTGAGAAAAGGCCACATGACTGGAAAAAGGAGAACTATAGAAAATGTGATGAAAACAAGACTTGAGAGGTGTGCAAGAGCCAGACTATACAAAATCATGTGGTCTCACTGTATTTTTTTTTTTTTTTTTGAGATGGAATCTCACTCTGTCTCCCAGGCTGAACTGCAATGGCGCAATCCCAGCTCAGTGCAACCTCTGCCTCACGAGTTCAAGCAATTCTCCCGCCTCAGCCTTCAGAGTAGCTGGGGTTACAGGCGCGCACCACCATGCCCAGCTAATTTTTGTATTTTTAGTAGAGATGGGGTTTCACCATGTTGGCCAGGCTGGTCTCGAATTCCTGACATCAGATGATCCGCCTGCCTCAGCCTCTCAAAGTGCTGGGATTACAGGCATGAAAAACCATGCCCAGCCAGGTCCCACTGTATTTTGATCACTGTCTTAAGAGCAAAAGGAAACTAATGAAGGATTTTTTTTTTTTTTTGAGACAGGGTCTTACTCTGTTGTCCAGGCTGGAGTGCAGTGGTACAATCTTGGCTCATGGCAACCTTGACCTCTGGAGCTCAAGTGATCCTCCCATCTTAGTCTCCCGAGTAGCTAGGACTACAGGCACACACCATGACACCTGGCAAACTTTTGTGTTTTGTTTTTTTTGTTTTTTTTTTTTTTGTAGAGACAGGGTCTCACTATGCTGCCCAGGCTGGTCTCTAACTCCTGGACTCTAGTGATCCACTTGCCTCAGCCTCCCAAAGTGCTGGGATTACAGGCGTGAGCCACCACACCCAGCCAAGTGGAGAATTTTAGGCTGAGTTCTTCACATATATGATCTTATATGACTGTACCTGGCACATCCTAAGCACTAGATTAATAGTATCTGTTATTTTTTCCTTTGCATATTTTATTACTTGAACAGAAACTCTGAGAGCAGGGTCGTGACCTTGTCTTACACTGTACCCCACAGCATGCAGCAGAGTGCAAGGCACATGATAGGCCATCAAAAGGCCATTGTTCACAGCCAGGCGTGGTGGCTCTCGCCTGTAATCTCAATACTTTGGGAGGCTGAGGTGGGAGGATTGCTTGAGCCCTGGAGCCCTGGAGTTCAAGAACAGCCTAGTCAACATAATGAGACCACTGTCTCCACAAAAAAATTTAAACATTAGCCAGGTGCAGTGGCGTGTGCCTGTAGTCCCAGCTACTCGGGAGGCTGTGGGAGGATCACTTGAGCCCGGGAGATCGAGGCTGAAGTGAGCCATGATCGCACCACTGCGATCGCAGCCTCAATCACTGCAGCCTCAACCTCTTTAGTCCAGCCTGGGTGACAAAGCAAGACCCTGTCCCCAGAAAAACAAACGAAAAAACACTTGTCCAGTCTACGATAACTCAAGACTTTCCCAGGCAGTGTAATCAAGAGAAATTCATCTAAATCTCCTACAATTACACTGCTGAACAATTTTGTAAAAATGAAGTTGAGTATTGTGACCCTGAGGTATTTCAAGACCTAAATAAGCAATCTTAAATTATCCTGTATTTTCTAACACTCACTTTCTTAAGCTGAGATCCATAGCTGTGTTCTCTGAAGTTTGCAAATTCTAAAAGAAATTTTTAATTTTGTATTTTTATTTTCATGAATATCTAAAAATAAGTCTCTGTACTGTTATAAAGCTTTGTAATTTGCAACTGAAGGACATCTTTTATTTATTTATTTATTTATTTTTTGCAGAGACAGGGTCTTACCATGCTGCCAAGGTTGGTCTCAAATTCCTGGGCTCAAGGGATCCTCCCATCTCAGCCCCCCAAAGTGCTGGGATTATAGGTGTGAGCCATTGCACCAGGCCTGAAAGATATTTTCTTGGAATAAAACTTTAAAGTCAGTACTTCTCAAACCAGAGTTCCAAATTCTTAAGAATCAGTGTTTCTTCCTTTCCAAAATGTCAGTAGTATATTTGTCAAGTCTGAGAACCATTTTTTACACATAATCTATCCCCAAACCTAGTCTAATATATTTCATTCATGTATTTTACAGCTTTGGTTTAATACCTGTTAAAAAAAATTTTTTTTTTTTTTGAGACATTGTCTCATCTTGCTCTGTCACCCAGGCTGGAGTACAGTGGCGTGATCTCGGCTCACTGAAACCTCTGCCTCCTGGGTTCAAGAGATTCTCCTGCCTCAGCCCGCAGAGTAGCTGGGACTACAGGCGTGCACCACCACCCCAGCTAATTTTTGTATTTTTAGTAGAGATGGGGTTTCGCCATGCTGGCCAGCCTTGTCTCGAACTCCTGACCTCACGTGATCCACCTGTCTCAGCCTCCCAAAGTGCTGGGATTACAGGCTTGAGCCACCATACCTGGTGCAAATGGAAATTTTCTTTTTTTTGAGACATAGTCTTGCTCTGCCGCCTAGGCTGGAGTACAGTGGCATGATCTCGGCTCACTGCAACATCTGCCTCCCAGTTCAAGCGATTCTCCTGCCTCAGCCTCCCGAGTAGCTGGGATTACAGGCGCGTCCCACCATGCTCGGGTTATTTTTTGTATTTCTAGTAGAGACGGGGTTTCACCTTGTTAGCCAGGATGGTCTCAATCTCCTGACCTCGTGATCTGCCTGCCTCAGCCTCCCAAAAGTGCTAGAATTACAGGTGTGAGCCACCGTGCCCTGCTGCTAATGGACATTTATAGTATATTTATTAAAATGTTTTATATCGCTGGGTATGCCTATACCCAGTGGCTCATGCCTATAATCCCAATATTGTGGAAGGCCGAGATGGAAGGATCACTTGAGCTCAGGAGTTTGAGACCGGCCTGGGCAACGGAGGAGACCCCATCTTTGCAAAAAATTTAAAGATTAGCTGAGCGTGGTGGCACACGCTTATAATCCCAGCTACTCGAGAGGCTGAGGTGGGAGGATCCTTGAGCCTGAGATGTTGAGGCTGCAGTAAGCCTTGACTGTGCCAGTGCTCTCCAGCCTGGGTGACACAGCAAGACTTGTCACTTAAAAAAAAAAAAAGAAAAAAAAAGTTTTACAACTAAAACACACCTTTTTCTTGGACTTAGGCTGGTTCAGCATGTACAGCATTTTGCTCAAGTCAAATGATGACCTGATGAGACTGAGCCACTCCATGTCAGAGCTGGTATAATCCAACTACCTCACTTAAGGGATGCAGCAATTATGAGCAGAGACATTTTCTCTAGAGCAGTGGTTGGTTCTTCATGGGGGTGTTACTGCCCTGTAGGGGGCGTAATGGTAATCTGTGGAATTTTTTTTTTTTTTTTGAGACAGAGCCTCCTTCTGTGGCCCAGGCTGAAGTGCAGTGCAGCCATCTCGGCTCTCTGTAACCTCTACTCCTTAGGTTCATGTGATTCTCCTGCCTCAGGCTCCCTAGTAGCTGGGATTACAGGCACATGCCACCGTGTCTGGTTAATTTTTGTATTTTTAGCAGAGATGGGGTTTCACCATGTTGGCCAGGCTGGTCTTGAACCCCTGACTTTAAGAGATCTGCCCACCTCAGCCTCCCTAAGTGCTGGGATTACAAGCATGTGCTACTGTGTCCGGCTGTTACATTCCTTCTTAAGGAAGCGTTCTTGGCTGGGTGCAATGGCTCACACCCTGTCTCTACTAAAATACAAAAATTAGCCAGGCATGCTGGCGCATGCCGCTAATCGCAGCCACTCGAGAGGTTGAGGCAGGAGAATCACTTCAGCTGGGGAGGCAGAGGTTGCAGTGAGCCAAGATTGCGCCACTGCACTCCAGCCTGGGCAAGAGTGAGACTCTGGTCTCCAAAAAAAAAAAGGTTCTTGTAAACAGACTACACTAACTGTGAATTTCATTTTGTGGTTACAAAAGAGAGCTTTGGATCTGATATAATTCAGAACCATTGCTCTAATAGTGAACCATGGGCAGAAAATCATGGCAGAGAATCTACGACAGCAGGAATCATGGTTGAAGAGGGTTTAACCTGGGAGTGAGACTGATCTGAGTTCAAGTACAGGCACAATATTTCCCTACTTTGGGAAGACTACTTAACTTTTCCAGGCTCCCTGGAATTGTAAAAATGGGTTAAGGAGTATCTGCTTCAGTGCTAATGTAAGGCTAAAATAAGAAATTTTACAGGTGCCAGAAAATGCTAAATGTCTGAGCTTTCCCCACTTCGCACTTTTCTACAGCCCTTCTTTCTGTGGTAAATACACTTTTTTTTTTTTTTTTAAATGAGATGGAGTCTCGCTCTGTCGCCAGGCTGGAGTGCAGTGGCATGATCTCGGCTCACCGCAACCTCTGCCTCCCGGATTCAAGCGATTCTCCTGCCTCAGCCTCCCGAGTAGCTGGGACTACAGGCACGTGCCATCACGCCCAGCTAATTTTTGTATTTTTAGTAGAGATGGGGTTTCACCATGTTGGCCAGGATGGTCTCAATCTCTTGACCTCATGATCTGCCTGCCTCGGCCTCTCAAAGTGTTGGGATTACAGGCGTAAGCCACCACACCCGGCCAGTAAGTTGACTTCTTTTCTGTTTTTTTGAGACAGAGTCTTGCTCTGTCACCCAGGTTGAAGTGCAGTGGCGCGATCTTGGCTCACTGCAAGCTCCGCCTCCTGGGTTCAAGCAATTCCACTGCCTCAGCCTCCCGAGTAGCTGGGACTACAGGCGCCCAGCATACCACGCTCAGCTAATTTTTTGTATTTTTAGTAGAGACGGGGTTTCACCATGTTAGCCAGGATGGTCTCGATCTCCTGACCTCGTGATCCGTCCGCCTCGGCCTCCCAAAGTGCTGGGAGTACAGGCATGAGCCACCATGCCCGGCCAGTAAGCTGACTTCTTAAGGTTCGCTCCAGGGTGGGGTGCTGGCTCTGGTCAGTTCTGAAACTAATGCTACAGAAAGATAAAGTGATCGCTGTAGTATAGTGGAAAAAGCCCAATACCCAGAAGGCTTGGTGTGAAGTCCTAAATGTCACCCTGTGTGACGCTGTAACGCACCTGGCACTCTTCTCAACGAACGGGTGGGATGGAACTTGTTAAAGCCTCTGTTTCTATAAAATGAGACAATATGTACCTCATAGAGTTGCTTTGAAGTTTTAAATAAGTTAATGAATGTAAGTACTTCACATAGTACCTGATATAGAGTAAATGGTTATTATTCTTCTTGGCATAATTGGGAAGAACTAACTGAAAATGTTACAGTAGTGCTTCCTAAACTTCAGTCACTCTCATGCCATGTTAGAATTTTTGTCCAACGCTTGTATCATTACATATTTAATACTTTTTATATATCAACTTTTTTCCCATCTATATGATTTTAAAGGAATCTTTAAATTACCAGCAAATGGAAATCCAGTATTGTCACAAAAAAGAAAGTAACTTAAGTACAGTAGAAACAAAACAACATTATTAAATTTTAACTAGACACTGTTACCTGTGAAAAGTTCTTAGCCTGAGGCTTACTCTCTTTATTAAAACGAGAAATTAATGTGAGAGAGAGGTGCTAAAGATATAGTAGCACTTACCTGAGATGATTTCTGAAAGTAATCAGAACTGACTGAAAATTGCTTGTTTTTCTAAGAGACAAGGTCTCGTTATGTTGCCCAGGCTGGTCTCCCACAATCCTCCTGCCTCAGCATCCCAAGTTGCTGGGAGAAAACTATTACTTTAATATGAGGGGCTACATGTCTAGATAACCACCTATAATCATCTCAAATTCCTTTATCTGTATATAAATATTGCAACGAGGGGCTGGTTGCCATGGCTCACACCTGTAATCCCAGCACTTTGGGAGGCCAAGGCAGGTGGATCACCTGAGGTCGAGTTCGAGAACAGCCTGGCCAAGATGGTGAAACCCTGTCTCTACTAAAAATACAAAAATTAGTCAGGTGTGGTGGTGCGGGCCTGTAATCCCAGCTACTCGGGGGGCTGAGGCAAGAGAATCGCTTGAACCCGGGAGGCGTAGACTGCAGTGAGCTGAGATGACGCCACCGCACTCCAGCCTGGGCAACGAGAGCGAAACTCCGTCTCAAAAATAAGCAAATAAATAGATAAATAAATAAATACTGCAATGAAATATGTGAGGAAGTTGCCTCCACTCTAGTGGGGGGAAATAATTACAATTCCTTACATCTCTAATGGCAGTTTTACAGACTGCAAAGCGCTTTGGTACTTGGCATCTCAGCTGACAGTCCCACCAGGCCCGACGCCTGGAACAGTAATTTGGTAGAATGCAGATTATCACACTCACTTGACTGGATGTTACAAAGACTAAACGCTGTAACGCACCTGGCACTCTTCTCAACGGAAGGGTGGGATGGAATAGTTCATAGGTAAACCCACCGAGGGTCGGCGACTAACCTAAAGGATTAACAGTACTGTTTTTTTCAACACTCAATACGTCCTAGATCCTGTGCTAAGGGACTTACAGACATCACCTAATTTGATTCCTACCTGTCTATGAAGCAGGTACTGTTATCATCCCCATTTCACAGAGGACAAAAGTGAAACACAGAGGTAACGGGTAAGGTCACCCTGTCAGAGGGGGCGCGACGTGAACCTAGGCAAATTGACACAACTCCTGCACTTTTTTGCCCAAGGTCACGGCGGTGTGAGGTAGGCTGGAGAAGGGAGGGCGCTGACCTGTCAGATACTTGTTCCTGGGTGAGCTTCTTGTCGCTCTGCAGCAGGATGGACACGTAGTGGCGGATCATGCCTACGAAGAAAGTGATGATAACGATGGGTAGGACCACCCAGAGGCGGATGTTGGAGTCGAGCAACAGTTCTGGCCCTGCCATCTTCACTGAAAGCTGGTTCCCAGTCTGGAATGGGCGAGCTTCTCTTCTCCGGGGCACAGTTGCTTCTCTTCGGCTTCGCCTCCGGGCCTTCTCAAGCCCCTTTGCCCGTGTACCCCAGAACTCTCCTGCGACTGTGAGCCGAGCTTACTGCCTTCAGCTGGGCTGCCTGGTCTTCCACTTCCGGCGCGAACGTTGACGTCACGTCGTGGCGCACCTCAGTGGCGTCAGAGCGGCGTCGGGCCTGGCGGGAAAGTGGAAAACTATCGGCGGTGGCCCAGGCTCGGTGGCTCACTCCTGGAATCCCAGCACTTTGGGAGGCCAAGGTGGGGGGATCACGAGGTCAGGGGATCGAGACCATCCTGGCTAACAGGTGAAACCCTGTCTCTACTAAAAATACAAAAAAATTAGCCAGGCGTGGTGGAGGCGCCTGTAGTCGCAGCTACTCGGGAGGCTGAGGCAGGAGAATGGCGTGAACCCAGGAGGCGGAGCCTGCAGTGAGCCGAGATTGCTGCACTGCACTCCAGCCTGGGCGACAGAGGAAGACTCCGTCTCAAAAAAAAAAAAAAAAAAAGAAAGAAAACTACAGGCGGGGACGGCTTCTCGGTGAGTAAATGGAGCAGTGGTCGTAGTCTCTCGAGGCCCCGCTCCCCTGCGACCTAATCTCTTAAGTCCGGGCCGCGGTCGGCGTTCTTCTCTGGGGCTCCGCGCCCCAAGCCTCGGCTTCCTCATCTGCCCTGAGATGGGATAGTCCCCACAGGTACCTTTCTGCGTCGTTAAAATGAGGAAATGAGAAAGGCTTTTACCCTCACCCCCTTCCCGATGAACTAGTCCAGGCAGTCGGCCTCATCTCACGTCTGTTGGGCTTCTCGGGAAGCCAAATGGTATCGCACGTGTTAAAGGCGGGTGTCTGGAAGCCGAAAGTCCTGACTAACTGAGAATGTTGACTAATCCGGATAGCATTGAGAAGAGGAAATGGAGCTATTCAACAGATTCATTGATCTATATAAGCTGCTATAAGTTACATTTACTCTTTCTGTGTAGTACCTCACAGAATTCTGAAATTTTGGATATGACATTCTACGACATTGCATTTAGCTATTCTCACAACTCTATTTTTCAAAATGTCCAACGTTTAAAATTTTTTCTTCCTCAGTCTTTCAGGAGATTGTCATGGTTGAGAGACTGGACTGTACCTACCCACTATGAATGAGCAGAACACCATAGCTAATATTAACTTTCTGCAGGTAATCTCTGAGCTTCGGGAGAAGTTGGATCCTGCAGCATTGTGTTTTGCCATCACTGTTGCAGGCTTTCCAAGTAAAGTTAAAAAGTAAAGGACAAGCAAGGTAAAGAGCTCATGGATAATTGCCACCCTTTTCCTCACATAGGATGTCACAGTTCTCTGACATCCCACAGTCAGAGTTGGAGCTTAATACTTACAACTACAAATAATGGTACTATTATGATATTTACATCTAGTATTATATCGTTTTTCAAATTACGTATATGTATGTGGCTATGTATGTGTTCATATGTTTTCTTAGCCATTCAGATCAATCCCAGGCAGACTACAGTGCAAGTTTATTAGCCATCTTATACATGAGGTTGTCATTTACTCCAGGGTACATGGCTACTAAGCAGGAATTCACATCTTGTAAGTTCTTTTCTGGTAGGTAGAAGAGTAATTTTTTTCCTCTCTGCTACTTGTAATTCCTCAGGAAATCAAGAAAGCAGCGGTCAGAACCGTATTATTCTCTTTGATGTAATAAAGTCAGCTATTAGATATGAGAAAACCATTTCAGAAGCCTGGATTAAGGTGGGATCTTTGGAACTTTGATTATCAAGGAGGAAATGAGTGGCAATTAGTGACAGATGTATAACTGAGGTAGATTGAAATAAAAATCTCAAAACTCATTCAAGTGGAAATGATAGCTGATGGTTGCCATATGGACACATTGGCTCTTAGATGAGATAACAGGGCATGCTGAATAAGGTGTAACGTGTTTCGCTGATGTGTCATAATATTTTTGTGACTCTCCTGTTTTTTCAGGCAATTGAAAACACTGCCTCAGTATCTGAACACAAGGTAATGTTCATGTACTATGCATTTTCAGTATTGCAGACTTAAAAGTAATGACATTGGCTAGCTTGCCTTCCCACTGTCTTTCTTTCTCCTCCCTCCAGTCACTCTTCTCTCTCTTCCCTAGTTGCTCTAATAAACATTAGCTGTCTGGGGAAGATAATCTGAGGTGGCGACTGGCCAGATAGCCTGCCCCTACTCACTCTGGCTATAAAATAAGCCTACAGTATCCACAAGGGGAAATACTAACAGTGTAAACAAGCACATCAAGGTGCAGTCAAAGAAGCCAGGTCCCCACTGATGAGATGAAGAAAATAACCACCTAAGTCTCAGGTCCCTATATCTGCCTAATTGCCCTTCCTTCCACCCAGCACCACTGTCAAGATAATGGCATTCCATGTTTTACTTTACTTTGCTCATGTAGACCTGACTAGAGTAAATCAGTCTGTCCACTGTCAAAGCAGTGGTACTGGATCTTATGTCTCTATTAATTCTAGAAATACCTTCCATCAAAAAGCCAGATGATTGGCCGGGCACGGTGGCTCACGCCTATAATCCCAGCACTTTGGGAGGCTGAGGCAGGCGGATCATCTGAGGTCAGGAGTTTGAGACCAGCCTGGCCAATGTAGCGAAACCCCGTCTCTACTAAAAATACAAAAAAAAAATTAGCCTGGCCTGGTGGCACACGCCACTGCACTCCAGCCTGGGCGACAGTGCAAGACTCCATCTCAAAAGATAAAAAGCCAGATGATTGAGTTCCTTAGGTGCTGATTGGTTGCCTTTAAAGATTTTTCTTTGGTTGGAATCTGTTTTGTGGGATTTTTGTTAGTTTTGTTATCCAATTTTGGGATGACTATCTTAAAAGCTTTCATGATGATGAATAAAGCAATGAAAAAAATGAATAACTTTTTGTGGTGAGAAATATCAAAGTACTCCAAACACACTGTTTTTGGTTTTAGATAAACACAAATTTAACACCTTGACTGCCTGCATACCTATTTTTACGTATTTGTAATCATTTTATAAATATAAATATAATTTGTATTCTTTTTTCTCAACATTTTCTTCTCCATGTGCTTCTGCTTTGTCTTCATTGTTATCTTTAATGACTGTATTCTGGTCTAATGACTCTAAATTTTGGTGTCCTAAGAAGTGGAGCATTCAGTTAAGAGAAGTAGTAAAATTTGTTTTTTCTTTTTTGTCCTGCTTGCCTTTTTAACTTTTTTTTTTTTTTTTTCCTGGAAGCATAGACTCAGATTGCCCTGAATACACTCCCAGTGTTTTCTCTTTTTTTTTTGAGACAGAGTCTTGCTCTGTCACCCAGGCTGGAGTGCAGGCAGTGGCGCAATCTCAGCTCACTGCAAGCTCCACCTCCTGGGTTCATGCCATTCTTCTACCTCAGCCTCCCGAGTAGCTGGGACTACAGGCGCCTGCCACCACGCCCGGCTAATTTTTTGTATTTTTAGTAGAGATGGGGTTTCACGTTGTTAGCCAGGATGGTCTGGATCTCCTGACCTTATGATCCACCTCAGCCTCCCAAAGTCCTGGGATTACAGGTGTGAGCCACCGTGCCGGGCCTTTCTCTTTTTTTTTTTTTTTTTTTTTTTTTAAGAGACTAAGTCTTGCTCTGTCACCGAAGGTGGAGTGCGGTGACAGCATCATAGTTCATTGCAGTCTCAAACACCCGGGTTCAAGCGATCCCCCCACCTCAGTCTTTGGAGTAGCTGGGACTACAGGCAAGCACCACCAGGCCTGGCTAATTCTGTTAGTTAGTTAGTTAGTTATTTTGAGAGAGTTTCGCTCTTTTGCCTAGGCTATAGTGAAGTGCCACAATCTCGGTTCACTGCAACCTCTGGCCCCTGGGTTGAAGCAAATCTCCTGCCTCAGCCTCCCTAGTAGCTGGGATTATAGGTGCCTGCCACCATGCCTGGCTAATTTTTGTATTTTTAGCAGAGATGGGATTTCACCATATTGGCCAGGCTAGTCTCAAACTCCTGACTCAGGTGATCCACCCACCTGCCTCAGCCTCCCAAAGTGCTAGGATTACAGGTGTGAGCCACCACGCCTGGCCAATTCTTTTATTTATTTATTTATTTATTTATTTTTTGAGACGGAGTCTCGCTGTCGCCCAGGCTGTAGTGCAGTGGCACGATCTCGGCTCACTGCAAGCTCCGCCTCCCGGGTTCACGCCATTCTCCTGCCTCGGCCTCCTGAGTAGTTGGGACTATAGGCGCCCACCACCTCGCCTGGCTAATTTTTTGTATTTTTAGTAGAGACGGGGTTTCACCATGTTAGCCAGGATGGTCTCGATCTCCTGACCTCGTGATCTGCCCGCCTTGGCCTCCCAAAGTGCTGGGATTACAGGTGTGAGCCACCGCGCCCGGCCATTCTTTTATTTTTTATAGAGATGAGGTCTTGCTGTGTTTCCCAGGCTGGTCTCAAATTTTTAGCTTCAAGTGATCCTCCTGCTTGGGCCTCCCAAAGTGCTGGGATTATAGGCATGAGCCACTGCACCCAGCCCTCATATTTTTCTTTTTTAAACTTAGGTAAACAAGCTAATTGTGGAGAAAAATCCACAAGGAATCTACAGATGTAAAAAATACAGTTTTTCTCTGCTCTCTTTCCCATTCCTCAGGGGTAATCATCCTTCCAAATTTTTTCTCTTCATATACAAGCTGTAATTGTGTGCAAGTACAGGTATACTCTTATGCCTACACATATATATGTTTATATATTGTTTTTACAAAAGCAGAATCTTAACTATGATTATGGGTGGTGGTGGTGGTGTTTAAAGAGACAGGGTCTCACTCTGTCGCCAGGCTGGAGTGCAGTGGCACAATCGTAGCTCACTGTTGCCTCCACCTCCTGGGCTCAATGATCCTCCCTCCTCAGCCTCCCAAAGCAGTGGGATTATAGGCATGAGCCTTCATGCCCAGCCTGATTATCCTTTTGCAGGCTGCTGTTTTTTCCACTTCATATCAGGAATGTCTTTCCTCTGTCAAAAAATAGAGTATGGCTCAGCAGTCCCTAACCTTTTTGGCACCAGGGACTGGTTTCATGGAAGACAGTTTTTCCACAGACCGTTTCGGGGCATGATTTCAGGATGAAACTGTTCAACTTTAGATCATCAGGCACTACTTAGATTCTCATAAGGAATGTGCAGCCTAGATCCTGCGCATGTGCAGTTCACAATGGGGTTTGCGCTCCCGTGAGAATCTAATGCAGCCGCTAATCTGACAGGAGGCGGATCTCAGTGGTAATGACCACTTGACCACCCCTCACCTCCTGCTGTGCAGCTTGGTTCCTAGCAGACCACAGACTCCGTGATCCAGGAGTTGGGGACCCCTGATCTACCTTTTTCTTTTTTTTTTAAATTTTGTAATTAAAAAGTCTTTTTTAGACAGAGTCTCGCTGTGTCACCCAGGCTGGAGTGCAGTGGCACAATCTCGGCTCATTGCAACCTGCACCTCCCGGGTTCGAGTCGTTGACCTGCCTCAGCCTCCTGAGTAGCTGGGATTGCAGGCAGTTGCCACCACGACTGGCCAATTTTTTTTTGTATTTTTTAGTAGAAATGGGGTTTCACCGTGTTGGCCAGGCTGGTCTCGAACTCCTAACCTCAGGTGATATGTGTACCTCAGCCTCCCAAAGTACTGGGATTACAGGTGTGAGCCCCCACGCCCAGCCTGGCTTATCCTTTTTGATGACTATAATATTTCAAAAATTAAAATTACTCCATCATAATTTACTGAACCCTTTCCAGATTGATGGGCATTTATAGTCTTTCCAACTTTTCACAAAGTAATTTTTCTAGTAATAGTGAAAATACATACTGGAGTTGGCAAGTGATTGAATCTTTTAATAAATGTGAAGATGTTCAAAGTTACTTCTGTAGTAGTATCACTTTAATGTATATTGGAATGTATTCCTAAGAGATACCAGTGGTTAATAGTTGTGGCACTTTATTTCTTTAAAAAATATTTCTGGGTTTTGTGAAAAGTGTAGATACTACCAGGGGAGTGTGTGGAACAAATGAGCATCATCCATTGTGTGTTTTAATTAGAGGAAAAGCTGCTGTTTCATTGTAGCAAATGTACTGATTGGTTAACTGTTTTTCTATTATTGCATATTTATTGACCTGGTGATGCTTTTCATCATCTATAGCACCAATACTCAGACAAAGAAGTACATTGAAAGGGTGCTAAGAAATAAGATTCGATCAGGCTGCATTCAAGAACAGCTGCTCCAGAGTACATTCTCTGTTCATTACTTAGTAAGTGTCAGAGACTATTGATTTTTAATCTAAAACAGAAAGCTTTACAGCTCTCATGTAAAATTTCATCTTATTTCAGTCCATTGTTCAAACCCATTGAAATTTTTGAATTTTATTTTTGCATTAACATTTTAATTGTCTATCTCAATGCAGTTTGCAATTATGACAAACTAGCCTTTCGTATCCTATTCTAAGTAGCTTATAAAAACCTTGAGGGGAATAGGACCAGGCTGTAGAAACTAGTAGAAACGTAAATATGGACCTATTTGAACTATCACTCTTTGGCCATTCAAAACTGGATTTTAGGTGATAATTCCTCTGGAAATGTAAATTATTCAAACTGGAATTTATAAACTGGGAATAATGTTTTGCTGGCTGAACGTTCAGTATATTAACAGTATAGAACTTAGAAAACTGGATGGGCCAGTAGTTTGGGGTTTGGGTTAGGAGCTAATGAGAATACCTCATTGGATCTTACATTTTATATTTAGGAATAGATTTAATGTTTGTCTTATTTCATCTAGCAGTTCTTTTCTGTGTTTATTTCTGCCAGTTATATGTGTTTTGGGCTGTAATTTTCTAGACACGGAAACCATATGTAATTTTTCATTGCATTTTCCCCAATAAAGCATTATACCCAGCTTACTACTAAATGTAAGATTTTTTAAAATTATGGTATCAATAAGGAAGCTATGTTTATTAACTGGTTATTTACTCTGGGTCCATTAATGTCTATATATTGCATTATTGATAGAGCATGATCACTTCTTTTAAAAAAGTCAGTTTAGTTAGCATTGAACCTTATAGACCAACTTCAAATTATAACCAAGGTGGAACATCCCTGGGGGGTCGTGTGATTGCATGAGGAAACCGGGATTTAGAAGATCTGGCCTCCAATCCCAAATCGAGCAGATAGGAATGTACTATTAGGCTTATAACTTAACTTCTTTGAGCTTAACAGTCAATTAATATCCAAATGTGGACTCCCATTGATCCTGAGAGAAAACTCAGAATGGTGAAGGATTATTCTGTGTAAAACAAAGATTAAGATTTCTTAAGTTAAAATGAGAGTTGGGGAAGAGAAGTCTGATCTGACATTCCAAAAGGATAAGCAACTCTTAGGTTGTGTACTGTTTCCTACAGCTTCTTTTCTCTCTCTACTCTTCCCCACTCAAGGTTCTTAAGGATATGTGTTCATCCATTATGTCGCTGGCTCAGAGTTTGCTTCACTCTCTAGACTAGAGTAGAATTTCATTTGGCAGTCTCCTATACAAATAATGTGTTTATGTTTTTTGACACATACTGCCAGCAGGTATGTTGAAATACTTATTTTGGCAAGGAGGGAACAGAGGAAGGAAGAATCATCTAATGCTTATTTTTTGTTGGTTGGAACTTACTGAAGGGAAAGTAGCTCTGAACTGGGTCTCAGGAAAGCTCAATTTTACTCCCAGCCTTGATGAAATGAAGAGATTTGACTGGTGGATCTAACTCTGTGTTCTGAACTCTAAAATTCTCTTGTCTGAAATTAAGATACAGATTTGGTCTATTTCAAAACATGAGACACTTTTTTTTTTTCAAGACAGAGTTTCGTTCTTGTTGCCCAGGCTGGAGTACAGTGGCGCAATCTCGGCTCACTGCAACCTTCGCCTCCCGGATTCAAGCAGTTTTCCTGTCTCAGCCTCCTGAGTGGCTGGGATTACAGGCGCGTGCCACTATGCCCAGCTAATTTTTTGTGTTTTTAGTAGAGACAGGGTTTCACCATGTTGGCCATCCTGGTCTCGAACTCCTGAGCTCAGGTGATTCACCTGCCTCGCCCTCCCAAAGTGCTGCAATTACAGGCATGAGCCACCGTGCCTGGCCGAGACACATTTTAATAGCATATATCCAGAGAGAGAGGACTGTATTTGTGGAAAATGTTTATGAAAGCAAGTAAAGCACAGTGTCTTATTTTGTATTTGTACATATATTCTTCCTATTAGCAATGTTAAAACGCATCTGAATGGAACTTTTAAAATGAAGATTTGTAAAAAAAATTGTAAACATTTAAAATAGAGCAGTAGTTGCAGCTGACATGAGGTAGCTGTTGTAATTGAGAATTCTGTTATGACTTATGGAGTGACGGTATAAAGGGAGAATGGCATCTAAGACATTTCTGGACCCTCTTAATGTCTTAGAGACACTGTCATGATCCATGTTTGCTTGGAAACATGCAAATCTAGCCTGTACTATATGGAGAAAACCTTTAAAGCTTTTAGCTCCTTGAGTGGCATCTTTTTGAGGAATTTCAACTGATCTTGTACAACCTCAACCTAAAGGGTAAAATTTAACCCATATGGGAAAAAGAAAGAGGAAAACTACGCCCAGGAGCAAAATCAGGAGGGCTTAGGTAGAGCTCACTGATAAAATATGGGAAATAGGTCAAGACGGGATGGTCAAGTTACACTGGCATATTCCTAAATCTCCTGAAGCCAGCATTACTAGATAATAGATGATGGGACTGGGTTGATTGTGATTTTAACGAAGTAGAGATTGGAGAGGCCTCGGTGGTGAATCCCCTTAGAATGGCCATCCAGTGGCAAACAGAATGAAGCCAGCAGCCACATCCAGGTAAGAAGCAATATGTTGGGAAAGATTCTGTTTTTTGAGACGGAGTCTAGCTCTGTCACCTAGACTGGAGTGCAGTTGGCGCTGTCTCAGTTCAGTGCAACCTCTGCCTCCCGGGTTCTAGCGATTCTCCTGCCTCACCCTTCCAAGTACCTGGGACTACAGGCACGTGTCACCACAATCGGCTGATTTTTGTATTTTTAGTATTTTGTGTTTTTAAACCTCTTTACTTGAAATTTGCTGGAAAAAAAAAAAGCAAATGATAGATTTGCTGTGTAAAATAGTGGAAATGGAGTACATAGCCATAGTTCGAGCATTTTTTTATTCTTACCACAAACATTAAGTGCCTATTCTGTGCCAGGCACTGATACATTAGATCCTCTGCCCTCAAAAAGCTCTGTCTATTAGGGTAGAGATGGGTCTGTGGTCAGCTAACCATGAAACTGTTCAGGTTCTGAGTGCAGTGGGGACACAGAATTGCCTTGTTTTCTAAGAAACATCTCCATCTAATGTGAACTTCACGTGGGCTTGCTTTTGTTTGTGGATGCCATTCACTGAAAAAGCCAGGCTGTAATCCCAGCACTTTGGGAGGCCAAGGCAGGAGAATCACATGTGCCCTGGAGTTTGAGACCAGCCTGGGCACCATGGTGAAACCCCATCTCTACAAAAACATACAAAAATTAGCCAGGTGTGGTGGCACACACCTGTAATCCTAGCTACTCAGGAGGCGGAGGTGGGAGGATCCATTGAACCCAGGGAGTTGAGGCTACAGTGAGCCATGATTGTGCCACTGCTCTCCAGCCTGGGCAACAGAGTGAGACTCTATCTCAAAAATAGACACATAAATAAAAATAAAACAAAAAGAAGAGATTAGATTGGAATCATAACTTGTAACTCATTTGTATCTTTAGTGCTACCTTATGGCAGTAATTCATACTGGACTGTGACTTTGAACAACTAGTATATTTTTTATCTTCCCCCCTGCCCTTTCTTGGATCCCCAGTCAACACATTTTTTTAATTAAAAAAAATTTTGGACTAGGTAATATACATGTGTCAAAATTCAAAACATATAGAAGAGTATCCAGTGAAAAATAACTCACTTCTTCTCAGTCCTCTAGGCACCTGGTTTGTCTCCCACAGGGACAATCACTTTATAACCTTCTGAGATGTTCTGAGAATTTACAAATTTGTGTTTACCTGTAGTTTCCTTTCCCCTCTTGTTCTATATCATACCTTTTGCATTTAGCAGTTTATTTTGGAGATTGCCTTAAATCAGTAATATAAAGTTTCTTCATTATTTAATTTTTAATTTTGATATAACGTAAAATATACCATTTAAACTGTTTTTAAGGGTACATTTAGTAGCATTAAGTATATTCATAATGTTATACAACCATTACCACTATCCATTTCTAGAACTTCTGATCATCCCAAACAAACTTTGTACCCATTAGGCAATAATTTGCCATCTTCCTCTCCCCAGCCCCTAATAATCACTAATCACATTCTATCTATGGATTTGTTCATTCTAGATGCCTCATATAAATGGAATCATAACAATATGTATCCTTGTGTCTTGCTTATTTCACTTAGCATATTATTTTCTTTTCCTTCTTTCTTTTTTTTTTTTTGTTAGTAGAGACGGGGTTTCACCGTGTTAGCCAGGATGGTCTCGATCTCCTGACCTCGTGATCTACCCGCCTCGCCCTCCCAAAGTCCTGGGATTACAGGCGTGTGCCGCCACGCCCAGCCAGCATATTTTCAAGGTTCATGTATGTTGTAGCATGCATCAGAACTTCATTCCCTACTACAGCTTTAGTAATTCCATTCTTTGTTTTTGTTGTTTTGTTTTGTTTTGTTGAGACGGAGTCTCACTCTGGCCCCCACGCTGGAGCGCAGTGGCACGATATCAGCTTACCGCAACCTCTGCCTCCTGGGTTCAAGCAATTCTCTTGCCTCAGCCTCCTGAGTAGCTGTGATTACAGGCGTGCACCACCACACCCAGCTAATTTTTGTATTTTTAGTCGAGTTGGGGTTTCATCATGTTGGCCAGGCTGGTCTCAAACGGCTGACCTCAGGTAATCCACCCTCCTCGGCCTCCCAAAGTGCTGGGACTACAGGCGTGAGCCACTGCGCCCGGCCCCCATTCTTTGTTTATACCACATTTTTTTTATCCATTCATCCATTGATGGACACTTGAGTTGTTTCCACCTTTTGGCCATTTGAATAATGTTGCTATGAGTATTGGTTTACAAATATTTGTTTGAGTCCCTGTTTTCGGTTCTTTAGGGTATATAAGAGTGGAATTGCTGGATCATGTGATGAACATATGTTTACCATTTTGAGGAACCACCACCGCTTTCCATAGCAGCTGCATAATTTTACATTCCTACCACCAATGCACGTGGTCTCCAATTTCTCCATATTCTTGCTAACATTTATTTTCCTTTCTTAAAAAATGTTTTATGGCCGGGCGCAGTGGCTCACACCTGTAATCCCAGGACTTTGGGAGGCCGAGGCGGGCAGATCACGAGGTCAGGAGATTGAGACCATCCTGGCTAACATGGTGAAACCCCGTCTCTACTAAAAATACAAAAAATTAGCTAGGCGTGGTGGTGTGCGCCTGTAGTACCAGCTACTTGGGAGGCTGAGGCAGGAGAGTGGTATGAACCCGGGAGGCAGAGCTTGCAGTGAGCCGAGATTGCGCCACTGCACTCCAGCCGGGGCAACAGAGCGAGACTCTGTCTCAAATAATAATAATAATAATAATAATAATAATAATAATAATAATTTTGCTTTTAATGAATTAATAATTTAATTTTTTTTTTTATGTATAGGATCTTGCTCTGTCACCCAGGCTGCAGTGCAGTGGCGTGATCATAGTTCACTGCAGCCTGAAACTCCTGGGCTCAAGCAGTCTTCCCTCCTCAGCCTCTTGAGTACCTGGGTCTACAGGTACCTGCCACCTCTCCTGGCCCTATTTTTTAATTATAATTATCCTGATGAGTACGGAGTGATACCTCATTGTGGTTTGATTTGCATTTCCCTAATGACTAATGATGTTAAGCATCTTTTCACATACTTCTTGGCCATTTCTATATTTTTGTAGACATGTCTATTCAAGTCCTTTACCCATTTTTGTTTGTTTTGTTTTTCAGAGATGAGGTCTCACTCTGTCACACAAGTTGGAGTGCAGTGGTATGATCCTGGCTCACTGCAACCTCCACTTCCGAGGCTCAAGCGATCCTCTCATGTCAGCCTTCTGAGTAGCTGGGACCACAGGTGCGCACCATGGTGCCCCGCTAATTTTTTGCAATTTTGGTAGACATAAGGTTTCGTCATGTTACCCAGACTGGTCTCGAACTTTTGAGCTTAGGAGATCTAACCACCTCTGCCTCTGAAAGTGCTGGTGTTACAGGCACGAGCCACTGTGCTCAGCCCTTTGCCCGTTTTTAAATTGGGTTTTTGTCATTGTTGAGGTATAGGAGTTATTTATATATTCTGGATATTGATCCCTTATCAGACATATGATTTGCAAACATGTTCTCCCATTCTATGGGTTTTCACTCCCTTGATAGTGTCCTTTGATGTACAAAAGTATTTAGTTTCGATAAAGTCAAATTTATCTTTTTTTTTTTTTTTGGAGATGGAGTCTAGCTCTGTCACCAGGCTGGAGTGCAGTGGTACGATCTCGACTCTCTGCAATCTCTACCTTGCGGGTTCAGACAATTCTCCTGCCTCAGCCTCCCGTGTAGCTGGGACTATGGGCCTGTGCCACAACGCCCAACTAATTTTTGTATTTTTAGTAGAGACAGGTTTTCACATGTTGGCCAGGATGGTCTTGATCTCTTGACCTCGTGATCTGCCTACCTCAGCCTCCCAAAGTGCTGTGATTACAGGCATGAGCCACCACATCTGGCCTTATTTTTTATGTTATTTTATTATTTTTTTGATCTGTGATTTTCTTAATTATTTTGAGTCGTATGATCACACATAGTTTTAAAGTGTGTATTCTAATCATTTTAAGTTGGCAAAAGCACCATTCCCAATCACAAATACGCAGCAGTTTTATGTTTTCGAATGGTTCTTTAAAGACAATCCTGAATCATAACTTAGTTTGAGTTAGAGTGTAAAGAATTCAAGAGTGAAGTTTAACTTGTTACTATTTTAAAAGCATGTGACCTTATAGATCATGTATAAAATGTGAGAAGTGTTAAATAATAAACTAGACATTGCTACCTTATTTTCCTTCAATCCTAGCCTTTAAGAGGCAAATGAACACCAAACACAGTTGAATCTTGCTTGGTTCTAAGACAGTGAGGAAATTTCCCCAGTATTTAAATATATTCACATAACCAGTTAAATAAATCTAAATATAAAACCAATCTCCATTAAGTTTTTGTTGTTGTTGTTGTTTTTATTTTTTGGGGTTTTTTTTGAGATGGAGTCTTGCTTAGTCATTCTGGCTGGAGTGCAGTGGCGCGATCTTGGTTCACTGCAATGCACCTCTGCCTTCCGGGTTCAAGCAGTTCTCTCTCAGCCTCCCAAGTAGCTGGGATTACAGGTGCCCACCACCACGCCTGGCTAATTTTTGTATTTTTAGTAGAGACGGGGGTTTCACCATGTTGGCCAGGCTGGTCTCGAACTCCTGAACTCAAGTGAACCACCCGCCTCGGCCTCCCAAAGTGCTAGGATTACAGGCATGAGCTACTGCGCCCGGCCTCTATTAAGTTTTAAGATGGCACTCACCATCTTTGTGAGAAGTTGAACATTACTAACAAAGTCTAATCATATTTTTAGAAGGGGTAAACAGTGATACCATGTTCTGAATTGGAATTACTATTAAAATTCAAAAACTGAACATTTAACCACAAGCTAGTCTTAGTTTTAAATCACAACTGCCCAACAAAATATTCTGTCATTTATGATCTGATTTCTGGTGTATGAGATCTATTAAAGTATGGTACACATAAAACAGTCATGAGACATTTGTTTTGTAATAAATAAGGCAGTGGCCAATTATTACTCATTAGTAGCTTTTTTAAGATAAGCTATCAAGCCTGCCCTTTCTGCCTTCTTCTTAATGCCGGCAAAGATCATTTTTCTTCCATACCCTTGGGATTCTCCAAATACTCCACCAGTGTATCCTCTCCCCAGGTGATGCCTTTGTTCTTATTGGTGTCTGTGTAAGAGAATCCAACAGCCTGACCTGTCTTCCGCCCGAAGAGACCTTGGAGATTAGGCCTAGTCTTGTGCTTGCCTCCCTTTTCCACGGTGTGGCACTGGGCACACTTCTGAACAAAAATCTTGCTTTTCTCAACATCACTTGTATTTAATTCTCTTTTTAGTCCCTGGGGCCACGAAGGTTGCCACTCCAAAGCCGGACAACCCACTCTTTACTTTTTTTGTTGTTGTTGCTTGTCCTTTTGGTTGTTATGCTTAAGATACCATTGCCGAATCCAAGGTCATGAAGGTTTTCTCTTATTTTCTTAAATTTAGGTCTTTGATCCACTTTGAGTTAATGTTTGTGTATAGTGTATTTTAAGGATTTAGCTTCATTCTTTTGCATATGGATATCCAGTTTTTCCAGTTCCATTTGTTGAAAAGATGGTCCTTTCACCACTGAAATTATTTTGGCACCCTTGTCAAAAATCAATTTGTCGGCCGGGCATGGTGGCTCACGCCTGTATTCCCAGCACTTTGGGGGGCCGAGGTGGGCGGATCACGAGGTCAGGAGATCGAGACCATCCTGGCTAACACAGTGAAACCCTGTCTCTGCTAAAAATACAAAAAAAAAAAAAAAAAAAAAAATTAGCCGGGTGTGGTGGTGGGCGCCTGTAGTCCCAGCTACTCAGGAGTCTGAGGCAGGAGAATGGCGTGAACCTGGGAGGTGGAGCTTGCAGTGAGCCGAGATTGTGCCACTGCACTCCAGCCTGGATGACAGAGCAAGACTCCGTCTCAAAAAAAAAAACAATTTGTCACATATATGAAGGCTTATCTTTGAACTCTGTATTCAGTTTCATTGGTCTATGTGTCTGTCCTTCTGCCAGTACCACACTGTTTTGACTACTGTAGCTTTGTATTAGTATTGAAATCAGGGCTGGGTGCTGTGGCTAACGCCTGTAATTCCAGCACTATGAGAGACCGAGGCGGGCAGATCACGAGTTCAGGAGACTGAGACCATCCTGGCTAACACGATGAAACCCCATCTCTACTGAAAATACAAAAAAAGTTAGCCAGGCGTGGTGGCGGGTGCCTGTAGTCCCGGCTACTCAGGAGGCTGAGGCAGGAGAATTGCATGAACCCAGGAGGTGGAGCTTGCAGTGAGCCGAGATCACGCCACTGCACTCCAGCCTGGGTGACAGAGTAAGACTCCATCTTGAAAAAATACATATATATATATTGAAATCAGGAAGTGTGAGCCCTCCAACTTTGCTCTTTTTCAAGGTTTTGGCAATTTGGGGGTCCCTTGAAATTCCATGTGAATTTTGGTATGGATCTTTCTATTTCTGCAAACTATGTTGTGGGACTTTGATAAGGATTGCATTGAATCACTTTGAATGGTATTGTCACATTAAGAATATTGAGTGTCTTCCAATCCATGAAGACAATAGCTCTTTCCATTTATTTATGTCTTTAATTTTTTTCAGCAGTTTCTTTTTTTATTTTATTTTATTTTATTTTATTTTGAGATAGTGTCTGGCTCTCTAACACAGGCTAGAGTACAGTGACACAATCTTGGCTCACTGCAGCCTTGACCTTCCAGGTTCAGGTGATCCTCCCACCTCAGCCTTCCGAGTAGATGGGACCACAGGCATGCACTGCAGCTGGCTAATTTCTGTATTTTCTATAGAGATGAGGTTTTGCCATGTTACCCAGGCTGGTCTTGAACTCCTGGGATCAAGCAATCCACCCGCCTCAGCCTCCCAAAGTGTTAGGATGACAGGCATGAGCCACCGCGCCAAGCCTTGCCTTTATGCTTAAATACATAAAGACCCTGTGGCCTCCCCCTCCACCCAGAGCAACAGCAGCAGTGGTGAAGACCCAGAAACATCCCTGGCTCAACAAGCCCCTGAGCATCACCCTGTTATTTATTTAGTAACAGAGTATGCAAGAGGAGGAGACCTGCACAACTGGATACACCCAGAAATGTCCCTGGCTCAACAAGCCTTCCAGCATGACCCTGTGTCTTCCCCCTCCACGCAGAGCACCAGCAACAGTAGTGCAGACCCAGAAACCTCCCTGGCTCAACAAGGCCCCCAGCATGACCCCATGGCCTTCCCCTCCACCCAGAGCACCTGTAGCAGTGGTGGAGTCCCAGAAATGTCCCTGGCTCAACAAGCCTTCCAGTATCAGCCTGTGGCCTTCTTCTCCACCCAGAGCACCAGCAGCAGTGGTGGAGACCCAGAAACATCCCAGGCTCAACAAGCCGCCCAGCATGACCCTGTGGCCTACCCCTATACCCAGAGCAACAGCAGCAGTGGTGCAGACCCAGAAACCTCTGGCTCACCACCTCCCCAGCAACACCCTGTGGCCTTCTCCACCAAGAGCACCAGTAGCAGTGGCAGAGACCCAGAAATGTCCCTGACACAGCAACAACCATCCCAGGAAGCCAGTGTCATTCAGGCTGGGCAGCCCAAGGCTTTGACTTCAGCCTTGCCAATAAGGAGGCTGTGACTGCCGCAGGGCTGCCAGGGGATGCACTTCCATTGTATTAAAATGTTTTTGCCTGTGTCCACCGCCGAAAAGGAGGAATAAGATGACCCCAACATAGTTGCACGGCTGAAGACAAAAATCAAGTTGGTGGGGTCAATATTGTTACCATAGTCACTACACTTAGAGTAGTTTTATAGTCAGTGTAGACAGGTGGCACCATGCAGCAGGGATCAGCCTCCACCACACCTGACCAGGAGCTCCAGAACTGTAAAATCCTGGACACCATTGGCCGTGGCACGTTCAGTGAGGTCCAGGATCACATGCTGATTGGGACCCAAATGGCCATCAAAATCATCCCCAAGGCTGGCTCCCTTGGCATCACTCTCCAGAGAGTGATAAGTATTTTAAAGTTACTCTGTCACTTCAATATTGTACGGTTGTATCAAGTGATTGACACCCCCAACACCAGTTATTTATTTAGTAACGGAGTATGCAAGAGGAGGACACCCACGCAACCAATACACCACCATGGCCTCATGAGGGAGGAGAAGGCCTAGACCATGTTCAGGCAGATTCTGTCGGCCATGCAGTAGTGCCATAGCAAATTGCGCAGAGACCTGAACCCAGAAAACATCATCCTTGATGAGGACGGTAACGTTAAGATCGCAGACTTCGGCTTTGGTACCACATTCCATGATGGGCAGAAGCTGACAGCCCTTTGTAGCACTTAACCCCTACATGGCCCTGGAACGTTTCCTAGGCCAGGGCTACCAATGTGCCACCATGGATATTCAGAGCCTCAGAGTAATTTTATACCACATGGTGGCTGGGGTTCTGCCCTTCTGCTCATGCAGCATTAGGGTCCTCTCAGCAAAAATTTAAAGTGGAAGCTATTTTTCCCCAGTCTACTTTTCCTGAGGTCTTAAAAGCCTCATTAAAAAACTATTAACAGTAGACCCCAGGGAGCAGACCACACTAGAAGAAGTTATGAGGGACCCGTGGGTGAACAGTGGTCAGGAGTTGCCTCTGACAACATGAAGAACAAATCCTGGACCACCTGAATCCCAAAACAACCCAGCTTTTGGTGGCCATGGGATTCCAGGCTGAGAACCTATCTGTGGCAATCAAAGAAAAATTATTCAGTTATCCCATGGCCACCTACCTTGTTTTGGAACAAACAAAACAGAAGAAGCGGTCCACTATCAGACCACAGACCCTTCCTCCTGGGGATCCCACTTGTCCTCTCTACATTGAAGTTTCCACCTTCCCTCTTTCACTGAAGCGGGCTCATAGCATTCAGCAGAAGACTGTGGGTGCCAAGTCTGGGCAGGGCCTTTGCCCTTGGGAGTCCTGTTTTAGACCCAGCTCCACCACGTGGCCCTGGCCTCTTCTCTGCCCTGTCTGTGCTTGCAGCCATGGTGCCCAGTCTGGCCCCACCAGGAGACACCAGAACGACTGTCCATGTGTCTACTCCTTGGCACCTTCCCCGCATGGTGGGTAGATGGGCAGGGAGGGGTGGGAATCTGTGTAACCGTGGAAGGGAACGGCCCTCAGACCCAGAGGGTTTGGAGCCTGGGGTATTGTCACCGACAGTGGCCTTAGCCTAGCTAGCACAGTTAGTGCTGTGCATCACAGCATAGCTTTTAGAGGCAGGATTTGTAGTCAGTATAGTTGGGAGGCACCATGGAGCAGGGATCACCCTCCACCTCACTTGACAAGGAGATACAAAACTATCAGTTCATAGACACCATCTGATAGGGAACTGGCTCAGCATAGGCCAACTGGGACCCAGGTTGCCATCTTGAAGACTTTCCATCACCCAAATATCATTCAGCTCTTCCAGGTGGTGAGGGAGTAAACCAGAGGAGGAGAGTTGCACCACCAGATATACCACTATGGCCACATCGAGGAGGAAGAGGAGGCCCGGACCATGTTCAGGCAGATTCTGTCAGCCCTGCAGTACTGCCACTTAAAAAAAAAAAAAAAATCACACATCCAGACCTAAAGCCACAAAACATCCTATTCAAAGAATGAGGCAACATACATTGTGGACTTTGGCTTCAGTACAACATTCAGAGAGGGGCAGATGCTGACAGCTTTTTGTGGCATGTACCCCTACGTGGCCCCAGAACGCTCCCTGGGCCAGGCATGCCAGTGACCCGCCAGGGACATACAAAGCCTCAGTGTCATACTGTATTTCAGGAATACAGTAGGTAGAAGGGCCAGGACTTTGCCCTTTTACTCAGGGAAGCCTCCAAACTTCAAGAAAAAATTCTCACAGGAAGATACCATGCCCCACCACTTCTTGCCCTTCAACTTGACTCATTAAAAAATTACTAATGCTGAACGCCAGGAAGTGTCCTTCACTGTAACTGATGAAAAATCCATGGGTGAAAAGTAGCCAGAAGATGCCACTGATACCATACGAAGAGCCACTCCTGGACCACCCCAAACAATCCAGCTCATGGTGGCCATGGGATTTCAGGCCAAGAACATCTCTGTGGCAATCATAGAAAGAAAATTCAACTATCCCATGGCCACCTACCTCATTTTAGAGCACACAAAACAAGAGAGGAAGTGCTCCACCATCAGAGAACTGTCCCTTCCTCCCGGGGTTCCCACCTCTCCTTCCCCATCCACTGAACTTTCCACCTTCCCTCTCTCACTGATGCGGGCTCATAGGGAGCCAGCTTTTAACGTTCAGCCTCCCGAAGAAAGCCAGATGTCAGGGCAGAAGACCGCCATTCTTGCCAGTACACCTGCCAGCCTACAGAGGAAGCCAGATCGGGGAAGCCAGGAAGTTTTAGTGAAGCCCCCAGCATGACCCTATTGTCTCCCCTTTCACCCAGAGCACCAGCAACTGGTGAAGTCTTAGAAACGTCCCTGATACACCAAAAACCATCCCAGGAAGCCAGCATCGTCCAAGCTGAGAAGTCCAAGCTGAGAAGCCTGAGGCTGTGACGTCAGCCTGCTCGGCAAGAAGCTGGGGCTGCCGCAGGGTTGCCAGGAGATAGATGCCTTTGCATACTATTAAAATATTTTTGCCTGTCTCTACCAAAGAAAAGGAGGAATAAGATCGCCCCAACATAGTTGCATGGCTGAAGACAAAAATCAAGTCGTTGTGGTGGTCAAGCCACAATTCCTGCATTTTACATTTCTTCTGTCTTTATTGTATTGCTTCAATTGGCAAATCATGCTTGTATTCATTCATGGGGTACAATGTGGAATGAGGAAATCCCACTACTTAGCATCTCCACTACCTCAGAGAGACCAATTCCACGTGAGGTCCCAGAAGTGTTGATCTAAACAAGTTGACCCCATAGAAGTAGCAAGTAGATCGATGGTGACCAGGGGTCAGAGAGTGGCAGAGGGAGGGAATGGGAGGGGGGTTGTCAGTTAAAGGACCAAAGTCTCAGGGAGGAGGAAGAGGTTTTGACATGTAGTGCACAGCAGAGTGACCAGAGTCAATGAGAATGTGTTGCATTTTGCAAAACACCTGAGAGAGTCCATGTCAAATGTCTCTCTGCATTTAGATTGGAGAGGACGAAGGCCCTGAGGTCCAAGAACATTGAAACCTGACAGTGGATGCCAATGGCTGTGGGGAGGAGCTGGGCGAGGCGCCCAGGTTGTCGTCTGCCCGGCAACGTGGGAGCCTGCAGCACTTTCCTGCAAAGCTCTATTTTATCTTTTTAAATAAAAATGGTTACTGATAAGTGACCGGTTCTTGCAAATCTTGTAGTAACATTAGGTGGCAAATGGGTCACAGACACTCTGCTGCTTTGCACCCTCTTTGCACAGAACGAGGGCTGTGCACACCCTAGTTTAGGCGGCATGCAGTCAAGGATTCCTGTCAGTTACTCAGAAAAACTGCAAGAAAAAGCCACCTCAGAGAAGTATCAGGGTGACCCCACCCACAGCAAATCATTAGTAGTGGCTCTGAAGGGCTGAGGCTCTGAGCAGGTGCAGGGTAGAGTCCCACACATTGTTCATGGCTTCCCCACACTCACACTACCTGGTGAACATTTTCAGAAGGACCAGCAGCCCCTTCAGGTCCCGTCTGCCTGTGTCAATCATGCTGAGAGGTCCCCAGGAGGATCCTGAAGCCCTGGGAACCAGACTGTGCTGGGGTCAGTGGCGGGGTGTGGTCCCCAAAGTGCCTTAGGGGGCCACTTGTTCTGCTGGGCTCCTGGCTGTCTAGTGTGGCATTGGCCTTTCTGCTTCGATGGTTTCTTCTTTTGATAACAGTGGCATGAAGCGCTCCCCCTCAGAGGCCTGACGTAGGAGTGCTTCTGGGTGAGGCAGGCATCCTGGGTGTCAGGGGAGGGTTGATGGCAAGACACAGCAGCAGCCCTGAGGGATGGAGGGGGTGGTGGGAATGGGGGCTTTCATAAGGTAGGTTCCAGCTTCCCAGGAACCCGGTTTGTCCGTGTCTGGCAGTGAATCTGTGGGTGCAGATGCCCATCAGCACCCATCAAGGAGCTTCCTTGTGGGTTCCTAATGAGCTTGAGGTAGGTCCAGAAGGCCCCACCCTTGTGCATGGCCGGCATCTGAGTGTGGCAACCTTGAACATTTGGTTACCCTACCCACTACTGATGGTGGCCAGGGTCAGTCCTGGAGTTCCCCCAGTCAGATAAGATTCTCCTTCCCCAATAAAGAACAGGACCAGGAAGCAAGAAGCAGGCTCAGGAGAGGGTGGGAGTGTTATAGGGCTCCTTGTCTCCCCAGTGAGCTGCTGTCCTTTAAATCCACATTGGGGATGAAGGTCCCTCAGGTGTCAATACTGGATGTCCCTCCACCCAATGCCAGTTTGTACCCCCAGAAAGAGGGCCCCTGTGGGTTCTGCTTGAGCTCCCCAAGGGCCCATCAGAGTCTGTCCCTCCACCTTGCTGCTGTGCCCCCTCTGGAAGTGCTGTCCTGTGAGAGGGCACATTCCCCAGGCGTGGCTTTTACTATCACTGGACGAGGCCAGAATTCTTTCTGGCTGTGACCTGTGGTAGAGCTTGACATCTCCTCTTCAGAAGCCAGGGCTTCCAGCCCATAGAGCTGGGCTGGGTCAAGGGACTATAGGGAAGGGGCTCCAGGCACCAGGGCAAAAACCCACAAACAGAGAAGGTCCTTTCAAGTGTCTACCTGGGCCGGCATGCAGGCCGGGCAACCTTGGCTTGTTCATCTCCCTTTGCTGCCAGCAGCCTCCATATGGCAGACATTCTTCTCCTGGGGGGCTGACAGCCATGGAGGGTGGGGAGCAGGCCTCAGCAGGGCGGGTTCCCAAAAGACAGCCCAGAGAGCAGGGTCAGATAGTGGGGGGTGGGTTCAGCTCCACTGTCCAGGTGAGGAAACTGAGGCTGAAGAGAGATCAAGTAGCATCCCCAGCGAAATCTGGCCAGGAACAGATGGCAAAGATTTGCTGTTTACCCCGTCCCAGGCTGCCCCGCACCCACATAGCCACTTCCCAGTACTCTGCTTTGTCCCCATTCTCAGGTTCTGAAGTCATCCTGTTTTACACCTGTCACCCCTACTGGAACAGGGACCTTGCCTCCCTGACAGCCACACATCTCTGGCACCCAGGAGGCCCTCAATCAGTATTTGTGCAATCAGTGAGACCCTGGGATTCAAGCCCGAGGTGTGTCTGCAGAGCATTGGAAATGCAGCCCTGAGTCCGTCCCCAAGGTTGCCTGATAGAGCAGGCCTGGGGACCGGCAGGGGAAGCGGATGCCTACCGTGACTCTCGGGAAGACTGGTGGGACTATCACTAAGCTTATTTGCCTGTCCAATCTTGGGGATCCTGAGCTCCCTACTGGGCAAGCTCATAGGGGTTCGGCTCCGCTTACGGGTCTCTGGCTCTACCTCCCAGTTCCGGCTCCGACTCAGCCCAGCCTGGGCGGGGCCGTTGGCCGTTGGGAGCCACGCCCCCCGCTGCGTCACTGCCACCTGGTCCCGCCCCTGTCTCCATGACCGCTGGACCAGATGTCAGCAGCTGCTCCAGAGCCTGGTGCATATATATCTTCTATATACTTGCTAGTATCTGTCCCCTTTCCCCCCAGACCTCCTCCTGTGCAACACGGAATGATGAAAATCTAGAAACAGGAATCTCACTCCCGGCCTAGCCAGGACTCAGGTTTTGTGAAGGGGTATGAGGCGGGAGGAAAAGCAAACCCCACCAAACCAACACCTAGTCTAGAGCCTGATCAAAGTGCCACTCAAAGCACGATTCCTCCCTTTACTTTCCTATAACCCGAGAATTCTTCCTGAAAAAGGTGGCCCCTGAGAACCATCTAGAAGCATCACGGGGTGGAGGGGCAAGGGCCCTGAGAGCTGCTCTTGCCATCCCTTGTCCCAGTTTTCTTGAAGCCGAGTTCCAGAGAAGAGGCGGGGCCCGTGGGGCGTTTGGATTACACTCCCAGTCCAATTCACAGTCCAGCAATCCTGCCCTCAGAGGCTCCCTTCATCTGTCCACTTGGCAAAGGAAGGGGCGGGTCAGCCCACGCCCCCTGTCTGGCTGCAGACGACAACCATCAGAAGGGTGTCTGTGTAGCCGGGGCCCCAGAACCATGTCTGCGTGGAAAGGGCCCAAGAACCTGGAGCCCTTTCGGTTCAAGAAGAGCGTGAGGGACCCAGCCCCCTTCTGAAACCTATACCGCATTCTGGCCTGTGCCCTAGAAGGTTGTGAAGGCCTCTAAGTGGGTCCTCCTGCTTCCCCATCTTCTAAGGCCCAGGCCTTTTTCAG